>NC_000010.11:107870368-109120368 GCF_000001405.40 Homo sapiens | reverse complement strand
CCATCAGATCTCATGAGACTTCTTCATTATCATAAGAACAGCATGGGAAAAACCCACCCCCACGATTCCATTACTTCGCCCCAGGTCTCTCTCATGACACATGGGGATGACAGAAAAAACAATTCAAGATGAGATTTGGGTGGGGACAAAGCCAACTCATATAACCAGACTCTTTCAGGCTTATGGGAATAGTGGTTTTAGAGGTAGAAAATCTCACTGGGGACAATGTGTGGTCAACACATTCCACTATAGACTGGATGCAAAACAGGGAGAGAAGCTGCCTCTCAAGGCAGATGCCAATTGACAATGAGAAGGTATCTTAGCAGACCAGGGCTGGAACCCAAGTGACTCCCCTAATGGTCTGAGGATGTGTATAGGCAGAGTGGCTGACAACAGATATTTAAGCTGCTGTAGAGTCTTTTGCTTTAACCTAGCTTTGTAATGGCATCTGCAATTGCAGAGCAAGAAGAATAAGGCCATTCATCTGATGGTGTTCTTCCCTGGGCCACATGGCCATGAGAAGACTCAGCATCTTTTTCATTCCCCACAAACACCATTAGTAAGTATGCTTGATGTTGGGATGGCCTCTGGAATGGTGCTCCTAGAAGGCTGCTGCTCTTTCCATGCTCATATCCTTTTGCTCATGAATTATTCAGTGAAACTTGGAGAATAAGAACAGACTGTGGTGGGAAGGTGCTTGGAAAGAATTCTTCAGTCTGTCCTATTGCAGATAATTTGTGTAAAGAGTTGACTTCCGAAAGTTTTATTTGGTTTATCTCTCCCCTCCCCTCCCCTCACTTCCCCTTCCCTCCCCTCCCCTTCCCTCCCCCTTCCCTCCCCCTTCCCTCCCCCTTCCCTCCCCTCCCCTCCCCTCCACTCCCTTCCCCTCCCCCGTGAAATGGTCTTCTTCATAAGCCTAACAATAGATACTACTATTATACCCTCTTTGTAGATAAGAGACCTCAGGTTCAAAGATGTTAAATAATGTACCCAAAATTTACTCAGTTACAGGCTGAGCTGGAATTTAGCCTGGTCTGTGTAACTCTGGAGTCCACACTGTTAACCATTGTACTCTACTCCTTGTCTCCCAAAGAGTATAACAATTTTAACATGGACAACCTTACACAGGGGATCACTAGACACCCTTCCTCTCTTTCCTCTTTCCTTGACATACAGAATAAAACTTAGTTTAATTGGACTCATTGAAATATGAATGCTTTAGCAGAGACTGAGTTGGACCAGAGTTATTTCTTAGTCCTGGCAATGTGTGTGTGGTCTAACTGGAAAGCTCTGATAAATGTCTCTAGGGTAGATTCTTCTGGATTCAAGGTCAAGGCAAGGAGTTGGGGATAGTTCATTAAGCAAAGCAACGTTACAAATGCAAGATTATAAAATGCTCCTTTGCCTTTAATTCTGATTCATTTCCTCTGGTCCCTAATTTGGACCTAGGGTTTCCCCATTAACCATATAAGTGAGATTAATAACTTAATAAAGGCAGAGAATATAAATTACTTAAGGAATAGCCTTGTCCTGATGAAACATTATTATTGGTAGTAAACGGTGGAGTAGTTAGTATTTATATAGTCTTCCACTTGGAGTGTACATTTGATTACTCATTCTTATACATATATTATAATCCCAATAGTTGCATTTTTGCTCTTTTATTTGCCATGTTTGTATTTGCAGCAATTTAAATCTTTTTAATATTCAGCAAAATTAATGTTGATGAAAACCTGTGGCTTACTGTGTGATGTGGTGATTCATTTATTCATAAAACTTTTGCCTTCTTTGCTGAGGCTCTGAAACCCAAGCCTCCTCCATCATTAAAAGCCTGAGTGAGCTGTTTGCAACCATCAACCCTAGAATTGAAACAGAAGAGTTCCCTTATCCCCCTCAAAGGACATGTGACAGGGGTGTGGCTCACTCCTTCTCTTACCCCCACAGCTCAAAACCCTAGGGGAAGCATGCAAATGGGCAGGTGCAGAGACCGTGGGAGTGCTTTTGGTCTCCGCTCCCATGGCAGCATTGAGGGGTGGGTGTCTATGACTCCCAAAGCCCAAGTGGGCATGTGTTACAGTGTGCTCTTTCAGCTTTTCTGTCTACAGACGGCTTGTGTTAATCAGCTCAATAGATCCTCTGCCTTATTGCAAGGGCAGGGGGCCAGTGTGATAGCCTGAGTTCTTGCCCAGTGTACCAGAAAAATTGGATCACATGTGGGCTGGAAGGATGAATTCAAAGTTTTATTGAGTGGTGGAGGTGGCTCTCAGTGAGATGGATGGGGAACAGAAGAGGGGGATGGAGTGGGAAGGTGATCTTCCCCTAGAGTTAGGCTGCCCAGCAACTGGACTCTTCTCTGACCACCCCAGCCAAATTTCCCTTGGCATCCAGATATCCTTCCTTTCCTCTCATTCTTTGCATGTCGTTCCACCATCACTGGTCTGCCGGTGTCTGCTGCTGTCTGGTCCTCTGCTCCTTTCGATGTTCAGCTGCTTGTGTGTGTGCCCACTAAGGTCTTGGGTTTATATGGGCATAGGATAGGGGATGTGCCAGCCAGAGTGGTCTTGGAAAAATGCAACATTTGGGCGCAAAAACAGGAATGCCTATTCTCACTTAGGTCCGTGGGCATAGGCCTGATGGTACAGCCCTTGCCAGACACCCCACACTTCTCTACCCAACACTTCCCTGCTCCCCTCCCATATCAGAATCATCTGCCTTTAGTTAGTGGAGAATCTAATGACGCCTTGGTATTGTTTGGTTTATTGAGAAGCCCCTCTACTTGGAGGAGCGTCTCCATTAGGGGAATTCTCCTTTTCTGACTGCAAATTTGATTTTGATGCCATGACTTTTCAGTGCCTTTAAATAGGTGGATTTTCTTTTTTTCTATAAGACAGCAGAGCTCTCTTACCAGTTTCTGATTGTAGCTTTACCTGGAAATTACCAAATTAAGGGTGTGTGGGTATGGATATAGGAGAGATAATTGGTTAGGGAGTATTCTACCAAGATATAGATACAACAACCTGGTGAGGACCCTGAGAAATGGTGCAAAAGCCCATTTAGGATGATTCTTAGAAGCATGGGAGCAGCCATGACCCAATGAGTAAAGTTGAAATGCTAGAGTTGCCATGGCAGACAGTGGAGGAAGGGACTGAATGGCTCAGGGAAATGGACATGCTGCACTATATAAGGCCACAGTACCCAACAGATGTCATGCTTCATGGGTATACCTAGAGAATACACTGATTACCAAAGCCATCAGGACTAGGGAAGGCACCCATGCTGAAACTGGCCCAATTGTCTCATAGAATTTATATTTACAAATTTTTAAAATAAACATAGAAATTGACTTTCCCTGGTCTTAAAAGTTGAAACTTGCATTTGTCTTATCTGAGTTCCTTTCTCAGGAAACTCACTCTCAGGCAAGGAACTGAAACTCACTAGATCACTGCATCCAGATAATGAGATGCCAGACTCCTCATTCATCGTGATTACTTCCTTACTCCTCCCTAATTCCTGTTTTCCCACGTTCCCTGCTGCCTAAACACCCCAATTTTGCCCAGTTAGGGAGATGAATTTGAGACAGATCTTTTATCTCCTTGAATGCAACATTCGAATAAAGCCTTCTTCCCTGGAAATACTCATTGTCTCAGTGATTGACTTCCTGGGCAGCAAGCAGCAGGACCAAGAGGGAACCCCAGGCATTTTGGTAGCAGTGTCACTAACAATGGTCAGGGCTAACTCTACTCTGCAATCTATGACTGGAAGTAGGAGAGAACAAGTCTCACTGAGAGCAATGTGATCAGAGAACACTAAAATTAAAAGTGTCCAGTTGGTAGCCCTGAACCTCCAGTAGTATGTATGCCAAGATTTGAAGGAGAAGCTGTTACAGAAAAGTGCCAGGAGGCCAGGCATGATGGCTCACACCTATAATTTCACCACTTTAGGAGGCCGAGGTGGAAGGATCACTGGAGGCCAACAGTTTGAGATCAACCTGATCAATATAGTGTGACCCCCAACTCTGCAAAAATAAAAAGAATTAGCCAGGCATGGGTGGCTCATGACTGTAGTATCAGCTACTCAGGAGGCTAAGGCAGGAGGATCACTTGAGCTAAGGAGTTTAAGGTTGCAGACAACAATGATTATACCGCTGCATTCCAGCCTGGGTGACAGAGAGATACCCCGTCTCAAAAAAAAAAAAAAAAAAAAAAAAAAAGAAGAAGAAAAGAAAAAAGTACCAGGAGACTAATATGCAACAGAAAGAAAAGAGTAAAGGGAAGGCACAGTTGGGAGCTTACATAGAGGCACTCACCTCCAGGAGCAGAAAGAAGGGCCCAGAAAGTTTAGAACTAGGTACTGAGTCAGAGTGGCTAAGCTCTAAAGATTAAAAGCCCCACCAAGGAAGGTCTACCTTGCTAAATCCTACTGGGAAAAGAACAGGACCCTTTCAAGGGAAGTTTCACTGCCCCAGCAGCCAGCAAAAAGCTTTCAACTCTTTCACTTCTGGGATTGCTTCACACAGAGACCTACATTCCCCAAAGGTATTCATGCCTTCCTGGGGTGGCCCATATTCAGTGACCAATTAAAGCAGGGCTATAAAAGCCCAGCCCTTTTGGCCCAATGTGGGACAACTCAGATAGGCCATATGTGCTCTCAAACTTCCAGTGGAGTTGGCCAAGACCTTGTAAACCTGTCTCATGGTTAGATTTCTGCCTCTCCTCCAACACTCTCCCACAGGCGTTGGTTTTTAATAGATATCCAGCATGTCAAACTGTGTCTTATTTGCTTCTGGAAAACCAGCCTCCAACAGACCCTGAGCAACTTCAGGTCCACCTATCCTTTGGATAGAGTTAATATTCTTCCTTCCCACATGGTAAGGAAAAAACCCTCAGTCTGAAGCATGGAGTGCCCTGTATAAGCAAGAGAGGAAGGTCCATTTACTGAAGCCTATCCTGTGGCAGGCCCGTTGTGAGGCACAGTCCCACTTCCCCATCTAGAAGCCCTGTTCCTCTTTTTCTTGATTAGGTTCTGGTGCCTAAACACTGCTTTCTGGAAGCAGACAGATGGAGTACCAATTGTAGAGAACTCGGTTTGCTTAAGCTTTGTCATTCTTAGAATTTGAATGAGTTAATCACACAGGCATTATGTTAGGTCAAAGAGTTCCCAAATATGATGCTTTCAGAAGGCTTCAACACTCATACCTGGGAGCTGCCACATGTGAGAACAAACATATGACCTCTTCCCGGGCTTTGGGTGGTATTCTTCAACCAGTTCTTAGTGTTGTCTCCAGACACTCACCATCCCTTTACTCTGGAGATGAGATAATCACATGATTCTGAATTCTTTCATTCATTTACCCCTGATCATTGAAAAGTGAAAATACAGCACAGTCTGGCTGGGCAGTGGCCACCGTACTTGGGGTTGGTGTCCAAGAGGGGCAAGAATTGCAAATGCTTCCTTTGGTTTCTAATTTGGAAGATGGCAGTTCTAATAGCTTTGCTCTTCTCTACCATAAAATGCCATATGGGGAGGTGTGTGTCATCTTCAGAGCTGCTACAACTCAAGGCTTCAGGCTTCTACCATTTATAGCACTGAGTCAGATTTAATAGGTCCCTATTTGACAGATTTAGAGTCCATGAGCTCCCGGAGAAAATTTATCCAAAGGGCCTGAGGATGAAAGAATTTGCCTGTCTGCAAAGAGCAGTGACTGAAACATTTCCACACAGAGTTTTCAGCAGGTTATATAATAAATAAATCTGTCAGAAATCCTTACCTTCCATGTGTGTGAAATTATGCTAGCTTCTTTTTTCTTTATTGTCACTTTGTTGTCATTGTTGTTTTGAGACAGAGTTTCACTTTTGTTGCCCAGGCTGAAGTGCAATGGTGCAATCTTGACTCACTGCAACTTCTGCCTCTGGGGTTCAAGCAATTCTCCTGCCTCAGCCTCCCAAGTAGCTGCAATTATAGGCATGTGCCACCACGCCCAGCTAATTTTTGTATTTTTCAGTACAGACAGGGTTTCACCACGTTGGCCAGGCTGGTCTCAAACTCCTGACCTCAGGTAATCTGTCTGCCTTGGCCTCCCAAAGTGTCGGGATTATAGGCGTGAGCCACGGTGCCCGGCCATTTATTGTCACTTTGAATTATGCAGTCTGTAATATAGATAGATCAACTGTCATAGGTGGCTACTGGAGCCATTGGAAGACAGAGATAAGTTTTATTTTCATGTCAACCTGCTCTGATTCAGTGTTTAGAGTGACATATAAGCAGGCATCAAGTTAAAAAATAATCCATATTAAGTAAATTCAAACCACTTTCCATCATGACCAATGAGATGTAATCGGTACTATTGACAGCACTCACGGCTGCATTGATTTTCAGCCTGCTGAAAGCTGATGACACTGTATTTGACACCAACTACCGAACTAGTTATAAACCATCTCCAAGGAGAAATTATATAAACTACAGTTTGTTATGTGGAGCTATGCTGCGTTTCTGAAAATAAATGAATTTAGACATAAGTTATCTACAACAACAATTTAATAATTAACACTTAATGATGATTAAGAACTCTTGCTATGTACTGCTCTTCAGATTCCACACCCTACTTGCCAGTTGTTCTCCCAGAAGAAAAAGTACATTTTTCTTATCCCATTAAGGCAGTATAGGCTTGCGGCAGGCCTGCTACTGTGTGTTCACATGCTGAAAGTTTAATGCACTATCACATTTAATTTGTGCAGAACTCATTCAAGGTAAATATTATTACCTCCAATTTACAGATGCAGAATGTGAGCCTTACAGAGGTGATAAAGCTTATCCAAGGTCAGACAACCAGTAAATGAAAGACTTATTTCTTATTTCAAATACTGGTCACTGAAATTGCAGAATGCTGGTTTATTTTCCCTTAACAGGGTGTGCACTGCATCAGAGAGATGCTTTTTTTTTCTTTTTTAGCCATCCCATCAGCCAAACTGAAAGAGGTGCATTTTATGGAGAGAAACTATGTCATCTATTAGTCAGATTAGATGCAAGGTGGCTTATCTGTAGTGTTCCCAGGTTGTTGCGGATGCTTTTGCTTATGGTTTTCTTGGATAATCCCAAAGCATCAGCTAGTGTGAAGTGAAACTTTAGAAAAAGAAAGCTTGCTCTTTTTTTCTGAAAAAAGATGAGAGAAGAAAACTTGCTCTTTTGGCTCCTTCAAATCTTTGCTTTTAGAATTGGCATAGGGTTTCCATTCTACTTGGCAACTAAGGAAAGCAAGTGCAGATGAGAGAGGAGAGCCATGGAAAAACTACAGAGAGGCTTCGTGAGAGTCTAGGAAGAGCTGAGGGCCACACCTCTGCAGCATCAGGACCTGAACCTCCAGAATGACAGCTCCCAGGTGTCACTGTTCTCTCAGCCTCAACTCTCTTTCTCATGATCTCTCTGGGTTTCTCTGCACATCTGTTCTGTAATTTTGTCCTAATCTGAGGCCTC
Source organism: Homo sapiens (assembly GCF_000001405.40). Lineage (NCBI taxonomy): Eukaryota > Metazoa > Chordata > Mammalia > Primates > Hominidae > Homo > Homo sapiens. The sequence continues at coordinate 109,112,898 of NC_000010.11, read as the reverse complement.
TGAAACTTATTTTTTTATAACAGTGCTGTATATATGGGCTGATAATCTCTACTTTCATGAATCTCTCAAGTCTTCCATTTGGAATTAAAATTTCACTCCTGGTAGAAGGGTCCTGGACTTGAGACATAAACTGGCCAGTCCGTAGATAGGCAACCCCTACTCAGGTGCTATCCCTGGTCCAGTAAGCTGGATCTGGGTTGGGAGAGATTGGTAACAATGTGGTCATGTGATATATACTGCACCCTCTGCAGGATATAGTGGCAACAGACCTAGATAATAGGGGGGCCTCAGTCCCTGCACATCAGCCCTGAATTTATTCTATACTCCAGTGCCTATTCCTCTATCTGCTTCAAGCCACTTCCTCTATCTGCTCTGCTTAGTATTAGCCCCCTGGGGCATCACTCTTCCTTCTCAATAGCCTGTTGGATTGCCAGTACAATTTCAAGTAAGCCTCTTAGACCTGGCACTCCTTGAGATGCTCTCTCCCACACACATTCTTGAGCCTTCTCTAACTATACTTGTATTAGTCCATTTTCACACTGCTGTAAAGAACTACCTGAGACTGGGTTAATTATAAAGAAAAGAGGTTTAATTGACTCAATTCTGCATGGCTGGGGAGGCCCCTGGAAACTTAAATTACAGCAGAAGGCAAAGGGGAAGCAAGGCATGTCTTACATGACAGCAGGAGAAAGAGAGTGAGGGGAGAAGCCCCACACTTTTAAACCATCAGATCTCATGAGAACTCACTATCGTGAGAACAGCATGAAAAAAATTCACGTCTGTGATCCAGTCTCCTCCCACCAGTTCCCTCCCCTGACATGTGGGGATTAAAATCCCCCATGAGATTTGGGTGAGAACACAGAGCCAAATCATATCAATAACAATTTTTTACCTTTTTTTCTAACAGATTTTGCTTATTACTACTACTGCCAGTGCTACTATTGTTACTGCTCATACTGATAGCTGACATTTATGAGAATTCATAAAATGTCAGGCACTGTTCTGTTCTTTTCCTGCATTATCCCATTTAATCTTCATGGAAATCTTATGTGGTTGCTAATAGTATTGTCCTCATTTTATATATAATAATGTAAAGTTTTGGTGAGAATTCCTATCTTATCCAAGGCAGCACAGTGTCCAGACTGTTTCCTAGGTGTATCTGGCTCTGGAATTTATCATACTCCTAAGCCCCATGTTACAGTTGTAACTGACAAATGACTGGCCTGTTTATATCTAAAGCTGACTAAGTGCCCTGCTTATGAGGAAGCACCTTTTTGTTCCTGCATGTTTAGTATACATCAAAGCCTTGTCTCTTCAACTAGACTTTGTGCTGTGGGAAGGAAACATAGAATATGTCTTTGGTGTCTTCTACAACACATCCTAGTTGGAAGGACAAATAAACTCACATATACTTATGGTCTGTCTACCTCTACATTTTTTTCAGCTTTCAGTCCCATCAAAAACCAAACTTTCACTATATTTTTTCTCTTCTACAACCCTAATGTTGAATTTCTAGAGACAAGACATAGGATTATTCTTCTGAGATCTACATGGCCAAAGATTCTCGATGATAGTGCGCTATCATCTGCCTAATACATTTATTCTGAACTGGTAATGATAGAAACAGAAAAATGGAATTTTATGGGCCAGGCTGTTCTGATAATTGATTTATTTATTGAAATTGAATAAGAAATAAAAATCTAAAATTAACCAAATCTAAATAAAGAAAACACACATTTGGCCCTAGTGCACTAAATAGTAAAACTAGCACCTGCCTCTTGGAAACACTGCTCTATTAACGTCTGGAAAGGAAGACTCTAAAACATCTTTTCATGATTATTGACTGGTTGAATATCAAGGAAAAATTATATCTTAATTTTACCCAATTCTGCTTTTTCCCAGCAAGGTAGGCTGGAACATGCACTGACCTCTCTGTACCATGCCTGCCAAGATAATAAACATGAAAATGCAAGAATGGCTTTGTCCATAAGCTGGTGTGTCCCTAGCCTCAGCCATGGGATGTGTCTGAGAAATAGATTTTAGGACCAAGAGATGCACAGACATATGTGGATTTCTCTTAAGTTAAAGCACAAGGTTTGAGGAAGATCAGGAAAAGACCCAGACATAACTATCTGTGTTCATAGCTTTCTCCATCAGCTTGCTTTCTGAGATCTTTCCTCTTATCTTAACCATGTATAGAGTTTCTACTGAAGGGACAATTAGACCAAAGGCCAGGGATTGATGCTGGCTCTTCTAATTACCAATCATATGACCTTGCTAATTAATTAGTTTTTTAGTCTCAATTTAAAAAATATATTTTTATTATTTTTCATAAGGGGCTAATAATCTCCATTCTATTTTCCCACATGACTGTTGTGAGGAACACATAGGATAATAAATGTTAAAGACCTCTATAATCTTATAAAATCCCAGAAATTATTATTATTATCTTTTTATAATTTCCATCTACTCTTCTGGCTACTAAATTACTTAATGCAGTAATGCTTTCTTTATTCTTTTGGTCAACGATGACAAATCTTAACTTTTTTCTGAAAGAAAATTCCTGCCCCCTACCCTCTTGCACCAAGAAAACAAAAGAAATAAGCAGAAAAGTTCTCCCATCATTGTTTTGACATCTTCTTTAAGAACATGAAATTTGGACTTTCTCCCCTGTTATTCTGTTCTTCATTCTATCTTCATCTCCCCAGGCTGGACAGAATACCTGAAAATAGTCCACAGAATAGTTTTTTTTTCCCTATAGATAGACTTCACTTCCTACTTCCATTCCTCAGTACACAAAATAATTGAATTTAGAAGATGCCTTCAATGATGACTGAAAATAATCTTTGGGTCATGGTGAACATGTGGGTAAGTTTTGAACAAGTGAAGTTTGTTGTCCCAAATCGTTCCAACAAATTAGGGCTCATTTTGCTTGTGCCTAACAAAGAACTTAGATCATCAGTGTTCCCAATCCCCCATTAACCTGATTTGGTTGATAGAAGTACTGGTTGGAGATAGCATGATGGGTAAATCCAGGGGTTTTAGTGTTATAAACCTGACTTTAATTCTAGTACCACCGATCATTAGCATCGTAGCTTTGGGCAAATAATTTTAACGTGTGGAACTTCATTTTCCTCATCCCCCTAAAAATGGTGTTCATGATAAAATCCTCATCACAAGTTGGTTGTGAGTATTGAGTGATACATAGTAGCTCAATGTCTGATGCAGAGTATGTCCTCACAAGCTGTAGCTGTTATGTCATTACTGCTATAATTAAGTGTAGCAATTGTCATTACTACAATTAAGTGATTCACTAATGTATTTAATAATAGCAGTAATGACATAATATCTAAAACTAGTGAGGATATACTCCACACCAGACATTGACATACTATGTCTCATTCAATACTCATAACCACCTTGTGATGAAGATTTTATCATGTTGATTCAACTTTGAATCAACATTTCAAAGTTGATCTGAAATGATGAAAATCTGTGTCTGTTCAGGACATCCAGGTAGCTCCCATCTTCGAGGCAGCTCCATATGACCTTTGCCCTGCTCTACTTTTTCCCAGGACTCTCCATGTAAGGAGAGCCACCAAACCAGAAGGAATTTCTCCAGGGGTTCCTGAATGTTCAGTCCCTGTGGAGAGCTGTCCTCAATAAGTCAGGCTGAGCCCAGGAAATTTTGATTGCATTAGATAAGAGCCTGGATCACTGAAGTGCCTTAAATCATAAAGCCCTGCTCTGTAAGTACAGCCTGGATGATCTCTGGCAAGGAACAGGGAATTGGAAATTCTAATTTTCTCCAAGCAATAGTTCATTTATAATTGATAAGGTCCAGGACATCACCATCATCTACCACCCTAATTTAATAAAATATCTTATTAATGAAAACAGTCATGCTTGAAACATCTATTGATTCTTAAGGCTATCATCATGGACCAAGTGTGCCCCAATTAATTACATTAGCCAGATATTGACCTTCTTGAGCACAAGCAAACCAGCAAACCAAACAAACAACAACTCTCTGTGAAAACTTGCAAGTGAAAAATGGGCAGCTTTCAAAGCCTATAGAAGCTGCTTAACCCATGTCCACCAACCCTGTGTAGATTTAATGTCTGTATGTCAGCTTGGAAAAGGAGAGCTAGAGTTTAATTACTTGATGTTGATCTTTTATTTGAAAGAGTACTTGAAACCTAGGGAATAAGGGTATGGTTGTTTCAATGGACACTTGTCTAAGAAAACTGTGATGAGATTTGTGTGAATGCCAGAGTCCCAAGACCTCCAATGCTGCTTCTGCTTGGGTGGAGAGCTCTTGGAAAAAGGTCCTAGGCAGAGTTTGATGGCTGTTTCTCACAACTGCAGTTTGAGGAACTATTTAAGGAAGTGTTCTTCAGCGCATTTGAGAAGTTATTAGGTACTTGCTTCGGTGAAAATGATCTTTAGACATTATTCTTTGTACTAACTGAGTCAAAAGAACTTCTTTCATAAATACGTATTTACTTGGGAAAATAAAAATGAAGCAGAGTAACAATTTGGTACATAATTACATAGGACTAGGAATCATAAAGAAACATATGAAACCTGACATAGTTAACTTCATTACCTCGTTAGGCCATCACAAGAGAACCTTGGAAAAAGGCAGCATGAGGAAATAGGTAGTACATTACTCCTCAAAGAATGTCTACAGTCAAATGGCAAGAAAATCACTTGGGGTGGGGTGGTGGGTGGAGGGGGAATGAGGGATGGGCTGGGACTAGGGTCTACTTGTTAAAAAATATGTTGGGTCTGCGTGTATTTTTCTTTCAGGAGGTAACTACCTGCAGGGAGATGATGTTTTCTGCTGTTATTTCAAGGGTGGTCCTTTCCTCTAAGTTAAGCTCCAGTGTGGCCTGTCCTGTCCCAGTGCCTCTGAGAGCACTTATAAGTCTTTCTCATTCTAGGATTCATTTGGCAGACCTGCTTGTTTTGTTTTGTTTTGTTTAGATGTATTTTTTTCGATGTATTTGTTTTTATACTAAACCGTATCCCCTAGTTTTGACTTTATGGTAGTAAAGGTTATATTTTGAAGTCTATTGGCCTTACTCTTTAGTTTAGAACCCAAGATAGAGCAGACAACTGTTATGTATTGGGTCTCCTAAGAACCTAATCCATTTTGCTGGTTCTTTCCATAGTTCAGCCTGCATCCCATTCACTCATTTGTACCGAGAAATGCACTGACACCTGCGTACTTTCTTTGATCCATTCACAACTAGCCCATTCACTCTGTTGGAGACTCAACTATTTCATTTGATAGTGATATTCTTCTAGACACTGTCCACTGTGAGTGTTAAATTATCTTCTCTTGCAATTCTTTTTCCCTCTGACAACTGTACTTACACACCTTTCCTCTCTCCTCAGTACAGGGTTTATTTATGTTTATGTTTATTTGTTTTTAGCAGAAACATGTTTGTTCATCAGTCATAATAGGTTTTCTTTCTTCATTGAATGGTACTTTGAAATGATGATGTCCCTTAATTTACATCCCAAGAGACATACATGCAAACTTCCTGGCAGGAGGAGTCTCTTCCTTTAAGGACCAGGGCAAAGAAAGGCTACTTCCCTGACCTTCCCTATTATTTGCCAACCAATCAGTTGCTCCTGCCATTCACCTTCCAGGAGCTGTGTTTTTAATGTTACTGAAAGCTAATGTCTTGTATCTTATATAAGTAGTTTGTATGTTATTATATCTCTCGCTAAGTTGAAGCACCTTAGATGGGGAGAGCTGAGCTCCCAGCTGCTGTGGCATTTTTGACCAGAGCCACATCTACCAGGTAGTATGAAATAGATGACAGGTGAATACGGACAGCTTAAAAGTTTCCTTCCTTTGAAATAGTTGGAAACATCTTTGGGAGGAGAATTCTGCATCAGAACTGGCAGTGTGTGCAACCTAAGAGGCCTTACCCATCTTGTGACAATCTGTTTTTGTTCATGCATGTTCATCCAAAAAAAATTCATAAGTTGGGGTTTTCATTAATAACTACTGTAGCTGAGAAAAATATTTTTATTTGGTGCCAGCTCAGGGAAGAACCAGGCAGGAAGCTACTCATATGACATCATTATGACATCATATTAAAGCAAGGCAACTTGACTACAATTAGTGCTGAAATTATCTATAAACTGTTATTATATATGCATTTATGTTATTTATAGTACATTTTATTCCAGCCTGGTACTATATATTATATGCCTCACTGTATTGTAAAGTACAGTATATTGTAAAGTGCAAGGTTATTAACCTGCAATTTCACTTGCCATTTTATTGCATGACATTCTGTTGTCTGTTTGGTATGGAATTGTTAAGCCTTCTTAGGTTATTTGTCTATTACCAGTTAATTTCTCTGAAACTCAACAGGCTCTGATTACAACTGGTGAAGCAGGTGTGATCTGTGCTGTGAGCAACTGGCTTTCCTTAAACATCTGGAGTTGCTCCAGCATGAGTGCAGGCGTGTTTAGCTGTGTCTCCTTCCTCATGTTTGCCCTTGGTTGTTAGTCTTTCCAGAAGTGAAATACATGTTTCCCAGTTATGGGACTTTAGAGTTCTTGGCACCCTTATGGAGAGCCCTTGGAATGTGACAAAATGAATTGTGGTAGACTCTGTCAGCAAAATACTACTTCTAATTTTGAAGCCAGTATGTCACTCAGCTTTGGGAGGTCTGATTCAGTGAGCTGAGTCTGGTTAGTATGTGCAACAAGTCTAGACTTGTGGAGGGGTGGTCTCCATGTTGTTAGTGTCTACCACATAAACCTGTTTGATTAATACAGTGTACATGCAAATTTGTCAAGGCTAGCCATCACTGGGTACACATGCGCTCAACTCTGTGGATGCATCAAGACAAATTTGCTTCCACTTACTGTCAGAGTGACAGAATATTCACGTGACTAGGAAGGAAGTATTTATTGAGTTCCTCCTATCAGTGTGCCAGAAATTGCTGAGCTAGGGATTTTTCTGGGCTAGGGATTTTTCTGAGCTAGGGATTTTTCATTAGATAACTCAATGCCCAATTCTGAAAAGCTAGTATTATTAAAAAGTTCATTATACACCCAAAGAAACTGAGGCTCAGAGAAGGTTACTCATCCAAAATTACACAGTTACCAGGCAGCTGAGCAAAGGCTCAAACCCAGTTCTGTACTCCAGGGCTCTCTGATATGTGTGCTCTGATTTTCCTTTTAGCACCATTATATAAAATTTTCCATGGTTGAGTTGTTCTGAGGACAAATTCTGTAAGTTTCCCTTTCCTCTGCTTAGTCCTGTATTCCACACATTACTTAGGCCTTTCACTCAGAAGGCAAGCAGGAGAAAGGGGAGGCAGTTCAAGGCAGTCACAGTGAAAGTCCAGCTCTTGGTCAATCCTGGGGAATTAATTCTTCTGAATAACAAAGTTTTTCAGCATGCCCATTATTATTCCCTTTATATTAAAAAATAGCTTTATTTGATTTTTGAATGAATTTTACTTCCTATCTTTTTGAGTAGAACCATTTAAATATGCATTAAAAAATCTGCCTTCACCACAAGAGTATAATCTCATAATGGCTATGACTTTGGTGGTAATATTAATTATGCTTCCCCCTCCATCTACAGCAATGCAAATGACATACTAACAATGCTCAGTAACTGTTGACTTAATGAATATTATAGTAATTATTTATTATACTGAAACTTAATATAAAGAAAGCTATTTGTTACTTATTTTAAAACTCTGTTTCCTCAGCTTTCTTGTGTCTGTTTTGTTTTTATATTTTTCAGTCTCCTTTACTGTCATCTGTTACCACTCTATCATTATTTATTAGTGTCGGGCATGTGTCTACCAATAGGAGGTATCTGCTGCTTCTAATAGGAAAGCTATAGTGAATTAGGCAACCAGCTGTCCCATGCGATTCAAATTGTGTGAAGGTTTGAAGCCTTTCCTAAGAGTCAGCAAATACATTTAAGTGAGAGTTCATGGCATTCTCCACAAGAAATGGAGCTTTGAGTGCTTGAGGATACCATTTTTAGCTAACTTTTTGGTCTAGATCTGTTCTGGAAAGTTGACACATAAGTGGTCTGAGAAGACACCGATGGTGCACTGACTACCTGCCCTTAGCCCTTATATTTTCACTGTATACTGGCCCAACTTCCAATGCCATTCTTGCCAGCGATGGTTAATTTTGTGTCAACCTGATCGGGCTAAGAGATGCCTAGATTGCAGGTAAACATGATTCCTGGTTGTGTCTGTGAGGCTGTTTTTGGAAGAGATCAGCATTTGAATTAGTGAATTGAGTAAAACAGATGGCCCTCCTCATTGTGGTTGGGCATCATCCAATCTGTTGAGGAATGAGATAGAACTAAAAGGTGGAGGAAGGGAGAACTCACTAATGGAGTGAATGGAATGGAGACATTCATGTTCTTTTGTCCTTGGACAAACATACTCCTGTTCTCAGGCTTTCAGACTTAGACCAGGACAGGACTTACAGCATCACCTCTTTCCAAAACCCAATTCTAAGGCCTTCAGGCTCACACTAAATTACACCAGTGGCTTTTTTCCTTCTCCAGCTTGCAGATGGCAGCTTGTGAGACTTCTCAGCCTCCATAATTTGTGAGCCAATTCCTACAATACATTTCTTCTTATATATGTTTATATGTTCTGTTGAATTTATTTCTTTGAAGAACCATAACTAAAACACTGCCTGTCTCTGTCTTAGTCTTTCTCTAACCGCAAGGACCTGGTTTGCCTGCGGACTGGACAGATCGGATGCGTTAAAGAATTGTCTCTCTTAAGGAAGGGAGGGCTCTCATCCAATGACTGACAGGACTGTTACATAAGTACTCAAGTTCCCTCTCCAACTCGAATGGGATAACTCTGAGGTATATATTCCTTAAGAAGTCCTAGACTTTCCTGGTGTGATTATACTCCAGTCACCCATAATGCCAACTTGCTTGATAACTCACCTCTCTTTGTTCCTATCCTTCACTGCCTGTCCTTCTATTTCTCTCTGCATGTTGCCTGAGATTACCTCCCCCCACCTTCAAAAATACACCACCCTCACTTGGATCTTTGCCTCAAGGTCTACTGTCTACTTTCTGGAGGAATTCAGGCTAAGACACAGAATTACAAGTAAGTGAAATGTCACCGTACTTATTACAAGGGAAATTATGCAATTTGAAGAGGGAGGAGACTAGTGGCTAAATGGGAATACTTGAATGTATTCAGTTTTCATTATCCAGGCTGCATCTACTTTACTGAGAATTGAACAAGATGCACATTTTCCTGGGAGACATGGCATTCTTGCTACAGTGTGGATTCGGAGTTGATGCATATGCTTTATGTAATCTACCTGATAGGGAAATGGCACTGAGTCAACATACAAGGTGAAGGAATCTGAGCAGGTGTTTGGACTTCAGCATCAGGTTAACACCTCAGAGGCCAGGATTGAGTTTGTTGGCACTTGCAGCTGTTAGAAATAAACGTGACATTGCCTGAATAAATCATTGGTTAGCTCTTGTCAATGATACAGGAGAATTTTCACTTCTTCCTTCCCTCAAGTTGATCAGGGTCAGCAGTTTAAAGAGACAGTACTGCCAAAGGAAAAATTAAATTAAAGAAAGTTAGTGAAGAAAGAAAATACTTGAAAAATAACCTTTCAGCCAGGCATGGTGTCTCATGCCTGTAATTCCAGCACTTTGGCAGGCCGAGGCGGGTGGATCATGAGTTCAGGGGTTCAAGACCAGCCTGGCCAATATGGTGAAACCCTGTTTCTACTAAAAATAAAAAATTAGCTGGGCATGGTGGCACATGCCTGTAATTCCAGCTACTTGGGAGGCTGAGGCAGAAGAATTGCTTGAACCTGGGAGGCGGAGGTTGCAATGAACCAAGATAGCACCACTGCACTCCAGCCTGGGTGACAGAGTGAGACTCTGTCTCAAAAAATAAAAAAAATAAAAATAAAAATAACTTTTCATTCACCACATACTTGTCTTTTTTCAAAGCACCACCTTCAAATGTAGGAGGGGTAGAGAAATTTGCTTAGAATTCTCCCTCTGTGAAAGGAGATCATGAAACCATTTGTGAACTTTATTGCGGGAAAGATAGCCTTCAACAAATGGTGCTGAGAAAACTCTGTATGTATGTCCAAAACAATGAAGCTGGACCTCTTCTTCATACCACACAGAAAACTTAATCCAAAATAAATAAGATTATTAAATGAAATAGCTAAAACTAAACAATTCTAAAAAGAAAACCCAAGAGTAAATCTTTATGACCTTGGGGAAGGCAATAGTTTCTTAGATATGAAACAAAAGCAAAAGTGACAAAATATAATTTGTACTTCATCAAAATTAAAAACTTTTCAACGTGAAAGGAAACCATCAAAAATATAAAAACACAAACCACGTAAGGGGAGAAAATATTTACCTGATAGATCAGCATATGGACTTCTATTCAGAATACATAAAAAGCTCATAATTCAATAATAAAAAGACATATAACTCAACTAAAAATGGACAAAGGGTATAACTAAACATTTCTCCAAAGAAGATATACCAATGGCCAATAATCATATTATAAAAATACCAACATGAGTAGCCACCTGGGAAATAAAAATTAAATCCACAATTAGCTGCCACTTTATTTCCATTAGCATAACTAACATCACAAAGACAAATATTAACAAGTGTTGGGCAAGGTATGGAGATACTGAACCCTCAGACTTTGTTGGTGAGGGTATAAAATGGTGCAGCCAATTTAGAAAATAGTTTGGCAGTTTCTCAAAATGTTAAACACAGAGTTACCATGTGACCCAGTAAATAAACTCCTATCTATATGCCAATAAAAAATGAAAACTTATGTCCACGCAGAACTTTGTATATGAAAATTCATAGCAGTGTTATTCATATTAGTCAAAAGGAAGAAAAAGCCCAAATGTCTACCAACTGATGAATTGAATAAATATGATTTACCCATTTGGTGGACTATTATTTGGCAATAAAAAAATAAGTACTGAAACAATATGGATAGACTTTGAAATGTTAGGTGAAAAAAGCTAGAAAAACCACATGTTGTATAATTCAATTTATACAAAATGGCCAAAATAGATAATTTATAAAACAGAAAGTAGATTCATGGTTGCCTAAATCTTAGGAAGGAGGGACATGGGAAGCAATTGGCAAGTAACTGCTAATATGGGTTATTTGGGATAGGTGAGAAACACTTTTAATATAGATTGTGATGATGACTGCAAAACTGTGAGCATATTAAAATATATTGAATGTAATACTTTAAGTGAGTGAATTGTATGGTATGTGAATTCAAGCTCAATAACACTGTTAAAATGTTCATCAAATGTTTAAATACAAATACTGACAAAGTATTCTGTCATTAATAACTTTTGTAAAAATAAAATGTATGACAAGCAGTAGCATACAATGTTGGAGTGAAAAAATGAAAGTATGCTATTATAAGTTTCTAAACTAGGTATGCAGATACTCAATCTCAGCACTCTTGTCATTTTAGGCTGGGTAGTTCTATTTTATTTTTATGGGCTGTACTATGCATTGTTTAGCAGTATCTTGGCTTCTACACTCTACACAGCTAATACCATCAGCACCATGCCTACTCCCACTGCCACCATTTGTGCCAATAAAAAGTGTCTATAGATATTGTCATTTGTCCCCTAGCAGACAAAAATTATCCCCAGTTAAGAATACCTGCTATATATGAAGTGGCACAATATTATTTGACTATGATATATTTGTTTCCTCTTTCTGCTATAATAAATTACTGACAGCTATGTGATTTAGGACAATACAATTTTATTTTTTATAGTCCTGGAGCTCCAAAATGATTTTACTAGGCTAAAGTCAAGGTGTTAGCACCACTGTGTTTCTCCTGGAGGCTTTAGGGAAGAATCAATTTCCTTGCCCCTTTCAGCTAATAGAGTCTTTCTTTGTTGTGGCTTCTTCCTCTATTTTCAAGCTCAGCAGTGTAATGTCTTCAACTCTCTTTCTCTCTCTCTCTCTCTTTCTTCCTCTCTCTCATGCTTGCCCCCACTTCTCATTCTTGCCCCCGTGCTTGCCCTCACTTCACATCTCCTTGCCTCTGCCTCTCTGTCATAAGGACCCTTGTGATTACTCTGGGCTCATCTGGATAATCCAGGATCATCTCCACGCCTCACTTTTTTAACATACTCACATCTCCAAAGTCTCTTTTACTCTTTAAGGTAACATACTTATAAATTCTGAGGATTACGACATGAGCATCTTTGTGGGGCACTATTCAGTGTATCACAGTAAAATATGATAAGTTAAAGACATATAATGTAACTCCTAAAACAAGCATTAGAATAACAATGAGTTATATATTTAACATTGTCCCACAGGTTCCTGAGACTCTGTTTTGCTTTTTGTCTGTTCTTTAGGTTAAATAATCTCTCTGCTCTATCTTCAAGTCCATGGGTTATTTTTTCTTCCAGCTCAGTTCTATTATTGGGATGCATATACTCTAGTGAGTTGTTCACTTACTGTATTTTTAAACTGTAGAATTTCCATATAGCTTTTTTTAAACAAACAAACAAACAAACAAACTTTATTCCTGTGATAGTCTGTCTTGGATGTCATTATCTTAATACTTTCCTTTAATTCTCTATGTATTTTTTGCAAACTCTAATTTTACTTCTCAGTTTTTTTGTTATTATTTTTTATTTATGTAAAAATATTATTTTAAAAATTATTATTTTCTTGATTAACAGGTAAAATTATATGTATTTATTGTATACAACATAATGCTTTGAGATATATATACATTGTGGAATAGTTAAATCTAGTTAAGTAACAAATTCATTACTATCTAGGAGATATCATGTCGGTCCTGTTAGAATGGCTGTTATCAACATGACAAGATAACAAGTGTTGGAAAAGATGTGGAAAAAAGTGAACGCTTACACACTGTTTGTGGTAATGCAAATTAGTACAGCCATTATGGTGAAAAGTATGGAATTTTTTTTGTTGTTGTTATTTTTAGAGACAGTGTCTTTGTGTGTCTCCCAGGCTGGAGTGCAGTGGCATGATCATAGCTCACTTGGCTTCTGAACTCCTGGGCTCAAACAGTCCTCCTGCCCCAGCCTCCTGAGTGGCTGGGATTATAGGTAGCTGGGACCACACTTGACTATTTTTTTTTTTTCACTTTTTTTGGAGACGTAGCTCACTTTGTTACCCAGGCTGGTCTCGAACCTCTGGCCTCAAGCAATCCTCCTGTCTTGGCCTTCCAAAGTGCTGGGAATATGGGTGTGAGCCACCGCACCTGGACTGGAAGTTTCCTAAAGTATAGAAAATAGAACTATTGTATGATCCAGCAATTCCACTACTGAGTATATATCCAAAGGAAATGAAATCAATGTGTCAGAGATATCTGCCCTCCTTGATGATATGGTTTGGCTCTGTGTCCCCACCCAAATCTCATCTTGAATGGTAATTGCCACATGTTGAGGAAGGGAAGTAATTGGATTAAGGGGGTGGGTTCCCCCATGCTATTCTTGTGATAGTGAGTTCTCATGAGAGATCTGATGATTTCATAAATGGGAGCTTTTCCTGCACTCACACTTCTCTTTCCTGTTGCCTTGTGAAGAAGGTGACTCTTTCCCCTTCCACCATGATTGTAAGTTTCCTGAGGCCTCCCCAGCCATGTGGAACTGTGAGTCAATTAAACCTCTTTCCTTTATAAATCACCCAGTCTTGGGTATTTCTTTATAGCTGTGTGAAAATCCACAAATATAGTTGCTATTATTTTTGAAACTTTTGCCTTAGGTTTCCTTAGATTAATATTGCCCAGGGCTGACTACCATTGCCTAGTAGTCAGCCAATGATTATTCAGACGCTTGTGCTTAAAACCCCTTAAAACCCCTGAAACTACCTTTTTCAGTTTGATCCATGTGTGGTTTGATGAATGTTTTCAAATTTCGGGTAATTAATAACTCTTCCATACATTCAGTTAAGTATGCTTTTTGGTCTTTTGAACTGTTCCATGGTCTTATTGGAAACTTCATTCTCACTTATAAAATATTTATACCAGGGTTATGAGTGGGCTACTTATTTATCTTTAGCACAATTCAAATAAGGTTTGGTTCTCAATTTTTTTCATAAATACTTTCTGAGTGTATTTCTAATGTTTAAATTATGATTTGCTTATACTATAATTTAAATTAATTTCAGAAGAAACGTGTGATTCCAATTCTATTTTATAATTCATACCTTATTATTTATACTTTCCAAGGCACATCATGTTTATTACCTTATGTGATCCTGATGATATTATAATGATTATTTCCTCTTTAAAAATTATAGAGACTGTGAGTCATGAAGCAGCAGAAATAAAATTAGGACTTGGGTCTATTAATTTTCCAACCAAATATTCTGTCTATTTAACCATATTCTCTCCCATGATAATGTTAATTTTTAGAATGTGTAATAATATTGGTAATGATAATAAGGAGATGTCTTTCTACTTTCTACTACATTGTGCCTTACATATTTACAATTCTTACAAAAAAAGCCCTTAATTTATTCCTAAACATATACGAGGTCCATAAATATCTTTCAGTACTAGGATTTCTTAACTCCAAATAATGTTACAAGAATGAGTATTCAACCATGACATTTCTAATTGGCTACAAACATAGTCCAATATCCTAATCTTACCATGTTGTCAGAGGAGTTAATTGGACTTGCATAGCCACCAGCAAAATATATTGGTTTATGCAAAGAGTGAATCTAATTTCCTTCATAAACATTAATTCCTGTACAAGAGTGGTGCAGACAGAGGGGCAAAGAGGGAGAATGCTCAGTGTAACTTCAAAAGATCTTTTTTGTTCCAATTTTCTGCTCTTGATAGACATAAAAGAAAATATCATTAATTTATTTTAACATATATTATACCTCTTTAAATTTATTTTATTTTATTATTATTATACTTTAAGTTTTAGGGTACATGTACACAATGTGCAGGTTAGTCACATATGTATACATGTGCCATGCTGGTGTGCTGCACCCATTAACTCATGATTTAGCATTAGGTATATCTCCTAATGCTATCCCTCCCCCCACCCCCTACCCCACAACAGTCCCCAGAGTGTGATGTTCCCCTTCCTGTGTCCATGTGTTCTCATTGTTCAATTCCCACCTATGAGTGAGAATATGCAGTGTTTGGTTTTTTGTTCTTGCGATAGTTTACTGAGAATGATGATTTCCAATTTCATCCATGTCCCTACAAAGGACATGAACCCATCATTTTTTATGGCTGTGTAGTATTCCATGGTGTATATGTGCCACATTTTCTTAATCCAGTCTATCATTGTTGGACATTTGGGTTGGTTCCAAGTCTTTGCTATTGTGAATAGTGCCGCGATAAACATACATGTGCATGTGTCTTTATAGCAGCATGATTTATAGTCCTTTGGGTATATACCAGTAAAGGGATGGCTGGGTCAAATGGTATTTCTAGTTCTAGATCCCTGAGGAATCGCCACACTGACTTCCACAATGGTTGAACTAGTTTACAGTCCCCCCAACAGTGTAAAAGTGTTCATATTTCTCCACATCCTCTCCAGCACCTGTTGTTTCCTGACATTTTAATGATCGCCATTCTAACTGGTGTGAGATGGTATCTCATTGTGCTTTTCATTTGCATTTCTCTGATGGCCAGTGATGATGAGCATTTTTTCATGTGTTTTTTGGCTGCATAAATGTCTTCTTTTGAGAAGTGTCTGTTCATGTCCTTTGCCCACTTTTTGATGTGGTTGTTTGTTTTTTTCTTGTAAATTTGTTTGAGTTCGTTGTAGATTCTGGATATTAGCCCTTTGTCAGATGAGTAGGTTGCAAAAATTTTCTCCCATTTTGTAGGTTGCCTGTTCACTCTGACGGTAGTTTCTTTTGCTGTGCAGAAGCTCTTTAGTTTAATGAGATCCCATTTGTCAATTTTGGCTTTTGTTGCCATTGCTTTTGGTGTTTTAGACATGAAGTCCTTGCCCATGCCTATGTCCTGAATGGTAATGCCTAGGTTTTCCTCTAGGATTTTTATGGTTTTAGGTCTAATGTTTAAGTCTTTAATCCATCTTGAATTAATTTTTGTATAAGGTGTAAGGAGGGGATCCAGTTTCAGCTTTCTACATATGGCTAGCCAGTTTTCCCAGCACCATTTATTAAATAGGGAATCCTTTCCCCATTGCTTGTTTTTCTCAGGTTTGTCAAAGATTAGATAGTTGTAGATATGTGGCGTTATTTCTGAGGGCTCTGTTCTGTTCCATTCATCTATATCTCTGTTTTGGTACCAGTACCATGCAGTTTTGGTTACTGTAGCCTTGTAGTATAGTTTGAAGTCAGGTAGTGTGATGCCTCTAGCTTTGTTCTTTTGGCTTAGGATTGACTTGGCAATGCGGGCTCTTTTTTGGTTCCATATGAACTTTAAAGTAGTTTTTTCCAGTTCTGTGAAGAAAGTCATTGGTAGCTTGATGGGGATGGCATCTATAAATTACCTTGGGCAGTATGGCCATTTTCATGATATTGATTCTTCCTACCCATGAGCATGGAATGTTCTTCCATTTGTTTGTATCCTCTTTTATTTCATTGAGCAGTGGTTTGTAGTTCTCCTTGAAGAGGTCCTTCACATCCCTTGTAAGTTGGATTCCTAGGTATTTTATTCTCTTTGAAGCAATTGTGAATGGGAGTTCACTCATGATTTGGCTCTCTGTTTGTCTGTTATTGGTGTATAAGAATGCTTGTGATTTTTGCACATTGATTTTGTATCCTGAGACTTTGCTGAAGTTGCTTATCAGCTTAAGGAGATTTGGGGCTGAGACAATGGGGTTTTCTAGATATACAATCATGTCATATGCAAACAGGGACAATTTGACCTCCTCTTTTCCTAATTGAATACCTTTATTTCCTTCCCCTGCCTAATTGCCCTGGCCAGAACTTCCAACACTATGTTGAATAGGAGTGGTGAGAGAGGGCATCCCTGTCTTGTGCCAGTTTTCAAAGGGAATGCTTCCAGTTTTTGCCCATTTGGTATGATCTTGGCTGTGGGTTTGTCATAGATAGCTCTTATTATTTTGAGATACGTCCCATCAATAGCTAATTTATTGAGAGTTTTTAGCATGAAGGGTTGTTGAATACCTGCCGCTGAGGGTCCTGTCTGTTAGAAGGAATACTAACAAACAGAAAGGACATCCACACCAAAAACCCATCTGTACATCACCAACATCAAAGACCAAAAGTAGATGAAACCACAAAGATGGGGAAAAAACAGAGCAGAAAAACTGGAAACTCTAAAAAGCAGAGCACCTCTCCTCCTCCAAAGGAATGCAGGTCCTCACCAGCAACGGAACAAAGCTGGACAGAGAATGACTTTGACGAGCTGAGAGAAGAAGGCTTCAGATGATCAAACTACTCCGAACTACAGGGGGAAATTCAAACCAAAGGCAAAGAAGTTAAAAACTTTGAAAAATATTTAGACGAATGTATAACTAGAATAACCAATACAGAGAAGTGCTTAAAGGAGCTGATGGAGCTGAAAGCCAAGGCTCGAGAACTACGTGAAGAATGCAGAAGCCTCAGGAGTCGATGCAATCAACTGGAAGAAAGGGTATCAGTGATGGAAGATGAAATGAATGAAATGAAGCAAGAAGGGAAGTTTAGAGAAAAAAGAATAAAAAGAAACGAACAAAGACACCAAGAAATATGGGACTATGTGAAAAGACCAAATCTACGTCTGATTGGTGTACCTGAAAGTGACGGGGAGAATGGAACCAAGTTGGAAAACACTCTGCAGGGTATTATCCAGGAGAACTTCCCCAGTCTAGCAAGGCAGGCCAACATTCAGATTCAGGAAATACAGAGAACGCCACAAAGATACTCCTCGAGAAGAGCAAATCCAAGACACATAACTGTCAGATTCACCAAAGTTGAAATGAAGGAAAAAATGTTAAGGGCAGCCAGAGAGAAAGGTCAGGTTACCCACAAAGGGAAGCCCATCAGACTAACAGCTGATCTCTTGGCAGAAACTCTACAAGCCAGAAGAGAGTGGGGGCCAATATTCAACATTCTTAAAGAAAAGAATTTTCAACCCAGAATTTCATATCCAGCCAAACTAAGCTTCATAAGTGAAGGAGAAATAAAATACTTTACAGACAAGCAAATGCTGAGAGATTTTGTCACCACCAGGCCTGCCCTAAAAGAGCTCCTGAAGGAAGCACTAAACATGGAAAGGAACAACCGGTACCAGCCGCTGCAAAATCATGCCAAATTGCAAAGACCATCGAGGCTAGGAAGAAACTGCATCAACTAACAAGCAAAATAACCAGCTAACATCATAATGACAGGATCAAATTCACACATAACAATATTAACTTTAAATGTAAATGGACAAAATGCTCCAATTGAAAGACACAGACTGGCAAATTGGATAAAGAGTCAAGACCCATCAGTGTGCTGTATTCAGGAAACCCGTCTCACGTGCAGAGAGACACGTAGGCTCAAAATAAAAGGATGGAAGAAGATCTACCAAGCAAATGGAAAACAAGAAAAGGCAGGTGTTGCAATCCTAGTCTCTGATAAAACAGACTTTAAACCAACAAAGATCAAAAGAGACAAAGAATGCCATTACATAATGGTAAAGGGATCAATTTAACAAGAAGAGCTAAGTATCCTAAATATATATGCACCCAATACAGGAGCACCCAGATTCATAAAGCAAGTCCTGAGTGACCTACAAAGAGACTTAGACTCCCACACAATAATAATGGGAGACTTTAACACCCCACTGTCAACATTAGACAGATCAATGAGACAGAAATTAAAAAGGATACCTAGGAATTGAACTCAGCTCTGCACCAAACATACCTAATAGACATCTACAGAACTCTCCACCCCAAATCAACAGAATATACATTTTTTTCAGCACCACACCACACCTATTCCAAAATTGACCACACACTTGGAAGTAAAGCTCTCCTCAGCAAATGTAAAAGAACAGAAATTATAACAAACTATCTCTCAGACCACAGTGCAATCAAAGTAGAATTCAGGACTAAGAAACTCACTCAAAACCGCTCAACTACATGGAAACTGAACAACGTGCTCCTGAATGACTACTGGGTACATAACAAAATGAAGGCAGAAATAAAGATGTTCTTTGAAACCTAGAACAAAGACACAACATACCAGAATCTCTGGGACACATTCAAAGCAGTGTGTAGAGGGAAATTTGTAGCACTAAATGCCCACAAGAGAAAGCAGGAAAGATCCAAAATTGACACCCTAACATCACAATTAAAAGAACTAGAAAAGCAAGAGCAAACACATTCAAAAGCTAGCAGAAGGCAAGAAATAACTAAAATCAGAGCAGAACTGAAGGAAATAGAGACACAAAAAACCCTTCAAAAAATTAATGAATCCAGGAGCTGGTTTTTTGAAAGGATCAACAAAATTGATAGACCGCTAGCAAGACTAATAAAGAAGAAAAGAGAGAAGAATCAAATAGACGCAATAAAAAAATGATAAAGGGGATATCACCACCGTTCCCACAGAAATACAAACTACCATCAGAGAATACTACAAACACCTCTACACAAATAAACTAGAAAATCTAGAAGAAATGGATAAATTCCTCGACACATAACACCCTCCCAAGACTAAACCAGGAAGAAGTGGAATCTCTGAATAGACCAATAACAGGCTCTGAAATTGTGGCAATAATCAATAGCTTACCAACCAAAAAGAGTCCAGGACCAGAAGGATTCACAGCCGAATTCTACCAGAGGTACAAGGAGAAACTGGTACCATTCCTTCTGAAACTATTCCAATCAATAGAAAAAGAGGGAATCTTCCCTAACTCATTTTATGAGGCCAGCATCATCCTGATACCAAAGCCGGGCAGAGACACAACAAAAAAAGAGAATTTTAGACCAATATCCTTGATGAACATTGATGCAAAAATCCTCAATAAAATACTGGCAAACCGAATCCAGCAGCACATCAAAAAGCTTATCCACCATGATCAAGTGGGCTTCATCCCTGGGATGCAAGGCTGGTTCAATATACGCAAATCAATAAATGTAATCCAGCATATAAACAGAGCCAAAGACAAAAACCACATGATTATCTCAATAGATGCAGAAAAGGCCTTTAACATATATTATACTTTATAAGTTAGATTAGGCAACAAATAAAGAATTGGTAAATTTTATAGTGCAGTCCAGGCCAGTCAAAATGAAAGGAGATAGACTCCTTCATCCTACTTCCTAGCATTTCGTATTGCAAGTCCCTAAGAACTTTAAGAATTAACATAGAGAGAAGATTTTTGTCTTTGTAATCTATCTGTATATCTTTTAAAATAGCCTTATTTATTCAGACTTCATTGACTTAGGCTTCATAAATTTTTGTCAAAGCTTAGCTTAATTATGAGAAAGAACTTGATTTTATCAATTTCTAGCCCCAATCCCTGCATACCCCTGTCCTTGGGTAGTCACAAAATACCTTTAACCTTTTACCATTTGGTCTATTAAAGTAAGTAGTTTTACTTACCTCATGAAGGCATGCAATGATTAAATGAGAATGTCACCTTAAACTTTACTGCATATATTCAAGAAAATGTGATAATGGTCAATAAACAATACTGTGTATATTCCTAAAAAGGGAAAATTTAACTTATTTCAAAGAACGAGCTATTTTTAGCCATGCAGCGATCATTGTTTACATACTAACAACAAATAGGCTAATGCCAAATCGTCACTATTAGTTTGCTAAGGAATGTTTGTTTTTTAGAGCATTAATCAGATTCAAGTTATTTCACCTTTTAAAAATACTATTCATAATTCTGAGTTTTTACACATTCAAGCTGGTTATTACTTTCGTCAAAATTAGTGAGCTTGTATGTTAGTAGTTTGTTTGTTTGTTTTTTTTGAGATGGAGTCTCGCTCTGTCACCCAGGCTGGAGTGCAATGGTGCAGTTTTGGCTTACTGCAACCTCTGCCTCCGGTGTTCAAGCAATTCTGCCTCAGCCTCCCAAGTAGCTGGGACTACAGGTATGCACCACCATGCCAAGCTAATTTGTGTATTTTTAGTAGAGAAGGGGTGTCATCATGCTGGCCAGGATGGTCTCAAACTTCTTACCTTGTGATCTGCCTGCCTTGGACTCCCAAAGTGCGGGGATTACAGACGTGAGCCACTGTGCCTGGCTGCTAGTTGTTTTTAATGCATGACTTGACAAGCCTCAGTATTAAAAATCTGTGTTGAAAACAAACTTCATTTTGTTTCCTGGAAAATAAGGAATGCTTCTTTTAACTTTCTCTTTTGAGAAGAGCCCTATATAGATAATAGAAGAAATGGGGTATAGATCTCCCTACTCCATGCTCATAATTAGTACAATACTTTGGGGTGGACAAAACGCCGTCTTGTATGTGACAAACGTTGAATTTGATCACTTAGCTTGAGATGATTCCTGAGGGTATTATTCAGAGATTAGGAGCTCTTTTGTATCTTGGCAAAGAGTCTATTACTGTGGAACTTAACTATCCTGCTTGCTGTGGGGCTATTTAGTGTGCTTCATATAGGCAATACTTATAATACATATAAGCAATATTTATAATACCATGTAAACAACATCTCCTTTCTAAAATATGTTCCCTAATATAGGATTACCCAGAGTTTCGCAAGGTTCATGATACAAATTGTTGAATATATGGGAAGGATATTTGTTTCTTAACTATGGTAATAGATAATAATTCTTACTAGATTTTTAGGGAGCTTATAATCTATAATAGATGAGTTATATGACAAAAAAGTAATGGACAATAAATGCATCCCATCATCAAGGAATGCAATGTGCAAATCATTATTATGCATTCTTGGGGAAGAGATTGACAGCTCTGTATATAGTACTTGGTGAAAGCTTCTGGGAACAGGGGAGAAATTCATCGAGTATCGCAGTGTGAGGAGAATTGAAATAGAATAAAATGCAGGAGAAAGGCTACTCACATTGGAGCTGAGAATGAGACTGTAGGATCAAAGTTATTTTTTCTTCTTGTGGTTTTATATGAAGGTACACTCCTTTTATTTGATGCAAGGCTTTTCTTCATATATATGGTTATAATGGCCATTTAATTATTTTGCCTGACTTTTAATACTTGATTTCATGGCGAAAACAATGAAGTATTTTCTAAAATGATACCCTCCGATACTATCTGGTTTATAAAATACAATTTCCAAGTAGATGACATTTATATATAACCCATTCCCCTGGTGAAGTTTCCTTTGTTTAAGGATGGGGTGACTGACACAAGTTGCATGAATGAATCTCTTCTCTATGCTTTAGGGACTGAGAAACATGAAGAGTGTTAGGCCAGTCTCCAGGGAACAAAGAGATGATATGAATACATTGATATTATAGTGGTAATACTCAGGAAGTGGTCCTGGTTTTGGCCGTGTAGAAAAAGCTGGCTAATAGGTAGAGAGAGGGGAGCTGAGAACACATGGAGAAGAGGACAAGAGGGACAGAGAGAAGAGATGGTTTTATTGTAGCCTGAGGACCATCACAAACTACTTTCCCAAATCTGTGACATATCCCAAAGATCTTTGTTTAAAACTTGTAATCTGAAATTTTGGGATGGCTGTAGTCAATGGTGGTAGTTTAGAAAACATCCTTTCCAAACTTCCTCTTCAAACTATACAGAATATCATTTATACCTGGGAAACTTCCAGGAAAACCCACAGTAACAGTACTGCTTGAAGATGGAGAAAGTGAAAACCACAAAATAACTAAGTATGAAGGGTAAATTCACCAAATCCCTGAGCCAGGGTCCTACGCCCTCTCTCCCTGCTGCCACCATAGGCAAGATTCTGCAGAATGCAAAGGCAGTCCTAGGCAAGCCGGAGGGAAGACAAAGGAATGAGCTAGTAAAGGGGCTGGAGGGTGAGTTGAAGCAACCACCAGGAAAAATTTTATCCTCCTTAACTCTAAACGTACCAAAAAAGTAACATGGCAGATCAGAACACTACTACACAGAAAGGATTTAAAAGTATTTGTGATTCAAAGTAAACATCAAATAAAGGGCCTGAGGTGCTATATTTAAACAGGCAGACTCCATGGAAAGAGCCAAGTGAGATTTTTAGGAGACCCACTCTACGTAAAGAGGTACATTTGATTTAAAAGGACAGGGACAATTTAAGAGGCAGTCTTGTAAACCTATAGCTTCTGGGGGAGAAAAATAAGCCAAAAAAAAAAAAAGTAACTTTGGCAATTGGGTGGTAAAGGGCACAGCACAAAAAAAGAATAAAAACAGGATCGTTAGGACAGAAGAGAGCCATAAAATCAAAGACTCACAACTAACTCAGTTTTCAGTCACCAAAACAAAACACACAAACAAAGTATCTGGGCATTTGCTAGACTGACCGAAAGGCATATCATTAAACTTGCAAACTTGCAGAAAACTTGATTATTCTGAAATGAATCAAAGGAAACTAAATATCATAGGGAACTCTTGCAGAAAATCTGGAAGCAACATTTTATACAAATCAGCTAAATAAAATCCTTCTAACCCCAGGGCAACCATTATGAAAGTGACCAAAACATATAGTAAAGTAAACAACAAGCAATTAAAATGTTAGACTAGAAAATAGCTATTGAACACAAAAGAGGGCAGCAATAGCTGAAAAACACACAAAAAAACACAACCAAACAAGAATCGTACAGCATAAAGGAAACAAATAGAAGATGTCAAATAGAAATTCTTCATTTAATATAAATAGACTAAATACCCATAAAGACAGAGTGAAAGAATGAAAAAAAATGTGATTCAACCATACTGGGGTATAAGACACCCATTTTAGATTTAAAGACACAACTAGATTAAAATTAAATGGATGGAAAAACTTATGCCATGCAAAAATTTTTTAAAAAGTGTGGAGTAGCTATACTAACATAAGACAAAATTGACTTTAAGACAAATGCTGTTATTAATGTTACAAAGGTGACAAAATAAAATTTTACAATGGTACATTAATTCCTTCAGGAAAATATAGCAATCATATATATATGCCTAACAGCTGGGCACCAGAATACATGAAGGTATACTGACAGAATCGAAAGAAGAAATCAGTGATATAGCAATAATAGTTGGAGAGTTCAGCTTCAATACCTAACTTCTTTTAATAAATGAGGTTAAATTTTATAGAAGGTAAAATCAACCATTGTAAAGTGTAAAACTCAGGATCATTTATTACATTCAGAATGCTGTGCAACCACCTCTTTTAAATCCCAAAATATTTTCCTCATCTTAAATGAAACCCAGTACTCATTAAGCAGTTATCTTTATTCCCCCATCTTCCCAGCCCATGGCAACCACAATTCTGCTCTCTATTAATATGAGTTCTGTTATTCTGAATATTTCATATGAATGTAAACATAGAATATTTGATCTTTGTACGTGGCTTCTTTCACATAGCATAATGTTTTTGAGGATGCAGTAGGACATATCAGTGTTTCATTTTTTATGGGTGAATAATATTCAATTGAATGATTACTCCACCTCTTCATGACCTTATGTTTGCCAATGAATTCTTAGATATGACATCAAAATTATAAACAACAGAAGACAAACTAAATTGAACTTCATAAAAATTTAAAACTTTTGTGCATCAAAAGACAT
The DNA here is from genome assembly GCF_000001405.40 of Homo sapiens. Classification (NCBI taxonomy): domain Eukaryota; kingdom Metazoa; phylum Chordata; class Mammalia; order Primates; family Hominidae; genus Homo; species Homo sapiens. The sequence goes on along the minus strand of NC_000010.11, from coordinate 109,088,187 downwards.
CATCAAAAAATGAATAGACAACTTAAGAATATTAAGTTTTCCAATTCATGAGTATGGGATACATTTTCATTCATTTAGTTTGGTCTCCTTTAATTTCTTTCAGCAATATTTTGTAGTTTTCAGTGTACAAGTCTTTTAGTCCCTTTATTAACTTTATTCTTAGAGGGTATTTTGTTCTTCAGATGCTATTGCAAGTGGAATTTTTAATATTTCCTTTTTGGATTGTTTATTGTTCATCTATGGAAACACAGCTGATTTCTGTGTGCTGATCTTGCACCCTGGAACTTTGCTGAACTTGTTTATTAACTCTGGTAGGGTTTGTTTGTTCATTTTTTGCAGGTTCTTTTTTGACAAGTTTAAAACATATATTTAAAATACAATTTATAAAATGCTTAATCTGCTGACTCAGGAGCCCAAGGTGCAGTGTGGGGTGGGGGCGGGCAACTGCCCGCTAAACCAGCAAAGCAAGACAGCAGAGGTGCGACTCTCCCTTCCATGCTTTTCTGTTCAGGCACCCAGATGGCCCATGTGTACCCCTGGGATCACATGACCAGAAAGTAGGACCCCAGAGGTTTCTTGAGTTTCTGCTTATGAGAGAGGCTTGGTGCAGCCCTGCCAGCCCAACCCTGAGTAGGGTACCCCAAGATGGGCAGAGCAGGGAATGGCAGGGCAAGGCTGGTTGGGACAGGTGGGCTCTGGAAGGGGCTGTTGGTAGCAGATAGGGCATTGCCTCCTGCCTGCTGGTGGGGAGCACCTTCATTGAGTGGGCGGAGAAGAGTTGGTCACCAGGCCTGGACACCCAGCTCCTTTGGTTATAGGTTGACATCATAGCAGAGCCTTATGGGAAGCAGTTAGCTGGAAGGCCTGAGGCCCAACCTATGTGGTCAGGGAGAAATTGAGGGAAGGGGACACTACCGTTAAGGCAGATAAAGGGACAGCAGCCTCAGGTTTTTGCCCCCAACTCCCTGGGTTTTTCCTAGCCAAAGCCTGCAACTTACTTAAAAAAAAAAAAAAAAAAGAAAAGACAAGACAGGATAGGGAAATAAAAGCACTTAAGGAAACTTACAGACAACTATCCCCAAAAAATAACAACACACAAAATCCAAACCATTTTCTTTCTTTTTTTTTTTTATTATACTCTAAGTTTTAGGGTACATGTGCACATTGTGCAGGTTAGTTACATATGTATACATGTGCCATGCTGGTGCGCTGCACCCACTAATGTGTCATCTAGCATTAGGTATATCTCCCAATGCTATCCCTCCCCCCTCCCCCGACCCCACCACAGTCCCCAGAGTGTGATATTCCCCTTCCTGTGTCCATGTGATCTCATTGTTCAATTCCCACCTATGAGTGAGAATATGCGGTGTTTGGTTTTTTGTTCTTGCGATAGTTTACTGAGAATGATGGTTTCCAATTTCATCCATGTCCCTACAAAGGATATGAACTCATCATTTTTTATGGCTGCATAGTATTCCATGGTGTATATGTGCCACATTTTCTTAATCCAGTCTATCATTGTTGGACATTTGGGTTGGTTCCAAGTCTTTGCTATTGTGAATAGTGCCGCAATAAACATACGTGTGCATGTGTCTTTATAGCAGCATGATTTATACTCGTTTGGGTATATACCCAGTAATGGGATGGCTGGGTCAAATGGTATTTCTAGTTCTAGATCCCTGAGGAATCGCCACACTGACTTCCACAATGGTTGAACTAGTTTACAGTCCCACCAACAGTACAAAGGGCTAATATCCAGAATCTACAATGAACTCAAACAAATTTACAAGAAAAAAACAAACAACCCCATCAAAAAGTGGGCGAAGGACATGAACAGACACTTCTCAAAAGAAGACATTTATGCAGCCAAAAAACACATGAAGAAATGCTCGTCATCACTGGCCATCAGAGAAATGCAAATCAAAACCACTATGAGATATCATCTCACACCAGTTAGAATGGCAATCATTAAAAAGTCAGGAAACAACAGGTGCTGGAGAGGATGCAGAGAAATAGGAACACTTTTACCAAACCATTTTCTTATCTCCCCTTTCACCTCCCCCCAAAAACAATACACCTTCATGTTTTCTTTTGTTTTAAAATTTGGGCCACCACTTCTCCATCTGGGAAGGCTAGGACATAGCTGCTGGTGGATGGTGACAGGCACACATCAGGCAGAGCCTCGTTTTGACCAGAGGTGGGTGAAAGGACCAGTTCCTGCCACATCCTCAATCCACAGACCTTTCCTTTGGTCCTCTCTAGAAGGTAGTGGGGCAAGAGCAGGTGTTCCCAATGGTTGAGCAACTGGCACTTCTGGCCTTCCCACATGGACTATCCCTATACCCTTTTCTAATTGAAGGGGTAGTCTCACTTTGGGCCGGAAACCTCTATTACGTGAGGGATGGACACTATACATTTAGACTGTGGACACTTGGTTAGGGCAGTGGAACTGTAAAGACAGCAGCCAGTCTTCTTCCTTGACTACTCCTGAAGGTAATCCTTCCTCTTACTAACTGAAGCTCTGGTTCCAGCTCTGCTTACAGGCAATTCCTGGCTTCACACACTTACAAGGCTGTGCTATGGACTAGTTGCTGACTTAACTGGCAGCTGGCCTTTCCTCCCGAGGGGAGGACATAGTGGGACATGGCTTGCCGGGCCTGGCCTGCCATTCCCGTAGGGAACGAAAGGTGGAGTCAGCCTGTGAAACCTGACTTGCTGCCTTGGTCACCATGAGCTGCCCTAATTGCAAAACCATGCCAACCACTCCAAAACTTATCTGCTGGTCAGGAGTGGGGAGGCCATTTGGTTGGCTGAGAGATAAGACATGGTACAATGAAAGGGATCAGGAAGCCTGAGAAGAGCCAGGATGAACACACAGAGCTGCTGTGGCAGCTGCCCACTTAGCCTCTTCCACCTCAAGGAGCCAAAGCAAATCTCCAGGCTTCAGTGACATAGAAAAAACTGCCTTCATTCTAGGCCCTGTCTCTGGAAAAAAAGGGGTGAAGGATAGCCTAGGTCTGTGGGGGACCAGTCTGTCATCAGTCTTTGCAAAGCAAAGCTTTTCTTTTTCCAACTTTATTCAGAATGCTCTGCTTACAAGAACTGATTTCACACAGGAAACATACCAGGCAGTTACTGAGCTGGGGCCATCAATGGAGATGGAGCACCGCAGACCTTTAAGAGTTCAATCCTTGTTGAAGTGGAAAGATCTGTCTACTCTCTGACCATACTAGACAGAAGGCTCAGAGTTCTAGAGACAAACTCTCTCCTGATCTTGAATTCAACCCAGTTTAGAATAGCTGCAAAACAAACAAACAAAAATAGTTAGGAATATACTTAACCAAGGAGGTAAAAGACCTCTATAAGGAAAACTGCAAAGCATTGCTGAAAGAAATTACAGATGACACAAACAAATGGAAACATCCCATGCTCATGGATGGGTAGAGTCAATATTGTGAAAATGACCATACTGCCAAAAGCAATCTACAAATTCAATGCAATTCTTATCAAAATACCACCATCATTCTTTGCAGAACTGGGAAAAACAATCCTAAATTTATATGGAAACAAGAAAGCCCACATAGCCAAGACAAAACTAAGCAAAAAGAACAAATCTGGAGGCATTACATTACCCGACTTCAAACTATGCTATAAGGCCATAGTCACCAAAACAGCATGGCACTCATATAAAAACAGGCATATAGACCAATGGAACAGAATAGAGAACCCAGAAATAAGCCAAATACTTACAGTCAACTGATGTTCAACAAAGCAAACAAAAACACAAAGTAAGATAAGGACACCCTATTCATGAAATGTTGCTGGGATAATTGGCAAGCCACACATAGAAGAATGAAACTGGATCCTCATCTCTCACCTTAGACAAAAATCAACTCAAGATGGATCAAAGACTTAACTCTAAGACTGAAATCATAAAAATTCTAGAAGATAATATTTGAAAAACGCTTCTAATCATCTGAAGACTTCTTTGGTATCCAGTGTGAATCTTTGTAGACAACATACAGCAGAATCATGTTTTGTTCATTTTTTTTTCAAGTTCTTTAGGAAATCTCTGTCTTTGATTTGAAAGTTTGATGCATTTACATTTGAAATACTGATAAGGAAGAGTGATTTTGCTATTTCTTTTCTATATGTCATATACCTTTTTTTTGTTCTTCATTTCCTCCATTACTGCCCTCTTTTCCTTCTTTTGTATTAAATTGAATTTTTATTGTGTACTTTTTTGATTTCCTTTTAATTTCCCTTTGTGTATGTTTTTAGATATTTTTTAGTGGTTACCATGTGAATTACAATTTAACATCTAAAATTTATAACAATCTATTTTGAATTTGTACCAAAAAAACCTAGAAAACTTTGTTCCTATATACCTAGTTTCCCCTCTTACATTGTTATTCTCAAAAATTATACATTTACAAATTTTCCATTAATTTATATTTATAATTCTTTTATGTTTTTGTCTTTTAAGTCATACAGGAAATAAGAGGAGTTACCAACAAAATTACAATAATAGTGGCTTTTATTTTAATCTGTTTAGTTACCTTTACTGAAGTTCTTTATATGTGCCTTTGAGTTACTTTTAGTGTCCTTTATTTCATCCCGAGGGACTAATTTTAGCATGTCTTGTAGGGCAGATTTGTTAGCATCAAGTCTCTCAGCTTCTCTCTATCTGGTAATGTCTTCATTTCTTCTTTATTATTGAAGAGTAGTTTTGATGGATATGTATTTCTTGGTTGATAGCTGTTTTTTTTTAAATTTTCTTTCATCACTCTTTTTTGGCCTCCATGGTTTTCTGAGAATTTGCTATTACTTTCATTGAGAACTCATTGTACTTGATGAATCTGTACTTCCAATATTCTTTTTATCTTTCAATACATTGACTGTAATATGTCTGGGTACATACCTCTTTGTGTTTATCCTTCTTTGGGGTTTATTCATCATGAATGTATAGATTTAAGTCTCATCAAATTAAAAAAGTTTTAGGTCACATTTCTTGAAATATTACTTCTGCCCCTTTCTCTCTTTTCTGTCTTAGAATTCTCATTATATAGATGTTGCTACACTTGATACTCTCTTACAGATCTCTTAGGCTGTATTAATTTTTCTCATTTTTCTTCTTTCTTTCCTCAAATTGGAGAATTTTAATTGACCTAGCTTCTAATCAGCTATTCTGAAATATACTGATTCTTTCTTCTACCTGCTCAAATCTGCTATTATAATCCTCTAATGAGTTTATCATGGGAATTATTGCATTTTCAACTCCAGAATTTTTGTTTGGTTCCTTTTTTATAGTTTTAGTCTCTATTTATATTCTCTATTTATTAATACATTATTCTCCTGGATTTCTTTTACTCTTTTTTTCATGGTCTCCTCAGCTCTTTGAGAATATTTAGGACACTTAAAGTCTTTATTAGTAAGTACAATACCTGTGCTTCCCCACGGACAACTTCTATTAATTTATTCTGTGGATGGATTATATTTTCTTGCTTCTTTTTATAGTTTTTTTTTTTGTTTGAACTGAATATTTTGAATATTATGATATAGTAACTTTGGATATCAGATTCTGTTCTTTCCCTTCCTCGGGATTTATTTTTGTTGTTTGCTGCAGGCTGTAGCTGCTTGTTTGTTCAGTGACTTTTCTAAGATAGTTTTGTAAAATCTGTATTTCCTGTAGTGGTAATCTCTGAAATCTTTTCTTTAAGCTTCTGTTCAGCTAGTTTGTTGACAAAGATTTCCTTGAATGTCAGGAGCACCCCAGCCACATCCCCCACCAAAAAAAATGGAAAAATGAAAAAGAAGAGGGATAGAAAGAAGAAAATAAAAGAAGGAAGAAAACCACCTCTCTCAGTCTTTACAGATTGACTCTGCTCTGGGGTACTCTGTCACTATCTATGATGTTTACAACTCTTCCTTACCTTTCACTTTCTGCTTGCATTGTGATTACAGATTAGCCAGAGGTGAAAGTTTAGGGTCTTATCAGGCCTTGAGCATGGGCCCTGTCTGGGGCATGTGTGTGATTTTCTAAATTTCACAGTATATACAATGTTTTAGCTTTATTTTATTTTTAATTGGCACATATTGTTTATGTCTATGGTGTGATGTTTCAAATACATGTACATATTGTGTAATGAGCAAATCAGGATATTTAGCATATCTGTCACCTCAAACATTTATCATTTCTTTATGGTAAGAACATTCCAAATCCTCTTTTCAGAAATATACAGTAGTGTTAACTGAAGTCATCCTACTGTGCAAAAATGTGGTATATTTTTGTCACATTATGGAATAAAATATTACTCAGCCATTAAAAAAAATTCTGTCATTTGCCACACAAAGTGGATGGACCTGGAGGATAATATGTTAAGTGAAATAAGCGAGGCACAGATACTTTTGAACACCCTAATTTTCAAAAGAAAGTCTCAATATTTCGTCCTGGGCTTAGGCACCCTGTTGTTTACCTGTATTGTAAACCTTATCTTCTAGTGACTGTATGTTGTATATTTGCCTTAGAAAAGTTTTTGAAAAAAGCCTGCAGCTTTTCCATTCAGAGTGAGTTCCAAGCTAGCTGAAACAAAGTCATGTCCTTCAGATAATCATCAGACAGGGTAAGACAAACAGACATGAATATTTGAGAATAATTTCTGCTCTGCTTCCTCCAGAATTAGGTTCAGGGTCCCATACTGAGCACGTGGATTGTAGTATTTAAGGCTATGCCAAGCCTGAGAAGGGGTGGGGCAAGCACAATTATGTTAGGGAATAAAATAACCTTCAATAAATTTAAAATGATTAAAATCATACAAGATATGTTTTCTAACAGCAATAGAATTCAATTAAAAATGAATAACAGGCTGAGCGTGGTGGCTTATGCCTGTAATCCCAGCACTTTGCGCTTTGAGAGGCCGAGGTGGGCAGATCACCTGAGGTCAGGAGTTTGAGACCAGCCTGGCCAACATGGTGAAACTACGTCTCTACTAAAACTACAAAAATTAGCCGGGCATGGTGGTGGGTGTCTGTAATCCCAGCTACTCCAGAGGCTGAGGCAGGAGACTTGCTTGATCCCAGGAGGTGGAGGTTGTGGTGAGCTGTGATCGTGTCACTGCACTCCAGTTTGGGTGACACAGTGAGATTCTGTCTCCAAAAAATAATAATAATAATAATAGAAATTATTTTATCAATAATAGAGGTAAAAAATAACAGAAAGTCATAAATATGTAGACATTAAACAACAGAGTAATAAATAACTAATGGGTTAAATTAAAAAATTACCAGAGAAATAGAAAACAATTTGAGATGAAAGACAATGAAAACAAAAAATAAAAAATTGTATGGAACATAATTACATTAGTGTTTAAAGAAAACTTAATAGCTGTAAATGTCTTTAGTTCAAAAAAAAAAGAAATTACTGAAATCAAGAGCCTAATCTTCTGCTTTAGTGAACCAGAATAATAAGAATGAAATAAACCCCAAAGAAGTAGAAAGAATAAAATAATGTTGATTACAGCATAGATTAATAAAATGCAGAATAGTAAATCAATAAAGTCACTGAAACCAAATTTGGTTCTATGAAATGATTAACACCATTGACAAACGTTTAGCTGAAATGAATAAGAAAAGAAAAAAATAGAGAAAACTCAAAATACTAAAGTCAGGAATGGTTTGTGAATACACTTTCAAAAAAAACCCTAACAGTTTAATATTGTTTACAAATATAGACACAAATGTCCTCAACAGTTCCAAGAAACTAAATCCAGCACATCAAAAAAAAGAGACATAAAACATCAAGTGGGATTTATTTCAGAAATGCAAGTTTAACATCCAAAAATCAAAGTAATACACCATACTAACAGAAAAAACCCACATGATCATCTGAATAGATGCAAGAAAATAATTTGACAAAACAAAACACTATTTTAGAAAAATAAACACTCATCAAATTAGAAATAGAAGTGATCTTTCTCAACCAGATATAGGACATCTATGTAAACAAACAGATAACATAATATGTAATAGTGAATGACTAAATGTTTTCCTCCTAAGATCAATATAAGAGAAGAGAAAAACATCCACTACATCTATTCAACATTGTACTGCGGGAGTTTTCTTGTGCATTTACACAAGAAAAAGAAATAAAAGACATCCACATTAGAAAGGAGATAGAAAGTGTTTTCTATTTACAAACCCTATGATCTTGTATATAGAGAGTTCTAAAGTTTACTGTATACATACACACTATTAGAAGTAGTAAAAGAGTTCAGTAAGGTTGCAGGATGCAAGATAGATTTCCAAAAATCAATTCTATTTCCATACGCTGTCAATGGGCAATCTGATAATGAAATTAAGAAAATAATTCCATTTATAATAATATCAAACTTATTTCTCAGTAATAAGTTTAAGAAGTACGTTAAAACTTTCAAAATAATGTTGAAAGAAATTACAGATGATCTAAGTAAATGGAAGAATATTTTACTTTCTTTAAATGGAAATACTTCCCCAATTGATCTACAGATTCAACACACTGTCTATCAAATTCCCAGATTCCTTTTTTTAAGAAATTGATGAGCTGATCCTAAAAGTCATACAAAAATGCAAGGGTCCTAGAAAAAACAAAACAACCTTTAAACAGAAGAAAAAAGTTGAAGAACTCATACTTCCTAACTTGAAACTTATTACCCATCTATGGCAATAAAGACAGTGTGCTGCTGATAGAAGGTAGGCATGCAAATTAAAGGAATAGATTTGAAAGTCCAGAAATAAACCCTTATGGATGGGTGCAGTGTCTCATGCCTGTAGTCCTAGCAGTTTTGGAGGCTGAGGCAAGAGGATCACTGGAGCTCAGGAATTTGAAGCTAGCCTGGGCAACATAGCGAGACCTCATCCCTCCTAAAAATTAAAAAAGAAGCTGGATATAGTGGGGTGTGCTAACTCCAGTTACTACTCCAGAGTTTGATGTGAGAGGATCGCTTGAGCTAGAAGGTCAAGGCTGCAGTGAGCTGTGATTGTGCCACTGCACACCAGCCTGGGCAACAGAGCAATACCATGTCTCAAGAATGAAAAAAAAAGCAGAAATAAATCTTTATATACCTGGTCAGTTGATATTTCACCTGGGTACCAAGGCACATAGGGAAAGAATGTTTTTTTTCGATAGATTTTGCTGCAACAACATGCTATTCACAAGCTAAACAATGAATTCGTATCCTACCTCAAACCATATATAAAATTTATCTCAACATAGATCAAATATGTAAATGTAACTGTAAAAGCTATATAGCACTTAGAAGACAGCATAGGGATAAATCTTTTATACTTTGGGTTATACAAAGTTTTCTAAGATAAGACACAAAAAGCACAGATGACAAAAAGTAGATCAATTGGACTTCATCAAAATTAACCACTTGTGAACTCAATGAATACCATCAAGAAAGTGAAAAGGTAACACACAAAATGGGAGAAAATATTTACAAATCATGCATCTGTTAAAGTACTTATATCCAGAAAATATATGTAACTTTCACTACTCAGTTACAGAAAGACAAATAGCTCAATTTTAAATTAGCAAAGGATTTGAATAGACATTTTTCCAAAGAGGATATAAAAATCTTCACATTATTTAAATTGCACCACAAATTGTTTTTAATTAATCCTGTAATTATCTTTTGAATAATCATATTTTTGTTTGAATTAAAACATTAATTTAAAAATGTAAATATTAAAAATATGCCACAGTTTGTAACCCAATTTTGCAATTATTTATATGTGTTTGTTTCCTCTTTTATTAGGTGCTAGTATCAAAAAAGGTGGAGCTAGGCCACAGATCACTCAATCTCTTAAGCACTGGTTCTATTATCCGCTAAATCAGGTATAGAGCACACATTGGGGTGTTGGAAGGTTTTGTAAATGGCTATCAGAAGCCATTCTGAATTGATGAATTAGCTAGATGTTATTTAGCCACCCTGAAAATAGTGCTGCTATGGCTATCCCTGGTCTGTAATTTACCTGTCCACTAGGGCGCTGTTTGCACCACTATGTCCAGAGGATGTGGGCTCAGCTCATGCCTTATGGACTGGATAACAACATGAAAGGAAGAGATAGGAGCATAAAGATGCACTGAAAAAGCTCTAGTGTATATCTGAAGTCTATATTTATCTCCTCTAATAGCCTGGTTTGATAACGTCCCCTCTGTGCAATATGAAGATTACCTATTTTTAAAAAGAGCTACAGCAAACATTCATCTCCTTTGTCCTTTGTACTGTTTTGTTGCTCAAATTTCATTTTATGTGGAGTCTCAGAGGATGGAGGCACTATTTGAAGTCATAAATGACTAATTTTATGCAGAGGCCATCACCATCTGCAATCCACAGAAATATGCCACATAAATGCAGTAGGTATTTCTCTCAGTGGTTTACCTCTAATGACCTTCCAAAATATTTAACTAATGTTATAATTAACAGGTGACAGATCCAATTATTTTCTAGTAGAAAAATAAAGTCACTATATATCATTATCAGTAATCTGATTAGTTATCCATGGCAATGGAAGAAGTAAGCTCCTTAATTAAAAATCAAGATTGCCGGACCCTACCAAAGAAGGAATTCTCCAAGCTGTCTGAATATGTTAATATTTTTTGACATTTCGTGACATCATCCATCGTGATCATCTTTGTTATCACCATAATAGTCATAGAAAAAACATGAGGGCTTCCAAATATATTAAAGCACCTTCTTTGCATGAGTTTTTTCATTTAATTTACACAAAAGTCCTACAAAGTAAGAAGCAATCCTAATATTCCCATTTTACAGATGAGCCTTAAAGAGGTTAATTAACTTGCTCAAGATTTCACATCTAGCAAACACCAGAGCCTACTGTTTATCTTTATGGAGTGAACGTCTGATGTCCTAACAATTTTGCACTTCTCCTCTCATCTAAAAGCATCTTTAATGCAAAGGTTCCAGTACCTGCCACAGTCATAAATAAATTTCTTATTCTGTATTTCAGAGATAGTAGCACAACCCAAAATAGAACTAACCAATCAATGGACAGAGAAATTTTCTTGATCAAGAGTAACAAATCAATGTCAAAGTTAGATGAGAAATCCAGGGTACTCATAGCGAATAGATCTGCCATAATCTGAATTTATTGTTACTTTCAACAACTACTTTTTTTTAAATTGGTTTCTCTTCAGCAACATTGTTTTATTATAGGAAATTTCAAAATATTTTATACCTATTCTGGGTGATTTTTATAGATTTTTTCTCATGCAATCCTGAAAGGTAGGTCTATTGTCATGTTTTTAGAGGGTGTATAACAAACTTACAACTTTTTCAGGGTCACCCTTATAGCAGAGTTAGGACTCCCACCACATTTTTGGACTCTAAAGACTATGTGTTTACCTTCTAAACAATATGGCCTTTCTGATGCACTGAGTATTGTTCATCAAAACCTTGATATGAAGATTAAGAACAAGAGAGAAAGTGGCACTGACAAAGAATGGAAAAAATATCTGGAAGAAGTTTGGGTTAAGTGTGAGAGTGGAATGGAGATTGAGGGAGGGTATTATAAGACAGTGTTTCCCTGTTTGTGTCTTTTTTTGTTGTTGTTTGAGACAGAGTCTGGCTCTGTTGCCCAGGCTAGAGTGCAATGGTGTGATCTTGGCTCACTGCAACCTCTGCCTCCTGAATTCAAATGATTCTCCTGCCCCTCAGCCTCCTGACTACCTGGGACTACAGGTGCCCACCACCAAGCGCAGCTAATTTTTGTGTTTTTAGTGGAGATGGGGTTCACCATGTTGGCCAGGCTGGTCTCGAACTCCTGACCTCAGGTGATCTGCCCACCTCTGCCTCCCAAAGTGGCAGGATTACAGGAGTGAGCTACCGCACCCAGCCCCTGTTTGTTTCTAACACTGAATCCAAGTATGACTCCAGAGAAGGAAAGTGATAACATAACGCCAGGTGCTTGTGTGAGACACTCCTCTCTCTGTTCTTGCCGTCACCATTCAGTGGCTGAAGTTATAATTTATCTTAATTGGAGTTAGTGTTACTCAGCAGAGCGGAGTTCTTGAGCTGAGGATTGTATTGAAGATCTATAAATAGAAATTACACTTTAAATAAAGATGTGAATAAACAAGTAAAAAATTAAAGGTGCTTGTTTCTGGGTGCTGAATTTGGGGAAGAGCAGATGTTGGTGCAAGACATGGTAAACAATCTGTTTTCTTAAATAAATTGGTACAATATCTTTTTACTATGATACTCAGTACACACATGATACACTATTACGAAATTTGTAAAAAAGAGTCTCACAAGCAGTGAAACATAGATAAGGAACATAGTCAAAAGGAAGATATAAAGTATCTATTCCTGCCTTTCTGAGACAAGCTTGGAGAGTGACTTAGAAATGGTGTATTGTGACCTATCATGAGTGAAGCCCCAGCACATGCTGGCTACACTGAGATTCACCACCAGGGAAGGTTTAGTGTTTGGCACAAAGTAGATACGCAATACGTGACTGCTGAACTGATCCTAACAAAATGTAAGCACCAGGCTAACTCCCTCAGCCACCAAGCATCTTTTTATGTCCCACTTACCCCATTTGAATAAAATGGGGTGCTCTCAGTGTTAGAAATTGTTTCATATTAGAGGGACTAAAACTTAGTTAAGGAGGGAAATATGCTATAAATAAAAAGTCTCGGACACACTGAGATGATATTATGGGGTTATCTGTATCTTTGCTTATTTGCCAATTTCCATCATGTAATCATGGGGCTGAAGTGTTTGTCCTGTAGGATTTAGAGCCAGCTGGTCAGAGTCCCATCTATCTCAGAGAAGAAAGCAGTGATTGTATTTTAAAACTTAGGTACTGATATAAAAATTCCAAATTAAAGTGGCTTAACTGAACTTTGTCTTTTTCATAAAGAAATACATTTTTTTTCCTTTTAAGACAAAGTAAAATACAGAAACAAAACAAAAAAACAAAGCAAAACCCAAACCAAACAAAAGCAAACCAACAAACAAAAAACAGGATCAATCAGATGGTCACTCTGGGACTAAGTAAAATATAAGTCGTTATGAAATTGTAGAATCTTAATTCAGGGAAGTGGAGAGCAGATGTGGTGTTAGCAAGAAATGGATAACGTTTTCGTGACATTCGTACGGTGAAAGCAGCAGTCCCTGTGGATACAGCATCTGCACGTTATTATGACTCATAACATGTACCTGCCATGATACAGGGGCACTCATTTTTTCAAAACATTCTCTGATTGAGAGCATGATATTGTCATGCAGTTAACAAACTCCAAAAATATTGTTGAGAAGCCAGAGAGGGAAATAAATGAAGTGTAAATTCTGGAAATAGAGACAAATCGTGTGGGAGAAGAACCCTGGACACCCCTGACTAGGAACTGAAGAGTACAGCATCTTCACCCTCATCGTTAGAATGGATTGCTGGATAGTTACATTTTGATTATGTGCATGAAGATTTCTACTTTTTATTTCTTGAAATAATGTGAGGCTGGGCATGGTGGCTCACACCTGTAATCCCAGCACATTGGGAGGATGAGGCAGGTGGACCCCTTGAGCTCAGGAGTTCCAGAACAGCCTGGGCAACATGGTGAGACCCTGTCCCTACAAAAAATACAAAAACTATACAGGGGTGATGATGCGTGCCTATAATCCCAGACACTCAGGAGGCTGAGGTACGAGGATTGCTTGGGCCCAGGAGGTGGAGGTTGTTGTGAGTTGAGATCACACCACTACACTTCAGCCTGGGCCTGGGCAACAGAGAGAGAGCCTGTCTCAAAAAAAAAATTAAAATGAAAAGAAATAATGAGGAGGAGGAAGTTGTGTAGGCTGCAATTTTAGTGAAAGATCTCTACTCCAGGAACTTTATACTAATTTCCCCAGTTATCCTTTGAAATAGCTATCATGATAAACTTTCTATAAATGCTAGGGGGGGTTCACGTAAATTAAATAATGGATGCACAGCTAATATTTGACAGAGCAGGAATGCAAACACATATATCTCCTTTACTAAATATTTTACATCCTTCCTTGCACAAAGCTGGAAATAGAAGTGGAAAAGGTGGACACCTGTCTGTATTTGCATATGTATATGTTTATGTCCAGTCTCTCATGTCTAATTCCTCATTTTGTTTCTATATTTATCACCATATCCCAGTTTGAAAATCTGCTCACTTACTCACTTTTCGACCAATGCAAAGATTGTCTTAGGGCAATGAGGAGACTAGATCGAGCCATTCAAAATGATTACTACAATGAATCTTGTCTTAAATAAAAACACCTGTTCTTGAGGAAGCACTTTTAAAATGTTTTCTAAAGAAATCAAAAAATAGTTGCACATTATTTTATACTACCCAGCAATATAGAAGCCTGAAATATGAATGGCACCCAAGGGCGTCCAAGAGGATCATGTGGCTTCTGGAAAAGTATGAATTTTGCTGTCTGGAAGCACAGAGGAGTTGCCATTCACTCTGGCATTACGTTTTAACAGTGGCACATGAGGCAAGGTTATATCACTTCTGAAAACCCCTTAAGAGGGGCCACATTGGAAACAAATGTGCCATCTCTCAGTGAGTCTAAGTGCAATTATTCTCTGGGGGTAGGGACAATGGATCTTCCTCTGACTGAGCATCTGATGAAGTAGTTGGTGCATCTATAGGGCCATGTTGTGTGAGAAAGTCTTGTGCTTCATATGCTGAAAAGACCCCTAAGCCACTCACAAGATCCCACTGTGAGAATTGCTGAGAGCTGAGACTGAGGAAGCAAATGGCAGTCAGGTCTCCTGTGTCCTGTTCTTCCGGGGAGCACACACATGGCACAGAATGGGAGGAGGCAGTGATACTCACTGGTTGGCTAGTCAGAGCATTCTCTTTCTCTTTCTCTCTGTCTCTGTCTCCCCACCCCCATCTTTGTCTCTCTCTCTCTCTCTCTTTCACACACACACACACACACTCACACACACACACATACTCTCTGTCTCTCTCTCTCTCACACACACACAATTTTCTTCCCTCCTTAAGTAGATGCAGTTGCAAATTCCTATAAGATATAAAGCAACTACTGTATGCAAAGTGGTGAAGCCTCTTGCTGCCTGCATTTGAATTCAGGCTCCAGGGCTTAGTTTTCACCTTAGGCATGCAATTTCAGCTTCATAAACCTTAATCTACTCATCTGTAAAATGGGGATAATAACAGTACTGATATCATTGAGTTGTTGTTTGAGATAACCGATGTGAAGGGCTTAGCGCAGTGCCTACCTCTTGGTAATTTCTCAATAGCAGCTCACTGCTAGTGTTGTCTTGCTCTATTCAACCATTGGTGAATACTCTGTTACCGGTAGAGGTCACCTCTCCAGGAGTCACTTCCTCTCTCTCTTACATCTCCTTGGAACCACGTGTTCAAGTGATTTCCCATCTGCCAAGGCCCAGAATTTAACAGATTATATGAAGAATAATTTTCTTTCATTATGTTTGAACCTTGTTGCTCCTGTAACATTTCACTGTTGTCTACTTGGCTGTTTAAATAATTAAATTTTAGGTAAATATTTTGTAATCTGTGCCGGGTTTTATATTTTAGGTGCCCTTTTCTTCACTGAACTAGCCAGATGAGGTAAAAATGAAGCAACAGCTTGGAAAAACGAGTTGACTAAAGGTGGCTAGGATGATTTTCACTTTTCCTGTTGATACTCTCTCGTTTTATATATTTTCTTTCATGCAGATACATCTACCGTTTGTTCCTCTTGTCTGTGGCCTTTCTTAGATAGGCAGGGTGTGTCTTATGATGGGGAGGAAACCTGAGAAAACTTTGCTGAGTGGCTGCAGAATTTGGGATGCCACACTGTACACTAAATAAATAAAATCATATGGATAAATACTGAACTATTGTTGTTGTTTGAAAATCAGATATTGTAAGATAGATATCTAAAAAATAAGTATGCAAAAAATATGAGCAGTGAAATTAATCTTAGGTATAATAGAAAGTCAGAGGAGAAAACATATGTCATTGGCTGGGAAGCCTACGTTGGTATCTATCAAGGAAGAGTGCTATGCATCTTAGTATATTGAGCAAAAGTTCAAATCCTGAAAAATTCATTGGGGGAAATAAAAGCAAAAAAGCAGAGCCACAACACAGAGCTCTTGTTTGATGTATACTATGCTGACAGGATAAAAAGAGAAGAAAAGCATAGAACCGAGGGCAAATCTTCAAGTTCAGTTATTTTTCTTTTCTCTCTGACCATGCTTATATAATTTTTGCTTATGAAATGGGAGTACCAGAAAAATTAAACATATATTTTCCAGAAGGGACTCTCTTATGGATCTCTCTAGAATGTCTGCCTTGCTGAAACATTTAGATATAATATTTATTTGCAAAGCAATGTGCATCCTGTTGGTGGCAGACTGATGAAAGACAGTGCAGAGTGGTCTCCAGGCTGATAGTTGATTTTAACCAGCAGCACAGCCTCACTATTTGATGGTTCTTTGTGCTTGTATGCAACTCAGAATCCAATTAGTCTGAAATACGTTTACACAAAATTGTCACAATGATAATGAAAGAAGGTAGAAAATTTCACTCTCAGAAGATATGCAAATACTGCCATGTGGGTGGGATCCGGGGGAAAAACACTGTAAATGGTATGGGGATTGAGCGTCTTTGCTTAACAAGATTTCAGTGACCCTCTGAACCTCTGAACTTTGCCTACTGCTCTGATTAAACTGAAGATATTTACTTTCCTTTATACATGCATGCACACACACACACACACACACACACACACACAGAAGTTGGAGGAGGGAGAGAAAAGAGCGAACCGAGGTGACAAAGACTAGATAGAAGATAATGAATTTATCCAAAATAAATCAGCCTGCCAACAGTTATTTTTGGATGCTTTGCTTCTGAAGATATATGAAGAAAGGCAGTAAATTGTTTCGTTATATAAGTTGCCTAGAATGCCAGAATGTTTCCTGAACACTGAACAAAGTTATAGAAGAAATGTAAGCTCTTCTATATACAGTGTATTCTGTTTTACATTCTAGGACTAGAAAATCTTATTCACTCACAGAATACTTTGACTGAATGACAGATGACTGTTCATTATTAAGCCGGGACTCACAAAACATCATTGATAAATATGTGGCTAAGATTTATATGCAGAGAAAATCATCAGTAGTTGTATGATTTAAGAGGGTGAGGACCGTTCTGAAAATTAATGAATTGGAAATCTGTTTAGATTCTGTTCTGAAAGAAAATTTACTTTTAACAAAATGTTTGGGGTTAAATATAGAACCATAACACAGGATTCCTGATGAGAAATGGAACAAAATATGTGAAATAAAAACAGAAGTCTCAAAATACAAATACATTTTAATTTACTAATGGATACTAATGACTTTGAATAAGGCTGGTGATGCCACTGATAATAAATGACTGACTTCAAGCAATAGAAGTGTGACTAATGTATTTGGTCATTTTTATTCTCTGCTCTAGACATGAATTAATTATTGGATACTGGCTGTGACATACACATTTTATGCATTTGTCACTGTCCTCTGTTGTTTGAGGATGATGTTATTGAGGTTGATAAACATATATATGCACAAATGTAGCTACAAAGTCTGGTAGATCTTCAACTTCTCTTTCCATGTTATTATTGAGTGACTGCCTTTTGCAATTCACTTTGACACTTGGATTTCTAGTTGGCCCAATTCAACTATCGTACGCCTTTTAAATTACACTATTCTTCAGCTATGCCTTGAAATTGGCATATAGGTATCAGAATACATTTAAGCTCTTCTCTATTTCTCATCTGTCCACACCAAGTGTTGCATCTGCATACAATGAGTATTACAGCTATAGTACATGTACTACTGTATATTATGTAATTCACTAGTTTTCCTCTTTACACTGACTATAAGGAAACAAAGAAACAAACTCAAAGTTCATTTCTCACAAATACCACTTCATGACAGTACTTTCTGGAATAAGATAGAGTATTACCAATTCATTAAGTTTTGTTGTGCCATGAGCTATGTCTTTGTGTCCTTCATATTTTGTGGTCATTGCTAAGTTCTTGAATAATATTGTTTCTCCTATGCCAATCAACCAGTGAGGCCAATGTGGGTGAATGCCGATGCTGTGATTTGTCTATTTTGGAAATATACTTTAAGGTTGCAGTTTGATCTCAGTCGATTTTGGTGGTTGCATTCCAACCTAGGTGCTATTTCACTCTGCTAGGCTCTGTGGGGAAATTGCAAGGTGATTGATGGCTTTTATTTGTAGTTGACAGTCCAGTGATCTATCTACCATTTTCTTTTCTCTCCACCATTTCAAATAATGGCAACTTGCTTCCATCGTTTTCCTTGACCATATGAACAGCTGGCTTCCTATGAGAACAAATTTGTTCTCCTGAAAAAACTTTGTGTTCTGGCATTCTATGTGGATTTGCTCTCAACAAGTCAACCAGGTAAAGATTCATGGCAGGACGGAGTTCTTAATGGTGCCATGTGCTAAAGTAGCTGAATTTCATTATTGAGCTACAATGTTGGCCATAAATATACATCAGACTTGGAGGCACATCCTGTGTCTGACAGTCATGTCCATAGTTGGTAGTGCTGTGGTTCATAAAGAGAGACTATAAGCAACTTGACACCTCATTCTGGAGGTAGCCAAAAGCTTACTGTTGGGCCTGTCAGTGCAAGATATCTATGGTAGAACTCGGGATTACTGCTATAGTCTGAATGTTTGTGTCCCCTCCAAATTCATATGTTGAAATCCTGATCTCCAAGGTGATGGTATGACAGGGCCTTTGGCAGGCAATTAGGTCATGAGGGCAGAGCCCTCATAAGTGGTCTTATAAAAGAGGCTGGAAAGAGTGTTTTCCCTTCTACCATGTAAAGACACAACTAGAAGGTATCATCTACAAAGCAGAAAGCAGGCCCTTGCCAGACATGGAATCTGTCAGTGCTTTAATCTTGGACTTTCCAGCCTCCAGAACTATAATAAATACATTTCTATTTTTTATAAGCTATCCAGTTTAAGATATTTTGTTATAGCAGTTTTCAAACGTGGACCTGAGGGCTATGAAGAATGTCACCTTAAACTCATTATATTTACTGGAAAATCTGAAATCCAGTGGTTCAGAGAATAGTAGTTTTCAATCAGAGCAGATCAAATGCATACACTGCTGCAGGAGAATGAGACTATGTCCAAGACTAGTTTTTATTTTCTTAAGTTTTTCTTAAATTGAAATTTACCAAAGGACTGCTTGGAATAGCTTCCCTGATCTGACAGCTTCAGGAAAAATTCATGGAAAGTTAAATGTCTTCATATGTTGGTAATTTCTTCTCACCTCTCCTATCACTGTTTTTATTCATTTACAAATTTGCTTTTCTAGGATCCACCTCCTTCTCACTTAAAATGCATCTGCCTCTCTCTTTCTCATTCCTTCTTTGAATTGTACAAATTCAAATATGTTGCTTCTTTGGCTTAAATTACATTTCTAAAAGACACCTCTTTTTTGGTATTTTTGATGACTATTACTGACCTGCAGTTAATTTTCCTGCAGTTTAATACCACTCAGTTTGTTCCACTTGAGCACCACTTTTCTCCGTCAGATAATAAAGGCGTCTTGGGGTTTATGGCCATCCAATCCAGAGGCCTCTATTCCTATGTTTCCTTCTCTCCCAACCTCCACTTCTAACTGATCACCAATGTACTTTCAGTTTTTTTCCCACAATCTGTTGACTCCCTAGTTCATGAGGGGAGTCTCTACCCTCTTTTCTCTTTGCCTGGGTTACGAAAGTAACCTCCTAGCTTGGCTAAGGCCTCCAGGCCTTAACTTTTTTTCAATTCTTTCTTCATTCTATCTCCTGTGTGATTGATTATTGCTAAATGAGTGTGATTTTTAATCATCTATCCTCTTATTTTAAACTC
Source organism: Homo sapiens (assembly GCF_000001405.40). NCBI lineage: Eukaryota > Metazoa > Chordata > Mammalia > Primates > Hominidae > Homo > Homo sapiens. The sequence goes on along the minus strand of NC_000010.11, from coordinate 109,068,233 downwards.
CTTCACTGTCTAATTGAATTTCAGGATAAAGTTCAACTTCTTACCATGCTATATACACTATTCTCCACAATTTGGCTCTTGTCTGCTTTGAGGCCTCGTAGTTTACCTGTACCTGCACAAATATTTTGCTTTAGCTTGTTGAGCCTCTTGTATTCTCCTTAAAGCATCTGGCTTCACTCTGGGCCTTTGCACACACTGTTTCCTTACTTTGGATGCCTTTCTCTCACTTTACCTTGTTCCTAAATCTAGACTCAAATATTACCTTTCATAGAAAGTACTTCCTCTAGTCACTCACCCGCCCTTCCTTTACTCACTTCGCTTCTAGATATGCTAACTACCTTTCTATTGTGGTTTAACTTTACATTTTAGATTCTACTGTTTCGTGATCATATGTGCTGTTGGTGCAATACTGTGAACTCACTGAAGACAGGAATTATATATCGGTTTCTAACTCTTCTTGTGTATTAGCTCAGTGCCTGGTATTTATTTCATTTTCAATATGTTAGTTAAATGGGTAAATTAAATAATAAGTGAATTAATGATTCCACTTTGAATGAGTTTTAATAACTTTACAAAATATCTTTTTGTTTTTATTGCCTGTTACTTTATTTTATAAAGTAACTTTCTACAAGAAACTTGAGACACTTTGACATGGAAATGTTCAAAGTTTATATTTCTCTTCTAGGGCACAATAGACATTAAGAGAAACAAGTACCTATATCTAACCTAAAGAAATATTAGGAATCCTACAGAAACTCAGGTGTTCAAAAACTGGACTTTCAAAGAGCGAATAGAATAAGTTTGGTGATTTAGCCACCAAATATCTTATTTAATTGATGAAATAGGCATGTATTCTCAATAGTTATTGTCAGAGAAACATCAGGATGTGATAAGTCTGTATAAAGTACAAGTGAATTCTGAGAACAAATACTTGGACTAGAATGATTGATAGTTTTTTTTTCCTAGATGAGTCACTATGAAAGACATGTCTTCTGGTTCAATCATTTACTTAACATTTCTATCAGCTAATCATGTGCCAGTTGGAGGTAGCATGATAAATAAGGTGAGCAGGGCCTCTGTCCTTGAATGGCTTACCTCAAATTAGAAGTGGCATTAAGGTAGATGACATGTAGACTATAAAAAGTTAAAATATAGATAAATAAAGTAAATCCAGAGTATGAAATACTCTCTGAAGTACAAACAAAGTAAAGAGATATTTCAGAGTGTTATGACTACTATCTTAGACTGGCTGTACCAGGAAGGAATTGCTGAGGGTATGACAGGATGGATACCTGTGCTTTGTCTACTGGATGATCCTTGATCTGTCCTTTATCTCCAAACTCCACCACAGGGCTGAGAGTTACCAATGGGTGGGTGGGAGGAGACTCAGTGATGGAGTAAGAATGTACTTAACATTCATTAAGTGATAATTTAAGAAGCTGAAACTTGAGTTATTCAGTATTAGCCATATTAATATATTATCATGAACTAAGGATCATCTCAAAGTAATCCATTAAAGAAATATGGCAGAGCTTGTAATGCTTAACCAATATATGGATAGACAGACCCTTGGGACACTTAATGGTGCAAGTCAGAGACTCAGGTCAAGAAAGCAGAAGAGAAAGGAAAGATGACAACCACTATCAAAATACTTCCCATCCCTCTGGAAATATTGGAGGCAGCTTATGTAGTGTGTGGTGGTTTGATGGAAAAAAGACAGGCAACAATTATGTTGTGTTCTTTGACTTTCCAAAACGCAGGAGTTAGAGATTGAAGACAGAATAAGCTGAAATACAGTGAACGGGTAGAGGAAAGGGAGAAGATTGAGTTGGAGAACTTGCTGAGAGGATTTCCCTGGCAAATTTCAAGCTTTAGTGTTTCAGTAAGGCCTCAAAATGTTGAACGGCCCCATACAGAATAAACTGCAGCCCAGGGTCTTAAAAAAGATCCTAGAAAAAAGCAATAAAACGTCAATTACCTTGGGTTAGATCAATGAGCTTTTTGGATTTAGAAGTCTTCAAAGACTGCACATAGCCACTATACTCAGAGCTCAATATTCATTTTATATTGTTTCTGATAAATGCAAAACCTCATCGTGTTATCTTTCCCACATATTTAGTTACCCTTGATAATGTTGGAAAAGGAAAATCTACATGCCTAGTTTAGAAAATTCATGATAAATGACATGAGTGGAGTAGCTACACTTGGCTCTAAACCAGCCCATATGCTTTTTGATGGCAGGGACTGTCGCTTAGTTCTGTACATGAATAAATCTCTGCTCAGCATTCATTGTTAGTATTTAAAGTGGCACATAAAAAAAGATATTTGGATCTAATCTACAAAATTTTTATCTACAAAAATTTGTAGATGCAAGGATAGGTATCTACTTCTTGAAGGCAGAGGCTGTGTTAGTATTTAACCTGCTGTGTCTCCGTAACATGACACATAGTAGGTGCTCAAAAAAAGTACTGAATAAATCGATTAGGGGTTTTTAACTGGCAAGGAGTAATAGTTGTCTTCAAATGCTTTATGGATTTGTCTATGGGATATAAATTGGACATATATATATATATATATATATATTGCTAGGGGCTTAAACCAAAAAAACAAGTGGGATTTATACACAGGGAAGTTTGGTTAAAACTAAGAAGTGCTCTAAGGTTATTTCTGTTTTAGTTGTATCTTCTACTAGATTTCAAGCTGCCTGTGGCAGATATCTCCTATCTCCTATTGCATTCTATTTGGATTGCCTTCAAGATATTAGAAATTTAATGAATTTGGGGGTTAATGCATAGATGAATGATGATTACAGATTTTCACATTTGAAGTATTGAGCTCTGTTTTTAGAGGCTTTCTAGCATTGCCTAAGTAATTACACATCGTGAGCTTTATAGCAGGGTTTGAAAAATGATGTAGAGATAATACACAATACTCATTCTAATTATGAAAACCTCAAAGTAATATTTCTAGAATTCATTTTAATTCTTTTAATTTGAAGCATGCATTTTATCTATATGTAACAGTCCCTCCACATAATTTTTAGAGAAATAGTTTTCCACTAACTATACAGAATTCTACAGGGAGAAAACCAACAATTTCTTGGTACATAGTAAGGAAAGAGAGCCAGGTGCTTTTTCTGGGACTGTGGGGAAAAATTGCTTTATGTTTTGAAGAAATCAAGTGGCTGTCTCTTTATTCCCTTCACCAGACCTTAAAATAGCTCTCCCTATGATTTGGGTTTCAGAAACTCTGTATTTCCCAGTCAAGTATTGGAAGCACCCACTTGCCCTTAGAACAGTAACACAATAAAACTTCGCTCCTAAATGTTGGCCAATTATGGATCTCCTACAGGAAATTCAGACCACATCATAATTATAAGAAATCACACGATGAGATGTTCCTTAAGTGTTGTTTCTGAGAGTCTGAAAGCTACCTATCCCTTTGACGCATTTATGTATGTATTTGTGAGTGTGCGCATGTGTGTGTTGCATGTGTATGTGCTGCTTCTCATGGACAGAGCAGCAAAGCCATGAGAGCAATCATGGCAGCGTCTCTGGCAGCTGCTGGAGCCGTCTTTTGGGTCTAAAGCACGTTAGCTGAAATTCTTTCTCTGGCAGAAATATTCTGTTATTTAAGCTTAGTTTTAGAGCTGCTACATAGCATTGTCTGTTTCTTTAGAAAAGCTGCTCTGGGCCAGGAGTGGTGGCTCACGCCTGTAATCCTAGCACTTTGGGAGGCTGAGGCAGGCAGGTCACGAGGTCAGGAGATTGAGAACATCCTGGCTAACACGGTGAAACCCCGTCTCCACCAAAAAATAGAAAAACTTAGCCGGGCATGGTGGCGGCCACTTGTAGTCCCAGCTACTTGGGAGGCTGAGGCAGGAGAATGGCATGAACCTGGGAGGCAGAGCTTGCAGTGAGCCGAGATCACGCCACTGCACTCCAGCCTGGGTGACAGAGCGAGACTCCATCTTAAAAACAAAAACAAAAACAAAAACAAAAAAAAACCCCTGCTCTGTTATTAAAATAGCCCTGCTCAGGTTTTGAAGTCCTCTTGGAATGATGGTGTGTCATTCTGATGTTTACTTGTTCAGTTTATCTTCCATGTATAAGATGATGGGGGCAGAAATGCATATTCACTGTTTTCATTTGTTCTTAATTTAATTTTTTTGTCTATTGGTACAAATTGGAAAAATAATTTGCAAACAATGGCAAATAGAGAATACTAAAATATCTTCATAAAAGAAATCTAAATAGAGCATTGCATAAGTCAGATTTTGGAACTTGCCCAAAAGAAACTTCATGACTAAATTTCACAAGATACCTCAGAAGGGAAAGGGGAAGGGTAAAGAAATAATCATAGTTAATGTATACATAGCCCTTTATATCATTCAATATTCACACTTCGAAGGTTTGCCAGAAAATAATTACATCATTATGATTTGACAGGAGGGGAAAGTGCGGTATGGTATGGCCAAGTGATTTGTGTAAGGTCACATGGTAAGTTAGTCTCCAGACCTAGAACAGTGGCTGTTACTCTCTTTTGCTTATGGAAACTTTTTAGGATTCCTGAGGAAGTTGTGGATCTTCTCCCCAGAGCAACATATTTGTGCATTTGTGTAGGGGTGTGTGTGTGTGTGTGTGTGTGTGTGTGTGTGTGTGAGAGAGAGAGAGAGAGAGACAGAGAGAGAGAGAGAGGAGGGCTTACTTGCATTTGATAAATCTTTTCCATATGACTTTAGGCAATTGCTAGGTTCCTTAAGTCCTGCCATGGACTCTATGACAAGGACTCTTCATTGCCTAAGTGTTATTTCCAAGTCTCCTGAAGATTCAGGCTAAAGGGTTTGGAACTTTCCTAGACCTACAAACATGTTATTAAAAGGGATAGCTGGAGAAGGTATTAAAAATCAGGTGGTATCGGCTGGATGATTGCTTGAGGACAAGAGTTCAAGACCTGTCTGGGAAACATAGGGGACCACTGTCTCTAAAAAAGAAAAAAAAAAGCCAGACATGGTGGTTCGTACCTGTAGTCCCAGCTACTCAGGAGGGAGACTGAGGTAGTAGGATTGATTGAGCCTAGAAGATCAAGGCTGCGGTGAGCTGTGTTCACACCAGTGCACTCCAGCCTGAGCAACAGAGTGAGACCCTGTCTCAGGCAGTTCCTTGTCTCTCTCCCTTTTCGTACACACACACACACACACACACATACACACTCACACAATATGGGTATAAACATTTTTTTAAATGTAGAAACTCAGTGTTCAGCACATCTTGCCTCAACAGTAAACTACCTACAGACAATTAAATAATTGGCTTTGTTATGTTGGGATGCTTTCACCCATAACGTTAACAGTTGCTTATCTTATTTAAGGGAAGGAAGTGCTTTATCTAGGATAAAATTATTTTGATAGTGTTAAAAGACAAACTTTAGAAAATTTAGCAGAATTTATCTGAGCAAAGAATATCTCATGAATCAGGCAGCACTGAGAACCAGGAGAGGTTCAGAAAGCTGTACCCAGCATCATGGGTAGGCAGTATTTATAGACAGAAAAAAAAAGTAATTACAGAAACAGCTTGACTGATTACAGCTGAGCCTTGGCCTTATTTGGGCATGGTGTAGTGAGTCATTTGCCTTATGTGGACATGGTCTGATGAGTTAGCAGGCTGTGACTGGCTGAGGCTCAGCTGCTGTGATTAAGACACAGCCACTTCTTACAATAACATACACTCAACTTAGGATGCAATGTGTTATTAGGAAATGAAAGCATGAGGTCAGTCTCATGCCAAATTTATTTTAACAGTTATGTGAGAGACAGCTATCAGTGTGTTTTAAAGCTCTCTACTTACAAAAGAGAATAATTAATGCTTTTCTCTCTTCAAGAAACAAACTTTAAAAAAAATGAGGCGTAACAGAAAAAAAAATAAATGCTCTACCATTGATGACAAGAGGAAACCATTTAAACCCAGAAAACACAAACAACTTGACAAGCACTAAGTAGTTGATGGGTTGAACTTCGTGCTTGAACTTGTGTGCCACCAGCTCAGAGTGTGGATCATGTACTGTGCTCTTGAACATCACAGAGTTTGTACCCTCTGTATCCCACCTAGTTCAAGCGACATTTGATCACTAAAAGCAACCTTAACTCCATCAAATGAACTGAAGATTAGCCCCAAGCCAACAGAATCCTGAGCTTTGTAACAAGGTATCTTGAGTTCTTAATCTCAAGATAAAGTAAATTAACTATATTTCTACTGTTTATCTTTAAGTTGAGGAAAAACCATTTACAGTCCTGTTGAATAATGACATTTCTGTCAACAATGGACCACATCATGATAGTGGTCCTGTAGCATTATAATACTGTATTTTTTTCCTGTAACTTTTCAATGTTTGGATACAGAAATACCACTGTGTTACAGTTGCCTACTACTGTATTTACTACAGTAAAGTGCTGTACAGGTTTTTAGCCTAGGAGCAATAGGCTTTACCACATAGCCAAGGTGTGTAGTAGGCTATACCATCTAGGTTTGTGTAAGTACTAATGCAGGATATTTTCTTGACCCCTCCAATGGACTCATGACAGGGGTGCCTTGTTTACTCAGCCCTCCCTGCTCAACCCCTTGCAGGAGGGAATGTACAAGCTAACGAGTGAGGGAGCCAGAGTGAGTGACCACAGGAACTGGCCAGTGGTCCAGCAGGAGCAACCTCTGTTCACTCAGGTCCTCCAGTCTCCACCCCTTGCAGGAGGGAGTGTGAGAGCATAGGAGTGCAAAAACCAGCTGACTGCTTCAGCACCAGCACAACTCTGTGAGGCCCCGTGGCAGCATCCAGGTGGGGGTGCCTGCCACCCCAAGGCCCCAGAGGGTGTGTTACAATGCTCTCTTAGCTCCACCATCCACAGACAGCAGTATGTTATCAGCTCAGTGGGCCTTTTGCCTCATCATGTGGGGTGGCTGCCCTCTACCAGCGAGGGCAAAGGGCCAGTGTGACAGCCTTTTGGGTCACCTGCACGTGGTGCATCCCAAATGCTTGTCTGGTGCCCAAGAGGAATGAGGTCACATGGCCAAACCGAAGGATGATGAATGTAGAAAACTTTATTGCATGATAAAATCAGCTCTTGGCTGGCTGCGGTGGCTCACACTTGTAATCCCAGCACTTTGGGAGGCCGAGGTGGGTGGATCACGAGGTCAGGAGTTCGAGACCAACCTGACCAATATGGTGAAACCCCATCTCTACTAAAAATACAACAATTAGCCAGGCATGGTGGCGCATGCCTGTAGTATCAGCTACTCAGGAGGCTGAGGCAGGAGAATCACTTGAACCTGGTAGGTAGAGGTTGCAGTAGGCCGAGATCACACCACTGTACTCCAGCCTGGGTGACAGAGCGAGACTGTAGCAGCTCTCAGTGGAAAGGGGAGCTGGAAAGTGGACAGAAAGGGAAGGTTCCTCTCCCAAGAAGTCAAGCCGCCTCCCTGCCCCTCTCTTCTGAAGTCAAGGTGCTTCGTCCAGCCACCGTCTCAAAGTCACCTCTCCCCGACATCCAGCCAAGGTCTTCCCAAGGTTCAGCTGCTGCTTTTCTCTGCCAGCTGAGTCTGGGTCTTTATAGGCACAGGATGGAGGCAGGGAGGGCTGTAGGTAGTTTTAGAAAAGACAACATTTGATTGGTAAAAATATATCATTTATTCAGAAAGAACCAGTTGGGAGAGAGTGGGCAAACAGGGATAGAAGTTCTCATTTTGGGGCCAGGTTTCAGGCTTTTGGGTTCAAAAGTGTGGTTTTGACAGGAGCCTGCCCCATCTGTCTAGAATTTCTCTGCCTCCTGTCACTATCGGTACTCTATGATGTTCACACAATGATGAAATTGCCTAACGATGCATTTCTCAGCATGTATTCTCATCATTAAGCTACATATAACTATGTTTAATGGAGCTTACTGGAAGGAATCTATTTTGGAATGTCAATTCTCTTTTTCTACAGAGTGACTGAAACTTCAAATTTTCACTGATTTTCAAAAATATTTAGATTTTTAAGGTCTCCTGTTCTTCCCTACTACCCAGCCTGCACACAGACACAGAGGCACCTTAGGATGGGGTACATCCCAGTAAACCCTTAGTAAACAGAAAATATTGTAAATTGAAAGTGTGCTTAATACCTCGATTAATCCATCATAAAGTTGAAAAATTTAACATCGTGTGCTCCTTGACTTAAAATAGGGTTATATGATTTTAAACCTATTATGAAGTCAAAAATCATAAGTCAAACTATTTTAAATCAGGAACTCTGTAATATCTTAAGATAAAAATAAATAGAATAAAAGCATTTTAGAATTGAAATTTGTACTTTATACAGCAAGAGAAGACATAAGTATACAAGTTTGGAGACAGATGCTAATTATTCTTTGGGTCTCCATTTAACATCCACTATATTAGTGATGTCATATAATTCTTGGTTCAGGCACAATGAGGAAGCCAGTTAGGAGTAGCAATGGGTTAAGTGAGAAAAATAATTTCCTCTTTTACTTAGAATATGATTTTTCCAGTATCTAACCCTTCTTAAATTAAATAACTTATCAGAACTCAGGATAGGTATACTGTTTTATTTGAAACTTTTAATATACATCTTAATATAGATAAGAATTCCCAGGAAGTTTTTGGTGTATGTTACTTTTTTAGAACATTAAGAGATGATGATTGACAGAAATAAAAGCTTCATAGAATTAAATAATTGGCATTATCCAGATTCTCCCAAAGTTAAACAGTTTGAGTACGCAGGGGGGCCATTGTGTGTCTTGTGAATCCTGAAAGAGAGATTAGTTTATGTAAGACTTCCAAGGTTATTTGAACTTAAGAGCCACTTTTATTCTCTATAGTGTGTTTCATGGGGTGAATAGTCCTCCCATAAATAAAATATATTTTGGGAAATGTTGGTATAATTTTAGCTTTTCTTGTTTGAAGCTTAAAATCTTGCTGGCAAAAAGCGCCAGCCAATAATGCCTAAATTTCAAATACCTTGCTAAGAAAATGGACACTTCATCTGCACAAGAGGGTGTGTATTTGTTAGTGGAGGGTACTCATTTCTTCTCAACTCCCTCCCTTGGGGTTTAATGGCTTGTTACAAATCAAACTTTGCAGTGATAAGAAAGCTTTCTCTAATCACCCCAACTAATTACGGGGGCAAATTAATCAATTGCTAAGCATCACTAGCATGCTAATAAATTACAAAATCCTTTAAAAGGGGTTTTGAATACCCGCCCTCAACAGAAAAAAGAGTGATGAACATTCAAATGAGTATGCCTGTTGCCAAAAGCTTGCAGGACTTGACTTATGGGGCACTCTTTCCATTCTTTGATTTCTGCTACTGTTTCCTGAGAATTTACCACATGGCAGGCAATGTGCTAGCCACTTTTCTGAGTTTAGTCCTCTCAACAATCGTTTGAAGTAGGTCTTGGAATTGTCTTTTTGTGAGTCTTGTGAGGCTCAGAGAACTTCATGATTGCCCAAGTCCTAGAGTTTATAAATGGAGAGCTAGGATAGGAATGTAGTCTTTTAGCTCCAAACAACCCTCCTCCAGCTTCCCCAGCCACACCCAGACCAAACCCATCAGCTTTTCTTGATGTTTAGGAGAGGGGACATCAGAGCAACTCACAGAATGACTGCTATGGATCACCTGAGATCAAGAGTTTGAGACCAGCCTGGCCAACATGGTGAAACCCCATCTCTACTAAAAATACAAAAATTAGCCAGGTGTGGTGGCATGCACCTGTAATCCCAGCTACTCAGGAGGCTGGGGCAGGAGAATTGCTTGAGTCCGGGAGACAGAGGTTGCAGTGAGCCAAGATCACGACACTGCACTCCATCCTGAGTGACAGAGTGAGAGAAAAAAAAAAAAAAATCAAAATGAATGATGGCTTCAAGTACTGTGAAACATGTGAAACATCATGTAGGAGAAAAGCACAGGACTAACTAAAAGTAATAATAACTGTTAATATATGTTTTACTAGGAGGTGAACACTTGACTAAGTGCTTTTACAAGTCATGTCATTGAATCCCCAAGATGATCTTATGAAGACAGTTTTATTGCTATCATGCCCATTTTATACATAAATACTTATGAGTACACTGAGGCTAATAAGCATTTAAATAATGTGTTGGAGATCACAGAACTTAGGATTTGAAACCAAGCAGGCTGACTCCAATGCCGTATACTAAATCGCTCCTGTATGTCACCCTCACTGGGAGTCAAGAGGTCTGACCTCTTGTGCTAGAGCCACTAAAGACTCAGATTTGGGAACTTAGCCTAAACTAAAACCCATTTGATTTTTTATTTGTGAATTCAAAAAGAATGACTAGAAAAGATGATGTCTACACAGACTCTGCCCCTGCTAATGTATATTTATCTTGCAACTTTTTCTCAAAAAGCAATAGATAGGGCCTTAAATGATACTAGTCTAGTGTCTAAATGATTATCATATAATCATATGTACATTTGCAAGCACCCTGCTTCTTACCCCATGCGTATGTAAAGGAGAAAATAAGAAAATAAAAAAATATTAATTCTTGTTACCTGAGGAAATAGAGACAATTTTATGTTCTTCATTTTTCTTTCTCTTGTATTGTTCAAATTTTCTGCAATGGTTTTTGTTACTTTAGTTATTACAAAATAGATAGAAAAGAAGATGATTGATGGATTAATCTGTTATTTTATTTTGCCTTTCTGCCACATCCAAATTTTTCTCTTAAAATTATTCTAATTTTTTTTTCCAATGTGTACCGTATTCCTTTTAATTAAATTGCAGATCCCTTGAAGACAGGGCCCATAGAAAAAATATTGGTATGCCATTTTGTATTTTCTTCTTATGTTTACTACTTAAATATTATGACATCACTATGTGCTCAATGAATGAAATGAAAATACCTAATTTAAATATTTTGTAAAAAAAGAATATATCTCTGCATAAAGCTTATTCTGTACTTTGAACTATTTTTCACAGGGTAGACTGTCATAATTATCATTACAAAGTCTGTCTTCGGACATTTTTCAGGCTTGAGTATACATTTTCTAATGGCTTCCCTATAGCATAGCATACTCTCAATAGAAATTTATGTATTTTTCTAATTACTGGTTATTTTTATTTAAAAATATTTTGGCTACCATGATAAGTGAAAAAAGGACCTCATGGCTGTTTTAACTAGCATTTTTGAAAGTTGGAGACTTTTCTTCTTTATAGCATCAGGGTCACCACAGTGAAGGGTACTTTTCTATATACTTAATTTTCTAATACATTTTCTCTGTGAATTGTTTCTCTCATGTTTGTTGTTTATTTAGTTTGGTCGTAAGTATTGCTTATCTGCTTCTGATAGATAATTTCTACAGAAAAACCTTTGGGTTGTTTGATGTACTTCCTGGAAATACTTCTCTTTGTGTTCAAATGGAGGTTTTAAATTTTGCTAAGCAAAATCTTTGCAGTTTCCTCTCTTGCTTTTATACTTATTTCATATTTTTACAATTCTTATATTTTTCAAGAATAATTCTGTGTTTACTCTAGGATGTTAAAGTGGAGAGTACAATTTATGGATAAGAAATAAAATAAAATGTTAGTTGTCTGGAATGAAGGGAGAATGCTTAGGTGATGGAAGTGATTCCTATGCATTTAGCTTACTTCAGGGCTAAGAAAACATCCTGTTTCTCCCACTCCTTTTCCTGCCCTAGTGAGGCCAGCTAGAAAATAACATCTGTTTACTGGAAGAAGGTACTTTCAGAATGTAGGTTGCATCCCAATCTCCACAGGTAGAGATAGAGAAGGCAGGACCTGAAGGAAGCTTTCTAGATGAGAGACTCTTTTCCATTATTCATTTCTTTTCTCTCTTAATCCCTAAGAGATGCTTGTTTAATTGACTTTTTCTTCTGTCTCCTCTTTTAAAAAGGGTTCTTTGAATAACACACCCTAAACGAGGTTAGATGCACAAACTATATGCCCCCAGCACACTTTTTTTTTTTTCAGAAGAGCTCTTATTATACTATTGGTGTCTATTGCCCGCTGGAGTATCTATTGGCAAACTCTTTAAAAGCAGAGATTGACTGTTAACATGAATTAAGTATTTAGAAATGAATATGAAGATATAGTGAGCAAATTCTACAGACAAGTGAAATACATGAGGACCCCATCCTTTATACCACACTTTTTGACACCATTAGAGCTCTTAAGACAGAATGTTGCCAAATGCCCAGACCAGCTTAAACACGTTCAGTTTGCTTCTTCCAGGAGTCCAACTGTTTTAGAGTAGTTTTGCTCATCTTTATTATCCTTTTTGTCACTTATATTTTATGGCTGTAGATAAATCAATATTTGCCTGTGAGATATAGAGATTTTAAGACCTTCAGAGAAGGGATTCTGGTTTTGGCCCAAGATACTCTGAAATGATTGGAAAAGACTCACAAGTGCAGTATAGCCATAGATGTTGTATAATGCCCAGACTGTGAAATAGATAAAGGTTGTTAGTTAGTCCTCATTCTCTGTGCTTGTGAGAATTTTCCATAGTATCTATACACCTGGGTGACTAAATTCTTCTTTACAAGAAGCTAAAACCTGGCCTTCCTGTTTGCCACACATTTTACAAGGTTAATAATATTTAACAGTTTGCCATGAACTTGTTCTGGATTTTCTGAATACCTTTGGATCCTCAGAATTAAGCCACATTGGTTTCTAGGAAGGCCTAGGGCCAGGTCTCAGACCACATCCTTCTTGCCTGTCCTGCTCACGACTGAATGAACTGCAGCAAACACAGTGACAGACACAGAAATCACTCAGTAAGCATAAATCCAATGGGTCTATGGTGACATCATTTACAATGACTTAGGAGGCCCAGGCAGTTGAGGTCAAAAAAATCAAGAGTTTACTGAGAATATAAAGGCATCCCTGTTCTTTCTAAAGGGGTTAAAAAATCAAACTACTGAGCGTTGTCTGTCAAGCACTGTGCTAAGAGCATATATTGACAATATTGTTTAATTTTTACAGCAATTCTCTAAGGTGAGTCTTGCTGCTTTCATTTTATAGATGAAGAAACTGAGACATGAAAAATTTAGCTAACTTATCCAAACACAAACAATTAGTAAGCAGAGCTAGGACTAAATCGCAGATACTTTGACTCCTAACTCTGGTGCTATTAGCTGCTTTGCAAATCCCCTTCTAGATGATCCCAGACATGGTGTGCTCTGCTACTCCCTGTGTTCTCACATCACTCGTTTACATCACCTGTCCAGCCTTTGTAAGCATTTAAGTGTTCAACACCTACCATAGTGTCCTACTTTTGTAGCCTCTAAGAACAGAGTAGATATTTGGAGTTTAGTCCTATTCACTATTCACTTCCAGGGGACTGACTTGATGTATTTTTCCTCCATTTTTTCTGAAATAGCATTTTGTCCTTAGCTAGAAGGTAAACCTCCCTAATTTGCAGACTCAAAGATGAAGACACTAAGAATACTGACTTTCCCAAAGTCACACAGTTGGTAATGAGATACACAAAGCAACTGTTGGCATGCTTTAGTAAATGCAAGCATCTATCAAACTGCCTGAAAAAAAAGAACCCCAAATTGGAATCTCATGGTCTTTTGGGTCCTCTTGTTTATGCAGTTTGCATGTTTACATTTACTGAAACAACGGTTGCTTTGTAACTTTTGTTGGTAACTTAGGAAGTTGATATAAGCTCCTTGTATAACAATAAAAAAATTGTCAGATTGTACTTGTATCAAAGTCTCTTCTTTCCAAGTCACAGTATTCAAAAACTAGATAAGCAGGCATCTAGACTGATTTCTAATTTTTCTTTGAAGAAGAAGCTATCTCAGCTAAGTTTTTCACATGAAAACAGTCACTAACAACAACAACTATACCAACAAATAGAGTATCTATAATTCATTTAAAAACAGTGTACATTTTGATGGAATAGTTTGTGCATGTGTGTGTGTGTTTTGTGCTTTGACCCACAACCACCACTGACGGTAGTGGGAGTGAGTGTGTGGTATGATGTACTCTAAAGTTGTAAATACAATGGACAACAGAGATCTAATTCTGGGTTAGAAAATTTCCGATTTGGTAATTTGGGGGCTTTTACATAACTAATCTGAACCTTATTTTATTTATTTGGTAAAATAGGAATAATAGTATCTACCACAAAAAGGCTCCATGTGCTATCATTTGATTAGGAAAGATAAAGCATACAAACATCAGGTTGTAGGTAGTTTTTAATAAATATTTATGTATTTCCTTAACTGAAGCAGAACATCCTGTCTCTCCAGTACACAGTTGCCCTGGAAAATTCAATGAGAGCTGGTGGTCTGACCACTGGACTACCACATTTTTTAATTTAACTCCAGTTCCAGTCCTTTAGTTATGGTTGCAATTTAACTTCCCCTAAGAAGCAGGATCTACACAGAGGCCAAGCCAGGGTGGCCAGGATCTCATTCCGACAGTCCAGCTCTCAGAGTAGCTCACCTCTCCAGACCTCATCTTTTTCACCTGTTATGTGTAACTGTGATAAATAGGAATAGCATATTTCAGAGAAATAATTTATTTGCTAATTCTAACTCTAAAAAGTAAATGCTGCAATTTTTTTTTCCCCTAAGAATCTGGACTTTGCTGGGCATCTATCTAGCCACCTTATGGTCTGCACAGAATTGTGTGTTTGACTCTATATCCATAAAAGCAAAGGAGCAAGCTCTCCATTCACCTCCAAAACAAGTTTTCATTAAGCACCTGAAAGCTCCTTGTATGCTGCAAACTTACAGATTATTGCTAGGATAAGGATTGAGAGTGGGACTTGTAATCAGATAGATTTTATTCCATTTGACCTCTGAGGGGAATGTGAACAAGTTAATTAACATTTATGAGCCTTAGTTTCCTAAACTGTATAATAGAAAAATGGTGCATAAGTCACATAAGGATTTTTATGAAAGTATGAAGAAATTATACATGTAGCACTCTCAGTACAGCTCCTAGAAGATAGGAAGCCATCAAGACTGATAGCTATTACACCATTATCATCATCAAATCTCACTACCAACTCTCAACTTACTACCATTCTGACACAATAAGAGGAAGGTTGGACAGGAAATTTTGTACTGATGAAGTCTTCTGTGCCAGTTGACCCTGTGTTAGGTGGAGAAGGCCACTGTATTTGTCTGTTCTCATACTGCTAATAAAGATATAACTGATACTGGGTAATTTATAAAGGAAAGAGGTTTAATTGACTCACAGTTCTGCATGGCTGGGGAGGCCTCACAATCACAGCGGAAGGTAAATGAGGAGCAAAGGCATGTCTTACATGGAGGCAGGCAGGAGAGCTTGTACAGGGAAACTCTGATTTATAAAACTATCAGATCTCTTGAGACTTATTCACTACCATGAGAACAGTATGGGGGAAATTGCTCCCGTGATTCAATTATCTCCACTTGGCCCCACCCTTGACACAGGGGGATTATTACAATTCAAGGTGAGATTTGGGCAGGGACAAAGCCAAACCATATCAGCCACTAAGTGGGATGGGAATGGAGATAAGGAAAATAAATCTGACATTCATAGTAGAAGAACTTTCTTTTTTTTTTTTTTCTTTTTTTTTTTTGAGACAGAGTCTCACTCTGTCTCTCTGTTGCCCAGGCTGGAGTGCAGTGGTGGGATCTTGGCTCACTGTAAGCTCCGCCTCCCAGGTTCATGCATTCCCCTGCCTCAGCCTCCCGAGTAGCTGGGACTACAGGCGCCCGCCACCATGCCTGGTTTTTTTTTTTTTTTTTTTTGTATTTTTAGTAGAGGTGGGGTTTCACCGTGTTAGCCAGGATGGTCTTGATCTCCTGACCTCGTGATCTGCCTGCCTCAGCCTCCCAAAGTGCTGGGATTACAGGCGTGAGCCACCATGCCCAACCAAGAACTTTTATTGTGTTGATCTCACTTTCATTTACATTTAGTGAAATTTATTCTAAATGCATTTAGATGCATTTAATAGAAGCTTATGTGGTGAGATCTGACACTAAATGTGAATACCAATCCCTGTGAGTGCTAGACGTTGACAGTTATTGATAATGTCTATATAGCAGAGACCTTTCTACTAGCTGAGATATTGCTTCTCCTACACGTCTTTTTCCAGAACCATGTATTTATTTGCTATACTAATTTGGACCTTTTATTTAAGAAGCAACAAAGAACCTGACACAAATAACCTTGAGCAGAAGAATTTCACTGGTCCAAGTAACCAGAAAGTCCAGAGTTGGCTAGTTCCATGTAGGCTTGATGCTCAGGCTCCAATGACATCATTAGGACTGAGTCTCCTCCATCCCCTGATTCTTACTTCTATGCTGGCTTTAGTCCCAGGATTCATGGATAGGGAAGATGGCTAATAGCAGCTTTAGGCTTATATGTTCTCATGCTCAAGATCATTAGCCAATGTGGATGGCTCCTTTCTAGTCACCAAAAAGTCCTGGATGAACTTTGAACACACCTGCCTGGCCAATTTCTAAACCAATCACTGTAAGTAGTAAAAGGGAATGACAGGTCTAGATTATGTGCCACTGATAACATTAAACCTATTCAAAGAACATGGACTTGGAGTGGTGCTTCCTCAAAGGAAAGTCAGAGCTACTGTGCCAGGAAAATAATAGTTGTGTACCAGCCAGCCAGCAAAAATAAGATAACACACCTGTTCTTTATTTTCCATGGAGACCCTTCCTTCACCCTCTCCACAGGTTGAGTCTATCTCTTCCTTCCAGTCCTGTCTACAGTGTTGCTTCCTACATAATGTATATCCTGACTCAAGTTCCCATTATCTTGGGTGAATTTGTTCTCCTCCAATTTAATCCAAATGGCACTTAGGCTTCTCATGTGGTTTTTATTACAATGAGCTTTTTCTTTGATGTGCTGAAGCACTCCTATTAACTTCCTAAATGCTCCTTAAGGGCAGAGACTTCCTTATCATCATAGAATCCCTTAAAGCAACCAGCCCAATAGCTGGTACTCAGAAGATACATTGTAAATACTTTCTGAATTACAGTCCCATAGTAATTCCATGTTTCTAAAACAATAATTATGTTTCAACTGGAAAATTAAACAAAACAAAACAAAAAGTGAGCTCCAATTCTATTTCTTTTGTAGAAACATCATTCTAGATTTTGCTTTGAAATATTATGGAACCTGGCCCCAGAAATTGGCAGAGTTGCATTTAGAGATTTGAGCTCATGTGATAAATAATTAGGGAGTATTTCCTGTATTATAGAGCAGAAGCTGTTCGATGTATCTGCCCTCCAAGTCATCAACTTTACATGGTGATTATTTGTTTATGTGAACTTGAACAGATTCTTAAGTCAGGAAGCTGATGAAAGATTGGGGAAGAAACAAATGTTTGAATGAAAATAATGTTTCCTTGTGAGTGTTTTGGCTCATTAGAGTTTCTATGTGCTTAGTAGACATGTGAGGTAGTTGAAAATAATATTTTGGCTCAGGGAGTTGTATACCAGGAAGATTATTACACAACAACATCAACAGCCATATTTGTCATATTATATTATATTATTTGACATAAATGAATCTCTACAGTGGAATTAATCCTGATATCTAGTAGAGATGAGCAAATGAGGTGAACTATTACTTAACTTTTACAGTTTTAACTTATAATTTATTTCTTGGGGGTAAAATGCTAGCCCTAAATTGGAGCTTAGCTTTGAAGGGTGGTAAGTTTTAAAGATGGGAGAATAAGGCTGACATTCATTGAATATTTACCAAGAAATGGGGTACAATTCTAATCACTATTTTTTTTTAAATTCTCAGTCACTTCATGAGATTGTTACTATTCTTATACCTGGAAAAGAAATGAGCAAATGGAGGCAGAGAGACTAAGCAACTCAACCAAGAATACAGCTACAATCAGGATATAAATGCAAAGACCCTGATTTTAGAGTGTATGATTTTAATCACTCTATTGTGGGAAATTCCAGTGTGAGTAACAGCATGGCCTAAGAGCAGGGACAGGAGAATGTGACCTGGGCATAGGGAGAAAAAAGGCCTAATCTGGCTGTAACAAATTGTCTCCTGGGGAATGTGTTGAGAAAAAAACAACCAACCAACCAACCAAACAAAAAGCATTAGAAGTGACATTAGAGTAACTGCCAAAGGCTGTATACACTAAGAAGTTTGGACTTCACATGGCAGGGAATTGAAAGCCATAGGAAGTGTGTGAGCCAGGGAGCTGTCTAGGATTTTGCTCCCAGAATTAGATCCTAAGACACGAATTTGAATCAAGTAGTTAATTTAGTAAATGATTCTAGGAAGAACTCACATGCGTGGGCAAGTGATACAGTGAGAAAAGGAAGCCAAAGATGTTATGTTATTATGCTGGCATATGATATATACCAGAATGTGGTGAGTTCTACTTTAGACCTAGAGAGAGTTCTAGATACCAACATATTCCCTGATAGAAGTATAGAAGACCAAAGAGCAAGTAATGAGCACAGGTCAGGAATAACTCAGGGCTGAAAACATATATTTGTAAATAATCTAGCTTACAGAGGAGACAGGTACTCCTGCATTCTTATCGATCCTCTTAAGAGATTTTACTCTCAGAAAATATAGAAATGGCTCAACTTGCAAGTTTTACCCTTTGCTCCTAACAGTCACTAAATGAATAGGGTTTATGGTTTGAATTTCCCTTTGGACTGGAATAAACGATAATTACATAAATGTGTGTGTGTGTGCGTGTGTTTGTGTGCATGTGTGACAAATTTCCACATGGATCCCATGGTGAAGAAGCCCCTAACCCTTTATGGTTCTGAATTAAGACTGTAGAATCACATTTTTGTTCTGCCTACTTTCGTCAGTAGATAAGCTGAAAAAACAAGGCCCATCAAGACAAATGGGAGAAGCCTTGTTCTTAAATATTTGAGGAAAGACAATAAGGAGTATTTCATCTAAAAACATTAAAGTAAGCAAGACTTAAGAGGTGTATGTAACTCCATGTGACTATAAAAAAAGGGAGAGTTAAGGATACACGTCATTTTTGTCTTAGTAGGGATGCTGTGGAAAACCAGAAAAAGATTACAGTGTAATGCTGGACTTCCAAGAACAGTGTAAGACCTAAGTCATGAAGACATTGGGTGGCTGCCAGGTTTAAAGCACATTATTGTAGGAACTGTGTCAGGAATTGGTGGGTTCTTGGTCTCGCTGACTTCTAGAATGAAGCCGTGGACCCTCACGGTGAGTGTTACAGTTCTTAAAGATGGTGTGTTGGAGTTTCTTCCTTCAGATGTTCAGATGTGTCTGGAGTTTCTTCCTTCTGGTGGGTTAGTGGTCTCACTGACTTCGGAAGTGAAGCTGCAGACCTTCACGGTGAGTGTTACAGCTCTTAAAGGTGGCAGGTCTGGAGTTGTTCATTCCTTCTCATGGGTTCCTGGTCTCACTGGCCTCAGGAGTGAAGCTGCAGACCTTCGCGGTGAGTGTTACAGCTCATAAAGGCAGCGTGGACCCAAAGAGTGAGCAGCAGCAAGATTTATTGCAAAGAGCAAAAGAACAAAGCTTCCACAGTGTGGAAGGGGACCCAAGCGGGTTGCCACTGCTGGCTTGGGCAGCCTGCTTTTATTCCCTTATCTGAACCCCACCCCCCATCTTGCTGATTGGTCCATTTTACAGAGAGCTGATTGGTCCATTTACAATCCTTTAGCGGGACAAAAAAGTTCTCCAAATCCCCACTAGGTAAGCTAGACACAGAGTGCTGATTGGTGCATTTACAAACCTTTAGCTAGACAGAGTGCTGACTGGTGCATTTACAATCCTTTAGCTAGACACAAAGTTCTCCAAGTCCCCACTAGATTAGGTAGACACAGAGCACTGATTGGTGTGTTTACAAACCTTTAGCTAGACACAGAGTGCTGACTGGTGTGTTTACAAACCTTTAGCTAGACACAGAGTGCTGACTGGTACATTTACAATCCTTTAGCTAGACAGAAAAGTTCTCCAAGTCCTCACCTGTCCCAGAAGCCCAGCTAGCTTCATCTCTCACTGGCACTCTCTGCAAGTACTCTGTGGCACCCAGCCTGGGCACTCCAGCAGCCCAGAGGGAGCTCATCTCCCGATCAAGCCCAGCAGGCACCAGCTGGCTGCGCTGTGCTGAGTGCGGGGCCCACCAAGCCCGTGCCCACCCAGAACCCGTGCCGGCCTGCGAGTGCCATGCGCAGCCCCAGTTCCCACCCACACCTCTCCCTCCACACCTCCCCACGAGCAGAGGGAGCTGGCTTTGGCCTCAGCCAGCCCCAGAGAGTGGCCCTCATAGCTCAGTGGCAGGCTGAAGGGCTCCTCAAGTGTGGCCAGAGTGGATGCTGAGGCCAAGGAGGCGCCGAGAGCGAGTGAGGGCTGCTAGCACGTTGTCACCTCTCAATTCCCCCTCTAAACAGGACACCCCAACAGCTGTTGGGAATTTGGCTGATGACCGCTCTAGCTACTTCCTGCTGGATAGGGGTGAAGAAGGGGCCCTGCAGTTGTAGTGTCCTCCAGAGGGGAACTCTTTAGGCCAGTGAAAGGGCCAGTGGGTCAATCCACGTGTCCTCGGTAGACGTTGTTAGTTGAGCTCATTTGGGGCTCCATTTGTAAGACCATCTCTAGCTTGATGGCCTCAATTCTAGAGGAAACAAATATGACAAGGAGGTTAGAAATACAGGGCCTGAAGGTGAGTAATAGCAGGATGGTTGCCCCGGGAACTAGAAAGGGGAGAAGCCATGTTGCCCAACTCCAGAGGTTGGTATAAGAGTTTGAAAGGCATTGTCTGATTTCGGAAGCCTTTTCCTGTAAATTCCAGGCGCCATCTCGCACTATCCCTGACTGGTTAGTGTAAAAACAACACTCTTTCCCTAAGAAGATGCAGAGTCCTCCTTTCTCAGCAGTGAGGAGGTCTAGGCTTCGGCGGTTTTGGAGAGTCACTGCTGCCAAAGAGTCTATTTGGGATTGTAGAGTAAGGATAGATTTCGTTATTTCTTGCAAACTGTCTGAGAAATCCTTTGAGAGTGTGTGGTAGTAGGATAATGAAGTAGATAAACTGGCTATTCCAGTTCCTGTAGCAGTAGCCATTCCTAACCCTATAAGTAGGGGTATTGGTTGTGTGGCTTTGCACTGACGGACTTGAGCTTTGAGGGGTACTGAGAGGGTCTGATTTCCTGGGGCAGTGTTAATGTTGGGACTTAGACTAAGATGCAGATGCCAGTCCAGTTAGTGGGGAGGCAGATATAGGTTGACATTCCACATAAGAAGAATATACCTTGGCTGGGTAGACAGAACTTTACCCTGGCTTTTAAAGGAATAGGGTACACTGTTTTTTCTTTACTATTTATCTCTCTTTCTTTCTCTTTGACTTCTTCTTTGTCTCTCTCTTTGTCTCTGACTCCCTCTTTGTCTTTTCCTCTCTTTCCTTCTTTGACTTTCTGTCGCTCTGTCTCCTTCTCTTTGTCTCTGTTTCTTCCTCTCTCTCTTTCTCTGACTTCCTGTCTCTTTCTCTCTTTCCTTTCTGCTGCCTCTGCCAGTTGCTTATGCTCCTGTTTTCCCTTCTCCTTCCTCTTTTTGATGGCTTTGGCAGTGTAAGACTGCCACCTCCTTGGGTTTTTGCATTGTGCAATAACTCCATAATTTCCTTGTGGTATTTAATGGGGGTTCCCCCAGAGGTTAGGAACTCCCTTTCTTTCCATATTGCAGCATGGGCATGTAGGATTAGATAAGCATACTTGCTATCTGTGTACACATTTACTCTTTTACCCTTTCCCAGTTCTAAGGCTCGGGTAAGTGCCACTAGTTCTGCTAACTGGGTGCTGGTCCCTGGGGGAAGAGGCTTACTTTCAAGTATGATTACAACACTAACTATGGCATAACCTTCCCTTCATACCCCATTTTCCACAAATGAACTTCCATCGGTATATAGATTAAGGTCAGGATTAGCTAAGGGGACTTCTAAGAGATCATCTCAGGCAGCATAAGTCTGGAATATAATTTGTTGGCAGTCATGATCGATTGGTTCCCCAACCTCTGGGAGAAAAGTGGCAGGGTTGAGGGCCACGCACATACATATTGGAAGCACCAGTCCCTCAAGAAGTGCCTGGTATCTAAGTAGGCAGTTGTCTGATAGCCATAAACTTCCTTTGGCACCTAGTATGCCCTCCACATCCTGAGTAGTCCAGACAGTGAGATCCTTTCCTTGTATTCTCTTGATAGCCTCTGACACTAAGATGGCCACCACGAAAACTACTGACAAACAGTAAGGCCAGCCTTTTGCTACTACATCTATTTCCTTATTTAGGTATGCCACTGGTTGTGAGGTTGTCCCACGAGTCTGGGTAAGGACTCCAAGAGCTATCTCTGCTCTCTCTGTGATGTATAAACGAAGTTTTGTCCTTTTGGAAGGCCTAAAGCTGGAGCTTATACTAGGGCCTGCTTTAAGGTTTTGAAGGCTGTTTCTGCCTCTGGTTCCCATTCTACTAGATGAGTATTTGCCCTCTGGGTTTCCTTGATTAGAGTATAGAGGGGCCTGGCTATCTCGCTGTATCCAGAGATCCATATTTGGCAAAAGCCAGTGATTCCAAGGAACCTCCACAACTGTTTTAATGTCTTAGGGTGAGGATAAGCCATTATAGGCTTTATTCATTCCTTGCTGAGGGCCCTGGTCCCTCTGGATAAGATTAGGCCTAGATATTTGATCTGCTGTAGGCAAAGCTGGGCCTTCGACCTAGACATTTTGTACCCTTGATTAGCTAGAAAGTTCAAGAGATCTAGAGTAGCCTGCTGGTATGAGGCTTCTGAACTAGTAGCCAAAAGTAAATCATCCACATACTGAAGGATCAGAGTGCCTGGACTTGAGAAGTGGCCTAGATCTTGGGCCAATGCCTGACCAAACAGGTGAGGGCTATCCCTAAACCCTTGGGGCAAGACCATCCATGTAAGTTGGGACATGTGGTCTGTGGGATTCTCAAAGACAAAGAGAAACTGGGAGTCAGATTGCAGGGGAATACAGAAGAAGGCATCCTTGAGGACCAGAACAGTGAACCATTCTGCTTCCTCTGGTATTTGAGAAAGCAAGGTATAGGGGTTGGGTACAACTGGATATAGAGGAATTTCTGCCTCATTGATGAGTCTAAGATCTTGCACTAGTCTCCACTGACCATTCGGTTTTTGTACTCTAGAATTGGGGTGTTGCAGGGACTGCTGCATTTTCTTACTAAGACTTGAGCTTTCAAATGTTTAACAATATCCTGTAATCCTTTATGAGCTTCAGGCCTTAAGGGATATTGCCTTTGATAAGGAAAAGTGGTGGGGTCTTTTAGCCTGACTTGGACTGGGTGGGCATTTTTTGCCCTTCCAAATTGTCTTTCCAATGCCCAGACTTCAGGGTTGATTCCCTCCTCAAGTAGGGGACAACAAATGGGTAAATTGTTCCCCATATTCATGTAGATAATAGCTCCAGCCTTGGCTAGTATATCCCTCCCTAATAAGGGTGTGGGACTTTCAGGCATAACAAGAAAGTCATGTGAAAAGGGCAAAGTCTCCCAATTACAATGGAGGAGGTGGGAGAAATACCTGGTTACAGGCTGTCCCAGGATTCCTCAGATGGTAATGGACCTCGAGGACAGTCCAGGACAGGAGATTAACACTGAGAAGACCACACCAGTGTCCAGGAGGAAGTCAACTTCCTGACCTTCAATGGTTAAATGTACCCGGGGCTCAGTGAGGGTGGTGACATGAGCTGGTGCTTGCCCCAGGCACCGTCAGTCCTGTTGTTGGATCATCTGGTTGGGGTCTTCTGGTGGAGAACCTTTGTCCTCTGGGGCAGTGCACCTTCCAGTGATTGCCTCGGCATAGCGGACATGGATGAGGGGGCAGCTTGTTTCTCATTGGACAATCTTTTTTAAAGTGTCCTTGTAAACTGCACTGATAACAAGCCCTACTGGGTGATTGGCCTGCTCCATTTTCTGTCCTCTCTGAACCACCAAGGTTTGTTTGTCTGAGGGCCATGACTAAGGCTGCAGCCTTTCTCTGATCTCGCTTTTCCTTTTGGGCCTGTTCCTCTTGGTCCCTATTATAGAACACCGAGGTTGCCAAGTTTAATAATGCCTCCAAATTCTGTTCAGGGCCCAGGGCTTGCTTTTGAAGCTTTCTCCTGATATCTGTGGCTGATTGGGTAATAAACTTATCTTTTAGGATCAATTGACACTCAAGTGATTTGGGTGACAGAGGAGTGTATTTTCTTAAGGCATCCTGTAGCCGCTCAAGGAAGGCAGAAGGATTTTCTTCCTTTCCCTGAGTTATGGTGGACATCATTGAATAATTCATGGGCTTTTTCCTAATTCTCTTTAGTCCTTTTAGAACACAGGTCAACAGACATTTATGACTCCAGTCCCCATGATCTGAATCAAGGTCCCAGTGGGGATCCATACTGGAGATGGCTTGCTGACCAGTAGGGAATTTATCCCTTTCTTTGGCTGTCATTCTACCATTTAGTTGACTAAGATACCAGGTATCTCCAAACTCTCGGGCTGCAGCTAAAGCCACATTCTTTTCATTAAAGGCCAGGGTTTGATCTACCAATAGCATGACATCTCTCCAAGTGAGACAGAAGGTTTGCCCTAGACCCTATAGCACATGTATGTACCCATCAGGATCATCTGAAAACTTCCCCAGGTCTGCCTTGATCTGCTTTAAATCAGAGAGGGAGAAGGGGACGTGTACTGGGTTGTGCCAAATTCCCCTCCCCCTACAGCTTGAAGGGGACATAACCAATAGCCTGGGGGTTTTTGTGGTCTTTTGGAGATTTCTTTGCTTATTTCCTTTGGGTGGGGGAGATTAGAGGAGGATTATCATTAATAGGAAGCAGAGCTATAGGGAGGCTAGGATATGGGAGTAAGCAGAAAGGTCCTCCTTTGGGATGTAAATTGCAAGCTTTGCATAGTTGTGTAGTCTCCTTCAATGAAAAGAAGGCTTGGACATAAGGTATTTCACTCCATTTGCCTTCCCTCTTACATAAAAGATCAAGCTGCAGGGTAGTATTGTAATTTGTACTTCCCTCAGATGGCCATTTTTCCACATCAGAGAGAGAATATTGGGGCCAGGCCATAGTGCAGAAAAAAATGAGCTGCCTCTTTTTCAGGGTTTGCAGATCAAATTGGTCCCCATGGCTTAGGATGCATTTCAAGGTTGAGCCCGTGATGCCTGAGTGTTTCCCATCTGAAAGACAAAACTGCCTGCAGTT
Organism: Homo sapiens; assembly: GCF_000001405.40. Taxonomy (NCBI): domain Eukaryota; kingdom Metazoa; phylum Chordata; class Mammalia; order Primates; family Hominidae; genus Homo; species Homo sapiens. The sequence continues at coordinate 109,042,986 of NC_000010.11, read as the reverse complement.
TTGGTTTGTTTTGTTTCTCCCCCTGCCCAGGAACCTGCAACGGTCCCTGGACCCTGCTGATTGGAATAGTTGCACTCACCAATGCAGCAGCAGAAACAACCCCTGCCCAAGAACCTGCAGCGGTCCCTTGACCCTGCTGGTAGGAATAGTCGTGCTCACTGATGCAGCAGCAGAAACACTAGTTTTCCTCCCAGACCACAAGGAGGACCAAGGAAGGTCAGATTTAGTGGCTTTTACTGACACATTCTTGAAAACCTGCACCCTTACCTGTCCTCCTAGACCACAAAGAGGACTGAGAAAAATCAGATTTAGTGGCCCTTACTGACACATTCTTGAAAACCTGTTAGAGTCCTAAGCATTTTCCTGTTACTACTGGGACCTTACCCCATCCTGTAGAGATGTTATTCCCCAAAACTGAAGTGGAGGGCCATACCCTGAGGGAGGGAATGGATCTCCAGGGTTGGAAGAGTGATGCCTTTTGTCCTCATTTATATGAATAGGAAGGATACAATATCTGAGGCTCCCCGTATCCTAGCTTCAGGAATAGCTTTTGTTAGGCCTGCTAGTTTGAGGAGGGGTCTAAAATTCCAGACAGTCACCCTTATGATGAGGCTTTGGGCAAAAATTATGTCTTTCTGATTGGTGAGCCCGGGTGCCAAAAAAAGTTAACAGAGTCCTGGAGTTTATACTAGAAATCATTCTTACAGGAGAAACTAGAAAAGCACCAGAGACAGGGAGTGGTTTTTAGAAGCGGGACTAGCCTTGGAGGAGAAAGGAAAGAGGAAGTTTGTCTGACAGGCATTAGGACCCAGGAGGCAAGGGTCAGGATAGATAGGATAGATGGGCGAGTCTCACTTGGGCGACATGTCTTTGAGAGTTCCACTCATGGCCGCAGGGTCAAGCAACTTGTTGTCAGGACCCCAGAGCTGAATGGCTTTCCTCTCTGTTGACCCATGGCTCAGCCCAGAAGTACAGGAAAAGCGGAAGCTGGTTCCAGGCAAACCAATGCTCCCAACTCCAAAGAGTTGGGAGTTGTTAGAGAGCCCTTTCCCAGAAAGCCTGACACCCATGTCTTTAGTACGGTGGCCACGCTACTCGCTTTTAACTGGCTGACAGGTGCCCGGTATTTAGCCCCCGAATTCTAAGGAAAAATAGAATAGCAAGTGAAATGGGTCTGATGGTACTCACCACTTGGCGATAGGCGATAGTCTCACCGATAGGTGATAGTTTCACCACTTGGTGATAGGCGATAGTCCCATCTGGGTCACCAAAATATGTCTGGAATTGGTGGGTTCTTGGTCTTGCTGACTTCAAGAATGAAGCCGCGGACCCTCGTGGTGAGTGTTACAGTTCTTAAAGATGGTGTGTCGGAGTTTGTCCCTTCAGATGTTCAGATGTGTCCAGAGTTTCTTCCTTCTGGTGGGTTCATGGTCTCGCTGACTTCAGGAGTGAAGCTGCAGACCTTCGAGGTGAGTGTTATGGCTCCTAATGTTGGCGCATCTGGAGTTGTTCGTTCCTTCCGGTGGGTTTGTGGTCTCGCTGGCCTCAGGAATGAAGCTGCAGACCTTCGCGGTGAGTGTTACAGCTCATAAAGGTGGTGCGGACCCAAAGAGTGAGCAGCAGCAAGATTTATTGTGAAGAGCAAACGAGCAAAGCTTCCATAGTGTGGAAGGGGACCTGAGCAGGTTGCCGCTGCTGGCTCAGGGAGCCTGCTTTGATTCCCTTATCTGACCCCACCCATATCTTGCTGAGTGGAGCATTTTACAGAGAGCTGATTGGTCCATTTTACAGAGAGCTGATTGGTCCGTTTACAATGCTTTAGCTAGACACAAAAGTTCTCCAAGTTCCCACTAGATAAGCTAGACACAGAACACTGATTGGTGCATTTACAAACCTTTAGCTAGGCAGAGTGCTGATTGGTGCATTTACAAACCTTTAGCTAGACACAGAGTGCTGATTGGTGCGTTTAAAATCCTTTAGCTAGACAGAAAAGTTCTCCAAGTCCTCACCCATCCCAGAAGCCCAGCCGGCTTCACCTCTCACTGGCACTCACTACGGGACTCTGCAGCACCCAGCCTGGGCACTCTGGCAGCCCAGAGGGAGCTCATCCCCCAGTCAAGCCCAGCAGGCACTGGCCGGCCGTTCCGAGTGCGGGACTGCTGAGCCCGCGCCCACCCGGAACCCTCGCCGGCCTGCGAGTGCTGCATGCAGACCTGGTTCCCGCCCGTGCCTCTCCCTCCACACCTCCCTGTGAGCAGAAAGAGCTGGCTCTGGCCTCGACCAGACCCAGAGAGGGACCCTCATAGCACAGCAGTGGGCTGAAGGTCTCTTCGAGTGTGGCCAGAGCGGATGCCAAGGCCCAGGAGGTGCCGAGAGCGAGCGAGGGCTGCTAGCACATTGTCACCTCTCAGGAACCATAAGAACCTATGCATGAAGAAGGTGAAGGCCCTAGCTCTATAAACCATTGAATTCATATATTCTTCTATGTATACTTATAGGCATGTGTGCATGTGTGTATGGGTGTGTGTGTATACACACACATTTATAAATGTATATATATTAGGAGTCTGAATTTTATTTTGTATATACTGAGAAGACATTAAGAAGATTTACATAGCGAATAATATAATCAAGTGCACATTTAAACATTTTAGCAGCTTTATTAAGATACAATTTATATACCATATAATTCATCTATTTAAAGTATACAGTTCATTGGCTTTTAGTGTATGCATAGATATGTGCAATCAGTATTATAACATACTTATAACCCCCAAAAGTGAGTGAAGAGTTTAAATATATATGATAAGACTTGTAACACCCACTGATGGATACATTGATCTTCTTTGGCTTGATTTTAAGCCTTTTTAGGACAGATATAGAGAATCCCTTATTCTAATGTCTAAGGGCTTTACGTCTCAGAAGTGACTTTTATCGTGTATTGAGTTGAGTGACCTAAGAGTTCAGTCAGCCCTTCCACTTCAGCCAATCAGAACTATCATGCTCTCCACCTTTCTGCCTCTTCCTCTATCTCTGTTTATCTTAGAGTTCCTCAGTTCTCTGCTGACCTTCAGACCCTCAACCACAGGACATTTCTAAACTTCTGGAGCTCCCTTTTTCTTTTGGGTGCAACTTTTTCCTTAGTATTCTGTCCCACAAATTCCAGTCACCTTAGTAGCCCAATTTCCAATTTCTGTCCCCTCCTCTAAACGGACTGTCATGTTCTGCCAGAACTCTTAACTCTCTAACTCATGCCAAGTCTGGAAAGTAACCCAAGGTAGAGAACTTGAAGAATTGAAGGGACTACTTCAAGTATTTCCTAATAGCATAGTATCTAAAAACAGTCGTTGCATATGTTCTATCCAGTTTTATATAATAGTTGTTTGGGGTAGGAAGATTAGTCAATACGAGATTGTTTATCATGGGCAGATGCAGAAGTTATTATAATTATATCTAATTGCCTCCAATAGCTGATGGCTATTTCTACCTTCACCTTTAAATAATGTTATCAGGGAGATTGAATTTTATGTTCTGTCTTGCAACACTAGTTTTTCACCCTGTCCTAGAAATTCTCAACCTGATAATAGATTACATTATTGGTCCACCAATTATCTATTATTTCCTGCATTGTGCGTAAGATACAGATAAAGAGAAAACACAACAGTATTAGTATAATGAAGTGAAAACTATCCACAAGAAAAGAGGGTTGATCATTCTTAACATGTGTGAGTGTACTGGAAGAACAACAATTTGTTACCTGAAAAATTTATTGCAAGACTAATCAATTTCTGTTTGCAGTTTTCTTGTAAGAATTTAGTACAAATTATTATGACTTCTTTTAAATACCATGAATATTGAAGAAAATAGAAAGTAGATGATATGAAGCAAAAAGATACTTTATCTTTTGGTTTCAGATAAAATATTGGGTACAGACATATGCAAATAGCCTACTTATGATCCATTTTAAGGTAATGCTTATTATTATAAAAGTAAACACATTATCTCATTAGGGCAGTGATGGAGAAGTCAAGTTACAACAATGAACCCTTATGTCTACATAAGAAATGTATGCCTTAAACAGAACCATGAGAAGAGAGAATGTTTACTTAGGCAAGTACAGCTGAGGGGTAGGGATAGAAAAAGACATGGTCACAGAAATGGGTGACATTGCCATTTTTATAGGAGTTATTAATAGTTGGTACATTTACATACCAGCAAATCATTGTGATAATGGAGCCACATTTAGATAGCTGTGTGTGTCCCCAGCAACAAATATATATTTCAAACTATATCCATGATGTAAATAAACAAATTTTAAAAAACTGTATAGAAATTACAGAAAAGATATTTGTCTAAACATTTCAGAGGAGTTATGATACTTACTAGTTTCCCCCAATCAGAAAGTGAATAATATCAAACTCAGAAGGCTTATGTGGCAATATGTCTCTTATCGTAGGCCTAAAAGGAAAAGAGAAAATAGGGAGGGCAAAGCAACAGGGGAAACATCATTCCACATAGGAAGAGAGGCAATACCTCCTGACAACCCTAATTGGAACCCCCAGACTTTTCTATGGTGTTTTTCCTTCTTTCACGGTTTAAAATGGCTCTTTTATAATGTTCCTCCAAACTAGGAAAAGTTAATTTTCCCAAACCTTAAAATGCTTTGCTTAGAGGTGAGCTAAGGGAAAGGAAACCAGAAGGCTGACGTGCCGGCAAAAGGGTACAAACTTCTTACCAGTGGGGCTACCACCAGGTGGAGGCTGCATTGGCATAATAAAAGACTAGAGTGGGAGGACCAGTCTTTTTCGGGCTATGTTAATGGCACTCCTGGTCAAACCAATCCCCTGAGCCCTATGTAAATCAATCACCATTTCCTCAAGCCTCTGTACAAAACTGATTGCATTCCACTGCAAACCAGAGACCCTCTTTTGGGCGACACACTTTCTCAGCACAAGGAAAATTTTTCTCTCTCTTTTCTTCTATTTCTATTAAATTTTCCACTCCTAAACCCACTCCTCATGTGTGTTTGTCTCCTGAATTCTTTCTTGACTGAGACCAATAGCCGGGGTATATACCCCAGACAACAGAGCTGTTTCACATGGATATTGAACTTGTTGGACCTAATTTTATCTGATATTTCAAAGGGAATGTAAAGAATGATCAGGAATTTGGTAGGTAAGGAAGGATTATGGGATGGGGAGTTCTGTATATAGGGAACAGCATATTCAAGGGACCTGTGATGGGAACAAATAAGGTATATAAGAAGTTAGAGTAATCTGATGTGCTTAGAATGTAAGGACTGAGTGGGGATATGAAACTAGAAAATACACAGGAGTAGTTGTGCTGATAAAATGAGATAACACACACATAGGACATAGTAAGCTGCCTGGCTAAGGAAGAATGTTTAACTATGTTAGCTATTAATTTTATTTATTGTAATTCCTGCCTTGGGCTTAAAATGTCTCATTTTCAGTGACCTATTAAATCAGGATCTTTTCCTCTCATAAGAAGTTATTTACCTTAAGGAAGTAGCAACAAACTGGGTTGAGGCTAAAATAGAATCAGTAAGTAGAGGAGTCTTCATTATGGGGACAATGTGTCCATAGACCTTGGCCCAATTTGAGACTGATAATTTATTAATTCTTTAACAGTATCAAGGTGCTAGCACTAGTTATGACTTTGTAATCAGCTGTGTCCAGGGAAGAAACAAATTAAGGAAAAATGTTTGTCAATTTCCTTGTATTTAAATGGTAGAATGAATTTTTTAAACCTAGTTATACAATTTTCCTGATTCTTTGAAAACAAGGCTTGTCGTATGTTGCTTTAATTAAATTGAGGCAAATATAGAAACAGCAAAACCCGTGAGATGTGATTAGAGTTGTTTCCAAAAGAGTTTCTTTCTCATTGTTTCTTTTATTTTGAAAACACTTAATAATGAGGCTGTATGTTTCAATAATGACATTTCTTCAACTATGATTTGATTACTTATGTCGTTGCCCATTTTCCTTTTGGGGTGTTGGTTTATTTACTATATTTTAAATACATGATTTCCATGTACCAATAGGTTGTTATATTTGAGGGCTTATTATATGTGGGTTATATTTCTAAGCTGTTTACAAAAATACATTGTTTTATCTTTACAAAAATTAAGCAGGATATAAGTATTATCATTATCATTCCTGTCTTACAGATCAAAACAAGTGGCATAGCCACTTGCTGAGTTCATCTCTACACTGGCTAGTCAGTTGTTCTATCAATTGTTTAGAGAGGAGTATTGAACTCTACCTATAATTATGGATTTGTCTATTTCTCGTTTCAGTTCTATAGTGTTTGTTTCTCATATTCTGCAGCTGTGTTTTTTAGTTAGTACTCATTAAGAATTACGTGGGGTTCTCGTTGGATTGAAACTTCTATCAAGATGTAACGTCCCTCTCTGTCCCTAGTAATTCATTCTCTGAAGTCTCCTTATCTGATATTAACACATGTGCTCTTAATCTTTTTCTACCATCTAATTTCAACTTACATGTATAGTTATTGCTGTATTTTCCTCTAATCCAAACTTAATATTTCTCTCCTGAAAGTAGCTATAAACTTACCCTTCCCTGACAGTAATCCAAGGGATGTGGTCATGGATGTTTATACTGTGCTTTTCTCGGGATACTTCTTAATCCTAGTGGATGACATAATGCCTAGGTGCCTGACCTTCAACAGGTATTCCTCTTACAAGAAACCTGTCTATACTGAGTGATGTCCTTGTGACTCTTGTCTGACCTGTGTCCAGTTTACTCCTACCAAGACAGCCACTCTCTAGGAGAGAGATAACTGAGAAAAATGTTGTATGTATAAGTCCCATGTTGAGGTGGTTACTGAGAGGAAGATGCATTGGGCAGATTTATGCATCTACCACATTGAGGAACTAGGAGAAATTAAAGAACTGGAAACTATGTCAAAAGTAGTGAAGTCCTGCTTCTGGTATGAGACAGTTAACCCTATACTCAGAATGCATGCCAAGGCAATATAAAGTGACATTTATTATAGTTATATTTGAACTGCATTTCTTGTAGCAGCATACAGTTATCATGTATTTTTATCAACTTGGACCATCTCTGCCTTTTTGTCTAGAATTAACACCCTTCCACATTTTCATCTAGGTCGTGTATCCTATAGTCTCCGTATAAATGCCTTTTTTGATCAAGAATCACTTTTTAATGTTAAAATCTGGTCAAAACAGAATAGGCCTACTTGTGCAGTAGAGAGCTCCCCGTCACTAGGAGTATTTATAGAGGATGTGTGAAATCTTTACTGGAAATTGTATAGGCTAAACAAAAGAGAATTTTAAAATGCTTAAATATATTGACATAGGAGGACATTCTCATGGAAGAAGTAAAATTTTGTTTGAAGGTGGAGACCATATTTATTTAATGTAATTATTGCTATGTTAAGGCTTATGTTGCCATTTTATGTTTTGCTTTGTGGTGTATATTTTTTTGGGAGGGAGGTTCTGTTTTTCCCTCGCTGTTATTCATTTCTTTGTTTTCTAATTACATCTTTGTTGTGGGCAGCCGTGATATTTTCTGGAAAATAATTCAAATTTGATTTATCTATATTTCTTGGGTAGATTTTTCAGTAGATGTTCTAGGTGATATATATTTATCTATATATATAATTTATCTATATACCTTATCATAGTTTACTGTTATTGACATTTTACGGAGTATAGAAAGAGTATCTCCTCTTAAATTCCTTTACCCTCCCCTGTTTATAATATAATTACCTTAAGTATTTCTTATGAATACATTGACAACCACATCAAAAAATGTTATAAGTTTTGCTTCTCAACATAATTGATAAAACTCAAGATCACATTTACCCATATCTTGCACTTTCTGTTTTTCTTTCTTCCTTCCTAATGTTTTAAGATTCTTCAATTCCTTTCTGTTTTAAGAGTTTCTTTTCGACACTCTTCTTGCATAGGTATGCTAGCTACATATTCTTTTGATTTTCTTCCTGAATAGGGTTTTATTTTAGAGTTGTTCTTCTGTTTATTTCTTTTTCTCTAAAATCCATATTTATTCCCTGTATTTGTGGCTCTGGCTGGGTGATTGACAAGGGCATTGACTCTGCAGGAAAAAAAAAATATTTCTGTAGGCAGAAGTAAAACCCCAGGTGTACTGGATACTTTTGTTGTGTGTACAGACATCTTATGAAGTATTGGAATATCAGTCCAATCAAAGAGCAACATAAAAGAAAATTTCATGTCTATAGTTGGGGAGTAGGGAATTGCAGGAATTTGGAAATAATCTTAGTTGTGAATCAAGGGCTGGGGAAAGGGAGTTAGAAGATATACACTGTCGTTAAAACTACAGATAGAAACCTCACTCAGCTTCTTATGATGAAACCTGGTTTAGATGCTCATTACATTTTGACCCTTTAGGAAAAACACAGCTAAACATCATAGTGGTTTGGCTTTCCAGGTGTGTGTAAATGGCTGGCTAAATTGATCAGAAAATCCATCACTATTCAGAGTGGGTAGGATCACCCCTGACAGAGAGCAGAATCACTGCATTGCATTCTGACAAGTCCAAATAATTGAGGGTCATAAATCACCTTCAAGTCAAAGGGCACGTGGATGGTGAACATTAGGAGCGGATGTGGAGGGATTCAGGAGTTGGCAAATACAGATCCAGTTAAATTCTCAACTTATCCAGCTACCCTCTTTATGAGTTCTCCGTGTTGTTTTCAAAAGTACTTTTTAATTGTATCTCAAGTTTTTTAATGACATTGCTCAAATTATAATTTTCTGGGGATGTGAACTTATGTCATTACACAATTGTAGCAATCCTTTTTCTCCCTATAACTGTGCATAAATTGGACAAACAGAGCATGTACACTGGTGCTCTGTAAATAAAAAGATCATTTACATTGGGTACTCTGCAGTACCTGGAGACCCACAAGTAATCACAAGCAGCCTCCTCTCACTCCATTTGAATCCTACCTGTTCTTCAAGTCATGGCTTTTCCATGATGATGTCCTCAACCACCTTAACTCATGGGGATTATTCCTGTCTTATTTTTAATAGAATTAACTCATTACGACCGGGGGTGGTGGCTCACATCTGTAATCCCAGCACTTTGGGAGGCCGAGGTGGGTGGGTCACGAGGTCAGGAGTTTGAGACCAGCCTGGCCAACATGGTGAAACCCCATCTCTACTAAAAACACAAAAATTAGCCAGGCATGGTGGTGGGAGCCTGTAATCCTAGCTACTCAGGAGGCTGAGGCAGGAGAACTGTTCGAACCCAGGAGATGAAGGTTGCAGTGAGCTGAGATCATGCCACTGCACTCCAGCCTGGATGACAGAGCAAGACTCCGTCTCTGGAAAAAAAAAATTAACTCATTACATCATCATACCTATCTTAAATTACCTTGAATTATAATCAGCATATGGGTATTAAGATATTTTGTATATATATATATATAAAATATACATTTCCATGTATTTTTAATTATATGTATTGTATTTCAATTGTGCTATTTTGGTGCTATATTTTAATGAATATTTTTGTGTATATGTTATTCTATTTGACTTTTTCTATATGTTACAGCACCACAATTAAATTGTACTCTCTAGAAAGATATAGGATAGTATGTCAAAAACAACTAATATCTGTATAATTTGTGTGCTATAATTACAATCTGATTTCACGTATGTGCCTTATACATTCTATGAGATGCGCCATTAATACTTTTGTTTCGATGATAAAGCAACTGAGACTCAAAGAGGAAATTTCCTGATGAGTTTAAAGCTAGTAATAACTCAGAGCTTCTAAGTCTACATGGTTTAATTGGGTCTCTTCCAACCAGTGTCTTTTCTGTTTCATTCCCATCTTTGAGTCAAGCACAGGGGCTGGCTCATATAAGTACTCAAAAGTATTTATGATTGTATAAGCATGAGTATATATTCAGCCTGATGGGTATATACTACTCAGTGGGAATATCTATTCAGGTAGTGGTGGTAGAGGATAGTCACTGTTTTTCTGCCTTGACAATGTTTGTAGTCTAGTGGAGTCAGAAAATAGATAAAAGATCAAACACCTTGTTAAGAAACATGAGTTATTAACCAAGTATTGTGGGGGTACAGACAAGGGAAGTGGTTGTCTCTGAAATAACTGAAGAAGCCTTCACATAAAAGGGTAACTGTTTCTAGGCCCTGAAGATAAATCAGAATTTTCCAGGTGAAGAAACAGTGACAGACATTGTACAAAGAGAGATTAATACGTACAAAAGATACAGAGTTGTAAAGAGGCATAGGGAGAATGAGGATGTCAGTGTTTCTGGAGTGTAGAGGCAAGATGGGGAATTAGAGCTATTAGCAGAGTAATCTGGAGAGGTATGTGTGGCTTCTATATAAAATAATTTCTGTCTCAAGTCAGGGAATTAATCCTCTGCAATCCTGTTAATCAGAAGAGCTTTACAATCTATTTTTTATAAAGGAATTAAAAAATAAATTATAAGAGCCCCTGCTTATTATGTTCTAAGCCTTATAAAAGTTTCTTTATGGATGTCATAACATTAATGGACTAGAATAATCCTGCAAAGTAGACAACATGATTCTCATTTTGCTGATGATGGATCTGAGGCAGGGGAGAAAAGCAGCTTGCCTGTGACCACAAAGCTGGTAGACACCACCTCCAGGATTTTGCTGTAGATCACCTCCAGGATTTTACCACAGATCACCTCCAGGATTTTACTGTAGATCTCCTCCAGAACTTCCCATGAGTTTATTGGTGATGGGAATGAGGGGGCACACATACACATCACACACTTTGGAACCTGGGAAATCAGTTGTGAAATGGGGAATCATAGACCAGTGTGCTCGATGAGTAAAGATGGTGTGAGAGCCTGAACTAGGGCAGAATAGTTGGGCTTGGTGGGAAGGATCACACCGGAGGGGTGATTCTAAGGTTGAGCCTAGCACTCACTTTCTGACTTCTCTCCTTACTTCCATTCTTCCCCTTTACAATTCAACTGTCACCAAGTTACAGAAACTTTTTCTAAAAATGAAAAAAGTCTAATTTCATCTTTTTCTGCTGTCTTTTTAATGTAGAAATAAATTTAAAAAATTAATATGGATATAACATATCTGCCAAATTATCCACCTCACTTTCTTCACTGTAGGAATGCCAGTGCTCCTCACATTCTTCCAGAGTGGTGTTTTTTTTTTTTTTTTTTAAATCTTTGTTTTTGTTTTTTCCCATCTCAGGACCCTTGCATATGCTCTTTTTGTCTAGAATTAACACCCTTCTGCATTTTCATCTAGGTCATATACCCTATAGTCTCTGTATAAATGCCTTTTTTGATCAAGAATCACTTTTTAGTGTTAAAATCTGGTCAAAACAGAATAGTCCTCCTTGTATAGTAGAGAGCTCCCCATTACAAGGAGTATTTATAGAGGATTTGTGAAATCTTTATTGGAAATTGTATAGGCTACACAAAAGGGAATTTTAAAAGGCTTAGATATATTGAAATAGGGGGGCATTCTCAAGGAAGAAGTAAAATTTTGGTTGAAGGTGAAGAAAGGGCCAGTTTTATAAAAGTCGGGGACAGCTTGGTGAAGTTAATGGAGTAAGAGAGGGAGTATTCAGGGAGGACGAGAGTGTATGAAGAATCTGAGGGCACAATGGGTTCCACAGGCTCAAGAAGCAAAGAAAATAACAGCCCAGCTGGGCTGTGCATGTGGAACAACGGTGGAGTAGCAGGCTGGGTTATTGTGGAAACGTGGGCCTTAAGCTTTGTCATTCATGCTAAGAAATCCCTTAGTGTACAGGTACAGAAGCTCAGCCAACCCTCACTCATGAGTACAGGAATAAAATTGCTTTCTCTTGAGGTAACTCAGGGGTCATCAGTGGCCTGCGGTTCCAGCAAATGGGTTATGGTCCACCCATCGTGATGGAAAATTCAAAGAAGTCTCTTGCAAAGTCAGAATATGAATCAGATTGCATCAAAGTGTGTCAGAGGAAAAGGTCATGGATGTGCTGATGCATCTCTCTGTACTTCCCACATGAAAGAATCCTTCAAACCCGTCTCCATCAAACACTCCTGCTCATGCCAAGATGGTTCTTGGCTGAAGGAAAGGCCTGTGGGGTTTGTGAAAGTTGGCTCTTTCTATATAGAGTTTTTCATGCTTCTTGTAAAAATGTCACTGAGTTAATTAAAAAAAAAAAAGATTGGCACACATATTGGTGAGTCTGCAAAAGACTCTCTACAAGCTGATTTTTAAGAACACACCAAAGCCCCTTCAGGGAAGACAAAATAAAATCCTCAGAATTGAATCTCAATCTGGAAAACTTTCCTCTCAGCAATTTCCTTTGCAAACACATTATGTTATAGCAAACCCGAGACAACCACAATAGCTGTAGTCTGCCAGGAAATAGTGCATTTTCTTTCTTTCCTCCTGCTTCTCCTCCTCCTCCTCTTTATTTTTCTTCCTCCTTCTACCTTTCCTTCTTCTTTTTTTTTTATATTTAAAATACCAGTTTCAAATAGTTTGTGAGTTTTTCACACCAAAGCCATTTTTGCTTTAGGATGACAAAGCCATCACCAACATGCGTCCCTGAAATAGTCTACTTTTCAAAAACTCCCTTAGCTGAGGCATTAAAGGAGTTTCTTTAGAAAATAGTAAGGAATTAGATTCACCCCTCTTAACAGTGTGAAGTGTGTTGCTTCTTTGACAAGAGCTAAAGAAACTCCCATCTTTTAACTGAGTCTGTAACCCAGGGACAATGCTGTTGATGAAGTCACTCTAATCCCTCCACTGAAACTCCCTCTGTGGGAGTCACAGGTTTCTCCGTGGTTCTAGCCATAGTCATTTGAAGCAGAATGTGATTTGCCCTGTGTGGGAAGAGGCACAGACATGCTGAGCTGTGGTAGTGAAATGAGAAAGCCATGGTGTCAGAGGTTGGTTCACGGTTACTCCAGAATGGTCTTCTGTGGGTGGAACACATGCATAAATACGGCATTTCTTACAGATGGCCAGTGCTCTCTGAGCAGCTCCCACACCCAGTGTCCGTGTTGATCCCCTCCTGAGCAAATTCATTCACTTGCCTGGTAGAATCTAAGGATTAGCACTGTGCAGTTTTCTTTTGAGTTTTCAAACAACCTTTTATTCTTCCCACGGGAAAGAACAGTAGCACCTACTATTTACTGAGCATCTACTATGTATTAGGCACTGTGCTAAGCACTTTAAATGAATTATTTAATATTTTTAGCAAAACATCCTAAAACATGGATGTTAACCTCACCTCTATTCTGCAGATGAGGAAATTAAGCCTTAAAGACAGTATGAGGCAAAGCCAGTTCCGCCTGGAGGTTTGTTTAAAATATCCATGAAGCCTAAACTTTCAAAGCACCGTGGACAGATGGTGATGAGGACAGAGACAGCAGTGACTTGCAGCCCGGCGGACTGAGTGTGACCAGCAGCTCTCGCACTCACCCAGGTGCCCAAGGGCCATCTCATGGAGATGTGGTTTTCTTAGCTGTCCAAAGAAGAAAATTATAAGACTTGGGGAAAATGAAATCAACCAAAGTTAGTGAGTGTGTCTGGCATTTTGCCTGCTATCAAGTAGGTGAGCTTGGCTTGATTCTGAGCTTTAGAATTACTTCAAAGGCAGACAATGAGCACCATTTTCGCTCATGTAAAGTTATTTTGCTTCACTAGAAAGCATTTATTTTGGTAAGTGGTTGGCCATTTACAAGCTTGATGTGCTTAAATGAGCTCACCCATGAAGATCCTGAAGAAGTTAAGTTATACCTCATTAGGGAAGTGATCAGATCCATACATCTGTGATAATCATAGATATTGAGAAGGCTTTAATTGATAGATGATGTTTTATTCTTTAAACTGCAAGGCATGTGTTAAGATGGTCATCGTATATGTTGATACTCCCAGTGGATTTGAACTTTTTCTAATAACAAACACAAGTGGGACACTAACAAAAGGAGTGCCCTCTTATTGCCTCTGGTTTTCAGACTGAATTCTTATGTATTTTGTTTTGGCTGTTGTTTTTTATTTCTTTTCAAGGAGCTGTTCCAGAAGCAGAAACCCTCTCAGCCTTGATTTTGGATCCAGCTCAGGACCGTTGTGCTTAAGATTCATTGTTATTGTGGCTTATCATCACATCTGTTTCTAACCTCATTAGGTATGATTTTTATGTCTCTATGTCTCTATGCATGCAAGAGAACAGACACTACAGCTCACTTTTTTTTTTAAGTTACTAATGGCATGAAGCACACGAAAGAATGACTGAGACTGAGAGTTCTGTGAAGGCAAAGGACCTATTTATCTTTCCTTACTGGATCTTTAATGCCTAAGATGGCATCTAGCACATAGGAGGTGCTCTTGGTGTATTTGCACATTAATTGGCTTGATTGAATATACGCAATAGAATTTTATAAGCTCTCATAATTAGGGTTGAGTTATTCTTATCAAGGATTGTCATTTCTCAAGTTTCACTTTTTTTAAGACTGATGTTAATTAAGATAGAAAAAAAGCAGCACATGTAAGGCACAGCTAGAGGCTATGAAATAATAGCATCATCATCAACAGCAATAGTAACAAAAATTAATGATACTTATTGAGCACTTACCATATGCCAGGCACACACTTAGTACTTTATGTATTATTTCATTTAGAATAAAGGAGATATTCATTACCATTCCCATTTATGGATGAGAAAAATGAGGCACAGGGAAATTTAATAACTCACTTGAGGTCCCAAGTAAGTTGCTGAGCTGGGCTTTGAGCCTGTCTATTTGCTGCCACAGCTACATTCTAACCACTATGCATTGTTGTGATTCCAAGTCCCCAGATATAACCCCAAAATGCCTCCAATTTCTCTTTCAAAATAAGAGATGAATATCCTGGCAAGCTTCAGGGAAGTCTTGTTTTCTTTGCTATGGCATTTGCTCCTGATGGCATGAAATATTTATAAATAAATTCCTTATTTTCTTTTGGCAGCATGGTGAGGTAGTGTTCTATGCTGGTTCAATCAGAAGTGCTCAGTCAGCCAGCCAGACTATGAATTCCTTGCTCTGCTTAAAAGCTTTTTTTTTTTTAAAGTTACATAACTGACTACATGAGTTTCTTGTTTTATAAGTGGAAATGAGAGTACATATATTCTAGAGCTGTATATTGCTTGACAGAATACATGCAAACTACTTACCACAAAGTTTAATGCAGAAGGGTAATTATTGTTTTATAATAACAATATGAATTACTGCAGAGGTAGCATGGGTTCTTTGCATTCCTATCGTGAGGTCAACATGGAGTAGAAAGTGAGATTTAGATGTAGATACTGAGTAATTCAGAAAATATTGGATAATTAGATTTTTCCCATATTTGTGCAATCATTCTAAAAAGTCAATTGTTAAATAAAAATAATGTGGTTACAATGATCTTATTTTCCAAACCATAACAATAGGATCATCTCACTTGATAAAAATTTTGTTCTGATGTATGAATATGTATAAATACATACAACACACACATACACACACACACAACACACACACAAACACACAACACAGGCTTACCAACCGTTAAAAATGGATTCAGTTGTGCTTTTATCAAAGCGGCCTAATGGAAAAGAATAAAATTATCTATAATTGTGACTGTCTTGGAAAATCCAAGATTTTTATAGGCCCCATATTTATAACGCACAGTATCTATAAGGGAGATATCACTATTTTCAAAGCTATCAAAAATCTACTGTGAATAAGAAATATTTTTCTTTCACTAAGCCCAGAGATTCTGTTTTCCTTAATCATCTCTTTATTTGTAGTGAGTGTTTCATTAGCCATTGACACTGCTGCATTGTTATCTTTCTGGATTGCTCGCTCCATGTCATTCTCATTTTCTTAGTCCTTGGAAAAGATCTGTTTCATGGATATATTGCCTCACTCTCTCTTCCCCACTTTGAGTTATACTGCATGGTATTAAATTTTATCTTGCTTTGTTCCTTCTCTTCCCACTCTTTTTCCTTCCCTTCCTTTCTTTACTCTTCTCTTCTTGAACAATTAATTCCTGAAGCCATTTAATTGGGCATAATAAAAAAGATAAGTGGCTGTCCTGGGAGGAAAGGGAAGCTGCAGGGGCGTAGTGCAGGGATGAGGAGCACCTCACCTCGTTCTGTGCAGGGTGAGTAAGACACACAAGTGGGAACAGCTTGGAATAGGTGAGGGGGACATGCATGCAATGGTGGTGAGACAGGCCCAGCTTGGAGTATTGGTTATGAAATGGGGTGAGGGGTGAGGATTGAGGGCTTTCCTGTCAAAGGGTGGCCCACATAGCATGTTGGAACCAAAGACAGGTAAGGTGGGGCTTTGCAAAGAAGAAATATTGGCTATGTGCAAAGGGATAGAAGGAAAGGAAGAACAATAAATTAAGGATAACGAGAGCCCAGTTTCTCACTGTTAGAGAAGGGAGATCAAATGTTAAAAGTGTAAAAACTAAAAGGAATCTTTTCAGTTTTGGTAGATTGGAATTTGAAGTATCAGTATGACTTCAAGGAAGGGTGTGTGTGTTTCTTAGTTCATTTGTGCTACTGTACCAAGATAGCACAGACTAAGTAATTAAAAAAAATAGTAATGTATTTCTCACAGTTCTGAAGACTGAGAAGCCAAAGATCAAGTGGGAGGGGATGGTGAGGGCCTTGCTGTGTCCACACAGGGCAGATGAATGGAGAAAAATGGACTAGGTCCTGCAAGCCCTTTTCATAGCAACATTATTCTATTCATGAGGGTGGGTCTTTCTTTACCCATTCACTTCCCAGAGGCCCTGCCTTCCAATACCTTCATCTTGGTGGTTAGGTTTCAACACGAGTTTTACAGAAGGCACTATATTTAAACCATAGCAGTATGTGTGTTGTTTGGTTTCCTTTATTTGTTTGCTCTATTAATTGAAAGGGCCTCAGAGCAGTTATAGCAGTAAGATCTTACATTGAGTGTTCTTATTACACACAAGTACACAAATACACACATAAATAATAATAATTAAAAAAGAATAGGAAACTTTTAGAGGTGATGGATAGGTTTATGACATAGATTGTAGGGATGATTTTATGAGTTTACACATTTCTAAAGTCATCAAGTTGTAAGCATTGAAATGTACAGGTTTTTATATGTCAATCATACCTCAGTAAAGTGTTTTTAAAAATAGGAGCACTCCTTCTGCCCGTATCTTATCTTCTAAATACATTTTTCACTATGGGAACCAGGAATATTTTTGTGCGTGTGTGCCAGAAAGTAAATAAATAAATAATGATGGAATGTATCAAAAAGACACAGAAGCCAGTTAGGAGAAGTTCTCTGTGCCAAATTGAGCATAATTTGAGCATCAAAATAAGTAATACTAGTAACACATTATAACCCATTGAATAAAATAGGAAACCATCAGTCTAACCATGTTTAAATAAATGAATAAATAAGTAAATTTGAAGAGGAAAAGAATCTTTGAATAGTTTGAAAGTGACCCTTCTGAAACAAAATACTTAAGAAAAAAAGAGGAACTTCAGAGTGGAGAAGCACTACTTAATCAACATCATCATTTGTAATGAGGAAGTGAACATTATCAGTAATGGGACAAATTGAAATCATCCACTGCATGATAAGATTAAAGGGAAAGGACAAAGAACCAAACATGCATATAATCTAATCATGAGGGAACAGCAGGCAGACCCACAAGGGATATATATTTTACAAAATATCTGGCCTGCAATTATCAAAAGTGTCAAAGTTATGGAAGTCAAAGAAAGAAAGGAAATGTTCCAAAAATGAAGAAGACTAAACAGACATGACGATAAAATATGACGAATGATTCTGAACGGGATCCTTTTGTCATAAAGTCATTATTGGGAGCATTGATATCTGAGTACTATATGGCAGTAATGCATCAACATTAATTTATGGCTTTAATGGTGATCATTGTTTGTAATTATGCAGAAAATCATATATTTTTTGTTTATTGGAATAAGATGGCTGTATGTATGAGTAAGGGGATATCAGTTCAGCAACTTACTCTCAATTGGTTCGGGGGGGAAGTGTTCTTTTTTTAAATCATACTTTAAATTCTGGGGTACATGTGCAGAATGTGTAGGGTTGTTACATAGGTATACACGTGCTATGGTGGTTTGTCACACCCATCAACCCGTCATCTACATTAGGTATTTCTCCTAATGCTCTCCCTCCCCTTGCCCCCCACCCCCTGACAGGCCCCAATGTGTGATGTTCCCTCCCTGCATCCATGTGTTCTTATTGTTCAACTCCGACTTATGCGTGAGAACATGCGGTGTTTGGTTTTCTGTTCTTGTGTTGGTTTGCTTAGAATGATGGTTTCCAGCTTCTTCCATGTCCTTGCAAAGACATGAACTCATCCTTTTTTTGTGGCTGCATAGTATTCCATGGTGTATATGTGCCACGTTTTCTTTATCTAGTCTATCATTGATGGGCATTTTGTTTGGTTCCAAGTCTTTGCCATTGTGAACAGTGCCGCAATAAACATATGTGCACATGTGTCTTTATAGTAGAATGATTTATAATTCTCTGGGTATATACCCAGTAATGGGATTGCTGGGTTAAATGGTATTTCTGGGTCTAGATCCTTGAGGAATCACCACACCGTCTTCCACAACGGTTGAAATAATTTGCATTCCCAGCAACATTGTAAAAGCGTTCCTATTTCTCCACATCCTCTCCAGTATCTGTTGTTTCCTGACTTTTTAATCATGGCCATTCTAACTGGCGTGAGATGGTATCTCATTGTGGTTTTGATTTGCATTTCTCTAATGACCAGTGATGATTAGCTTTTTTTCATGTTTGTTGGCTGCATAAATGTCTTCTTTTGAGAAGTGTCTGTTCATATCCTTCACCCACTTTTAGATGGGGTTGTTTTTTACTTGTAAATTTAAGTTCTTTGTAGATTCTGGATATTAGCCCTTTGTCAGATAGATAAATTGCAAAAATTTTCTCCCATCCTATAGGTTGTCTGTTCACTCTGATGGTAGTTTCTTTTGCTGTGCAGAAGCTCTTTATTTTAATTAGATCCCATTTGTCAATTTTGGCTTTTGTTGCCATTGCTTTTGGAGTTTTAGTCATAAAGTTTTGCCCATGCCTATGTCCTGAATGGTATTGCCTAGATTTTCTTCTAGGGTTTTTATGGTGTTAGGTCTTATGTTTAAGTATTTAAGCCATTTTTTATAGCAATAGAGAGTAAATTGAAGTGTCCAGTGCTTCTTTTTTGACCTGCAATCTGTTAACAGCTAGTGTGCACTGGCTTCTTCTCTCTTTCTCTGCCTCTTCCTTTGAAGTTGAGCAAAGAGGCGAATCTTGGTTCAGATGTCAGCTTTGTCATTTGTCAGTTGTGTGATTTGAACAACAATACACTCTTTCCAAACCTCAATATTTTCTTCTATGAATTGAAGATAATAGTAGATAAAAAAGGATTAATACAGTATCTGGCCCATGTTAATCACTGAATAAAAGTGTGATTATTATTATCATTGTTGCTCATCTATTTCTGTGTCAAACTGAATAGGTATATCTTATCCTTTTCAACAGTTTTATAACATTCACTATTTTTATGTACCTTATACATCTTATATGTATTAATATTTATAATTTATTTTTGATGCACTTTAGATTTATTTCAAATATTTTGCTGTTGTGTACAGCATGGCAATAAACAGTTTTATAACATTCACTATTTTTATGTACCTTATACATCTTATATGTATTAATATTTATAATTTATTTTTGATGCACTTTAGATTTATTTCAAATATTTTGCTGTTGTGTACAGCATGGCAATAAACATCTCACTGTCTATATCCTTCTTTTTCACTTACCCACTTAGTGTATATGTCTAGAATTTATATTTTACTTCTATCCCTTAATATATATTCCTAGAACTGGAACTTTTGGATGAAAGGCATGCTAGCCTTTTTAAAACAGGGGCTAGTAAACTCTTTTCTTAAGTGAACAGGTATTTTAGTGTTTTCATGCTAGATAGTCTCTGTCACAGCTATTCAGTTCTGCTGTTGTAGAAGCAGTCATTAGCAAATGAATGTGAATATGTTTCAACAAAACTTTATTTAAAAGAAAACAGGAAGTGGGCCAAGTTTGTCCATTAAAAAAAGAAAGAAGAAAGAGTCTTCTGGTAGTTTTAGTTTCAAAGGCCTGAAAATCAAGAGGGACTCAACTTTCATTTCACAATAACCTAGATATGAAAATTCTACAGCAGGATGGGAAATGTCAGCGTCTACAGATGGAAGCATGTTTGCACTCATCTGGCAGCTGTAACTCAGGATGCCAAGTATGACTTCTGTCATCTGAGGTTCACTATCTAATACCACCCCTGACCACACTGACCTTTAGGCAGAGAAGAACTTGGAAAAAAATTATAGTGGTGCCTCATTTCTTAATGTAGAAGTATAATCAGCTTATAATGGATTTTATGCATTGTTTTAAAGTGAGAAAATGAGCACTTCAGACATAAAGTCTTGCTAGTGTGGTGTTTTCTTTTTGTTTCTTTGTTTGTTTTTTTGGCAGAGTCTTTCTCTCTTGCCTAGACTGGAGTGCAGTGGCACGATCTCGGCTGACTGCAACCTCTGCCTCCCAGGTTCAAGCGATTCTCCTGCCTCAGCCTCCAGAGTACCTGGGATTACAGATGTGTGCCACCACGCCCAGCTAATTTTTGTATTTTTAGTAGAGACAGGGTTTTACCATGTTGAGCCAGCTGGTCTTGAACTTCAGACCTCAAGTGATTCACCTGCCTCGGCCTCCCAAAGTGCTGGGATTACAGATCTGAGCCACCACGCCCAGTGTGGCTTGTAAGAAAAGGTGGGCAGTATTTTTTCCTACCCTCTAATGTGGAATAGTTTAAAGTTTCTAATTCTTCAAGGTTAAGCCTCACTACAAGTCTTTCTGGGATACTTTATTGTGTATTTAAATGAACCAGCTGACGACTACAGATGTTTCTTTCTGTCTTAGAATAGTTTGTACTTCCTCAGCTGATATCTAGGCTTTCTGGAATCTGGACACTTGTCTGATCCAGGGCTGCTGTGTATGAAGGAGGAACCAAAGCAATGATGTGTCTGATACAGCTGAGATCAACAGTGCTTGTGGGCAGAGGATCGCAGGTTGTTGAGGAGGCTTCCCAGGACAGACCGTGCCGTGCTACCATTCCCCTATTACACAGTGTGTGCCATTGTAGGGACTGGAGGCTCCTAGAACTAAAAAGAGTTGCTCATCCATGAAGGTTTGAGTGTTTTGCTTTGTTTTGTTTTAATAGAAATTGCAATTTAGAATGTCCATTCTGGAATTAGGGTGAAGATGCCAATGAGATAGTTTCATAATTGATTATAATATTAACTACAAAAAGCAAAAATAGTACTTATATAGAACCTACCACTTGCCAAGCACTGTTCTAAACTCTATACATTATTAACTCATGTAATCCCTGCAAAAACCCTATGGAATAGATACTTTTATAATACTCATTTGAGAGTTCCAGAATCTGAGGCAAAGAGAGGTTAAATCACTTGCTCGAAGTTACTTTTGCAATCTGTAAAAATAAAAAATGGCACCACTAATATAGGCATCCACACGGTTGGGCTACATAATCATACTTTTACACTGAGCCACAGGACTTCGGTATAATGGTTATGGATTAAATTAGATAGGCCCTAAATTCCCATAGAATCCCCAAGGGCCACACACAACTCCTGAAAATAGAGTCCTGACAGAGCTAATGACTAACGTTAACATTTGGAAGCACCATACGCGTGGGCTTCCAATGCCATATTATAGAGACTGCATTTTATTTTCTCAAATTTCCTACAAGATAGTTTTTATTTACATTCATATTTGACAGATGATGGACCCACATCTCAGAGACATTAAATTTGTCATTTTAAATCAACAGACACTGAGTGGCAGACTGAGTATTCATATGCAAGTCTGTCTCCAAATCCCAAACTCTTAACAAATATCCTGTACAATTTTGGAGACAACGTAGTGAACAGAGTGCTGGATTGGAATTAAAATACCTAAATTTTAAACCCAGCAGCTCTATTTTATCACCAAGGGACACTGGATGAGTTAATGCCTTTCTCAAGGCTGAAGTTTTGTTCTATATCACATAAGAGAATTGGTGTTTGTTACCACTGTTTTCATTCAGAATGATACTGTATGATTATGTGATTGTTTTATGTCAAAATATGTCTGAGTACCTTTTCAAATTCTAAACTATCCCAAGACATTTCCAGTCCCCAGAGCATAGTGTAAATAGAAGAAATTTAGATAAACACTACTTTCAGTCATTGGAATAAAACACTAAATGCATGAATACAGAAATACAGAACAACTACTTTTGAAAAATAAGCTAATGCTAATCTTTTTTTTTTTTTTGAGACAGAGTCTTGCTCTGTCACCCAGCCTGGAGTGCAATGGCACAATCTCGGCTCACTGCAACCTCCACCTCCCAGGTTCAAGCGATTCTCCTGCCTCAACCTCCCAAGTAGCTGTGAATATAGGCACGTGCCACCATGCCCAGCTACTTTTTTTGTATTTTTAGTAGAGATGGTGTTTCACCATGTTGCCCAGGCTGGTCTTGAACTCCTGACCTCAGGTGATCCACCTGCCTCGGCCTCCCAAATTACTGGGATTACAGGCGTGAGCCACTGTGCCTGGCCGCTAATGCTAATCTTTGACAGAAACCCTGTTGATTTCTTCAGGCCTCAATTTTCACATGTATAGACTGACCATCTGAATGCCAGTGCCAAAGCCCCTTTTTTGTGTGTCTTACATGTAGGACACACAGTGCAAGATTAGGAATTCAGAACTTCCTGGTACCTGCCAAGTTGCCATGCAGATTGTGAGCTGCATCCAAGGTCTCTTTCACTGCTGAGTTTTCTGTGTATTAAATCAGGCATACCCATGAGAAATGGACACTGCATGGACTCTCATGTTGCAGTTCACTTGGCCTTTTGCAGAGTCCCAGTAATTCATGTCCTTTGAATGTTTCAGGATCATTTTTTTTATTCTTGGCCAAATGCAATATTCCATCATAGAAATGCTTTTGTGGGGATCCTTCTAGGTCTATCTCATTTTGTACCTTTCTCTTTTTCTCAGTACGCACCCTTTCCCCAGTGTACACATCTCAGTAATATGTCCAGGACCCTTTCTATGGAATGTTGAAATACGAAAAGTAAAGCTCATTACCTAGGCCACTTGAAACTGTTTCTTTCTCTCTTTTGTCATTTTTACTCTTTCCAACATGGGTGATTAACCTCTACTTCTTCTTTAATAAGCGCTTATGATAGATGGAAAATTCCAGATTGTGCATTTGCTTGCTCAGATTTCCTTGGCTTTAGGGCATAAACAGTGATCTAATCCATGCAGTCAGACCTAAGGGAAAAGGTACAATTGTGAGGATGGAAGACTGTCTGGCAAAGACATATACAAGGGGATTGCCCACTTTCTTCCCTCAGGTATGATTAGGCAAAAATATGATACATGGAGGAGTAGCAGCATTTGGTGATTATGAGGGCGTTAGCCTGAGGATTTAAGCCAACGTGCTCAAGATTTGAGTGGAAAGAGAAGCACCTGAATCATAGTTGACATCACTATGCTTCCTAAGTAACCAAATCTGGAACTCTCTATCTTTCAGTGAGATGATGAAGACACTGATCTTACGACACTTTCGTTGGATCATTCTGTGAGTTTCAGCAAAAATATTTTTGAAACATACAAATCCAAGATATCCCCTTGCAAAAGTTTTACATCTCCTTTGTCTGGCTGAACATGTTTTATTTCATAATCTTGGCAGAAGTGTCATTTCAGAAGGACGCTAGATGGCAATATATGCTTCATAATTTATGGTGGGGGAAGGGAATTTAGGTTTAATATTGAACTGTCAAACGTACATGAAATGTTCAACGTGTGAATGTGAAAATACGTCAGAGTTTTATTTATTCTGTAGCTCTGTAAAAACTACTCTTTTAATTAAGACAGAAAGAAAAACTCTGAAGATAATAAAAAATAGTTTGAGCACTGGGACATACTGGGTAGGAAACTCTAATGTCCCATACAAGTTTAGGGAACAAAGAATGTCCTATCTCAGAAGAATATGTTCAAAGGCTACAAATATTCAAGTCTCTTATCTTCTGCTATTTAATTCAGGTACTGTGTCTATGGTGCAGTTGGTAATCCAGTTGGACCATGTTTATTGTAGACATGTCTCAATGCAGAAGGCATTACAGTTGTGCCTAGAGAAAAATAATTTAAGAAATATTAGCCACATATTCAAATTTATAGCCTTAACCCTTTGCCCAAATAGCATCCCTTATATAATTTATTTTTATTTCTAAGTGATGGTCTTAAAGATTATGGTGTTTCCTTTCTTGACAAGAATTTGCATGTGACTTTACCTAGGTGCCTTAATAAATCAACCAAATGCTGTCGTATGAACTATATATTCCTCCAAATAAGTTTATGCATTATATCAGTTTCTGTTTGGGACACCTGGAACTTATAAGTGGTACATAAAATATCACTTATTATCAAAATATATTTTCTGTGTTCATGGGATAATATCTATGTATTCATTTTTAGAATTTGTCTCATGCACCCATCATCACCTTCTGAGCCCATCTGTGAATTCCTGAGAAGTAGCAGTTAATCATTTCAGAGATACATTCAGACATTCAGATACATTCAGAGACGTTCAGAGAACATCAATCATGTAGGTGTTTTGGTAAATATTTAAGAGGAAGATTTGAAACATTTTTTCATGGTATTACTTGCTTCTAATGAAACAACAAAAGAAAAGAAACATTTTTTCCCCTTCTGTCATTCTCCTTCTGTCATTAAGACATTGTGAGAAATCAAGACCAAATGCTAAAAATCACTTGGTAGTTTGAAACTCTACACCCTTCCCCAAGGAAGATCAGTATATAACATTTTACTTGAGTGTATTACTAAAAGGATCAGTCTTGGATGGAGGCATATTCATGTTTGATAATGAATGGAATAATTGGACTCATTTCTGAGTTTGAGATTATAGAAGGATTTCTTACAGAGGAACTTGTTCCAAGACATTCAATGCAATGAATATACAATAAAGGTTAACCTTCTCCCACCCAGCTCCATAGATCAGCAACAGAATTTAAGTCAGACATTTCTTACTTACAGATAAGGATAGAATTTTGTGACAGCCTACCCAGTAGATGACAGAAACTTAAAGTAAATTAACTCTAATCATCACAACACTCTAAGTTTGTTTCTCTCATTTTACATGGGTGAAAATGAAGTCCAAAGAGGTTGTGTTACTTGCTGAATAACATCCTCTGCATATAATGAAATTTGTTTTATATCACACAGGCGGGTATTGTATAATACACACACACACACACACAAACACACACACACACACACACACAAAATACAGGAAAGATTATAGTAGGGTTTAAGTTATTGTTTATGTAGCTATTTGTCAGGAAGAAGTATGCTTCGTGGTCAATAATCTACATTTGGAGAACTTTTTTTTTCTTTTATTTTTGAGATGGAGTCTCGCTCTGTTGCCCAGGCTGGAGTGCTGCGGCACAGTCTCAGCTCACCGCAACCTCCGCCTCCCGGGTTCAAGTGATTCTCCTGCCTCAGCCTCCCTAGTAGCTGGGATTACAGGCACCCGCCACCACGACTGGCTAATTTTTTGTATTTTTAGTAGAGATGGGGTTTCACCAACACTGTTGGCCAGGTTGGTCTCGAACTCCTGACCTTGTGATTTGCCCACCTCTGCCTCCCAAAGCACTGGGATTACCCCCGTGCCTGGCCAGAAGATGCTTAATAAATGTTTGATGAAAGATTGAATGAATGGAATAGCATTGCATTAAGCTTCTATTTGTGGCAAGGTAAATCATTTATTAATGTCGTATAAAAGCAATACAGCCATATTATAAGAAAAGATTAAGAATGTAGTTTGTAGAGATGCTTTATTCTGATGAGCATAGGAAGTAAGAAAATCTTGTATTTTCCAATTTCCAGCAGAGACTAAAATTATTTCCAGAGTCATGTTCAACTTTAGCTGCAATTTGCAGACAGAACCCTCCACAAAATTCTTTAAGTCATTACTCTCTATTCCTCAAAAAGGATTTGTTTGAAGACACTATAATGCTTCCTTGTCCTTGAGTCCTTTTTTAGAATATGTATTTTACAAAACTACAGTAGGAAAAAAAAAACTATCCAATGGAACAATGCTTATGTTTTCTAAAATTAGTGGATTTTTTTAAGTTTCTAAAGCTCTCCAGGTGGAAAATAAACGGAAATTGAATTATTTAAGGCACAGCGATTTTATTAATACTGATAAAAGAGGAAGTTTCTTGAGAGAAATTCAAAATCAATCTTATTTCAGTGGGAACTTCAGTAGCTTCTATACAATGAATAACATTAGTCATATTTAAAAAAATGAGATGTGCATAACAAAGCATCTGTTTTAGGCTGATTCTCAACTCAGACAACATTTCTGCTTAGCTGAAGAAATAGTGGAAGAAAATATTCAGCTCATTTTTGATAAAATATTAATCTATTCCTTCTTTATGAAATTGTTAATGTTTGTCACAGAAAGTTAATATTTGCAATTTCTCTATTCAGCAGTATGGTTGAAGGATGAAATTATCTCGCTTCAGAATGCAGTTATTTGCATCCAACTATTGGTCATGCACATAAAAGATTTATATTTCATTTTATGACTGAGATTTGTTTATATGAAATATGTGAAAAAATGCTTTTTAAAAAAAAACAACTTTTTTTTCCTTTTTCCTTATAATTATCAGGCTATCAGTTTTTCTTGTTGGGAGAATCAAAATAAATAAGCTAATGTTTTATTCCTTTTGCATCATCTTTAATAACAACTATTTCATGAATATAAGCCATATTGAGGGAGCCATGCAGGCTTGGAATTGGAGAGAGGTGGAAATACTGTTTCCTTTTTTTTTTTTTTTTTTTTTTTTGAGATGGCGTCTGGCTCAGTCGCCCAGGCTGGAGTGCAGTGGCGCCATCTCGGCTCACTGCAAGCTCCTCCTCCTGGGTTCACACCGTTCTCCTGCCTCAGCCTCCCGAGTAGCTGGGACTACAGGCACCCACCACTACGCCCGGCTAATTTTTTTTGTATTTTTAGTAGAGACGGGGTTTCACCGTGTTAGCCAGGATGGTCTCGATCTCCTGACCTCGTGATCCGCCTGTCTCGGCCTCCCAAAGTGCTGGGATTACAGGCGTGAGCTACCGCTCCCGGCCTAAAATACTGTTTTCAAGGGGCTTCTACGTCGCATTGGCAGAGCCTTACAGGTGGGGACGTTCTTACAAAGCCCCCTCTGCTCTGGAAAAAATGGATCTTGTTTTTTTGTGCCAGATTCTGGGCTCTTTTTCATTTCCAGTTAGAAGGATTAGAACAAAATTTTTTATTGTGCCCCTTGTTCTTTTATATTTAGTTTTATAATTCCTCTTAGAAGTTTATATAGGTATCTTGGACTCTCTGCATCTAAACAGGAGTTTGGGTTTTCACTTCTCAGATTCTTACAGATTTACATAAAGAAGCTCATCTGCATTCTTTGTGAAATTAAACTTAAGTTCACAAGGCCCCTTAATGAGGGAGGATCTCTACTCAGAGAAGGATGATGGATTAAACGCTGAAATCTGATTCATGCACATCCTACACATAAGATTGTCCTAATCCCTAAGGAATCTCCCTCCTCTCATCTCTGCCACTGGGTGAGGATTCTCCCTCCCTGATCAGCCTTTTAAGATTGGAATTTTATTTTATTTTAAGAAGTGCCAGGGTCCTTACACTTTTGAGTTTCTTTTAGAGGTGGGGCCAGTACAGCCCTAATAAGTCAACTCATAAGAAAATAAAGAGCAAAAGAGGGAGGTGTATTTTTATTTAGAATAAAAAAAGAAGTAGGCTTCTTCCTAGTTAAAACCAATTAACAGCCCTCTTCTGGGAAAAAAATAATCATCTTAATGTTGGAGGACATTAATAACATTTTAAATGTCATATTGGTTAGGAATCTTCTTGGCTGCAAGGAACAAACATCGTCATTGTTCCTAAAGTGACTTAAACATTTAAAATATTATTTTTCTCAACTAAGAGGGATTTCAGATGTCAGCAGTCCAAACCTAGTACAGCTGCTCAGTGATGCCATCAGGGGCCTTTCTCTGGCCCACTCTGTCATCCTTAGTTTTTTGGCTTCTTATCTTCATGGTTGTCACCTCATGGTTCCCAATGGCTAGTGTGTCTCCAGGCATCATATATTCCAGCAAGGATGAGTAAGGGCAAGAAGCAGAAACTGCACAATTCTTATATGTACTATTGGCCAGGACTATATCACATCGACCTCTCCAAATCTACTAGGGAAGCTAAATGTGCATTTTTCCATTTTGTAGCTTTCTGAGGTATTGAACAGAAAGGGTAGTTGGGAAATGAAATGGGGATGTGTGAATATTCTTAGCTCATCTTTCCATGTTGCTGATGTCAGTTAGCACTACGTGATTTGGTGACTTCCACACAACTTGGTACTTTTCTTCTTTTTAATATCTTATAAGTTTCCTTACAAAATTTTAGGAAGAATTTTTATTAAAAATCCCAGCCAGGCACGGTGGCTCACGCCTGTAATCCCAGCACTTTGGGAGGCCGAAGTGGTTGGATCACCTGAGGTCAGGAGTTCGAGACCAGCTGGCCAACATGGTGAAACCTCGTCTCTACTGAAAATACAAAAATTAGCCAGGTGTGGTGGTGTATGCTGATAATCCTAGCTACTTGGAAGGCTGAGGCAGGAGAATTGCTTGAACCCAAGAGGCAGAAGTTGCAGTGAGCCGAGATCGCACCAGTGCACTCCAGCCTGGGCAACAAAGCAAGACTCTGTCTCGGGAAAACAAACAAACAA
Source organism: Homo sapiens (assembly GCF_000001405.40). Taxonomy (NCBI): domain Eukaryota; kingdom Metazoa; phylum Chordata; class Mammalia; order Primates; family Hominidae; genus Homo; species Homo sapiens. The sequence goes on along the minus strand of NC_000010.11, from coordinate 109,013,998 downwards.
ACAAACCAAAAAACTCAAAGTCTCTCAAAGGAGTACTCAGTTATCAAACCCTCTGCAGACACATTCTTATGAACCCACATATTTAAGAAGATTGCAAAGATCTTATATTGTCACCTTGTTTTCTCTCTAAGTGGCAGTTTTAACGATTCTTCATTTAAAAGCAAATTCAGTCAACCTGGCGCAAATCATCACAATGAGCTATTTGCTCTTTTGTGCTGTTTCTCTGATGAACTTCCTGCTGTCTTTGTCTCTAGTTCTCATTTTGGCCTTTCTATATTCCTAGTGTCATTGTATGTGTTCACCCTGGGTAGTAAAGCATTACTGACTTGCGCCTGACTCAAAACTTTGGATTATTGAAGAGGAAAACTCTCTCTGGCTTACTAAACTCTTAACCTGGGATGGCTCTTTCTCAACAGGGAACATATGGAATATTATAGCTGCCAGCTAAACCTTCATTGTGGTGCAGTTTTAGGAACAAATCCATCTCCTGATGTAACTGAAATACCCGTCTACTCTCCTCCATATAGGTATTTGGCATTCCAAGCCTGCTTCCCACTCTGCTTGATCTTCCAGAGTCTCTGTGTTCTCTGCTTGAGTGGCCGGGCTTTGATTGGGTACATTGCAGTTGCAGCCTCTCTCCTTTATTTATTTATTTTTTTTTTTGAGGCGGAGTCTTGCTCTTTCGCCCAGGCTGGAGTGCAGTGGCGCGATCTCAGCTCACTGCAAGCTCCGCCTCCCAGATTCACGCCATTCTCCTGCCTCAGGCTCTCCGAGTAGCTGGGACCACAGTCGCCCGCCACCACGCCCAGCTAATTTTTTTTTTTTGTATTTTTAGTAGAGATGGGGTTTCACCGTGTTAGCCAGGATGGTCTTGATCTCCTGACCTCATGATCTGCCCACCTCGGTCTCCCAAAGTGCTGGGATTACAGGCGTGAGCCACCGCGCCCAGCCCTCTCCTCTCTTAAAGTTGAATGGCAGTAGATATCAGAGGACACTGGGAAGACAGCAACAGTATGGTTTATTTAACTGGCTTGCGTCTCCAGGGTGTCAGACTTCTTTTGTGTCCGAGATACAATGAGAAAATTCGTCCTGGAATTTTCTAAAAACCCTGAAAAAATATCCCTCCAAATATAAACAAGCAATAAACAATCCAGAATATATGAAGGGCCAAGGATTTCCCTTTGTGTAAATTAAAATAGACAAAAGTAGTGAGCACATGTAGCTTTGGAGAAGACAGTTCTTATGAAAGGGCAGAATCTATTTCTAAGAACTGGGGCAGAAGACTGTTAGCCATAGAGGTATGTGCACATGTGTAACGGTTAATTTGTGTTAACTTAACCAGGTCATGGGGTGCCAGGATATTTGGCTAAACATTATCTCTGGCTTTGTCTGGGAGAATGTTTCTGAATGAGATTCGTGTTTGGGTCCCAGGACTGAGTACAGCAGCTTGCCTTCCCCAATGTTGCTGGCATCTTCTGATCCATTGAGGACCTGAATAGAACAAAAATGCAGAGGAGGGGATAATTTACTGTGAACTGAGAAACTGGGACATAGGCCTCCTCCTCCCCTTGGATTCAGACTGGAATTTACATCATCAGCTCCCCTGGTTCTCAGGCCTCTGGACTCTGGACCTACACCCCTGGGTTTCCTGGGTCTCCAGCTTGCAGATTCCAGGTGGTTGATCAATTGTGGCACTTCTCAGTCTTTATAATCATATGAGCTAATACCTTGTAATAAATAAATCTCTCTGTCTACATATATACATAAACATATACATAAACATATGTGTGTGTGTATATTTATATATGTGTATATATGTATATATGTATATTTGTGTGTATATATATGAGTGTGTGTATATATGTATATATGTATATATATACACACACATATATACACACATATACACACATATATACATATATGTATATATGTATATATACACATATAAGTATATATACATATACATATACACATATATACACATATATGTGTATATATGTGTGTATATACGTATACATATATACACATATACATATACATATACACACACACACACACACACACACACTCACATATATAAATATATACCATGGGTTCCATTTCTCTGAAGAATTCTAACACAAAGTTATACCCATCATGACAGAAGAAACAAATCAATCAAAGTACAGGCAGAGTCCTTTGTTCCTGTGTCACCCCCAAACTGTTCCATCATTCTACTTCCTGCCCCAGCCACACCCCACCCTGTACTCCCCCTCCACAGCTTCAGATCCTGAGATGCTAGGCATTAGCAGACTCTGGTTTGAGAGTGTGGTCTAGAGTCAACAGTTTAAAGCCATCTGTAGTTTACTAAGATATCTCTGAGAATCTAGAAGGCAAATTAGAAAAGCCTTGTAAATACAGGAACACTGAGGCTGGGGCAATAAGGGAAGGAACTGGGGTGCTTAGAAAAGAGAAGACTTTTGCATGACAGTCACCAAGTTTCAAATTCTGACTCCACCACTGCCTGCTGAGATCTTGACCAAGTACCACAGGCCCTTTGAGTATCAGTTTCCTTACCTATCTCTAGAAATAATACAAGGGAATATAATACATCCCACCGATTTTTTGGGAGGATCTAATGATTTAAGAAATGTGTACATGATAAATGTGTGCCTGATCACAAGGTGGTAGCCATTAATATAAAATTCACAAACTATGAAACAAATTCATTATTTGGATGCATTGACTACATAATGGGGTTAGACAGATTCAGTGCTCATTTCTGTGTTTACTTGCTGTACATGAAGTTTTTTTTTGAGATGGAGTCTCGCTTTGTCTCCCAGGCTGAAGAGCAGTGGCAGGAACTCGGCTCACTGCAACCTCCACCTCCCAGGTTCAAGCAATTCTCTTGCCTCAGCCTCTCGAATAGCTGGGATTACAGGCACACGCCACCATGCCCAGCTAATTTTTCTATTTTAGTAGAGATGGCGTTTCACCACGTTGGCCAGGCTGGTCTCAAACTCCTGACATCAGGTGATCCACAGGCGTCGGCCACCCAAAGTGCTGGGATTACAGGCGTGAGCCACCATGCCAGGTGTACATAAAAATTTATATGCATGAATTGTGAGGTGAGAAGTAACTGTGTGAAGACTTTCTACAAACAACATCATTTTTGAAGTATTTGATTCTTTATTCATTAAGGAATATTTTCATTGATGAAGCATGCATCTTACTTCCTTTATCTCATTTTTTGCCCATAAATTTAATTGTTGGGTTTAATTATAATCACTGTATAATTACTAAATCTTGGCATTAATTATATCACATTAAGCCATTAATGATATTATTCAGCATAAAACTAATTAAGTCATGAACATAAATTGCCCACGGCTTACCTGTAATACCCTGTTTCTTTCCTCTTTTTTTTTTTTTAATTTCATCTTTTTTTCTAACACATTTGAAAAGGCTTCTTAATGACTTAGTGGGTTTTTTTTTCTTTTTTTTTTTTTTAGTCCTATTCTCTCAGAATTTACAATACCCACAACTGACTTATGGAGCCTTATTTCCTGGGTGCAGCTTTCTCCTCTCACCTACCAACAGCCTGGACTCATGAATTTCTCTTTCCGGGCAAAAGGGGCTGTGAGGTTGTTTAGTGATGTTTTCTAAGACTGGCTTCTTGACACAAAATGTAAACCTTCCTGTCTGTCATTCCAGTTACAAATTTTTGCTAAGTACATATTAAAAAATATATATCTTGTTATTTTCTGGATCAGACCCCTGTTGGAAGATCACTATATAGTAGAAAGGCCACGAAATTCTATTCAAGTAGACTTGATTTCTTGTTCTGGCTCCAATTCATTGTTCCATTCTACACAAAACTACTTACCAATTTGGGGACTTAGTTTCTATATTTATAAACAGCGAGTTGGTCTGGATGCTGTTGAAAGTATACATAGCTCTAAACTTGTAGAACCACTTCTAGTAAAATGTCATTACCAGTTAATCACTTATATGTTCAAACTATCTCACTGCTAACCTTTGTGCAAATAAGAAAAAAAGATCCTTTCATATTTCATCTGCTAAAGAAAATGTAATGCATCTACATCTATATTGATTGCACATTTGAATGCCTCCCCTCATGTATCTTTAGTATACAATCTGAACAGCATAGATGGTAAACACATAAAATAATATTTATCAGTTAATATCTAAGCAAGGATTATCAACATCGCAGAATAGGCATCCATGTAAAAACAAAACAGAATAAAAAAAGAAATGTCAGAAGGATGGGCAAGGGTGCTGCTGTGACATGAAGTAAGAGGCCAAATTTATCCTAGACCAGACAGGACAAGCAGGATTCATTTTATATGCCAGCTACAGTTGATAATCACTGAATGTTATGTTGAGCAGGATTCCCACCTAGGCAGCAGGACAGTTTCCTGTGGGTATAGTGATGTCTGCCATGGGTAGGAAGGGGGTGTGGTGGCATGTATCTGCCATCCCTTGTCCAGAGCCAGCCCACTGTCCCAGGTACCCTTTGACAAATAAAACCTAATCTCTTTCTTAGCAGAGGAAGATGCTGAGCCTGACTCCGCATATTTTAAGACACTAACATATTCCTGGCAGAGAAAATATAATGAATAAGGTAAATCGAGGGTCCCAGTTGTCGTTTACTTTATTTATTTATTTTTGAGATGGAGTCTTGCTCTGTCGCCCAGGCTGGAGTGCAGTGGCGCCATCTCGGCTCACTCCAGGCTCCGACTCCTGGGTTCACGCCGTTCTCTTGCCTCAGCCTCTCTAGTAGCTGGGACTACAGGCGCCCGCCACCACGCCGGGCTAATTTTTTTGTATTTTTAGTATAGACGGGTTTTCACCATGTTAACCCGGATGGTCTGAATCTCCTGACCTCGTGATCCGGCCGCCTTGGCCTCCCAAAGTGCTCGGATTACAGGCATGAGCCACCGAGCTCGGCCCTGTCATTTACTTTTTAATTCATATCTGGGGTTACATTTTGGGAGCTTTGTAAAGGCATAATTGATCAAAGCTCTTTGGCTTTACTTGAACAACTCTAGGGGCAGAGAGTTTTCTGCACCTCTATTTTCAGACAGTTTTCCTTATAGGAAAAAATCTTCTTTAAGGAGAATGGTAACTTTCATTCACTTGTTCCAGTTTTGTCCCTTAAAGACACAAAAAATTAAGTCAGGTCTTTGCCCACAGTACAGTCTTCAGATACTCAAAGCCACCAGATTCCCTAGGGATGTAGCCCATGTGGCTAATTTCTCATGTGCTATGGCAGAGCCATGCTTCCCTTCTGCTCACTTTGCTCTGATGTGCTCCTATACATTTCAGTTTTTCTTTAAAGTGTGACCCTGAAATCAGTTTTTTTCTGCAGAGGAAACCTGTTTTTATTTCTTTTAGTTGTTTATTTAGATACTTATCTCCATATTTCTAAATAATATGTTTATCATGCTTTTAAATGAAACTTTCTTGCTTTGTCAAATTTACACAGCCCCTCATCTCCAGTTAGCTTCTTCTGTTCTCTCAGTAGGTTTATCGTAAATATTTTTATATTTTTTTCTTAGATATAGTTTTGTTTTTCTTTAGTTAATATGTGTTATTTGGATCAGTTTCAATATACCTGTAATTAGTTAGCTTTATTGCCTCTATCAAATGCCTGTTAATCAATGTTTACTCCAAACACACAAACATCTACTATTCATTTTTTTTCTTTATTTAATTCCCATGAATTCCTCTGTTCGTGAGGCTCAATTCACTACACAATTTGTACTAGTGGGTTTTTATGTTTGTTTCATAGCTGGTGTTTCCTAGATTCTGCATCTTTCTCTTTATTAATCAGCTTCCTTTATTTTGGCATGTAATAGTTCTTCAGTAGATTCCAAAGAAATGACATATTGGAGCAAAACACCAAGTTATTATATGCATGAAATGTCTATTTTCACACTCAGTTGAAAGCTAAGCTGAATATATCATTCTAAACTAAAAATAATTTTCTTTTTAGTGGATATTATACACAACTGCAGATTTTTTGCAACTCCTTTTGAGAGATGCAATCTAATTACCCTCTCCTTGAGTCTGGGATGGTCTTAGTGATTCACCTGACTAATAGAATGAGGCCAAAATATTCTAGGAATTCTGAAACTAGGTCATTAAAAGCCCTTGCACCTTCCACATTTCCCTCTTAAAACTCTTGCTCTAGGGAAGCAATACACTGAGATGACCATGTCACGAAGAGGCCCAAGGTAGCCATGTAAAGAGGAGGCAGGGAACAAGAGATGACTGGGCAGTCCCCAGCTGTTCCTGCCATCCCAGCCCAGACCCCAGATATTGTGGAAATGAGTCATCTTGAACATTTCTAGCCAGTGGATGTGACTGAAGAAAGGAAAAACAAAAACAAAAACAAAAACCATCTAACAACCAAAGTTGAAGTCCTAGGTTATGAACCCAGTCAACCTATCCCAACTATTTTCAGCTATTCAAGCTCCCAGGCTGAGGCCTCAGTCATCATGGGAAGAGCAAAGCCATCACTGCTGTGCCCTGACATAAATTTTTAGGCATAATCAAACAGCTGTTGCTTGAAGCCACTAAGTTTTAGGGTGGTTTGTTATTTGGCAATTGATTGAAAGCCTATCGCTGTGAGCTTTTACTATTTAATGCTGTGATTGAGAAGGTTGATATCATTGAGTTTCTACTCTTTTGGATTCTGAAAGCTTTTAGGACTTCTCGTTACAAGAGCCTTCTGTATCTATGGATTTTGCATCCATGGATTCATCCAACTGTGGATCAAAAATATTTGGTAAAAAACAAAAATAACAATACAAAAATAATAAAAATACGGCATAACTACATAATAACTACATAATAAATACTATTTACATAGTATTTACACTGTATTAAGATAATAGTAATTTATTACTAATTTAATACTAACTAATTTAGAAATTATTTGGGTTATATGCATAGGTTATATGCAAATACTATGTCATTTTAAATAAGGGGCTTGAGCATCCCAATATTTTAGTATTGGGGATATCCTGGAACCAATGCTTGGTGATACCAGGGGACTACTGTATTCTGGGATTCTGAAACTGCACAAAGATTCACCCTAATTTTCTCATTTCATTCATTGTGCTGAGTCCTTGGTAGACTTTCAAACTGGAAACTGATGTTCGTCAATTCAGGGCTGTTCTCTGATTAGTTTTGGTTGTTCATTACCATGTCAAATTAGAAATACACGTCAACATTTTTATTCCCTCGTGTTCATTTGAAAAAAAATCCAAACTCATTCTTTCTTGTTTGATCTTTTGCAGATGCTATTTGGTGCGATAATAATGGTTGCCAAATAGCCATCACCCTATGTCAAACTCATTGTCATCTTTATGTCTTGGCTTAGCCCTCTTCCATTTTTCCTTCCCTTGATATCAACAAGGCCCAGCCTAAGCCTTATGTCCTTAGGAGGACTTCCTATTATCCTGTCTCTATTCTTATCTCTCTTCTTTACTGAATTTCTAAAGTTAATATTTATATTCATCACTGTTATATGCAGAGAAGTAAGCACTTCCAGATCGGTGCTGCTCAGTAGAAATATAATGCAAGCCAATTATTTCATTAAGACTTTCTAGTAGTCACAATAAAATAGGTAAAATTAATTTTAATCATGTATTTCATTTAGTCCAATATAGATAAAAAATTAAAATATTATTTTACACATTTAACCTGTGATCAATGTAAAAATATTAATGAGCAATTTTGCATTTCTTGGTATAAAGTCCTCAAAATACATGGTACATTTTGGTCCTTACAGAATATCTCATAATGTTATAGACAGTACTTTTTTACTTATTGATAATTTTGTTTATTTAAGTAACTTTATTTGGACGCCATATAAAGTAGTGTGATGAGTTTTGTCATGTTTTGATGTCTAAATTTTACTTTTTCTGTTCTTTCTTTGCTAATTAATGGCAGCTCAGAAACGGCAAGCTATTGAATACAGAACAGCATGCATTTCTTCCGGCTTGTTAACTTGATCTTTCCAACTACCTCATGAATTGTTTGGTTCTCCTGTACTCCCTTAGTACCTCGTGTAATGTTGAGAATATTTCAGACATTTGAAATTCTTGATTTCTTCTCTTTCTCTCTCTCATCTCTATCTCACTTTCTCTTTACTTTCACTTTGTTCCAAAAAAGTGTTTCAAATTTCTTAAACAGCATAACATAAAATCATGTTGACTATCTTGGTAGTTATAGCCATCAGAGAGTGTTTCAGAACTGTAACTTACAACTTTAATTTCATAAATAATGTAATATTCATCAAGATGCTTTCTGTTGAAGTGCTCAATGGCTATTTCTTCTCCAGGATAACCAGTACTAGTTACTCCAAATATATCCTAGCTAACATTTGTAAACATTCCAAATTAAAAAACTTTCCTTTGTGAATTATCTTTAAAAACTTATGAAATTATGCTTCTACTTGCTTATTGTAATTGTAATACATTTAGCTTCCATGAAAAACTCTTTAATCAATTTCAGTGTTCTCATTTAGCTGCAATATTTGTATGGTTCCTTCAGCACAATGTTGCTGCTGTAAAACATATCTAAGGTGCAGAAGACATTTATTTCCATGGGATTTTTCAGACTGGGTAAATGATTGTTTTCTAACTTTTAACTATATTTTAATATAAATGTACTTTTAACCATAGCTTTAAAGTATCTCCCCACTAACTTAAATATCTTAATTTTTAAAGTAATGCACATTATAAAAATGCATCCTAAAAGCTCTTGGGCAGGATCATTAAGTGTTCAATTTATATAATTTTAAACTCATTTAATTGCACTTTAATTTTATGGAGTTTTAGAGTAGTCATGTACGTGATGTTATTGCAAATTGTCCAGGTCCTGTTTTCAAGCCCTTTATCAGAAGATTTGTGGAAGTAAAAGGAATTTACACAATGTGGAGAACTTTAATAAGCTACCTGGTGAAGAGTTAGGAGATACAAACTGATGGAAGATAAAAAGAGGAGAGGATGACTTAATCAAATACAAGTAATTAGGGATATGAGGTAAAGGAGAGAAAGAAATGGTAATTTGCACCCACTACATTGGAGGACTGCTGTAAGTTAAGCAACAATTTCCTAATATTTTATTCTTGGTAAATTATTTCTTCCAATTACTTAATTTTGATGGATGGATAACGTGCCACTGAATGGAAAGGAGAATTATTTTCCTGGTTATGAGAGAATAAAATGAATCCAGATTTCTAGATCTACATTCTCCTAAGAACAAAATCGAATGATTACCTCCTGTCTTAGTCTGTTTGGGTTACTATACCAAAATACCATAGACTGGGTGGCTTATAAACAACAGAAATTTATTTCTCACAGTTCTGGAGACTGGAAAGTTCAAGATTGAGACATCAGCAGATTCAGTGTCTGCTAAGGACCTGCATCCTGATTCATAGAAAGTCCTTTCTTTGCTGTGTTCTTATGTGGTTGAAGGAGTAAGGGAGCTCTCTGGGGCCTCTTTTATAAGAACACTAATCCCATGTGAAAGGGTTTTACCCTCATGACCTAATTACCTCCTGGTAAGGTTTGGCTCTGTGTCCCTACCCAAATATCATTGTGTTGAAGGTGGGGCCTAGTGGGAGGTGATTTGATCATGGAGGTGGTTTCTAATGGTTTAGCACCATCCTCCTAGTGCTGTCGCATGATCGTGCTCTTACGAGATCTGATGGTTTAAAAATGCAGCACTTTCCCCTTCATCTCTCACTTGCTACCATGTAAGACATGTATTGCTTCCCCTTTGCCTTCTGCCATGATTGTAAATCTTCTGAGGCGTCGCCAGCCACGTGGAACTGTGAGTCAATTATACCTCTTTTCTTCGTAAATTACCCAGTCACAGGCAGCTCTTTAAAGCAGCGTGAAAACAGACTAATATACCTCCCAAAGGCCCCACTTCCCAATACCATTACAATGGGGGTTAAGATTTCAACATACGAATTTTGGGGACCTAAATGTTCAGTTTATAGCATTCCCTGTCCCTCCCTGACTGCCAAAGACTATCCTAAGTAAGACTGACTAACACTTCAAGAAAAACAAATATCTCATTTAAACATTTCTTGGGTGAAGATCAGGTCTCTCTCATGTGCTTCAATAGAACATTATTCAATGTTCATTATGTACCACTAGAAAAAGCAATAGGAAAAATAACTGCAGGAAAAGAAATGTTAAATGTTGAGAATTGACCTGGAATGAGCAGTGAGCCAAAGTTAGGCCCAGAGAGGGAACAGATAAGCAGAGGGAGATTAATAATGACATCTAACACAGCGTGCCAGGTGGTGTCTCAGTACTTATGTTGTTTACTTTATCCTAACTGTGAGGTAGGTACTGATGTTTTATTACACACATTTTAAAAATGAGAAAGCTGATGCATAGAGATGTTATGTGACTTGTTCAAAACTACATACCTGGTAAGTTGCAAAGTTCAGATTTGAAACCAGACAGTTTGATGGCAAGGTTTGAACTATTTACCTTCTGGGTTGTGATTAGTATTGTGATAGGTTGGAAGTAGGTTTTTGCTAATTATTATTCTAAAATTTGGTCAATAACTTATATTTAATTCATAATTTTCTCTGTATATTACCTTCATTACCTTGCATTCTCTTACAGATTTTAAGTTATTGTATATATAATGAAAAAGAGCTTCGTTAACTCCTACTTGTCGTGAGGGTCTCAGCATTAATGCCAGTTATCTAGAATAGTGTTTCTCAAACTTCCTTAGCAGAAAGATTACCAGAATCTATTAAAAATGCATATTTGGAGGCCCTAACTTCATTATTATTACCTTTTTTTTTTTTTTTTTTTTGAGACAGAGTCTTGCTCTGTCACTCAGGCTGGATTGGGGTGGTGTGATCTTGGCTCACTGCAACCTCTGCCTCCTGGATTCAAAGGATCCTACTGTCTCAGCCTCCCAAGTAGCTGGGAATACAGGCACACACCATCATGCCCAGCTAATTTTTATATTTTAGTAGAGATGGGGTTTAACCATATTGGTCAGTCTGGTCTCAAACTTTTGACCTCAGGTGATCCACAGCCTTGGTTTCACAGGCAGGAGCCATCATGCCTAGCCTGAAGGCCCCGACTTCAAAAGTTTTGATTTTGAGAGTCTAGGCTAGATCTTTGCAATTTTTATTCAAATACAATTAGGAAAAAAAAATATGTTATTGGATGCTGTCCCTGGCAGAAAGACTCTTTTGATGGGCGACATAATGCCCTCCGAGAATCTCACATGTAACCCCTTGGAACATTTTCCACATTTTATGGTCATTGCTCACTTACTCATCTTCACGCTATTTTAGACTCTGAAGTCTTTAAGGGCAAGAATTGTGTCACTCCACTGTTGTATCTCTAATATCTTCTACTCACCTTTGATATAGCAGATGCTTTGTAGCTGTGTGTTGAAGGAAAGATCTGTAGAATGTGAAGGATTGAGTGAATGAATGGTTGTAAGATAGCCTTACAATGTGCAAAATAATAAATTATTTTGAGATGACTAGATTTAACGTGCCTAATTGTCTCACTTTATTTAATATGTGTAGACTAAAACATTGTTTGTTTTAGGGATCTATTCTGCATAACAAACTATCTCAACGTTCAGCAGCTTATGTTTCTCTTTTCTTCTCTCTCTGCTGATACTGCCCGATTTTACCTTTCCTTTCAAATTCAACTCCCTAAACGTTATTCCTCTTCACAGAATTTCTCAGAATATGCTCCTACACTATACTATGCTTATATACTTCTCTTTTTGTATTATACTTATTGGAAATGGATACAAACTTTAGCAATTTTATTGGAAGAATCAAGGTTGCAAAATGTGGTAGTTGCTGATTGTCCTTCTCCTTGGCAGAAGCCAGAGTCTTAGACTTTTATATTAATGTCTTCTGTCATAGCATAGACCTTGATCAATGACAGAAACACATCATTCAATTTAACAACAATTTAATGAGTATGCTAGCACGATGTTAAACACCAGAGAAGAGCAATTTAGTACATAGGGTCTTTTCCTATTTTTGTAGCATTCTCCCACACATTAGCCCATTTTTATTCTTGAAACAACCATTTCAACTAGGCAGAACACTAGAGATTTTTCTTACTTTTCCCCAAACACTAAGCTCAAAAGTAGAGGTTAAACACCTGCCTAGTGACTCAGTTGGGACTGGAACTCATTTTATAAAATTTGAGAGGCAATGCAATCCAGGCTCTCTCTGAACGAATTCATTCAATTGAATCAACAAACATTTACTGAGCCAATCCCTGGTGATAGGTAGTGGTAAAAACTGGGCATTCAAAAATAAATAAGAAATTCCACTTGCCCTCAATAACTCAGGGATTACTATAGGAAATAGATGTGTAAGCAAATACATTATAATCAACATGTAAGTGATATTATAAAGGTATGAATCTGAGTGCTGATTGTAGAGGAAGGAGCAAAACTTGCCAAGAGCCAGCAAGAAAGTCTTTTTTTCTTTATAGTTCTGTTTAGAGCATGAGAAAGATAATGCTGATATTGGTGCCTGTGGAATGGGGAGGGGGGTTGAAGGTGGAGAGTGTGGGAATTGAAATACTTCCAGGAACAAAGAACAACCTTACAGAGGCAGGGGAGTATAAAAGACCCAGCTCCTTTACGGCAAGAGAGATTTTCAGTACTGCTCGACTAGAGCCAGACAGGACAAGAGGATGTTGGTGAAGTCAAATATTGCGATGTTCCTTTCAACCGACATGAAGCCTCTTTCTTTATTTAAAGGGATTCACTGATAATCTTTTAAGACCATGGTTGACAAAGAGGACTGTTGTGGGACTTCTTGGGATCTGTTATTCTTAGCAGTCTGTTTCACCCTTAAATATGCATTCCTGTCTCAGCACAACAAAATCTTTAGAAAGATGTTTAATCCCATCTCACACCAGTTAGAATGGCAATCATTAAAAAGTCTGGAAACAGCAGATGCAGACGAGGATGCTGAGAAATAGGAATGCTTTTACACTGTTGGTGAGAGTGTAAATTAGTTCAACCATTGTGGAAGACAGTGTGGCAATTCCTCAAGGATCTAGAACCAGAAATACCATTTGACCCAGCAATCCCATTACTGGGTATATACCCAAAGGATTATAAATCATTCTACTATAAAGACACATGCACACGTATGTTTATTGCAACACTATTTACAATAGCAAAGACTTGGGACCAACCCAAATGCCCATCAATGATAGACTGAATAAAAAAAAGTGGCACATATATAACATGGAATACTATGTAGCCATAAAAAAGAACGAGTTCATGTCCTTTGCAGGGACATGGATGAAGATGGAAACATCATCCTCAGCAAACTAACACGGGAACAAAAAACCAAACACCACATGTTCTCACTCATTAGTGGGAGTTAAACAATGAGAACACATGGACACAGGGAGGGGAACATCACACACCAGGGCCTGTTGAGGAGTGGGGGGAAAGGGGAGGGAGAGCAAAAGGACAAATACCTAATGCATATGGGGCTTAAAACTTAGATGATGGGTTGATAGGTGCAGCAAACCACCATGGCACATGTATACCTATGTAACAAACCTGCACATTCAACACATGTATCCCAGAACTTAGAGTAAAATTTTTTAAAAAAGAAAGAAGTTTTATCACCACATTCTATAATTCTGCTTTCCTTTTAGAAGTCTTACCCCCTACCCCAAAATGATTTGCAAAACACTCTTTTGAACCAAATGTAGCACTCCTTTTCTTACATTTGAAATACATTTTTGTGCTCCTTAACGACTTGTGTTCTGGAAGCTGCTCTGCTGGTGCCTCAAGGAATCCTCCCAGGAAGGGGACCTGGAGAGGTAGAAACAGGAGAGATGCACATGGCCTTGTACTATGTCTTACCATGTCTGGATTAATTATTCAGCCACAGGGAAACCAAAACAATTTCTAACAATGAACTTTCAAGACTCGTTTTAATTTTGAAGAAGCTATTTCTGGAGGGGATGTCGCCAATATTAGGTAGACACATTAGAACAGATTTACTGAAATTGGAAGGATCAGAGAGAAGCCTGTTAGGGGAGTGTAAGAGGCCAGGGCCTACTTGGGTATTGCCACTGCAACTTAGCAAGGAACACCTGAATTTGGAGACATTTTGAGGTACAAATGACTACACTTAATGATCGATCTATTGAAGGCAATAAAAGGAGGAGCTGGGGATTGAGGACCCCTTCAAGGTTTCTAACTATAGAGATCACTCAGACTGTGACACATGATTAACACTGGGACAAAAAGAAAACAGTAAATTGAAAGAGATGTGCATTTGGGGAGTGGAGGTATTAGGTTTGAGGTGCACTTAAATCATTGAGGTGAATGTATCAGGCATGTTAGATTTGGTTCCAGGTTAGACGATGCTGACATTTTGAAATGAAGTCACTTTTAAAATTGACCACCAGTAATTGCCAGTATTATTCAAAATAGGGAAAATGCTTGTGTTTGATGTTTAAATTATCTGTGTTCTTAAAGTTGTTTTTTGCACATAGTGAAGTGATGCTTTACTTAGGGAAACAGCCCCACTTCTCTGATGAGTCTTTAAAAAAGAAATTCATTTATGAGTGATCTAAAGTGAAACGTGTGAAGCTGGCTACAAAAGAGAAAGTTAATGATTCTACAATTTAATTGCAAGATAATGGTTCAGTCTGGGATGATAGCAGGCTTTCCTTACGTGCACAGCTGAAGAACGCTCACACTGTCACAGGAGTTGGCACACTACAGCCTATGAACTAAGAATCACTTTTATGTTTACAAGGGACTGAAATAAATTAAAAAAATATGTTCAGAATATATGAGACCTCTAATACCTAAGATATTTACTATCTGGCTTTTTCTAGGAAAAGTTTACTGACTCTTGGTCCAGCAAATGACTCTCTTAATTTAAATAATTGGATGGCTATATGATTGAGTTTTTGTTGGTTTTGGTATTATTATACTCTCTTCCTCAAATTCTTCCTGGTATTTGGTATTGGTACTTAATTGTCTTATTTTGGTTTGAAGATTCTCAAGATAGGAATTTCTCTGTTTGATAAGACCCCATTTACTTTGATCTATTTTATTTTACATATGCATATAGATAGTAGGTAGATAAATTATCTTTCCATATATACATATATATGTATGTGTGTATGTGTGTGTATATTTATATATATATATATATACACACAGATACACACACACAATTTTTTGCTTAGAGTGAGGCGAGGTAAAATTTACTTCCCTATGGCTGTCACCAACTGCTGTTTCCTCTGCCTCCCGGTAAAATACAAACAGGCCATCTGATGGACAACTCTAGGCCCATGTAATGACTGCAAAATATATTCTTTCTAAATGTTCTCATTTAGACAAATTTATTCAATTTTCTTTTTTTTTGAGATGGAGTCTCACTCAGTCGCCCAGGCTGGAGTGCAGTGGCGCGATCTCGGCTCACTGTAAGCTCTGCCTCCCGGGTTCACGCCATTCTCCTGCCTCAACCTCCTGAGTAGCTGGGACTACAGGCACCCACCACTATGCTCATTTTTTTTTTATTCCTAAAATAGTTTTATTTATTTATTTATTTGTTTATATTATACTTTAAGTTCTAGGGTACATGTGCACAACCTGCAGTTTGTTACATATGTATACATGTGTCATGTTGGTGTGCTGCACCCATTAACTCCTCATTTATATTAGGTATATCTCCTAATGCTATCCCTCCCCGCTCCCCCCACCCCACCACAGGCCCCTGGTGTGTGATGTTCCCCTTCCTGTGTCCAAGTGTTCTCATTGTTCAGTTCCCACATATGAGTGAGAACATGCGGTGTTTGGTTTTTTATCCTTGCGATAGTTTGCTGAGAATGATGGTTTCCAGCTTCATCCATGTCCCTACAAAGGACATGAACTCATCCTTTTTAATGGCTGCATACTATTCCATGGTGTATATATGCCACATTCGCTTAATCCAGTCTATCATTGATGGACATTTGGCTTGGTTCCAAGTCTTTGCTATTGCGAATAGTGCCGCAGTGAACATATGAGTGAATGTCTTTATAGCAGCATGATTTATAATCCTTTGGGCATATACCCAGTAATGGGATCACTGGGTCAAATGGTATTTCTAGTTCTAGATCCTTGAGGAATCACCACACTGTCTTCCACAATGGTTGAACTAGTTTACAGTCCCACCAACAGTGTAAAAGTGTTCCTATTTCTCCGCATCCTCTCCAGCTCCTGTTGTTTCCTGACTTTTTAATGATCGCTATTCTAACTGGTGTGAGATGGTATCTCGTTGTGGTTTTGATTTGCATTTCTCTGATGGCCGGTGATGATGAGCATTTTTTCATGTGTCTGTTGGCTGCATAAATGTGTTCTTTTGAGAAGTGTATGTTCATATCCTTCACCCACTTTTTGATGGGGTTGTTTGTTTTTCTCTTGTAAATTTGTTTGAGTTCTTTGTAGATTCTGGATATTAGCCCTTTGTCAGATGAGTAGATTGCAAAAATTTTCTCCCATTCTGTAGGTTGCCTGTTCACTCTGATGGTAGTTTCTTTTGCTGTTCAGAAACTCTTTAGTTTAATTAGATCCCATTTGTCAATTTTGGCTTTTGTTGCCATTGCTTTTGGTGTTTTAGTCATGAAGTCCTTGTCCATGCCTATGTCCTGAATGGTATTGCCTAGGTTTTCTTCTAGGGTTTTTATGGTTTTAGGTCTAACATGTAAGTCTTTAATCCATCTTGAATTAATTTTTGTATAAGGTGTAAGGAAGGGATCCAGTTTCTGCTTTCTATATATGGCTAGCCAGTTTTCCCAGCACTATTTATTAAATAGGGAATCCTTTCCCCATTTCTTGTTTTTGTCAGGTTTGTCAAAGATCAGATGGTTGTAGATGTGTGGTATTATTTCTGAGGGCTCTGTTCTGTTCCATTGGTCTATATCTCTGTTTTGGTACCAGTACCATGCTGTTTTGGTTACTGTAACCTTTTAGTGTAGTTTGAAGTCAGGTAGCGTGATGCCTCCGGCTTTGTTCTTTTGGCTTTGGATTGTCTTGGCAATGGGGGCTGTTTTTTGGTTCCATATGAACTTGAAAGTAGTTTTTTCCAATTCTGTGAAGAAAGTCATTGGTAGCTTGATGTGGATGACATTGAATCTATAAATTACCTTGGGCAGTATGGCCATTTTCACGATACTGATTCTTCCTATCCATGAGCATAGAATGTTCTTCCATTTGTATGTGTCCTCTTTTATTTCATTGAGCAGTGGTTTGTAGTTCTCCTTGAAGAGGTCCTTCACATCCCTTGTAAGTTGGATTCCTAGGTATTTTATTCTCTTTGAAGCAATTGTGAATGGGAGTTCACTCATGATTTGGCTCTCTGTTTGTCTGTTATTGGTATATAAAAATGCTTGTGATTTTTGCACATTGATTTTGTATCCTGAGACTTTGCTGAAGTTGCTTATCAGCTTAAGGAGATTTGGGGCTGAGACGATGGGGTTTTCTAAATATACAATCATGTCATCTGCAAACAGGGACAATTTGACTTCTTTTCCTAATTGAATACCCTTTATTTCTTTCTCCTGCCTGATTGCCCTGGCCAGAACTTCTAATACTATGTTGAGTAGGAGTGGTGAGAGAAGGCATCCCTGTCTTGTGCCAGTTTTCAAAGGGATTGCTTCCAGTTTTTCCCCTTCAGTATGATATTGGCTGTGGGTTTGTCATAAATAGCTCTTCTTATTTTGAGATACATCCCATCAATACCGAATATATTGAGAGTTTTTAGCATGAAGCCCTGTTGAAATTTGTCAAAGGCCTCTTCTGCATCTATTGAGATAATCATGTGGTTTTTGTCTCTGGTTCTGTTTATATGCTGGATTATGTTTATTGATTTGCATATGTTGAACCAGCCTTGCATCCCAGGGATGAAGTTCACTTGATCATGGTGGATAAGCTTTTTGATGTGCTGCTGGATTCGGTTTGCCAGTATTTTATGGAGGATTTTTGCATCAGTGTTCATCACGGATATTGGTCTAAAATTCTCTTTTTTTGTTGTGTCCCTGCCCGGCTTTGATATCAGGATGATGCTGGCCTCATCAAATGAGTTATGGAGGATTCCCTCTTTTTCTATTGATTGGAATAGTTTCAGAAGGAATGGTACCAGTTCCTCCTTGTACCTGTGGTAGAATTCGGCTGTGAATCCGTCTGGTCCTGGACTTTTTTTGATTGGTAGGCTATTACATATTGCCTCAATTTCAGAGCCTGTTATTGGTCTATTCAGGGACTCCACTTCTTCCTGGTTTAGTCTTGGGAGGGTGTATGTGTCCAGGAATTTATCCATTTCTTCTAGATTTTCTAGTTCATTTGCATAGAGGTGTTTATAGTATTCTCTGATGGTAGTTTGTATTTCTGTGGGATCGGTGGTGATATCCCCTTTATCATTTTTTATTGGGTCTATTTGATTCTTCTCTTTTCTTCTTTATTAGTCTTGCTAGCAGTCTATCAATTTTGTTGATCTTTTCAGAAAACCAGCTCCTGGATTCATTGATTTTTTGAAGGGTTTTTTATGTCTCTATCTCCTTCAGTTCTGCTGTGATCTTAGTTATTTCTTGCCTTCTGCTAGCTTTTGAATGTGTTTGCTCTTGCTTCTCTAGTTCTTTTAATTGTGATGTTAGGGTGTCAATTTTAGATATTTCCTGCTTTCTCTTTTGGGCATTTAGTGCTATACATTTCCCTCTGCACACTGCTTTAAATGTGTCCCAGAGATTCTGGTATGTTGTGTCTTTGTTCTCGTTGGTTTCAAAGAACATCTTTATTTCTGCCTTCATTTCATTATGTACCGAGTAGTCATTCAGGAGCAGGTTGTTCAGTTTCCATATAGTTGAGCGATTTTTAGTGAGTTTCTTAATCCTGAGTTCTAGTTTGATTGCACTGTGGTCTGAGAGACAGTTTGTTATAATTTCTGTTCTTTTACATTTGCTGAGGAGTGCTTTACTTCCAACTATGTGGTCAATTTTGGAATAAGTTCAAAGTGGTGCTGAGAAGAATGTATATTCTGTTGATTTGGGGTGGAGAGTTCTGTAGATGTCTATTAGGTTTGCTTGGTGCAGAGCTGAGTTCAATTCCTGGATATCCTTTTTAACTTTCTGTCTCGTTGATCTGTCTAATGTTGACAATGGGGTGTTAAAGTCTCCCATTATTAATGTGGGGGAGTCTAAGTCTCTCTGTAGGTCTCTCTGGATGTGCTTTATGAACCTGGGTGCTCCTGTATTGGGTACATATATATTTAGGATAGTTAGCTCTTCTTGTTGAATTGATCCCTTTACCATTATGTAATGGCCTTCTTTGTCTCTTTTGATCTTTGTTAGTTTAAAGTCTGTTTTATCAGAGACCAGGATTGCAACCCCTGCCTGTTTTTGTTTTCCATTTGCTTGGTCGATCTTCTTCCATCTCTTTATTTTGAGCCTATGTGTGTCTCTGCATGTGAGGTGGTTTTCCTGAATACAGCACACTGATGGGTCTTGACTCTTTATTCAATTTGCCAGTCCGTGTCTTTTAATTGGAGCATTTAGGCCATTTACATTTAAGGTTCATATTGTTGTGTGTGAATTTGATCCTGTCATTATGATGTTAGCTGGTGATTTTGCTCGTTAGTTGATGCAGTTTCTTCCTAGTCTCGATGGTCTTTACAATTTGGCATGTTTTTGCAGTGGCTGGTACCAGCTGTTCCTTTCCATGTTTAGTGCTTCCTTCAGGAGCTCTTGTAGGGCTGGCCTGGTGGTGACAAAATCTCTCAGCATTTGCTTGTCTGTGAAGGATTTTATTTCTCCTTCACTTATGAAGCTTAATTTGGCTGGATATGAAATTCTGGGTTGAATATTCTTTTCTTTAAGAATGTTGAATATTGGCCCCCACTCTCTTCTGGCTTGTAGAGTTTCTGCTGAGAGATCAGCTGTTAGTCTGATGGGCTTCCCTTTGTGGGTAACCCAATCTTTCTCTCTGGCTGCCCTTAACATTTTTTCCGTCATTTCAACTTTGGTGAATCTGACAATTATGTGTCTTGGAGTTGCTCTTCTCGAGGAGTATCTTTGTGGCGTTCTCTGTATTTTCTGAATTTGAATGTTGGCCTGCCTTGCTAGGTTGGGGAAGTTCTCCTAGGTAATATCCTGCAGAGTGTTTTCCAACTTGGTTCCATTCTCCCCGTCACTTTCAGGTACACCAATTGGATGTAGATTTGGTCTTTTCACATAGTCCCATATTTCTTGGAGGCTTTGTTGCTTTTTACTCTTTTTTTCTCTAAACTTCTCCTCTTGCTTCATTTCATTCATTTGATCTTCAATAACTGATACTCTTTCTTCCAGTTGATCGAATTGGCTACTGAAGCTTGTGCATGCATCACGTAGTTCTCGTGCCATAGTTTTCAGCTCCATCAAGTCACTTCAGGACTTCCCTATACTTGTTATTCTAGTTAGCCATTCGTCTAATCTTTTTCGAGGTTTATAGCTTCTTTCCGATGGATTTGAACTTCCTCCTTTAGCTCAGAGAAGTTTGATTGTCTGAAGCCTTTTCTCAACTCATCAAAGTCATTCTCCGTCGAGCTTTGTTCTGTCACTGGTGAGGAGCTGCATTCCTTTGGAGGGCAAGAGGCACTCTGATTTTTAGAATTTTCAGCTTTTCTGCTCTGTTTTTTAATTTTTTTGTATTTTTAGTAGAGACAGGGTTTCACCTCTTAGACAGGATGGTCTTGATCTCCTGACCTCGTGATCCACCTGTCTTGGCCTCCCAAAGTGCTGGGATTACAGGCGTGAGCCACCACTCCCGGCCTCAACTTTTAAAATCAATCATTTTATTTGATTTTACTATCATTATGACTTTCTGCCTGAGACTGACTTTCCAAAGCCCTTTCTCAGTTTGATTTGTTTTTTTTTTTTTTTTTTTGAGACAGAGTTTTACTCTTGTTGCCCAGGCTGGAGGGCAATGGCGCAATCTTGGTTCACTGCAACCTCTGTCTCCCAGGCTCAAGTGATTCTCCTGCCTCAGCCTTCTAAGTAGTTGGAATTACATGTCCCCACCACCACACCCACCTAATTTTTGTATTTTTAGTAGAGATGGGGTTTTGACATGTTGGACAGCCTGGACTCAAAACCCCGACCTCAGGTGATCCACCCACCTCAGCTTCCCAAAGTGCGGGGATTACTGGCATGAGCTACCACACCCCATCTCTCCATTTGATTTTTTATTGTAGGCTATTTTTGTTTGTCTATGAAGACTCTTTCTTAAAGTGTGGTGACCAGTCTCATGCTTAGCGCTCCTCATATAATCTGGGCTATCCAGATCATTGTTTTCTGATGAAAGATCCTGGAACGATAGTGTGATACAGGCAATATGAGACCAGGCTTTGAAATCAGGGTTTCCTGGAGACCTCAGTTAGAATTCTGGCTGCAAACATCCCAGTTATCTTGTCTATAAATTGAGGATAATGTGCCTATTTCACATTGAGCATAATGTTCCTATCACATTTATAAGGATAAATGTGATACTTATGAAACATGACTAGTGCAGTGCCTTACACAGAGGAGTTATTCAAGTAATTGCACATACTAGATAATGAAGGTGGTGGTGTGCCTGAAGTTGAAAATGACTAAATGTTTTGTTGGTTAGACTATCATCACTTAATAAACATAGACCAAGGAAGACTTCAGGCCTTTTCTTCAAATTGCTCTAAAATTTGATGACTTGCATCAGAGATTTGTATTTCAGCTTTTTATTTTAACTTAAAATTTAGAAATTTTCTGTTTATAGCTTCTAAATCCTTCTTGCTTTTGAGGCTTGATATTAGCTCACCTTCCCACCTGTTGGCTAGAGGAGCAGAATACAATTCATTAATTTTGACTCTGGGTTTTTCCTGAGACCAGGACCTGGCATTGTGACTACCAGTGGTTTGGCTCATTTCAGTGATACATGACCATAGGACATGATTAGGTGGAACATTTTTCCTGCAGCTTTAGAAAGGCCAGGTAATTTCCTAGTGCCTAATATCTGCAGCCATTCTCCATAAGACAGCTTAGAGAGTATTCAAATCTTCTTGTTTCAGTAACAAATGCCTGGAGGACCAGAAACTAATTTCCTCTCCCATGGTACATTACAGCGTTATTTTCTGGTTTTTCTTCTCTTAGAATTTTGAGATATTGTTAATGCTAGGGGCAGAATTTCTGGATTTGTCGAGTTGGCTTTCGATTCCAAATAGGTCACAACTAAGACTTCAAGAAAACTGAGAAAACTCTCTCTGACCTTAGCCATAGGATATTTAGAACCTGTAAATAACTTTATGTATTATTTATTTTCCTATTTTTCAACCTCTTTAAGTAGCTAATTTTTAAAAATTCCTCCAGAGAAAACTCCCCAATCAGTAAGGTATACAAAAGCTCTTTGCTGTATTTAGATTTGAATTGTTTTAGGCTCTCCATTTACTAAATATGTTAAATTCAAAAGTCATTAAAATTTTTGAATCATTATATTTTTAAATCTTAAAATGAGAATGATAATTTCTGCCTTGCCTATTTCATAAAACAAAGAAGTAAATTCATATAAAAAGTACTTCATAATTTCTAAAATATCATATCACACATTTTCATTTTGATACAGGGAAAGACAAGCACTGATGGTAGTACATGACAATATGATAAATATGTAGTTTAAAGAAGTTATTCTAACAACAAAGAGAAGAAAAGCCTCTAGATAGTTTATATAAAAATAGTTTTCCATTCATTAGTAACTTATCAAATGATTAGAACTTACCATATTAGAATATATCATTTTATTAGGATATATCATTTTATTAGGTTATAGCAATCATATCTGTGATTATTCTACTCATAAATGAGCAGACTAACACTAGTTATTGTCTTGCACCATGGATGACAAATTTGTGTCTTGTCTAAAAGTTGGGAGTGGCTGCTTGGAGGGCTGAACTCACAAAGATTTTGAGGCTTTCTCATTCCATCACAGAAAAGGATTTGAGGCCAGATTAGGATTTACATAAATGGCCACAATTTTCTGCATCTACTCACATCCCAAAGTGGAATCTAATTCTCTGATCATTAAAGATGGACTGGCTTGTGATTTCCTTTAGGTGATAGAATATGGTGAAAGCAATTTTGTTCTGAGTTTTGAGACCCAGGCATTAAGACGCTTTGTTTGATTCCACTCTTGCTCCTCTAACTTATACCACTAAGATCTCTTGAACGAGTGCATAGTATTTTTTAAGGGATTAAATACCATATGGGGCAAAGACCGGCTGTGCCAGCTGAGCCATCTTAGTTCGGTTAGCCCTGAGCCAAATCTGGTGCTGACTATAAATTCATGAGAAGCAAGGCCTGGAACAGCCCAGCCCGGACTAGCAGAATAGCCTCCAGCTCCCCTGCACACTTCTGAACTTGTAAATTCTTTCAGCCACTGAATGCTGAAGTGTTTTATTACAGAGCAATAGATAATTGCTATAATTAGTGATGTAGGGGAAAATATGCATTGTTCACCACTATTACAATAGTGATAGGAGATAATATTAATGTGCATTCTTTACCACAATATAATTACCTTCACTTCTTTGATTTTTTTCTCCCAAGTTCACAATTCTGGGTCAATAGTACACCACTATTTAGAAAGTTGAGGTTCATCATTCACAAAATTTTAGGCTGCGAATGGGGACTAATTGCTTACGCTTTCTGCTAGTACAGTATGTGTTTCTATTTTTGGAGCCTCGCAGCTTGGAACTCTGACAGTCTGCCAGTTTCTCAGTGCCTTTTCCTACATATTACACTCTGTCTTTTATACTGTACCGCTGTTAGAAAATCATCCATGATGAGGATCCATGAGGCCCACACAACCTGTGGACTGACAAATTTAATACTGTATTATTGCAGACATGGCTTGCCTCTCTCTGATATACTTTAAACTTGAATCTAAATGTTCTGCTTGGAGAAATAGAGGGCCGTCTTAATAAATGATCAGTTTACTTAAAAAACAAAAACAGGACTGTGGGTGGAGCTTATCATGAAACAGTGGATACAACTTTCTCTGATGTGTCTCATCTGAATATTTTCAAAAGTAGCCCATCAGCTTGGCAAACAGCTGATGGTGTCACTGAGGGAAGGACCAGAGAGAAATGAGCAACTCCACGGACCTGTGTTGTATTGACGAGAAAGGAGTTTTGTGTCCTGGAGCAGTGCTGTGTATCCTACTGCAATGTTGATGTCATGGTCTCACCTAAAGCAAATGGCATTACTCATGCCAAGGAAGACTTAGGGACAATAGCAGCTCTATCTGTAAATCTTGCCTCTGAAGTTTTGACGCCTTATGGAGGTACTTGTCTTAAGTCTAGATTTGGGGTCTTCAGAAAATTGCTGTTTTTCTTTTCTGAAGCAGGCTACATGAATGATTGGAGTAGATAAAAAATCACTTTCTGCACAATTTTTTTTGTAAATTAATTAATGTATGGAGCCATTCTAATGATAGATAGGGAAATTATTTCCACTGTAACTTGAAGAACAAAAGCTGCCGTATTTTAAGTTAAAGAGGTCTAAAATTTGTCAAGCTTATCGAAATTGCATGAACAATGAAGAGGTGTAAGTTTATAACCCATTATGGAGCACATTAATTTCTTAACATGTATAGTTTTTCTGCCTCGTTACTGTTGGTGTGATCCTTGTGGAAAACAGTGATTTTGGAAAAAAATATGGGTCAGAATAATAGCTTTTAAAGATACTGAGATGTCTCCACTTGATTAGCATGTTGCAAATTAATTTCATTTCATTGACATTGCCCTCTCTGCAGCCTTTTTGCTAAGCTAGAGGCATGATCCACCGAGTTTAGAGATTAAATCCAGATTTGAACTAAATCCTGTAACAATGTTAGCCAAGGCTATAAAAATGGTGAAAAATGGCTTAATAAAGTCAGAAAAGCAGTGAGAAAAAGACAGTATCTAGGTGGAAAAAATGACAACCCAAATTATGTAAGTGAAAGTTTCACCTGTGGTTACCTGGCAGCTACAACATTTACGTAATAAACTTGTGAGCCTTGAATGATTTCCATGCAGGATGTTTCTAGTGCCTGTTGGCTTCATTTTCCTGCCTGTGAAAAGTAGGAAGAGAGGGAAATGAACTAAAGAAGAAACAGTTTGGTTTGCCAGCAACATTTGAAGCTGTACGAGGAATAGGGCTCGCCTGGTTGGAAAACTGTTTATCTTTAGTCTTCCCAGAAAGTAGAAAATTTTTCAGGTGAAATAAAGGTTGAGTCAATGAACAAATCAAGGGTGTATGTATATACTCCTTGTTAACAATCTTTGAAATGTTGACGTTGATCCCCTGTTGGACATTTCAGTTACATAGAGGGCCTTCTAAGTATCCTGACGGCACTATTCCACAACAGCCTGGTGCAACCAAGCGGAGAGTCCTGTCTGTCAGTCTTCCCAGCTCTTTCTCCATTTAGTTCTCCAAATATTTATTTATCTCTATCTATATATGTATATATAGATATTATATAATATGTTATATACACATATAAATATGTGTGTGTAATGCAGATATATAAATGTGTATATATGTATATATACACATGTATGTATATATACACACATATGTGTGTGTGTGTCCATAATATGTCTAATTTCATCTTGACCTCTGCTTCCCAGAAGACCTTTATGTAAGTTCCATAGAAAAAGATGTTCTATGTCCCAAGAGTTGCAATTAAAGATCTAGAATTGTGTCTCATTGACCCAGATTGTTCTGGTTTGGGTTATATGACTAAATTTAAATCAATCACTATGACCAGGAGTCTGTGACATTCTCACTGGATGTTCTTAACTGACATTGTAATGCCTGATAATTGGATGGGACTAAACCCTCTCTACCTCAACACAGTGTGAAGAAAATAATGGAGAGGCAGTTCACCAAGGAAAATTAGGGGCTATAACTAGAGGGAAAATGAGCACAAGGCGGACAAAAAGTATCAAGCATTCGCTCTGTCTTCCACTTACCTTCTAGCCCTTTCTACAGACTGGCAGCTTGTGAATTGTATTCTTTATTTACCATGCTATCAGCCCCTAAATAACACACACAGCCCTTCTGCCTGGCTTTTCACTTCATTTCTTACCTCCCTTTTCTCAGCAAACACACATCTCTTCACAAACACTCCATTGGTTTTCATGTTTGTCTCAGTGCTCTGGTGTGTTTGAAGGGTTTCTCTAAGGCCGACTGACATTTCCTGATTGCTTACTATGTGCTATTTCTGTTTTCCTCCAGGGCCATCATTCTTGGAAAGTCATCCAGTTCATCAATATCCTTTAACACTGTTTGGATTTGTGGGTGTTCATTCAAGCAGGAAGGGAGGCCTATGGAGGTGAGCAGAATCTCACTTATGTGCTTTGTCAAGTACCAGGGGGATTCACAGCAAATAGGGAAACAGGCTTAGTCCTGGTTCTCCTTTCATTATGGGGCTAATAGGACAGAACTATCAGGGTGATGGAAGAGGTGCTCAGGTGAGAGGGGAGGGACAAGCTGTTGAATATGTGTACTTTAGACACATATCTCTTTGTCAGAACATAAAGTCCTGAATATTTTCATCTGAGCCTAAGAAACTGTTGCTATCACTCTTCAGGTCTCAGGGAAGGGCATCATTCAGTGTCCGCTGCACAGCTTGCAGCTGCTCATTGCGAATACTCTCAGATATCCTTGGCTGGTTCGGGCATTTCTCCCAGACTCATAAGAATGATAACATTCTGGCTCAAAGATGCGATTATAGATGAAGTTGTCCGTGGCTGGTATGCAGTTCTGAGAGTACAGTGATACATTTCAGTTACTGGCCAGCCCCAGGCTGCAGCTCAGATCCTCAACAGTTATCTTGTAACTGTTGTCATTCGGTCACAGTGTAGAATATAGATGAGAGCATATGTGATGTGCACAAAGATCACCACTTTTCCTAACTTTCCCAGCTTCTTTTACTATCCTTGGACAAACTTGCTGGACATCGATTACACTGCTGATTACAAAATATTAATTTTTGAATGCTACCATTCTTTCTACCGTTATTAGCTAGTATTTC
This sequence comes from Homo sapiens, assembly GCF_000001405.40. NCBI lineage: Eukaryota > Metazoa > Chordata > Mammalia > Primates > Hominidae > Homo > Homo sapiens. The sequence goes on along the minus strand of NC_000010.11, from coordinate 108,986,860 downwards.
CCTTTGCAGAAGGGAATTTATTTGGAAAGGTGAATTTTTAAAATGTATGTTATGAAATATTTATACTGTCATTGATGTAGACATTCCATGAAAAACTTGTCATGTTTTATAAATAACCAAGGGAAAGCATTTGCTCTGCAGGCCTTGTGGCTGGCGTGTTCAACTCTGTGATCCTCATTCTTTGGATAAGGCAGTGAGCACCCGAGCCTGCTTATTGTCTATTCATGTGTTGTTCATTTTTCACCATATTTCTATCGGTACTGACTCTGATTGTGTCCACATGGTGCTAACTCTATTAAGTTCATCTGTTAGAGAGTTTGTCACAGTGTTTTGGGAGTTCACTGAATAGTTGAATAGTTTTCAACTTATTACATTTCAAAGAGTACTGGACTAGGCGTCTAGAGGAACAGGTGCTGCTAATTAGATTGTGATTCTCAATTTCCACTCCTACAAAATACAGATGTGTGGTTTTGCTTCCCTTTACTAGTCACATTGATTAGTCCTAGAATCCTGTGCCTCTACAACTTTCTATGAATGTTTTTGATGGGTTTCAGATAATGTTTTTATAATGTCTTAACTATTGTAAAATCTTACAGAGCATCTCTAAAAGTTCCCATTCCTCCAAAAATGTTTCCTTAAGGGGATAGGTCTTATTATAGGTGCAAAATCTGGCATAATCACTATCATCATTAACAATCATCTGCATCTGAGTTCATCACCAACATTTATTCAGTGCATGTTATGTGCCAGACATGATGCTAAAGACATTGTATATTTTTTTCTCATGTGTTCTTACAATAAGAGGTAATGGCAGTATCTCAGTTTCATAGATGAGAAAAATTAAATTGAGAGGAAATATTCCTAAAGATGTACAACTAGGAAATGATGAAACCCAGTGCTCAAAATCAGTTTTGTCTGACTTCAAAGTGTATTTCTTTCACCACTGTTCTGTATTCACTACCAAATTGATAAAATAAATGAGATAAATTACTGCATCCTTTATGTGGTGTATTACCAAATTAATCAGTAGAGCAAGGATATGTTTTTGCATTTCATATATAGCTCCCCAACATCAATATATACCCACAGTGCATATTGATGGCTATCCTTAAATTTTACCTCTGTCCAGCAAAAATAGGCCCAAGTTTTGTTCATTCTAAGGCTGCCATAATAAAGTATTATCAAATATTTAAACATCAAAATGCTTCCCCAGGGTGACCTTTCTTTTCTACCTCTCTTGTTACAAACTGTTGTTGCTTTATTAGTTTTTTCTGTGTTAGAATTTGTTTCAGTTATTCCTATATGTTTCCAGAATTGAATATTACAGTTACTCATTACATTTTAGAAATATTTGCTCACAGTAATAGGCAAATAAAAGTCCAAGATATAAAGTAACCTCTGTGTTGATGTCTTGAACTTAAATAGAATATTTGGAGCAAGGAATATTTCTATTTTTTCTCTCATCAAACTTTTGACAATAGAAGTAGTTATTTTTATTTCTGAGTTTCATATGTTTACAAGATAATGGAGTTTGTTATTTCTCCACAGAACCACTCATAGGAGAAAAAAAAAAAGGCAAATTCTCTTAGAGTTGCCCTGGGATCTCGGATTCCTCTCCACCTCCCTTTTCCACTCCAGCCTGCCCTTTGAGCTAACTTTCATAAATGTTTAGAGGCCAGAAACAGAGAGAGGACTGCCAGGAAGAACTTGTATATGTTCTACTATTTGCATATGTTTATGTAATGTGCTTCCAGACATTTCCCTGTAACCTCAAGTTGTACATTTAAAAATTAAAACCTGGGCTAGGCACAGTGGCTCATGCCTGTAATCTCAGCACTTTGGGAGGCCAAGGCGGGCTGATCACCTGAGGTCAGAGTTCAATTTGAACTCTGATTCAGGTTACCTGAGGTCAGACCAGTCTGATCAACATGGAGAAACTCTATTTTTACTAAAAATACAAAAATTAGCCGGGCGTGGTGGCGCGCGCCTGTAATCCCAGCTACTTGAGAGCCTGAGGCAGGAAAATCGCTTGAACCCAGGAGGTGGAGGTTGCAGTGAGCTGAGATTGTGCCATTACCATTGCACTCCAGCCTGGGTGACAAGAGCAAAACTCCGTCTCAGAAAAAAAAAAAAAAATCCTTTACATTTCTACTCAGTTTAAGGAAGAAAATTTTGTAAGTGAATATTTATGGTAGCAGTCATTTAACATGTTATCATAAAAAACTGGCAAAAGAAGAAGAACCTGAATGTAGAATGGGTTAGTCATATACTCATATTAATGGCCCTTTGGCCCATTGTATTCTATATTTGGCATTAAAAGCCCGTGGTGGTGAGAACTGAAACAAGAACATAAAAAATACGGCTCTGTTTTTTTTTATTTTATTGCAAAATAAATACAGATTGGACATCCCTAATCTGAAAATTTGAAATCCAAAATGCTCCAAAATTTAAAACTTTTTGAGTGTCACCATGACTCTGCAAGTGGAGAATTTCACGCCCGATCTCATGTGAAAAGTTGCAGTCAAAACTTTGTTTTATGCACTAAATGATTCAAAATGTTGTATAAAATTACCTTCAGGCTACGTGTGTAAGGTCTATATAAAACACACATGAGTTTTATGTTTAGACTTGGGTCCCATTCCCAAGATATCTCATGTTGTATATTTTTTATATGCAAATATTCCAAAATCCAAAATTATCTGGAATTCAAAACATTTCTGGTCCTAAACATTTTGAATAAGTGATACACTGTGTGTATGTGTGTGCACACACACATATGTGTATTTTTTTTACTTGACCTTAAATTTTCCTCATACTAAGCCATATGAGACTGGGTAAATCATTTCCATATTTTAGATAACTATACAAAATAATAGATACAATGTATGCAGCCCTTAGATGTGCAGTCCCAGTATTTAGTAGGCACAGCTATGAAAGGTGATGGAGGGCAGAGGCAGTGCATTAGACTAGCTACCTTTTCTTCATGTATTTACCATCCAGTAGTTGTGGAATCAAGAAGAAACATGTGAAAGGTCAATAATACATGGAAGCCTATTATTATTCATAAACATGAAACATCTACAATGGAATAGTAGGGTTAAAGAAGATTAATAAAAGAAATATTTTAGAATTGGGCAAGGACAATACCTAAAGAATACATGAAGGTGAATTTTTCAATTACAGTTGACCTTTGAACAACACAAATTTGAACCGCAGAAGTCCTCTTATATGTGGATATTTTCCTATAAATGTCACACTGAGTAGCCTGCCTCTCCTGCCTCCCCTTCTACCAACTTCATTCCTTCTGGCTTTGCCACCTCTGAGACAGCAGGACAAACCCCTCCTCTTCTTCCACCTCCTCAGCCTACTCAACATGAAGATAATGAGAATGAAGGACTTTATGATGATCCATTTTCACTTAATGAATAGGAAATATATTTTTTCTTCTTGTGATTCTCTTAATAACATCTTTTTTTCCTCTAGCTTACTTTATTGTAAGAATACAGCATATAATTTATATAACATACAAAATGTGTTAATCAATTGTTTATGTTATTGGTAAGGCTCCTGGTCGATAGGAGGCTCTTAACAGTTAAGATTTGGGGGAGTCAAAATTTATATGTGGATTTTTTTGATTGTATAGTGTGTTGATATCCCTAACTCCTCCATTGTTCAAGGGTCAACTGTATATCTCTGTGACATATTTTGATATTTGAAAGATTGGATTAGAACTGAATGAGTTAATGTGGAAAGATGTGTATTCTTTATTTATAACATGCTTATGTTTTATGTATGTAACAAACTGTATCTTAAATACTCCTCCCACACAAGTCTATGTAGTTTGTATTATTATCATGACTTTACAGATGTCCAGACAACATAAATACAAATTTGTATAATCCCTAAGTTTCCAATTTCCATACACATATTTCATTGTCAAAGCAGGGGCTACAGAGGCAAGTGTTAGAAACAGGAAGATACCTAATAGTTTTGTTGAATTTCTAGATCCAGCCTTACCGAAGGTATTTTCTCAGTTGATTTGTTTTCTTGTTTTAGCTTAAGGGACTCAGGACTCAGTTTAAATTGGGTTTTTGACACTGTAATCAACAGTTATGATTTTAGCACAGAAAAAAGGAAGGGGCAAATTTAGGATCTCTCCAGCAGTAGGGGTGGGGAAATTATTCAGGGGTGACCTTATTTTCCTCTTTATTTGGTAGGAAGAAACTGAGTTTTCTTTTTTTTACCTTATGAAGGGAGCTTGCGAATTTCTAACTAAGCTAAGCAAAAGATAAAGCAGGAGAAGACTAATATTTATTATGAAACATTTAAAATGAGTGCTCTTCCACTTTAACTGATTTAGATACATTATAGTGGTGGAAGCCGGGAAGTGATGCATTTTTCTAGACCCAAACATCATTTATTTTGTTTGCACTAGCTGTTTTCAAGAGAGCTGCTTCCCCCGTCCTTTCTCATGCCCCTCTGTCTCTTTACCAATTAATCAGCCAATTAGTCATTTGTCTTTATAGCTTCCTTTCCCTTTCCCTTCTCCATGATTTTTCATCTTAAGGAGATAAATCTTCTGAGAGAGAAACCTCTAACCTTGAACTAGGTAAACAATCTAGTGCTGCCAATTATCTTCTTAAAGGAATGCAATGCAGGTTTTATGCATCTCCTGAATGTCAATTCCTTATCCCCAAAGAGAAAGCGGTGGAATTTCCTGTGTTCACATCTTAAACAGAGGCAGCCTTTTCTCTTTTCCTCTGATTTCTGATTATCATGACTTACAGTAATAAAGTTCAAGGGAATGGGTAGAAGGAAGATAAATTGTGGTTTTTAATGAGAGTAATGCTTTATCATTCCCGCCAGACTGGAGTTCTGTGTAGGCACCAATGAAATAAGGGCATCAGGACTCATAAACACACACACAAATGAGCTTTCTAGTAAATGTTCTTTATCATGACCAGCCTGAGACTGAGTGCTACATAACCACGTAGACATTTTTGTAAGCAGCTATTTCAAGATCACTTCAGGGATTTGAAGAAGAGAGCAGTGAAGGATGGGAGCAGGTGAGGAGCATTCCTGCATATAGGCAAATCTGCCTTCATGTGTCCTCAAAATTATAAAGAGGTTGGAAAGATCCACTGCAGCCACTAGCAGTGTGGATCTCAAGAGAGTTGTAGGCAATGGAATTAGTTAAATCAGTTCATCGTTTGGAGAGGGAAAAAAAATGAGAAAGTGACCCAATAGTAAGAGGTTTATAGAAGATAAATTGGTATACAGGTGTTATTCATAACAACTGAGATTGCAGCAAGAATAGATGCCCTCGCCATCCATATGGAAAAGTCATATTAAGCATGTGGGAAAACATTCTGACAGGTAAATGTGAAAGATTTTGAGTGGATGGCAGAGGACAGAAACTGAAGCTTTCTGTCTTAAGGCCTAGAAAGGAAGAATTTCCATCCGTGAAAATTCTTAGAAGTTCCGTAATGTCCTCAAGATTTCTTCTCAACACAGTCACCAGGGTTTGAGAAAGTGTTTGTGATGAAGGCATATTGAAATGTAGGTCAACTGCTTCTGATTCTATTGCACAGAAGGAGAGAAAAAGAGGGAGGATAAAGCAAAAGAGCAAGAATTAATAAACAAGGGAGAGGCATGAATATCCTGGGTAGGATTAAGGCTTTGAGCAAAGGCCAGAAACTGCAGTGTGCATTGAATCATGAGGGGATCTAATTAACTATCAGATTCTGATTTAATGCCACTGATTTGGGGCTGATTGTCTCCATTTATATCAGGCTTCCAGGTGATGCCAGAGCTGCTGCTCTTCAGAACACACTTAGAAAAGCAAAGATAAGGGATGCAAGTGAATTACAGGGTAAAATGAACATCAACAATTTTAAAGGAGAAAAGAAGGAAAATACATGCTAAAAAGTGGAAAATCTACAGCATGAAGGCATGAGTGTATGGAAGCTGGTGCTCAGTATTTACAAGATTGTTTGTTATACTCCTTAAAGTCAGGTACATGGCTGAAAAGCTGGAATATGCTTGTTATTGCACAAGTCTCTGTTTTTGGCAACAATTCGCATCACCAATTTATTCTTCCCCTTCATTATCATTTTTTTACAACCCATCTATTCCCAAAAGTATTACAAGGCTGAAGCAAGCAAGCTGATTTGCCATACCCAGCTATGTCTTGGAAGGTAAGACAGGAAATAGAGCAGCTGAGATGAGGACTAGGATCTCCAGTTGGGGAGAAATAAAATGGTGGTAACAGCATGAGTTTTGCAGTCTTTAATATTACATCTAGTTTTGGCACCTACAAAATTCAAATTAAGTTTCTCATCCTCTATGAGTTTCAATTTTCTTATAAAATGTGAAAATTATATTGTACCTAGGTTTATATAAATATTAAATAATTCATGTGTAGTTCTTAGGGGACTTATATTATGGAAAGTACTCATTCTGATCATTATTATTAGTTGAATTGGAAGCCACAGAAACTTCTTGAGGGAGAATTTTAGTGATTTATCCTTCAATAACTTCTATCTTGAGCCCTACTTAAGAGCTTATGTTCAGACTCTGAGGTATCCCACTTTCCAACCTTGAAGATTTTTTTATAAAACATGTTACTCATTGCACACTGGGGGGTTACTTGTGAAATGAAACTGAGAAAAATTGAGTTGTCAAGGTGAGATTAACCCAACAGCTTGAGAAACCTAAAAAAGATAATCATACTCTATGTGGCATATATATTTATGAGGAATCTAAGAGACACATTTGTCCTTAAGCTTTCTACCAAACAGAAGAACCCGTATGTCTGTCCATGCCAAGATGGAAGCTGATAGTCCTTTGCGTTGGTTTAGAAAAAGTACTCAGAAAAATTAATGTTTTGGCATTGAATAAGGTAAATTTACTTCACTTGACGTGGGTATTGTTAAGCAAAGGATCTGAGGATATTTGCTAGTCTAGAAGAAAATGAACAAGGCATTCTGATGAATTGCAAGGAATTTTGGACTCTGGGATCAGATAATCCTGATTTAAAATTTCAATTTGGCCACTTAGCAGCTATTTGGCATTTGTCCCATTTCTTAACTGATATGAGATTTCATTTCCCACACATAAAATGTATGTACACACATATGCACACACACACAGAGAGATATAAAACTTATAACTTGTATAAGCATTGGTCATAATGTTTAGTAGAAACAAAACAAAACAAAAAACAGGCAAGCGGGAGGTTGAGGCAGGCAGATCATCTGAGGTCAGGAGTTCGAGACCAGCCTGGCCAACATAGTGAAACACTGTCTCTATTAAAAATGCAAAAATTAGCCAGGCATGATGTTGGGCACCTGTAATCACAGCTACTCAGAAGGCTGAGACAGGAGAATCACTTGAATCCAGGAGGCAGAGGTTGCAGGGAGCCGAAATCAAGCCATTGCACTACAGCCTGGGTGACAGAGTGAAACTCCCTCTTAAAAAACAAACAACAACAAAAACAAGCAAACAAACAAAAAACTAGGCATGATCAAGAAGTGGAGGCTTATGGAGATAGCTCCATGGAAAGCATGTGTGTTCATCTTAGGCCCATTCTTCACATTGGCTAGAAAATTTGGACTGATTGTTTATTAATTCAGGAAAAGCGTATCAACACAGGTGATGACCCTCTGTAGAAGCTTGGTGAAACTGCATAGACATGTTAATTGAGGTTTGATAAACATTTATCTTTGGAAAGTGGGATTAAGTTCCAAGGAGATGGTGATGGATATGGTGAAAAAAGCAGTGACTCTTGGAAAGTAGTAAGAACCAGGCCATGACCACCTGTATTAGTCTGTTTTCATGCTGCTAATAAAGACATACCCATGTGTGGGTAATTTATAAAGGAAATACATTTAATTGACTCACAGATTAGCATGGCTAGGGTGACCTCACAATCATGGCACAAGGCCAAGGAAGAACAAAGTCACGTCTTACATGGTGGCAGGCAAGAGAGCATGTGCATGGGAACTGCCCTTTATAAAGCCATAAGATCTCATGAGACTTATTCACTATCATGAAAACAGCATGGGAAAAACCCTCCCCAATGATTCAATTACCTCCCACTGGGTCCCTCCCATGTCACATGGGGATTATGGAGCTACAATTCAAGATGAGATTTCGGTGAGGACACAGCCAAACTATATCATTCTGCCCCTGGCCCATCACAGATCTCACATCCTCCCATTTCAAAACATATTATGCCTTCCCAACAGTCCCTCAAAGTCTTAACTAATTCCAGAATTAACTCAAAAGTCCAAGTCCAAAGTCTCATCTGAGACAAGGGAAGTCCATTCTGCCTATGAGCCCGTAAAATCAAAAGCAAGTCAGTTACTTCCTAGACACAATAAGGGTACAGGAATTGGGTAAATACACCCATTACAAATGGGAGAAATTGGCCAAAACAAAGGGGCTGCAGTCCCATGCAAGCCTGAAATCCAATAGCGCAGTCATTAAACCTTAAAGTTCCAAAATTATCTCCTTTGTCTGCATGTCTCACATCCAGGTCATGCTGATGCAAGAGGTGGGCTCCCACAGCCTTGAACAGCTTCACCCCTGTGACTTTGGAAAGTACAGTTCCCCCTCTAGGCTGCTTTCATGGGCTGGCATTGAGTGCCTGTGGCTTTTCCAGGTGCATGGTGCAAGCTGTTGGTGGATCTACCATTCTGGGGGCTAGAGAATCATGGCTTTCTTTTCAGAGCTCCACTAGGCAGTGCTCCAGTGGGAACTCTGTGCGGGGGCTCCCTCCCCACATTTCCCTTCTGCACTGCCCTAGGAGAGGTTTCCATAGCACATGTTTCCATATATGAAAACATCCAGGCATTTCCATACATCCTCTGAAATCTAAGCAGAGGTTCCCAAACTTCAATTCTTGACTTATGTGCACTTGCAGTCTCAACACCACATGGAAGTTGCCAAGGGTTGGGGTTTGTGTCTTCTGAAGCAACAGCCTGAGCTGTACCTTGGCCTTTTAAAGCCATGGCTGGAGCAGCTTGGACACTGGACACCAAGTCCCTAAGCTGCACTCAGCAGGGGGCCCTGGATCTGGCCCAGGAAACCATTTTCCCTCCTAGGCCTGCAGGCCTGTGATGGGAGGGGCTGTTGTGAAGGTCTCTGATGTGCACTGGAGACATTTTCCTCATTGCCTTGGTGATTAACATTAGACTCCTTGTTACTTTTGTAAATTTTTACAGCAGGCTTGAATTTCTCCCCAGAAAATGGGTTTTTCTTTTCTATTGCAAAATTTTCAAACTTTTATGTTCTGCTTCCTCTTGAATGCTTTGCCACTTAGAAATTTCTTCTGTCAGATACCGTAAATCATCTCTTTCAAGTTCAAAGTTCCACGGATCTCTAGAGCAGGAGCACAATGCTGCCAGTCTCTTTGCTAAAGCATAACAAGAGTCACATTTGCTCCAGTTCCCAACAAGTTCCTCATCTCCATCTGAGACCACCTCCACCTGGACTTTATTGTCCATATCAGTATTAGCATTTTGGTCAAAGCTGTTCAATAAGTGTCTAGGAAGTTACAAACTTTCCCACATCTTCCGGTCTTCTTTTGAGCCCTCCAAATTGTCCCGAGCTCCCCTTGTTACCCAGTTCCAAAGTTGCTTCCACATTTTTGGGTATCTTAATATCAGTACCCCACTCCTGGTACAAATTTACTAGGGACACAGCCAAACCATATAACCACCATTGCAGTGCTTCTCTAAAAAGGCAAAGCCAGTCCTTAAAGCACTGGTAACAGGCTGTGACTCCCTTAGGTCAGCTTCACTGTAATCAGTCATAGTGACCAAGAATCCAGTCCAAAATATTGGATCCTCAAAAAGAAAGCATTTGAGAAACCTTGAGACAATGGCTCCTTTTCATTCCTATCTCTATTCATCTCAGCTAATCTGCCTCTGTCTCTCTCTTTAGAACAATTTTCTCTGCTACTAAAGCAATGCAATGGTAGAAAATGACTGCCCCTCAAAATTTAAAATGTACATAATTTACTCTCAACATGTACATTCTGGCTCTCAGGAATTCCCTAAAACCCAATTAAAGATCATCATAAGAGAATCAAGTGGATCAAGCATCCACTTGTGTTTCAATCCAGATTGGCCAGAGAGTCAGAGTTGCACAACAGACTAGAACACCACTCCTGTGGATGAGGCAGCCATTCAAAACTGGGATGACATCTCAAGGAAAATGGACATGAGTTGCACAGACATAAGGTGAAACAGACCTGCTTTCCACATTCATCAAAAGACTGTCAGTGATCTCCCAGCCAATTTTCCCACTTTTTGGCTTTGTTCAGTTCATGTGGGTGATGTGGTTGTGCTGTGATGAGTAATTGCTACATGAATAGAGTCACAAGAGAGGCATAATACAGGACGGTTTTATGCTACCTTTCTGGAGAACAAGATACTAGGGACCCTTTCACCACTTATCCCACACTTTCATTTCACATGTGAAAACATTCCATTTTAATTTGGAGCCCTTTGTCTTCTTAGAGGGATACAGTAAGACAAAGCTCCCCTTCACACCCTCTTCAAATAAAGGATCATATGCTAAGAACATACACATATTTTCAGTTACTTCAATATAAATTATACATTGATCTATCTTTTTTTCCCTGTAAATTCTGCATCAAAGCTTAATTAACTTTCCTATCAGTAAGAGCAGAGGTGCAGTAATATTTCTCAGAATGTTAAAAGGAATTGTTGGTTGTCATTCTCTTTATTATTTCCTTCCCAGCCATTTGAAGGATAAATGCTGCTGTCATGTTTACAGAAGCACCTGCATGAATCTGGATATTTTATTATTGGAGTCTTATGTTGACAAATTTCCACAATGTTGTAATTTATGTTCTTGTAAATCACCATGCTGGGGTAATAAAGAATAAGTGTTTATGACAAGAAATGGGCTTAGCAGATGCTAAAAGGAGCATCAGTCATTGTTTGTCTTTTTTACTGACTCTTAAGTCCTATCCTACAACTTGACTCCCTTCTCAAACTGCAGTTCAGAATGATGTCGTTAGGTTGTATTTTTAGAAGAGGAATCACGGCAATTTGGCATGACAAATGGCATATTTGCTACATTTCTTGTGCTGACTCCAGTAATTTAATAAGTATCATTCAGAGTATGTGTTAAAAAGAATGCTTAAACCTTGTATAGACTCAGCTAGAAACTGCTGATTAGTGCTGACCATCATAGACAGAGGGGAGAAGAGTGACTACATATGAGCCATAATATTTGCCAACTAAGTATTTAAAAATAGACCAAAGTATACAGAAGCTTTCAAAACCTGTGATAGCAATCAGATGTCATAGAGCCTGGAGATATGTGATTGTCACATACTGGCGTTAAATCACCCAGAGGACAGTTGATTTATTTTCATAGACTTCTGCAAATCTTTAATCATGTAACAAAAGCTCAACATCTACTGACCATTTGCTAAGTGCCAGGCATTCTTTCTCTCAATTTTCACAACAGCTATTGCATGGGTGTTCTATATTTCCTGGTTTATTCTCACCAAAAAAAAAAAAATGCAGATGGACCATGATTATTTATAAAAATCAACCCTTGGTGTCATTAGTAATTTTTCAGAACAATGAATATTAGATCCATAAACACACAGTTACTATGAAGTGCTAAGTATTATCATACTTACCTTTTGAAGATGAACTTTTGGAAAATGGCAGGAGAAAAAAAAAGGTATAGACTTTTTCATGTTCTTTTCTATTACCCATAATGGGACCTTTAAATACAAATGCAAAAGAGAAGGAATCATATAGAAAATTTGTATGCAATGGAATGTCCTGTTTATGTTTCTTTATGTTCAGATACCACCAAACACAACTTCACTGCATATAAATATTTTATGGAACTCATTTGTGTTGTACTTCATTATCATTTATCTTCTACCATTATTTATCAGTTACGGTAAGAGCTAAAAATAGTACATGAAAGTTAAAGTAATAGTCAGGGGCCACCTCTCTCCTCCACCAGAGAAATATTATCTAGAGAATATGGGTCAAGAAGAATTACTTTTATTAAAATTTGCTTTGCAAGTTTCCCTTCTTTATTCTGACATTTGTGGTAAAATTATATGTCGACCTTCAATACATTTCTTGAAAACTCATATAGAGATGGTCAATGATTTACATAAGGAGGCTCAGGTCATATAAACAAATCTTCCATTTCAGACATTATTATAACCAGATTTTATTTTCTTGGAAAATAAAGCCAAAATATGAGCAATAGCCAGTTGCATCTGCACATCTTTGCGATGAGCCCTGCTTGAAAAGGCAAGGAGGTTGTTCCTAAACCCGGTGGGTGTGCTCTGCCATAGCTGTACTGCTGTTCCATCTAAAAGATAGTGAAACTCAGGGATGAAGCATCACACGGCAGAAAATGGGGCCATTTTTGAGGATGTTTTTATTTTTATTTTTGTAGAATCAGGAAGGTTTTATGAAAAAGAAGTAGCACAGAAAGCACCTAAAATCTTTAGCTGTAATTGTACTGCAAACAGAATATAAAGATAAAATGAACAATGATAGAGTGAAAGGACGAGACCTTTGGACTCCCAGAGACCTGCTCACAACCTTTGTCTACCACTTTTCAACTGCGTGAGACAAGTCACACTGGTTAATAGATCCCTAAGACTGGTTCCTCACCTTTGAAAGTAGAATTAGAAAAATGCCCATTGCTGGTTTCATGAGGTGGGCTTGGTGCCAACATGCAGAAAGGATACTACAGGTTGGATTCCATAGTCTACAGCATGAGCAAATATTGATCTATTTATGGAAGGACTAATTGTTCCTTCTGGCACAGAAGAGGGATGATGTCAAATCTGGAGAAGAAAAAGGAGTTGTGCATTACAGAATATTAATATTTGATATTCAATTTTAAGATTATCTCTGCATCAATAAACTTTTCTGATTCAAAATTCACAAATTAGACTTGATTAGCACTGAATCTTTTAATTAGAAGGGAGCAGGCATAACTTGTTGCTATATTCTGCTAGTCTTAAAATTAACATTTTAAAATATGCCTTTTGATTTTTGAGACAGAGTGTGGAGTGATAAAAAGGAAGGTAGATTGCTGTTTTTAATCCTGGATACACCATTTTTTAGCTATGTGACCTAGGACAAGTTAACTAGTGCCTCTCAGCCTCAGTTGATTCACCTAAAATGAAGATTAGAATCCTAGCTCTGTCAACCTGATAGTTTTTTTAGGACCACTATGGCCTTTTCGTGAAGTGATTTTTCCCCTGCTCTGGAAAGCTGTACCCCTAGATCACCCTTTCCATTTATTTTATGTCATGGGTCACATTATTCCTGATGATCTCCTTTGATTTATTATATTATACAGTCCTTGAGGACAGGGGAAGTATGTTCTTCATTGTATTTCTACCAGTGCTTGCCATATAGTAGGTGCTCAAAATGGCTTTAAGGGAGGAAGGAAGGAAGATAAGGAAAACACACTTATTGATTGAATAATTACTTCATGCTTTCATTTATTTTAGAATTTGTGATTTAATGCCAGGTGTTGTTATGATGTTTAGCCAAAAATAAAATGAACTCCCAATTTCAGCTCTTCTCAATGAAAACATCTTGTTTTCTATGACTTATTATTTTTGTGCTGCCATCGGGTGAGTAGCTTGTGACTGTTTGGTCCACCTTCATGCTTAGAAAACTTACAAGGACCCAAGGCAGTGGAGCTCACTTAATGGTTGTCTGAATGGGTTGGAGAAAAAACAAGAAGAAAAGGGTAAAACTGGTTTATAGATGATGCGGCTTCTTCAAAAGACTTTCTCTGGGCATCTGCTTTCTGCCAGGAGTACGGAAAGGATTCTGTCAGTTCAAGAAATAACCAGGTGTGCTTTAGAGCTTTAGAGAGTACATGCACCTGGGAGAAGTGATATCCTCTCTCATAATGCTCTCTTCTGTCCTTTTCTTTGTAGAACAGTATTTTGTTTGTTTGCTCGCTTGTTGTCTTTAGAATTTGTTCACAACACAATTTTATTTGAATGTTAAACTCTTCTGGACCAAAACACATGCACACACACACACACACACACACACACAGACACCTCTCTCTCTCTCTCTCTAAAGTTTTCTTTAAGCCTAACGCTTCCAGATCCAATTTTTATAAGCCCACAGCATGACCAATTATCTCCTTAGAGTCTCAAAATGTGTTTAAAATCTCTAAATGTGATGAATAAATATTGTACCACCTAGTATGGTTTGGATCTGTGTCCCCACCAAATCTCATGTCGAATTGTAATCCCCAATGTCGAAGGTGGGGCCTTGTTGGAAGTGATTGGATCATGGGGATTGACTTCTCATGAATGGTTTAACACCATGCCCCTTGATACTTTCATCATGATAGTGAGTTCTCATGAGATCTTGCTTTTTATTTATTTTTTATTTTTTTATTTTTATTATTATACTTTAAGTTTTAGGGTACATGTGCACAATGTGCAAGTTAGTTACATATGTATACATGTGACGTGCTGGTGCGCTGCACCCACTAACTCGTCCTCTAGCATTAGGTATATCTCCCAGTGCTATCCCTCCCCCCTCCCCCCACCCCACAACAGTCCCCAGAGTGTGATGTTCCCCCTCCTGTGTCCATGTGTTCCCATTGTTCATTTCCCACCTATGAGTGAGAATATGCGGTGTTTGGTTTTTTGTTCTTGCGATAGTTTACTGAGAATGATGATTTCCAATTTCATCCGTGTCCCTACAAAGGACATGAACTCATCATTTTTTATGGCTGCATAGTATTCCATGGTGTATATGTGCCACATATCTTGCTTTTAAAAAACATGCAGCACCTCCTGCTTCTCTTTCTCTTTATCCTGCTCCTGCCAAGTAAGACACCTGTTCCCGCTTTGCCTTCCACTATGAGTAAAAGTTCCGTGAGGTCTCCCCAAAAGCAGTTGCTGTCATGCTTCTTGTACAGCCTGAGGAACTGTGAGCCAATCAAACCTCTTTTTTGTTCCTATGAATTACCCAGTCTCAGGTATTTCTTTACAGTAGTGCAAGAAGGGACTATACACCACCTTTCATTTTACTTTCTTTTGTTTTGTTCTGAGAAGAAGATATGCCATCAAGTTAAATCTCTCTAAAGACAGACTTCAAGCAACTAATGTAGAGCTTCATGGTTAGGGGTAGTTTGTCATAGAACACATGAAGCCACAGGTACATACAGTCTACTTTCCCAAGAGTGCCTATTTTTTTCAATGATATTGGGAAATGTATTTATACTAAACCAAATATTAATAAATGCAAAAATACACTGGTATTTTAAAGATAAACAGACACCTCGAAGAAATGGCTCACTCATACCTGGCCATTTCATGTGGCTACCTCAGGTCACCCAAGATGACTGGTAGAGAATCTCCAAAGTTAGACTTACCTGAGACACTCTGTATGTGAAGAGGTTCTTGGTAGAATAGAATGGTTCTAACTCTAAAACCATTGTTCTCTCTATGATACAGGTAGGCTAAGATCTAAAATTCTAACATTAGAATTTATGTACTGACTTTCAGGGTTGATTCATTTAGACTTGACTATGTTTTTAAAAATCTTCTAGTTACTTCCTACACAGTGTCTTAGATTATTCTGTTCACATGTGTCAGGAAATAATTTCCCATCACTTAATTCCTAATATTTGCATACCCTTCTCATTTTGTAAGGCCAGTCTCAAATTCTACTTACACACACACACTCACAACAGACTTCTTTGAAAACTCTGTTCTCCTGTTACTTTCAGCCAGAATTTATCAAATGTATCAGAAGTTTAATAAATGCATGTTAAATCTTAATCCTCTAAAGACACTATTTCAGGCACCTGGGATATGGCTTGGCAAAAGAAATTATCTGGGTTACATCTCCACTGTTATCTTTATTTTCACTTACAATTGTTGGT
This sequence comes from Homo sapiens, assembly GCF_000001405.40. Taxonomy (NCBI): domain Eukaryota; kingdom Metazoa; phylum Chordata; class Mammalia; order Primates; family Hominidae; genus Homo; species Homo sapiens. The sequence continues at coordinate 108,970,906 of NC_000010.11, read as the reverse complement.
ATTTATTTTTTATTTTGCAAACCACTTGTTATAGTTACCTATAAATATATGGTGCACTGGACTGGACATGAACGTTGAAGTCATCAGACTTGGTGCTAAATCAAAGCTTTACTAGTGACAAATATGTGGCCTTGAAAAACATCATTTGACTTCTCTGAATCTTAGCCTTTGCATCTTAAAATATAGAGAAAATATTTGTATTATCCATCAATTATGATAGATGTTAAATATATGAAAAACTGTGTATCTATAGCATGAGATGTTCAGCAGTCAGAGAGCCACAAATATTGTTCTCCCGTTACTCTTATTAAGTCTATAATGGTCTTTGAGGGCAGCACACTCCATAGAATTCAGCAGCTTGATAAGCAAATGCTAGAAACAAAATAAAAGGTTTACAAAAATCAAGATAAAGAATGAGTATCACTGGCTATACTCTAGGGAGAAGTGACATAGTCATAGATGCTTTCAAACAAATGTAGGGTTAGAGAACAAAGCAATGTGGAGGGGGCATCATTAAATGTCTGTAAGGTGCGGATTGGGGGTGATTCAGTATGCAGAAACTGAGATCTCAAATTGGACCTAACTTTATTGTTTATCAATGACCAGTTCTATCTACCACCATACCCTTATATGTAGCTCTTTCTTTCCCTTCTCTGTTCTTAGGTGGTGGGGAGAGGGTCACAGGCATTTCAGGACCAAGGACAGCACTAGGTTGCTTTTCAAAACCCAGTTCTGTCTCTGCACTTTCAGGACCTATGATGGAGGGAGTCCTATTGGGCACTACCACAAGAAGGTTCATTTTTATTCTTGAATCAGTGACATATCCCTGAGAGTTGGATGTTTTATCCTGAGGTTCTCTAAGCACCTAGTTTCCTCTTTTCCCAGAACAAACTTTTCATCAAGTGATTCTGATATTGCAGCTAAATCGTTCTCATAGTTATGATATTATACTAAACAAAAACTAATTTCAGATCATTTCAGATCATGAATATATGAAAGGGAATATCATAATGATCTTAAAGTGCTGAACGGATAGGGTCATGTGTTGGAGCTATGCTAATTGACTTCCTGAGAAGAGTTCCTCCTGGGGTTCCAGTAACCTTTCATTTTAATATATGCCAAAATTAGAGACTTCTGTAAGCTACTGCCACCCAAGTACATTGCAGAATTTTTTAAATGTCTAAACTAGAAACATTTCAATGAGTCTAGCAGAGAATGGAGTGCCAAGAAGATAGACTGATTGTATCGTTCATTACAATTATTTTCACCTCCTCAATTCTTCCCAAAGGCCAAGAAAAGTAGCTTTATTTTCATTTTATGAACAGTATAACTCTGGAGTTTGTAGTGGCTATAACTTACTCCTTCAGTCAGTTTCTGTATTACAACAAAAGCTTCCTGGACCTTTTACCAGTTGGTCACATCATTAATAAATGTCTCTGTTGTTTTATGTACTTCATATTGACACTTCAATGTCTATGATTCTCTCATTCTTCTGATAAATATTTTTCCAACTAATCTCCTGTATTAGAAAGAGATCAATTAAGGACATCTGAAGTAGAATTCTGATCCTTGAAGATCCTTCTGTCTAATTGGGGATATAAGATATGGCATGTAAGAAGATAATTAACATTACATGTTGTATCAAATTAGTTTTAAAAAATATCTGCTCCAAAATTATCATGGAGTGGTGGAACAAGAAGGCTTCCAAGAATAAATAATAGCTAAGAGGATTGTAATAAATGACCAGGGATTAGAAGGGTGAAAAATAGACTAAGGGGCTTCCAAGCCTGGGGATTAGCATTTCCACTAGCAATTAATCAAATAGCATATGTGCAACAGCGTTTCAGACTGGCGAGGGGCTTTGCCTTATTCTTACTTTATTTTCTGTATGTAGCTTATACAGGTTGGGAAGACGACAGTCAACAAAAATTTGTGGACCAGGGATACAGTATGAATCAGTGAAAAACATACTGAGTTAAAGCTTGAATGGACTTTTGGCTTTATCACTAACCATGTGTGAAACAGAATATTAAATACCCTCTCTGTGGCTAATTTTCCTGTTGATAGGAACATATTGCCTGCCTCGTAAATTTTTTTCTGAGCATCTCTTCTCATTTTAAAACTCTTCCTGGTTAAACATAGCCACATGCTTCGTTTCTGCCACCCTCTGTATGCTGAGGACTTCACACCTGAGTCTCCAATGCCGATCAGTCCTACAGTGAAGACCTCTGCTTCTGCTTGTTGGCCTGACATCACCTACTTTATGCCCATGAACATCTTAAAATCAAAGTGGAAAAAAAAGACATATCCCCCTTCTCTGTTCCACTCCTCTGTGAGGCTCTTTTTGCTCTTTGCTCTTTGTATTCCACATTGTAGTGAATAATAACCTCTCTGTCTCAAAACTTCAAAGTCTCAGAGATGCCTCACCCTCAACCAGCTGAAAAACTAACAAAAACAAAACCCAGATTCACTCCAGCAAGCTAAGAACGGGTAAGTTTCTTATGTTACCTCTTCCAAGGGCATTTTCGTATTATCACAGATGTATAAATAACTCCTTTTATTTGTAGATTTCAGTGCATTCTATATACTTTTAAAGGAATTGATATTTGTAAAATTCAAATCTCAGTAAGAGATTTTGGAGTGGCAATGGGAGCTGCTTTTTGATTAGGGAAGCTGCGTGACTCCAGTTACTTCTCACCAACCCCATACTGGCATTCATTCTAACCACAACTTAGTTGGCACAGGAACATACCATGCCCAGCACTTAGTAGAATACTATGAAATGAAAACAAAAAAAGATTTGTAAATTAATGAATGATCCTGCAAATGCAATGAATCCTTTAAAAGTGGACGTCTGTACATGTGCAGCTAGAATAGCTGCCTCCCAAACCACAAATCACCATATGCTACCTTGATGGTATAGACTGGGGAAGTGTAAAGTTGGCACCTGACACAGGAGACTGCAAATTAATTGCCTGTAAACCTCAGACTACCTCACTGATGTCTTTCTTTAAGAATCTTAACACATCAAGTCGGTTAATCTAGTTCTGCAGGTTTTTTGAAATGACACAAATTCCAAAGTTAGGGCACATAATTTTGAGAAAGAACATACATTTGAACTTTACTTTATTTATTTATTTATTTATTTTTTTGAGATGGAGTCTCACTCTTTCACCCAGGCTGGTGTGCAGTAGTGCAATCTTGGCTCACTGCAAGCTCCGCCTCCTGGATTTACGCCATTCTCCTGCCTCAGCCTCCTGAGTAGCTGGGACTACAAGCGCTCATCACCACACCTGGCTAATTTTTTGTATTTTTAGTAGAGATGGGGTTTCACCGTGTTAGCCAGGATGGTCTAGATCTCCTGACCTCGTGATCCGCCCGCCTCGGCCTCCCAAAGTACTGGGATTACAGGCTTGAGCTGAACTTTACTTTTAACAGGACCAAAGAACACAGGTCATTCTTTCTTCTGGGTTTGAAGTGGAATGAAACCCTGCATAAATTATCAGGGTGTGCATTACTAACCTTTCTCCTGTCAATGATAACACGAAAGCCTTGAGTAATGGACTGTGGGCCTTTCTAAAAGGCAAAAGATTTATACGATCTGAAGAGAAACCAGAGTACTGACGATGGGCCTCTCTAAGTTCACTGTATACAATACACAATATTGTATACAAAATGTGTATACATTAACATATTTTGTACCCTGAGGTACCTCACTTCAAAGAGAACTCTCAGTTGGATTCTAAGTCAAACTACCCTTTTTGTTTGAATAATTAGATTTTTCGACTTATGCTCACTGGTGAGTTGATATGATACATTTATATATAGAATACTACAGTCATCCCTCACTATCCATATGGGGTCGTTCCAGTACCCCCATGTATATCAAATCTGTGCATGCTCACATCCCACGGTGGAACCCACTTATATAAAAAGTTGACCCTTCATATCCGTGGGTTTTGCATCACCCAGATACTCTATTTTTAATCTGTATTTGTCTGTTGAGGCGGAACCTGCAGATATGGAAGCCAACTGTATTTATTGAAAAAAATCCATGTATAAGTGGGCCAGTACAGTTCAAAGACATGTTAAGGGTCTACTGTATATATATATATATTTCATATGTTTTATATAATAATTAAAAAGTTTAACAATTAAAGGGGGGAAAGTTGCAGTGTGGCTCTGAAGTTTTTGCTATTGAAGTTGTCTCAAGAATTACTGAGCTGGAGGCTTTTGAAGTTTCTTTTGCTGCTATATCTGGCTGCTACTGTGTTTGCCTATATGTTTAGCAGTCTGACACTGAGCTAATTTGGGTTTGTAAGCCTTGGCAGAAGTGTGCAGAATTCAACTTTACTGAAGGCTAACTGAGACAGTTTAGTTTGAGGACTGAGTGGTTGCCCACCTATAATCAGCTGACGAGGAAGGGAGGTTCCACTACCAAAGGTGACACTTGTGTTCAGGTAGATCAAACCTAGTTCAGTTTTTTTTTTTCCCAGTTTATTAACTATGTGCAGCTTTTGCTGGTGCTAAATTTGAGGCTATAAGTCAAGAGCATGAGATCACATCAGCTTGTCCTGCACTCTGGATATATCAAAAGTAGGATTAAAATTTGATTTAAAATCCTGAAGAAGCTCATTCCAGAGAAGCCAGTTAATTAGGATGTAAATGAGAGACTCTTTATAGCAGGAGAGGACAGCTGTAGACAACATATGCTAATCTCTTTACAAGGCAATGGTTATATGCAATTAGGAGGAAATCCTTATAAGGGAATGCAACACCAGTCTTAGAAAAGAGTATAAATTGAAGGTATTTGAAGCACACATTTGGAACTGATTCAATACAGAGATCTAAGTATAAAATACAGACTCCTTCAATTTCTTCAAATCTTTTGAAATGCTAGAAAGAATATTTAGAAAATCCATAAGCATTCTTGAATATAGAAAGATAGCCTTCAATGGATGAGCAACTGTGAAGACTCCTAAATAGATGATAAGCAAAATGAGATTAATTGAAAAAGGAAACCTCAGCCCTGGCAGGCACATTGGAGAACTGCTGTAGGAGGAGAAGGGAGTAGACCTTCTCCAAAGTTCTTCCATCTCTGGTAGGTTACCCCTTCCATAGATATGGAAATTGAGCCTCAATTTAAGTAGCTTTTCTAAGTGACAAGTAACAGAGGTAAATTTCAAGCCCAGTAGTATCCCATTCCGATGTCTCTGAGTTCACTGCCTCCTATCTGTGTGCCAGACACTTTACATAGCATTTCTCATTTGCCTTCTCACAAAAATTCTGTGAAGTTTCTCCTGTGGGCCTTGGACCAATGATTCCATTGGACCTGTGTTTTCCAAGCAACTGCTCTTAAAGCCTGTACTTCTTTTTTTGTTTCTCCTTATAATAATATTAATAAACAGCCAGATAAAGGTTTCAGGTCTTTTAAATCTGTGCTATACTCTTGATTGGAGAAGTTGTCTTTATTCTTGATTAACCAACTAGTATAGATGTGTGCCTTGTGTTGTCATATTATAACCTCATTTCAGCCTCAGAAGAAATAATGTTATTGTTGTGAGCATTTATTTGTATCCCTCTTTAATATCCTAGCATTCTTCCATGGCCTTTGGATTCACAGATATAAAGCCTGGTCTGATACAGATACGAAAAATCAACCTGTGGTATACTTGTTTTTATTCTGTGGGTAGCATTCATTATTTAAGAAATGTATTTTTTATTTATTTCAGTTTAGATGGCAAAATGGTGTCTGGGTGACCAGGAGAATCAATATCCAAGGTTCAGAAATGCAAAAATGTTACAGGAGGTCCCTAGCTTAAGGAAATGTAGCATATGCAAAGAAGATTTACAAAAATGATGCATAAGTAGATGTTTATCAATTTTCAAAAAGATCTTATGATTTACAATAAACTAGGAGGCTCTTTAAGTGGCAACTTTAAATATTAAGTGTTTGTTTATAGTTGATTGTCAGGAAGAGGATCAAAGGGAGATTAAAAAACAATTGAGCTAAAATGAAACAAACTATTGCAGGCAGAATATAGATTTCAAAGAAAGTTGTGGTATTTTTGAAATGGTTTGTAAACATCAATGTAGGTAAACGCTTTTGACTCATAACACCTAATTAGATCAATTGAAACCTTTTTAATCAATGACAAAAATGAATTATGCGTCAAGTAGTATTTTTACTCACAGACCAGAAAATGAAAAAGTCTGGAGTTAGTTTGGCTTCCAAAATAACTTGATTATGAGATTAAATTATATTATCAGTGCATTTTCTATATCTGGGGTCCGCCTTTGTATTGGTCTCACTCTCAGAAAGCCTCTCACCATAACAGGGCATGGAGCTTCAGTAGCAGGTCCAAGCTACATCACTGTGGGTTAAATCCGAAAGGAAGGAAAATCTTTCTTCCAGCACACCAGCGAAGTTCTGAAATCAGCTCTGATTGTCTACATTTGAGATCTGTTACAAGGCTGAACCAGTTTTTTTTGTATCCAGAGGGATGAACTGTGCTAATTGGCTTAAGCCAACTTCACATGCCCCTCTCTGAACCTGGAGGTTGATCACCCCCAAAAATGTGAGAATCTGAATTCCAACAAGTATATACGGTGATGAGCATACACCGATGTTCGGCAGTCCTATGAAGTATGATCAGGAAATAAGGTGATACTCAGGCCAGCACCTAAGAACAAATGATGATAGTACTTCCACTAGAGGTGAAATCGGATTTTGGCCTTGCTGCAAGATGTAGTAGAGCACAGATGAAGATGTAAAGCATCCCTTCCCATAGGACAAATCCTTCCAGTTACCTCTGGCTAATTCAGTATGGCCCCCACAGTGCATGTATTGTCACTCTCATCTGCAGTTCACACATCAGCTTTATGCATTGTCTCAACTCCTAATGCAACCTCAGAGCCTGGATGAAGGATGATATCTACTTAGCTGAGAACTGGAAATAAAAAGGATAAGTTTTCTTTCTTTTTTGTATTACAAGATAAAAATAGGCAGGTAAAATGAAGAGCATGAACCCGACCTATGGGGACGCTCCAGAACATTGCCGCTATGTGAGATGGCAGGAACAGAATTGCAATTGCCATTTTTCAGGAAAATCCAGGAATCGTTAGCTTAATTGATAGTTACTAACTATTAAATATTGGCTTAAATTAAAGCAGACCAGGTGCAGTGTGGTGGCTTATGCCTGTAATCCCAGCACTTTGGGAGGCCGAGGCATGTGGATGGCTTTAGGCCATGAGTTCAAGACCAGCCTGGCTAACATGGTGAAACCCTGTCTCTACTAAAATTACAAAAATTAGCCGGGCATGGTGGTGTGTACCTGTAGTCCCAGCTACTCAGGAGGCTGAGGCAGGATAATTGTTTGAACCCAGGAGGTGGAGGTTGCAGTGAGCTGAGATCGCACCACTCCACTCCAGCTTGGGTGACAGAGTGAGACTGTGTCTCAAAATAAATAAATAAATAATAAATAAATAAATTAAAGCAATAACAATTTCAAAAAAACTGAATCTATGATATTTAACAATGATTAGGTAAACATGAGTTTGGAACATGGAGATTGGCAATTTGGTGAACAATGCATTAGTCTACAGGAAAGAAGACTTGGAGGAGAAGAACTGAGATTTCAAATATGTGGATGGCTACCAGTTACAGAGATTAATATTTTTTTCCTATATGCCTCCAGAAGTTTGAGTTTGCATTAGTGAGTGAAGGATACTAGAGAGAAATTTTGTTTGGATAGAAGATACTGGTTATCAAAGCGGTTGTATACAGATGGAGATGCTTCAGTAGACATTCTGAGCTCACTGTTATTTTAAGTATTTAAACAAAGATTACAGAAACACTTGGCAGCAATATTGCAAGGGGAAATTGAACAATAGAATTTAGGGTTGAGTGAATGAGATAGTGGTTTCTAAGTTTGACTGCCACCAGAATTACCTAGAAAGATTGTTAGACATGTATTAAATATAACATTTGATTCACTATGTATGCGATAAAAAATGGGTAACTCTAATCAAACACGTCTGGGTGATTCTGTTGCATTCAGCTCTCAGCAGAAACACTGGAGTAGGTCTCCATAAACCTCTTATACCCCCAAGATTATCAAAAAAGAATAAAAAAAAAAATCATTAACGTCTATTGAGGGAATACTTTGTTCCAGGCACTGGCTGCTTGTATTATATTTCATCTTATGCTCACTCATTGCTACTGTTTTATAAATGCTAAAAAGGAGTCTTCAAGAAGTTATATAAGTGGTAACCATGAGGTTATAGGGTAAATGAGGGAGTAAAATTTTGAATTTGGAGATTTACTCCATAATACCTTAATTTGTAGGCTTAGTATTCATTTCTTTGTGCCTTAGAACATGCTCTTGGATACAGGGATCTGGCCAGGTGTTGGATGGGGTGATACTCCCAGGAAGAGAATAATAACTAATACCTATGACAGATCTTCAAGCACCAGCTTCTGTAATGTCCTTCTCCTCAAACAGAATAATTGTGGATGTCACCTTACCCCTTAGCACTGAGCTGACATCTGTGAATATATGATTAAATGAAATCCAGGGTCAAGGGTAAGGAGAAGAGAAATGAGGCAACAAGAACAAACAAAAGTATTTTCTAAATGGAATACTATTTATCTGATTAATCCTTTAGGCCACCTGCCCACATTTAATGAATTCTGTCCTTGGCCACACAGAATTCTGTAATGAACATGAAAAAAACCTACTAATACAAACACAAGCAAGATGACCTGTTTCAGAAGGAAGTGGGGCTGTGCCTGCAGTGTTAAACATTTTAATTTTTAGTGTCTCTACAGTTGTAGCAAGGCAGAGCAGAGTTTTGTTTACTTCTCTAGTTTACCCTTTTCTCCAGCATAGGCCAATGCAAATGAGAATAAATTTCCATTCATAAAATGAAGACCACATTTTACTAAATTGAAATGGGCTCCAGATTATAAAGGTTCCCTGGCCTTGACTCTTTTTATTCATTCTCAAGAAATTAATGCCTAGTTTTTGTTGCTTCCAGTTCTTTTAACAGAGATGCTTGAAGATGTCATGAGAAAGGGCCAGTGATGCATATAATCTGTTTCAGAATTGCAAATAGCTGAGACAAGTTCAATACACACACACATACACACACACGCACACTCACACACACATTCATATTGGCTGAAAGCACTGTAAATACACTGGCATAATTAAACAAACTATAAATTTAGAGTTAATGATCTTTCTGGAAAAGAACAATTGGACCATGGTGGTGAACAATTCTACTTAGTTAATTGTTTTGGGTCTTGGAGTTACATGATAATATCAACAAGGAATTCAAATGGGATCTAAGACACACCATCATATTTCTTCTTTACTGAGGTTTTGGGCTATCTTGATGTCCTCTTTATGACACAATATGTGTGTTACCTCTCAAGATAAATTGAGTTAAGTCCCTGTAAATGTAATAAATAGGGGAAGAGAGAAAGTAGACAATGAGACTCACTAGGAGATTACTACAATAGGGTAGTAAAAGTAGAAAGGTGATATTGCCTTTGACACTCAATTTACAGGTAAAATTTCTGCCTATCTCCATGCCAGATATATAGTAAGCTCCCAATAAATACTTACTAAACTGAATTCATTTTGGCAACTGATTGGTTAAGGAAAAAGTTAAAGCTGATTTTAAGTTGAAAGCCAAGGTATTCATGGTTGAGCACCAGGAAGGGCAAGAATTTGGGAGAATATGAAAGCTGGTGATTTTAGTTATGACTATGTGTCTTTTTCAATAGTTCCAAATTCTGATTATTTAATTCAGATTTAAGAAAAAGAACATGTAAAAAGTCAAGAACTGACAAATTGTGAGATGTCAGTATTGCAACAAAAGAATGGCCTCTACATGTAAAAAGTTCAATTAAAAATTTTTATTTATTTATTTATACTGTTTGAGACAGAGTCTCGCTCTATTGCCCAGGCTGGAGTGCAGTGGCGTGATCTTGGCTCCTGGGTTCAAGCGATTATCGTTCCTCAGCCTCCTGACTAGCTGGGGTTACAGGTGCCTGCCATCACACCTGGCTAATTTTTTGTATTTTTAGTAGAGATGGGGTTTCACCATGTTGGCCAGGTTGGTCTCACACTCCTGACCTCAAGCGATCCACCTGCCTCAGCCTCTCAAAGTGCCGGGATTACCAGCATGAGCCACCATGCCTGGCCAAAAATTCTGATTTTTAAAATGCAGCTCTCCAGTTGGCACTTAGGTACAAGGGAATGAGACTGGACTCATTCAGGTATAGTATCTCAGTTTGCACAAGAGTCATTATTGTTTATAACAACTGATTTCACAATGAACTAAGTTGAGGAAAATGCTTTCTGTCCTAGCGGCGAAACATGAGGAAGTTTGAGGTGAAGCCTGTAAGTATGTATCCCAAAGCCAAGTATCAATTTTATTGTAAGCTCTGCTATCTACCAGCAGAGTGTACCTTTCATTTATCAGGTCTCCATTGACATGTCCCTCTAATATAATTTCCGCTTCTTACAAAAGAAGTCTCAAGTATTCCAAATGTACAGATGGAAATTTTACCTAGGGATAGGGTCACATAGAGATGGAGAATGTGTTTGGTTTATTGATTATTTGGGGCCTCTTTACCTCAGGAACTTTATTAAATTTAACAGGAAAATAGAGACAAATAAATACATCGGATCATCAGGATGAAATGCCCCTTTATTTTCTTTTAAATAGCTTGCATCTTAAATAATTATTTCAGAGTTTTAAGCCTGAAGGCACAATCACACCTCAGTCATGAATGCGGTGTCTGTGGGTTGTGATGTCTACTTCTGACCCTCAGGATTGTTTGATCTCCATCCTTCAGCTTTTTGACTAACAGATATTGAAATTGGTGAGACTATTTCATGGATGATGAAGGAGATATGCAGTTGAACTTTTTTTATTGGCACAAATTGATATCATTGAAAACCATATTAATTTTTTCTTCGTGCTTAACCCTTGGCTTTGGTCCAGAAAAAGTCTAAGAAAGCATAATATTGAGGGTCATAAAAAAGAAGATTCATATCTCTTTAGATAATGTCTCAGTGCCTGATTAGTTTATTCTTTGGGTTGTAAATAAAATAATATCCATTTAATTGTGCATTGTTCTGCACCACAAAGGTGATCTTTTTTGTTCCGTGGCAAGATGGACTTTTTTCCTGGATATCTAGTAACTAATTGCTTTGCATTCACAAGTAGATCACCTCTTTCCCATGGTTTCTCATACTGTGCCTAAAAGGGGATGGGGCTGTGTTTTCCCATTCTGGAGACTGAGGATGTTCTTATTCTAAACTCATCACTCCATGTTGTGAGATCAGTTTTGAACCCTGCTTGCTGTGTTATGGGTAATCGTGTATAATCTCAATTTCAAATATTCTGTGAAGGATAGTTTATTTGACTGAAAATAATACAAACAGATTGGTGACAGAAGCACAGGTGATAAAAGAATATCCTTTAACTTTTTTCCTCCATTTTTTTCAGCTGTAAAATGTAATCTCCATTGAAGTTGGGCATCTGGAAATACTGAGAGTCTCCATTGAGGTTGAGCATCTCAATAAACTGTGTTATGTCAACCAGCCCGTGCATGCCAACTATTATTAACTACCTCATTTTTTGTGACCTCTAATGTAATAATATTTAATGCTGAGCAGGTGTTCTGAATTCTCATTGTATACTATTTTTATTCTTGTGTGATGGAATGGCTCCATGTCCTCTAACACCTGACTAGAATGAGGCACCTCTACCACCAGAAAGCCTCACTAATGGCACATCAGAAAACAGAAACACAATATGGAATTGTGAGTTACTGAAAGCTTATTAAAAATATTTTATAACTGACTTTTCTTTCTAAATGGTTTCATCACTTATACTAAGTTAATATTTTGAATCCAAGTGAATGTTCACGAATCAATAAGTAGAACCACTTGGAATTTGTTAACTGGGTATCTTATTGCATTTAGTGTATAGGATTATCAAAATATCCCAGGGGGCAGTAATATATGTTTGTATAAACAGTAGCTCAATTATCTGTGTATAGAAAGGGAACAGTTTTACAAAAGTTAGGTATTGCATAATACCTACATGCTCTGAGGTCAAGGCAACACCGAAAAAAGAATTGTCCTGGAAGCGGTTTAAGTCAGACAAAAAAGAAAGAAAAGGGTGAGGAAGAGCTAGGATGTGAGAGTCAAACTGCATACTATAAGCCAAAATGCAGGTTTCATTTAAATATCTTTGTCCACAAAAATTGTACTAGTAATTGCCAAACAATCTAAAGAGTAACGCATTGTCTACATGCAAAGGCAAGAGTTTATAAAGATGACTTTTGTTATGATGGACAATTTGTGCGTGTGTGTGTAGGAATGTGTATATGTGTTTGAACCTCTCATGTATTTTCTAACTGATGATTAATTTTAGGGTATTCAGAGAAAAATAATTAAATGAAGGGAAAGGAATCTCCTCTACAGTGGGAACTGAGCTTAAAACAGAAGAAATAGCCTCAGGATTAAATATTATATTTCTAAATTTGGACATGACAATCTTTCCTAAAGAAAAATGTGGCCAAACTAATAAGGGGCTATTTTGAAATTCCAGATGGAAAAGCACGGCATGTTCCACGCTCAGATTTGTGGTTTGTGGAAAGATAAAACAAAATTTGGCAGATTTATCAAAACAAAGCCTTCACTTTTTCATCATGATTTTGATGAGGGTAAACCCTGATATGCAGCTCGAATATTGGCTGCTCAAGGGAAATGTTTTTTTGTTTTTTTTTTTTTCACAATTACCGATAAATCATCTGTTTTGAAGAACAATTTTATGTAGAATTCTTTAGCAGAGAAAGAGTTCATGAACACATGAAGAGGCTGGAATCAAAATTAGCTGTAGTTGGAATGAACGAAGGCTTGGCTGGATCACAGTTGTTCAGATGTAGGAACCTGATAGGATGCCTGGATTACCAGTTCTTTGTGTTAGTCAGAACTCAGCTGGCTGGCAAAATAGCCCTTCCAGGCACTGATGTGGAAGCCAACTGAGTGAATAACCTTTCCTGAGCCAAGAAATCTCCACCTCTGACATCTTCCGCAATGGCTATGCATTCTTGTCTCTGCTACAGCTGAACCCTGATGTTTCCAAAATTCATAAAAGGAAATTTGTGTTTACTGAACTTCTTCCTCAGACTAGATGCTGGCACTAAAGATTCAAAAAAGAAAGGTCCAGTCTCTGCCCTTAAGATGTTCACAATTGTTTGAGGGAAGGCAGAGATAAACTATTACCATGTTATTGGTAAGAGCTACGGTAAATGTTTGTCCTGGGTATAACAGGAAAAAAGTGGAGTAATGAACATGGTGTGGAATGGGGCAAGGTCATTCAGGAAAAGATGTTTGCAAATATCTAGTCTGCATGTTGAGAAATGAATATGGATTTGTGAGATGAGCAAGAGAAAAGGAGAATATTAATAACAATAGCCAACATTTGTAGAGTGCTTACCAGGCATACATCATTGAACTTCATACCCCCTGTCATCCTATGTTAACTACTATTACTATCTCCATCTTACGGATAAGAAAGTGAAAAGTCAGTCAAGGGTAAGTGATGGACACGATATTCAAACCCATCCTGTTTCCAAAAGGTCTACTTTTCACCAAGGCTCATATATCAAAACAGAAGGGAAGCGAATTAAAGTAAAAGTAACAAATTATAATTGTTTTTCACATTTGTGTAGTAGAGCTATGTGAGAAAAGAGAAAAATAAGAGGCTAATAACTATGTTCTAAAGGTAGGAGAGGGCTAAATCAGCAGGGATTGTACAAGCCCTGTCATCCTATGTTAACTACTATTACTATCTCCATCTTACGGATAAGAAAGTGAAAAGTCAGTCGAGGGTAAGTGATGGACACGATATTCAAACCCATCCTGTTTCCAAAAGGTCTACTTTTCACCAAGGCTCATATATCAAAACAGAAGGGAAGGGAATTAATGTAAAAGTAACAAATTATAATTGTTTCTCACATTTGTGTAGTAGAGCTATGTGAGAAAAGAGAAAAATAAGAGGCTAATAACTATGTTCTAAAGGTAGGAGAGGGCTAAATCAGCAGGGATTGTACAAGCCATATTATAGAGTATGGATTATTACCAGGAAAAGTGTTGAAGTGCACTTTTGAATTAGTTCTTTGCAGTGGATAGTTCTTTGCAGTGGAATGGCAAGGTCAGATTTGCATTTGTGGAGCTTACTATGGAGGAACTGTGGCTAAACCAATTGGCAGCAAGTGACGATAGAATTAGGGAAACAAGTCAAGAGGTTGCAATAATTCAAGTAAGAAGTAAGGAAGGAGGTGCAGGACTTCTAGGTTGACTGCGTAAGGAGCTTGACTAAGTTGCTCAGCAGATGCTCCTTCCAGCAAAACAAAAGTTTAATGGGTGAAAATTATATTTAAACAAATACAAGTCATTTGCAAACCCTGGATATTGTCCTAAGGGCATAGAGCAAATGGAGAAACATTCACTCAAGAAAATCTACTAACTCTCAGTGGTTACTGTGAGAGTCTGGACATTTGAGCCATGACTCACACCTTTACTCCATTTAACCAAGCTCTATGTTACAAAAATTTCATCCAGCCATTCTGAATGATGTAAGGTGGTATCTCATTGTGATTTTGATTTGCATTTCTCTGAATGATTAGTGATGATGAGCATTTTTTTCCATATGTTTGTTGGCCACTTGTATGTCATCTTTTGAGAAGTGTCTGTTCATGTCTTTTGTCCATTTTTAATGGGGTTGTTTGATTTTGCTTGTTCAATTGTTTAGGTTTCTTACAGATTCTGTATATTGATGTTTGTTAGATGCATAGTTTGATAATATTTTTTTCCTGTTCTCTATGTTGTCTGTTTACTCTGTTGATATTTTTCTTTGCTGGCCAGAAACTCTTCAGTATAATCAGGTACCACTTGTCAATTTTTGTTTTGTTGCCATTGCTTTTGAGGACTTGTCATAAATTCTTTCCTAAGGCTGATTTCCAGAATGGTGTTTCCTACGTTTTCTTCCAGAATTATTTTAGTTTAAGGGGTATATTTAAATATTTAATCCATCTCGAGTTAATTTTTGTGTATGGTGGAAGGTAGGGGCCCAGTTTCATTCTTTTGCATGTGGCTAGACAGCTGTCCTTGCATCATTTATTAAGTAGGATATCCCTTCTCCATTCCTTATTTTTGTTGACTTTGTCAAAGATTAGATGGCTTTAGGTGTGCTGCTTCATTTCTAGGTTCTCTATTCTGTTCCATTGTTCCATATGTCTGTTTTTGTACCCTTACCATGCTGTTTTGTTTACTGTAGCCATATAATACAGTTTGAAATCAGATGATGTAATGCCTCTGGCTTTTGTCTTTTTGCTTAGAATCGTTTTGGCTATTTCAGCTCTTTTTTGTTCTATATGAATTTTAGAAGTTTTTTTCTAATTATTTGAAAAATCACATTGGCAGTTTGATAGGATAGCATTGAATCTGTAGATTGCTTTTGGCAGTATGGCCATTTTCAAAATTTTGATTCTTGCAGTCCATGAGCATGGAATGTTTGTTTGTTTGTTTGTTTGTTTGTTTGAGACAGAGTCTCACTCTATGTCCAGGCTGGAGTGCAGTGGTGCAATCTCATCTCTCTGCAAGCTCCGCCTCCTGGGTTCACGCCATTGTCCGGCCTCAGCCTCCCTAAGTAGCTGGACTACAGGCACCCGCCACCATGCCCAGCTAATTTTTTGTATTTTTAGTAGAGATGGGGTTTCACCATGTTAGCCAGGATAGTCTTGATCTCCTGACCTCGTGATCCACCTGCCTCAGCCTCCCAAAGGGTGTTTTTTTATTTTTAATTTTTTTATTATTTTTATTTTTTTTTGAGATGGAGTCTCGCTCTGTCGCCCAGGCTGGAGTGCAGTGGCGCGATCTCGGCCCCCTGCAAGCTCCGCCTCCTGGGTTCACGCCATTCTCCTGCCTCAGCCTCCCGAGCAGCTGGGACTACAGGCGCCCCCCGCCACGCCCGGCAAATTTTTTTTTTTTGTATTTTTAGTAGAGACGGGGTTTCACTGTATTAGCCAAGATGGTCTCGATCTCCTGACCTCATGATCCGCCTGCCTCGGCCTCCCAAAGTGCTGGGATTACAGGCATGAGCCACCCCGCCTGGCTGTTTTTTCTTTAAATTATACTTTAAGTTCTGGGATACAAGTGCAGAACGTGCAGGTTTGTTACCTAAGTATACACGTGCCATGGTGGTTTGCTGCATCCATCAACCCCTCATCTACTTTAAGTATTTCTCCTAATGCTATCCCTCCCCTAACCCCCCCACCCCCCAATAGGCCCCGGTGCATGATGTTCCTCTCCCTGTGTCCATATGTTCTCACTGATCAACTCCCACTTATGAGTGAGAACGTGCAGTGTTTGGTTTTCAGTTCCTGTGTTAGTTCGCTGAGAATGATGGTTTCCAGCTTCATCCATGTCCCTGCAAAGGACGTGAACTCATCCTTCTTTATGGCTGCATAGTATTCCATGGTGTATATGTGCCACCTCTTCTTTATCCAGTCTATTATTGATGGGCATTTGGGTTGGTTCCAAGTCTTTGCTATTGTGAACAGTGCTGCAGTAACCATATGTGTGCATGTGTCTTTATAGTAGAATGATTTATAATCCTTTGGTTATATACCCAGTAATGGGATTGCTGGGTCAAATGATATTTCTGGTTCTATATCATTGAGGAATCGCCAACACTCTCTTCTACAATGGTTGAACTAATTTACACTCACACCAACAGTGTAAAAGTGTTCCTATTTCTCCACATCCTCTCCAGCATCTGTTGTTTCCTGACTTTTTAGTGATCACCATTCTAACGAGTGTGAGATGGTATCTCATTGTGGTTTTGATTTGCATTTGTCTAATTACCAGTGATGATGAGCTTTTTTTTCATGTTTGTGGGCAACATGTCTTCTTTTGAGAAGTGTCTGTAAATATCCTTCACTCACTTTTTGATGGAGTTTCATTTGTTTCATTTGTTTTATTTGTTTTTTTCTTGTAAATTTGTTTAAGTTCTTGTAGATTCTGGATATTTGCCCTTTGTCAGATGGATAGATTGCAAAAATTTTCTCCCATTCTGTAGGTTGCCTGTTCACTCTTATGATAGTTTCTTTTGCTGTGCAGAAGCTCTTCATTTTAATTAGATCCTGTTTGTCAATTTTGGCTTTTGTTGCCCTTGCTTTTGGTGTTTTAGTCATGAAGTCTTTGCCCAGGCCTATGTCCTGAATTGTACTGCCTAGATTTACTTCTAGGGTTTTTTACAGTTTTAGGTCTTACATTTAAGTCTTTAATCTATCTAGAGTTAATTTTTGTATAAGGTGTAAGGAAGGGGTCCAGTTTCAGTTTTCTGCCTAAGGCTAGCCAGTTTTCCCAACACCATTTATTAAATAGGGAATCCTTTCCCTTTTGCTTGTTTTTGTCAGGTTTGTCAAAGATCAGATGGCTGTAGATGCATGGAGTTATTTCTGAGGCCTCTGTTCTGTTCCATTGGTCTATACACCTGTTTTGGTACCAGTACCATGTTGTTTTGGTTACTGTAGCCTCGTAGTATAGTTTGAAGTCAGGTAGCATGATCCCTCCAACTTTGTTCTTTTTGCTTAGGATTGTCTAGGCTATATGGGCTCTTTTTTGGTTCCATATGAAATTTAAAGTAGTTTTATTCTAATTCTGTGAAGAAAGTCAATGGTAGCTTGATGGGGATAGTATTGAATCTATAAATTACTTCGGGCAGTATGGCCATTTTCACAATATTGATTCTTCCTATCCATGAGCATGGAATGGTCTTTGATTTGTTTGTGTCCTCTTTTATTTCCTTGAGCAGTGGTTTGTAGTTATTCTCGAAGAGGTCCTTCACAGCCCTTGTAAGTTGGGTTCCTAGGTACTTTATTCTTTTTGTAGCAATTGTGAGTAGGAGTTCACTCATGATTTGGCTCTCTGTTTGTCTATTATTGGTGTAAAGGAATGCTTATGATTTTTGCAAATTGATTTTTGTATCCTGAAACTTCTCTGAAGTTGCTTATCAGCTTAAGGAGATTTTGGGCTAAGACAATGGGGTTTTCTAAATATACAATCATGTCATCTGCAAACAGAGACAATTTGATTTCTTCTCTTCCTGCTTGAATAATCCTTTATTTCTTTCTCTTGCCTGATTGCCCTGGCCAGAGCTTCCAATACTATGTTGAATAGGAGTGGTGACAGAGGGCATCCTTGTCTTGTGCTGGGTTTCAAAGAGAATGCTTCTAGCTTTTGCCCACTCTGTATGATACTGGCTGTGGGTTTGTCATAAATAGCTCTTATTATTTTGAGATACATTCCATCAATACCTAATTTATTGAGAGTTTTTAGCATGAAGGGGTGTTGAATTTTATCAAAGGCCTTTTCTACATCTATTGAGATAATCATGTGGTTGTTTTCATTTGCTCTGTTTATGTAATGGATTACGTTTATTGATTTGTGTATGTTGAACCAGCCTTGCATCTCAGGGATGAAGCTGACTTGTTTGGGGTGGATAAGCTTTATGATGTGCTGGTGGATTCGTTTTGCCAGTATTTTATTGAGGATTTTTGCATCAGTGTTCATCAGGGATATTGGCCTGAAATTTTCTTTTTTTATTGTGTCTCTGCCAGGTTTTGGTATTAGGATGATGCTGGCCTCATAAAACGAGTTAGGGAGGATTCCCTCTTTTTCTATTGTTTGGAATAGTTTCAGGTCCTGTTTGTACCTCTGGTAGAATTCAGCTGTGAATCTGTCTGGACCTGGGCTTTTTTTGTTTGTTTGGTAGGCTATTAATTACTGCCTCAATTTCAGAACTTGTTATTGGTCTATTCAGGGATTTGACTTCTTCCTGGTTTAGTCTTGGGATGGTGTATGTGTCCAGGAGTTTATCCATTGCTTCTAGATTTTCTAGTTTATTTTCATAGAGGTGTTCATAGTATTCCATGATGGTAGTTTGTATTTCTGTGGGATCAGTGGTGAAATCTCCATTATCATTTTTTATTGTGTCTATTTGATCTTCTCTGTTTTATTCTTTATTATTCTGGCTAGTGACTTATCGATTTTGTTAATCTGTTCAAAAAATCAGCTCCTGGATTCATTGATGTTTTTGAAGGGGTTTTGTGTCTCTATCTCCTTCAGTTCTTAGTTATTTCTTGTCTTCTGCCAGCTTTTGAATTTGCTCTTGCTTCTCTAGTTCTTTTAATTGTGATGTTAGGGTGTCGATTTTAGATCTTTCCTGCTTTCTCCTGTGGGCATTTAGTGCTATAAATTTCCCTCTAAACACTGCTTTAGCTGTGTCCCAGAGATTCTGGTTCATTGTGTCTTTGTTTTTATTGGTTTCAAAGAACTTATTTATTTCTGCCTTAATTTTGTTATTTACCCAGTAGTCATTCAGTAGCAGGTTTTTCATTTTCCATGTGGTTGTGTGGTTTTGAGTGAGTTTCTTAATCCTGAGTTCTAGTTTGATTGCACTGTGGTCTGAGAGACTGTTTGCTATGATTTCTGTTTTTTTTTTTTTTTTCATTTGCTGAGGAGTGCTTCACTTGCAATTATGTGGTCAATTTTAGAAGGAGTGTGATGTGGTGCTGAGAAGAATATATATTCTGTTGATTTTGGGTGGAGAGTTCTGTAGATGTCTATTAGGTCCACTTGGTCCAGAGCTGAGTTCAAGTCCTGAATATCCTTGTTAATTTTCTGTCTCGTTGATCTGTCTAAAATTGACAGTGAAGTGTTAAAGTCTCCAACTATTATTGTGTGGGAGTCCGAGTCTCTTTGTAGGTCTCTAATAACTTGCTTTATGAACCTGGCTGCTCCTGTATTGGGTGCATATATATTTAGGATAGTTAGCTCTTCTTGTTGCATTGATCCATTTACCATTATATAATGCCCTTCTTTGTCTTTTTTGCTATTTGTTGGTTTAAAGCCTGTTTTATCAGAGACTAGGATTGCAACACCTGCTTTGTTTTGCTTTACATTTGCTTGGTAAATATTCCTTCATCACTTTATTTTGAGCCTATGTGTGTCTTTGCACGTGAGGTGAGTCTCCTGAATACAGCACACCAATGGGTCTTGACTCTATCCAATTTGCCAGTCTTTGTCTTTTAATTGAGGCATTTAGCCCATTTACATTTAATATTAATATTGTTATGTGTGAATTTGATCCTGTCATTATGATGTTAGCTAGTTACTTTGCTCGTTAGTTGATGCAGTCTTTTCATAGTGTTGATAGTCTTTATAATTTGCTTTGTTTTTGCAGTGGCTGGTACTGGTTTTTCCTTTCCATATTTAGTGCTTCCTTCAGGAGCTCTTGTAAAGCAGGCCTGGTGGTGACAAAAATCTCTCAGCATTTGCTTGTCTGTAAAGGATTTTATTTCTCCTTCACTTATGAATCTTAGTTTGCCTGGATATGAAATTCTGGTTTGAAAACTCTTTTCTTTAAGAATGTTGAATATTGGCCCCCACTCTCTTCTGGCTTGTAGGGTTTCTGCAGAGAGATCCACTGTTATTCTGCTGGGCTTCCCTTTGTGGATAACATGACCTTTCTGTCTGACTGCCCTTAACATGTTTTCCTTCATTTCAGCGTTAGTGAATCTGATGATTATGTCTTGGGGTTGCTCTTCTCGAGGAATATCTTTGTGATGTTCTCCATATTTCCTGAATTTGAATGTTGGTCTGTCTTGCCAGGTTGGGGAAGTTCTCCTGGATAATTTCTTGAAGAGTGTTTTTCAACTTGGTTCCATTCTCCCCATCACTTTCAGGTACACTAATCAAATGTAGGTTTGGTCTTTTCACATAGTCCCATATTTCTTGGAGGCTTTGGTCATTCCTTTTCATTCTTTTTTCTCTAATCTTGCCTTTATGCTTTATTTCATTAAGTTGATCTTCAGTACCTGATATTTTTTCTTCTGCTTGATAGGTTCATCTGTTGATACTTGTGTATGCTTCAAGAAGTTCTCCTGCTGTGTTTTTCAGCTCCATCAGATCATTTATGTTCTTATCTAAACTGGTTATTCTAGTTAACAATTCATCTAACCTTTTTTCAAGGTTCTTAGCTTACTTCCATTGGGTTAGAACATGCTCCTTTAGCTTGGAGGAGTTTGTTATTACCCACCTTCTGAAGCCTACTTCTGTTTTTTCCATTTGTTTTTGTAATCTGTGACTTCCTTTAGCAGTGTTTTTCAGTTCTCCATATAGACATCTTTCACCTCCTTGGTTAGATGTATTCCTGGATATTTTAGTTTTTTGTGCTTATTGTAAATGAGATTGCATTCTTGATTTGCCTCTCAGCTTGAACATTAGTATTTTTAGAAATGCTACTTATTCTTATATACTGATTTTGTACCCTGAAACTTTGTTGAAGTCATTCATCAGTCATAGGAGCCTTTTAGTGGGGTCTTTAAGTTTTTCTAGGTATTGAATCATATCCTCTGCAAACAGGGATAATTTGACTTCCACTCCTTATTTGGATGCCTTTTATTTCTTTCCCGTGCCTGATTGCTCTAGCTAGCACTTTCAGTGCTAATGCTTGGGGAGAAATTTATAGGTGGGAATGCTTATTTTAAAAGGAGAATAATTTTAAAGTAGCAATAGAATCTTCAGCCTAAGAAACTAGAAAAGCAAGGGCAAGTGAAAGTACTAAACTAAAGAAGAATGGAGATAACAAAAATTAGAGCAGAAATAAATAAAACGTGGAATAGAAAAAAATAGATAAAACAATAAAATTGAAACTTACAAAAATTAAGAATGAAAGAGAGGCCATGGCTACCAATCCTACAGAATAATAAAAAGCTATAAGGAAGTACTATGAACAATTGTATGCCAATGAGTAAGTTAGATGAAATGAATAAGTTTTATTTAATGATCTTCCTAGGAAAATAGCAATTACTGCAACTTTTCTAAAAGAAATAGAAAATTTGAATAGACATATTATAAGCAAAGAGATCAAATTAGTAATCAAAAACCATTGCACAAAGTAAATTCCAGTCTTAATACTGCCAACTCACTTAATAAGGCCAGTTCAACCTGATATCCAAACCATATAAATATATTACAATGAAGTACAAACCAATATCTTTTATGAATATAGGTGCAAAATACTAGTAAAATGAATATGGCAACATAAAAAATTATCATAAACTAATTATCTACCACAGCCAACTGGGATTTACCACAGGAATGCAAGGTTAGCATAACATCTGAAAATCAATTAATGTAATACACCACATCAATGGAATAAAGTACAGAAACCATATGATTAGCTCTATATTTGCAGAACAATTATTTGAAAAAATCCAATACTCTTTCATGATTAAAAAAAATACTAAAAGATTTTTTTAAAAAAACTGGGAATAAAAAGAAGCTTTGTCAAGCTGATCATGAGCATCTGCATAAAGCCCACAGTTACTATCGAACTTAATGGTTAAAAAGACTTTAAGCTTTTCTTCTAAGATCAGACACAAAATAGGTCTATTCTCACTATTTCTAATCAATATTGTGATGGAAGCTTTAGTCAGCATAATTAAATAAGAAAAATGAATAAAAAAAATCTATATTGGGAAGGAAGAAATCTACCAATCTCTGTTTGCAGATAATATGGTTTTGTATGTAAAAGTCCCAAGGAATCCACCCAAAAGCCATTAAACAGATTCACTAAGATGGCAAGATAAAGTATCAATTTACAAAAATTCATTTCATTTATATACACTAGCAATGAAAATTCCAAAAATGAAATTAGTAAACCAATTTCATTTACAGTTACATAAAATACATACTTGCATATAAATTTTGAAAAAGAAATTCAATATGTGTACACTGAAAACCACTAAATGTTATTGAAATAAATTAAAATAAACTTAAGTAAATTATAACATTTTCTATGTTGATTGTTAGAAAGACAATGTTGTTAGATGACAGTACTTCCCAAATTGACCTTCAGGTTTAATACAATATCAAAATTCTACTTACTTGATT
Source organism: Homo sapiens (assembly GCF_000001405.40). Classification (NCBI taxonomy): domain Eukaryota; kingdom Metazoa; phylum Chordata; class Mammalia; order Primates; family Hominidae; genus Homo; species Homo sapiens. The sequence continues at coordinate 108,947,852 of NC_000010.11, read as the reverse complement.
TATTTATTTTTACATAAGTTTAAAAGTTGTCAAAAAAGGTGTATAGAAAGTCAAGGGACCCTGGAGCTCAAACAATCTCAAAAAAGAAAAGTTGGAATACAGACATTTTCCTATTTTAAAACTTACTACAATCTACTTACTGAATTTCTTGTCACTTAACAGTGATAAACATTTTGTCAGTGGAGATGATAGTTGCAGATTGAAGGCTGAGTCTTATCTTCTCCAGCCTCACTATTAGCTCATGGTAGAAAGAGAGTGCTTCTGATATTCATTTTTTCCTATATGCTTTTCTTTCCTTTCGTAGGGCAATATGATTATTACGTTTTTATATTATTCAGAATAACCTTCTAGGAAAACAGATGATTTCCACTCTGTTTCTCAATCAACATCCCTCAAAAATAGAATCTGGTAAGCAAGTTTATGGAGAGCATCCAGGTGTTTCTCTAGAAAGAAAATTAGGGACCAAGAAATCGGACCATAATTGAAACCTGTGAATATCATCCATGGCCTATCATTGGGAACTATTTGGACACATCTGGTCAAAATTAAGAAAGGCGGTAATATAAATTGACTTGTGGTGTATTTTGCAAGTCAAACTTTTCAAGTCTACTAGTTCATCTGCTAGAGATCCATCACTGACATTTTGTAAATCCTGCACTCGCATTGGGTTCTAGGTAGTTTGAAGACCTGAGAGCCTGCCACTGGTTTCGGTAAAATTACAGGATGCTTCCAACTCTGAGGCTGGCTATGACTTGTAATGTCAGGGAGTTCTCTTGACTGATTGCCCATGGTTGACTTTGCTTTGTTCTAACTCCTGTCTTCATGCTGGGCTCCCAGGTTCAAGATTGCCTTTTGAATTGATGATACCCTACTTCCAGCATAGGCCTTCACAGTCCCAGATCTAGTTGGTGGCAACAAAAACATATGTGGTTTCTTACTCTTGGATCTCATCCAATAATAAATGAGACATATTCATGGTTCTGAATGGTTTTCTTAGATATTTCACTGAATATGACAAAGGAGATGATTATGGTCACATTAGAGCCTATGTGTTCTCATTGTTCAACTCCCACTTATAAGTTAGAACATACAGTGTTTGGTTTTCTGTCACTGTGTTAGTTTGCTGAGAATAATGGCTTCCAGCACCGTCCACGTCCCTGCAGAGGACATGATCTTGTTCCTTTTTATGGCTTCATAGTATTCCATGGCATATATGTACCACATTTTCTTTATCCCATCTATCATTGATGGGCATTTGGGTTGATTCCATGTCTCTGCTATTGTAAACAGTGCTGCAATGAACATCTTGATAATAGAATGACTTATATTCCTTTGGGTGTGTACCCAGTAATGGGATTGCTGAGTCAAATGGTATTTCTGGTTCTAGGTGTTTGAGGACTCGGCACACCATCTTCCACAATGGTTGAGCTAATTTACGTTCCTACCAACAGTGTAAAAGTGTTCCTATTTCTCCACAACCTCACTAGCATCTGTTGTTTCTTGACTTTTTAATAATTGCCATTCTGACTGGAGTGAGATGGTATCTCATTGTGGTTTTGATCTGCATTTCTCTAATGATCAGTGATGTTGAGTTATGTTTGTTGGCTGCATAAATACCTTCTTTTGAGAAGTGTCTGTTCATGTCCTTTGCCCACTTTTTATGGAGTTGTTTGTTTTTTTCTTGTAAATCTGTTTAAGTTCCTTGTAGATTTTGGATATTAGACCTTTGTCAGATAGATAGATTACACAATTTTTCTCCCATTCTGTAGGTTGTCTGTTCACTCTGATGATAGTTTCTTTTGCTGTGCAGGAGCTCTTTAGTTTAGTTAGATCCCCTTTGTCAATTTTTGCTTTTGTTTCAATTGCTTCTGACGTTTTTCTCATCAAATCTTTGTCCAGCAGGGGAGCAAAGCTTCATCTGTCTTTACAACTGTTCCCCATCACTTATATTACCACCTGAGCTCTGCCTCCTGTCAGATCACCAGTAGCATTAGATTTGCATGGGAGCCCAAACCCTTCTGTGAACTGTGCATGCAAGGAACTAAATTGCGTGCTCCTTATGAGAATCAAATACCTGATGATCTGTCACTGTCTCCCATCACCACCAGATCCCCAGATGGGACCATCTAGTTGCAGGAAAATATGTTCAGGGCTCCAGCTGAGTCTATATTATGAGTTGTGTAATTATTTCATTATATATTACAATGTAAGTCCTATAAAGTTTCTGTATAAGCAATACAGTGAACTTTGTCAATGAGGCTTTGAATTTTATGTGGATAGTAAACAGTGGAGTATATATTTGCATCACCAAGAGTACTGTTTTTCTGTTTTCCTTCATAGACCTGAAATACTCTCTGATATTTCTGGAATAATAGAATAACCAAGGCAAGCTCAAATTATCACAGAGTATAAATTTGTCATGAACTTTCTGCATGTACTCTTTGCATCAACCTAAAGCCATGGGCCAGTGCTCCTGTTTCAAAGTTCAGTTGAAATCTGAACCCTAGACACTTGCAGATGCTAATAGAGAAAATACAGAAAATTGGATAAAGTAGTTAAGTACCACCAATTAGCTTTATCCAGACTTTAAAAAATGAAACCTCTGCTTAAAAAACTTGTCAGTAAATGAATTGCAACCCCTAGAGGAGTTTAGGCAGATATAAATAAATTTCAAGAGTAAGGAAAGAAGTTGCTAAGATCCAAGCATTATTTCTTTGGTTTATTGCATATGAACAACCCCCAACCCTGAGCCACCTGGATCAGAAAGAGGGCTCTCTCTTTCCTCACTAAACAGTCCAGAGAGTCAAGAGGAAGAATGCACTGGAAATCACTTTGAGGTATGGTGACTTCGGGAAAGCATCTATTTACCACATGAAGTCGAAATTTGAATATTCTAAAAAGGTGACAAAGATAACCAGATATCTAAACTAAGTCCAAATGGAGGCTCCAGAAGCTCCCAGTCATCTCTGGTAAGTTATGGAGTTAGCAGAAGAAGCCGTTGATATCTTTAAGAGTATTTCTTTGAAATCTTCACCTAAACTTCCTCTTTCTATTAATACCTCCCAGAGAGTTCCCTTCTGTCAGTAACAGAACAATATTCTTCTAATTGTTTCCTATTCCCATTTTCATCTCCTCCTCCATTACTCAATCTTCCTGACACCTGATGGAAATAACATCTGAAGAGGGAATGTGGCCAGGCACAGTGGCTCATGCCTGTAATCACAGCACTTTGGGAGGCTGAGGCAGGAGGATTGCTTCAGGTCAGGAGTTCAAGACCAGCCAGGGCAACATAGCAAGATCTCTTCTCTGCAAATAATAAGATAATAATAATAATAATAATAATAATAATAATAATAATAATAATAACTAGCAGGTATGGTAGTGTGCCTCTGTTGTCCCAGCTACTCAAGAGGCTGAGATGGAAGGATTCCTTGAGCCCGGGAGTTCAAGGCTGCAATGAGCCATGATTGTGCCACTGAACTTCAGCCTGGGCAACAGAGCAAGACCTTATCTCTTAAAAGAAAAAAAAAGGAATCTTATTTCTTTAGTTCTTCTGTGGCACAAATCCCTTACCATTTGGAGTGATATTAATTCAGGAAGTTGAGATCATTGGGACAGCATGAAGGTTTTCTTAAGAATAAAAATGAAATTGATACAAACGCAGCTTCCTGAAGCACTCTACTGAGGAAGATTCTGACAAGCATCTAAATTCTGATAGGAAGTACAGGGTAGTGGAGGCTTTGGAATGATCAATTGTCCATTGAAATGATTTAAGCCAAGGAAAGTAGGCTAATGGGACCAGCTTTAAGCAAACAAACAAAAAATGATTGTTGTTTGTCATGATGAAAAAATGACTAAATTGGAATAAATTTAAACTGAGAGATAATTTATTGGGCTCTGCCAGTCTAAACAAGAAAACTTGGGTCATGGATGTAGATTCACTCATATAGCAAATATCTATTGCTTGCTATGTGCCAGACCCTGTGCTAAGTGCTGGAGATGAAAAAAGTGTGCTGAGTCTGAACATTGTGTTTGGAGGCATTTGAAAGCAGTAGAGCTGGAAGTATTGAATTTATTCAGATTCTAGCATATGGTATGAAATTTCATTTGATTTGAATTACACAAATGGCATAAACCTGAATTTTGTTGTGGTATTTCTCTCATATTTAATTTATATGATGCAATATGCTACATAATTAGGTATCTTCCAGTGGGTGAACTCTCATGAATGATGATTTATTTTTTCTTTGCATTCTTTATCTTCACTCACATGGACTGAAAACAGTCTTTGTATCTAAGAATCATCTGCCAGTGTGTGGAGATAAAATGTTTCAAGAGTAGATAGGTGCCATGAAGAAGGAATTCAACATGGGCTGAAAATCTGCAAACTTGAGTCTTGACCTCCATATTTAGAAAAAGTGAGACATCATTTAATAGATCAGTTACATCCTTGCCATATTTAGGTTGAAATTAAAAGATCAGTGGGCAGTGCGATATGACAGAATGAATACTGTATGGCCTAAATCTAAATCCAAAGAAGGCCTAAATCGAGCCTTATTTCTTGCACCAACCCCACAGGTGACCTAGGGCAAGTCATTTTTTGTTTGTTTTTAGGCTCATGTAAAATAAGCAGTGTAATTTAGATATTTCAGTTTCCAAAGAGCCAAACCCTGGTTTTGGAAAACTCATGTTAGATAAAAATCAGGATTTGCAGGAGTTTGATTTGATTCAATGACTATGGATAGTTATCCAGTGATCACTACTAAAGGTTAGGAAATGCACATCCTATAAGCCAGAAAGTTCTACTCATCAGGATGGGCCTGGCAAAGTTCTGTTCACATGTGCACAAACAGTTGTGGGTAAAATGTTCACGGCAGCATTGAAGGTGACAATAAACTACTGAAGCAATCTGCATTTTCGTCAATGTGAGAGTGGAAATAAATTATGGTTTCAAATAATGTAATACTTTTAAATTGTGAAAGGACAAGTGTATTAACATTAATTTATTTCTCAAATATATTCATGACTGGAAAAAAGCAAGTCACAGAATAATACTTTATGATATGGTTGTATGAAGTTCATAAAAGAAGCAAAAATAATCCCGTATGTTATTTAGGATTTTATCCATTAACATGGAGAGATGCACAGATACAATAAACACCAAGTTCAGTGCAGCGGTTTCCATTGAGAAAGAGGCTGAAGACGGTAAATGGGTTAGGTTAGGGGAGGAAGGGGATGAGCACCCAGGCGTCTGCTATATGAATCAGAATCATGGCTTCATATTCATTCATTATATTAGCCTGGATATTTTATGTTGTAATTTTAAAACAATCTGAGGTATCCATTTTGTCACCCATTCATCCATTTATCCATATACTTATTTATTTAGGTTGAAATTAAAAGATCAGTGGCCAGTGTGATATGACAGAATAAATACTCAATAAATTCTATTTAGCTTCCACTTTTTGCCAAGCTCCTCTCTAGAGACCAGGATAAAAGAAGAAATTAAGGCATAATCCTTACCTTCAAAGATTTCACATGCTACTTGAATCTTAAAATATAGTTAAACCTTTAATAATGGAAAATATATTTGTGTCTAAAAGCAAGGCGGGGCTTGCAACAATAGGAGACACATGACCTTTCTCTAAGGCAAAACCTATAGACAACATTTAGTACGAGCACTGAATAAAAATTAACACATTGTATTTCTTACTTTTTTCTTTTTTCCCCAGGATGCAGTGATAACCATTATTTTGACATGTGCTGTTTTTCAAGTGTGGCTATTTCACACATTTTTTACAATCACCAAAATTTTTTCACAAAGAGTGAATTTTATTCTGTGTCATATTTCAATGTGTTACTTCTCATAGACTTGTGATAGTGAGAGGCACTGTATAAATCAATCATGCATTTTGTATTTGGAGAACACTTTGTGACTATGTTTTTTTTTCCATATTTGTTTAATAACTTATTGGCTCAAGAGCAGAATCCATCTCTCACAAAAAGCAAAGAGAAATATGATAGGAGGGCTAGGCTGTCACATTGACAACTATTTGTGTGGAATTGGATAGGAAATATTTTTTTTAAAAAATGTAGATCACCTGTAAGTTATTCACAAGCTCTGAGATTCCCTTGATTCAGCTTCTAAAAGCAAGGGCTGCCATTGAAAATCAACTGGAGTATTTTCATTCGTGATTGACTCACATATATATGAGAGGAAGGTATATATATATATATATATATATTTTGTATATATATATATGTACACATATGTATGTGTGTGTGTATCCCTCTTTTACCTAAAAGAACTTTAGAACTTCATTTTTAAGACCATCATATATATGAGATATATATATATATATATATATATATGGTATCATATAGATAATGATACATATGATATATATATGGTATATAGATAATGATACATATGATATATATATTAAAAAACACATAAAGTGAGGGAAAAAAGAAAATTATTTTCATCCATTCCAAAATAATCTATTTTGATATTCAAAATTTCTAAAATTGGTGCAAAGTCTGGATGTAAGGATGATCTGGCTGCTTCATCTGTCACCCCATTGATTGCAGGGTTGATCTGGCTAATCTAGCTGGCCTAGGCAGGTGTCCCCCTTCCCCCCTCACTGCTCCATGTGTGTCTCTCTGGAAGCTGAGCACTCTGTTGAATACGATGACTATCCCTGATAGAGGAGGACCGGTCTTTGGTCAAGGGTATACGAGTAGCTGTTCTCCCTCAAAAATCTCCGAACAAATTCTCAAAATTAGTGCAAAGTCTGATGTCAACTCTTCTGGTCTTTCTCGAGTTTTTACAGCCTTCAAACCCAGCTCTTCATTCTGCTTTAATTTATCTAGGATATAAAGTAAATTTTAATCCACAGTTTACATATTTTATTTACTTTGCAACCTTATTTATATAATGCCCTCATAATATAGACTAGGCAGATATTATCAACTCAGTTTTTCAGATGGGAAAATTAAGGTATAGGATATTATAATTTTCCTAGACCAGTATTATGACAGCCCGTTGCAAGCTGAGTTTAGAAGGCAGCTTGGTTTCTAGGCTCATATTCTTCTATGTCCCCTAAAGCTCAAGTGTCATAGGGTTTTCATAAACTAGGAAGCTGCCACCCAGAAGTCACACTGTATTTTCAATTCACATTTCTACGCTGAAGATTTGTACATTTGACTGTATGAAAATTTTTCTTAAATGTAAGAACTATTAACAAATATTAAACTCTAGTTTATTATATGAAAAAAATCCATGAATTTATAAACTATTGAGCTAAGATACACTTTGGGGTTTGAGATTTCTGCACTGAACTCAAAGACTATTTCTCCTATGGGCCTATTATGAATTGATGTTACTCAGAAAGAGCACATAACTGTTCTGTCAGACTTCACAGAGCTTAAAAAATATGAAAGATCAATCTCCAAGTGCATGTACAGTATGTACCATTTCTCAAACACTGTTGACTATAGAATGCTTTTTTTATGTTGGTCCTGCTGCAAGTTGAACAACGTATTTTAGGAAATAGAGGTCTAGTCTAGCACAAATTTTTCACAAATTAAAAATACTCATACAACCTACAAGGAAATAGAGGTCTAGTCTAGCACAAATTTTTCACAAATTAAAAATACTCACGCAACCTACAATCACTTGAAGAAGTAGATTATTTCTATTTGTTCCCCCGTAACTGAAGCTCTTCTTATTCTTCCTTCTATTCCCACCCCACCCTTACACAATGATATCTGCTACCCTAGCTGCTAACAGCATAGATGTTGTGGGTGTGTGGATGTCTGGTTTCATTTGCTCAATAATTTGTAGTTGTAGATTTGTCATTGTCACTGCTGCATGATATTCCATTGGACGAATGTACCACATATTATTCATATGTTTGGTTACGGTAGGCATTTGGGTAGTTCTAGATTTACTTTTGTTTTGTTTTGTTTTTTGCTATTATGAATAGTGCTTTTATAAACATTTTATTTCGTATGTTAATATATTAATAGATACATTTCTGCTGGCATATACCTAGAAGACTATTGCCAGATCATAAGGTACATATATATTTAGCTTTAGGAGTATTACAAAACAGTTTGTATCAGTTGCTTATTTTTATGATAAGTTTATGTAATGAACAACTATAAAAATCTCAGTATCCCCAAATAAGCATGTATTGCTTAAATGCATTTGTTCAGCAGAGGTTCAGCTAGGTGATTCTACTCTTCCTGGATGAGCTGATTCATGTATGTAGGGTTAGACTGGCTGTTAGCTCATCTAGGATGGCCTTGGCTAGCACAAAGGTAACGCAAATCTTTCCGTGTAACTTTCACCCTTCAGCAACCTAGTCCAGTCATGTTCTCATTACACAGGCAGAGACACTGGGGCATAAATGGAAATGGCAAATGCTTTCTATAAGATTCTGCTTGTATAACACTCACAAATACTGTCTGAAGCAAGTCAGGTAGATGAACAAATTGCTGAAAGGTAGGGTATCATACTTTGGTTCTCGCTGGCAAAGGACATTAGCACAAGGTGGGGTGCTGAAATGAGGCCAGCAATGCCATTGATCTCCTGTAGTTTTCCAAAGTGGGCATATCAATTTACACTGCCTTCGGTATTGTTTGTGAGTTATAGTTGCTTCAATCCTTACCAACTTGGTAGCTTTTGTTACTTAAAATTTTTCTTTCTTCTCCACTTCCCTTTTCTGTTTCTCCTCTTCCTCTCATTTTTCTTCTCCTCCAGCCCTTCCCCACCACCTTCTTCTATCAGCTCTTCTTAGGAATATGCAAAGATTTTGCATTGTAATTTTGTTTAAATTTTCCTGATAATTCACGAGGCTGAGGAAGTTTTCATAGATTCAGTTGTAATTTAGATACTCTCTTTTACATAATGCCTGTAAAAGTTGGTTTTGGTGTTGTTTATTTGGGGTTCTACCCAGTATTTTTATTGGGTTGTCTTTTTTATTTATTGGGATTTTGGGGGCTAAATACACATTCACACACAAACACATTATCATATGTTGCTTTATGATGGAGATAAATTCTGAGAAATGCATAATTAGGTGATGTCCTCATTGTGTATATGTCACAGAGTGTACTAATGCAACCTGGAAGGTGTGACTTACTACACACCTAGGCTACATGGTACAGTCTATCGCTTCTAGGCTACAAACCTATACAGCATGTTACTCTACTGAATACTTTGGCAACTGTAATGCAATGGTATTTGTTTATCTAAACATAGAAAATGTACAGTAAAAATATTACATAAAAGATACAAAATGGTACACCTGTACAGGACACTTACCATAAATGGAGCTTGCAGGAGTGGAAGTTGCTCTGAGTGATTCAGTGACTGAGTGGTGCGTGAATGCAAAGGCCTAGAACGTTACCATACATTACTGTAGACTTTATAAACACTGTACTTGTTGGCTGTACTAAATTTATTTTTTAAATGTCTTTCTTCGATAATAAATTAACCTTGGTTTACTGTAACTTTTTAACTTTATAAACTTCTTAATTTTTTTTTTACTTTTTCAGTCTTTTGTAATAAAACTTAAGACATACATTATGCAGCTGTACGAAAATATTGTATTGCTTTGTATACTTGTTCTAGACATTTTTTCTATTTTTATTTAACATTTTTGTAAAAACTAAGACAAAACACACACATATTAGCCTAGGTATACACAGGCCTAGTATCATCAATAACACTGTCTCTCACTTCCACATCTTATTCCACTAGAAAGTTTTGTGGGGTGATAATATGCATGAAGTGGTCAACTCTTACAACAACAAAGCCTTCTTCTGGAATTCCTCCTGAAGAACAGGCCTGAGGCTGTTTTATAGCTAACATATTTTTTTTCTTAAGTAGAAGTACACCCTAAAATAACAATAAAAAGTATAAGGTTGTAAATACATAAGCCAGTAACATAGTTGTTTATTATTATCATCAAGAATTATGGATTTTACATAATTATACATGTTACAATTTTATACAACTGGCAGTGCAGTAGGTTTGTTTATGCCAGGATCATCATGAACACATGAGGAATGCATCATCACACTACAGGCACAGCTATGACATCACTATGTGATGGGAATTTTTCACCACCATTATAATCTTTTTTCTTTTTCTTTTCTTAAGAGACAGGGTCTTGCTCTGTCTCCTAGGCTGGAGTGGAGTGTGCAGTGGCATGATTATAGTTCATGGCAGCCTCAACCTCCCAGGCTCAAGCGATACTCTCACCTTAGCCTCCTTAGTAGCAGGACTATAGGCATGAGCCACCATGCCTGACTAATTTTTTTTTCTTTTTTTGTAGAGATAGGGTCTCACTATGTTTCCTAGGCTTGTCTGGAACTCCTGGGCTCAAGTGATCCTCCTGCCTGGGCCACACTCCCAAAGTGTTGGGAGTACAGATGTGAGACACTGTGCCCTGCCTCCATTATAATCTTATGGGACCACCATTGTATATGCGGATTGTCATTGACCAGAATGTAATTATGCAGCACTACTGAATATATATATATACACACACTATATATAGTGTATATATATACAGTATATATTACACAGTATATATTATATATACAGTATATATTACACAGTATAATATACGGTATATATTACACATACAGTATATATTATATATACCATATATTCTACATACAGTATAGATACCATATATATTATACATACAGTATAGATACCTATATATTATACATACAGTATAGATACCTTTATATTATACATACAGTATAGATACCCAGTATATATTATACATACAGTATAGATACCATATATATTATACATACAGTATAGATACCGTATATATTATACATACAGTATAGATACCGTATATATTATACATACAGTATAGATACACAGTATATATTATACATACAGTATAGATACACAGTATATAGACATACAGTATAGATACACAGTATATAGACATACAGTATATAGACAGTATATAGACATACAGTAGACAGTATATAGACATACAGTATATAGACATACAGTATATATATGCAACTATTTCTCTTTCTGTCTCTCTCAGTTGCCTTTTCATTCTTTTAATGACATCTTTGATGAGAGGATTATTAAACAAAACCATTCTGCAATGCATTAGGCATTGGCTATTAGTCTGCTCAGCCTTGTGCTAAGACATATTTACTCATAACCTTCGTAAGATAGCATCTTTCTCCACAAAGCATTTGTAGTCTAGAATAAGGATCAAGCAGAACACTCCTAAGGGGAATGAATATGAAACCAAATATAAATTTGAGCTACTGAGTAAGAGTGAGAGCATTAAAAGGCCTAATTAGAATCCTGGCTTTAGATGGATTCACTGTATGATTTTGTATAATTGATTCTTCCTTCCTGAGTTTCATATTCCTTGAAAAAAACTTTCAGGTCATTTCTCAGACCTAGCACAGTTTCAAGCAAAAGGGATCATAATTCTGCTTAAGTCCTGTCCCAATTTTGGGGAAAAACTTCTCATCTGAAAAGCAAACAAAAACTCAAACAACAACAAAAGAAACTGCTGGTGTGCAAGAGCAATATTTTCTATAATATCCTTTAATAGTTCAGAAAGAAATACATATAAATCTGTTTGGAGCCTAAACAACATGTTTTCACTTATTATTACAATTTCCCAAGAAATGACATTTAATATGTTAAAATTTACTGAATTTTTGATGAATTTATGTTTACATGTATATATATATATATATATATATATATATATATATATATATGAATTTTATATACCTTCTTGTTCTGTACTGCAGAGCAAGGAGAAAAAAAAATTTTTTACATGATGGCAATCTATCAGAAAAGACCAGTCCATATTAGGGGAGTGGAATCTGTGAAGAATTGTTGTTGCAAGTCAGTTTACCAGTTAAGGTGCTGTGCACGGAGGAGAGATTTGTAAACCATGAGCTCCTAGAAAGAGGAAAGTTCTAAATATATTCACATCCATCTAACCCTCAGGGTTTAGGCTTTGCTCCAGAGCCAGTTTCACAGTCTTATTTTGAATGAAAGTTGTATTCAATTTGTAATGCATTGAGACTGCAGCAGGTGGATCTCATAGAGAGAAATGTCTTCCTGCAATAAAATAGGATTAATTCATTAATGTCTCTGAGCTTTTCAAAGGAAATTCCTCTTGGGATTATAGTATTAATTTATTAATTTAAAACCACTCCATTTGTTTGGTCAATATGTGTTTAAGTAATATAAAATTTATAATAAATATATATCTGTGGCTGTGAATGATAGCTCATGCCTATAATCCCAGTACTTTGGGAGGCCAAGATGGGAAGATTACTTGAAGCTGGGTGTTCAAAACCAGCCTAGGTGACAAAGTGAGACCCCATCTCTACAAAAAATTTTTAAAAATTAGCCAGGTTTGGTGACTCAAGCCTGCTGTCCCAGCTACTCACAAGGCAGAGGTGGGAGGATCACTTGAGCCTTGATCTGGAGTTTGAGGCTGGTCTGGAGTGAGCTGATTGTGCCACTGTACTTTAACCTGGGTGACAGAGTGATTATCTTAGATAGATAGATAGATAAATGATAGATAGATAAGTGATAGATAGATAGATAGATAGATAGATAGATAGATGATAGCTAGATAATAGTTTAATATTGTTGAATTTGAGACTTTAGAGAAATTTGCTTCTTTATATGGATGGTAAGCTGAATAAGCCCCCTAAGGATATCTATGTCCGAATTGCCAGCAGCTGTGACTGTGCTACCATACATGGTAAAAAGGTCTTTGCTGATATATTTATGAGTCTTCAAATGGTGGGATTTTCCTGGATTATCCAAGTGGGCCCGGTGTAATCACAAATGTCCTTGTAAGAGGAAGGCAGTAGCTTAGAGAGAGAAGAAAGCATGTGACAGTGCCAAGAGGTTGAAACAGTTCAACAGATTTGGAGATTTTTCACAATTACTGAGAAATCAAGCTACCAGATGTTGAAGATGAGCTATCCCACAGTTGTTCTATCAATAACATTTATAATTTTTGATTGCAAACTATCTTTCCCGGTTAGTAGCAGAATTGAGGTATAAAGTTTGCTCAGTTCTAAAGACAATGGCCTTTCCCCTGCCCCAGCTTACCTCCCAAGTTCATCCTAAGGAAACCTACATTTTCTTTCTTCCAGGAATGTCATAATAGGTTCTGGACACCCTTAGGAACTTTGAATATAGGGGTCTCATTAATGCCTCTACTTTTCTTAACTTGAGAGTGTTCCCATTGACCTTTGCCATTAAGAAAGAGCAATAGAGAGATATGGTACAGTACAGGAAAAGTTCCATGAAGGAAATAGGCTTTATCCTGTTTGTAAAAATGCATTTGTTACCTTTGAGTAATTATAAAGGAAATTGATGTTTAGTTTAGACAATAAAGCAACTGCATAATAAAAACACATAGAAGAAAGTAAAAATCATTATGACCTCATCACACAAACATGAACACCTTCTGATATAAATATTTTTGGCTCTGCATTTATACATATAAAATAATAAGTAATGATACATAATGACATATAATACTACATAAATTCTCCAGCTAGCTATGTTTTTCAGAGAAAAAAGCAGCATAACTTAAATTTTTAATATTTAATATTATAGCAATTACTTTGAATTCCATTGAAAATGATGTACCATAATTTATATATATATACATAGGTGAGTGTGTGTGTCTTTTTGGGGGGAAAATCCTTAACAATGGTGCTATTACTAATATCATACAATGATAATAAATGTGGGCATATAAGATATCTTAACATTAGTAAAAATTGGTATTTAATATATTTTCTTGTGCATATATTTTACATATTAAGCTATTTAATATTTATTTTTCCTCATTGACAGTAGAAGCTTTTTATGTATTTAGTATAATAATTCTTTCTCATGTATAAATCCAATCTTTTATGTGATTTTTTTATCTTTTGTGTTGTTAAAAGTCCTTCTATCTGTTTATGTATTTATTTTAGGGGTAAAGGGAAATAGAACCATTCTTTCCAAAATCAATATTTGCAACATGAAAATTCAAAGCTCACCTGCCCAAATCTACTATCTTATTACAGAATGAATTTCCACAGAATGGAGTTGGTGTTTGATTGTTTTTACCCTTCAGTCAGGCTTACTTGTTCCACATTTTAAAGTGCTCTCTGTCCAACATTTAAAGAGGTTGATGTTCTTGCATTGCCAAGCAGTATATCTACAGGAAAACTAACTATAACATCTCTTTCAAGGTGTTTAGTGAGATAGGCTTTGGAGAAATAGAAAATTTGACCTATATTGATTTTATGTCCTTTGAGAAATAGGCAGCTTGAGCTTGATTAATGAGCATTTCCCACCTCATTTATGTCCAAAATCTCTGCAATTGACATCTGAAAATTCTCATACATTGTTTCAAAGTAAATTATGTGGAGTGTCTTCTCTGGTTGGGATGTCTCTCTGCCTCCTAGGGCCAAGTGCTGCCTTCTTGGCTGTGCAGACAATAGCCAGTTTGAGGAAGAAGTAAAAGGTATAAACCCAAACAAAATAAAGCAAAGCAAACAAACAAACAAAAACTAAAATATGATCAATATGATCTGAATCTTAGACCACAGCTATCTTTAAATTATTTAAGTTTTTTTCTTGAATCCCTGGCCTTCTGAATAATGTTCTTCATATTTTAAATACAGTAAAGGTATAAGAATGACCATACTTACAGGAGAAGAGGAATATTGACTCATTAAGATTAAAGTTGCATGTGCTATTTTGTGATGTTATACTCCAATATAAACACTGATAACTAGAATTAAAGAATCTCAGAAATGTTAAGGATACTATAATATGTTAATGGAGTGGTTTCTACCCAGGCTATGCATTAGAATTATCTGGAAATACTATTTTATTCCAAAATCTACTTATAACGCTTATACCGTAGAAAGGGATTGATAAACTTTCTCTGCAAAGGGTCAGATATTTAATCTTTTAGGCTTTGTAGGCCATGAAGTCTCTGTAGCAGTCACTCATCTCTGCTGTTCTAGCCCCAAAACATCCATTGATAATGCCTACACAAACAGCTGTGGCTGTGTTCCAATAAAACTTTGTTTACAGAAATAGATGATGGTTCAGATTTGGCTCAGGGTTATAGCTTACTAACCCCTGTTCTACATGAGGAGTTTGATGTGCTAATATTTTAATTGGCTGATAGAAAAGCAAAATTGTTATTCTTTTGAGAGTGATTACAGAAGCCACACTCTCATTAATATATTACCCACAATGCCTTGAAAAAATTGAAAAGCCACCATACATGAAAATAAAATAGAAAATATTACCCAGAGTGAAGTAAAATTTTACTCTAAAGTAAAACATTTACAAATTACCCAGATGTTAAAAATTAGGAGACTTTAAAAAAACTTTAATAAGTAAACTCATAGTACATGGGAAATGATGAATCTATAGGAAAGAGATTAAGAGTTTCAGGAGAGAGAGAAAAAATAAGCAAATTTAATTAATACATAAAATAAACAATCAATGTAATGACCAAATAATAGGACACATAGAGTAACAAGTATATGGAGGAAAAAATAAAAAAATGAATCGAGCATCAGTGACCTGTGGGGAAATATTGAACATGTTTACATTCATTAAATTGAAACTCAAGAAAGACAGAAGGAAGACAACGGGGCAAAAACTAACTGAGCAAATGTTGGTTGACTTTTTTTTTTTCCTCAAAATTTCATCAAGAACAGAGATCCAGAAAGATCTCTGAGATCCAGAAAGTTCAGTGGAACCCAAGCAGAATAAACAAACAAAAAAATCTGTTAACATATATCATAGTCAACTGCTGAACACTAAAGATGTAGAAAAATTCTTAAAGACAGAAAGAGAATGAAACACGTATTACATAGAAAATAATAAAAATAAGAACTCCAGCAACTTCCACATCAGAAGCTGAGGGCCAACAGACAACAAATGGTATATTTAAAGTGCTAAAATGGCAGAAAACCACCTTGTGATCCAGAATTTTATACATTGAGTGCTTTATATGGCTAACTCTACCTGAAAAGATGTGAGGGCATGTATGAAAGATGATGTTTAAGTTAAAACTTCAAAGGAGCGAAAGAGCTTACCCAGTGGATCTTAGGTGAAAAGAAAGAGAGCATTCTTAGCAGAGGAAAGAGCTTAAGCAAAGCCATGGCGGCATTAAGTACAAATATATGTGAAACAAATTGCATAGACATGGAATACTGATATGTTTTGGCTGTGTCCCCACCCAGATCTCACCTTGAATTATAGCTCCCACAGTTTCCACGTGTTGTGGGAGGGACCCAGTGGAAGGTAATTGAATTACCTGTTGAGTGGGTCTTTCTCATGCTGTTCCCATGATAGTGAATAAGTCTCACAAGATCTGATGGTTTTAGTAAAGGGGAGTTCCCCTGCACAAGCTGTCTCTTGCCTGCCACCATGGAAGAGGTCCCTTACTCTTCTGCTATAATTATGAGGCCTCTCCCACCATGTGGAAATGTGAGTCAATTATACCTCTTTCCTTCACAAATTACCCAGTCTCATGTATGTCTTTCTTAGCAGTGTTGGAACAGACTAATACAAATGCCGTGTCCGATATTGTGCAAGAATTCAATGACAGTTTGTTTTCAAGTTTGGTGTCCTTTCCACGTCTTCCTCCCAACTTGTAAGAATCCATGCTCTGCTTAACATTGCTGCAAGCATCTTGAATGCAATGCTGCCTGATCAATTGCCCTCCAAATGGGTACTCAGAGAACTTTGTCATCTTAATTTTATATTTACAGCCACACTTTCATTCTAAGGAAAGCTATCTATTCACACTAGCAAATTAAAACAGTTATGATCATGGTAATAACAGCACTTGAATAGAAAATTCACCAATTTAGGCTGGACTTGAGCTACCGTAATGTGCATTTCTGTTTAATGCTGTTTATGTTTCCCTGGATACTATAATGGATTGGGTTGTGCAATTTAGTTTTATTGACAGCCACCAACTCCATCCCTATCTTCGAAACGGAGGGAGACGAAATGATATAAACTGATTATAAATAAACTATGCTAGGGCTCAGGCAATGAAGGATGAATAATTATAATTGCATTCAAACTATTATCACTGGTATAGCTACATTGAACTAGTCTAAGTTGAAGTAAAATAATCTTTAAAAATGAATTAGCAAAGCAAATATGTCTTTTTGTACATGTCCTGTCCTTTTTTACACTTCCTGTGATCTTTTGAATACTATAGTCTATTGCAACGTGTGTATGGTTTCATTCTGGCTGCTCTATGAACTCTCATATTAGTTGGATATAGTGTCTGCTAAAATATTAAGGAGTTTTTTTGTACAGCAAAGGGGCAATGCGCCTGGAAGCTGGGACTTTAAGACTTGTATTGAAGCTGCATTTGCACATCAGACATTGCTTTAATCTACATTGTATAATTAATTGAGGTAGTTTGGGACTGGAGAGGTGAGTGTGGCTTGTTGTAGTTACAGGTTTCCCAGGTCACCCCTTAGATGTCACCAATTTTGGAGACCAGGTTACTCTTCTTTCAGCAGTAATTAAGATGAATCTGTAAACATACTCCTAATGATCAAACTAGGGATGACACTTGTTTCTGTGACAGTTTACACCAACCAAAAAGGACTGAATAACTCTTTTCCAGGCTTCCTTGTCTTGTATAGAAACAATAAATAAAGTTCTTCTACATTTATTTTCCACTCATGACCTACTAGACATTTCAAAATAAGTGTCCCACAGCAACTAATTTTCTGTCCAACCATTTTACACAGAAGAAATACAGCTTGAGTATATTAGATTAACCTTTGCAAACTGAAGTTGTCTATTGAATTTATTTATAAACAATTGCTGAAAGTGTTGAGATGGTCTTAGCTAAAACAATTTATGGCTCGTAGACTCCTGAAAAAGAGGTGCCCTGATGTGATCTGGCCACTGCTGTGAGTGAACAGGAAGGACTGCTTTAGATTCCCATTGTGTAGTTTACGATATAAGTAATGGAGTTAATCAGGTATACATTTTCCACAAATGTGTCCCCACATGTTCCATTCTCATCAACATTGGGCAGGTATTTTTCCTGTCTGTTGGTTAACAGGAATGAAATAAGAATTGAGGCTTAAACATTAGGCATTTCATCTTTCTAGAAAATCCTGTGGAATAAAGTAATTGTTATGCCTGGGCTAATTGATAACCCATTAAATCAACCCCCAAGTTCGTAGTCAAGAGGGACAAAAGTGAAAAATAATTATTTTCAGTGTATGTTATTATGTACCTGGCACCAAGGTGAACATCTAACTTACACACTTTTACGTAATTTTCACAATGCCCCTATTAGATGGTCATTATTATTCCCATTTTATAAAGAGATTAAAGCTTAGACTTGCTATTGAAAAAAATCAGTTGCCCAAGAAAGTAATTGAGACAGGGGCACCAAAATCAAAATCCATATTCTAAACAAGAGATCTGCAAACTACAGGCTGAGGGCCAAAATGACCCACTACCTATTTTTGGATAGCCTGAGAGCCACTTTTAAATGGTTGAAAAAAATAAAAAGAATATTTTCTAACCACACAAACTGATATTAAATTAAAATATCAATATCCATACAAAATTTTGTTGCAACATAGCAATGCTGATTATGTAATGTCCATGTCTGTTTTCCTGCTATGATGGCAGAGTTGAGTAGTTGCAACAGAGACCGTATACAGTGCTCGCATCACTTTGCACTGTTGCTTGGCGCACTACCACTCGGCAGGGATGCAGTTATAATTTAACTGTGTTTGGAGTGTGCTATATATGGCTATATCAAGATATATGTTTTTTATTAGTACTGCATACTTATGATGTCAAAACCACAACAAGAACAAAATTGACTTCTAATGTATTTTAAGGCACAGCAGAGTGTGAATTATTCTGTTATTGAATTGAATGTCAAAGCATTGTGTTTATGATGCAGTGGTATGTTAGCTATTCTAAACGAATAAAGCAGACATTAACATGATCAAAGTAAGCACTCAGCTTACCAAAATACTCCCACTCACTAGAAAGTGATGGTGAGAAAAATTAGAAAATTTAAAACAGAACATCTTTGCAGCAGAATTTCTTTACAAAAATAAAAATGAAACTACAACTAATGAAAGTGTTTCTGTGACTCATTTGTTAGCCAAGCCAAAAATAAAATAAAAAATAATAAATCTCTTTATCAATGATGAATTAATTAAGTCATGTTTGATTACAACAGCTGAAGAAATATCTTGAGAAATAAAACTTGTTTGAAACCATAGTCTTTCTGTGAGAAAATTTAATTGAAGAACTGTGGACATTAGAAGCTATCTCAATAGCCAATTAAAAGTTAGCTGGGTGATTCTGAGTTGTTTTTCTTGAATCTTGATGAGTGGACAGCTTTTGTCTTTTCAAGGGGTCACTATTAAGGTTGAAATGACTGAGGGATTGGCCTCTATATATACCCTATGTGGAGCAACTGCAGGCAAGGTTTTTTTTTCTTTTTTTAATTTTTGAGCATACATAGTAGGTACACATATTTAATTCAGAAAACACAAATTCATTAAAACCTGAAGTGGAATCTGCCAAGATGTATCATAACTAATGCTGGTAAAAGTATGGGTGGAGCAGAAAAAATCTTATTTGAACAGATTTTAAAAGCTTGTGAAAATGTAAGTTGCTTAAAACTTTATGTTTATTTATAATAATATCTATCAGCATGCACTATGTAGAAAGTATTTGAATCTTTAGTGTGGTATTGAACCAGCAGTATCAATGGTGAAGTTAATTTGCTCTAGTGGACTTAAACATTGCTGTTCCATGAATTTTTACTAGAAATAAAAGCTAAATATACTAATATTTATTCTTTACCACTTAGCAGGTCTATAATTTACCAGGCAGAAATTGTATTACTGTTTTTGAGCTCAGGGTCAAGATTGAAATTTTTCTAAATGAAAAGAACTGTCCTCAACCACTATCATTAAACACTGACTGGCTTTAGAAATTAGCTTCTATTCCAGACTTGATAATAGTTCTTGGTGATTTCAACATAAAATTTCAAGACAAAACAAAGCTGATTCGTGAAACCTATGCTACTTTAAAGCTGTTTCCAAAAACACTAATGATTGAAGCAAAAATAAAATAAACCACCTTATAAATGATCCATGCTAACAAGTTAAGACAAGAAGCAAGATCATCATTCTCACACAAATTTGTAGTCTAAATGTTCAGATTTTCAAGGTCAACCTACAGTTCCAACAGTGTGTTTCAGATTTCAATGCAAGTTCAGAAATAATATTCATATTTCAAAATCTATTTAACCATGTAATTGAATAGCTTCAATCTAACCTTGAATTGGAAGTGATTTTAGTCTGCAGTATTGTGCGTACTAAGAGGTGAATATCAAGAAAAAATCCAATAGAATCGTATCAATGCCTCTGAACAATAAATGTGCTCAATTAAAATCATATGCTTATGGATTGGTATCAGTATTATGCAGTACCTAACTGTGTAATAAGACATTTTCAAAAATGAAATACATAAGATCTCATTGCAGATAAGCATTAATAGATGAAAATTTCCAATTAATTTTGATGGCAGAGAAAACTACTTCTGAACCCAAATTAAGTGAAACATTACCCCCCACCACATCCTTGAAAATGTCATTCTTCTGAAAAAAGAAACTTTTATTTCGAAATGTACTAAATTATTCTTACTATATTTTGACTGTCATCAAAAATGTGTAGAAATGTGTTTTCTCTCTAGTTCTATAATACTTTCATAACATCCTCAATTTTGTCTCTTGACCCACAAAGCCTAAAATATTTACTATCTGGCCTTTTACTCAAAAAATTTTTGCCGACCCTTAATCTAGTGCCCAGGACCAAGAAATAGAATTATTACTGGCTTTTCTCCTTTGGTCTAATGCTATTGTTAGGATGGTGGGTTCCTGTTTACTTTTACTCTTCTAATGTTCATTCATGCTCACAATTATTCACCCTAAGGGATACTGTGTTGTGTGCAAGGCTCTGAAACTTTATGCAAGAAGCACATTTCGTGTCTGAGTCCTTAGAGTGAACGTTTCGAAACTAGTCTTTGTGTTTCTGAACAATGAGACAAAATATAATTCTATATTGTCAGATCCTGAATGAAATAAAATTAGATGCATTAATGATTGGTCAGCAGAACAGAGTTACTAAGCCCACAGGGTTTAACATCACCCTTCTAGTCCAGAATTCCAGCAACACCACTAACTAGCTGCATTAACCAGGTAGCTACAAGAAATGATACTAAGGACCACAGTCCCAGTCTGGTATTCAGGAAAAATTCAAGGTGAACTAAGAGTTAGCTGGGTGTAGAGTGGACACTGTCAATACAGGCAGAGAGAACAATGTGTGCAAGGGCAATGAGCAGATAAAAATAATGTGGCTAATTCAAGAGACAGAATGGAGATCATGGTGATTCAACATGGAACAGAAATGGATCAGATTGAGGCTGGAGTGATGGAATGGGAAAGGCAGACGTTGGGTGGCTTTGCAAGCCATAGTTAGCTTCTTTTCCTTTAAAATGTAATTGTTTACAAACAATTAAATATTATTCAGCCTTAAAAAGAAAAAAAGTCTGAAATATACTACAAAATGAATGAACCTGGAAGACATTATACTAAGTGAAATAATCCAGTCACAAAAGGCTGAGAAAGAAAGTGGGGTGGGGGTGGGTGGGGAAGACAGAAAGAGAGGGCAAGAGACAAGGGCAGAGACAGAGATACACAGAGAAATAATGCAATCTTTCCATCTTAAGCCAATAGCATAGTTTTTTCATGGACTCAATAGATGAATGGGCCATTATCTAGAGTGTTTTAATGACAGTGAGAGCTCACTATTTCATACTATGGTCCGTTTCATACTGTAAGATTATGTGATATTCTAATATGTGATAAAGCATTGTTAATAAGAATCTTATCACATTTGTGCATTTAACTCTTACTGCATGGTTTACAAAATGAATGTTTGGACTACCACTTATTTATTATTGCTCTCTGCACTAAGGTTATTCTAATTAAGACTCTGAACATATTATTCTTAATTAAACTCTTCTTAAACTCAATTAACTGTCTCCTGAGAAAGAGTTTAGATTTCTCTAAATTCACTATACTAATGAATGCAAAAGAAACTTGTCCTTTTTCCCAGTTGAAACTCAACACAGCCTTTATTGTCCATTTTTCTGACAAAACCTCTTCCAACACCATCCTGCTTTCTCTGAACTGTAACTTCCTTATGGAAAGAAATACTGTAACCATTCATCCCTAAATCTTAAGATTTATTATGTTCTTCTCCCTAGTTTGAATCTCTGTCCTCCAGCTGGCCTTAGCAATGCACCAAACACAGATCTTCTCTGAAGCTTTCTTTTTATTGCAGTCTTCATAACTGTTATATCAAGAAATAAATTTGAGGCTGGGCACGGTGGCTCATGCCTGTAATCCCAGCACTTCAGGAGGCTGAAGCAGATGGATCACCTGAGGTCAGGAGTTTGAGACCAGCCTGGCCAACATGGTGAAACCTAGTCTCTACTAAAAATACAAAAACTAGCCATGTATGGTGGCAGGCACCTGTAGTCTCAACTACTTGGGAGGCTGAGTCAGGAGAATTGCTTGAACCTGGGAAGTGGAGGTTGCAGTGAGCCAAGATCATGCCACTGCACTCCAGCCTGGGCGACACAGTGAGATGAAAGAAAGAAAGAGAGAAAGGGAGAAAGGAAGGGAAGGAAGAAAGAAGGGAAGGGAGGGAGGGAGGGAGGAAGGAAGGGAGGGAGGGAGGGAGGAAGGAAGGAAGGAAGGAAAGAAGGAAGGAAGGAAGACAAAAGAAAGAAAGAAAATTTGAAAGGGTTAGAATAGAAATTACTTTGTGGGAATGTGCTGTGATGGGGGGCTATACCTCTGGACTCCTTCTAGATACCTCTGGAATAAACGAAGGCACAGAAATTAAATAACTCTCTGAAGTATGTACAGCAAGGAAGAAAGGAGGCAGAAATTCTGTCCAAGGTTTGCAGAATCTGGAAGCTAAACTCTTAACTTCTAAACAATCTATCCTTGATACTAAAGTGTGGAGGGCATGTTTTTAATCCTCTAATTGTCTCCATCAGAAGGAATTATGATTCCCAATAACTAACAGATCTTCAATTAAATTAGTACCTAATTCCACTTTTTCAGTTTTTATTGAGAGAAAGCAAAACTTCTCAATTTCAGCAATTTTAATAAAGAACAAATTTTATGTGCAAGGTCAAGAATATGAATTACATAGCTACTCTTGGATTACATAGCTACTTATTTCCAGCTGGGTTGTTTTCAAAACAATATATTTGAAAATAGCTTTTTATAATTTTACAAAAATCTTTCTTACCTTGGACTGCAAGTCTTTAGGAATTTTTTAAAAAATTTTACTTGTAGGAAAGGATGTGGCTCAACACTTCACACCTTCCTCTCTCTAAGAGAAATGCCTGAGACAAGTGTGGTAACCACTATCTCTTTATGTCAAGGGGATCAATTATGGGAATGGCAGCAAGAGTTATTATTGCTTGCAGGAAAGACAGAAGTAAGTACAGTGGTCTCAGGATGGAGAGGCTCGCTGTGTGGGTAAGGCTGCTGGAGATACTGCAGGACTGATAACGCGCACCTCTTAGTGGAGGGTATTGTTTCTTCACTGGGGACCAAATATGTAGGAGACTGTGGGAAGAAGAAGAGAAGCAGGAAAATGAGAAGCCAGGAATAACATGTAGATATCATAGCTCACAATGTCGCGAGTACTGAGTAATAATTCCAGTAATACTAGGCTACATAAGTATGCTACTTAGTCCTACTCAGGACTAATTAAAAATATTGACCAAATACCAAATAACACTACTCCCAAAAGATGATAATATTCTGGAAATAGTAATAAGCACCAGAAACTTTCACAGAGGTGGAGAGATGATCTAAGCCTTAAAAAATAAATGCATCTCCCAATCTCATGTTTTTAACATGGAAGCCACCGGAAGAGAAATTAGATGAAAGAAAAATTAGGTTACTGGCTCAAAGAGTTTTCCATTTCACAGATACAAGCAAGAAAGGAGACCTAGATCTGTCAAAATTCTGGGGAAATAATATGCAAATTTTCTATCTTATTAAGAATCTTTTATTAGAAAAAAAGTCAGATAAAAATGTAATTGAGTTTGCTGAGCCAGTGTAGGGAGTCTGAACTTGCAAATGCATCAATTGCCAAGAAGAAACCATGTGTGAAAGAAAAATCTATATATTGCTATTTAATAAGTCAAGTGAGAGAATTTTGTATATGTAATATCATTAAGTTTATCCCACACACACTCTAGATACTGAATCATTCCATTTTATTCAAAACATTTTCCTGTTTTGATTTCTCTGTAGGCAGTGATCACAAATCCATTAGCAAAATACAATTTAGAACATGTTTCAGCCTGACGTATTACGATAATTCTAGCAAACAGTCGATGTCACATAAAAACAAGAATAATTAACGTAAAACACTTTGTTATCAGCTCCTAACTTGTTTAAGGTTGAATTTCTTCCCTTTCAATATTCAAACAAAATATTTTCTTTTTGATAGCACAAATTATGATAACAATTATTGTCATCTGACTTTTTATCAACATAGCTTGATTAAATGAAATAAAGATGTAATTATAAGAATTGTGAAATTATCAAATTGATGGTAGAGGTTTTTGCTGAACTTCTGTGCATGAAATAGTGAAGGGAAGGATATATCATTTAGATAAAGAGAAAAATGGAATGTGGAAGTGGAATAGTTTTGAATTTCCCTCCCTAGCTTTGGTTGTATTGTGGAACATTTCAAACAAATCAGTGTTCATTTAACCCAATTTTAGAATAGCCATCTTAATTCCCATTGCATCTTGCATTTGCATAAGGTTTTTAAATTTTTAGAAATGTTCACACCTATTATTATTGTTATTATTTGAACTTCATGCTCACGTTATAGGAATACAGAGCAGATATTTATAAAAAAGTCAATTAAGGCAAAGAGAAATTAGGAAACTTGCAAAGGTCACATTATAAGTTAATGGTAAGGACTGCAACTGAATTTATCATTTATTCATTAACTCTTTTGAATAAACATTTTATAAGTTGGTATTTCACCATTAATAAATTCAAGTCAGTTCAGCCTGTAATTTGCAGATATAAAAGTTAAGGATTACAGAAAAGGTAACAGATCTTGAGCTGCAAGACAGTACTAGATCAAATATGAAAAGTCTAGATTTATTATATCACATTGTTCTTGAGAATGGACTCCTTAACTTTACAAATGATACTGAAATGAAATCCACAGTCAGTGTCTCTTACCACATCTACACTTGTTTCCACAGGTGGACTTGCTGCAGAATAGCTTTCAACGCACAGCCCCGGCTTAGCTTTTCCTCTCTAGACTGGAATCAAAGCAAACTTCTTGTCTCAATGCATGTGAAGGCAGTAAGTTAATGAAGCATGACAGTGATTTTATGCTCATTTTTTGGCTATGGGATATTCTACACCCACTTTAGTCCCAAACCAGTGTTATATCAGAAATCAGAATATCCAACACAACTTATTAATCAAAACTCAATTTTATTTAGCATTGAAGTGGAAGCTAAACAATGAGAACATATGCACACATAGAACGGAAAAACACTTAGCAGGGCCTTTCAGAAGGTGGGGAGTGGGAGGAGGGAGAGGATCAGGAAAACTAACTAATGGATACTAGGCTTAATACCTGGGTGATGAAATAATCTGTACCACAAACCCCCATGACACACGTTTACCTATGTAGCAAACCTGCTCTTGTAACCCTGAACTTAAAATAAAATTTAAAAAGAAAAACACCTCTCTTTTCTCTCCATGAGAACTTGCTTTAGAATGGAAGCCTGCAGTAGGGAAGGGGGCATGATCAGCTTCTTCTTAAATTTTTATCTGTATTTTTCTACCCTAACTTCACCCTGCTGGGCACATTCTGACCCCTACAGAGCTGGGGCAGGCAGAGTATACAACAGTAAAGAAAAGTGAAGCCTATTATTTGAATGGTATGGTAATAAGCTGTTTTTATAATCTCTGGGCCTCAGAGGTGTTTTAAGCTGATTCTTTTTCTTTTTTTTTTATTCTTTGGTGTGGTATTATCAGAGACTTGTTATGGCTTTCTTAATAGGACTCTCCCACTTTAGTTCACATGCCTTGGACAAGAAGATGAATCATTTTGTGGATGATGTTTTTCCCTAAATTATGCAATGGCTAGAAATGCAAAGCCCCTTTAGTTTTTGCTACTGGGATTTGTGTATCTCTTGTGGTGACCTGATTTGGAAAAGATCCAATATGAACTCATATTGGTTCTCATTTTTGGTGATTCTCATCTCTTTGTAAGATATACCTACATATCCCTTGTCCTGACTAACTATTGGAGGTAGGCTGATTGCCCTGTCTTAGTCCATTTCTGCTGCTATAACAAAGTATCACAGAGTAGAAAGTTTTTAAATAATAGAAATTTATTTCTCACTGTTCTGGAGGCTGGAAAGTCTAAGATCAAGGCACTGGCAGACTTGGTGTCTGGTGAGAGCTCTCTCTGTGCTTCCAAGATAGTGCCTTGTTGCTACCTCCCCTGGAGGAGATCAATGTTGTGTTCTCACCTGGTGAAAGGGATGGAAGGTGAAAAAAAAAAAAAAAGAAGAACAAATGCTGTGTGAATCACCTTCTACAGGTTCACTTCTTAATGCTCTTGCATTGTGAATTATATTTCAACATAAATTTTGAAGGAATGCGAACATTCAAACCATAGCAAGTCCTCATTTTGATGTCTCACGAAGTAGCACTGTCTGGATTGTTATTCCATCCTTGGTAGGAGTCATGCCCACCACAGAGGATGCATTTATTCTGAGTAGACCCAGGATGACCTCTCTCACTGGGGATGAGGTGAAACAGTTAGAACAGCAAGGTGGTGGGAGAATCAGAACACAACAGTCTTTTTAGGGAAAAACACTTCTTAAATATTTCTTTAAAAATACTCTTTTCTTTTCACTTACTAATTACTTATTCTTTTATTTAGTTGAGAGATACAAAAGTTGTAGAGTTTACTTACAAGATTGCTTTTTATCATTGACCTGTGATGATTTGAAACCTCACTATGAAAAACCTAATTTGTATATTGATGCCTGTTCGAAATTTTACTTTTAATACCTTTCAGTATGTGATTTATACTCAAGGATATGGCTATATGGATCTTAGAGAAGCAGTTCTTGTAGCAAAGTAGATATTGATAATAATCAATAATAATTTGTTATTTGTTTCAGTATTTAGAGCTCCTTTTAGCAGTTCTTGTAGTGCTGGCTTGGTAGTGGCAAATTCTTTCAGCATTTTTCTGAAAAATACTGTGTCTTTCCTTCATTTGTGAAGCTTAGTTTTGCTGGATACAAAATTCTTGGCTGATGATTGTTTTGTTTGAGGAGGCTGAAGATAGGGCCCCAATCTCTTCTAGCTTATAGTGTTTCTGCTGAGAAATCTGCTGTTAATCTTATAGGTTTTCCTTTATAGGTTACCTGGTGCTTTTGCCTCACAGCTCTTAAGATTCTTTCCTTTGTCTTAACTTTAGATAGCCTAATGACAATGTGCCTAGGCAATGATCTTTTTTGCAATGAATTTCCCAGGTGCTCTTTGTGCTTCTTGTATTTGGATGTCTAGGTCTCAAGCAAGGCCACAGAAGTTTTCCTCAATTATTCCCCCAAATATATTTTCCTAATTTTTAGATTTCTCTTCTACCTCAGGAATGCTGATTATTCTTAGGTTTGGTCATTTAACATAATCCCAGACTTCTTGGAGGCTTTGTTCATATTTTCTTATTCTTTTTTCTTTGCCTTTGTTGGATTGGGTTAATTCGAAGACCTTGTCTTTGAGCTCTAAAGTCCTTTCTTCTGCTTGTTGGATTCTACTGCTGAGACTTTCCAGAGCATTTTGCATTTCTATACATGTATCCATTGTTTCCTAAAGTTTTTATTGTTTTTTTATTTATGCTATTTCATTGAATAGTTCTCCCTTCACTTCTTGTATTATTTTTTTATTTCCTTAAGCTGAGTTTTGCCCTTCTCTGCTGCCTCCCTGATTAGCTTAATAACCAACCTTCTGAATTCTTTTTCAGGTAAATCAGGGATTTCTTCCTGGTTTGGATCCATTGCTGGTGAGCTAGATGATTTTTTGGGGGTGTTAAAAAACCTCATTTTGTCATATTACCAGAGTTGATTTTCTGCTTCCTTCTCATTTGTGTAGGCTCTGTCAGAGGGAAGGTCTAGGGCTCAAAGCTGTAGTTCAGATTCTTTTGTCCCACAGGGTGTTCCCTTGATGTAGTACCCTCCTGCTTTTCCTAGGGATGTGGCTTCCTGAGAGCCAAGCTGTAGTGATTGTTATGTTTCTTCTGGATCTAGCCAGCCAGCAAGCCTGGATCCCTGGGAGGCAAGGCAGAAATGGCTTGCTAGTGAACCTAGTGAGCTCACAGGGCTTTTCCTGCTGCTTCCTCTACCCTGTATTACACTTGGCTCTCTACCTGGACTCAGTTCCAGGTAAAGTAAGAATCTTCTCCCATAATCTAGAACTTTAGGTTCCCTAGTGCAGGTGTGTGTTCCTGGGCAGACAATCTCCCTTTCCCACTTCCACAGCTTGGGCCCTCACAGTATTTGGGTTGTCTTCCAGGTCCTGCAAGAGCAATCGGCTTCCTTCAGAGGGTCTGTGGGTTCTCTCAGCTTTCCTAATGTATGTCTGCAGTCATTCTGAAGCAAAAGTTCATGATGCGAGCCTCCATACTCTGCTGTGTCTGAGTGGGAGCTGCAGTCTAGTCCTGCCTCCTATCCACCATGATCCTACACAATTATAATTTTTAATCAGGTGATACTCTCTACACTAAATTAAAAATTTAGGCATAAATGGTTGTTCTTTACATTAAAAAATGTTTAAAGAATATGTCCTTTATTTAAGTTAGAAACTCTTCATATTAATATGTATTTGCCCCATTATTTGCCAATTAGAAAAAAGGTAGTTTTTTAAAGCCTTTTTTAACCATCATTATTAATGAAAACTGAAAACACAGTTTACAGATCATTTCACTGGTAATCTTCCCTTCCACATCATTATTTCCTTTCCTCCATTAAGCTCTTCCAGAATCAAGTGAAGAAATATAGTGACAGTGATGAGCAAGGATATTTAGTGCTTTGTCAATTCAAATAACCCCCAAACTAGTAAATGACAAGCTGTTTTATTAGCAAGGAGAAACATCCAGTGATATCTACAAAAAGGACCAGTGTATACATAATCACAAGTAGTGCTTTAGTACCTTAAAGAATACTCCTAAAAAAATCCTCTATTTGGCATGGTTTGAGCACATTGAGTGTCCTTTTTCTCCCCAGTTTTCTACGATTTTTTTTTTCTTAACTGATCTGAAATACAAGACACTTTTTCTCTTTGATACCCATTAGGAACCAATTATTTTGTTAATTTTAATAATAACATTGTTCTTATTAGAAGACATGTTATGTAATTAAGTGCAAGATGAAGCCAAATTACCCATCAAGTATAAAAAGTCTATACGAAGAGGAAGGAAAACAAAATGAGAATGATGCTACCTAGTGCCCGCACCATAGGGTTACATGAACAGTGACCATGTTATTTATTTGATTATTGTCCTTTCAACACAAGAGCAAATTGATATGGCACTTTTCTTTTTCCTTTGAACACTTTGTACAACCAGATCTGTTTGTACAGAGTAACTAAAAATGACACAAAATACTTATCAAAGGAGTTAGAAATAATAACCAACCAATAGTTGTTATCTGATAATAATAGTTATATATGCATTGTGAGAAAGACTTCCAGGGTTCAAACCCTGCCTTCTTCACTAAGCAACTATGTGACCAGGGCAATTACTTAAATTAGTAGTACATAAGTACTATTATATGACTAATAATATTTTATAGTATTACTTAAACCATAATAATTTTTAGATTTTTATAAAAATGAATGAGATAATACCTGTAGAATATGTAGCAAATTCCTGGTACATAGTGAACATGTGATAAATATTGCGTGGTAATATTTAGATAGAGCTGTTATAGAGCTATCACTTAGCCAGCCATTATTTAGTGACCACCACAGGGAGCCAGACACTGAGAGGGAATTTAAGATCAAGCAGTCCTGGTCTCTCTTCTCAAAAGGTTTCCATCTGGATGGAAGACAAACAAAACACAGAGTCAAATAAAATAATTGCATATTTTAATAAAATCTATAAATAAGTAATAAGGTATTTACATAGAAAATAGTGATTTATATTATCTAGTTTGTTAGAAATGGTATCAATAAGAAGGGGACACTTACTATACATCTCTATACTATGTCTCTCATCTTTTATACTATGAGACTATACTATGTCTCTCATCTGTTAAGTGATCAGCTTAACAGATAAGAGACAGCTGTGTAAAGGATGTGGGTAAAAGCATCCAAGTAGGTGAACCATATGTGCAAATGTAATGAGAAGGGAAAAATGCTGGGCACGTTGAAGGAACTGATAGACCAGGGAGCCTGAGGTACACTGTGAGAGGAGGAAATATCATGTAAATGTCTTTGAAGATGTAATCAGGGTTCAGTCCATTCAATATCCCATAGACCATTGTAAGGTTCTTGGATTTCATTGTGTGGAATAGGAATTTATTGAAAGGTTTTCAGCAAAGCTGTAGCATGACACATTTTATGTTTAAAACATCTCTTTTGCTGCTTTATGGACACATATCTCTAAATGAATTTCTCCTAATAAGTTAGTGGAAGAGGAAAGCTTTGAACCTATGTAGTGTTTCTGACAATATGTGCTTAACCACTGTGCAATACTGCTTCTACAACTAATAACATAATTATTGGGGCATTATGTCCAGACTCTCTGATATGCACTTTGAGTTATTTTAAATTGTGTTTTATAAACAAATCTGATTGCACAAAGTATCTAAAGGAAAAAATTACCATTTTAATTTGCTATTGTGTTGAAACAACAACGATCAAATAAGTAACATGGTCACTATTCATGTAATACCATACTACAGTGTGGGTACTAGGTAACATAACTTTCCTTTTGTTTTTCTCTCCTTCTTATAATTCAGTCTATTCTTACTGAGTAAATTTGGCTTCATCTTGCACTAAATCATATATCCCATAATTAAGACAGTGTTTCTTCAGTAATTCACAAAATTATTGGTTTTTAATGGGTACTGGTGTGAGACAGTGTATTGTTTTTCAGATGAGTTTCAGATGAAACCAATGACAAAAACATTGGGGAGAGTAAAGACACTGAATGTGCTCAAACCATGTCAAAGAAATAATGGATTGTTTTAAAAGACTAATATTTAAAATATCATCAGCTCAGCTTGTGATTGTGTAGCATTTGTCCTTACTAGATGTTAATTCTTGCTAACAAAGTACATTGTTATTTACTAGAGAGGAGTTTATTTGAATTGACGAACACAAAATAATCTTGCACATCATTGTCACTATAGCTTTTTACTTGACTCTGGAAGAGTTCACTGGAGCATAAAGAATAATGATGGGGAAAGAAAGATTATAAGTATAGTAATCCATAGGTTATATTTTCAGTTTCACTTGAAAATGATGATATGAAATGAATGGCTTCAGGAGAAAAAAGCACTTTTTAACCAATTGCTAAATAATATAGCAAATATATATTTATATGCAGACATTCCAAGTTTAAAAATGTTGTACTTTTTATTTTGAAAATTGTAAAAAACAATTATATATGATGAAAACTTCAATTTGCTTTAGTTGGGACTATCTTATTAGAAGTAAGAAAAAACCATGACTGAGAAATCCTTATATAAAATTTGGGAGACATGTTTTCTCCCCAGATTATCTCCAATTAAAATGCTTCACTGAAATAGTAGATCTTCCATTTTTGCTTTAAATTATATATGAACTGTTAAAGAACCAAATTACAACAAATTGAGTTTAAATATCTAATTGGCTTTATTTGTGATGTGTGAATTGGGCAGTATCTCATCTATAAATTAGAAAGGCATTGTACTGGACATCGCAGAACATTTGGTTTTTGTAAGGTAGCTTGAGCAGCAACAAGGAAACAGCTTAATACAAAGAAGTAGATTGGTTAACATCAGGTTATTTCAGGTTACCTTCCTTAGAAGGGTTAAAGCAGAGGGGACATCCTTATCATGCCTGCTCAGCTTGATTGGGCCCATTTTTGTTTGGTCTGTTGGGCCTAGTATGGAAGCTTGGTCCAAAACAATGGCTTCCAACAAATTTTACTCAAGAAAGATTGAAGTCATTAAATGAAATCATTAGGTAACAGAACAATAATAAGAGTAAATTTCTATTTTTTTTAGGGAAAAGTACGTATACATAACATTTCTGTTATTTTAATGCTGTGTCCATTGTCCTGTGGTGCTGCTGAGTTAATGAAACCCATGCTGGAGATGGTGTGGTAGAAAAGGAATTGGAGAGGAGTAATGGTGGAGGCAGGGGGTGCAGTGATAGGCAGCCCTGTGGTTGTCCAGATAGAAATAAATGACAACGTCAACTAGAGTGCTGGCAATTCTGGTGGTAAAAAGGGAATGATTTTAAGAGAGAGAGAGAGAGAGAGAGACAGAGAGAGATATGTATATAAATGTTTATATAATATATATAAAATCTTTATATATAAAATATGTTTATATAAACATTTATATTCAAATATTTATATATAATATATATTTTTAGTTTATATATAAACTTTATTAATTTATATATAAATGTTTATATATAAAATATATAAACAAATTTATGTATATATAAATTTATGTATTTTCCTTATAGAAATAAAAATAATATATATAATATATAATCTCATTTATAATTGACAGATTTATTACAGAAATTACATGACTATGCTCACTTCTGGACTTATAACATCAATGGTTTTTCCACTGAATGCCTGTTCATTGAAGTTTGTTGAGGGCACTTAGTAAGCCAATGGATCAAAAACACATTTAATTAGACTAGCTCACTTTCTTCATGTTTGGCAATGGGATTGGTTTGGAGATTTTGTGATATTTTCACTTCTGCTCATTGACAGAAGTCATTGGGTGGCAGAAATGCATAAAATTAAATGTAATGATGTAAAAAAAATGAAGCCAATTTAATAGACATCCGTGAACATTTCCCTCACATGTATAACTAGCATAAGGCATCAAAAATCTTTAGGTGTCAGTAAATTGACATTTAATTGATCTTAAAAACCCCATTTAAGAAATAATTGGGGAAAGTGTGTTTGGGAAATTAGGTCTCATCTTTATGGAGAGACAAAAATTCATCTACGTTTTCACCAAGTTGTGCAGGAAATGTTTTATTTTGGAAAAACATTTCTAGCTTATGCAAGGTCAATAATAGCTTAGGATTAGATAATTAAGTGTTCATTCAAAATCAGCTTTGTTTCTCTGCTTTCAAATTCACTGTTTTTTTTTTTTTTGTTTTTCATCGTGTCATTTTCAGCCATATATTTTGACAGGTATCTCTTTAAATTTTGACTTTTTAATATATTTTCCTATCCTAGAGGAATTCCCACTCACTTATTCAGACCGTGAAAGGAGGTTAGCAGAACATGAAGAAAAAACCTTAAGCAAATAGTGCTGCAAATCTCTGATACCCATTCAAAGAGGAAAGGGGAATGGCAGTCCTGGGCTTCCACAAAGAACTGTCATTAATTGTGATAGAGGGATGGGGAAAGATTTTCTGGTTCCACTTTCTTATTTAGAGACCACAGCTAGTCAGGTGGTAACAGTTTTATACTAGTGTACAGGCCTGGGTTCCAAGAATAAGCCATTAGACAAGGGTAACAAAGAAGCTCACACGCATCCCAGGCTCCTCTGATGACAGACGTAACACTTTCTCATCCTTCCTTTCACCCAATATCAAAAGCTGAGAAGCCTCCTCTTCTTCCATTCACATTAGTTTTGGGTAAGAGAATTGTTGAAAAACACTACTTTGTGAAGCTGGGCGTAACATAAAGCATATCAGTTTTTTATTAGTGTTACACTTCAGCTCCAAATTTAATGATTTAGAACAATAATTAATTTTGCTCAGGAATTTGCAATTTTGGCGGAACCTGACAGCAACAGCTCTGCTCTGTTTCACATGGCAACAATTGGGGCAGCTTTTCTGGGGACTGAGAATACGCATTTGGGATGGCTGAGTCACATGACTGGCTAGTTGACACTGGCTGTCAGCTGGGAGCTCAGCCAGGGCCTAGGTTGTGTGGGCTTCAGTTCCTCTTCCTTGTGACAAGGTGGCTGAATTCCAAAGTAAGTGTTCAAAGAAAATCAGGCAGAACTTGTATTGTCTTAGGTCAGCTAACCTCGGGAGTTGCATAATGTCACTTCTATCATAGCCTCAGCCTTCCCAGAACAACAACAACAAAAAGGAACATAGACCCAGCCTGTCTATGGAAAGTATCAAAGTCATGCGATAGGTACAGCACTTAGAATGAATAAAATTGTTGCAGCCATTTTCAAAAAATACAATCTGTCATAACTAATTTTTTTAGATACCACCTGAAATTTGTCATTTTCAATAAGAAGCAATTACTTGATCTTCACGGTGTCACCGTTAAAGAAACAGGGATTAAATTTTCAGTGAGGTTACCGTGTAAGTACTAAGAAAAGACAAAGTTACGGAATATTAGAAATTGGAAGTGTTATTTTATTGTAATTGTTATTTGTATTTTTGGCATGATTCTTTCATTGATTAAATGGAGATATATTATGATTCTGAGAACTGAAAAGGAATTAGAAGTTTGCCACAGAAGCGCGCGCCCAGCACTCCCCCCACACCCTGCCCCCCAACCCGCCCCCGACACATAGAGGCACCCCCACCCCCCACATAGGTAGAAAACCTGGCTTGCATCTCTGGAGTGTTCTTCGGTTAGGATGCTCCAGATAGGACACTCAGACCATGCCCTAGATCAGATCGAGGTGTCCATTTACAAAGACAAAGAGAAAAGAAGAGTTCCCTCCTCCTTTACACTCCCGCCCCCACACAACCCCCCCGCCCCCCACCCCCCCGACACACACCAATAACATTTTGAAAGTTCCTGGAGCCCTGGAAACAAGCCCTTGACAGAGAAAATGTGGGGTTGGGTGCGGGACCAGGTGGCGCTGGTAATTGGCAAACCCGGCGGGCGGGTCAGTGGGGACAGTGGCGCAGGCGATCCGCGCGCAGCCGGGGTCCCCACAGCGACTGGAAGGCCTGATGAGACTCCAGGAGTCCCCGCAGCTCCCTCAAGTCCTGTGCTGCCCAGGCAGCCAGCCCGCAGCCCCCTCCGCCTGCGACTTGCTCCTATCTCCAAGCCCCGGTGGCTGTGGCTCCTGCTCTGTCAGCGGCCGCCGCCCACCCTAGAACTGTCTTCGCTGACCTCCCCCTTCATCTTGAAGTCAGTGTCCTGAGCTCCTTCCCTTACAATTGCCCAACTGAGATCCCCGGGGACCTCTCTTGGCTCCAATCGTGGGAAAAGCTGGGAAAGGTTGGCAGACAGCGGCGTCACCTCTCCAGCCAGGCGTGCGCGCGGTAAGCCCACCACCTGCGCCGGGCTCCTGCGTTCCTTTGCACAGCGGGAGGGAGGTGTCTTGGTGGCCTCCTCCTCACCACCGCTCAGAAATGCTCACGGTCGGATTCCAGGAGGGAGGAATTTCAACCTGGATCCGCGGAGCGGGGCTCCTGCCACGCCCCTACTTCGCCCAGCGCGCCCTCTATTGAGAGCAAGTGGAGAGGAAGAAGGGAGCAGGAGTCTGCGGAATGCCCTGGACGGAAGGAGTAAGACACAGACAAAACTGCCCGCCTCCTAACGGAGTAGCTGAAGCGGACCATCTGCAGGGCTGCACCAGCGGGAGGCTCAGCCCAGAAACAAGCCATGGTCTAATGGTCTGTTTAAAAATAAAACTAAATTAAAAAGGGAGAGCAATTAGAGAAAAGGTATTGGGGCTGTGTGTAAACAGATGAAAGATGGAAAGGGTTCAAGCCCGCGGAGAATTAGAGGGAAGATGGGGCTGGATGGGAGCTTCTGGATTTAAGAGCAGCTGTGAAGGAAATCCTTCACCTATTCCTTGGACTTAATATTAGCTGAGGATGAAACTATTTCCATTTCATTCAAAAGCCGTGTTCAGGAAACTTCGAAGGCACAGACAAATTTAATCTCAGTCTACCCGCTCAAAACTGCCCAGATCATCCAGTCTGATATCTTCCCCTGTGATTTTAGTTGTAATGCAATTGCCAGACACCTTTACAGAAAAAGTGCTACTTGAGTTAGTTGGACTCATCTTTAGCTTTTTATTAAGAGTTGAATACGTTTCAAAATAACAGCTCATTTATTTCCTTGATACATAGATGTATATTGTATTAAGGAAAACCTTGATAATAGCATTTAGAATGAGATGATTTGCAGGAGTTGCCCTGCAATTCAGCCTTCATGTCAGAGGTTTTGATTTTATATCCTTCCCAGCAGTAGTTTAATCAAATAATTGAATCAGAAATTCTTCCCATTCAGGTTTGAGAGACTTTTGTCTTCACTTCTTAACTCAATCACCATATCTTTCCTATCATAACCCTGAAAATTAATCCTCCAATTTGAACTTGAATCTTCTTATATTAATTTAATAACTTTCCTACAGCTTTAGGTAATTAATTGAAGTTCTGCATTTAAGCAGAAAATTTATATTTGTGGAACAGGTAATACTTCAGAGCCAGGAATGAAAGAACTTTGGACTTGAATTAATTTTTCTTTTTAATGCTATCTAAGTTGGGAAATACCCTTGCTCCTTTGGCTTCTGTGTTTGTTCATATCTTGAAAGAAAGATCTTGGAAAGACTGAGGAGAAGAGAGCACATCTTTGGCAAATCCATAGCTCCAGTTAAGAAATGGCAGGAAAGACTGCCAGGCTTTTACCTAAAGTGCTCTAAATCCTCTAAATCACAGTGGTTTTTGTTTGTTTGTTCGTTTGTTTTCTTGGCGGGAGTGGGGGCGAGGGAGCGGGGTTAGAACATCTGAAGAGAATGATAGGATGAGATTTCTGAGACAAAGAACAAATGGTAGGGGACAGTATTTGTTAAACATTTGAGGAACCAAGGCATGTTTAATAGTGAAATCTCTTTTCTCTGAAACCACTCCAAACATACGAAGAGGTGGCTTTTTCAGGGTGTACATAGTTGTTGAGAAGTAAGAATTTATTTTCTTCCTCTAAATTAATATGCAAAATACTGTTTTTCCTTTTTGTGTTAGCTTAATTACTATATTATTTCTCTAGCTGAAAAATGAAGACAATGATTCTGTCTTTCCTGAAAAGGAGATACTGGCCAAATATCTCCAGCAACAACCAAAAGTAATAGAAAACCAGGGATGTGGTTCACGTGAACATAAGCCACACAAATACAAGATTAATGGTTTTCTTGGAGAAGCATGTGCCTCTCTTTACTTTGGGTGGAAAATGTATTCAAAATATTTACATGAAGCAAAACTGGAACCTACTATGTGATGTTTAATATGAAAGAATAGAATTTATTCCAAGGTCTAGGTTAAAAAAAAATAATATGGGAATGTTCTGTAGGCCAACATTTTTATGTGTTATTAATTTTTGATTTTGAAATAATTTTAGTTTTACAGAAGAGTTGCAAAGATGGTGAGGAGAGTTTCTATATCCAATGACCCAGATTTCCCAAATGTTAATAACTTATAAAACCATAGTACATTTATCAAAAAGAAGAGGGTAACATTGATACTGTCAAACTAAATAACAGACAGACTCTAAAACAAAGTGATATTTGCTTGGGGGTAACATGGCAGTTGGAATATGCAATGTTACCATAGTAGACAATGTGTATATTCAAGGAGGTTGAGGCAAGGAGGAATATTTCCGGTAAAATGAGGAGGATTACATAAGTTATTTTGAGAGAATTATTCTGAGGTACAAAAATCAATAACAAGGGTGGCACCAGTCCGAGATTAGCTCGGCAGTTGTTGGGCAGATATCCTTGCAGAATTATTTTCTGTGTTAGGTTGGCTTTGTGCAAAGTTGTGGTTTTTGCAGCCTTTAGTGATAGCTCCTGTTTTCAGGCATACATGCATGAGAACTCTCCATTTATGCCCTTCCTCAGCTCCATTTGTCAAGGTTTTCACACACGTGACTTCTTGTTGGTCCTGGCAACTTTCATCATGAAATAGTAGTAACTAGGCTACAAATCTTATTTTTTATAGCTTTTTTCATTAATGTCTTCTTTCTATTCTAGGATTCGATCCAAGATCTCATGCTGCATTTAGATGTTATGACTCCCCAATCTCCTTCAATCTGAAACAGTTTTTTAATCTTTTCTTGTTTTTCGTGATATTGACAATTTTTGAAGAATATTGGTCCACTCTTTTGTAGAATGTCCCTCAACTGGCATTTGATGTTTTCCCAGGAGTAGAGTGGGGTTATGATATTTTAAAAATAATGTTTATTTTAGAGTAATTTTAGATTTATAGAAAAATTGGGAAGATTTAGAGCTGGGGTTCCTATATATCCTACACCCAGCTGCTCCTATTACTAACATTTTACATTAGGATGTTGTACTTGTCACAATTAATGAAATGATGTTAAGTTACTATTAACTAAAGTTTGTACTTTATTCGGATTTCCTCAGTATTTACCCAATGCATCTTCTGTTCCGGGATTCCATCCAGGATACGTTGCTGCATTTAGTTGGTGTGTCTTCTTTTACATTCCTTTTGACTGTGACAGTTTTCTCTGGTTTTCATTACTTTTGAGGTCTTTGGAATTTTGGAGTACTGATTAGGTATTTTATAAAATGTCCCTGAATTAGGATTTATCTGATTTTTTTCCCATGATTATTTAGGTGTGTTGAGGAGAAGGCCACAAAGCGTTATTTTCATCACCTGATATGGGTATGTACTATTTACATGAATCATTGCTGTCAATATTAATCTTGAGCACCTAGCTAAGGTAGTGTGTTAGGTTTCTCTACTGGAAATTTACTCTTTCCCCCTTTCCAAATTGTATTGTTTGTAAAGAAATCACTGTGCACAACCCACACCAAAGTACCAGGGAGTGGTGCTTTCCTTTTTTGAGAGATGTCACTGAATCTACTTTTGCACACAGCGTGTATTCTAACCTTTCATTCTTGCTTATTTGTAACTTCTTTCTTCCAACAGTGAAAAACTGGCTCCTGTTATATACTATGTATTTACTTATTGTTTCCTAAAATATACATGAATTAGTTTTAGCACTGCTAACCCATACCCCTAGGATAAACAAAATTGCCAACTAGGGTGTAGTGTTTTCATACAGATAGTTTTGTATTTAGACTTAGAGTATCCAATCCAAAACAGTGTTTCCCAGAGTTACTTAGATCAGCTGTTTCTCCTCAACTCTCTGCAGTGAGATTATAACATACATTTGTAATATAATTAAATTGATTTATTAAAGACAAAGAACAACATGAGTTCCAGCTTACAATCTACCACCCAGAAGGGCTTTCTGAGTCTCTGTTTCTTTATCGGTCCAAGGATATTGCAGGAATCTAGGAAGATGCTGTGCATAAAACATCCCACATGTGGTAAAGTCTATGCCATGTTGACCATGACCATAACTGCAACTGAGTTCATTCATCACGTTTTGAGCACAGCCAGCATGCCAAGCACTGTGTTGGTAGTGGTAGCGGAAACAAATAAGATTCCTGGTCTGATACAAATATTTTATGGGAACAGTGTCTGAAAGAGGAGACACTTGTATGGTGACATAGGTGAGGAGACACAAGTGTGGTAGGAACACAACACACAGTGTAACAACTGTCTCCGTTGTTCATGTTGGCTTAGCCAGTAGATAGAGATGGGTGAGGCACATATACAGATGTCAATCTTTAGATTAAGTGTGGTGTAGTGGAAAGAGCATGAGCTTTGGGCCAAAGAGAATAATTTGAATCTCATTATTCATATGGCGATTAAATTAGTCAGTAGTCCTGGGCAAGTCAGTTCGCTTCTCTGAGCCATAGGGCATTGCAATTATTAATCAATATATGAGAGGTACTTGACCCATTCACTCATTCTTTTATTCAACAAATAATAACATTGTTTAATATAAGAGGTTAGTTAGACTGACAGGAGATAAACATAAAATACATGAAACTGATCATTTTTTATGATGCTAAATCATATAAAGATAATAAAGTAGGATGATGTCATAAAGTGACAGAAAGGGATACATTAGGTTGGTTGGCTAAGAAACTGCTTTCTAAAGAGAATTTTTTTTTAGCTGAAATGTGAAGTATGGAAGGGAGTGGCTATGCTCAGTGGACCGTTATGTGAATCTAACAAATGATTATTACAGAATCCATGTTTTTGCCTTGAAAAATGCATATCAAATAACAGTTTGGGAAAGGACCCTAGAGATAATCATAACCTGTGATTATGTTACCTTTAGAATGTGTCAAAATAATCTAAGGAGCTAGAAAGAACTGATGCTTATTTTATTTGCATACTTTCTTATTTATTATCACATCCCATCATTCCTTCTTCTAAGTAGCTTAACAGATTCTTGAGATACTGTTTCAGTTGTCTTTTCCTGGGCCAGCTCTCCCTCTCTTCCTCTCAGTACCTGGGTTATGGAATTCTATCTACAAATCTTTAGTGATGATAGCATAAAAAAATTTGAAGCTGAATTTCAAAAAAGACAAGTGGAAGTCTGAAGCTAGGGGCTTTTTCCTGGACCATAAGAGGGACTGTCCCTAAGGAAATGTTCCCTGA
Organism: Homo sapiens; assembly: GCF_000001405.40. Taxonomy (NCBI): domain Eukaryota; kingdom Metazoa; phylum Chordata; class Mammalia; order Primates; family Hominidae; genus Homo; species Homo sapiens. The sequence continues at coordinate 108,906,921 of NC_000010.11, read as the reverse complement.
GACACCTTCTCTATGTTTTCCTTCCTTTTGTTACCTCCGTATAACTGTGGGAGATAATGTTAACAGCAATATTTAGAGAAGCCTCAAAAAAGTAAAATGTAAAATGTATCCAGTGTTAAGGTTTGATGTGCTTTTTATAATATTTACACAATTTTCTTCAAAAAGAAATTATTATCATATATAAATTATTACAAAGTAGTATAATAGGCACTAATTCACTCAAGAAAACATCTTTATTAAAACTTGACATTTTGATATATTTTAGTTTTTTTCTTTGTTTATTCAAAAATATACACCCACAATTAAATTGGTTGGATTTCATCAGTTGATGAAATCAAACTGTTCCTATTGTTTCTAAACTTGTGTTTTTTATTCATTAATCAGTCATGTATTGTTTTTAAGTTAGTATGTAGAGGATAGAGTTGTTTGTCAACCTGTGATGTGCATTATATTCATTTGAGGATCTTTGAAAACAATGCACACGTCCACACCCACACCTGTAGAGATTCTGATTCAATTAGGCTGGGGTTCAATTAGGTTGAAAGTACCCAGAGGGATCTGCAGGGCAGCTGGGCTTGGTGCTATCGATGTGGATGCCTCTTTTTTTTAAAAAAAATTACTTTTGGATGTACCATAATTTACTCTACAACCTGTTTCTATTTTCACAAATGGATATTTAGGTTAGGTTAAGTTTAACCTAGTTTAGTTATCTTTTCTCATGTATAGAATTTGCCTTGGATAGAAGCTGGCTTCGTATTTAGAAGCCACGGTAAATGATACAAGCTTAGATTTTACCCCAGAAAAGGCAGATAACAACCCTGAGCAGGTGTGGCAGCTCAGGGCTAATCTGCAGGTTAATTTTTGGCATTCTGGTACTTTCTGATGATTCATGCTCATTTAATCTAATTATCAAGCCACCTGGCACCCAAAAGCCCCCATTAGTGAAACTGGCCATCTGACATGAGTGAGTGATAACTAGCTTTTCTGCTTCATGATTTCGATGTTTGGTTGCCTGCTTTTCTGCTGAAACATCTCATAGAAGGTCCTGAGGAAACAAAATAGAGGACAAATAAATCTTAAATCTTTCACTGGGCTACGGGATACAAGGTAAGAGAAATTACTGAGTTAAACCATTCAGCTTTGCAAAACTTGACATTGCATGCAGTGGTGACCGGATGTGCCCTTATTGTTCAAAATCTGTGCCTGTGCTTAAAAAATATTCTGAAAGAAATACAAGGAAGGGAACTTTAAGGGAATTATATTTAAACTTGGATTTTGGCTTCTATGAGAGGCTAGTCCTTGTAGACAAGAATTTGTTTGAAAAGAAACGTATTGCTATTGCATAAAGATAGTGCTGGCATGGTGTTTTTTGTTTTGAGGGTTTTGTTTGTTTGTTTTTCTTTTTGAGTGTTTCTTCCCTCCTGAGCCTTGGATCTCCCTTCTGCTGAGACTGGTTTAAAATTCCATCCTGTGATTTTTAAGAAAATTCAACACTGACAGATGCAATGGTTGTAATTGCTGGCAAAAATGTATTTGAGGCTAAATTTACCCTTCTCAGTCCATAGGAAAGACTGATTCTGCTAACTGTATTCATTTTTCAGCTTGTATTCATTGAGTGCCTGTTATGTGTCAGGCACTGTTCCAGGGCAGAAAGTCAGTGAACAAAGCACATACATGGTCTTCTCTTTCATGGAGATAGCAGTCTGGTAGACAAACAGATGAAAACATAACAGTTGGAATATAATTCAGGGAAAAATCCCTCTTCTCTCTGTTTTTACTCTTCTGCTTTCTACCTCCTTTTCTGTCTTCCCTTAATTCCCTCCTCCTTTTCTCTGGCCTCTCAATGAGGAAGCCCATCTGAGGACCCCACTGCTGAACTCTGTGAACCTGTGGAAAAATCACACGCTGCATCCTCTTATGCAGCTGGGTGATAAGGTCTTACAGCCTGCAAGGAGGACACAATGAAATTGTCCCTAGTGAGAGACCAACAGCTGGGTCATGGGGAGGATCGGGGGAGGGTGGCCTAAACTAACACCCCAGGCTAGAAAGTGGATGCACCAGGTCAGCGGTGCTAGATTCAGATCTGTGAAATCATAAGCCATCTATATGGCTAAATGAAAGGCATAGTTATAGAGCTATGATTCTTTATTGAAGAAATAAAATGCAAGTGGTACAAACCATCCCTTAGATATAGTGAGTGCTTGGCTCAATTCGTGAGCTGAACTGAAGAAACTTGATGACAAATGAGTCACTCCAGAGAGGATGTGTGGGGTCATCATGGATTTTAAAATTGATGTAACGGAGCCAGTTATTCTGCCTCAAACCACCCCTTGAGCCATTATCAGAGGTGGACCTCTGGTTTAAAGGTTTTATAGTGACCCTGAAGTTGGTGGGTGGGTGCACAGCAGCAATCAATACACTTTTTCTGTAAGAGGTCAGTTAGTAAATATTCCAGGTTATGTGAACCATGAAATGATCTCTGTAGTAATTACTTACTCAACTCTGCTGTTGTAGCTCTGAAGCAGCTGTAGACTGGCTGTGTTCCAATAAAATGTTACAAATGGAGGCTGTGGGCCAGATTTGGCCCAGGGCAGTAGTTTGCCTAACCCTGCTCTGATGAAAGAGCATAGATCAGAGAGGCAAGAGATCTAGGTGAGAATCCCAGCTTTCGCACTATCTCTTGGAGGAGCGACTTTGGGCAAGTCATATTGTATATTTCTGAGAACTATCTTTTCGAAGGAAAATTATGAAAGCTATTTTATTTCTCTGGGTTGTGGTGAGAATTATGTAACATCACACCTTTGGAAATTATTTGGGGAGAAATTTGTATTTTTTTTTTTTTTTGAGACAGAGTCTCACTCTGTCACCCAGGCTGGAGTGTAATGGTGCTATCTCAGCTCACTGCAACCTCTGCCTCCTGGGTTCAAGCAATTCTTCTGCCTCAGCCTCCCAAGTAGCTGAGATTACAGGTGCCTGCCACCACACCCAGCTATTTTTTTGTATTTTTAATAGAGACGGGGTTTCGCCATTTTGGCCAGGCTGGTCTCGAACTCCTGACCTCAGGTGATCCACCTGCCTCAGCCTCCCCAAGTGCTGAGATTACAGGCGTGGGCCACCACGCCTGGCCTGGGGAGAAATTTTTAAAACTGCATACAATCCTAAGGAGGTCATATCTTATCATCAGACTTTTGAATTAAAGCATACAGCTTTGCATTTAATGGGAACAGCTGCTCATCATCTTTAAATCTGAAGCACATTTTCCTTCTTCTGTTTCTTTTGTTCCTACTGTTCTCTTCCTCACTTTTCTTCTTGTCCCTGATATTCCCGGTTTAGCTGTAGATGCAACATCAACTTACAGTAAGTGTATAAACTTTCCTGTAGCTCACTTTTGAGAATTGACTTTTAAGTCCCCTGAAACACCCACTACTGACTTCTCCCTTCAAACTACAATACAGTTTTTTCTTGGTATTCACAAGGAATTTGTTCCAGAACTGCCATGAATAGCAAAATTCAAAGATGTTGAAGTGCCTGATATAAAATGGTGTAGTGCTTGTATATAACCTAGGCACATGCTCCCCTGTACTTTATGGCATCTCTAGGCTACTTATAGTACCGAGAATACAACATAAATGCAATGTAAATAGCTGTTATACTGTATTTTTATTTGTATTATCTTTTACTCCTGTTTTTTTCTGTTTCTTTTTCCTGAATGTTTTTCTGTTTGAGATTTATTGAATCTGAGGATGCGGAACTTGTGAGTGCAGAGGCCCGACTGTATTTCCCGTTGACAGGAGCAAGCATTTTACACGATTTGATTGCAGCTGTTAGCACAGAGTGGTTAAACTGCATTTAGAAATAAATGTTAAAATAACAGTTGACAGAGAAGCTTCTTAAAAATCACGTTTTCTTCATGTTTCATGTTTTTCCAGCTGTTAGGGAGCAGCCAGGGGTTTATTATGTATTGGAGGGCAGGCCTGGAAGCTACTTCTGCTCCCCTAATGCACATTTTCATTTTAAGTGAAGAGTCCTTTGGTCCTGGAGAGGCACGTGGCTGCCTTTGAAAGGGTCAATTCCTCCATGACCTTCTGCTCCATCAGGGTGATCTTCAGAGGTGGAGAGAAAGTGATTATATTGGTAGGAGAGTGGGAAGAGGCTGCTGTTTACTAGCTTCTGGCCTTAGGCAAGCCATTTACACCTCCAAGTCTCTCTTTCTGAAGAAGTTTGAAACTGTAAGAAATTGAAACTGGAAGCAACTGAAATTGAAAGCAGTTGACACTGGAAGCAACTGAAATTGCTTCCAACTCTTCATTTTTCTTTGATTCTTATTCTGGCTACAGTGAGGAAACAACTAAGATTCCATCTCTGCTTCCTGCCAGAGATTGACCCTATTTCAAGCCTGGTGTGCAGATGGAGAGAAAGGGAAAGTTGATGTTTCCACTCATAAGTACAAGGGAGCCTGATGTCTTGGTGACCCCAGGTTCTGACTGAGTGGTCCTATTCACTGGACCCTCCTGGCTGGAAGACTGAGTGGACAGCAGGACATCAAGGGCAACAAGGGCCCTTGCTGTGTTCTTGGGGAATCATGAGAGAGCCTGAGCCAGGCCAGGAAAATCAAGCATCCAGGCCAGCGCCTGCTCCTCACTGCGTGTTAGATAAACATTTGCCTATTTAAAAATATTTGCCTATTTATCTCTTCTCACCACAGCTGGGGGAGACCACACAGCAGAGATTCAAGCAAGCTCTCCAGGGGGCTGTTTGCTGCTCCTTGGCCTCTTGGTCAGAGACTCCATGGTGGTCTCTGGTCTGAAGGAGTCAATACTTGGAAGATATTTATAATCAGCTACATTTCATTCATGTATTTTTTTTCTTTTATTCCTTCATTTGGTAGTTATTGCTTTAATGTTGATGATTCAGTACTATACAAGGCAGTTGACCCTCACGGAATTTACAGTGTTGCTGTATGGCTCAGCCTATCTGGACTCTCCAAACTGCATGACCTCCATAAAGCCTTTCCAGGACAGCTCAGATTTGTGCTGTGAGAGATTGCTATTGTTTTTGTTGTTGTGGAATAACACAGCAAGTGGCATTTTCCCATTTTAATGTGGGTCGGATGATGTGTGCTCCACATAACCCACCAGATGAATGTGAGATAAAATTCCATGCAATACATTCTAAATCACAAAATGGCATGCAAATTTAAAACCCACAAATCATCTCTTTTATCTGTATTTAATGTATTTTTGCTTTGTGCTTCAAATGAATGTCCCTCCACACTTTCCACTCGTGATTTTAAAATGTCTTAAAGGGGCTCACCCTGTTGGGGTGCCTGGCACTATTTCCCCTCAGATAATATGCTTTCCTGGTTCTTTCCTGGTTATTTTTCACTGAGTTCCATACACTTTTATTTTATTTCCAGAACTTTGCTCACTTCGTTTCTTGCTCATTTTTTTTTTCTTTTCTTGCTTGAGATGGAGTCTTGCTCTGTTGCCAGTCTGGAGTGCAGTGGCGCAATCTCGGCTCACTGCAACCTCTGCCTCCCAGGTTCAAGTGATTCTCCTGCCTCAGCCTCCTGAGTAGCTGGGACTACAGGCACGTGCCACCATGCCCAGCTAATTTTTGTATTTTTAGTAGAGATGGGGTTTCACCATGTTGGCCAGGATGGCCTCGATCTCTTGACCTCATGATCTACCTGCCTCAGCCTCCCAAAGTGCTGGGATTACAAACATGAGCCACTGTTTTTTGCTCTTGATTTATAGTTCTAGCTGTGTTTCCTGCTTCTCTTGTTGCACATGCTGCTGCATAAATCTTATGAATTTTAGCCAACAGAACACCTTGCCCACATTGAATACAGTGATAATTCCCACAGCTAAATTAAACAGGTTCAACTTGTAAAAGTCCATGAGATCATGAGCCGCTACCTTTGTGATTGTGCCTATTTAATCAATCAAGGAAGTTTAAATAGAAAATGTCATTATGCTGTAATGCTGATTGTAGCTTTCTTGTAACCCCCACTTGTCAAATATCATAGTCATTTTATGGTTCAAAAATCATTTTATTTTAAAAATATTTGACATCAAAACTAATTTTGTACTCTTGGGTGTGCAGGTTGTATTATTTACTATTTTAAGTAAAGTCATAATGAGAAATTTTAGTGTTATATCATTGTCTCTTGCCTAATTTTCTTAGGATAAAATACTGAAATTTTGAGTCACTGAATTATATGGTATGCATATTTTTACAGTACTTTATTTTGGGTACATATTGCTAAATTGTCATTTCAAATATTTTTTTGTTTTGAATCTTGATTATTTTCCCCCTAACATGATGATCACTTAATTTGGTTTTAAGATTGCAACTCAAAAAATAAATAAATAAAAATAAAACAAAAAGAAAAAAACGTAAAATTGCAACTCAATGTAATAAAAAGCTTTTTCTGTTAATTTTCTGACATGATAATATTAAATGTTGTATCAGCCATGGTCAAGTAAAAAAAAATCTTGAAGCAAACCTTAGAAATAGCTTTCAAGGTTGCCATATTTATGAGTTTTAATCAATTTTGAATCCATCCAATATATTCTTTGTCCCTGATGTTTGTCCAAAGCAAACATTATATTTTCTTTGAATCTAATCAGACTCACCAATTAGAATGAAATCCTTTCTCCCATTTTCAAAATCATAACAGCACCAGTATTGTTTTCAAAATGGGGTGTGTGTGTGTATGTACAGTGTGTTTCTTCCTGCAATTTCCTTCTCCCCATGCAGATATACAGTCTTGGGTATACTAGTCCATTCTCACACCGCTATAAATAACTACCTGAGACTGGATAATTTATGAACAAAAGAGGTTTAACTGACTCACAGTTCTGCCAGCTAACAGGAATCATGACTGAGAAGCCTGAGAAAAATTACAATTATGATGGAAGTTGAAGGGGAAGCAAGCTTGTCTTACCATGGCAGAGCAGGAGAGAGAGAGAGAAAGCAAAAGGGAAGGTACTACACACTTTTAAACAACCAGATCTTGTGAGAACTCACTATTAAGAGAACAGCAAGGGGGCAGTCCGCCCCAGTGATTCAGTCACCTCTCACCGGGCCCCTCCTCCAACACGTGGGGATTACAATTCAAGATGAGATTTGTATGGGGACACAGAGCCAAGTTATATCAGATGGCAAGGATAATTGAGCATAATAATTTTTGTAAAAATCCATTCCATGGTGACTTCTAGTAATGGCCAATTTTCCCCTTCCTTTTCTTTCCCCGGTTCCCTACCTGTTTCTTTCCTGTACTTCTTTTTCTTAATCCACCTTTTTTGTCTTTCCTTCCTTCCTTTCTTCTTAGAAAGTCATATACCTCAATTTAGTACTACACGGTAGACTTTAGTATGACTTTGGAACACTCTGAGCCCATGATTTTATAATTAGAGGACAATTAAAATTGGCCTTGGAAAACTCATAAACCATTGCTACTGAATTTTTATTTGATTAAATATTGGAGTCAAAGTCATATGGCATGAGATAGAGCTAGAAGGGATTATAAAATATTTGATCTAACTTTGGGCTTTTAATTAATAATGGAGGCTCAGGGAGGCAGATCTTGGACTAACTGCCAGTTCATTTGGGGCTTTAAAACTTTTTCCTTCTGTTCTCATTTTTTTTGTGGGTTGAATGAAATAACTACTCATTAACTTCTGTGTCTTTCTAGGCTGAATTTTTCCCCTTTATTTTATTTCCTCTCTCACTCTGTGTCATCTCTAGAAATACAGAAACATTGAAAGATATAAAGGTCTTGGTTTCTGGGTCACATTATCAGTGCTTTTGTTTCTTCCTGCCTTTCTAGGTGAAGCCGTGTCCAAATAAATATACAACAACTTCAGCCTTGGCAAACACTCATGTAAAATGAAAGTCTGCTTTTATTTTCTTGATTATATAGAAAGCATTGTCTTTATTTACATTCATTCCTATTTTAAAATGATAGCATTTTTATCTCAGACAATATATTGTAAGTAGCCATCTCTTTTTCATTGTAAATCAGGGAGTTAAATGATGATAGAAGATTGAGGCAACTCCCAGACTGGTGTTTGATTTATATTCTGGTAGGATATTGGTCCACTGATACCTCAGTGTGATGTCCAGATAGTTGATCCCGACTTGCCATCTAGCAGGTATTTCCTGAGTGCCATCTCTCTGCCAGGCATTGGGAACAGCTTGGGAGAATCAGTTTATCTCTCTTTAAATAAATTAAGAAATACAGGCATGAGACAAAAATCAGGAACTGGATTTGGTTATGTCACACTGGCAAGGCTAGGAACTACATTTCCCAAAATGGAGAACTTTCATTAGATTTGGAAGGCAGGTAAGAAGCAGCCATCATAACTATCCAAAGACTTCAGTGGTAAGGCAGGTACCCAGCAGTGTCTAGTGGGCTCTAGGTTGTAGCTTATCTTTGTGTTGGCTCCTGTGATCAACACTGGTTCCTAGGCCAACCAAGTACATGACTGTAGGTTGTTTCAGAGAATCCCTTATTTGCATTTCTATGTCAGTGTAAGGCATACACAAGTTCTAATGTTTTTCTGCAAACACCAACCTGTGCATTTATACCAGGCTTCAGGCCATTGTGAACAAAGACATTCTCTGATACTCTGTTTTATCTTCCATATCTTCACTTATCCAGCTCTCCCCAGGTATGTGCAAGGTCTAATTTCTTTAGTAAGCCCCTAGTTCTCACAATGTTTGTACTGGCTCTGCTTTTCTGACTAATCTTCACTGATACAGTAAGCAAGGGCAGTACTATATACAGAAACAGCAAGTGAAGAAAAACCAATGTCACCAGCAAGGTATTAATATATACAGAGGCTGGGCACAGTGGCTCACACCTGTAATCCCAGCACTTTGGGAGGCCGAGGCAGGCGGATCACTTGAGGTTGGGAATTCAACACCAGCCTGACCAACATGGAGAAGCCTCATCTCTACTAAAAATACAAAATTAGCCGGGTGTGGTGGCAGGCGACTGTAATCCCAGCCACTCAAGAGACTGAGGCAGGAGAATCGCTTGATCCTAGGAGGCAGAGGTTGCGGTGAGCAGAGATCTCACCACTGCCCTCCAGCCTGGCCAACAAGAGCAAAACTCTGACTAAAAAAAAAAAAAAAGCAGAAAGAAAGAAAGAAATGTAGAAGATGGAAAAATTCCCTAGTACAACCCCATGCTGATAATCTGATTTTCTAGGTCCTCAGGTAGGACACAGATCTTCTTAGTAGATGGTATGATTTAATCTAGTTACTATGCATAATGGTGATATTTTGAGGAAAGAAGACAAATTGGAAGCTTGAAAGGTGAAAGAGTAGGTGGGCACGGTGGCTCATGCCTGTAATCCCAGCACTTTGGGAGGCCGAGGTGTGCAGATCACAAGGTCAGGAGATCGAGACCATCCTGGCTAACATGGTGAAATCTCTTCTCTACTAAAAATACAAAAAATTAGCTGGGTGTGGTGGCACGCATCTGTAGTCCCAGCTACTTGCGAGGCTGAGGCAGGAGAATCGCTTGAACCTGGGAGGTGGAGGTTGCAGTGAGCTGAGATCATATCACTGCACCCCAGCCTGGGCAACAGAGTGTGACTGTGTCTTTAAAAAAAAAAAAAAAGAAACAAAAACAAAAGCAAGAAAAACAGGTGAAAGGGTGAAAGACAGAGAAGACAAGAGAAACTTGGTCACCTTGGCAGTTTTGAGCCTCATTTCTTTATACTTTACAGTTGGGAAACAGAGAAAGTTTTATTTATTGTCAGTAGGCATTGTCCTTATATGGCCCATTTGCCAGTAGTAGCTTACCCAGCCCTGGATAACAAAAGAGAGAGAGGACAGTGCAACATCTAGTGCCGTGGGAACCTGGTCCCTTCTGAATCATCCAAAAAGAGCATGGTGGTGCCCCCCAGAGATAGCTAGACAAGCTGTAGGCAGTTGGAAGTCTGTCACTTTCTTCTTTCTATCATTTGTTCCTCATTAACAGGAATTTATTGAACATCTATTTTGTATGAGAAGCAATTGAACTAAACACCATGATACTTTGATGCCAGAAATCTTTATATGTATCTTTTCATTTTTTATTGTTTTGTTTTGTCTACCTGGTGGAGGATACGGTGTGTGTCTGGAGGCACCATGTTTTAAGAATGTACTTGTTGATATGGTGAAGTCAGTGTGGCCACATGAAAAAAGGAGAGTGAGGCTTGAAAGAAAGAAGTTTATTATGCTCACAGGTCCAAGAGAGGCAGTCACTGTGTGCCCTAACCAGGATGGTCAGGAGGCAGATGACAGGAGGCAGAGGAGAAGTTAGGCAAGAGCTTTTATTGGGGTTTCTTTGAGAAAGGCAGGGTGGGGCAAGGTAACCAGTTTAGGACTGGCTAGTTTGAATAATTTTAGGGAACTCTAAGGCATAGAGGTATTCCCTGGGACAATTTAGGTGACATCATAGGGCAGGGGAAATATTGGCTTGGTGTGTGAGACTTAGATATAGAGGTAGCTAGGGGTATAAATTCAGTATTGGTTTGTACATGAAAGGTACACTGATAGGCAAGTTTTTATTTATTATCTGTAGGGATATCTGGGGATTTGGTAGCTCTGAGAGGGGCAGTCTTCCCCAAGACAGAAAGGCTTTTAAAGATGTCAAAACAAAATAAAAAGTTGACAATTTTAAAAATATATATTTGCAATACAAACTGTGAGATTTAGAGGAAGTTTGTGCTGCCCTTCCCAAGCAGGACATCAGTGTTCAAAGGCAACTCCCTGATCCTGGAAAGTGTTCAAGGGAATGGACCACTGAGAGTTTGGCAGCAAAAATAGCAGACAGAACCTTGACATTGTTTGCTAAAAGGAATTTATAACATCAGAACTGGAAAAGACTTGGGAGGGCTTCCAGCTCAAACCATATATATATTTTGGAGATAGACTTTTGCTCTTGTCACCCAGGCTGGAGTGCAATGGTGCAATCTTGGCTCACTGCAACCTCCACCTCCTGGGTTCAAGCAATTCTCCTGCCTCAGCGTCCTGAGTAGCCGGGATTATAGGCACACACCGTCAAGCCGTGCTAATTTTTGTGTTATTAATAGAGACAGGGTTTTGCCATGTTGGCCAGGCTGATCTCCAACTCCTGACCTCAGGTGATCCACCCGCCACGGCCTCCCAAAGTGCTGGGATTACAGGTGTGAGCCGCGGCGCCTGGCCTCAAGCCGTATTTTGAAGATGCAAAAATAGGCTCAAAAAGTAAAGGTGGCCTGCCTAAGTCAGGAGTCAGCATGGGAATTAGAACTTGGGTCTCTTGATCTCTAGTATAGTGATCTCTCCTTAGTGCTAGACTTCACAGGAAACATTATAACACAGATACTTGCTGAACACTTATATTGTGCTGGGCAAGATCTATAACTAGATCTTGTCTCTTCCTTTCAAGAACTCTGTGATGTACTACTGTTATTTCTATCTTACCGATGAGGCTCTGAGAGAAAGGAGTTTACTAGAGTTCACATAGTTAATAAATAAACAACTAAGAGTGCACTTTGGGTCTCTGGATATAGGGGTGAAATTCTGTGAATTTTCTCTTTTAATTGTCACAAGAAACAATCTCCAGAGTTGGTGCCATTATCTTCTATGTTTTAGGGATGAGAAAACTGAGACAGAGATTCATTCAGTACATAAGTGTTATAGCTAGTAAATAACCATATCAAGTTTTGAAGCCAACATGGCTGACCCCAGAGTCTCCCAGAATAATGAGTTTAAGAATGGCATAGTTGGCTGTGGGCTGGCAGGCTGGTTTGTTGTTTGTGTGAACCTGGTGCTCTGTCTTCTTTCGGTCTAGGCAGAGAATCCTCCCTAGGGACTGGGGGAGTCTTTGAAAGGAAGAAATAAATTTTCTCACAATCCACCAACATTACACATTGAAGGCAGGACCAGAATGTTCTGGGCATTGGTCAAGAACAAGAGCCAGGGAAGTAACATTCTCCTCTTAATCAAAGTTTCTTATCTAGAGAGGATAGACAAGGCCCTGGCGGACCTTTCTTTCCCCTCTCAAATTGAAGCTAATGCTGCTCATTCTCTGCTAGACCTTAGGAGATACCTAGAGGGTGTTTATTCTGACATTGAGAACACCAGTGAGAAGAGCTGTGGCTGATGGGCGTGAAGTAAGAGCAGGAAGTAAGTATTTTAAGCCACCCGGGTTTGAGAGTTGTTTGTTATTGCAGCATAACCTAGCCTGTCAATCTGTTTTTCTTGACAACTACAGATACTTCTGTGAGGAGTGAGAGAGGGAGAGAGAGAGAGAGAGAGAGAGAGAGAGAGAGAGTAAGCGAGAGCGAGAGTGAGAGAGGGTGGCAGGGGAAGCAGAGGAGGAAGTGAGAGAAGAAGAGGTAGAACTTATGTTTTTGGTCTTTCGTTTTTAACTGAAAGAGGAATAGCCAATTTTAAATGGGTATTGAAAGGTATAAGCGAAGCTTTGAAGGCATCATCTCATTTAATTCTTACAAAAAAGCCCCAATTTATCATGTCTTATTTGTACTCTCATTTTTACAAAAAAAGAAACTGCGACATGGCATGGTTAGATTCCTAAACCAAGATGTCACTGTAAGTGCTTAAGCAAGAACTCAGACCTCAGCCTGAGAGTAAGGTTTGAATTTTAAATACTCAAGTATGTTATTTTCTATGGTTAAAAGTTATTTAGATGATGACAAATCACCAGTGTATTGACTGCTAAGTTATTGCCTTTAAAGATTCTAATTGAGCCAGAATAGATACATTAGTTCTATGTGTCCAGTTCTACTCTAGACAAGGGGGAGGCTAAGGAGATAAACAATTACCAAGGCATTTGCAAAGAGGGTATGGTCCTTTAGAGATAAGATGTGCATCAATAACTCCACAGTGAGGTAAATTGTAAATTCCATAAGAGAAAAAATACAAAAGCCTGTGAAAATTCAGAACAGTGAGTGATTTCTTCTAGAGTGTATGAAATCCAGACAACAGGTATGGGAATTGATAATAAGCATGTGGGATAATAGCGGAAGAAACATAAAGTTAGGTCTGGCTGAATTTATTGATATGGGCCCACTAAGCATAGATTTTGTATTTAATGTTGTAGCTTGGGGAGTTAAAAAAGATTCTGACAGTTTATTTGCTTGGCTAGGTGAAACATGGATCAAAAGATGGCCCACTGTGAGTGAGCCAGAATGCCTGATCTCCTGTGGTTTAATGTAGAGGAAGGGATTCAAAGGCTTAGGGAGATTGGAATTCTAGAATGGATTTGTCACTTTAGACGTACTCACCCCAGCTGAGAGGGTCCAGAAGACATAGACTTCTCCAATACCTTGCAAAGTAGATTTGTGAGGAGAGAGCCTGCAACCATGAAGAGCTTTGTGATTGGTCTTCTCTGTATGCCTAATCTTACAGTGGAAACTGCAGTTACTCAATTGGAAAACTTAAATGCAATGGGAATAATTGGATCCTGGGGTGGCAGGAGCCAAGTGGTGACACTCAACGGTCAAAGGCAAGGTGGGCTTAGTTACCATAATGGCCAGCAGAGGCAAAGCAGTAAAATCAGAATAGTCTGACATGTGTAGAGCTCTGGCATTGGCCAATTAATCATGGTGTTCCTCGAAGTGAAGTAGGTAAGAATCCTACTACATTCTTACTTAATGTGTACAAGCAGAAAACTTCCTGGTAAAGTAGACAAAAGACTACTTTGAATTATAAAAACAGAGAATCATGGCCCCTCAATCAATTTTCAGACTTGAGCCAGTTTACGGACCCAGAACCCCTTGAATGAAGGGGAGGCTGCATCCCCTTGAGGAAGGACCCCACTGTACTACCAATAATTTATACTATTAATCTTTCTTTCATCCTTCCTTCAAGGAGACCTCTGGCCTTTTACCAGGGTAACAGCTCACTGGGGAAAGGGGAATGATTAACCTTTCAGGGACTATTGGACACTGGTTCTAAGTTGACATTGATCCCAGGAGACCCAAAATGTCATTGTGGCCCCCTAGTTACAAGTAAGGGCTTAAGGAGGTCAGGTAATTAATGAAGTTTTAGCTCAGGTCGAACTTACAGTGGTCCAGTGGTTCCCCAGGCTCATTTTGTGGTCATTTCCCCAGGGCCAGAATGCATAATTGGAATAGACATATTTTAGAAGCTGGCAGAATCCCCATATTGGCTCCCTGACCGGTAGAGTGAGAGCTATTATAGTGGGAAAAGCCAAATGGAAGCCATTAGAGCTGGCTTACCTAGAAAAATAGCCAATAAAAACCAACATCATGTTCCTAAAGGGATTGCAGAGATTAGTGCCACCATTAAGGACTTGAAAAACTCAGGGGTGATAATTCCTACCACATCCTTGTTCAACTCTCCTATTTGGCCTGTGCAGAAGATAGATGGTTCTTGGAGAATGACAGTGGATTATGGTAAGCTTAACTAAGCGGCAACTCTAATTGCAGCTGCTGTACCAGATGTGGTTTCATTGCTTGAGCAAATTGACACATCTCCTGGTACCTGGTATGCAACCATTGATTTGACAAATGCCTTTTTAAAAATTCCTGTCCATAAGGCACACAGAAGTAATTTGCCTTCGTTGACAAAGCCAGCAATATACATTCACTGTTCTACCTCAGGGATAGATCAACTCTCCAGCTTTGTGTCATATTCTTGTTCACAGAGACCTTGATCACTTTTTCCTTCCACAAGATATCACACTGGTCCATTACATTGACGACATACTGATTGAACCCAGTGAGTGAGAAGTAGCAACCACACTGAACTTACTAGTGAAACATTTACTTGCCAGGGGATGGAAAATAAATCCGACTAAAATTCAGGACCTTATACCTCAGTAAAATTTTTAGGGGTCCAGTAGTGTGAGATATTCCTTCTAAGATGAAGAATAATTTGTTGCATTTGGCCCTGCCTACAACCAAGAAAGAGGCACAATGCCTAGTGGGCTATTTGGATTTTGTAGACAACACATTTCTCATTTGGGTGTGTTACTTCAGCCTATTTATCAAGTGACTTGAAAGGCTGCAAGTTTTGAGTGGGGTCCAAAACAGGAGAAGGTTCTGCAACAGGTCCAGGCTGCTGTGCAAGCTGCTCTACCACGTGGGCCATATGACCCAGCAGATCCAATGATACTTGAGGTGTCAGTGGCAGATAGGGATGCTGTTTGGAGTCTTTGGCAGGCCCCCATAGGTGAATCACAGCAGAGGCCTCTAGGATTCTGGAACAAGGCCCTACCATCTTCTGCAGATAACTACTCCCCTTTTGAGAGACAGCTCTTGGCCTGTTACTGGGCCTCGGTAGAAACTGAGTGGTTGACTATGGTTCACCAAGTTACCATGAGATCTGAACTGCCTATATGACCAATCTAGCCATAAAGTTGGGCGTGCACAGCAGCATTCCATCCTCAAATGGAAGTGGTATATACATGATTGGGCTTGAGCAGGTTCTAAGGGCACAAGTAACTTACATGAGGAAGTGGCTCAAATGCACATGGTTCCCACTCCTGCCACCCTGCCTTCCCTCCTGGAGCCTGCACTGATGGCCTCCTGGGAAGTTCCCTATTATCAGTTGATAAAGGAAGAGGAGACTAGGGCCTGGTGTACAGATGGTTGTGCAAAATATGCAGGAACCACCAGAAAGTGGACAGCTGCCAACTATAACCCCTTTCTGGGACATCGCTGAAGGACAGTGGCACCGTTGTGGCACCATTCCTCAGGGTGATCAGCCAGCTTCTCGATTACAGGTTGATTACATTGGACCTGTTCCATCATGGAAAAGGCAGCAGTTTGTCCTCACTTGTGTAGATACTTACTCCAGATATGGGTTTGCCTATCCTGCACACAATGCTTCTGCCAAGGCTACCATCCATGGTCTCACAGAATGCCTTATCTGCCATCATGGTATTCCTCACAACATTGCCTCTAACCAAGGCTCTCATTTCACAACTAGAGAAGTATGCCAGTGGTCTTATGCTCATGGAACTGACTGATCTTACCGTGTTCCCCATCATCCTGAAGCAGCTGGCTTGATAGAATGGTGGAATGGCCTTTTGAAGTCACAATTACAATGCCAACTAGGTGACAATACTTTGCAGAGCTGATGCAAAGTTCTCCAGAAGGTCCTGTACACTCTGAACCAGTATCCAATATATGGTACTGTTTCTCCCATAGCCAGGATTCATAGGTCCAAGAATCAAGGGGTGGAAGTGAAAGTGGCACCATTCACCAGCACCCCTAATGACCGACTAACAAAATTTTTGCTTCCTGTTCCCACAATGTTAAGTTCTGCTGGTCTAGAGGTCTTAGCTCCAGAAGGAGGAATGCTGCCACCGGGAGACACAACAAAGATTCCATTAAACTGGAAGTTAAGATTGCCACTTGGCCACTTTGGGCTCCTCCTACCTCTAAGGCAACAGGCTAAGAGGAAATCAATCTACTACTCCACAATAGAGGTAAAGAAGAGTATGTGTGGAATACAGGAGATCCATTAGGGTGTCTTGTAGTATTAACATGCCCTGTGATTAAGGTCAATGGGAAATTATAACAGCCCAATCTAGACAGGGCTACAAATGACTCAGTCCCTTAAGTAATGAGCTTGGGTCACTCCACCAGGAAAAAAGTCACGATGTGCTGAGGTGCTTGCTGAAGGCAAAGGGAATACAGAATGGGTAGTAGAAGTAGGTAGTCATCAATAACAGCTACAACCACTGACCAGTTGTAGAAATGAAGATTGTAATTGTCATGAGTAATTCCTCCTTATTTTGTTAAGAATATGTTTGTGCATGTATACACCTGCACTAAGAAAATACCTTCATTTTATTGCTTTTCTTTTTCCTTTATCATGTAACATAGGATTTATTGACTTCATATCAGCATTTAAATGTCATTAACTTTATGTAATAACATTTAGGTTAAGGATTAGTGTGCTTCTGGTTATATGAAGGACAGCTGCCTTATGATAGATGTAATTATGACCATATTGTTGTCTTTATTTGGAGACTGATTTCAGGAGATGTGTATGGGTGCCAAGTTGACAGGGGGTGGATGTGTGATATTTAATATTAGGTGTCAACTTGATTGGAATGAAGAATGCTTAGATAGCTGGTAAAGTATTGTTTCTGGGTGTGTCTGTGAGGGTGCTGCCAGAGGAGCTTGACATTTGAGTCAGTGGACTGGGAGAGGAAGACCCACCCTCAGTGTGGGTGGGTATCATCCAATCACCTGCCAGTGCGGCTGGAACAAAGCAGGCCAAAGGAGGTGGGATAAGCTGGCTTGCTGAGTCTTCTGGCTTTCATCTTTATCCCATGCTGGATGCTTCCTCCCCTTTCTCTTACCCTTGGATATCAGACTTGAAGTTCTTTGGCCTTGGGACTCTTGGACTTACCTCAGTGGTTTGCGAGGGTTCTTGGGCCTTTGGCTGCAGACTGAAGGCTGCACTGTCAGCTTTCCTGCTTTTGAGGCTTTTGGACTCGGACTGAGCCACTACTGGCTTTTTTCTTCCTCAGCTTGCAGATGGCCCATGGTGGGACTTTACCTTGTGATCATGTGAGCCAACTCTCCCTAATAAACTCCCTTTCATATATACATATATCCTATTGGTTTTGTACCTCGAGAACCCTGACAGTACCATGATGAGGAACACAACCATGGAAGATAAAGGAGAGAAAAGCATTTATGATGAATCTTTTGGAATTAGAAGTCTCTGCAGGAACCAGACATGTGGGTATATATTTATAAGGTCCAAGCCCTAAAATTCCTATCTAGCCTATTTGCTATAATGAATGCAGTAAAACGCTGCTAGGTCCTGGAACATAGACATTTTGACAGCTAAAGAAAGTGGATTTATATTAGCAGGAAGAAAAATTTAAGTCATAATGAAGAGTTGTGGCCTCTGAGTCTGTATCACATTGGAAGTGTATGGGGAAATAACTAAAACTCTGTCCCCCAGAGAGACATTGCCTTGTGCAAGGGATTCTGCACGAGGGTTGTGTTGAAAGATTCTGGAGTGATCTTATGGTATGCATAAAATCTGATCTTACTGTCTCCTGAGCCAGCCAATGATAGTAGTGAGAAATTTCCTTTGGAAAATGGAGTTAGTCTATTCAAGTGAGAACTTATTTTGTGTTGTCCATCAGCCTGGAAGCCACGGCTGTTGGAAATAATATTAATGAGCCTTAGGAACGCATGAGAGCCCATCCATGGTTTTTAAATTCAAACTTACCTATGAATTGACAACTCTAGTATAGTGAATAGTGAGAATCGAGGAAGGTGAAAATGGTATGTGGAGGTAGGAAAGGTTGTAATTTTAAAACTTGTCTATTTCCATGACTTTTTGCTTTATTTTCTTGAAAACCATTTTCAGAATAGGTATTTGAAGAAAGAGAAATGCCACATGAAGCCATTCACTGAAATTAACAAGTGAGTTGACTGTCCCCAGTTTTTGTCATTCCTCTATCAGCAAATAGTGATTATTTTCTGTCAAACAGTATTTACTTGTACCACGTGATAATTCTAGTTTCCAGTAACTTTGTACTCAGCTTTGCCTTTGCCTGGTTAAACTCATGCTTCTGTCAGATCTTTGTTAAATAAGAGTTATGATTGTTTACTCATTCTAGGTTTGTACTTTGCCTGCTCAGAGAGAAAGAAAATAAAATATCTCAAACACTTTTGATAGACATCACTGTGAACTGTTAATTGGGGTATCAATAACATTAGATGGTCTTTCCTCAGAAAATACCAAATTCCCAAGCAAAAATATGTGTACAGTCTGAGATAACAATGAAAAGAGAAATGTACTCTAGAATGAATTCCATGGATGTCACATAAAACAACAGATTATTTAAATAAATTATAAATAAAATAAATGCATTTGAGAAGCACTGTTTTAAGAATTGTTATTGTTTTAATAGATTTACTGCAAGATTACCAGAGCATTTAATATGATAATGTGAATTAAAAATCACTACATTTATTTTTTTTTCTGGGCCATCTTGCAGGCTGATTGTTCTATAAAATCCACTGAAAATAGCTTGTTTAGGTATCTTTTTTCTTGTTTTATATTCAAATTATAAGTTAGATGAGGAACCAGTCATCAATGTTTGAGGATGACATCAACTTTCATCTCCGTGGATCAGAGATAGTTTTCAAATAAATCAAGGATAGTCAACTACCGTCATTCCTTGCTTCTTTCCACAACTTCTTTGCTAACAGACTTGCATTTTCTAAGGAATGAGGTTATAATTCTGTTACCTTTTGCCAATATTTAATTTCCCAGCTTCTTTTGCAAAGTTGGGGTTCTCCAAGTGACCCAATTCTGGACAAAGAGAAATGAGATATCTGTTAGGTGGATTCTGGGAAACATTGTGATTACTGTTAGAAGTCAGGTGTGTAAGGAGAGTTCTTACATTCCATCTCTTTCCCCTTCTTGCTTTGAATATCTTTGACACTGGGAGAAGTGACATTTAAAGATGGTAGGAAAAAGCCAAATAGAATGGTAAAAGATTATGGGCTCTGATTATATTGTTGAGGTACTAACCGAATTTGGTACCACTTTCCCCCCGATGACCTACTGCATAAATGGTCAATGTCCTTAGGTTTAAGCAGTTGTCCATCAGCTTACCTTTTACCTGCAGCTGAAAACACCTTGACTGATATCTACTTTAATTTTTTATTATTAATTGTTGCTGCTTCTCTCTTATTTGTATCTGTAATTTCTGCTCCTCAGATTGAAAGTATTCCAAAGAAACAAAGACTTGTCTTTGAATATTTCAAAAGTGTTGAGTTTGGTTTGCTTTGGCTTTTTTCCCTTTTCATAGATTGGTCAAACAGGAGGTTTTCTAAGAGTTTCCTCCACATTCCTCAAGGTGCTTGATGTAGGTCTTTGTTCTACCTTCTACAAAGAAATGGTCAAAAAATGTGATTACAAATTACACATGTACAGCTAATTACAAATTACACATGTACAGCTAATTAACTAAAGACAATATTCACTTTCCAATTGTAGTTACTGCCGGGTCAGATTGTAGGTATCCCTTATGCATTTTGATGCAAATAGTAAGCTTGCCCAGAGACGTTGAGGGTCATATCCACTGAGTTGATTGAGGCTTGCCCTTTTATCTTTGCTGATATACTCACTTCCCCAACAGCTGGGTAACTTGCTGGCAAGAAGGCTTTCAGGAACTGGGTTGTAGTTTCCCCAGGTTTTAAAGAAATAACTACATAATTACATATATCTCGGGAGTAAGAAAGTACAAAACTGAGACATGCTGATAAGCAACTGCAGACTACTTAGATTTTCTTAACTTATGGACATTTTGTGCATGGTGGCTTAAAGCATCCCTTATCATCTTGTATTAAAATTAGCTAACACTCATATACCAAATCCTCAACGTGGCACAAGATAGCATTTTTCATTCACTATACATTAACTTGGAATGACCATACATGCTCTCAGGGTTTGAGAAGCTGGAAGAATAGAAGTAGGACCATGGGTGAATTTCATCTGGTCCTCTAACTACTTAATTCAGTGATGCAACTAAGGTTTTTGACAACAGAGTGGATCAGGTTTTTTAACAGCCCCTTCTTTTATGTGAAAAAATTATTTTAATAAGTGCAATGAGCAATAAGAATAATGACCAAAAATAAATGCAGAGAGTGATTTTTTAAAAATTGAACTTCACATATGAAATCGTGGCAGTAAAAAAAGTAAAATATAAAATATTGGTTTATTGATTTTTTTAAAAAAGAAAAAATCTACATATGGAATGTGTTAATATTGAATAATTACATTACAGTTTATTTCAATATTCTTTTTTAATAGTCTGTAATCCAATTTGGCATTTGGATACCTTTGCTTATATTTAATGAGAGAAACTTTGTTTTAACTTTAAAAAGTTCCACGTGAAACAACAGAAAATTTTTAAAGGTCAGGGTAAGTTTGTCACAGATGAATAACAATCTCAAATCACCAACAAATTTAGAATTTGAATTATTTACTTTTTAGGCTATTCTAGTGACTTTCAAATGTCTTGGCAGTTAAAATCTTTCTAATAAAATATCCTTACCAGAAAATTCATCATGCGTTTATTTTTGGTTATTTATAAATTTTTCATTTCTAAAAAATCATAGAAAATGGCTAAACAATAGCAGACATCAACACTTGATTCATTTATTTAGAATAAATGTCCAGTTCTGGGTGTAGGGAGTCAAAGTATTCAAATATTGTCAATTTGATTTCTTCAGGCGGTGTAAACAATTACTCACTTCTAAGCACCCTTTAAATCACTGCCAAAGTAAAGCCTGGCAGTTGCTTTCCTTCATCTGCATGTCTGGAATCCTGAAATGTTACTTCTAAAGGCTAATTGTTTTTCAACATTAAGTCTCAGTCTATAATTTTGGTTTCACAGTGTCACAAGGAGAAATACACATGGCGGTGGTGGTGAGGGGACGGTGTATGTGGAGTAAGAAGAAAGACTGCAGGTCAGATAAAAAGCTGAATGCCTATGAGCACAATCAACTTACCAGATTGTTACTGTTACTAACTTCCAATGATGACCTTACTTAAATGACCAAATATTGCATGAACTTCTACAAATTTGGGTTCTTTCTGCTCAGGGTTGCTTTGGTTATTTGACGTCTTTTGTGGTTCCATACAAATTTTGTAATTTTTTTTCAATTTTTGTGGAGAATCACATTAGTACTTTGATAAAGATCACACTGAATCTATAGATCACTTTGGGTGATATAGACACTTTAACAAAATTAATCTTCCAATCCATGAGCATGAGATATCTTTCTATTTGTGTTTGTGTTTATGTCCTCTTCAATTTCTTTCATGAATGTTTTATAGTTTGCCTTGGAGAGATCTTTTACTTCTTTGGTTAAATATATTCCTAATTTTTTTATTTATAATCTTATTTATTAATCTTTTTTGCTTCATTTTCTTCCCAACTCTTATAAAGAGATTTGACGTAATAAAAAATGTGGGCACCTGCCATTGATTCACCCTGCCTCCTTACACACACACACACACACACACAGACACACACACACACACACACACACACACACACACAGACCCCACAGGAATCGTTCCAAGTTAGCAGCCAAAGTAATGTTGTAGAGTAATTTCAGTTTATGTTTTAATGGCTGGATTTGCTTGCACAATAATACTTAGAAGCATTTGCCACATGTTACAAAGTTATGGCATCCAGAGAAAAGGGAAAGAAGAATCCTTATTATTTCTCAGAGAGGGAGAAAATTATTTTGATATTGTATTGATAAATTTAATGTGGATCAGGGAAGCAGAATGTATCAGGGCTGAATAGTCCAGGAAAAGGTTAATGGGGTCAACAAGTCTGTATTTATTAAGACACAAAGTTAATAAGTCTGTGTTTGTCAGGACATTCTAGATGGAAGTAAAGCAGCATGATATATTAAAAAGAGTAAAAGATAAAGGAGAATACTCTTTAGTTTTGATTCCATCATTGATAAGCTCTGTTACCAGAGATAAATAACTTTATATCACTGCAAACTGGTTTCCTCAAAATTATATGAGAGGTCTGGACTGCACCACCTCCAGGGGGCTTTGCCAACTTAACTTTATTTATTTATTTATTTGAGTCAAAGTCTTGCTCTGTCACCCAGGCTGGAGTGCAGTGGTAGGATCTTGGCTCACTGCAACCTCCACCTCCTGGGTTCAAGCTATTTTCCTGCCTCAGTCTCCTGAGTAAATGGAATTACAGGTGCATGCCACCATGCCCGGCTAATTTTTGTATTTTTAGTGGAGATGGGGTTTTGTCATGTTGGCCAGGCTGGTCTTGAATTCTTGACCTCAAATGATCCACCCGCCTCAGCCTCCCAAAGTGCTGGGATTACAGGCATGAGCCACTGTGCCTGACCCATCTTTCTTCTTTGAAAATTCTCCAAAGTAAGACAACTGCACACCTTCCTGAATAAAGCATTCCTCAACTTTTTGGGGATCAAAAAGCATCCTGTTATACCCCAGTAGCTTAGGGTATGATGTAACATGGAGGCACATCATAAGAGAAAACATGACATGGGACTCATCTATACTTTTTCAGTTGCTCTATTATCTTGTCAATGGTGGATGGAGAATGGGTGGTGTATCTGTTAAGCACATGGGCCTCTAGAGTCGTGTGATTTGAACTGGAATTCAGGCTTTGCTACTTACATATCACTGGACCTTAATTCTATTTAACTTCTTGGACTTTGTTTTTCTCATCAATGAAATTGATCTGATGGATATTTCTGTCCATTAGGTAGTTAAGGGTATCAATTAAGAAAATCATAAAAATAATGTCTTCCTTTTGCTTTTTCAAGGATATTTTTTTCCCAAGGTATATCTCTTTGGTGATAACTATGCTGATGTTATTGAGCTCCCTTTTGACTCTCTTGTTGACTTTAGTTGAGAGTTTCTTTGAGTGGCCCATTCAGTTCTGACAGGTTGTTAAACAGTACATAATGCATTTCTTTATTCCGGAAATGTTTATTCAGCATCTTACTATGTTTCTTACAGATAAATACAGTAATGAAACTGAGGAGTGTTTTTAAACCTGGCTTTCTTCTTCCTTAATCAAGAGTCTGTCTATTCACCTGATTTTATGTTCATGGGTGACAGAGTCCAAATTATGAGTCCCACAGAGAGGTCCCCAAGTATGAGAGTTTGAGGAGAGGATAGGGCTAGGTGGATACTAGGCAGGCTGCCCCTCTCCATCTGAGCTTCTAGCATATTTACTGGAAAAAAAAGGTGTCTGCTGAGGAGGCAAATGGGGCTGGATTTTGAAGGTTTGAGGGGCCTTTAGCTTATGCAAAGGTGTCTTGTAGGATTAAAAAAGAGACCTGTCTCCCAAGGTTAAATACCTGCAGCTTTATGTTTTTTCTTCCCAATTATTGCAACCTTTCTGTATTAGTCTGTTCTGACACTGCTAATAAAGAACTGCCTGACTGGGTAATTTATAAAGGAAAGAGGTTTAATTGACTCACAGTTCATCATGGCTGGGGAGGCCTCAGGAAACTTAAATTATGACAGAAGGGGGAGCAAACACATCCTTCTTCACAAGGCGACATTAAGAAGTGCAGAGTGAAGTGGGTGAAAAAGGCCCTTATAGAACCATCAGATCTCGTGAGAACTCACTCACTATCATGAGAACACCAACATGGGGTTAACCACCCCCATGATTCAATTATCTCCCACTGGATCTCTACCTCAACAGGGGGATTATGGGAACTACAATTCAAGATGAGGTTTGGGTAGAACACAGCAAAACCATATCACTGTGTCTCTCCTATCCTTCGATTCTCATTCTTCAGGTCTATCAATTCTGATGCATTTATTTTCCTTCCTATTTTCATTGCTATGTAAAGGACATCTCAAAACATGCATTTAAATTTTTATGTAGTACTTGTTTTATTACACTAATCCTCTTTTTGTTTGCCAAAGGCCCACAGTGGCTATGGAGAGTTTATATGTAAATTAAGAAATCAATTTTTCTTCTTAGTTATACTGAGGTATACATAAGAGCAAACAAGTGCTGGCCGAAAGAGAGGTGGGCTGAGGAAAAAGTTTCTCCTCAGTGGTTTCTGTTGGTTAATCTGGGGCTATTATCTCGCAGGCTCCAGTCTGATAGGGCACTTACTTCCTCATCAGGAAAGTGATGGGGGGAGATGTTTTCTACATAGATAAGTTATTTGAATACTCTTTCTTTCCCCACTGTGATATAAGCAAAGTCAGATATAATCAAAGCACATTGAAGCTTTCTATGAAGAGTTTCAGCATTTTCACCAGTATACTAATTCCCAAGCCTGGCTTTATATTATAATCAACAGGAGGGCTTTTCAAAGTTACTGATGTCTGGGCCTCATCTCAGAAAAGATGTAATAATTAAATTTTTATAAGAAAAATTTTATATAAAAATCACAAGATAACTGCTCAGTAAATCCAGTTTCATGTTGATTGACAGGAGATCCTTATAACTCACACCTTTGAGCACACAGCTCTCTATACAGTCCAATATAGAGGAAAGGATTAAAAGATAATTCCACATGTCAATGTGACCAAATGCCTTTCCATCCAGTTTTATTTTTATCCAGACCCATATTCAGAGAAAATGGCAAATGAACAGACACCTCCTCCCAAAATCCAGATCTTCTCAACACCCAACAGATGAGAAGGCAGTAGTGTCTAAGATCTATTAAAATGACATCAGCCTGAGTGCTATGGAGAGCAGTTATACATATCTCAGATATTAACTCCCTCACTGTATTCTAGAGAATGCACACTTGGTTCTAAGTTTATTTGAGGCATGCATATTACTGTTTAATTTCCAGAGCTGGGTACTTCATATGTAAGTTAAATCACTCATTTTTACACCTGGCCAAGTTCCCATACAACTCATTGTCACAGTGAAGTTGACCCTGAACTAAGAATTTGGTTTGTCCTGGGGTACCCTTGAATGGGGTACTTAATTGTCTTTTAAACCTGTTTTTTCTTCTGTAAAGTAAGAATAATCAGAATGTCAATTCCAATCCCATTGTAAAATGGGGGTAAGAAATCTACCAATTTAATTGAGTTGTTCACATGATTAAATGAGATTAAAATCAAACCTGTAAAGCTCTCTATAGATGAAGGTATAATACAATGAGATTGACAGTAGGAATGCACTTGATAAATGTATGATGTCATTGAAATATTATTTTTTAATTATCATTTTAAGACTCCTTTGCTGTGCTATTCAAATGTCTGTCAGCACCCTATCCCAGGTCAGAGAGTGGGAAATTTTCAGTAAAGTTGCCTTTCTCATTAAAATGTTGAGTGGTTTCCTGCCTTGAGGCTACCGTTGCCATCTTGCTTTCCTCAATACCCATCTCAGTGAGAGATCACAGAGGCTGCACTGAGCTGGGCCAAGTCATACCCAGAGAGAGGCAGCAAATAATTTTCAATAACATTTCAATACCCTGCACACAACAAAAAGCTAAAAATTTCTAAGGTCAGTTTTTGAGTATATGTGCATCTATTCATGTCAGTTTATGGCTTGGTATCTAGTGCCTCTATGTCTTGGGGGAGTTAATATCTGAGATATGTATAACTGCTATGTCTTGGTGTGGATATTTCTGTATGTGTTAGCCCTTGAATGTCTTTATTGTGGGTGTATCTGTGTGCTTAGGGCTATGTCTACACAACTAAGCCTCATTATGTTCATCTGTTTCTATGTCTGTCTTTTTACGTGTCGTATATCTCTGTATGCTTATATCTATACCTGTGTCTATATATATGTATATGCATGAGTGTGTATGTCTATGTGCCTATGTTGTGAATGTATTTATTTTCTGTGCCTATGCTAGAGAATACCTTGGAATAGGACTGTGTTTCTGAAGTTATTTCTGGCACTATATACATAGATGTCCAAGCATGTTTGCATGACTGTGTCAGTGAAACTATCTTTGAACCATGTATATGTGCCTGAGAGTTTCTGTGTAACAAAGGCAGAGATTAAGAAACTTCTACCTAGTCCAGATGCTCCTAAATTACTCTGTGCTACTATTACAAAGACCCTTCAGAAAACAAGGTCAGTTTTTCAGGTCTCAGCTATAAAATAGAATCACGTACTTTTAAAACAGTAACATCCTATTTGTAAAAAATATTTTTACAAAATATTATATATATAAAATAGATTATACATAATAATTATATATAATAATATTTATATATAATTATATAAATAATTATATATAATAATATTATTATATATAATTATATAAATAATTATATATAATATATATTTATATATATAAAAATATGTATATGTATATGTAAAATTATATGTAACATAAATATATATAAATATATATATTACATATAATTATATATATGGCAGTAGTGTCTAAGATCTATTATATATATAATATATATAAAACATATATATATATATAATATGTCCCGAATATAACATATATATAATTAATGTTGTGATTTTTCCCTGAGATAGGATCTGTGATAGATAGTAATGAGAGTCTCTTTATTCAAATGGCATAAGTTTTTATTTAGGAGACAAGTAGTGATTAGAAATAATGGGATAACTAAACAAAGGTAAATCAAAGGGAACAGACTGAAGGCCAAAGAGATGAAGAATGTAAATACATTTTTTTCTGGCCTATTATTGCTTTAAAAACTAGTAGAAGTACTTTTTTCATATACAAATCAAGTTTTTAGATAAAAATACAGATTCCTAAGGATATTTATATGTATAGAATTTCAGATGGTTTGCAACTCAGGGCCCATATTCCACACTTTGTATACTTTTTATTGTTGTAATTCAGCTCCATTGCACCCATTTGGGTTACCTTCTTGGCACTGGCAGTCTATTGGTGTACAGCCTTTGGTTAAGCAATAATTCAGTACAAATACAATGGCTGATGCTTTAGCTATCTAGGAAGGAGAAAGTCAGCAAGGGCAGGAGCAGTCAGGGAAGTTCCCACAATGGAACTAGAAAGAAATCAGGGTTTAGATTAGGGCAGTAGCAGATGCAAGTACTTGAGAATGGAGCTCCTGAGAAGAGGCAGAAAAAGGCAAATAAAAATTAAATTCCAGATGAATTGAAGTTCTATGAGTATAAACCATAATTTAACACTTTAAATAGATGGTATAATAGACTCCATTTATGATATTAGGACGGAGAAAGACTTTTTTATACCAGACAGAAAAATTACAAACCATAAAATATAATGTTTAATCTTTTTAAAGATTAAAAAAAAGGTTTGTACAAATACAAATCACAGACATAGGGTAATTATAATGAATAAAACTGGCAAAGAATTATAAAAAGAATTCACAAATCATGTGAAAAAGATAAGTTAACAAAGGAGGATGACATATGAAAATGCCATTTAGAAAGGAGGACACACAAATGGTCAATGAAGATATGAAAAACTGCTCACCTCTCCAACTCCCAGGGTTATGTAAATTAAAATATCAGTGAAGTATCATTCTGTACTTAGAGTATTTGCAAAATTCTGAGCAGCTGGCAAAGATGTTGAAAATTAGAATGCTTATAGACTGATAGGAGGAGTGTGAATTGGTAAAATCATTTAGATTGCAAGTTGGAACTATTTTGTAAAGTTGAATAGAAATAATTATATTTCTTTGAACAAGCAATTATATATATTTATGTAAATATATATATATATATGTATGTATGTGTGTAAAATTGGCCCTCTGTGTATTTTGCATTCATAGATTCAACCAACTATGGATAAAAGTATTTTTAAAAATACAATAAAAATAATATAAAAATACAGTGTAACAACTATTTATATAACATTACATTGTGTCAGATATTATAAGTAATCTAGAGGTGCTTTAAAGTATACAGGAGAGTGCATATAGATTTACACAAATACTATGCTATTTTACATCAGGGACTTGAGCATCCCTGAATTTTGGTATTCACATGGAGTACTGGAACTAATCCCTTGTGGAAGGATGAGTCTGTATATATATTTGTTTTTGTGTATGGATATACCCTACATGTATAATTTATGTATAAAATAGATATGATTTCTCTAGGATATAGACATACACAGACACACACATACAGTATCAAGTGTGTACCCCGTAGACGACAATGAGGGTTGCACATCTGAGATATATGCAACCGTAACTGTGTATATATATATCCTAGATTATATTTGCACAGGAATTATTTGGAAAAATGTCCAAAGTAAAATTGCATGTAAAACCCAAAATAATTATAATTATCTTAAATGTTCCTCAGCAAGATGATAGCTAAATAATTGGTAGTATATACACTCAACGGAAAAACCATATAGTGATGAAAATTAATGAACTAGTGTTAAATATTTCAACTTAAGTAAGTTAAAACCTAAGGTTAAGAGAAAAATAACAAGTCCCAAGTACTACATATAATGTGATCCCACCTTTATCAAATATGGACGTATGTAAAACAACAAACCAATAAAAGGCTAAATGGGCATAGTTCATTCTGGACTAGAATATTCTGGGGTATAAATAAGTCTGGTGGCAGGATATGAAATTGGCCTGCTCTGGCTCAGACTCAGGATCCCTGGAGTGGGGCAGCCTGCAAGATCCAGGCTCTGCCCTAGAACTTTCAGAATCACTCTGCTTTCATTATCTGATGGAGCAGCCATTGCTATTGTCTTCTTTTCAAAGCTGCTACCTAGGGGGAAGATAGCTGTTACAGATTCATGTGTAAGACACTATTCATGTGTGGTTACAAATCAGTATCTGGCAAAAGTTGAAAGTCTGGGAGAACAGCCTGTTCAGAGAGATAAAGGAAAGGAAGAGTCACAAACCATTTGTCATTCTTTTGCTGTGAAGTATCATCTGGAGAGAAGTCTCAGAGACTCAGATCGTTCACTCAATCAAATAAACATTACCTAGTGCTTGGATGTGCTACTAAGCTGCTCTTCCTGCCCCTTGTGCCTGGCTACCGTCTGCCTCCTTCATACCAGATGAATTCCCTAGCAACACACAGCTCTGGCAATTTATGTCCAGTTCTGACTTATCTGAATAAAGTCCAGACTCTGCACCTACTGACATCTGCTTCCAGCTTCTCTTGCTAGTCTCATTCCACAGATGTTTGTCGAGAGCTTGAGTTGTGCAGCCTTCTTTGTAAGCACTGCGGATTTGGAGAGAGCAAGATGGACAAGGGTATTTTCCTCAGAGTACTCTCATTCCATGGGGGATACGGATAGCAAAACTACAAATGAGATCACCACATATGGCTTCAGGGCTATGCATTCAATAAAACAAGTGTGCATGTGCAGCAGTGAGTAACTGTGGACATTAGATATGATAATCAGGGAAGACTCCGCTGGGGAGGTAACACCTGAACTGAAATCAAAGAGATGAGAAGATGTAAACACACAAACATCAATACTGGGATCTTCTGTCTTTTAGGCAGGACTCTGATGATAACATGCCACAGAAGCTTAGTTGGATGAGGGTAAGCCCACAGTGAGGAAATGTATTGGTTTTGGTAAACAAACAGAATGAGCAGGGGTGACTGGATGTTGCAATCTGTCCAAACAGGAGGTGCTTCGCAGGTTGCCTTCTGTCTATTTGTGATTTCCAAAAGCATCACCCCAGAAATGCTTCTTTGCTGCAGCAGCAGCTGAATCCAGTTTGTACTTTTCCCAGCACTTAATATAATCAGTTTCTTTATAATTTCCACACCATCCTCTCACACTGCACTCCACATACTCCCAGACGGACACCAGCACCAGTTGCCCAGCAACCCATCTTTAGAAGTCTGGGTCCCAGGTTCTGTGATCCTCTGAATTCAGTGACACCAGCACTGGCCAGCAAGCGGCCTCTCCTCTGAAGTTTGGGTCCTTGTCCCATAATGTTTCCTGTCTCTAGAGGGCTGAGTTTTACCTCTTTTTTATATTTCAAAATTTTAATAGTTCCAAATTAAACTCAGTTTCCTTTTTTTTTCTTTTATCTCTAAAAGTGAAAGTGTTTCCTTATTCACTAACTTTATTATACCGGAGTGTCTTTTTTCTTTTAAAGTGTTTGGTTACCTGTTTGTAACTTTATACCTAGTTAACTAATCTGTATGTTAAATTCTGTCTGTTGAAATAACAGATGTGGTAGCTGAAGGAACATTACCACAAATTCTCAAAGCTAGATAATACCATATAGAAACACACCACTGAGTCTTCAAAATTTCCAACGAATTCCTAATACTGTTTTCTATATTATAATATAAAATAATAAAATGAATAGTGAACTAAAGTTCCTCATCCTAATAACATGTCTGGGATGGGGTGGTCTCTGAAGGTATCTGAAAAAGAATGTATTTTAATCAGTCCAAATGTCCTTTGCTTTGGAAGTAAGAAACCTTGCCTTTTTTGACAGGGACCACTCTTCATCCTCTCTTTCTTCTTTTAATTGGTTCAAATATTTAATCTTACATTTTTCACTCCATCTTAAAACAGCAGAGCTGCTTTAACACTGTCCCAACACATGGCATTTTGTTTTAGAACTTTTAAGGAATATATTAGTGCTAAAATTTCTTTACAGCTGTAACAAGGATAAAATATATAATTTCATAAATGTTTGCAATTGAATCTCTTCCCAGCTGACTTTTCAGGAGGAGTCATTGTTGATTTCCATGTTAACTCTTGGGTCTTTCTTTAGGGCATAGAATCTTAGTAAAGATGCTTAGAAAATTTTAAAGTAGCAACAAGCTTAAGTTGATGTGAATGAAAATAACCAAGGCAGAAATGGTGGTGGGTTGGGGGCGGTGGTGGGGCGCAAAATAACATAAAAGCTTGTTTGAGCTTAAGGGTGATTTAGAAAAAGGTTTTTTTTTTTTTTTGTATTTTTAAGGAGATTTAAGAAGAGAGGAAAGGAGAGAAAGATTTTGAAGCCTCATTGCCATGTGTGAATGAGAGAGATTGAGTGAGAGAGAATTTAAGATTTGCTGAGGGTTGTAAATGGGATCACCATTTAGTACACATAAATAGACTTCAAAGAGAATAAATATTTCAATTATGTATGTTTGCCATCCTGAGATTTCTTAAAATGTGGCTTCATGCCAGAATTGTACCAAAGCCTGCCTGGTTTGGCATATTTTCTGTTGTTTGGTATTTTTCTAGTTGACCCTCACTCCCAATACCATGGATGTTTCTGGGAAGCAGATGCTTGTCATTTCTCACAGTGTCTATGCCCATGTCTTGAAAATAGAACTTGCTTCTAATCGTTGAGAAATGTTTGATTGTATTATTATCTAACATGTATGAATTATTGCCAGTCAAGCTCTATGCCAAGATTTGTACACACCTGGCCTCAAGCAGCACAATAAATAGGCATGATTATCATTTCTACTTTTCAAGAGAAAACAGAAGTTTCTAATCACTAGGCCCAAACTCATGAACCTTAAAAAATATTTTAAGCAAAAATTGTCAACCAGGAAATTTGTAGTATTCTGGCCTTTTCATTTATCAGAACTTTGTTACAGAGTACAGCTCCCTAAAGGACATTTTCCTAGCCTGCTCTTTCCTGCTATTCAAATGGGAGATGTCAGGGGCTGCCAGAATGATGTAGTTAATAGCAAGTGAGCCTGAGGTCACTTTCCCAGCCATTTAAGCCCTGTGGTAAGAGGAATTAGATCTCCCTATATTCTTTTCATTTCTTCATAGGTCCTCATCCAGTCACTTGGCCCCACATTTCCCCAAGTGCTGGCAGATGGACCATAGAAAATTCACGTGTCTGTCTTACTCTTTTCAAGAAGGAGAGAATGAAGTTTCTAGGAGGAATGCCTGACACAGTGATTAAAGACTTGCTTATATTGCTGTCTATTTACTGTCAGGGAGAGGAGCACTTTATCCTGTCATTGGCTTATTTTATTTCTAGCCATCAAGACCTTACTTTTCTGAAGTATGGGAAAGGGAATTCTGGGAACCTGGGTGGAGAAGCTTTTCATGATGGAGGCTGTCACATTGTGACACCCTTGCCCTCCCAGGGCAAAATAAAAGAGACCTAAGAAGATGCCTTTCTTGGGATAGAATGGCATAATTTGTTGACTGGGAGAGTCATAGAGGTGCTGGAGGGGGAGGGGGAGGGGCAGGATACTTGAAGTATATGCTCCAATTATTAGGGCACAGCATTTGATCTTCTTACTAGCGTCCCCTGCCTGTTTTCTGCTGAAAGCTTCAGCTTCATATATTGTTTGGCAAAGGAAGTGCCATTTAGAAATATTTGGCTCTCAAAATCTGCAGCAGAGCAGACTCTCTTTTTTAACTCTTATTTAAATTCAGGGGTACGTATGCAGGTTTGTTACATAGATAAACTTGCATCTTGGAAATTTGTTGTACAGATTATTTAATCACCCAGGTATTAAGCCTAGCTCCAATTAGTTATTTTTCCTGAGTCCCTCCTCCCATCCTCCACCCTCTGATAAGCCCCAGTATCTGTTGTTCACCTTTATGTGTCCATGTAATCTCATCATTTAGCTCCCACTTGTAAGAAAGTACAAGCAGTATTTGGTTTTCTGTTCCTGTGTTAGTTTGCAAAGGATATTGGCCTCCAGACCCATTCATGTTCCTGCAAAGGACATTATCTCATTCTGTTTTATGGCTGTGTAGTATTTCACAGTTTCCACAGTGGTGCAGACACTAGATACATGTTAATGGAGTCAACAAATATAATAACCCAGGAATAAATTGCACAGATAAGTGAACAGTTAGACCAGATGGATGAATATCAAAAACATTACCACCACCACAACTTATTAAAACATACCATGTGTCGGATCCCAAGATAAGTGTGCTTCCATTTCCTCATTAAGTCATGACAGTAACCACTAATAAAGGTGACATTGTTCTATTTACCTTACTAATAATGATATGGAGATTTAAGGATATTAAATTTGCTAACGTTTGATAGGTGGTAAGTAGTAGGTGTGAGGATTAAACTGAGGTCTGTCTGCCTCCACTAAACTGCAAGACTTTGTAGAAATCCAGTGAAGATCTTATTGTTATTAGTTCTATTACACACATGAGCAAAATGAGGTTGAGAGAGATTGATTCCAGTCTCTTATCAGAAACGTAAGCATTGGAGTCAGTCTGACTCAGGTTTAATGCCCAAATCTGACTTGTAAGAGTTGCATGATCTTGGGCATTTATTTAACCATTTGGGGCCTCACTCATTTTACTGTCTATAAATAGGGATGAAAATAATACCTTACTCATAGGGTTGTGGAGATAATTAAAATGAGATAATCATACAACCTCCTTAACACAGGGACTATTAGAAAACTCAATGAATGTTTCACTTTCTATTTCGCAGTATATTCACACATTCAAAGGTATACACACTCACAAGTAGAGAAAAGGAGGTTGTTAAAGGTGACAGTGGCTCTAGAAACGTAAATTAGGTGAAGTACTAAGGAGAGGCAGCTCTTGCACTGGCCATATAATTTCCAAAACTTCCTTGAAAGTGAACACTATATTTATCTTACCATCAATCAAGCATAATCCTGAATATGTAGCAGGGGCTCAGTACATTCATGTTAAATTAAGTGGATGAAAAAGTAATAAATCCAGAGAGACCTTACAACCAGAAACCTTTACTTCCAGGAAACGTTGTAGATTCTTCTACAGTGGTCACCTGGAGGGACGTGGTCACACTTTTGTCTAGGGTGATATATAAAGGAAGAAGGATCAAATTAAAGGTTTCTAGAAACTGTTTCTAACTCTTAATTGCTTATACTCCACAAAAGAGGGGTCAAGTAACTGCAATATGCACCATATGTCATGTCTTCTGTATTAAATAACACTGTATCATTAAACTCCTTTTCTTGCATAACAAACCTCCCCATCATGGGTGCTTAAAATAATAGCAATCATGTATTTTGCTCATAAGTATGAGGGTTAATGAGGCTCAACTGGGTGCAGGATTTCTCTTTAGATTATAGTCAGGCAATGACCCCAGGGTCGCATTAAAGCCTTCTTCAGTCATTTTGATACAACTGCGTTAGGAAGACTCAGACAGATGGGTGCTGTTCTCCTCTCCCCCTCCTCCTTCCCTTACCTCTCACTTGTCTTTGCACATGGCAGCCTCAGGATAGACTGAATTTTTACATGATAGTTGAACATTCTAGAGTGAATACCAGCAGAGGCAATTTGGTTTTTCTAACCTAGCCTCAGAGTCATGCGACATCACCTTTGCCACATTCTATTCATCTAGCCATTCCCAAAAGCTATTCAAGTTAAAGGGAATCCACCTTCTGATGGGAAGAGTGCCACAGTTTACTGATGTTTAAAAACCACCAAAGACTGTCCCCTTGCCAAAATTATTTATATTCCTCCCAAACGCATTACGTTCCTCCCAAACGCAAAATGTATTCACTATTTTCTAAGATACCAAAAAATGTCATCTATTACAGCATCAGACTGAAGGTGTAGTATCTATCATCATAAACATCTAATCATAAACCAGATGCAGGTGTAGAGGGAGCTTCTCAAAGCTCATGCATTGGGTAGGATTTTGAGTGCCGTTCTTCTCAGCCTCAAGTCTTGGGAACTAAAGACAAGCTACTGTCCCCCCAACCATGCTCAATAATACAATGTGGAACTGGCATGAGATAACCACTACAGACACACTTCAGAAATTTTGAAAAGGGAAGAAATACAGCGATCACTGTTCCTTCATAATTCTGAAATTAGACCAATCAAGTCCTTGATTAGGAATTAGCTCCATAACTTGGGAATAATTTTCCACTGCCCCAGAGTCAGCTCTCTGGACTCCTCATCCTGTCCTCTGCATTATTCCTTGTTTTCAAAAAGAAGTATCTAGAGTTTGTAGCTATGGACTTTTGTCGACCTGTTTCATGCTAATTTGGGTGTCTAAAGTCTTCTTTTAATTTTTTATTGTGTATGTTTCTTTAAGAACAATGCTGTTTTTGTCAGAATAGTTCTCTTAAGAAATGTCTGTGTTTTCTACGAATATTATTGAAATCCACTTTATCAGAACAAAAGCACGCTCACAGATCTTGTTGATTTAATCACTTGTCTACCCTGGGCTTTCTCTAAGGCTTCAGTGGGACAAAGCCCTGAGATTTGAAATTTCCTTGTCTATATGAGAAGATCAAAGAGGATGCCCTGATGATTGAATGTCTTTTGTACTTTGACAAGGTCAATTTGGCAATGCTTAGATATTTCTGAATTCTTAATTACAAAATTTACTCCTACCTGAATTTGATCTTCGACTTGGGACCCTCTTTTAACTTTGAGAATCATCCATCTACAAGACTGAAAACAATAAATGTTTTTTTTTTAATTACTTATTAGTTATTTTAGACAGGGTCTCTGTCACCTAGGACGAAGTGCAGTGGTACAATCACAGCTCACGGTAGCTTCGATCTCCCAGGCTCAAGTGATCCTCCCACTTTAGCCTTCCAAGTAGCTGGGTCCCCACGTGTGTATCACACTACCCAGCTAATTTTTAAATGTTTTAGTAGAGATGGGACCACACTATGTTGTCCAGACTGGTCTCAAACTCCTGGCCTCAAGCAATCCTCTCACCTTGGCCTCTCAACATGCTGGGATTATAGGCATGAGCCACTGTGCTCCACTGTCTTTAGACCTAGAGCTACCTCAATCCTTTATGTTCCCTGCACATTTTTAATTTCTAATTAAGAGTTCCTTATTTAATCCATCTCTTGATTTTTATCTTAGGTAGTTAAAAGAAAGAAACTAATTGTTACTTTTGATGTTTTGCCTTGAAATCTTGTTAGCCAAATCCACTGGTTCATTATATATATTTTATATTTCTTTTACATCAAAGCAGTCAGCAGTATTGATTATTTTACTGCTGGTACATACAAAGCTATCCTTACATCCAGCTCCCAATAACTTTATCCTTACTTTACTTTAATCCCTCATAGCTGACAAGCCACCTATATGATTTGGGGCCAATGGGCTTTCACTAACAGTCTTTTCAGGTCTCTTTTAAACTCTGCCCACCATCCAATGTCACAGCTACTATGACATATTTTAGGTTTTTTAACAGCACCCCATTAATCTGTTCTGGCTGTCTATTATTAAGCAGGGGAAAAAAACATACCACAACATAGTAGATTCATGAATTTGGAGACTGACTGGACTCCTATAGGCAGTTCTCACTTGGGATCAGTTTTGCGGTTTCATGCAAATGATGTAGAAACTAGGTTCATCCCAAGGACTTCTTCACTCACATCTCTGGCACCAGGCTGGTATTCAAACAGCTAGTGGTAGAATCTCTGGAGATCCTTGGGTCACTTTCCCTTTCTATCACCCTCTGTCTCCCTCTCCCCCACCTCCCTCTTTCCCCGCCCCTCACCCCTCTTTGTTATCTCTGTATGATATTTCCATGTGGCAGCCTTAATATGGGTTGACTTCTTATTTGGTGGAGGAAGATTTCTTAACCATCACTGGAAGGAGCTTCTGGGTCTTTGCTCACATATCCTTAAAAGTTATTATAATCACTCCCCGCCCACTAAAATTCCATTAATCAAGGCAGTCACAAAGGGCCACCTATTTTAAGGAAAGGATACATAGTCTCCACCAATTCATGGGAGGAGTATCAAATAATTTTTGGAAATGGGAAACCATCATAATCTTCAAAGAGTAGCTTTAACTCACATCTTGCCCAAGGAAATGGAAGCTGTTTAAGTTGACTACCTTGGTATGCTATATAATAGTGAAACATAAGAAACAATGTAATTATTTTAAAATATGAAAATAGTTAAATATATGATGCTACACGTATATAATGGATCATTGTACAACCATTAGAAATTGTGGTTTTGAAGAATCTTAATTATATGTGAAAATATCTGATATGTAATATCATTCAGAATAAATTAGAATACCAGATTATGTATAAAGAATCATGCCATGGGGGAATAGTCACGTATATATTCATAGGATAAGAACTAGGAGGAAATATAACAGTCATCTTTATGCTGTGAGCTTATAGACTATTTAACATTTATTTCTATTTTCTGTAGTTACACATTCCCTACAAAAGTCTTTGTATTACTATTAGAAAGTAAGGGAAAATAAATTAGAGGCCCACAGATACTAAGTAAACTTTCACATGGTTCAAATCACTGAGTTTTTCTGTTGAAATTTAAGTTTGGTGTCTCTTATTTCCTTTGTTTCTTCTCAATGGTGTACTTTTTTTTTTCTATAAAACTGGAATAAAACCTGCCTTCGTTAATAGCACTTACACTATCCATGCCCTCTGTCTGGCTTTAAATATTCAAGCCACCCACACTCTGTCCACCCACACCTTCTCAGCAGTACATAGGGAAAGCAGTACATACTGGGGAGTAATGTGTCTGTACCTTATAATGAATATCAGTATTAATATTCCACATTCTTTGGCCTTGAGAGGACACAGGACTCATTTTCCTTAAGATGTTACCTGTTGGGATGTAATGTGTACCCTTGACTCATATATCTTCACAGGCCTCCCCAGATGCAGTTTTTTTGTTTGTTTCCGGCCTGCAGTGGCTGATAGCCTCCTGCCAGCATCACTTTCCCCGTTGCAATATTTTCTTGTGTATCTGGTCTTGCTCGACCCATAGCAGCCTCACACATTCATCTCAAAATGGAACAGGCCTTCCTCTTTTCCTATGCATTATCCTAGAGGTCTGTATCCAACTCTTCTCCTTTTCAGACAGTTTTAAACAGCTCAGGCTTACAAGGTCAAGATTCAGTTGAAAGGCTAATCAGCACTCAACCTAAAAATGAAATGTGAGCAGGTTAGTTTCCTTCAAGGAGAATAATCAACTGTCAAGCCTCTGTTAATAACTTTATTGTCAGGTGCTAATAGGTTGGCAAGGGGGGCAGTTTCCCATTAATTTAATTGAGTAAAAATGAAGATTAAAATTTCTCAATTGTTTAGACTACCTCAGTCTATCATTGCAGGTCCCTTTATGTCTTTGAAAAATCAAAGGGGCTCAAATAAACTTATTAAGAAGACAGAACAGGCAAGAGTCTCAGGATATTTTCAAAGTCTCTCTCCCTGGGGCAATTTCTTTTCCTCATTTCTGTTTGAATCTCCCCTTTCCTTCATCCTCCTCTTCTTTCTCTTCAGGAAAATGTTAATTGTCCATGTCCTTCACAGTTCTAGCCTCACCCTTTTTACAGCCACGAGAGGTTCCTAGAAATGAGATACAAGAGAGAGGGGGCTAATTTGCTAAGGAGAATATGTTTCCCTAAGTCATAACTGATGCAAAAAAATAATCACACGACATGACCCCATTGTACATTATTCTGCATAGCACATTGCATTTGCCTTCATGTGTAATTAGACCTTCTCTTATTTTTTATCCATACATCATGAGATGTGTTGTGCATTATCTCAGTGCATCTTATGACAAATATGTGAGGTAGACACTATCGTGATCACCATTAAACAAATATATTCATTCATTCATTGTACAAACATTTGTGACATGTTTCTGCATGTGCCAAACTGTACCAGATAGTGGAAATATAGCAGTCAACCAAATGGACAATAGCCCATGTGTACTTTTTAATAAAACTTTGGTTGCTTTAAAAAAAATGTTTTATCTGAGGATTATTTATTTAACTTTTATTTTGAGTTCATGGGTACACATGCAGGTTTGTTATATAGGTAAACTCATGTCATGGGGGTTTGTTGTACAGATTATTTTGTCACCCAGGTATTAAGCGTAATACCAATTAGTTATTATTTCTGATCCTCTCCCTCTTCCTACCTTCCACCCTCTGATAGGTCCTGGTGTCTGTCATTCCCCTGGATGTGTCCATGTTGTTCTTGTCATTTAGCTTCCACTTCAAAGTGAGAGCATGTGGTATTTGGTTTTCTGTTCCTGTGTAAGTTTGCTAAGGATATTGGCCCTCAGCTACATGTATGTTTCTGCAAAGGACATGATGTCGTGCTTTTTTATGGCTGCATAATATTTCGTGGTGTATATGTGCCACATTTTCTTTATCCAGTCTACCATTGATGGGCATTTAGGTTGATTCCATGCCTTTGCTTCTTTGGATAGTGCTGCGATGAACATCCATGTGCATATGTTTTTATGATAGAATGATTTCTTTTCCTTTCGGTATATACCCAGTAATGGGATTGCTGGGTTGAAAGGTATCTCTGCCTCTAGGTCTTTGAGGAATCACCACACTTTCTTCCACAATGGTTGAACTCATTTACACTCCCACCAACGTGTAAAAATATTCCTTTTTCTCCACAATGTCACCTGAATCTGTTATTTTTGACTTTTTAATAATTACCATTCTGACTGGTGTGAGATGGTATTTCATTGTGGTTTTGATTTGCATTTCTCTAATGATTAGTGATGTTGAGCTTTTTGTTATATGCTTGTTGGCCACCATGTATGTCTTCTTTTGAGAAGTGGCTGTTCATGTCCTTTGCACACATTTTAATGGGGTTGTTTTTCTCTTGTAAATTTCAGTTCCTTATAGATGCTGAATATTAGGTCTTTAATGCATAATTTGCAAAATTTTATCCCATTCTGGAGTATGTCTGTTTATTGATAGTTTCTTTTGCTGTGCAGAAGTTCTTTTAACCTTTTAAAATAATGATCTCCTCTAGCATATATAAAATATAGTTTCTCAAAAATGTAGGGGTAAAACTTTTTCAATTAGTATAAAATGTGAGATTGACTTGTAAACCATAGACTTCTTCCCAGGACCAGATGAATTGGAAGCCTTTATCATAGGGCAAGCTACTTTAACTCCCTATAGAAGTGCTAGTTTGAGAGGCTGACATTTGCTTGGGATGAGTAAAGCAATAAAAAGACAAAAAATAAAACTGAAGCTTATAACATACCACGTTACCTCTGCAAGTGCCTCCGGGAAATGGGTAACTTGCTGATGTTCACACCAATTATTTTCTTCTTTTCCAAGCCTCATCTGACTTCCTCCTGGATCTCACATGCAGTTTTCAATCTCTGAAGGTGACATGCTAGACCAAAGTTGGGTATTTCTTGTCTTGATCAATTTTGATCAAATGCCACAAATGTAAAATTATTCTGGATTATGATAGAATGATTTGTATTCCTTTAGGTATATACCCAGTAATGGGATTGCTGAGTTCAATGGTATTTCTGCCTCTACTCACCTTTACTGAGTACTTACTATGTGCCAAGCACACTTGCATGCATTCAAATCATGTAGGTAGACTGGAAAGGTGGGTGTAGCATCATCCTTTTACGACTAGGGGTTCTGGCATTGGACCCCAGTAGTAATTCTGGTTCTGCCACATTACATGATAACCTTATTTGATATTCAAAATAAACAAATTAATAGGTAACATTATCTTTATTTTCCAGCTGAAGAAATCAAGGCTTAGAAAAATTACATAATTGGTGAAATTCGCACAGCCTTGAAGTGTAAGTTGTGAAATTGAACCTATATCTATCTCAGTCTAAAGCCCTGTGTCTTAGACATGGTACTGTAGAAATCATGACTGATGCTCTATCCTTTGTCTCCATCATCTGTATACAGTTCTCTCCACTAAAATTATAATTCCACCCATCTAAACACTTCCTAGTTGACGCAATTGAGAATTACAAAGACTCCCCCAAAGGAATTTAATATACTATTAAGTACTGTGTTTTAATAATTATAATTTCTTGAAGCTAATTTAAAAAGAAAACTCAATTCTTCCAATTATTAGTATCATAAACAAAATCATTTGTTTTGATTTTTCTAAAATCAGCTAACATCCAATCATTTAAACTTAGCATAAATAACACAATTGTTGTCATTACTTTTGTTGTTTGATTATCTTCAGTATCTTCTTTTTCTCTTTTCACAAGTCTACACTATTCTTCCAATATTCTACCTCCTTGCTTTACCAAGTTGGGTGTACTCAGAGATGGATATTTCTTACATACTATGTCTTTGATTCTTCAGTAAGCCAATTTTCTTAACAATGTGTATGGTTAAGATTGATCTTACCTCAATAAGAATTTGGTTATGCTTCCAATTGTTATACTAATACAAAAGTTCAATTCATTTTAAAATATTTGAATGCTGCCATTTGCTCTTTCAAATTAGACAGTAGTTAATATATTTTTTAACCTGTTCACTTATTTGAAACTTGTTTTTTTCATGTCAGGGCCTACAAAGATGTGCATATTTTATTAATGATTCCATAACAAAGCAATTGTGTTGAAAATGATAGGAGTTCAGGACCTTTATTTGGAAAAGATACAATGCTTAAAGATAGTATTAATTTGACGGTAATTTTAAACTGCTACGAGCCTCCTTCAGATAAAGATGCACTGTGATTTTAATAAATTTCTGAATAAAGGTAAATAAATTATTTAAATGTTCTTTCTAACTTAGTGATTTAATAAAATCATGATTAGAGAAACAAGCAAATTGATATATATTTTATATCTGTGTTGGATAGCATTTAAAAAGCTGGAACGTATCAGGAAAAAAATCATTGAAAACCTTTTATATACCAACCACAGATTTTATTTCATTTTTAAACTAATCACTCCCAATTGGTGGCATTTAAGTCCAATTTTATAGATGATGACATTTGGAGTATTTAAGTAACCATCCAGATTGAATTAAAGGGTGTCTTCATCCCTTGTGGCTGTTATAACAGGATGCCATAGATGGTGGCTTGTAAACAACAGATACTTGCTTCTCACAGTTCTAGAAGCTGGGAAATCTAAGACTGAGACACCAGCAGTTTTATTTTCTGGTTAGGGTTCACTTCCTGGTTCACAGATGGTGCATTCTGTGTTCCTAATATGGCAGAATAGTCAAGGTAGTCATCTGGAGCCTCTTTTATAAGGGCATTGATCCCATTTATGAGACAGTCTTCATGATCTAATCACCTCCCAATACTATCACATTGGTGATTAGGTTGCAACATTTGACTTTTGGGGGGAAACAACATTCAGACCAGGGCAAGGGAGAACTGTAGGCAGAGAGGCCTGCATACAAAGATGTTAACATCAAAGGAGATGGCTTAAAGTTGGAAAGATGAGAAGCGTGGTCTGATTGGAAGACTGGCAAATGGAGGGTTGACAGGCAAGACTGATTAACAGGCAAGGCCGGCACATAGAGAGTTTGCCAATAAACGTTAAGAATTTAGGGCTTTAGGTATTACATGCTAGAAAGATCACTTTTGCTACAACATAATGAATAGATTGGCAGGTGGGAGAGTTAGAGTCCAGTTGGAATCGTTTGCAGTTGCCAAAGCAATGTGATGATGACGTAGACTTGGGAATTGATAGTGGAAATGGAGAATGCATGGTTTTAAGGAGGATTTTGGAGATAAATTGTTAGACTAATTTATTGTTGGATTGACATGGTGGAGAAAGTTGGTGAAAAATGTGTTGAACATGATTCCCAGATGAGAAGCTTGTAATACCTGTGGGAGTTGTAACCATTTGTTTTGATGTGTAACACTGGAAAAAGACAATTTTCAGAGAAAGATTATCTGTTTGTTTTAGGATATAACATGTGCTTTTAAAACAATCAGAAGAGGAGTTACAGAGTTGGGATTCAGAGGGCTTGTTTGGATGATTTAAGTGAGAGAGGAAGAGTAAAGAACATGTTATATACTACAGAGATTCTCAACAAAAATCTTGTACAATCTCAACCTTCTTCATTGCTTTCCTTTACTCAATGTATTTTAGACAAAGTGTTTCAGGATTACCTAGATATCGGGTGCTAGGAAAGATGCAGGCTTTGGAGTCACACTACCTGGGTTTAAATCCCATCTCTGCCATCTGCCAGTATAACTTTTTCATTTAATTTAATATTTTGGTGCCTCAATTTTCCCATTCATAAAATTTGGTTAATTATAGCTAACTTGTAATGTTTCTGTGCAGAACAAATGAGGTAATTCATATGACACTTCTAGAAAGTACTTACATCTTCTATGCTCAATAAAAATTAGTTAATATAATCATCTGGGAAATTTGTTAAAATGAATATTTCTGGAGACAGAGTAGGATTTATATGATCAGTACGTTTGACTGTATTTGTGTTCAAAGATAAGTATCCATGCAAGACATAGTCTATGCCCCCACTTATAGGTAGATGAAGGATTTGAATTAAGTGGCCTGGTTCGGCTGTGTCAGGGTGATCTCATTTGTAGACCCTACCACAGACTTCCTAAATGTTGATTCATGAGTCAAGAGCCACAGGAATATGCATTTTAAAATAAACTCCCTAGACACAGTGATGATGACACAGAGTCTCATTTGTAAACAATTTTCTGATGTTTAGATGTCCTGAGATCCCCTTTCTGTCTTAGGTGTATAGATGGCTAACAAAATGTGTATTCCTTTCAGAGTAGAGAGATTTTGCAAAAAAATGGACTGTCTAGGTACCAATCACATTGCCCAGCCCACTTGCTTCTAAGGATGGCTATGTGATTACTTCTTGCCATTGAAATGTGAGTGGAAATAATGCTTGTAGCTTCTGCGGCAAAGCTTTGAAGAAGTGACTGTGCACATTCAACATTATCTTTCCTATATAGTTTGCTGACCACAGAGGACAAAGAGGCCCTGTGGGAATGTGGAAGCCAAGGATGAAAGGAACTTAGATCTTTAAATATCCATGTGCAGAAAGAATAAATCATCAACCTAGAATAACACATAGGGCTGTTATAAGAATAAAAATTAAGCTTCTATTTTGTTAAATTATAAAAATATTGGAGCATATTTGTCCCAGAAGCTTTCCACCCCCAATAGTTTTCAACATGAGGCATTTTTTCCCCCTTCAAAGTCTGCGATGATTAATTTTGTGTGTGTGTCAAATTGGCTAGACTATTGTGCTCAGTTATTTGGTCAAATACTAGCTATTAGTTTTAAATTTTGTGTTGATGTAATTCAATCTATCTTAGTTGACTATAGTAAAGGGGAAATTATCTTTGATAATATGGGTAAGCCTCATCAAATCAGCAGAATACCTTAAGGGCAAAAGTGAGGTTACCCAGAGAATAAATTCTGCCTCAAGGCTCTAAAACAGAAATCCTGCCAGAGTTTCCAGGCTGCCGGCCAGACCTACGGATTTCAGAACTGCCAGCTCCCATGGTCACTACAAACACATCGTATTGGTTGTGTTTCTCTGGACAAC
Source organism: Homo sapiens (assembly GCF_000001405.40). NCBI lineage: Eukaryota > Metazoa > Chordata > Mammalia > Primates > Hominidae > Homo > Homo sapiens. The sequence continues at coordinate 108,862,237 of NC_000010.11, read as the reverse complement.
CCTGACTGATACAAAGTCTATATCCTTTAAAAGAAGCATGATGAAATGTGTGTTTCCATCATCATAAATGTACTCTTAAATTTATATACTGTATGTTGTAGAGTGTGCTAGATCATGACGAGGGAAATAATAAGATCATTGGCGTGATGCTTAGAATATAACTCAATTCTGAATAAATATCAGCATTTCAATCATTATTGGTTTTATATTTTATATTACTCAATTATGTAATAATTTTTAAAATGTGCATTTTCAGAATCATTTTATATTTTAAATTACATTTCAATTCTGGTACCTTTATGCTCAGCATCACCCCCTTTTTAGGTTTTTAGCTTAGAAAGGTTTTAGTGGTTACAATTTTCTTTAAATGGGAAATGGATCTCTGTTCTGTAGCTCCACATGCAGCCAATTACTGGGTTTTATAAAATGAAATAATGTGCTTCTGAACCATAATTTAAAACACAATTTTTAAAAGCCTTTATAGACAAACATTATAATATATTCATAAATTATTCTTTTAAATACATTGGCTAAATTTACATAGAGATGAAAGTTGAAATTTATGAAATGCTATTTTATGTTCATGCTGATGGCATAATGCCAGCAATATTTTATGGTTGAGATGCCTGAACACACTGGGCTACATTTCTCCATCTGACTGAGAACACGTGATTCCAATTCCCAGTCAGACTACGCAAGGTAATCTTATACACTAGCTTCAAGATGGCTGGGAGAGATAGGTTTGAGAGGGACTGGAGCCTGGAAATTAGAATTATGTGAAGCTAATTTATTTGACTTGAGAAACTTATAATCAACCTGTATTCTCTTAGAAGCAAGGTTATAAATGGAAACTTTAATTATTGAGGCTGCATGTCTGGTACCAGCCTTTGATCAGCATCATCTCAGCTGTTCTCTGTTAGGAAAAGATAGTAATCTCTTTGCCTGGAGATTTATCGCATATGCATGTAGATATAGACAAATGTGTGCGCGCACACACACCCCTTTGGTAGGGTTTTTTAAGTAGATGAATCCAGCCTCTTAGGTTCACATTTTAGTTGCTTTCATTTGTGATTTAGTAACAAATACTACCATTTTCTTTTCAAAGCCACACTATTTAGCACTGTCAGCTATTGGCCAACTTTGACCCCTCAGGGAATAATGATTTCTTAACATCTATAATGGCCCCCTCAAACTGAGACTTGACAAATGTCCAGTTTGCAATAATCTCCCTTCCTCATTTTGCTGTCTTTCCTATCCCATTTGTGTGTCCTTGACTTAATTAGTTGAGCTCTCTGAACATCAAATTCTTCAACTAGTAAAGAGAGGAGTTGTAATACGAATGTTTATAAATATTCTGTGGTGGTTAATTGAAATCTCCCTTTATCTCTGCCATGTCTGCTTCTCTTTCCATTGCTATTACTGAATGGCTGAGGGTGTAGGGGGCAGTTACAGGTCTCTGTATTCTTGTACAGTGACCTTTACAGGTGGGGCCAATTTAGCCACACGCAATAGACTAAGCAAATTAATTTAAGGAGAATGGTGGCGGGGGGGAGGGGGGTGTGTGTCATGGGATCAATGGATTAAAATCAACAAGTCATGTGAAAGGTATTAACCTACCAGTCAGAGAACACTGTTAGTACTTCTCAAAATGGGACTCTAGTTCATCAGATGCACATCAGGTGTTTGTTAAACACTGAGAATTCTGGTTGTCATTCAAGGTCCCTGAATGAAAACTTTGGGGACTAGGCTTGGGGCACCTATATTTTTTACAAGCTCCCAGGCGATCTTGGAACACAGACATTTGAGAATGACCGGCCTGGAATGTGCCTATCATTTTGGAAGTTTTGAGGTTGATGCAAATGTGCAGTGATTCAGCTGCTAGTTGTTATACATTTTTACATTCAAAATAGTAATCTGATGATCTCTGCCTCCATCTCATCCCTCACTAACCCTAGACCATCAGGTGCACTTTCATGGGATGAATAGGGCCAGCTTCAGGTTTTCTAAAAGACGTAGGATCATGCAAAACACCGCCTTGGTAGAAAAGCAAGTGTGCTGTAAACCGCTTTAAATATTTTTGGCAAGTAGGCCATTGCTTATAAGCTTATAAATTAGAGAAACAGCCAGGGTGCTCTAGAAGCCTAAGACCTCCAACTATCAGATCCACCAGCCTCAGGAAGCTTAGTGTCTTCCAAATGTCATCAGCTCTGCAAAGTAAGTGAAAAATAAAATGTCTACCTATGAATAATACAATATTTTTACTACCACATAGTTGCAAAGCACCATAATAACTATTCTCACTTTTATATGTATTTTTAATACCTGCAGAATGTGTTTCTTTTACACTACTTTAGCCACTTTGATCAGTGCTGCATTACTGATTTTTGTTTTTGCGTTGGACAAAAATTATAAAACATGTATGTCCATAAATTCAAACCCAAACTTCTCAGAACCAAGAGTAAAATACTTCTGTGAAATCAAAAGTAGATAATCGCTCTTTATTTTCTGATACAATTGCACAGAGACTTCAGGAAAAGCAGAGGAAAAAGCATCATTTTCACATTTACTCTAGAAAAAAAAAGTTAATTTTTTCTTTCTTTCTCTTTATTTCTCCCTTCCTTTCCTGCCTCTCTTTCTTTCATTTTCTTTCTTTCCTCCCTCCCTTTCTCCCATCTTCTCTTCTCTTCTCTTTCTTCTGTAAGTAAACCCAAAGATACATGAGATGTTTTATGACAGTTGGACAGAGAGATTTACAGCAACAGAGGTGTTGTCTTTTTTTTTTGTACTGTAATTTTCTTTTTATTTTATTTTATTATTATTATACTTTAAGTTTTAGGGTACACGTTCACAATGTGCAGGTTAGTTACATATGTATACATGTGCCCTGCTGGTGTGCTGCACCCAATAACTCGTCATTTAGCATTAGGTATATCTCCTAAAGCTATCCCTCGCCCCTCCCCCCACCCCACAACAGTCCCCAGAGTGGGATGTTCCCCTTCCTGTGACCATGTGTTCTCATTGTTCAGTTGCCACCTATGAGTGAGAATATGTGGTGTTTGGTTTTTTGTCCTTGCGATAGTTTACTGAGAATGATGATTTCCAATTTCATCCATGTCCCTACAAAGGACATGAACTCATCATTTTTGATGGCTGTATAGTATTCCATGGTGTATATGTGCCACATTTTCTTAATCCAGTCTATCATTGTTGGACATTTGGGTTGGTTCCAAGTCTTTGCTATTGTGAATAGTGCCGTGATAAACATACGTGTGCATGTGTCTTTATAGCAGCATGATTTATAGTCCTTTGGGTATATACCCAGTAATGGGATGGCTGGGTCAAATGGTATTTCTAGTTCTAGATCCCTGAGGAATCGCCACACTGACTTCCATCACGCTACCTGACTTCAAACTATACTACAAGGCTACAGTAACCAAAACAGCATGGTACTGGTACCAAAACAGAGATATAGATCAATGGAACAGAACAGAGCTCTCAGAAATAATGCCGCATATCTACAACTGTCTGATCTTTGAAAAACCTGAGAAAAACAAGCAATGGGGAAAGGATTCCCTATTTAGTAAATGGTGCTGGGAAAACGGGCTAGCCATATGTAGAAGGCTGAAACTGGATCCCTTCCTTACACCTTATACAAAAATTAATTCGAGATGGATTAAAGACTTAAACGTTTGACCTAAAACCATAAAAACCCTAGAAGAAAACCTAGGCATTACCATTCAGGACATAGGCATGGGCAAGGACTTCATGTCTAAAACACCAAAAGCAATGGCAACAAAAGCCAAAATTGACAAATGGGATCTAATTAAACTAAAGAGCTTCTGCACAGCAAAATAAACTACCATCAGAGTGAACAGGCAACCTACACAATGGGAGAAAATTTTCGCAATCCACTCATCTGACAAAGGGCTAATATCCAGAATCTACAATGAACTCAAACAAATTTACAAGAAAAAAACAACCCCATCAAAAAGTGGGCAAAGGACATGACAGACACTTCTCAAAAGAAGACATTTATGCAGCCAAAAAACACATGAAAAAATGCTCACCATCACTGGCCATCAGAGAAATGCAAATCAAAACTACAATGAGATACCATCTCACACCAGTTAGAATGGCAATCATTAAAAAGTCAGGAAACAACAGGTGCTGGAGAGGATGTGAAGAAATAGGAACACTTTTACACTGTTGGTGGGACTGTAAACTAGTTCAACCATTGTGGAAGACAGTGTGGCGATTCCTCAGGGATCTAGAACTAGAAATACCATTTGACCCAGCCATCCCATTACTGGGTATATACCCAAAGGACTACAAATCATGCTGCTATAAAGACACATGCACACGTATGTTTATCACGGCACTATTCACAATAGCAAAGACTTGGAACCAATCCAAATGTCCAACAATGATGGATTGGATTAAGCAAATGTGGCACATATACACCATGGAATACTATACGGCCATAAAAAATGATGAGTTCATGTCCTTTGTAGGGACATGGATGAAATTGGAAATCATCATTCTCAGTAAACTATCGCAAGAACAGAAAACCAAACACCACATATTCTCGCTCATAGGTGGGAATTGAACAATGAGAACACATGGTCACGGGAAGGGGAACATCACACTCTTGGGACTGTTGTGGGGTGGGGAGTGGGGCGAGGGATAGCTTTAGGAGATACACCTAATGCTAAATGACGAGTTAATGGGTGCAGCACACCGGCATGGCACATGTATACATGTATAACTAACCTGCACATTGTGCACATGTACCCTAAAACTTAAAGTATAATAATAATAATAATAAAATACCATTTTCCCATTAAAATGTTAGTTAGAGGAATGGCTAATTATAGGACATGGTCAGGAAATGTACAGGATAAGCCTTGAGTATTATGTGGTGCCAGAAATTAAGAAAATTCTTAAACAAAAATACACTGATGGGAGTGTGTCAAAGGGGCACAGGAGCCTAATGAAAGAGCTTCCAAGGGCCAAAGTGGACCAATGTGAAAAATAAAATAAAGTGGTATTGAAATATAATCCAAAGTATAAAATGAATATCCATTAATCTATAGTGATGTAAACGAATGAATGAATAAAATTTTATAATTATTATTATAAATAATATTTCATAATAAAAATAACTTATTATGGCAAAGATTTCCAAATAGTTTATGTAAGTACTATACTCTCAAGAGATAAAGCATACCATCCCACTCCATGTGGGCTGCACGTGGTAGCTTATTTCTAAAGAGTACAGTATGGAAATGAGAAAACAAAGTATAAATTTACAGTGAAAAATCCTGACCAATACTACCTTGGTCAAGGGATCAATGTCAGCATTAACAGTAAGAAGTCATGTCAATAGTATAATATTATATATATGTTATGTGATCAATATAGTACTTCTGTGACAGCCTGAAATTTGTAACTTCAGTCTAATAATAAGAAATAGATCAGAGAAATTTCAATAGAAGGACATTTGACAAGACACATGATAAGTACTCTTCGGAATTTTCCAGGCCAACAAAAACAAGGCAAGTCTGAAAAACTTTCGTAGCCAAGAGAAACCTAAGGAGACATGACAACTAAATGTAATGTATTATCTTTATTGGAAACCTGAAACAATAAAAAAGACATCAGGCGAGCAGCAAGAAAATCTCAATAAAATATAGACTTTAGTTATTAATATATCAATATTAGTTAATTCATTGTGACACATGTATTATACCAATGTAAGATGTTAACAATAGGTATAATTGGCCTTGTGATACATGGGAACTTTGTAATATCATTGCAATATTCTTGTAAATCTAAACAGTTGTATAAAAGTTTAACAATTAACTTCTAAAAATTAAAAAGGGGGCATAATATTTAGCCACTTCATCTACGAAAATATAAAAATGGCAAATAAGCACGTGAGAAGATGCTGAACATCAATAGTCATTAGGGAAATGCAGATTAAACCACCGTGAGACCACTCTATACCACTCATCAGAATTGCTAAAATTTAAAAAGACAGGGGAATCCAAATGTTGACAAGGATGTAAAGCAACTGAAACTCTCATACATCACTAGTGGCATGGCAAAGTAAAGGAGTCTGCAGTTTAGTTAACGGTATTGTATCAATGTTAATTTTCCATTTTTGATATTGTATCATAGTTACATAAGATGTTACCTTTGAGGAAATATGGGAAGGACTGTATGTACTAGTTTGGTAAATTCCTATGCCTATATTTAAAAACATAAAGTTAAAAAGAAATGCATTAAGACATTAGTTTATGCTTATTAAGATTTTATAATATAAAACTCTACAACTATTATGCAACTGGTTTAATTTTTACATCTTTTCCAGACAATACATGTTTTACATTGTTATATTTGATTATATAATTGTTTGATGTCTTTTATCTTCTAACTATGTTGGATATGTAAACATTTCTTCATAGAGCAGAATTTTAGGATTGTTTTTTCTATTTCTAATTTAAAAATGTGACTATGATCTTGATACAGATTAAATAGAATCCAGTGGATCACGTCTGTAATGCCAGCACTTTGGGAGGCCGAGGCGGGTGGATCACAGGGTCAGGAGTTCGAGACCAGCCTGGCCAACATGGTGAAACTCCGTCTCTACTAAAAATACAAAAATGAGCCAGGTGTGGTGGCGGTCACCTGTAATCCCGGCTACTCAGGGGGCTGAGGCGGGAGAATCGCTTGAAAGCAGAAGGCGGAGGTTGTGGTGAGCTGAGATTGTGCCACTGCACTCCAGCCTGGGTGAAAGAGGAAAACTCCATCTCAAAAAAAAAAAAAAAAAAAAAGAATCCAAAGATAGTATAGGTCTTTGATTTTGATGACCATTATTTGAGAAAAGTACATAGTTTTTCCATGTTTAAAATGATACAATGAGAAAATTTAAGTAATTTACAAAGAGATGAGGGCATTTGAGTAGCAGAGCCAAGTCTGGCACAAATATTTTCTTATAATGAGATTTTCTTGCTAACCTAATAAAAGTATATAGATATTTTGTTTTTATGTGTTTTATTTTGCTTAAATGTAATTATTGATAACTTTCCAGTTTTTATAGGATTTTTAAATTTGATTAGAAAATTGATTTCTAAATTTAACAAATTTTAAGAAAGGATGTCAAAAGAGGAGAAAAAATTGTTTTATTATAATTTTATAAGAAAATAATTAAAAATTAAGATGATTAATATTTTATGGCAAGTATTTCTGCTTAAATGTTTTACATGCTTAAAAGGCACAAGGGAAAAAGAGAAAAAGGCACAAGGGTTATATGAATTATTTTAATTCTCATATAAGTCTTTGAATATTTTACTGCAATAATTTTCAACTTTCAAATGAATAATGGAGTATTAGAAATGTCAACAGCTAGCAAGATCAAGATTATACAGTAATTTTGAGATTTATAATTCAAAGCAGATTTACTTTATTCTTAGTTACCATATTTTACTATCTTGCTATTCATACAAAGTAGATAAGATGGTTAGAAGATACCCTGAGAGTATCAGTAACAGATTGTGAGTGGTAGGTTTTGAATTTTTTCTATTTTCTCAAACTAGATGAATAACTTGGGTAAAGCCTTGCAACTAACATTTTCTTGGATTTCTTCATTTATTTTGTGGCTCTGTAGTATGGGCTGATAGTTAAAAATTCATGTTTTTATTGAAGAGGATAGTGTCCTGTAGGAGTGAATGTCTTGCCCAAGGTCACTAAGTAATGCACCAGCTGAGAATCTCAGCTTGTGTCTCAAATATGCATAACGATGGATGCTCAGCCTATCTCAGCTGTGGATCAGCATGTGACCCCACTTTGATTACAAGCAGTTATTATTTTCTTCATACAAATTCTTTTCCTTCTTTCTTTAATGAGAATGGTTTTGTTAATATTGTTCTGACATGTCATCTATTATAGTGCCAATTATTCAGGGAGAGGTTTAAAAAATATTTTGTTCCAGATGGTTTCATAATTAATTGGTTTATTATTTTCGCAGATGTTGGAAAGGAAACTTCAGGGTGCAAACCAACAACATCATGGCTTTTTTATTCATTTTGTAAAAACAATTGTGTCAAGTGTCACTGGAAGATTCTGTGGACTATGAGTCAAGCATGTTGTGATTTTATAAGCTGCATCAATTATTTGGGATATAAATTGATATTGTTGCTTTTTTGGGAGATAGCTCTTTGAATATGAATTTAGTAGTAGTCCCACGTTAAATGTCCCTTCAACTCAATTTTCAGAAAAGTCATGTGATTACTTTCTTTTGCATTTTTGTACTATTTGATGGCTTTGAAAGTACTTAACCATGATCTTTGGAAGAAAGCCAGGCAGATACTATTATCCTCAGAACCACATTGAGGAAACTGAAGTTCAGAGAAGTAATTTATTAAAATGTCATCCAGCTCTCCAATAAGTAGTGAATTCAGCCTCCTGATTCCTAATCTAGTCCTCTATACATTATTCTAATACTACAGCATCTCCTGGATGTAAGATTTCTAATATAGATACAGGTTAAATATGTCCTACACTCTCTGAGGGCCACTCACGTCTGCAGAAATACAGAAGATTGGTCTTCTATGGATCATCTTCTAGCTAGTTCTCAAATACTTTGGTTTTATGAAAGGAGACATGAGAAGCTTTTCACTGAAAAGTTCTTAATTTTAGAATTTTAGATGGGTCATAGAGGTCATGAAATTCAACAACGCATCCCAGCTAAAAAGCTCTACTATACCCTTGCTGACATATATTTCCTGCCTTTGATGGAAAGTTTTTAAGGATGGGGTGATATATGTCTACTTTTTTTAAATTTCTGGGTTTGAAACAAATTCTTCTTAGAGGAAGTCAATATTTGTTTTACTCTAATTATTGTCTCAGGTTTGCCAAGTGCATGGAGCAGATCTATTTGCTGTGTGGCACAATGGTTGAATTAATTGATTTAATATTTCATTTTGACTCAAATGATCTTCCTGTAAATCTTCAGCTATTGATACTATTGCTTTGTCTTTGCCAGATCTTTTTTTCTAAAAATACCTTGACTCTCTAGTGAAATACCATATCAAAAGATTTCTAGGTTTCTCATCTGGCTGGTCATTTTCAGTTTTCACTAAACTTAAAATTCTTCAAGATGTGTGAAGCCATAACACCTCCCCAGAGTTCTGCTAATAGCTGAGGAGTAGTTGAAGTAGTTGTGATGCTTATGATGAGAAAGGATGGAACTTATTTTGGGTAATAATGCAAAGATGGCTGCCAAGAGAATCACATTTCAGCAAGTTCTTAGTTGCTTTGCTGTTTTATACATCAGAAAGAGAAGGTAAAATCAGTACAGAGATGTGGAATGAATGTAGAGAGAATGACTGAGAACTCTGCTCTTCCTTAAAGAAAATAATTAAATTGAAGATTCTGGTCAGTAAGAGAATTCGTACTCAGGAGTGACAAATCCCTTGGTTAATTAATAAAAAAATAAATTGAGGTATTGTATTTAAGAACAGTTATATAGCTCATTAAACACTTCTTGGGAAACAGACAAAATAATACTGGAGAATAATTGCATTCTTAGGGGCGCAAAACCCAGCGGAAGTCCAACCATCTATATTTGAGGAACAAACTGATATTGAACTGTAAGTGCCTCCACTCTTCTCTAAGGGACCTCTTGTTCCTGATAATGATATTATAATTACAAAATATAAGAATTGTGACAAACCATAATTAGAAGCGCTATGACCTGAAATTCAGTTAGCTTCACTTTCAGTTTAAGTCTCGGGTAGAGAGTGGGCATGTTTAATGCAGTAAAGATGAAACCACAAAGGGAAATTTTTGGGTTGTACTGAGCACAGAGGCTAGGGATCTTTTGCGGTATTGAAGACCTATGGAAATCCTCACTGACTGTGGTACGTAAATTATGCTTCAGGAATTGCTCTTGCTCAATATTTCAACCTGATGCCATTGCCACATGGAAGGAGATCTGTGAGGGAGCAGCCATTTTTATCTTAGGATCTGAGACTAGAAAAGTTGTCAAGATAAGCAACTTATTTTAGTGTGATTCTGTTTTAGAAAAATATGTCTTGAATTTGGATACTGATATGAAGCAATTAGCTAAGTGGTAATTAATTTCAAAATCGATTTAAGATACCAATAATTATTCACAGTCAGGAAAATAGAATTTGGTGTATGTTCTTATTATTTGTACTGAATATAATCAGGATCAATGATTTAAAGTAAAAATATGGAAAATTCAGAAAAAAGATCATAAATATGTGATATATATATCTCATATACATATATGAAGGAAATCCTCAATAATCGTTTTTCCTCTGTAGACTCTTCATTTTTGTTCTAGGAATATCCCTAGGTGCTTTATCTAGAGCTAGATTTTATAAAATTGGTATTCTACAATGTCCACTATTTGTAAGTTGTTTTCTCACTTAATATTGCACAAATATTTTTGTTATTAAATATTATTCTAAATCTTGATTTTCATTTATTTTTATTTTTTGAGACGGAGCCTCGCTTTGTCACCCAGACTGAAGTGAAGTGACACGATCTCAGCTCACTGCAACCTCCGCCTCCTGGGTTCAAGTGATTTTCCTGCCTCAGCCTCCTGAGTAGCTGGGATTATAGGCGTGTGCCATCACGCCCATCTGATTTTTGTATTTTTAGTAGAGATGGGGTTTCACCATGTTGGCCAGGCTGGTCTTGAACTCCTGACCTCTGGTGATTCACCCACCTCAGCCTCCCAAAGTGCTGGGATTACAGGCGTGAGCCACCGCGCCCAGCCTAGATCTTGATTTTTAAGGATTGTGTATCATATCTCCATTTTAAAATATTGTAACCCATGATGCCCTGTGGGTCTTGGGGTTTTTGCTCTTCTAAGCATTCTATGTTCATAAATATTTATTGTATTTGTAATATATATGCAACATAAATTCCGATTTATACAAATACATTTATCATAATAAATGGTATGAGTTTTTAGGCTTTCAATATATTATAAATGGTCTATGTCTATGCTCCATAATCAATAATATGTATTAACATTAAAAGTAAAGTTTGGAAATTTATAACATAGTATGTCATTTGATGCTATAATAACCTGTGCCTCTACTACAGCAAGTAGATGTCACTGATATTAAGATTTCTCTGATGTTTGATGCTGGCAGCTAATGTCCTGGATCAGGAAGTTGAATGTTGAGTTCAACCAAGAGTCTCTGACATTGGCTTGCCGCACAATCTTGGACAAGTTTCTCCATTCCTGTTCCTTAGTTTTCTCATCTGTAAAACGGAGGTAAGAATAATCCCAACCATTTGTACCTCATCATCAAGAGATGCTATGAAAATAATTGAGATCACCTTTCAAATCCTTTTCAGACTTCAACTACCTGCCGAAGGTCTGTGTATAGTTTAATACCCTTGTAGTGTTGTTTGTGACAAAATAGGAAATGTTTATGTTTATGTATTTAAAAAATCTATCATGTTACTAAAATCCTAACAAAATCTAAGACTGGAAGTAGTTTGTGGTTTACATGCCACATCCTCTGCTAAGGTTTTCACATGCAAATAACTACAAAATATATATTCTGACTTTCATCCATCATTTAGACAAACATACAGAGCCTATGAGAGAATAAATAAAAGTATTTGATTAAATCAATGGATTAAAATTTATAATTTCATACAAATACATGATAAAACCAGATATAAATGGTTTTTAATATGTTACTTTTAAGAATATTTTTACTTGTTGAGTTGAAGTTTAAAGCTTAGAAGAGTCTTAGACATCTTTCTTATTCTCTTATTTTCTTTCATGCATACTGAGACAGAAAAGAGGAAGTGAAAGAAATGAAAACTAGCTCTAGACTTTAGGTTTCCTGATTCACAGTTCAGTGCTTTTCAAGCAACAGATTTTGCACTTTGTGCAAAAACTGATTAATCTCTTTTCCAGAGGAATAACTAAATGTATGATGGCATATATAAAAGGATATTCCACTTATTATACTTCACAATTCCAGAAAACTGAGAAGAACCTAAAATTTCCTGAGTAGGAGCTTTGTAGAGGAAAGCTGAGTTAAGAAAATCAATGCAAGATTATATAGCCATTAAAACTAAAGACATATAAGTTCATGTAGTAACTTCAAAGTATGTCCATAATATATTATTAATTGAAAAGGACCAGACCACCAAACAGCAGGTGCAATTGCAGTATTCTCTGTGTATAAAATTGCAGATGTACATTTTATAGATACATACAGTTTCCGAATGATGTCTGAAAGAATGTTCAAAATGTCCACAGTGGTTATAGTCAGGTTGTGAAACTCGGGGTGACTTTTTAAAAATTTAAGTGCTTATTAAGCAGAAATGTCACTATACTTGGTTTCTTGCTTACTGTTCATAGTTGGTTTATTTACTTTATTACTGAAGAACCTTGTTGGGTAATACCATCTACTGCCTTATGAACATAAGAATAAGCAGTTCTAACATAATATTTCTAGGAAGTGAGTTTTTCTTAATACTTTACTACCAATGATTTCTGTATTTACATATATAGCATTATTAAACTGTATCAAAATGTAATAAAATATATAAAATTCATTTAGGGAATATTTTTTCATATTTTTTAAAAAATATTTTTTCAAATTGTCATTAATTGGATTCATGAGATGTGGTTTGCTTTTCTACACAATTTCTGCCAGTCTTAGTGAATCTATTTTATGTTTGATTTCACAACATTCCAGCTGAAGCTCTGCAGAATATCATTTTGGAATTTGCATCCCTGCTATAATCCAAAACTCATGTATGGCTTCATTAAGCTTCTTATCTTTATTTTTTTTCTATCCTTTGAGAGAATACACAGAGCATCATATCTCAGAGTTTCCCCATGTCAGCATTCAAATCCTTCACTCCATTATCACAACCATAGATGGAAACATTGTCCTTTGGCTTGATGAAAGTAGCATTCTCTTTCTTAGAATGGGGTTATTCACAGAGTGCAGGGGGTTAAGGCTGATTATAGTACATGAGCCTGCTAGATTCCTGCAGCCTTTGTCTTCTCCACCATCAGTTGAGTGCAGAGCAGCCCATTACACAGAGATTCAGTCAAATTGGGTTTCATCTGCTCCCCACTCTCTTGATGGTAGACCTCTCCTCTAGGTTGACCTCATGGAGTTTTCTCACATCTTGCTCACCTCTGAGGTCTGGCTTCAGGCCTGTGCTTGAAACTTGTCACTGCTTCTCTTTCAGGATCTTTCTCCACATGTATTTTGGGATTGTCTTGCTATTGCATTTGGAGTAAAAAGGAGAGACTCCACATAGCATCGTGTAGGTAATTACCCTGACAGTCCACCTACCACAGTCCTGGTTGTAAGTGTATCATGTTAGCAAGGTAGATATGATGCCAAACTCTTCTGAGGAATTCTCGCATCTCCTGAGGTGCTGCCTAATAAAGGGTGAACTGGCGTTTTGGTCATGTCGCTTTGGTGAGTTTTGACAAATTCAGTTATAAATGTCACTGGGGCATCCGTAAGATTATCCTTCAAGGGCAGATTGTCAGGCATAAGCTCCCTATATGTGATCTCTAACATATGACAGTGCTGTGGAGTCAGAGCTATCTGCTTTGGTACTTGGCTGACTTGCTGCTCTGTAAAATGCTTGTGCTGGGCCATGCTGTGAAAGAGCTATCTCCCTTCCATCATTTCCATTACCATTGAGTCAAACCCTGGGTCTGGACTCATGAGGAAGCTACGCTGTTAGCTAACACTTTAATAATATGAACTATATTGGGGCATGTGGCACATACTGTGTTTACACATATATCATTTCTAGCTTTGAGGTGATTAAAAGGAATTTTCAGTGTACAGAAATTCTCAGCCAGATTTTTTCCACATAAATTCTCAGCCAGTTTTTTCCCCACAATCCTGACTTAAACTGGATTACTAATCCCTGATCTTAGCCTGAGTCCAGGAAATACTGTATTTCTTGAAATGAATGTTTCCTTGATGACATCATCATACTTTCTTTTGACATGCTCCATGAGGACCCCACCCTTGGAGATAGAGATCTTTAACGCTTTTTATATTGTTTGAATTATTTATAATAAATTCCATCTGGTCTTTTTTCTGGCTGGATATCTTTTATTTCATTTATTAATTCTGTAATTTGTAATTTTGCATAGGTAAGTGATACTGTTTCTGTTTCCTTCCTTTCTTTCTCTCTTCATTCCTCCCTCCATCTTTTCACTTTCTTTCCTTCCCCTCTCTCCTTCCTTCCCTCTCCCCTCCCTGCTCTTTCTTTATTTCTTGCATTTATAAGCATAGGCCTTATGGGACATTTTCTAAAGTTGTAGCACACTTGTAAAATTAAGAGTATGAGAGCTCAAAAACCGCTTCTTATAAATAAATGTTATATTAATATCCTTGACAGATAATGTTCTCTGATTTAATGGAATTGATCATATTTTTAATGTAGGAATGGCACAAGAGTAATCATGCTTTTCAGGAAACAAGAATTGCCTAACAAGTGAAATGAAGAGTAATAATTTATATTAATTTTGAAAATAATTTTTGTGTATTTTTTGTTAAATAAAAGTGCCAAATTGAGAGAAATATTTTATTTTCCAATGAAAAGGATAATAACATCTTTGTTTTAAAGGATGTGTAAGAATTACTGTGTATGGGGATGATCCAACTCTTAGTTAATGAATACTAGAGATTTGGTTTGCTTTTCTGGTTATAGTCTTGGCCCACTTGAGGAATTACTTACATATCTTTAACATATCTTCTCTCCCCATCCCATACCAAGAGTTAGATGTGAATAACAATAACTGATCATTATTGAGCATATTGCACCAGGTGGTATGCTAATTGATTCAAATATATTAGCATTTTTTAAAGGAAGAAAAATATATAAAGTGAGCTGTACAGAAAGGAATTGTACAGTTCAATGAGCTTTGACAAATGTATGTACGTGTAATCTCTACTCAGTCAAGATATAGAACATTTGTATCACCCTAGGAAGTTCCCTTAAATCCCTTTGTAGCTACCACACCAAGGGCAATCCCGTGCCATAGAAAACCACTGTTCTGATTTCCTATCACTTTATATTAGTTCTTTCTAATTAATGTAAATGCAGTTACATAGTTTATATCTTTTTTTCAAAAATAATGTTTTTTGAGTTCACCTTTGTTGTAGATTTGTCACTTGTTTGATTTTTTTAGCTGCTGCATAAAATTTCATAAATATACTACAATATATTTAACAATTTTCTGGTTGATTTACATTTTTTACAAGTTTGGATACCATAAATAAAGCTTCCATAAGTATTATTTTACAATTTTTTGTGAAAATACTGTTTTACTTCTTGTAGGTGAATGTTTAAGAGTGCAAATGAAAGGTCTTAGGGCAAATGTATATTTTACCTTATAAATACTGCCTTACTTTAAAAACATAGTTGTTCCACATCCTCAACCGTATTTGGTATTGTCTTATTGTCTTTTTAATTTTTGCCACACTAGTAGTGGGTATAAGATTTTATTTCATTGTGATGAGCATTTTCCTAATAAATAATGATCTTGGGCCTGCTATTTAGTAGTCTGAACCTGATTTCCTTCACCTGTATGATTTATTTAATATGTCATGTCTCACAATGCTGTAAAATTAAACGAGATTATGTACATATATACATATATATGCACATATACATACACACACACACACACAGACACACACACACAGACACACACACAGTGCCTGATACGTAGCAAGAGCTTACTGAATTATAGGTTAAACACTATCTTTTCAGCCTTGGCTGCCACTCTGTCACTTTTGCTTGTCTTCTTTTCTCTTGTGTTTATGTTTGTCTTCCAGGCTCAGCCTTTCCAGAAAGGAGTTGGTTATTTATGTGCCATTTGTAGCTTCAAATCATATATAATGCCTTTTGAGCTAAGCATGGGTTTACACTGTGCCAGGGATGCCTCTCTGCTTTCTTGTTTACTTTATTTTTTAAGATAATTTCAACTTTTATTTTAAGTTCAGAGGGTACATGTGCTGGTTTGTTACATGAATATATTGCGTGATGCTAAAGTTTAGAGTATGAATGATCCTAACACCCGGGTTTGGAGCACAGTACTCAATAGTTACTTTTTCAGCATTTGCTCCCTCCCTATCTCCCCACTAGTACTCCTCAGTGACCACTGTTGCCAACTTTATGTCCATGTGAACCTAATGCCTAGCTCCCATCTGTAAGTGAGAGCATGCAGTACTTGGTTTTCTGTTCTTGTGTTAATTCACTTAGGATAATGGCCTGCAGCTGCATTCTTGTTGCTGCAAAAGAACATAATTTCATTCTTCTTTATGGCTGTGTAGTATTCCATGGTGTATATGTACCACATTTTCCTTATCTAATCTACCATTTATGGTCACCTAGGTTGATTCCATATCTTTGCTATTGTGGATAGTACTGCAGTGAACATAACGAGTGCATATGTCTTTTAGTAGAATTATATATTTTCCTTTGGATATATACCCAGTAATGGGATTGCTAGGTTGAATGTTAGTTCTGTTTTAAGTTCTTTGAGAAATTGCCAAACTGCTTTTCAAAGTGGTTGAACTAATCTACATTGCCACCAACAGTTTATAAATATTCCCTTTTTTCTGCAGCCTCACCAGCAACTGTTAATTTTTGACTTTTTAACAATAGCCATTCTGACTTGTGTAATATGCTATCACATTATGGTCTTGATTTGCATTTTTCTGATGATTAGTGATGTTGAGTATTTCTTTATGTGTTTTTTGGCCATTTGTATGTCTTCTTTTGAGAAGTGTCCATTTGTAATGAGGTTATTTGCTTTTTGCTTGTATATTGGTTTAAATTCCTTATAGATTCTGTATAAGACTTTTGTCAGATGCATAATTTGTAAATATTTTCTCCCACTTGGCAAGTTGTGTTTTTTCTCTGTTTACAGTTCCTTCAGATACTCTGAATAGGTGTGGTAAAAGCTTTTAGGAAAATCCAACAACACTTCATGATTAAAAACCCTCAACAAATGAGACATAAGTGGAACATACCTCAAGGTAATAGGAGACACCTATGACAAACCTACAACTAACATCATACTGAATGGGAAAACCTGAAAACATTCCCCTTAAGAACAGGGACGAGACAAGTGTGCCCATTCTTACCACTCCTATTCAACATAATACTGGACATCCTAGCCAGAGCAATCAAGCAGGAAAAAAAAATAAAAGAAACCCAAATAGGAAAAAAAAAGTCTATTATCTCTTTCCTGCTGATGTGATTCTATACCTAAAGAACCCTAAAGACTCCATCAAAAGGCTCCTAGAACTGATAAATGACTTCAGTAATGTTCCAGGATATCAAATTAACATTAAAAACTAGTAGCATTTCTAAGCACCAACAACGTTCAAGCTGAGAGCCAAAAAAAAATGCAATTCTATTTACAATAGCCACAAAAAGATAACATGTCTAGGAATATATCTAACCAAGGAGATGACAGATCTCTACAAGAAGAACTACAGAACACTGCTGAAAGAAGTGTTTTCTGTCATAGAACACAAACAAATGAAAACACAGTCCATGCTCATGGATTGAAAGAATTAATATTGTTAAAATGGCCATACTGCTCAAAGCAAACTTCAGGTTCAACACCAGTCCTATCAGATTACTAATGTCATTTTTCACAGAATTAGAAAAAAGCAATTATAATCATTTAGAACCAAAAATATCCCAAATAGCCAAAGCAATCCTAAGCAAAAAGGACAAATTCAGAGCGATCACATTACCTGGCTTCAAACTATACTATAAGGCTATAGTAACCAAAACAGTGTGGTACTAGTACTAAAACAGACACATAGATAAATGGAACAGATTAGAGAACCCAGAAGTAAAGCTGCGTACCTATAGCCATCTAAACTCCAACAAAGTTGACAAAAATAAGCTATGGAGGAAGCACTCCCTATTTAATAAATGGTGCTGGGATAGCTGGCTAGCCATATGCAGAAGAATAAAACTGGACCCCTTCATTTCACCATATACAAAAATTAACTCAAGATGCATTAAAGATTTAAATGTAAGATGTCAAATATAAGAATCTTCAGTGAAAACCCAGGAAATATCATTCTGGACATTGGCCTTCGTAAAGAATTTTTGACCAAGTCCTCAAAAACAATTGCAACAAAAACAAAGATTGACAAATGGGACCTAATTCATTTGATATTTACTTTTTAAAACTTCATAGAATTGAGACAGCTAACTTTGGCAGCATTCTCAACTTTTGTGTTATGAAGTTTTTTTTTTCTTCATCAAGAAAGTTTTATTAAAATATTTCTGGAGATGAGTAGCACAATGCTCCCTGTGGTTCAATGCACTCTAGTCATCTATTCTGTGATTCTGCATCCAGAAATCTGATTTAGGTTCCATCTTCCACTACACTTATAGTTCATGCAACCGTGTATCTGTGATCACTGCTTTAAGCACAGTGACACTATAGTTTTTTGAAACTTTTTTCCCCATATTTGGGGACATTGTGTATTATGAATTCAGAAATCAGTATCTCTCTCCTTAAATGGAAGTAAAGATGTCTGTGAATCTTTCATTAGAAGTAGGTTTTCTCTCCAAGCATTGCTATAGCTAAAACTTGTCAGCTGATGAGGAAGAAAATGGTTAGGAGAGAGAAGAGGCAAAATGATAAAGTCAAATAGTTGACTTCTGCATAAAGAGACCAAGTATTGATGGCTTGGGAAGGATGACAGAGGAAGAATGAGAGAATAGAAGTGAAAGAGCTTTCTGATCATCTGAAGGATATGCAATTGAAATGGCAGGGAATAATTATTTGGTGAGATTATGCAGAAGGGAGTTGAAAATTTTGTAGTGTTATCTTGGAATCTTCTTGTGATGATGCCATATTGTTTGGAGCAGAATTCAGGCCAACACAGGTTCATCATGCATCAAAAGGGAATGGAGAGGGAAACAATGGTAAGGGTATATGGAGCACAGTATAGAATTGTAGTTATAAGTCTATCCTTAGAGTCACTAGTGCTGCTATTTTCTTGCTATGTGACCTTAAGCAAGTTATCTCTGAGAGATTTCCTCACTGAATATTGAGAATAGTTAGAGTTTATATCCCACAGGGTTGTTACACTGAAAAGAGGACATCATGCATGTGAACCACTCAGCATATGGCTTGGAACTTAGTAATCGTGTGATATATATTAAGCACTCTAATTAATATGTTTGAGGGTCTAGCTTGCCCAAAATTCTATGCCGGCAGTCATAGTAACTCCTATTATCCAGTTTTGAGAATTAAATTTAAAAAATGTACTCTCAGTTTTCAGATGAAGAAACTGAAGGTTTAGAGAAATTAAGCAGTTGGTCTAACTGTAAAGTTTGGTCTGTATGTTTTCTCACCATATTTAAGTTGCATCAAATATAAACTGAGTCCCTGATATAACTTTAAAACTATAGTTCTGTTTATTTTATGGATAACATCATCTCATCAATTTAGGTAAGAAATATTAAGAAAAGATAAAGAACGATGCGGGAGGATGCTGTGAGTGTTAGATTGATTGATTGATCATTCTACCTACCTACCTACCTACCTACCTACCTACCTACCTACCTACCTACTATTTTAATAGGACAGTCTCCATGTGTTATAAAATACCAAACTAACTACAAGATAAAGCCCTAAAAACCTTTTCTTGGTGAAGTGTTTGACATTCAGTTCTTATTAAGTTGTCATTACCGTGAATACAAGAAGAAATAAAAAAAAATCTAAGGATTTGATCTATTTCACTTTGCATTTAGACAGATACCCATCTAAGGCATTAAAAAAGTTGATTTTCTATATATGTGAACTTCTGTAATAATGAAAACATCACTTAGAATTATAATTGTTGTTTCTGGTCCCTTTAAGAGGTACAAAGTCACAAGAGACTTAACAATGAAAACATATTAGATAAACTCCAAAAACATAAAAAATTCAAAAAAACTGTCAGACCAGGATGCAGAAAAAACTACATGAAAGAAATTCTAAAACAAGGTGAACCCTTTCTGGAGAGAGAATGGTTACTTCTCTCCTTGGGAGCATGGCAGGAAGTACCATGAAATCAATAAATTTGTTAGGGAGATTCAAACACTCTTGTTCAATCTCTGAACAAGAGATTGAAAATGTGTGCAGTTAGGTGGTGTCCCTGCAGTTGTTGAATTGGTAGTTTCCCTGCAAACAATCTTTTCTCTCCTTTATAAACAAGGAATGTTCTTAATCTTCATCTCGAAGTTTGTCATATGAGGTAAATAATATAGAAAGAAACCATAATACCTTGGCATCTCTCTCTCTGTTTAATCGGACTAGACAACTTTACTGTAAAGTTGGACTATAATTAAGTCCATTGTCTCCTCCCCATAGTGACTTTCTTTTAGACTTTTCTCTGCATTGACATTTGCTGAATCTGCAAATGGATGTGGATTAGTGTCTTTCCTTTATATGGCAATAATTTTGATGAGGTATCTTGCCTCAAATGGCTTTCTAATACTTAATCTAAGTATGGATTTTCTAAGACTCTACTACACTTTCTGCTACTAATAGGATATGGAATAGAAAAATAAGATGATCATAACGATCATAGAAGTCCATGATGAATAGTTTTTGAGAAAATAATGAAGTTATTTTTAGTTAATATTAAGCTTCTGCATCAGTGTTATCAGTGATTTATTTCATTTAAAGCCACAGATTTGGGAGTGGAGTCTTCAAAATACAGGTCCCATTTTATAACAAAATTTCATTGCTAGCAAATGAGAGTTAAT
Source organism: Homo sapiens (assembly GCF_000001405.40). Taxonomy (NCBI): domain Eukaryota; kingdom Metazoa; phylum Chordata; class Mammalia; order Primates; family Hominidae; genus Homo; species Homo sapiens. The sequence goes on along the minus strand of NC_000010.11, from coordinate 108,841,390 downwards.
GGATAATTGATGTAGCCAGTGTTTAATGGTTAGTCACAAATTATTTTTTTCATAAGCTTTGCTATTTGCCTGTTCTAGGGGCCAGTCCAATGAAAGGCTCTTATTTGACATCATCTGCTTTTTCGCCCAGCATAGGACCTGGGTAAATTGAACTCTGCTTATCGCTGCAGTTGCTAGAGGGTATTGATATCCCTGCCTTTGTGAAGACTCTCTTTTCACGGGCTGCTTTTTTTTTTGTGTGCCTTCTGAGACTATAAATCCTTTCCAGTGTGAAATGGCCTGGGTTTGCAAGTAAGAAGATAAGAGTGGTATCTGATTGTACCATCACCTGTTAATGCCTGTTATGCTTGGCTAAGCTTCCAATTATGTGATTCTGTTGAATATTGTGATGAGGGAACTGAAATGATATGGTGTTAGTGATCTCACCTACTTCAAGCAAGAAGTTCTAATCTTTGAATAAATGACAAAAGGAATCTTTTGATAACATTTAGGCACTGAAGTCTCTGATTTTTGACGGAGAAGATAGTGGACTTTTGAAAAACTCCAAACCTTGATTATATGCACTGAATCGTTAAGCACTTAACTTTCATGTATAAAAGTGAGATTTTTAATCTTCCAAGCTTTCATGAAATTGAGGCCAAGAATTGAATTCTGATTCATGAAATGAAAGTTCAAACACTCTTTCAATAAATGCAATAAAGTGGTATAATGAAATGGTTTAATGGCTTTACGTTTTTTCTCTTCTTTACACAGCATCTCTTAGCTGGAGACTGGCTGCTCTATTTTCCAGGCAGCATGTATTTGAGAAGCCATGTGAAGTAGAGGTAGATTCTGGGGCCAGGTATCCTGGACTCAAATTTTGTTTCTGCTGCTACATAGCTGTGTAACTTTAAATCAACTCTTTCTCTCTAAGTACATGTGTCTTTATCTGCAAAAGAGGAATAAAGAAAGTTTTTGTGAGGGTTAAATGAGTTAATATCAGTAAGTCTTAAGACAGAACCTGCCACAAAGTGCATTATTCATGTGGATATTATTAAGTAGTCACTAGTAATAGTTTCGTGCCATAACTATGTGTAATGAACATCTGATACTTAGATTTGTACAGCACCCTTTCCTCCAGCTATTGCTAACAAGTTTTTAAAATTTCCTTTGAAGTACAACTCTCTTCTACTCTAAGTCTTGGTAAGACTGTCAGTAGAGGCTCCCTGTACTCCCCAAGCCAAATCTGAAATCTCCTGATTCTTTCCCAGGAATTTGAATCTTGGGTAGGTAGGGTGACACAGAAATAGTCAGAGTTGATACATATCAAGGGTAGTGCTCCAAAGTGCCTATTTTGTTTTTCCTGCTATTTATATTCCCCCAATTATCCTGTCTCCTTCCTATTCTTCTTTTCAGACTACTCATTTTTCCCTCCTCCTCCAAATTAACTCCCATAGAGGCAGTTTAAGGAACATCTTTTGTTACTGGAGTGTGTCTCCTGGAAGTCTCAAGTCTTATCTTATTTACCTGAGTGGTTGTTCCAGCCACACAAAATATTTTTTTCTTGTTATATTTCAAAAGACACTTAGTACCTTATGCATATTTTAGAGCTCTTTATATAATATATAGGCACAATAGAAAACTGTCTGGCTTGTTTCTAGAATACAAACCTAAACCCTAACATACTTACATTCATTAAAGTCTCATTTTCCCCCCTCCTTTGACTTAAATCATTTCACTTTTCAATCTTTCACTCTTAATATTTTTCTAGCTTGAGTTCAATGGGCATTAGGATACAAATATTGTTTTCTAAATAACTGTAAGCAGAAGGGAATGAAGACAGTTATGACTGAACATTTTTACTACATTTCATTATGTATGACAATCTTACTGAAGAGAGAAATCGGTCTTTGACAGCTTTACATATATGTGTATGTGTGTGATTTATTTAATATTTAGAATATAATGAACTTGGCTAAGTTTTTTGAGTAGTTTTTGGGTGCTAAGCACTGTGTTAGGTTGAATGATACAAAGTGAAAGACACAATCCCTGGTACGAAAAAGCTTTTAATCTTCTATGAGAGGTATGTATCTTGTATGTTGCCAGATACACTAGCCTTTAGGTTAAAAAAAAATGCCAATTTAACTTTTTTATTGTTTTTGAGGTAATGGTAGTGATAGATGCAGGAGTCAGATGAGGGAGGGTCCCCAGAGAATCTCCGACTCACCCCACAAGTGTTTACATCAGATGCTTTTGTGCAGATGAGGGAACCTGCCCAGGGTCTTTTCTGCACATGCCTGCAATGGATGAGGGGCCCACCTGCACACTGGGAGAATGGGGAGGAGCCTGGCCTCTTCAGTTCTTGTGTGGTGGCCTGGCATTCAGGCTGTGAGGTGAAAGCCTATTAGCAGTACTCCTTCTTTTTTCACTGAGAGCAGCCAGTCTCCAGATAACAGATGCTGTGTAAAGGAGAAGAGAAAACACATAAAGCCATTTTACGAAGGAGCCTATTAGCAGTACTCCTTTTTTTCTGCTTTCCTCACCCTTCAATGTGTCCATGTGCCTAATCTTTTCTGGTTGTTTGACAAGAACGCATTTTTAGCTGAACTAAGGAGCAAAAATTCCTCATCACTAACACATAGTAAATTTATATATTTATGGGGTACAGTATGATTTTTTGATACATTTGATGTTGGATTCACAATGGCTATCAGGCCTTATTAGTCTAATGCTAGACATCAATTTCTCTTCCTTTCCTTAAAAATTTCCTATTTTTTTTGATGCATTCAGTTTGGTTCATCACATATGCTATTCATACATTTCCAATGTCTCTTCTCCCTGATCTTTAACATTAATTCATGCAGGATTTGATTTATCCAAGTTGTTTATCATCAGAGTATCATAGCTATCTTCTATGAGAGGTATGTATCTGGTATGTTGCCAGATACAGATAAGTCCTGCCTGTGGAAGATGTTGTCTAAAATACTCCTAAAGGAAGACTCAGCAACGTCTGTGCCTTTATCCAGAGCTTTCTTCTCACCTCTCTGTACCTTGCTTCTTCCTGTGCCTACTGTACTGCTGTGGTTAGCAGGGACCCATCGCCTCGGCAGATGGTAGTGCTCACTTGAGTCGTGAGAAAATGGCAATGTGAAATCAAAAGGTGCCTGTAGAAACAAGAGGCTCTTGCTGGTAGGCTGCAGAAGAAACCGTCAAATGATAAAAAATAATAATAACTACAAAAGATGCCTTAGCTATAGCTGGCCTTTATGAAGAAATAGTGAGAGACATCGTGTTGGGCTTTTATATTTTTCTACAGTATTTCTAGGCTTGATGTCTCTGTGATATAATTACTAATGAAGAAAGCTGGGAAATTTTGATTTAATTTATAATAGTGAATCCTAGCACTAACTGATATCATATTTTGAAACAATGCTTTCACACATTGAAACATAACAAATATTAGCACAATCTCTCAAGCAAAGTTAGTTTTCTCCATGTTTTCCACATCTGAAAACCAGAGGAGAGATGCGGGTGACTGTGGTTCCAAGGTATCCTCAGTGCTATCTGAAATAGCTCAAACAACACGCTATCTAGCTTCCAGAATCTCCTCTTTGTTTTCTTCATTCCCTTAAAATAATGCTTGTCTCAGGGAGTTGAGTTCTACTCAAAAATAGATGTACAACTTCAGCTACTCATTTATCTCCTAGAAACTGTGAACCAATTCTGCTCTTTGCCCCACATACCAAAAGACTGCTATTTTCATCTTTAGAGGAAGATGACTGTGTTGGCAGACTACTCATTACTGCCATTAGAAAATAGGTATTCAAGCTAAAAATAATGAGGAAGGTGAAATGTGTGCAAATTTCAAATGAGATTGGACAAAGCCCTCCAGACAGTGCTAAAAGGAACAATACAGTATTGTCATTAGGGCTGCATCAGGTGACCTCTCTGTAATGGGTCCTTTCTTCCCCTGCACTCACTTTTGAAATCCTATTATGATGAAAATGGGCTGAGCAAATGAGCTCCAAATACATCTAGATTTTAAAAGTATTCCATAACCGCTTTTAATCTGGTAATTTAAAAGTATAACCTCCAGATAAGTTTCACCATCAATCTCCATTACAGATCTTATAATTACTTAAAAAAGAAAGGGAGTAATTTCAGCATATTTTTCTTTATCTCATAATTTCATAACATTATGCCTATCTTGGAAGTCTACACTGTAGTTTGCGTGTTTTCCTAATTAAAAATATATTGCCTTTTTTTCTGTTCCTGCTGAGAAAAAAAAAAGAACTCTTGTCAAAAAATATTTGTTTACCTGTGGATGGACTTGATACCCATTATCCTAAGCAAATTAACAGAGGAACAGACAAATACCACATGTTCTCACTTAAAAATGAGAGTTAAAGATGACAAGAGTAGACACTGGGGACTACTAGAGGGGGTAGCTAGGGAGGGGCGTAAGGGTTGAAAAACTATTGGGTACTATGCTCAGTACCCGGGTGACAGGATGATTCGTATTCCGAACTTCAGCATCATGCAATATACCCAGTTAACAAACTTGCACATGGACCCTGAATCTAAAAGAAAAGTTGAAAAACAAAACAACAAAATTTATGCACAAGATCAAAGCCTCACACTCTTATAGTTACGCTTTCTCTTTACTTGGAAAATAACACTGTCAATTCAAGTAACTAAAAAGTAAGTTTAGAATCTCTGAAGGATTTGGAGATTTCATTTGTTTATCATTGTTACTAATTTCCTAGTTAGTGGAATCATTTGACTACTTCTTTCAAATATCAACAACCCTTTCATCTAACTCTCTTAGATGAAATAAGAAAGTGTTATTCAGGTATTAGTCATACTCGCTCATGTATAACCCTTGTTATTGTCAAGAGACCCAAACTCGTGACTTTAAAAATCAGGTAGGATTTGGCCTTAAGAAGTAACCAAATTGGATATCGAATTTAAATTAAATAATTAACAAAATGATAGGTAGAAGTACGTCACAGATAAATGTTTGGCTCTGGGAAAATCATTGAATCTCTCAGAAGTAAAATTCCCATAAAAGGGGAATTGTAAAAACATCACAGCTGAAATAAACGAAGTATCGTATGAACAACAAAAAATAAGTTGTTTATGGCTTGAGATGAAATGTGCAAATAATTTCCTTAGGAAATATTAAAATAGTTTAACAGGAGAACAATAAACTTCCATATATGTGTGTGTGTATGTATATATATGTGTGTGTATATATATGTAAACACACACACACATACACACAGACACACGGGTTTGAACCATACAGGTTCACATATATGAAGATTTTTTTCCACCTCTGACACCTCTGAGACGGCAAGACCAACCTCTCTTCTTCTTCCTTTTCTTCAATCTATTCAGTGTGATCCCTTACGGTGATCCATATCCATTTAATGAATAGATTTTGATAACATTCTCTTTCTCTAGCTTCCTTTATTATAAAAATGCAGTATATATTTGTATACAAGATATGGTTAATTGACTAGTCAGTAAAGCTTCAACAGTAGGCTATTAAGAAAGTTTTGGGGAGTCAAAAGTTATACACTGATTTTCTAATGAATGGGAGTAGGCACCCTTAAACTCCGAGTGGTTAAAGAATCCAATGTATATATGAAACTTTGATAGCAGCCAGTTGATATACTTACCGTAAATAGAAGACATTCCTATTAAAAAATTCTAACATCTAATTCTATTGGCAAATTTCATGAAAGGGATAGAAAAGAACACAGCTATGAAGCAGAGGCACTGGACTGCTTCAGTTAGACATTGGTGACTTGTCTTTAGAAGGCCCTCTGGATGGTTAAGCTTCTCATTCCCCCTTCCCTTAACTTTAGTAGACTAATCTACTTGCTTTCCATATGCGTTTGTCTTTTTTGAACATTTCATATACATGGAATTATAAAATATCTAGTCATTTATAACTGCTGTTTTTACAGGTATTCTAGGCAAAACTGTTTTGAATATGTCAGTACCTGATTTCATTTTATTGCTAAATAATGTGTTCTATTATATAGATAAGGCACATTTTGTTTATCCATCCACTGCCTGGTGGACACTGGATGGTTAAACCTTTTTTGCTATTACAAGTAATGCTGCTATGAATATTTGTGCACAGGTGTTTTTGTGAAAATACATTTTTTCCTCTTGGGTATATATTCCTAAGCATAAAATTACAGTGTTATGTGGAAACTCCATATATAATATTTTGAGATACTGTTAAACTGTTTTCTTAAGGATTGTATCATTTTAAAATTCCACTAGCAATATATGAGGTTTTAATTTGTTTACATCCTTGCCAACACTTACTATTATTGTTCTTTTTAAAATTTAGCCATACTAGTGGGTATGAAAAAGTATTTTATTATGGTTTTGATTTATATTTCCCTAATGATGAATGAGGCTTAGCATTTTTCATGTGTTTATTGACCATCTGTATATCTTCTTTGGAAAAATCACTATTCAAATATTTTACCCATTATTTTATTTTTTTATTTTTTATTTTTATTTTTTTTTTGAGACAGAGTCTCACTCTGTCCCCCAGGCTGGAGTGCAGTGGCGCAATCTAGGCTCTCTGCAAGCTCTGCCTCATTGGTTCATGCCATTCTCCTGCCTCAGCCTCCCTAGTAGCTGGGACTACAGGTGCCCTCCACCATGCCGGGCTAATTTTTTTGTATTTTTAGTAGAGACGGTTTCACCGTGTTAGCCAGGATGGTCTCGATCTCCTGACCTCGTGATCCACCCAGCTCGGCCTCCCAAAGTGCTAGAATTACAGGCATGAGCCACCACGCCCGGCTATTTTACCCATTATTAATTTGATTATTTGTCTTTTTAATTTTGAATTATAGGACTTAAAAATATATATTCTGAATGTAAGTCCCTTATTAGATATATTATTATAAATATTTTTTCCCATTCCATGAGCTGATTTTTCACTTTCTTTATTGTGCCCTTTAAATACAAAATTTTTAAGTTTGCTAAAGTCCAATTGATCTATTGTTTTTATCACTTATACTCTAAACGGCATTACCTAGCTCAGGTCACTAAATTTACATTTTCTTCCACGTGTTTTATGGTTTTAGCTTTTATGTATACGTCTATGATTCACTTTGTGTTGATATTAATGTATGATATGAGAACAGGGTCTAATTTTTTTTTTTGCCTGTACCTCTCCTTTGGTCCTACCAGTTTTTTTTGTTGAAAAGATTATTTCCCACCATTAAATTATCTTGTACCTTGTCAAATAACAGTTTATAATAAATGTATAGGCTCTTGAACTTTTCAGTTACCATCCATTGATCAATATGTCCATCCTTATAGTAGTACTACAGTATCTTGATTAATGTCATTTGCTAGTTTGTAGTAAGTTCTGAAATAAGAAAGTGTGAACCCACTGACTTTATTCTTTCTTTTTATTAAAGGTGTTTTGAGTTGTCTGAATCACTTGCAATTTTATATAAATTTCAAGGTCAGCTTATCAATTTAAGCTAGAAAAAAGCTATGATTTTATTAATGCTTGCATTGGCGCTGTAGATTATTTTGGGAGTATTGTCATCTTAACAACATTAAGTACTTCAATTTATAAACGTGGACTGTGTTGCCATCTTAGTAGATTTTAATTTCTTTCAACAATACGCTATAGTTTTCAGTGTCTAAGGCTTACACCTCTCTTGTTAAATTTATTCCTAAGTATTTTTTTATTTATAATTCTATTGAAACACAAATGTGTTCTCATTGCATTTTTATAATTTTCACTAACAATTTATAGAGATACAATTAACTTTCATTTATGAAAATGTTATTGTACAACCTTGTTAAATGTGTATAATACTTCTCATAGTAATTTTTTGGTGTTCTTAGATTTTTCTACATTGAATGTCATGCCATTCTGCGAAATGAGACAATTTAATTGTTCCTTTCTGATCTGACTTACCTTGTTCTTTGTTATTCTAACCTAATGATCTAGCTAGAACCTCCAATACAATGTTGAATATAACTGGCAAGAGTGGGCATCTTGTCTTTCTCCTCACTTTAGGGGGCAAATACATAATATTTCGCCATTGTTAAGTATGATGTTATCTGTGCATTTTTCTTAAATATCCTTAAACAGGTTGAGGAGTTTTCCTTTTATTCCTAATGTGTTGAGTGTTTTCACATGAAAAATGTGTTGGCTTTGTCTGAATGATTTTTCTATGTGTATTGATAAGATACTGTAGTTCTAAGTATCTTAAGACTTTTATTCCATAGAGTATACTGGTTAATTTTAAGATGGTGAAACATTCTTGAGAAAAACTTCATTTGGCCATGGTGTATAATCTATTTTACATGTTAATGATTCTATTGCTAGCATTTTCTTGAGAATTTTTATGTCTATATTCACAAGGAATGTTGGTGTGGAGTTTTTTTCCATGCCTTTTTCTGGTTTTGCTATTGGAATAATAATTACCTCTTAGAATGAGTTTAGAATTTCCCTTTTTTGGAATAGTTAAGGTATGCTATTGTGTGTTCTTTAAATGTTGAATAGTATTCACCAGTAAAACCATCTGGCCTGGCCATAATTTGTGCAAAGTATTTTTTAATTACAAAATTATTTTGTATTTATTATAAGCTTATTCAGCTTTAGAATGTCTTCATCATTCAGTTTCAATAGTTTATTGTGGAATTGTCCATTTCATTTTGGGTTGAAAATTATTATCATTATTATTTTGAGATGGAGTCTTGTACTGTCACCCAGGCTGAAGTGCAATGGCGTGATCTCTGCTCACTGCAACTTCCACCTCCCAGTTTCAAGTGATTCTCCTGCTTCAGCCTCCCAAGTAGCTGGGATTACAGGCACCCACCACCACACCTGGCTAATATTTTGTATTTTTAATAGAGATGGGGTTTCTCTTTGGGCAGGCTGATCTTGAACTCCTGACCTCATGATCCGCCCACCTCGGCCTCCCAAAGTGTTGGGATTACAGGCGTGAGCCACCGTGCATGGCCTGAAGTTTTTTTTTTCAAGCAAGTGTTTATAGTATTATCTTACAATCTAATGCAATTTTATAAGGTCGGCATTCATGTTCTGCCTTTCATAATTTCAATAATATGAGGTTTTCTCTTTATTTCTTAGACAATCTATTACAAAATAGCTTCTTGGTACTATTTCTCTAGTGCTTTTATTCTTTCTCTCATTTATTTTTCATTGTACTCTTTTGTTAACTTCAATTTTAAGTTGAGGGATATATGTGCAGGATGTGCAGGTTTGTACATAGTAAACATAAGTCATGGGGGTTGGTTCTACAGATTATTTCATCACCCAGGTATTAAGTCTAGTATCCATTAGTTGTTTTTCCTGATCCTCTCCCTCCTCCCACCCTCCACCCTCTGAAAGGCCCCAGTGTGTGTTGTTCACCTCTATGTATCCATGTGTCTTCATCACTTAGTTCCCACATATAAGTGAGAACATGTGGTATTTGCTTTTTCTGTTCTTGTGTTAGTTTGCAAAAGATAATGGCCTGCAGCTCCATCCATGTCCTGGAAAGGACATGATCTCATTCTATTTATGGCTGCATACTATTCCGTGGCATATATGTACCACATATTCTTTATCCAGTCTATCACCAATGGGCATTTGGGTTGATGCTATGTCTTTGCTAATGTGAATAGTGCTGCAATGAACATACGCATGCATGTGTCTTCACAATGGAATGATTTATATTCCTTTGGTTATATTCCCAGTATTGGAATTACTGGGTTGAGTGGAAGTGCTATTTTTGGGTCTTTGAGGAATTACCACACTGTCTTCCACAATGGTTGAACTGACTGATTAAAGAAATGCAAATCAAAACCACTGTGAGATATTTTCTCACACCAGTCAGAATGGCTATTATTAAAAAATCAAAAAATAACATGCTGGTGAGGTTGTGAAGAAAATGCAACACTTTTACATCATACTCTTTATTATTTTTTTTCTTCTGCTTGCTTTGGCTGAGTTGCTTTTATTTTTCTAGTTTCTTTAGGTGGAAAATTTGGTGGATGGGTTGAGACCTTTCTGATTTTATAATATAGGTTTTGATAGTCATAAATATCCTCTAAGCACTGCTTTTACTACATCACATAAATTTTACTATATGATTTTATTCATATAAAATTATTTAGTAATTTACCTATGTTTTATTAGTTGACCTGTTGATTACTTAGAATGCTGCTGTTTACTTTCCACCTATATATAATATCCCAAATATCTTTATATTATTGATTTATACATTTATTGTGGTTGAATAACACACTTTATATAATAATTTTAATCTTTTCCTATAACCGATTTGTCCATAATGTAACATATTTTATAGCCTGGAGAATGTTTCACATGTACATAAGAAGAGTGTGTATTCTGTTCTTGGGTGGAGTGCTGTATAGATGTTTTAGATCTAGTTATCACATTTGTTTTCCAATGTTGCTGTACAAAATTACCACAAACTCAGTGGCTTAAAACAACACAAATATATAACAATTGTTTAAGGGCAGAGTTTGAGTAAAATCAATATGTTGACAGGGATTCACTCCCTTCTGGAGTCTCTAGGGAATACGCTGTTTCCTTGTCATTTTTTTAACTTCTACAGGCTACCTGTACTTCTTGCTCATGATGTTTTTCTTTGCCATCTTCAAATCCAGCAATGGCAGGTGGAATTTTCACATTATATCCTTCTGACCTGTTATTGTACTACCCTTACCCAATTTTAAGAGCCCTTATGATTATATGATATGGTTTGTTTCTGTGTCCCCACTCAAATCTCGTGTCAAATTGTAATCCCCATTGTTGGAGGTCGAGCCTGGTGGGAGGTGCTTGGATCATGGGAGCGGTATTTCCCTTCAGTTCTGTTCTTGTGATTGAGAGTTGTTGTGAGATTTGGTTGTTTAAAAAGTATGTAACACCTGCTGCTACCCCTCAACCCACTCCTGCAATCTAAGACATGCCTGCTTTCCCTTTACCTTCCACCATAATTGTAAGTGCCCCGAGGCCTCCCCAGCCATGCTTCCTGTACAGCCTGTGGAACTGTGAGCCAATTAAATCTCTTTTCTTTATAAATTACCAAGTTTCAGTCTCAGATATTTTAATAGCAATGTGGGAACTAAGTAATACAGAACACTGGTACCAGAAGTAGGGCATTGCTATAAAGATAGCTGAAAATGTGAAAGTGACTTTAGAACTGGGTAACGAGAAGAGGCTGAAACAGTTTGGCGGGCTCAGAAGAAGGCAGGAAGATGAGGAAAAATTTGGAGCTTTATAGAGACTTGCTGAATGGTTGTGACCAAAATGTTGATAGTGAGATGGACAGTGAAGTCCACTCTGAGGAGGACTCAGATGAAAATGAGGAACTTACTGGGAACTGGAGTAAATATCATGCTTTCTATGCTTTAGCAAAGAGACTGGTAGCATTGTTCCCCTGTTCTAGGGATCTGTGGAACTTTGAACTTGAGAGAAATGATTTAGGGTAACTGAGGAAAGAAATTTCTAAGCAGCAAAGCACTCACTAAATGGCCTGGCAGCTTCTAGAGCTTATGCTCATATGCATCAGCAAACTGAGTGACCTGAAACTGGAATTTATATTTAAAAGGGAAACAGAGTGTAAATGTTCAGAAAATTTGCAGCCTGGCTACGTGGTAGAAAAAAAAAAACTCATTTTTCTGGGGAGAAATTAAAGCCAGCTGCAAAAATATGCATAGCCAGAAAGCAAGTACTAAAAGCGAAGACAATGGAAACCAGGCCCTGAAGGTATTTCAGAGACCTTCACAGCAGCCCCTCTCGTCAGAGGCCAACAGGCCTAGGAAGGGAAAATTGTTTCAGGGGCCAGGCCCAGGGCCCCACTGCCCTGCGCAGCCTCAGGACACTGCTGCCTGCATCCCATCTGCTTCAGCTCCTGCCATGGCTCAAAGGGCCCAAGTACTTGCGCTGCTGCTTTAGAGGGTGAAAGCTGTAAGTCTCACTGGCTTCCATTTGGTGTTAAGCCTGCAGGTATGCAGGGTGTAAGAGTTGAGGCTTGGGAGCCTCCACCTAGATTTTAGAAGACATATGGAATAGCCTGGATGTCCAGGAATAAGCCGACTGCAGGGGTGGAGCCCTCATGGAGCACCTCTTCTTAGGGCAGTGTGGAGGGGAAATGTGGGTTTGGAGCCCCCACAAAGAGTTCTCTCTGGAGTACTGCTTAGTGGAGGTGTGAGAATAGGGCCACCATCCTCCAGACCCCAGAATTGTAGATACACCAACAGCTTGTATCTTGCACCTGGAAAAGCCACAGGCACTTAATACAAGCCTTTGAGAACAGCTTGGGGACTGAGCTCTGCTGCACCACAGAAGCGGAGCTGCCTAAGGCCTTGGGAGCCCATAGCTTTCACCAGTGTGCACTGCATGTGAGACATACAATCAAAATAGGTAGTTTTGGAGATTTAAAATTTAATGACTACCCTGCTGGGTTTTGGACTTGCGTGGGGTCTGTAGCCTCTTTCTTTTGGCTAATTTCTCACTTTTGGAAAGGGAGTATTTACCCAATGCCTATACCTTCACTTTAACTTGGAAGTAATGAACTTTTTAAATACATTTTACATGCTCATAGGTAAAAGGGATTAGCTTTGTCTCAGATGGCACTTGGGACTTTTGAGTTAATGCAGGAATGAGTTAAGGCTTTGGGGAACTCCTGGGAAGGCATGATTATATTTTGCAATGTGAGTAGAACATGAGATTTGGTAGGGGTCAATGTAGAATAATATGGTTTGGGTCTGTGTCCTCACCCAAATATCATGTCAAATTGTAATCCCCAGTGTCGGAGTTGGGGCCTGGTAGGCGGTGATAGGATCATGGGAGTGGATTTCCTCTTTGAGGCTGTCCTCCTGATAGTGTTAGTATGAGATCTGGTTGTTTAAAAAGTGTGTAGTACCTACCCCCTCTCTCTTTCTCCTGCTTTGGCCATGTAAGATGTGCCTGCTTCCCCTTCACTGTCTGTCGGGATTGTAAATTTCCCAAATCCTCCCCAGCCATAATTCTTATACAGCCTGTGGAACCATGAGTCAATTAAAACCCTTTTCCTTATAAATTACCCAGTCTGAGATATTTCTTTATAGCAATGTGAGAACTAACTAATACATTATATTTGGCATATGTGTATAATCCAGGATAGCGTATTCATCTTAAAGTAAACTGATTAGCAATCTTAATTTCATCTTCAACCGTAATTCCCCTTTGTCATGTAACATAATAAAAACAGTGACTCTGGAGTTTAGCATGTGTACATCTTCAAGAATTCATTATTCTACCTACCAGACATACATTATTGTTTATGTGTTCTATTTCCTTATTGATAATATGCTTCCTTTTTCTATCAATTGTTAAAAGTAGGGTATGGAAATCTCTAATTATTATTTGTGAATTGTTTCTCTCCATTCCTGACTATTGTTGATTGATATGTTTTATTGACTCTGTTGGATGCATGTATGTTTATAATGTTTATGTCTTCTGAATTTATTATTTTCATTATTATAAAATTTCTCTATTTTTCTTTAATAATATTTTTTGCTTAAACACTGTTTTGTCTAATACTAGCATAGCCTCTTCAGCTCTCTTTTGACTACATTTTGCATGATACATCTTTTTTAATATTTTATTTTCACCCTATTTATGTTTTAAAAGTGTGTTGTACATAAAATGTAGTTGAATTACGTTTTTTCAATTTATTTTGACAGTCTCTTGAATGGAGTGTTCAGCCCATTTTTATTTAATGTAATCATTAATAAAGTGGGTTTTACATCTGTCATTTTGCTTTTTATTTTCCATATGACTCATGCAATTTTAAAATTTCCCCATTACTGCTATCTAGGTATTCTCTAGTATATTAATTTCTTGTATGTATAGTACATTTTTTAGTTATTTTCTTTGTGCTTTCTCAGAGAATTATAATATACATCTTATCTTCAAATTATCTAGTGTGGATTAACATCAACTTAATTTCTATATTATTTGAAATTTTGCCAAAAAATAATATTTCCCTATCCCCTCTCATGCCATTATCATACAAATTACTTCTTTATAATTATAAGACCATCAACAGGGTTTTATAATTATTGCTTATGCAGATGTCTTTAAAAATAGGAAAATAGAGCTACAAATAAAAATGCATTTATAATATTATTTGTATTTGCCAAAGTAGTTACCTTTACAGATGCTCTTTATGTTTCTGTATGGATATGGGTTGCTCCCACTGTTTCTTTTTCTTTTATTTCAGCCTGAAATGCTTGTTTTAATAGTTCTTATGAGACAGTTTGTTAAAATGCTCTTCATATTTATCTAGACATGTCTTAATTTCTTCTGCGTGCTTTTAAGGATAGTTTTTCTAGATACAGATTTTTTAATATAGTGTTTATTTTCCCAGCAGTTTGAATACATCAACCCATTGCCCCTGGGCTCAGTGATTTCTGATGAGAAGCTAGCTGTTCATCTTATTGGAGATCTCTTGTATATGATGAGTTACTTCTCTTTTGCTGATTTCAAAATTTTCCCTTTGTCTTTGACTTTTGATAGTTTTATTATAATTTGTCTAAGGTGGATCTCTTTGAGTTTATCCTACTCATAGTGTGTTAAAGTTCTTGAAGGCAGAGACTAATGTTTTCTATCGAATTGTAAAATTTGTGGCCATTATTTCTTCAAATATTTTTTCTATCTGATTATGCCTCTTTTTTTTCTAGAATTCCCAAATCCAGAATTATATTTGCTTCTTTTAGAAATAATTTTTCTTTTTTGAACTTTTCTATTTCATGGAATTTTATTCTCATATATCCTCTAATTATTTGGACAACAGTCCTTTTATTTCTTTAAACATATTTATAATAGCTGATTTATAGCCTTTTTAAAATTTAAAGTCTAAACATCTTGGCTTCCATATTCACCTTTTCTATCATAGTTATTTTTCCTGTGTGAAAAAAATATGTAAGCAACACTTTCTGTTTCATTATATGTCTTACAATTTTATGTTGAAACTAGACATTTAAAATAATACAATATAAAATAGATAATATTTTAATGTTAAAGTATTAAATTTTAATATTAAATGTATTATATTTAAATAATATAGCATGACAATATTGTAAATCAGAACTCTCTCCCACACACACACTTCAGAGTTTCATGTTGTTGCTGTTTGCTGATGTTTCTTGCTGTTGTCAATCCTTTGTTTAGTGATCTTTCTGGTCTAATCGTGTAAAGCATGTATTTCCTGTCATATGTGGCTGCTTAAGCCTCCACTTGATATCCTTAATACTCATTTAATAGACAGAAAATTCCTTAATTGATGTAACCTTACAGTCTCCCAGCCTTTGTCGAGTGGTTCTTGTTGTGTTGAGACATCTCTTCAATTCTCCAGCAGTTCACAACTTTTTTTTAGCCTTCACTTCTTTCCTATGCAGAACCTCAAGTCATACATATGCAAAAGATTGTGTTTTTTTTAAGTTTTTTCAAAGCATATGCATATACTAGCACATATGTGTGGCCCACAAGATTCAAAGGAGTATGTTGGAGCTTTTTAAAAACTTCCCATAGACATCTGACTTCCAAGGTATTTAATTTTTTTGACAAACCTATTGTTTTTCCCCACCCAGGCATGTATGATGTTAAACAATTTCCTTTTTTTTTTTTTTTGCTGTTTTCAAATTCCTGGGTATTAAACTTTTAACACTGAGTAAATTCTTAGGAAGGGCCAAATAATGATAAATCCTGTGAATGCATCTTTTACAGGTTGCTTCCAATAACAGTCACATAGTGAAAATACTTTGGGGATGGGGCTTTTTTGAAAGTTCCAATTGTAATATACTCCCCTCAGTGGCTGATAGGCATGTTGTTCATAACTTCCCTGGTTGTAAGGATGCTGCTTTTATGGCTTCTGCAGAGCTGGAGAGAAGGGGATGGGTTTAAGGCAAGTTAGAGCACAACAAGTGTAAAGCTTATAATTTAATTCAGAATTATTTCTTGAATAAATATTACTTATTCTTGCAAGCATTTATTCATTTTTGAAATCCTGTAAAAGTTGATTTTGACAATATTCATCGGTGTTTTCAGGTTTTTAATAAGACAGTAGATTTTTCAGGGCTTCATATCCCACTATTTTAAAAATCATAACTGGACAGTGGAACTCTTAATTTTAGAATTCCAGTGTCATTTTGACAGGGTCACCATGTCAAAACAAAAGGACTCAGAGATTTGTCAGTATACTTATGAGTTATCAGGGATTCTTTGAACAATTGATCCATCTCTAGTTATTTTTTAGTTAAAAAGTGAAGCCTGCAAAACAGCCCTAGATCTTATTATAGTTATTCTGAATCCTCCTGTCTTTGAGGGGCTCAGGGAAATATTACCACCTACAGCCCCGTGAGAAGAGAGCACAGTATCACTGGGGACAATATTGGATGAGAACACTATAATAACTTATGGGAAAATTGCAAATTCTGATATTTCCCTCTTGGAAGTATAGGCTAACTATTCCCCTCCCATTTTTTTCCTTTGGTAAATTTTGTTGCACTGGATAATGTGATGGCTAATGAGCTTTTGGGATGAATAATTCTAAATTATAAAAGCATTCTACTCTTCACTAAAAAATCATGAAGCTCCATGCTCCTGCCTTGGTAACGATATTCTAATACGCACTATTATGGTAACTGTCCCTTCCTTATCCTTGCTTATGAGTCCATGAATATCTGTTGATAACCAGGGGTTGACTTCCAGTTAATTGTTGGAGTCTTATATTAACACAATACGTTACGTCCCAAGGTGTCACTTATTGTGGTTAAATCTTAAGGTCCACCATTTTTCACAAATCTCTTCACCTGTGAGTGAGATGCAGCCTGGATTGCAGAATGCTATATCTTTATTTTAATCACCAGAGCTTGGTTTTAATAATCACATGCTGCACTAACAAAATAAGAGAAGCAATAAAATTATTATTGAGAAAACACACGTGTCTCTGATGCAGGTTATTTTTGTAATGCTTCTTAAAGATCTTTACAACTTTAGTAAATAGAAGAACAAGACAATAAAACATAGTATTAAAGAGAGCATTAAAAATGTAAGTGGATTTCTTATGTATTTAATTTGTAATAACATTTAGAACTTGCTAACAGTTGGTTTGTAAATGTCATTTAGTTGCTTAACATATGTGTCCAAATTCCACAAGCAGATTGCAAAATTTATGAGAAGACTTCTCTATGTTGTTTGGATTTCTTCAAGAGGAATCAGAGTGTCATACAGGTTGAGCATTTCTAATTCAATAATCCAAAATGCTTCAAAATACAAAATATTTTGTGTGCCATGCGGCACTCAAAAGAAAATGCTCACTGGAGCATTCCATATTTGCATTGTTTTGGATTAGGGATGCTCAACCAGTAGGTATAATACAAATATTCCATAATCTTAAAAAATCTGATTTCCAAAACAAGCATTTCAGATAAAGGATACTCGAGCCCCCATACAGGTGCAAAACTAGTTTCTCCACAAACTAAAACTTTAAGAAAAAAATTAGATAAAAATATAAATTGTTGGCACAGGTGAGATTCATATATGTAATGAATAATTATATAATATTATTCTCTTCTATAGCCTAGATTTGAATCATCTTTAAAATATGCTAAAATGTATTATCTGGCAAAACTTTGTGGTTTAATCAATATTGGGCTTCAAATTACCATTATGCCTGGGAATTGCTATCAATTTAAACAAGATACTTTTTATACTCTTAGGGGAAAAACAACCAAACACAAAACAGATAAGCCTCATCTGAACCATCAGAACTATTATCTTGCCTAATTTCTTCATAGTGATAGCATTCATTGCCCTAAAATAGCCCATAGTTAGCATATCCACACTCACTCAATGAGTAATAAAATAAAATTAAATGAAGTTTCTGGTACACGAATTGGCTTGATAATATTGGACCCTATGAACTTGCCTCCTTGGTTAAAATAATAAACACAGCCCAATATAAATTAAAACAGGGCCTTCAATATTGAAACTCATTATGCAAGACCTATTTAGAGAAATAGTGATTATGGCTACTGTTGTGACAATTATAAGCCAAATTTGCTCCTTTCTAAAACTTGAAAAGGATAAATAGCACCTCACAATTAGTTGGTGCAATCTTAATGCTGTAGTCCCGCTGATTAAGGCCCCTACACCCAATATTACTGAGGTAAAAATCAAAGAGATTCCTTGCCATCAGAAGCTAGTAAATATTTAGCAGTCATGTTCTGTTCACTGTCTGTTTCAACAGCCTCTCAGCTGCAATTTGTCTTCACTTTCAAAGGGACACAATATGCCTTTAATCAGCTACCCTGAGGCAGATAATTAAATTAATATAGGGAAATCTAAAAACATAAAATGTCCACGAAGTGAATAAAATACTTAGATCCAATTCCAGGCAACACCGCTTTGGTAGGAAATATCTAGTAATTTTTCCCCTTTTTACAGATCTTTAAAGGACTTCACTTCTGAGGGCCAGGAAGACTCATCATCTGGTTTCAATCATGGGCCTTATAACTAACTGCGTAAAATGGTAAGGTGAGAGGTAGAAAAGGCTGTTGTGATTGGGGAGTAGAAGAAAGAATTCCCCAACTTTATCAGAACCTTTCAAATATCTACAAGGGCTCAAATAAATCTTCTTGTAAAAGCATCATTTAGTTTCCACTGCCAGAATAGATGGCAACAATAACTGTCTCTAAGTCCTACTTGATGATCAATTTCTACTTACTGATCCACTAGCCAATTTTCAAACATGATAAAAACAAAGTAAGAACAGATTCAATTTGACAGTTGCTCTCAGAGAGATGTACACTCAGTGCAGTAAAAGAACAGAAACAGGAAAAAAATCATGTTTTCATAGTATGATATTTGTGAAAGGATTCATAAAGAAGATAGTCAAACTACATTTTGAAACATGAGTAAAAAATCATCTGGTTTAGAAAAGACAAAATTTGGAGAGATGGGGTGTGAAAGAAGCACAGCTAATTGGAAAACAACAAGAAATTTGATGTGTCTGGGCATTCTTCTCTGACACCAGGGGCCAGTGAGCAATGATCCATTAGAAAAAATATAGAGAGCAGTTCAAAGTTTAGAAGGGAGACAGAGGGACATAGTTAAACTTGAGCTTGATTAGGGTCATGACCAGGGTAAAAGAAGAAATCCAGTATTAATGGTGCTTCTAGGATGAATGTTGTCTTTAATGCTAGATAGCTCAATCACAGCTGGTTTTTCTAACCCTCTATGGGAAAATCTCTAGTTTTTAAAGGCTGTCACTGGTGAAGCCAGTAATGTATTAAGCCCCTTTGGTGAGTAATCTTTCTAACCACCTAAAAGACTTCACTATGGTTGTCTACATGGAAAGCCCTACCTACCACATCAATGTGGGATTTAGCCATTTGTCTCAGCACCCTTTTAGCCAGACAATGGATAGAGTTCCAGGTCCACTAAATGGTGCTTCCTTCTCCACAGCCTTATGGAGTACTGTAGTATGGATATTTGCCCCTCCAAACCTCATGTTGAAATTTGATGCCCAGTATTAGAGGTGAGACTTAGTGGGACATGTTTGGGTCATGGGAGTGGATCTTTCATGAATAGATTCATGCTCCACATTGGAAAAGGGGTGAGTAAGTCTTCACTCTGTTAGTTTTTACAAGAGCTGGTTAGATAAAACCTGGCACCTGCCTCCTCTCTCTTTCCCTTCCTTTTTCACCATGTGATCTCTCCATGCGGGCTCCCCTTTGCCTTCTACCGCGAGGGGAAGCAGCTTGGGTCCCTCATCAAAAGTAGATGTTGGCTCATCATTCTTCTTGTGCAGCCTGAAAAATCATGAGCCAAGTAAACCTCGTTATGAATTACCCAGCCTCTGTTATTCTTTTATAGCAACACAAGTAGATGAAGACATGCAATAAAAGACACAAAAAGATTGTTTTAGTTTGTGTCCTGCTGCTATAACAGAATACCAAATCAAGACGCTGCCATCTGGGGAAGGCTTTCCTATGGCATCTTTACATGACAGAAGGCAGAGGGCAAGAGAAAACCAACTCCCACAGGTCTTTTTTATAGTGGATTTCTTAATCCACTCATGAGGGCTCCGCCTAACTCCTAAATACCTCTCAAAAGGCCCTACTTCCCACATTGCTGCATTGGGGGATTAAATTTACAACACATAGATTTTGGCAGAGACATTCAGACCACAGTAAAGAGTAAGATGCTTTTGAGGACCTTAAAATACTATCAGCTGAGTAGATTCTTATACAAATCAAAATGAATCTAGGCAATGAGTAAAGAAGAAGGGAGTAATAAGATTTGAGTATGAAATTATTCAGCCTCAAGATTACAATTGTGATTTAGAATTAACATGAGGAATCATTTTTAAACCCACTGGATTTCTTGTTTCTGGCTTTATCATTTATACATGGTGTAATAATAGGACAATTAATATCTTTAAAACTTTTTTCGCTACATTAAGGATAATAACTGCATGAAATTATTATCAGTCTTTGATATGAAATATGCAAAATTTCTATCTCAGTGTTTAAGCCAGAAGAAGCAACAAAATTGGTGATTTGTATAACTTGGCTTACCAGGTGATTTATTCTAAAAACAATAGGGAACTTTAAAAATATTTATTGCAAGAGGGAGACTCAAACACACAAAATATCAAAATTCTTCTCATTAATTACTATTTTGTTTCAGGCCCATCTGATGGCTCTGTGGGCAAAAACATGACCTGAATCTGCCTGTCTTGGAGTTTATGGCCATTTCATCCAAGTATATGATTTTGTTTCCTCCCCTTTTATCATGATGCTTAAAATTTCAAGAGAATTCTGTTAATACTATTTGGCTTTAACCCTATTTTATTTTCATAATCTCTCATTTACTTCTTAAATATAAAAATAATTATGAAAGCTCTTATAATGGAAGGCATTTAATTACCTGTGCTTTATGCTGCCATCATCATTGTGGTCAGGAGAAATAGTGAAAATATGTGGTAGAAGGCAGGCATATTTCACTTAAAGTAGTGTAAAGCATAGGATAACAAAACATTCTGGTTTTTCACAAACATTTTGTCCTTGCTCACAAAGAGATGTCAAAAGCCAAGGTGGAGTCCATGAAGAAAATTATATTTCCTAAATAAAACTTTGTTTTTAAAATGCTGACCACTGTCATGTTTTGTGAAGTGACTGCTAATTATATTTTTGCTTTAGTCTAACAACAAGGCATTAATTTTTGCAGGATTTTAGTAAATTTTGTGCATTGCTAAATCAATAATTTATTAAAGAAAACTGCATTTTTCTTTAGTTTTCTAAGTATGATAATGTGTGTTGCTTAAGTTTGAAATAAAGCCCATAAGCTTGAATTTCTTAATATACAAAAATAATTTGATCAAAAATGAGATGAGCTTTTGCTTCGCATTTAGACTTATAGGTAAATAAATTCTTTTTGTAGAAATGGATCCCTCATTTGGGAAGAAAATGTAATATTGACTTAAATGAGAAAGTAAAAAATGTGGGGAATCACTTGATTCCCCACATTTTTTGATTGGTGTATTTGAGGGTTGATTCTGATTTTATAGACTGTGGTTCCTAAGGGACAAGTAGTGTCAACATTATTTATCATGGTGAAGACTTTTTCTTCATTGTTTCCTATGGCTTATTTGGACAGCTCAGTCATTACTGTTGATGAACAGTGATCTGCAGAATTTGATTTAGTGAATTAATTTGGACCATGATATTAATAGGGTTATAAAGATGTCCTTTTCTTAACTTGAAACACCTACTATCAGGATTTATTATACAAATTATACACATAATTCAGGACACAGGAGAGTTCTCATGGCAGAAGAATCAGTTCTACTCAGTTAAGCATTTTCTTCTGTGCTATCTTGGAGTGGCTCCTTGTACATACACAGGTAAAACTTTGTCTTCCAAACTGAACTGAAAATTGCTACAGTCCAGAGACAATGATGCCACTAGATGCCTTAATTTAGCTTCTGTTAATATTTTTTAAAGAATGACACCCTTGGACGTGTCTGGGGAATAAATACCCTCTATTAGTCGGTGTTCTTCAGAGAAAATAAAACAGGATCCAAATCTATATGCCCCCACCCAGACACACACACAATATAGATTATAAAAGGAGATTTATTATGGGAATTGGCTCATGTGATTATGGAAGCTAAGTTGTCCCATGATATGCCATCTCTGAGCTGGAAAACTAGGAAATCTGGTGGCATAATTTTGTCCAAGTTTAAAGGCCTAAGAACCGGGAAAGCTGATGTTGTAACTTTTCGCCCAAGGCTAAAGGCCTGAGAACCCAAAGCAGAGGTGGAGAGATTGTGTGTTCAAAGACAGGATAAGAAGGATGTCCCATCTCGAGAGGGGAGAGAGAGATAGAGAGTCACCCTTCCTCCACCTTTTGGTTCTATGTGGGCCATGAATGGGTTGGACTGGATGATGCCAGCCTGCATTAGGAAGGCAGATGGCCCTGACTCAGGTTTACCAATTCAAATGCTAGTATTTTCTGGAAATACCATCATAGACACACATAGAAATAATGTTTTCATGAGCTATTTGACATCCCTTAACATAGTGAATTTGACACATAAAATTAACCATAACACTGTCTTTTATACTGCTAAATCAAACAAAATATTTTACGTTTGGCCTGAAGATTTCTCTGTACATTGTGAGCTATAACCTAAGGGAGTTGTAAACGGACTGTAGCCTACTCTTGTACCAGTCAGTGACTTTTGGCCAATGAAAGGTGGCCAATTGTTGAAACTGTGTTCAAATAAGTCAGAGTCAAGCTGTAACCAATTCGGCTGTTTCTGTACCTCACTTCTGTCTTCTATCTGTCACTATTCTTTCTCTGTCCATAAATCCTTTTCCACCATGTTGCTCCGCTGGAGTCTCTGAGGCTACTATGGCTCTGGAAGCTGCCTGATTCACAAATTATTCTTTGCTCAATTAAAGTCTGTTAAATTCAGTTCAGCTAGGATTTTCCTTTTAAAAATACTCTGCCTTTTGACTAAAAGGGCACTCTAGATTATGGTATCTGAATTAGGCATGTGGCCTACATATAATTGCTCTGTGCATGTCCCATGTGAATTAATTTAAATGAGTAACTTGAAATTTGAGACTTGGAGTAAAATAATAGCAAAGAAGGTATTTTAGCTACTTCATTACGTAGTGGGGTAGTGGAGTATGCTGAAAGGGAGAGACACAGCTTATCTTTCTTCCTTTTTACTTATCCTCTTCCTTCCTTTTTTAAAAAAGAGAAGCTTTTAATATTTCCTAAATGTAGTACATAATTCTGTGCTAGAAACTGAAGATACAGTAATGATAAATTGTCTGCCACAAGATAAGTTAGGAAAAGATAGACATGAAGTCACTTATATGCAACAAAGGCATAGAGAATAACTCTAAGGCATCTGACTTTGTGACTTAGGTGATGGTATCATCAACTGAAGTTGAGAACAAAAGGGTTTGGAAGTTAAATTGTTTTGTGACATGTCAGATATTTAGCCAGAAAGTTGTGGTTTGGCTTGCTCCAATTCTTCATGTCTGGTTGCCATTCAGAGTCAACTGGCATCTGTTCTGATTAGTTAAAACGTACGATGCTCTGGCTATGAAATGTTTTGAATGCTAACCCTGACCTAGTACTATAAATTGGATTTGAAATGGGTAAAATGTGAGATGTCCACTGAATATAGAAGTCTAGAAGTCCAGGGATAACTTGTAGAAGAAGCCAAAACATGCCACTCCAAAATGTACTTCTGTGGCATATTTTGATATGGCTCTTGGAAGGGGCTGCAGACACAGGAACAGCTCTGAAAAACTGTCACTATGTGGAAGAAATTTGCATCTGTAAACAGAATCTACATTAGTGAGGTAAACAGCAGATGCAGAGGCTTTCTAGATCTTTCTTTCTAGAGAAGATTGATTCGCGGGAAAAGGAGATAAAAAGTCTGACGCTTTTGAAGTTCTGGCAGAGGAACTATTAGCACAGGCTTCTATCCATTCCTCCAGAGAGCTGCTATCTCAGAGATTTCATCTGCATAAAAAGACAGCCTTTGTGTGCCAAGCCTTTTCTCCTGCCTCCCTGTCATAACCTGTCACCATGCTCTAAGCTTCTATTTCTTTCTGTATTATATGAAGACTTAAATCATCTGACCCTAATTTAAGTCTCATATTAACTGGACTCCCATGTGCATATGCATGCTAATAAATTTGTATGCCTTTTCTCCTGTTAATTTATCTATTGCCATTTCATTTCAGCAGACTTAGACTCCTACCTTAAGATGGAAAGTTTGAACTTCCCTACCCCTGAAGATAATATTCTGGAGGTTGAAATGTAACTCAGGACTTACCTGACCTGAGAAGTTTAGGTTTTATAGTCATTAATAGGTTGTGTTTGGTGCCATTGTTGTGGATACAGGAGATATGTCACATGTTTTTGAGAAGAGGAGATCTCCTCATATTTTACCACCTCCACTTTCTAATTTTCATTGGGTCTGCTCTTTGAGGCACCTTGACCTTCAATCCCACTAGCTTCCCCAGCCTTCATTAAATTCATTTGTTCCAACCTGAACACTGCGGGTTGCCATTTCAGTTATGTGATTAGATTTCCCTCGGAATCAGTTTCCCTGGCTACATCCTAAACTTTGCCTTTATCTCTCCATCTTATTCTTAATTAACAACACTCTTCTTTGCTACAAGAGTGACTGTAGGCTCTTCTCCTAAATCCCTGGCTCAACAGATCCTAGAATTCCTATTAATCTATTAATTTGATCCCCCAAGAGCTTTACATTCCATCTCCTCAGTTCTTTTGCCCATACTTTATATACCTTAGTGTGGCTCCTTACCAAAGCCCATGTGGATTACTGACACTCTCTCTAGATGACTACTTTGCCATCATTCTCATACCATTTTCCAGTCACCATGTAGCTACATAGTGGTCTTTCTAAAATACTAATGGAATCATGTTTTCCACTTGATTAAAATCCTTTGAAAAATTCCCATCTCCTTCATAAGGTCTTATTTATTTGTATGTCAAATCCTGCATGCCTATCCAGCCTCATCTCTTAAAACATACATGTTGACATACTATGCCCCGGCTATGCCAAGCTACATGAAAATGCCATAACTTAACAAGGTTTACTCAGGCATTCACCCCTGTATGCCTGTACTCACGTAGCGCCCTTTGCAGGAAATCCCTACTCTCTATTGCCTGAGAATACTGCTATTGTACCATTTAGTCTATGTATTATCATTGCAGATTTACTTTTCTAGTAGGTACTCTAAATCCCTATTCATTTTCTTAACACCATTTTGTATATATTTATGGGGTACAATGTGATGTTTCGATATGTGTATACATTGTGGGATGATTAAATCAAGCTAACTAACATATTTTGGTATATGATTCATCCCAAATTTATTTTTGTGTGCAGTGTAAGATATAAATCAAGGTTTTTATTTTTTTAATGAATATTCAGTTATTTCAGCATCATATGTAAAAACGCTTTTTTTCACAACTCAATATATTACCTTGATAAATATTTTGATGTCCAGTAGTATAATTCCTAGAAATCTAGTCTTCTGTTTTCCAGTTTGCTTTTTAAAATGCTCCTGGAATTGCTTGTGTATTTCCATAGATATTTTAGAAACAATTTGTCAATTTCTACAAAAATTCCTGCTGAGACTATAATTAGATTTATGTTAAATCTATGTAATTATATAATTATTTTTTGAAAAGTGCATTGACCTCCCAAACACAAAGCCTTTTTAGTTTGAATTTTGCTTACCTTTCCTGCACTGGGCTCTTGTAAATCTTGATCAATTACATTATTTTGTACTTCCACATCTCTGATTTTTATTTTCATTCATGTCTTTCATTCTTTGCCTTTCGTTTTTGTCTATGACAACTTGGGGTTCTCTCCTATAACTGAATTTCCAAATTAACATGGAGTTCGAGATTGAAAATGACCAACTTTCTGTCTGGTTTGTGTTACTATAACAGAATATCTGAGACTGACAATTTATAAAGAAAAAAGGCTTATTTAGCTCACAGTTTTGCAGTCTGGAACATTCAAGAACATGGCACCGGCATCTTCTCAGATTCTGGTGAGGGCTTTCATGCTGTGTCACAACATGGCAGAAGATCAAAGGAAAAGGAGATATGTGTGAAGAGGCTAAACCCAAGGTGTGTGTGGCTTTATGATAACCCACTCTCTCAGGAACTAGTCCATTCCTGTGAGAGTCAATGCAGTTTCACCAGAGCAGAAACTCACTACTGTAGGAATAGCATCAAGCCACCCAAGAGGTCAGAGCCCTCATGACCCAAACACCTCTCATTAGGTCGCACTTCCTTTTTTTTTTTTTGAGATGGAGTCTCGCTCTGTTGCCCAGGCTGGAGTGCAGTGGCACATTCTCGGCTCACTGCAAGCTCCGTCTCCCAGGTTCATGCCATTCTCCTGCCTCAGCCTCCTGAGTAGCTGGGGCTACAGGTGCCCACCACCATGTCTGGCTAATTTTTTTTTTTTTTTAAGCAGAGATGGGGTTTCATCATGTTAGCCAGGATGGTCTTGATCTCCTGACCTTGTGATCCACCCACCTCGGCTTCCCAATGTGCTGGGATTACAGGCGTGAGCCACCGCACCCGGTCCAGTCACACTTCTTAAAGTTTCCACCTCTCAACATTGCTGCCCTGGGAATTAAGCTTTCAAAATGAGTTTTGATGGGGAAAAAATCACATTTAAACCTTAGCATTATTCCCCGTGCCCTCAAAACACATGTGCTTTTCACATACAAAATATAATAATTCCATACCAATAGTTCCAAAGTCTTAACTCAAAAGACAAAACCAACTCAAAAGACAAAAACAACTCAAAAAAAAAAACCAACTCAAAACACAAAAGTCAAAAAGTCAAAATCTCATCTTATACTCAAAGCAAGTTCCTTTCAGTTAAAGTCAAAACAAATGATATATTTCTAAGATATAATTGTGGAACAGAATTTGGTAAACACTTTCTTCCCAAAAGGGAGAAATAAGGCAAAAGAAAGGAAAGCCATACTCCACAGAAGTCAAAAATGCAGCAGGGCTGACATTAAATCTTAAAGCTCCAAAATAATCTCCTTTGACTTCATGTCCTGCATCTGGGCACGCTGTTGCTAGGGGTGGTCTCCCAAGGAATCCCTGCCCCATGGCTTTGTTGGATGCAACCCATGTGACTATTCTCACAAGTTGGAGTTGGTTGCCTGTGGCTTTTTCAGGCTGTTCTTGGGTCTCAGTAGTGACCTTGCCACTGCAGCTTTACTAGGTATTGCCCTTGAGATGACTTTCTCCGTTGGCACTACTCCTGAACAAGTCTCTGCCAGGGTTGCAGGCTTTTCCATACATCCTTTAAAATCTTGGTGGAGAAAGTCAGGCCTACCTAGCTTTTGCATTCTCAGGCCTTCGGACTTAATACCATGTGGCAGCCACCAATGCTTACCACTGGCAATCTCTGGATTATCAACGTGAGTTGCAAATGGGGTCATTTGAACCATGGCTGCTCTAGAAGCAACTGCCAGATAAGGGAGCAGCTGTGTCCTAGTCCTCTTTCTTAAAACCATTCTGTAGTCCGGCTGGGCATGGTGGCTCACACCTGTAATCCCAGCACTTTGGGAGGCCGAGGCGGGTGGATCATGAGGTCAGGAGATCGAGACCATCGTGGCTAACACGGTGAAACCCCGTCTCTACTAAAAATACAAAAAAGTAGCCGGACATGGTGGTGGGCACCTGTAGTCCCAGGTACTCGGGAGGCTGAGGCGGGAGAATGGGGTGAATCAAGGAGGCAGAGCTTGCAGTGAGCCAAGATCCTGCCACTGCACTCCAGCCTGGGCAACAGAGCGAGACTCTGTCTCAAAAAAATAAACAAAACAAAACAAGAAAACATTCTCTAGTCCTAGGCCTCAGGGTTTGTGGTAGGAAGGGTGGCCTTGAAAATCTTTGAAACACCTTAGGAGCCTTTTCCCCATTGTTCTGACCGTTAGCACTTGCCTCTGTCTTAGCTATGCTAATCATTTTAGCAAAGAGTCTCTCAGCTATACTCTTGAATTCCTCTCCTGAAAAATCATTTCTCATTCTCTATCACATGGCCATGCTACGAATTCTCCAAATTTTATGCTTCACTTTTCTTTTAATTACAAATTCTGCCTTTAGCAATTCCTTTGCTCCTATAACTGGGCATGACCTATTAAAAGTAACCACATTGCTTCTTGAGCACTTTGCTGCTTAGAAATTTCTTCTGCCAGATATACTAGTTCACGCATATGTTTTGACTTCCATAAAGCCCTGGAGCATAGATACAGTTCCACCAAGCTTTGAACTACTTTATAAAAAGGGTGGCCTTCATTCCAGGTCCCAATATCTTGCTTCCCATTCTCCTCTGAGACCTCTTCAGAATGACCTTTACTGTTGATATTTCAGTCAGAATTTTGGTCGTGAACACTCAACAAATCTCTTAGAAGTTCCAATCTTTTTCTCATCTTTTTGAAACCAACCCAGTTTCCCTATAGAACTGATGTTTATGGTTGTGTTTGAATAAGTACAGAAATTGACCTTCCCAGTTTTAAAACTGGAAACTTGCATTGGACTTACCTGATTTCCTTTCTCAGGAAACTGAACCTCAGGCCTCACAGTATCAAGAAACTGAAGCTTACCAGATTACCACATCCAGAAAATGAAACACCAGATCCCTCATTTGTTATGATTGCTTCCTTACTCCTCTCTAATTCCTGTTTTCCCACACATAGTTGTATTTCTCCCCCACTACATTAACCCACAATTTTAGATGGTTGGGGAGATAGATTTGAAATTTATGTCCTGTCTCCCCAGCCGACATTACTCATCCCCTTTCTTCCCTGGCCATACTGATTGTCTCAGTGATCAGCTTTCTGTGCATCTAGCAACAAAACCTAGACTGAACCTCTGGCATTTCAGTAACATTTTTGTCTTATTCTGAGCCTTCATCACAATCACATTTAATGCTTCCTTCATTGCAGTACAAGTTTTTTCTCCCCTGGTCTTCCAAACTCTTCTAACTTCTGCCCATTGCTCAGTTCCAAAGCCACTTCCACATTTTCAGGTATCTACAAAGAAACACCCAACTTCTTGGTACCATTTTTCTGTCTTAGTCTGTTTTGTATTGCTATAAAAGAATGCCTGAGGCTGGGTAATTTTTTAAAAAATAGCTTTATTTACTCCACAGTTTCTCAGGCTGGAAAGTTCAAGAAGAATGCCACCAGCATTTTCTTGGCTTCCACTAAAGACTTTTGTGCTACATCACAACATGTCAGAAGGTCAAAGGAAAAGCAGACATGTATGAAGAGGCTAAACCAAAGAGGCATCCTTGGCTTTTTAATGAACCATTCTCCTGGAAATTAATCCATTCCTATGAGAACTGATAGAGTGTCACCAGAGCAGGAACTCACTCACTATTACAAAAAAGGTCCCAAGCCACCCATGAGATCAGAGCCCTTATGGCCCAAATATTTCCCATTAGGCCTCTGTGATGGTTAATATTAAGTGTCAACTTGATTGGATTGAGAGATGCCTAGATGATAGATGAAGCATTGTTCTGGGTGTGTCTGTGAGGGTGTTACCAGAGGAGACTGACATTTCAATTGGTAGACTAGGAGAGGAAGACCCACCCTCAGTGTGGATGGGCACCATCCAATTGGCTGCCAGCACAGCTAGAACAAAGCAGGTGGAAGAAGGTGGGATAACCTTGCCTGCTGAGTCTTCTGGCTTCTTTCCTTTTTCCATGCTGAATGCTTCCACCCTCTCTTCCTGCCTTTGGACATCAGACTCCAAATTCTTCAGCCTTTGGAGTCTTGGACTTGTACCAGTGCCTTGCTGAGGGTTCTCAGGCCTTTGGCCACACACTGAAGGCTGCACTGTCAGCTTCCCTGGTTTTGAGCCTTTCAGGGTCAAACTGAGCGAGTACCAGCTTCTCTCTTCCCTGACTTGCAGACGTACTATCGTGGGACTTCATCTTATAATTGTGTGAGCCAGTTCTCCCTAATAAACTCCCTTTCACATATACATATATCCTATTGGTTTTGTCCCTCTGGAGAACCCTGAATAATCTAGCCTCACTTCTTAAAGGTTGTACCTTCTAGAATTGCTGCACTAAAAATTAAAGTTGCCACATGAGTTATGGTAAAGACAAACCATATTCAAATCATAGCACTGGCTGGGTGTAGTGGCTCATGTAATCCCAATACTTTAGGAAGCAAAGGCAGGAAGATCACTTGAGGCCAGGAATTCGAGACCAGCCTGGACAACAAACCAAGACTGTCTCTACAAATATAAATATATATATTTAAACAAAGAAAAAAGTTGTAGCACTTGTTAACACTTCAAATTTAAATTTTTGAGATCCCTATATCCCATCAATTGCAGATTTTGATATATCTTACCTCATCATTTTCTTTCAGATTTATATCTGCAGTTTTATTCCCACTTAACTCTCTCTAGATACATGATCACCACACTTCTCAACTTCTGACTTCTTATTTTAACTTTGTCCTTGCTGCCAGATCAATTTCTATAGGGAACTCTCTCACCATGTCACCCCTTTGAGTACCATCCTTTGATGACTCCCATTACTTGCCTATAGAAAACACAAATTCTGAGTTTCAAGTAGCAACAAAACTAACACTTGTATAATCTTATTTAATCTTCATGGGAATTGTATCACTATTTTAAATTTACAAATATGGAGATTAAGATTTGTAAATGCTAAGTAGTTTTCCAATGTTACAGTCAGTGACAGATATTCTTATCCATTCTAATAATGACATTACTATACTCTGTTTTAAGGCCAGAATCATAAAATGGCTGATGCCCACAGTAGAAAAAATACATAAATATATTATATGGAACTTCTGTAATATACTGTGAAATATGATAATTAGTAGGTGAAGAAAGACTTTTTTTTCTTTTTTAGATAATGAAAAATACCTTGAAATTTAAATTCATTATCTTTCAGTAGCCTCCTTGATTTCAACAAAGACAAAAGAGTTCAAACTAACAGTGCAAGAGTAGGGAGAGTAAGCAACATAAATGTATACATAGCTCATGAATAATCAATAAATTCAGTGTTCTTTTTACTGATCTTATAGCTTTTTTTCCAATTCAGTGTATTTAAGAAGATTTATAAAAGTATCAAGCAGTGCCTTTTCTCAGAAATATATATTTTGTAGTCCAAGTACAAAGATTTAAACTTTTCTCCTGTGTTCCTTAGTTCATTCTAAATGTGATTAGCCAGAACTGAAAGAAGCAGCAGGAGTCGTTAAGACATTGTAGGCTGATATGCTTAGATGAGCCTATGCTATCTAAATATAACATTCATAGAGTTGGGCTCCAAAAATACAAAATGAATTGCTCTTTCAGAATAAGCCACTTCAAGTAAGAGTCAGAAGTTTCTTTTCTTATAAGTAACAAGAGAAATGAAAAGAAATAAAATTAGCTAAAAGTTTAAACATTGAAACAGAGCAACATCACAGTTTTTGAAAAAGGATCTATCCTTTGTGAGCAGGAAGAATCCAAAATTCAAGTAGGAAAAGGACTCAAGAATAGAAATAAGACCTTGTTTGTAAGAAAGGAACAGGGAGATCTGTGCTCTCTCAGACTATGATACTTTCTTTCTCTAACAGAGAAAGATCAGTCTTGAAACTTGAAATGTAGAGACAATTGTGCAATGCATAATTTGTCAGAATTTGTAAGTGATGAAAAATGGAAAATAACCAGGTGGCAATGAATAGGATAGGCGATTGTACTTAATTCTGAGCACTGGTTATTCGGTGGGTGGATTCAAAGTGCCTTAGAAGTAAGGAACTTCATTCAGAAAAAGAGAATGAGTTTCCAGTATCATTTACAAATGGCTTTGAGTGGCCCACAGAGGAGGCGTTATGTAAGAGTATCGTAGTACTGGACTCACCATAACAATTGTGAAGTTTGAAAGCATTGAGGGGGGAAATGATTTTTCTAAAGAGTAGTTTATAATACATAGGAAAAATTTTACTTTCTCCCAGGGCTTTCCTCAGATCAGTAATTTATAACTTCCTAGGAGAAATATTTTTTCCCTCCTATAGTCATGCATCAAGAAAGATTTCTGTCATTACCACAAATGGGTGATACAACTTCTCAGAGGGTCTGTAGAAAAAGGCCAAGGCTAGTTGTGGCATATAAAAGTTGAAGATTGAAGTTCTGGTAGAGTTTTCTGTCGTGTTCTCTCTGAAGTCCTGTTGGATATTGTTACATTCCCCACTAGACAGCTTTGGAAATGGTAGTAATAGTAGTAGCATTTAGTTGATCTTAAATCCCTCTAAAATGTCCATTATAATTTAATGCTTAGCTTGTGCTTGAATGATTTCGATATGGAAAACTCACTCCCCCTGGAGTAGGATGCTCATCTTTCATCTGGACAATTTTGGTTACTGAACAAATGGCTTATATCAAACCAAAAGCAATCTCCTATGACTCCTTATGACTCCTTAGTCTTAGCTCCTTTTGACTCCCACTATTAGCTCCACCTAGTAGAAGGGGTCAAAAAAGATAAATTGAAGTATTTTGACAGATTGATTTATAGAGACCTGCTACATCTTCTCCCTAATTTTTCACTAATCTTTCAATATGTAGTCTAAAAATATCTACTTTCTTTAATAACATCTTTAATGGTATGTGTGGTATTGTAGAGTATACATTTGGTCTTCCTTCCTGGTTTCATTTCCTGGCATACAACTCCTAAAATCCTTGGAATCCAAAATGTTGTCTTTTTTTCTGCTAATGTTGACTGATAGTTTTAGCGCAGACTGGTCACCAGAAAAACAAATGCAAGATTACAGAGTTGGACTTTCAGCTGCATGTCCCAACTGCCAGAAAGTGGAGAGGGGCTGAAGGTCAAGTGGATCTCTGATAGCCAATGGTTTAATCAATCATGCCTACATAATGAAGCTTTAATAAAAACCCAAGAGGACGGGGTTCAGAGAGATTTTGAACAACTGAACACATGGAGATCCCTACAGGGTGGGGCAGCTGGGGAAGGCATGGAAGTTTCATGCCCCTTTCCCTTACCTTGCTCTATGCATCTCTTCATCTGTATCCTTTATAATAAACTGGTAAATGTAAGTAAGTGATTCCTTGAGTTCTGTGAGCTGCTCCAGCAAATTAATCAAACCCAAAGCAGGTAGCATGGAAACCCCGATTTGACGTCAGTCAGGCAGAAGTTCCAGAGGTCCATACTTGTTAATAGTATCTGATGTTGGGGGAGGTATTCATGGGGACTGAGTCCTCAACCTGTGGGGTCTAACACTGACCCCAGCTAGACAACAACAGAATTGGATTGGGGTATACCCAGATGGTTTCCACTACAGAATTGATTGCTTGCTATGGGAAAAAAAAAACACCACATATTTTGGGGTCACAGAAGTCTTCTGTGTTGCTTGTTTTTGGGTCGGTGTAAGAGCAGAGGAAAAATACAGCTTGAATAGTTTTTTTCCTAAACAGAATGTCATTAAATTTCTTTACCATTTTTTTTGTCATAATCTAAACCCCCTGAGATGTCATTTCTTCTTGCGATACAGCAGTATAACTCATACTTTATGCTATTTTGTTTCTTGACTTCCCTGAAGTTTCTTAAAACTATTCTAATTTGCAATAGAAATTCTTTCTTTGAACATCAAAAAGTCTAGTGTAAACCTATATAAGTCTAGTGTAAACCTATATAAGTCTTGTGATATCTAGATATTAAGAGTAATTAATGCCAACTCTCATAAAATACAAAAAAAAAAAATCAGTACCTTTACACACTAGGAGTTAAATGTTCACTCATTCAAAATCCTATGTAGAAGTTACTGATA
The DNA here is from genome assembly GCF_000001405.40 of Homo sapiens. Lineage (NCBI taxonomy): Eukaryota > Metazoa > Chordata > Mammalia > Primates > Hominidae > Homo > Homo sapiens. The sequence goes on along the minus strand of NC_000010.11, from coordinate 108,807,427 downwards.
GGGGCTGGGCATGGTGGCTTGTGTCCCAGCACTTTGGGAGGCCGAGGCAGGCAGATTACCTGAGGTAAGGAGTTCAAGACCAGCCTGGCAAACATGGTGAAACCCCACCTGTACTAAAAAAAAAAATACAAAAATTAGCCAGGCATGGTGGTGCATGCCTGTAGCCCCAGCTACTTGGGAAGCTGAGGCAGAAAAATTACTTGAACCTGGTAGGTGGAGTTTGCAGGTATCCGAGATCGCATCAGTGCACTCCACCTGGGTGACAGAGTGAGATGCCACCTTAAAAAAAAAAGTTACTTATTGGGTACTTCTTCTGGGAATCACGTCTCCATTAAGTTACTAAGGGATTCAGGCTCTTTCTAGCCTGTGTCACTGCCCTTCCTCATCACAGAGCTTCTATTGCTATGATAATAGGCAGAAAACAGGACATGGGAGGATTTTTTCCATGTTTTAAATTAGCGCATTATAGTTGTACATATGTTGGGGATCATGTTATGTTTTATATATGCATGCAATGTGTAATGATCCAATCAGGGTAATCAGAATATCCATTACCTCAAACACTCTTCTTTATGTTAGGAATATTCAAATTCTTAGTTATTTTGAAATATACAATAAATTATTAACTATAGTCTCCCTACTGAACTATCAAATACTAGACCTCATTTCTTGTGTCTAACTGAGTATTTTTGTACTCATTAATCAATTTCTATTTATCTTTTCCTTTCCTCTATCCTTCTCAGCCTCTGGTAACCAACAATCTACTCTTTATCTCCATGAGATCCATGTTTCTTTGCTCCTATATATAAGAGAGACCATAAGTTACTTGTCTGTTTGGCCTTGCATATTTCATTTAACATAATGACCTCTGTTTCCATACATGTTTCTGCAAACGACAGGATTTCATTCTTTTTGTGGCTGAATGGTATTTCATTGTGTATATGTACCAAATTTTCTTTAGTCATCCATTCACAAACAAGTTGATTCCATCTTTGGCTACTCTGAATATTACTGCTCTAAACATGGGAGTACAATCCCATTTCTTTCTCTTTTAGAGAAAGAAAATAAAGATGTGGAATTTTTACAAGCCACATTTGAAAATTGTTTTCCCCACATTCCACTAATCAAAATTAGTCATTTTTCCCTACATAGCGACAAAAGGCTGGAATGTCATTTTCATGTGTCTCCTGGAGGTAAATGAGAAGATTTGGGGAACACTTAGCATTTAGCATTATCTCTGCCACGCATAGCCTTTTCTCTTCAAACACATATGATTCGCTTGAGGAGGCAAGCGAAACACAGGAAATCTAAATGAACGATGGAGAGTTCTAACATTTGAGAAAGTTTCCTAATAAGTAGAATTTGAAGTGAACATTGAAGAACAAGAAAGGTTTTCATAGATAGTGGGAAATGATGAAAGCCTTCCTGGTGAGTGTCTCACACAGGCAAATGTGCAGAGAAATGAAAGCATAGGATATACACTTTCTTGTTGGATAGTTAGAGTTTCTGGAGATGCTCCCACGTAACACAAATAGATCTAATACTAAGCACAGCATATGCTCACCCTTACTAGCTAGAAATGAACAGTCATTGCTACTTTTCCAGAGGTCCCTTTGAAATTTGCATTAAAGTATATTGATGATGGGATCTGGGATAACATTTGCTATAACTACTTGACATTTTAATGTACACCTTTCATGAAAATGTAGGCATCTTCATATGCATAGACTTTAGATGAGATCACTTTATTTACCTGGCTTGGTAGAATTTTGATAGGCAACCTCTCCAAATATCTTTTATATTTAAGCCTCTAATGTCTTTTTGCACCCTCTTCTGATTCCTGATTTTTTCTCAGATTAATCTTATACTCTCATATAAATTTTACACTCTTCGAAAAATATCTGGATATCCCAATGTCCTCAGCATAGTGCAGGAAGTTTAATAATTGTTACAATGACTTAATAGTCATTCAAACAATATTTTCTGGCTCTGATTCTTTGGGTATTTGCACAACAATAAAACCCTGAATTTTTGTCTATAAATCTTCACACTTTTTAAATTTTACTATTATACAGTAAAAGAGCAAAAAGCTGAGTTGAAATGATTAGCACCATAGTTCAGCTCTGGAGCCTATAATCTATCTTCTGGGATGTGGTGCAGGACTGAACTTCAGGAAATGGTTCGTACATCCCACCCCAGCTTTTTCATACACCTTGGCAACATGCAAGCTAAATATTTTATACTCTAATAGTTTATTCATGCATTGCCCTGCCACATTTGATATTCTTGGTTGGTTTCAAATACTGTTACCATCTCTTTTTCAAGGCACAAGCGCTGGGGGAGGTGCAATTGTTAACATGGGATCTTGTCTGCCAAGTGTGCGGCTTCAATAAGCAAAAGTAAAGCAAAGGGGTATCTCCTCAAAGTCAATTTATGTCCATCTGGCTGCTTCTTAGAAGCATATTTTAATAAGGAATTTTAAATCTATGTTAAATCGCAGCTTAAGTAAGGACAGAGATAAATGGCGCAATCTAAATTAGAAAATAGTGGAATTAAATTGATTTTTACTCCATACCATAAAATGTGCTCTCTTTGATATTTGGAATATTTCAGCTTGTTTCTCCTTCATCTTCACAGAGTTGCATCATTAAGTATCTTGAGGAAATGGACAAAGTCCCAATGGGCTCTCTTTCCTAGGTTGGGTCACTGAGGTATCCCACAAGAGACACCATCTTGACCTCAGGTATCAGACTGTGAGAAGTTGTGTGGAGCTGGGGGTCTATTTTCCCCTGGCCTAATCTAATGAAGTGCAAGGACAGGAGTCTAAAGAAGGACATAGAGGAAGTGGTCAAAAAGTCAGCCTTGCCAGTTCAAAGAACAACTACTTTTCTAGGCTGGTGGCAATCATGAGGAGCCTGTAAATATAGGAGTCTTTGTGGGAATAAATAGTCCTTTAAAAAGTGAAGCTGTCCACAGAAAACAAGGTTTTGCTTGCTATTAGAAGAGTTTAGGGAAGGACAGAACTTGAAACACTCCCAAAGCCTTTATCTGCTGTTCCTATTCAACCCCACACAGAACACATGAAATCACATCTTGAAGTCTCAGCAAAATGAAGTTATTTCCTCTCTTGTCTGAGCTCAGCAGCTGTGTTCTTTAGCCAGTTAGCTGAAGCTTTTCAAAAATGTCTGACCATCACAGCAGTGTTTCAGCCATGAGTCCTAGGCACTGCTGCTTATTGGCAGATACTCCTGGAAGCTAATAATATACTCATCAATCTTAGACTGTAGATAATAGAGAATATCCGTTATTTTAAGTGTTAAACTCGGCCAGGCATGGTGGTTCACTCCTGTAATCCCAGCACTTTGGGAGGCTGAGGCAGGTGGATCACCTGAGGTCAGGAGTTCGAGACCAGCCTGGCCAACATGGTGAAACCCCGTCTCTACTAAAAGTAGAAAAATCAGCTGGGCGTGGTGGCAAGCGCCTGTAATCCCAGCTACTTGGGAGGCTGAGGCAGGAGAATCGCTTGAACCCGGGAGGCGGGAGTTGTAGTGAGCTGAGATCGAGTCACTGCATTCCAGCCTGGGGGACAAGAGCGAGATTTCATCTCAAAAAAAAAAAAAAAAGACTTAAACTCTACCATATTCATATTTGGCTGAATAATGACTGTCCCCAACATCAAGGCCAGGAAAAACAAAAAGCGTGATAAAATAGGAGAACTGGGGAAAACGAGGAAAAGACAAAGACATTTTCTGACATGATAAACCTGGTGAAGAAGTAGAGTATTATAAGAACTAAAGAAACTCTAACACTCTGAAATTTAGGTGTAAGAGTCTTTAGGAATTAAAGGCTTATCAAGATAACTAATTCAAAAAGCATTCTAACCAAGTCACTGCTAATGATGGTAATAATAACAGTCAATATTGATAGAATGGTTAACCCACAGAAGGCCCAGGTTTATGTATGTTTACATACATGAACTGATTTAATCCCCACAATGCATTTGTAAGTAGGGTACTATTAACATACCTATTTTACATACAAGGGTACCTTCTTAGGAAGATGCCATGACTTGGTCAAGATTACCCAAGTAACAAACAAATACGGAGCTGAAGTTTGAATTCACAGTAGGTTAATTAAAAACCTTACGGTCATATGTAGATCAGTGCAATTCTGCAAACAATATGGGGAGTCATAGAAGTGAAAAAGCTAAAAACTAATGCAGCCAGTAAGAAAGAAATGAAGCATAGTAGGAGCAGTATATCCCCTGGCGAGGTGCCATTCCCTGCTCCAGCTTCATTTTCTGTCCTCATCTAAGAGGCTGAAATTAGCATACAACTCATGGAAGAGAAACTCAAGATTTTAAACACCGATCTTTCATGGTAGTAATAGCTCATATTTTGTTATCTATAGATGGTACTGTCATGCAGATATTTCTCTTATCCATTTCCTTCCTCTAACTTTCCTTATTTTATTCATATATGAAAACTCATCTGTTCGACAGATTATTCGATCTCTATTTTAACCTCTTTAATTCACTGAGTTTCATCTTTTTGCTTATATCTGTCAACTCATTTTAGCTGTGAAATTATGCTTATTTCTTAGTAAAATCTTCCAATTTTCCTTCATTTCTCTGATTAATGCTTTCACATCAGATTATATTGCTTTTAGTTAAACCATATTATGACACATATATAACAGGATACAATATGTTTCAAAGATGGGATATTTAAAAATATATTTAATAACATTAAAATATTAAAATATGAAATATTTTTAAATATGTAAATATGCAAATATTCACCAAAAATCTCAAATATGAATTATAAAAGCATCATATATGAATTTAAATTTAGTACCTAAAATAAATTTAGCACATATTAAGTAATTATTTCAAAGAAAGGAGTTACAAATTTATATTCACTTTTCTGTGTAAAGTAATATATAACTCACCTTTCCAGACCCAATTGTGCATGAGTGCCATTTTGAAACATTACACAAAATATCTGGCAGAGATTCAAACACAAAGACAAGAAAAATATGTGTGGTAAAGTCTTTAGTTCAGAAAGTCCACAATTCACATGAACTGGGCTTTCAGAGTTAGATGGAATGCTGTGTTTAGTTAACAGAATTGACAAGCCAGTGGAGAATTATGAGTCAGTAGTTAAGTTACAGGAGGCAGAATGTTTCTTCTAAAAGGCCATAGTCATAGTTTTCTAAGGAGTCATTTGAAGGAAACCTATATCAAAATCACCTGTATGCTTTTAAAAATCAGAATTCAGAGCCCCTTCCCAGACCAATTTACTCTTTTTTGGTAAAATGGATCAAAGATAAAAAGGAAATGTAAGTCTGTTCCCTCCATAGCTCAAATAAAAATCCCAGTCATTAGAAATCACTGCAATGGGCAGTGGAAGCCCTAGATCTCTTTTAGATAGACCAACACTTAGTCATATTTTGTGATACAGAGGAATGGCTGGTGATAGTATGGAGGACATGCCTGATACAGGGAGAAGAGAGACTGGAAATTAGTGGCTATTTCAAGAAACAGGTGAGAGATAAAGGAAGCCAGAACAAACAAGTGAAGTGTGGAGAAAGGGCAGACAACAGAGTCAAGACACATTTCAGAATGTGTTACAATGGCACCATTTTGTGGCTGTGATTGATTGATTGATTGGATTGAGGAGTCACAGAAGAGGGCATCTAGATTTGGCAAAGTGTGGATTTAACTTCAGGAACAGGTTTGGTGGCTCAGGTGATCTCATCAACTTTGTTTCTTGCATCTCTTAGCTCCACATTCCAAACGGTTTTCTTAGACTAATGATTCTGGAATAATTTCTTATGTCCTAAACAAATCATTTGGTAAAATTTTTATGTCCATTAAGTCTAGTCCACAAAATGACTCTAATGTCATTGTTAACAAGACTGTGTTGACGAAGGGGTTAGGTATAGTGTGCTCTTCATCAGCCTGCTGATATCACATGCTCACATTTATGGCAAGGTATCTGAGGATGCATGATTCACACACACACCCAAATTACCAAGAACAGAGTTGGGTAACTTCACTAAAGAGATCATTGACTTTTACAATAATAGTTGTGTTTATCTATGTTAGAACGGAGAGATAGAGTGCATGTACTAGGAGAGTTGGTCTTTGAATCAGGAAAATACCAGAAAAAGAATGAAGATATAGTCAAGGCTTCTTAATAAAATATGGAAACCAAAAAGGGGTGCTGAAATTGAGCATCTTGGTAGTCCTAGAAATATGTATTTATGTAAGATATCTGAGAAGCTTGTCAAGGAAGACACTTATAGAAAATATTTAATAATAGGAGAGGAATTATTTTAAAATATTTTAAACTATAGGCTATAAAAGTAAGTCATTTTATCAGGAAATCTAGATTCAAGTGCTCTCAAGAATGGATTATATAAAGGCCTTAAAGTAAACCAGGAAAGATATTATGATATCATTAGTAACATCTCATAATTACCCACATTGTTGTTTTCATTTTTTATTGAGTTTATTTTCTGACAAACAGTCTCTGAACATTTGATACTACTTAAAAATTGAGTGCTAACTAACATTGGTCAGATTTTCACACAAAGCCACTGCGGGTCTGGTTCCTTCATGTCCAATCCATGTGTGAAGTCTTTTTGTTCATGCTCCTGTCCCTGGTCCAATGGTCGATGGCTAGAGTAGCAGAATTAGCTTCCTTTTTGGAAACATCCAGCATATGTACCACATTTGTGTAAACATTCACCTGTTAAACACCTGGAATATTTTCTTCAAGTGTTTTGGATAAAACTTGTTTTAAAAACTCACTCTGGCTGTTGAGTGGAGAATAAGTTGCATTGAGCAAGAATGAAAGCAGAGAGACCAGGAGGGAGGCCATGACAGTTGGTGCTATGGTAATGCCCAAGCACCACAGTGAGAGATTCTTTAGTCTGTATCTGGTGAGCACAGGCGACCAACCAGGGTACATGGGATGGATAATTACTCCCAGCCTGCAGTACTTGACTATTCATTTTTGTAATTTCCTTCAAAATTATTTCTTTTGTGGAAAACAGAAAAAGAGGCCTGTAATGTTTCTGCTTTCATGCAGACAGGGAACAAAAAAATCAAAACATCTTATATATAATGGCCAAAATTAATGTGAAAGATAATAACAAAATTTTTAGCAATAAAAATAATTTCCCAAATTCAAAGGCATGAAAATCCCAGCTGGCACTCATCACTGTATTTTGGGTCATGTATATCATGCTGAAAAATGGAGTTAGATGGGACATTTCCCAGGAGAAGCTGGGGTGATTGTAAGTCAGAATTATTTTCTCTCTCCAGGCAGCCATCACAGCAAACTGTGCTCTATTCTTTCCCAGATTACATGTGAGAAGTGTTAGGTCAGTGTCTCAGAGAAACAAATTGTAGGACAGGCCATATCCCCTGCCTGATATACATCTTTTGTTAGCAATATTATGCTAGAATAATTTAATAGCAGTTACTATGGAGATAATTCTGTACCTCCTTTCTGGTTGCTAGAAAATTGGTACCTGACAGTTGTGGAAAATAATTTTCTGATATAATTTGTTCTTCATTCCTGCTATAGAAATTTTAAACTATTGTCTTTAAAAAGTGTATTTGTAGCTATACTCATTCTGGAATATGAAAACATCTGCATTTTAGACTATCATTCCCCCCCACGAGTTTTTGATCATTCTTTATATAATCCTTTGAGTTTAATTTTATATATGAAATAAATTCTGGAAACTTAAACAGTTTCTAAGATTCCATTTGATGTTTTGATAGAGAAAATGCCTTTCATATCTTATCTTCTTACATGACACCCCAAGGTCAAGACAAGTTAAGCATGAATATTAATTAATTAAACATTGAGAATCTATGCACCAGGCATGGTGTTGTTTTTCAGACAGAAGTGAACAAAATTGACTTCTTTTCAGTATCTATACCTTTATTTCCCTATATTTTTTAATCTCAGAGGAAGCTTTCTCTATTCTTACTATGTCCAACATTTTTATATGAGTGAGTGTTGAATTTCACAAAATAACTTTCCTGTATTTGTTGTGATGTTTAAATATTTTATCCTTAATTTTGTTAGTATATTTGCTTAAACTGATTGACTTTTCAAATGAGAAAACCATCTTGAATACACAAAGTAAATACTTACTTGAGGATGTTGCGGTATAATTTGCTATTGATTAATATTATTTCATTTAGCATTTTTGTGTACGCATTTATGAGGTACTAATTTATTAATTTCTACTCATAACATTATCAGATTTTGAAAGCAATAGTATATTGGCTTCACAAGATCAGTTGCAAAATATTCTATTCTGCTTTCTTCTAGAATAAATAAGTTATATATATATTTTTAAATATTTGTAAAATTTTTCCTATGAAATCACCTTGGCTCAGAGAGTTTGGTTTTGTTGTCATTGCTGTTCAGGTTTTCATTATAAATTAAATTTCTTCAAGGGACACAAAGTTGTTTCATTATAAAAAAAAATTTACTTGTCAAATTTGACAAGTTTCTTTCCTCAAGAAATGGATCAATTTATATAGAGTGCTGAGTTTACTGGCACAAAGCTATTCATAACATGTTTTTTGTATCCTTTTAATGCCAGTAAAACGTATACTCATACGACCTTTTCATTCACTTGTTTCATATGCTGCTTACACTACATGATTTTTATTCATTATTTTTCCTTATGTTTCAATTTCAAATTTCCATTGACCCAGCTTCAAATTTTCTAATCTAGTCTTCTGTTTATTTGCCTATCAAATCTAGGTAATGAGTTTTATTTTCCCAATATTATTTTTTTCAGTTCTAAAATGTTTGTTCAATTTTTCCTTGTGGACACTGATTTCTTTGTTGACATTTTCTATCTTTTTCCCATTTAATGTAATCATCCTCTATTTTCTTAGTCATAGTTATTATATAAATCCCTTGTATGCTAACTCCAATATCTCAGTCACGAGAGAGTCTACTTCTGCAGTATGCTTTTTTCTTCATCTTTATAATGTTACTTTTTTTCTGTCTTTTTGCCCATCAAGTAGTTTTTTTTTTTTATTTTAAGCCATATGTTGTATATAATAGATGTGTGGAGCCTGTAAACGATATCTCCTTCCAGAGAGAGCCCTGTTCTCATCTGTTATATAATACATGAGCCTGCTCTCCCCAATACATGTGGAATGTATTGCAATTACAGTAAGATTTAGCACAACTTTGGTTTGTCAGTACTCCATATGCACCTCTCCTGTCCTTTTGTTTGATAACCTGGCAAATACTGGTCTTCTCATTGCTACAAGAATAAAAGACTTTTAATTACGCTCTTCTAATATTTTGTCTTTAAGTCTTATTTTCCCATCTTCTGCAGCTTCACCTCTGGTAACAATCCCAATGGCAATGTCAGACACATGTTTGAAGCAGACACCCTTCTCATAGAAGAATTTGCCTATAAAAGTTGGCAAGATTACAAGAGATCATATACCACTTTTAGCATGACCCTGCAGCATTCTACACACAGCCTTAGGAGAGAACAATAGAAAAACTGGTGCTTATTCAGGTGACTCAGGGTTCTAGACTGTCACCTCAGGTGTACGTGACAACCACATGTTGGTTTCTCATTTCTCCAATATACTATGTTTGTTTGGGCCAGACCTGATTCTCAGTTAATGCACACAATCAGCAAATGCCTTCAGGGAAAGAATTAGAACACTCAGTTGTCTTTGAAAATAATCCCTCTGGAAATATGAGTCATATAGTCCATGTTTCCTGCATCATTCTCTAATATTTTAAAACTATAATTTGTATAAGTTACCCACTTTATGTTTAATGAATGCTCAATGAGTTCAATGACTTGTTATATCTTACAGCTATAGTTTCAATATTTGTCCCCACCAAACCGTATGTTAAAATTTGATCCCCAGTGTTGGAGATGGGTCCTAATGGGAGGTGTTTGGCTCATGGGGGCAAATCCCTCATGAATAGATTATTCTTCCTGAGAGTGGAAAGTGAGTGAGTTGTTGCTTTATGAGTTCCCATGATAGCTGGTTGTTAAAAAGAGCCTAGCACCTTTTCCTCTCTCTTCCTTCTGCTCTTGCCATCTCTGTACATGTGACCTCTATCATAAGTGGAAGCAGCCTGAGGCCTTAAACAGAAGCCAGGCAGTTGTTGGTACCTTGCTTCTTGTACAGCCTGCAGATCTGTGAGCCAAAGAAACCTCTTCTCTTTATAAATTAACACTTTTCAAGTATTCTTTTACAGTGACACAAAATGGACTAAGACACTTAATGAGAAGGAAAATTCTCCACCTTCACCTTAAGGAGTGTTATTTCTCAGGGCTTAAATGAAGGATCTGTTTATATTCACAATTTTTTTCTGCCATTTTATCTCCTCGAGAGTCTTCAATTTCTATTTCTAACCAAGGTACCTCTTTCTAAGCTATAGATTATTATATAAAACTATTTTGGCCCTCAACTTGGATGTCATAAATGTGCTTCAAATTTTGTAGTCCAGAACTGACCTCATGAGAATTGCCCCTCAAACAGGTCATCTTCTATATCTTGGTGTATGATACCAACATTCGATTGTGTGAATTAGAATCATAGGACACATTTAAAGCAGTGCATAGAGGGAAATTTATAGCATTAAATGCCCACAAGAGAAAGCAGGAAAGATCTAAAATTGACACTCTAACGTCACAATTAAAAGAACTAGAGAAACAAGAGCAAACACATTCAAAACCTAGCAGAAGGCAAGAAATAACTAAGATCAGAGCAGAACTGAAGGAGATAGAGATAAAAACAAAACCCTTCAAAAAATCAGTGAATCCAGGAGCTGCTTTTTAAAAAGATCAACAAAATTGATAGACCACTAGCAAGACTAACAAAGAAGAAAAGAGAGAAGAATCAAATAGACCCAATAAAAAATGATAAAGGGGATATCACCACTGATCTCACAGAAATACAAACAACCATCAGAGAATACTATAAACACCTCTGCACAAATGAACTAGAAAATCTAGAAGAAATGGGTAAATCCCTGGACACATACACCCTCCCAAGACTAAACCAGGAAGAAATTGCATCCCTGAATAGACCAATAACAGGCTCTGAAATTGAGGCAATAAATAGCTTACCAACCAAAAAAAGTCCAGGACCAGATGGATTCACAGCCGAATTCTACCAGAGATACAAGGAGGAGTTGGTACCATTCCTTTGAAACTATTCCAATCAATAGAAAAAGAGGGAATCCTCCCTAACTCATTTTATGAGGCCAGCATCATCCTGATACCAAAGCCTGGCAGAGACAAAACAAAAAAAGACAATTTTAGACCAATATCTCTGATGAACACCGATGCAAAAATCCTCAATGAAATAGTAGCAAACCAAATCCAGCAGAACATCAAAAAGCTTATCCACCATGATCAAGTGGGCTTCATCCCCGGCATGCAAGGCTGGTTCAACATATGCAAATCAATAAATGTAATCCAGCATATAAACAGAACCAAAGACAGAAACCACGTGATTATCTCAATAGATGCAGAAAAGGCCTTTGACAAAATTCAACAGCCCTTCATGCTAAAAACTCTCAATAAATTAGGTATTGATGGGACATATCTCAAAATAATAAAAGCTATTTATGACAACCCACAGCCAATATCATACTGAAGGGGCAAAAACTGGAAGCATTCCCTTTGCAAACTGGCACAAGACAGGGATGCCCTCTCTCACCACTCCTATTCAACATAGTGTTGGAAGTTCTGGCCAGGACAATTAGGCAGGAGAAAGAAAGGGTATTCAGTTAGGAAAAGAGGAAGTCAAATTGTCCCTGTTTGCAGATGACACGATTGTATATTTAGAAAACCCCATCGTCTCAGCCCAAAATCTCCTTAAGCTGATAAGCAACTTCAGCAAAGTCTCAGGATACAAAATCAATGTGCAAAAATCACAAGCGTTCTTATACACCAATAACAGAAAAACAGCCAAATCATGAGTGAAGTCCCATTCACAATTGCTTCAAAGAGAATAAAATACCTAGGAATCCAACTTGCAAGGGATGGGAAGGACCTCTTCAAGGAGAACTACAAACCACTGCTCAAAAAAATGAAAGAGGATACAAACAAATGGAAGGACATTCCATGCTCATGGATAGAAGAATCAATATCGTGAAAATGGCCATACCGCCCAAGGTAATTTATAGATTCAATGCCATCCCCATCAAGTTACCAGTGACTTTCTTCACAGAATTGGAAAAAACTACATTAAAGTTCATATGAAACCAAAAAAGAGTCCACATTTCCAAGATGATCCTAAGCCAAAAGAACAAAGCTGGAGGCATCACACTACCTGACTTCAAACAATACTACAAGGCTACAGTAACCAAAACAGCATGGTACTGGTACCAAAACAGAGATATAGACCAATGGAACAGAACAGAGCCCTCATATGTAATACCACACATCTACAACCATCTGATCTTTGACAAACCTGACAAAAACAAGAAATGGGGAAAGGATTCCCTATTTAATAAATGATGCTGGGAAAACTGGCTAGCCATATGTGGGAAGCTGAAACTGGATCCCTTCCTTACACTTTATACAAAAATTAATTCAAGAAGGATTAAAGACTTAAATGTTAGACCTAAAACCATAAAAACCCTAGAAGAAAACCTAGGCAATACCATTCAGGACATAGGCATGGACAAGGACTTCATGTCTAAAACACCAAAAGCAATGGCAGCAAAAGCCAAAATTGACAAATGGGATCTAATTAAACTAAAGAGCTTCTGCACAGCAAAAGAAACTACCATCAGAATGAACAGGCAACCTACAGAATGGGAGAAAATTTTTGCAATCTACTCATCTGACAAAGGGCTAATATCCAGAATCTACAATGAACTCAAACAAATTTACAAGAAAAAGAACCCCATCAACAAGTGGGCAAAGGATATGAACAGACATTTCTCAAAAGAAGACATTTATGCAGCCAACAGACACATGAAAAAATGCTCATCATCACTGGACATCAGAGAAATGCAAATCAAAACCACAATGAGATACCATCTCTTACCAGTTAGAATGGTGACCATTAAAAAGTCAGGAAACAACAGGTGCTGGAGAGGATGTGGAGAAATAGGAACACTTTTACACTGTTTGTGGGACTGTAAACTAGTTTGACCATTGTGGAAGATAGTGTGGCGATTCCTCAAGGATCTAGAACTGGAAATACTATTTGACCCAGCCATCCCATTACTGGGTATATACCGAAAGGATTATAAATCATGCTGCTATAAAGGCACATGCACACGTATGTTTATTATGGCACTATTCACAATAGCAAAGACTTGGAACCACCCTAAATGTCCATCAATGATAGACTGGATTAAGAAAATGTGGCAGATATACACCATGGAATATCATGCAGCCATAAAAAAGGATGAGTTAATGTCCTTTGTAGGGACATGGATGAAGCTGGAAACCATCATTCTCAGCAAACTATCGCAAGAACTAAAAACCAAACAGCACATGTTCTCACTCATAGGTGTCATAGGTGGGAATTGAATAATGAGAACACTTGGACACAGGAAGAGGAACATTACATACCGGGGACTGTTGTGGGGTGAGGGAAGGGGGGAGGGAAAGCATTAGGAGATATATCTAATGTAAATGACGAGTTAATAGGTGCTGCACACCAACATGGCACATGTATACATATGTAACAAACCTGCACATTGTGCATATGTACCCTAGAACTTAAAGTATAATAAAAAAAATCATAGGAATTACCCTTGTCATCTCTTTCTACACAACCCTGTGTATCTAGTGAACTGCCAGTTACTGGTGATGTTATTATCTAAGCATCTCTTGAACCTATTCAGTTTACTATGTATGTATTCCCATCATTATTTCCTAACCTGAAGTATTGCAGTATCCTCTCCATTCTTGCCCTCCTCTAATTCATTGCTAAGAAAGAGACAATGTTCTTTCCCAAAACTAAATTTAATTTTGTTGCTTTCTTGCTTAAATCTTTTTGATGACTTCTCATTAATTGTAAGAGTGTTCTCAAAATACTTAACAAGGTTTCTAAGATACCAACAATTCATCCACACTCTTCTTGCAATTTTCTCTCTTTCATACTTTATTTTCCATCTACAGTGTAACTAAGCCTCTTAGCTTCAAAATAAATTATCATAATAAACCTACACATATTCAACATCAAACATCAGTGATTGACAACTTGTCAGTCTTATTTCACTCATACTCATCTGCAATAATAAACTTGAGACTATTTTGAAGCAAATCTCAGACATCATATTATTCCATCAATAAACATGGCAGTATATGTTTCTAATGTATGTCTTTTTAGAAAAAAAGTCATTTTCAAATCTAAAATTAATAATATTCAATATTCTATTAGTGTTAACCATGTAGACAGTTTCTCTGTTTCTTATTTGATGATCAATATGATAAGAGTTCAAGCATTACAATTACTTAATATATCTTTGAAGAGTCTTAATTATTTCCTATATTATTTCATTTTAAAAATTAATTTCTTAAATCTAGTGCATTTGCCCTGTAAATTCTCTTGCAGTCTGAATTTTGCAGAATGTATCCCTATGGTGTTATTTAACATATTTCCCTCTTCTCATGTATTATCTTTGAACTGATGATTAGTTTCAGAGCCTTTCTCAGATTTGTGCCAATTGAGGGGCAATAAGCATATTATAGTAATAGCTGGTCTTGTGTACTTCCATTGAGAAATACATAATTTTCAGTTGTCTCTATGTTTGGAAGCACAATTTTTATTTATTATACACACCATTATTAATGCTAGTTTCACCCATTAGATTAAAATTCAACATGTGCATAAAATAGTCCTGTGTTATTTACCATAGCAGCCCATGTGACTAGCATAGTATCAGGCATAGAAAATATTTTAATACATGTTTAATTAAGTGAGTAAATGAGTATGTATCTTATAGCTTGCATGTTATGTATTTAGAACTCCAAATTGATACCAGCATGTTACCTTAGCTGGACTAAAAATTATTTCACAATTTATATTGGTAATGTTTAATATGGTTTTAAGTTTGTATAATTGATTGCATCATTTCACTTGTCATAGCAACCTATGAGCCAATGAAGTAAGTCCCTTAAGCTTGTAAACTTCTGCAATTTCATCTTCCTGAGGCTGATTTTGGGTGGTATACTTGGTATACCTCTTAGCTATAGAATTTTCTTCCTATTCAAACTGTACCAAAGATCTTTAATGCTGCTTAATGCTCAGCTAACTAAATAAAAGTAGACAGGAGACTGCTGAGAAAGTTTATGATATGAGGAATCACATTTTGGTTTAGTGTTAAGTAAGTTTAGTTAATACTAATGGTATTTTTTTTCTTTTGCTCAGCAAACATGAGTCATTTCATGAGTCCAGATTTAAGTAAAGTTTTGTGTCTTTATTGCTTTTGCTTTATTTTCTGTTATTTGAGTCATACGCTGTCAACTTACACAAAACTAATTCTTAACCTCCAATTGGAAATAACTTCTACTTTTGCCTTCATTTTGCAGCCTGCAATAAAAGCTTCAAATGTTAAATATGTCTAGTGCTATGAAATTGTAGGACAATTCCGCATTAGGTTGATAAATCATTCAGGCAGAACTCATTTATCAAAAATACTATTTATTTAAAGTTGTTTTATGTACAGGGGTACTAGATTGTTTATCCAGCACTTACTAAATAATTTATCAAACTCAGGTTTATTTTTTTTTGAAATATACCAAAAATTAGCCTATAGTAAAATGAGATAAAAGTCCCAATTTATGGGAATAGCACATTGGAGGAAAACGTGATTAAAAGTCATTATCACATCATAAATGCTGAATTCAATAGCCAAATATTTTCTGTGTATTTCAAAATAGGTATAACAAACAGAGTTTAATACATATTTTGTTATAACTCTTGTTTTAAAAATGGTATTGTCTATTCGTGCTCACATCTCCTCCCCCAGGTATTTCTGCTGATGTTACATAGAAAATAATAACCTTATATGATGAGACAGAGCCTTTGGTTTTAACCTGTATTCCTGACTGAACTCCAGTACCACAGGCAACTTTGATTTTTCCCTCTCTTCAAAATGCTCCAGTATTCAAAGGAAAGCTCATTTCCTATGATTCATGAATCACGCACAGGGTCTCTGTTAATACTCAAAAGCCAAGACCTGCTCTGATATGAAATAATGATTAGCAATAGGGACAAATCTGCATTCAGAGCTGTGAGATGGTTCTTTGTTCTATCCTCAGCAGATGGTGTTCCAACAAGTAGAGGTGGGCATTTATTAGGTACAGTGTTTCGGCAAGTGGGCTCCGGAGTAGGGATGTTCTACCTTATATACTGACTGGCTCACTTCCTAGCAAGGTCAACTCGGACTAGTAAGTAAACTTTCTATGTCTCCTTTTTTTTCTCATCTTAAAGATTACACATACTTTCTTATATAACCTAATAATTACAAAACATTTATGAAATAGGTGTTAGGCAAGCTTGACTGATGTTGTTCTACCAGCTTAAGTCACCAAATTAGGAGAAATGCTAAGTCAGCCTATAGCACCGTAAGAATGTCTTTGCAGTCTTCTAAACATAGAGTATCATCAAGCAAGGGCCCTGGTTGTTCTATGAAATCCATTCCTCTGTTTATGCTAACACCACACTTCTCAGGACTTCTGGCCGATGATAGAGCACAGCAGGTATACTAAGGCAGGCCCATTCCTTTGAGACACAAGACTCCCCTGACTGCTAAACTTTGGCTCAAGAACTCACAGATGACCTTGCTGACTTTTCCTGGGACTACCTAGGTGACTTCCATCTAACCTTCATTCTCTCCTTTATTCAACTGCTATGTAACAATGTGGTTTGGCAGTCTCCCCACCCCCACCTTTCCTAGCTCCCTTCCCATGTCTCTGTTTCTTTACTTGTTTGACCTCTAAAAACCCTTGCATGGTTTTTCTGTTATTAGTCTTTGCTTTATGCAGACATAATATGTAGTTTCTACTCTATTATCCCCTCTAAATTAGAAGTACTGGGACTTCCTGTGTTTAGGTCACACCGTGCCTACTTCCTGAGACATTCCTGTCCAGGACAGGAAATACACCAGTGGTTTTCCAGCACACCAAAGCATGAGGTCTGGAATAAGTCTTGATGCCATGGACCTAGCATCTGCTGTGCCACTTGTATGGTTTAGACCCTGGACTGCCAATCAAATTAACCTCAGCTTCCTGCCCTATTGGATTCAATATGACTAGTCCTCTCCCTTGTGGCTTATTCATCCTAGACCTTGAGTGAGTCAGAAAACAAATCTGTCTCTGAATCCTGGTATACTTGCCCAATCTTAGGCATGCTACCTAGACTTTTTCATCATCCCCTCCTGCAAAGGTGAATCTTTTCCTGAATCATCAGCCACAAGCTAATGTCTTATTGTAAATAAACTCATGATCAGATCAATGACCCTTCTTCCTCTTTATACATGAGCTCCTTCTGTCATTTCTGGATTAATTCTCTTTGAATATCAGAACCAAATTAAAGCTTGGCAGAGTTGACCATACAAAGTAAGTCAAAATGCTAGCTATGACCAGAGGTCAGACTTTTAGACTGGTCAGTTTCTCTTAGCTAGTCGGGGCTTCCTCTTTCTTGCAATAGGCTAATTTTGTTGAACCTCTGGAATACACTGGAGTTGATGTCACATGTAGTGATTATTTAATACCAAATGCCGAATTCTCTTCTTTTTATCAACAGGGGGTGGAACAGAGGGAAAGACTGGGGAAGCTGACATCCATAAAACTCAGCTTTGGGACTAAAGCTAACTGATAAAAATGTGCCAGTTACTTTGACTTTTTCTGTGTTTATATCTGTTCTCTAGAATCTCCCTAGCAACAAGAATTGAAATATCATAGTTTCGTATTACTATCAAGCTGTCAGCACTCCAACAGGAATGTAGGTTTGTTTTTCTTTTATTTTCCTCTTATTTTCAAATAAATTGTATATATTTGATAGCAAATTATTTATCATAACAAGCTTAGTTACATTTTATTATATCAACACAGCCATAGAAACAATTTCTTCTGTTGTCCAAGTAATTCTAGATAAGGGAATGTTTCAGAATTTACTTGCTGCAAAACTGGTCTCTATCATTTCCCTTCCACATAAATACTCTGTTTTTATTAGAGACTAAAGGCATTCTCCTGGTTATTCTTTTAGAGGCACCATCTAGAATCAGGAATTCATGGTGACAATTAAAAGAGATCAGATGGATTTTACAGGAAGCCTGAGGCAAAGGAGAGTTTTATAAGCTGACATCAGGACCAATGTAACTTCTAAGTAGAGTCATACTGTACATTCCCACAAAAGCCAAGGGTCACTAGGCTAATATAAATTTAAAGAGAGGAAGGAAAAATGCTTTCAAATAATAATAATCATTTTTGACCTGAGGGATGTGCTAACAAACCTTCTTATGAACACGGTTATTATATTTGCTGTAGAGACGTCGATGAGCATGTTATCATTATGAAAACCTGTGGGAGAGTTTTCTTTTAGCTTCCACTAAGAGACTAGCTGCAATTTCTCTTTATCAATTGTTTGTTTTATTATTTTGTAAGCCCTGTAATTTGTGTATCAAATTGTATTTTGGAATTTGCTTTGGCTTTTAAGCAGCTCTTAGACGAATTTGCAGCTTACCTTCAACACACAAATTTTGAATATCTGACAATTTTACTTTGGGCTATGACTTTTTTTTCAATTTTATGGCCTTTGTCAATTAATTCATATTTTACTTATGATTCTCAGAAATATGTTCTATATAAGACTTCTTGTCTTATTTAATTGGATGCAATCATTATCTCTTTTTTTCTAACAGTATTGATTTATTGATTTTAATATCTTTGATCATTTGTTATCTTTAGTCTCTTTGGGAATCATTTTATTTTCTGTTTATTAAATTCTTTTTTATCATTCATGACACTCACTGTCTTCAGCAGTTGATGGTTCTTGATCACTAGATTACTTCCAGAGCAGTCTTCTTTTGCAGAGATTCTTTTCCTATTTTTTCTGTTGTCTATTTTACAGATCCTTATTTTTTGGTCTAAAAATATGTTTTTTCAACGTTTTTAGTGTTTTATGTTTCTGAAATACCATCTGATTTTAGGAGAGATGAGGAAGAGACATATAAGCTTAGTCTCTCATCTTGACTCACTTTCTTTTACTCACTGATTTTCTGACTCATGCAAAAGGAAGAACAGAGAATGTGAGAGAGTCAGTAAATCAGCTCTGACCCAATCTGAAGGCTGTGAAAAAGCAAAAGCTGAAGAGCCCAACAAGCCCATCAAAAGCAATAGGCCTGTCTCTGGTTGTGCAAAACTATAAATAAGAAAACCAGGGAGAAACAACAAATGCAGTAGGGATAATTGGCAGTTCAGCATGGGATCACTACCTAGACATAGGTGGGTTTTGAAGTGGCTACGTTGTCTGGGGTATATACCTTGGGTTTGTTGTCTCATGCCAGGAAAATTTAGGATACAGACACATATGAGGAGTTTAGAAACAGTGGTTTAGGAAGAAGAAAGAGAAAGGAAAGCAGCTTTCTCTCTAGTGAGAAAGAGGGGACTTCCAAGAGGAAAGACTGGCTGGCAGCGGATGCACTAGATTTTATAGTACGGCTTGAGGAAGCAGTGTCTGATTTACATAGGGCTCACAGATTAGTTCCATCAGGTATGACATTTACATAGCTCGTGGAGAAGGCTTGTTGCTCCACCCTAACCTTATTATGCAAATTAATTCTTCCCTTGGCCAGTGCCATCTTGTCTGCTTCTTACTGTACACATGGCTGGCAGAGAAGCGAAGATGGAGCCACCATCTTGAACATGTCTAGTCCATAGTTCCTGCCAACATTCACCCATGCAAGCTCCCAGCTTGCTTGTCTATGTCTGCAGCTCGACTTTACAGGCTACTCTTTGTTAGAAAATGATTTGGAGCTGCTTTTTATTAAAAAGAAAAGCCCAACTGAGGGCTCCCCTACCCTCACTATCTGCCTAAGTGATTTCTTCTTAACTCCTGTAGCTTTCCCTCCTCAGGAGTGGTAACCGTAACTGCTGTTAGGGGGTTTTGGGTGATGACTCTTTCTGGCTACTTCCTGCTGAAAAGGGGCATTGTGTGGAGAACAGCAGCGAGGGCTCCTCCTGCGGGTGATCTAAGGGTCCTTGGAAGAAAGGTGTGCCCATGCATCGTTCGGTCTACAGCACCATTTGAAGTTGGATTGCTTCTAGGTGAGAGGGTACTATTTGAGTTACAGTATTCAGTAGCCAAGGTCCAAACATTAGTATAAAACATTTGAGCAAGAAGGGGTTTAATAATGGAGCTGACCAGTTCCACAAAGAAGACTGGAATTCATTAAAGAGGTTTTGTAGTAATTCAGGGCTGGAGCTTGCATTTTCTCTTAACTGGTCAGTGATTTTTAACTTGATCTTAAAGCATCTGTAGGTTTTCTTCTACTTGACTAGAGATCCAGAAGCAGCATGTTTCACTTAAGACTTCATTGAGTTGCCCACACTTCTGGATTGATATCAGCTTCCACTAGGAGGAGACAAAGAGATTGTCCTGGGGCCATAAGGAGGCTGGTCCCCATATGAGCTAAAATGCCTCTACCTAATAAATGAGTGAGACTTTCTAGCACGATTAAAAAGGCATGTGCAAATAGTAGATTTCCCCATTTGCAACTAAGGGGTTGAGAAAAGTATCAAATTAGAGTTTTTCCTGAGACACCGCTCACAGTTGTGCTATGGGAAGAAGGAAGGCCTGGATTAGAGAGGAGAAGAGAGAGCCTGGCTCCAGTGTCTAGAAGGAGATCTATCTTCCTTCCTTCAATTTCCTCTAGGGCTCCTGTGCTGTAATGAAGTTTGAGCCACTGGATCTGGGGGTTCCAACCCCGGGAGCCATCAGTCCTGTTGGTCCATCCATGAGACTGGTTCTGAACCCAGTAACCTTCATCTCTGGGGGCAGTCCAATTTCCAGTGGTCCCCACCACATGCTGGACAGGGTTGTGGTGGTTTCTTCTTGCTGCCTGGGTGTGTTTTCTTAATGTGCCCTGACTTGCCACACTGATAGCAACTGGTGGATGCACCTCAGGGATCCTAGGCTTTGCAAGCCTATAAGGCAGCTACTAGAGCCTCTGACCCTCTCTTTTGCTTCCTCTCTTTCTCCTGGTCTACTGCTGGTCCCCCTCCTGGTCCCTGTTATAAAAGACTGAGGTAGTCACCTTCAGGATGTTCTCTAAAGTGCTATCTGGTCCTAAAGCCTACTTCTATAGTTTCCTTCTAGTATCAAGAGCTGCCTGTGTAATAACCTTGTCCTTTAGGATTAGCTGTCCCTCCACTGACTCAGAGGATAGGGAGGTGTGCTTTATTAGAGCCTCTCTCAGTCCTTCTATAAAGGCTGCAGGATTCTCATCTGGCTTTTGATCTATCACAGACAGAGTAATTAAGAGGATTGATTGTAGTTCTTCATAGGCCCTCCAATATGCACATTAAAAAATGTTTCCTTTTCCATTCATCTGTAGCATCATAGGGGTTCCAATTAGCATTGTCTAGAGGAACTACTTCCTTCTACTTCCTTTTCCATTTGAGAATGGTGTTTCCATTATCTCTTTGCCTTCCCTATTTTCTCCTTTCCTCTTAGGCCGACTGTAGGAGACATTTTGCTCCTCTCTGAATTTCTCTACTGCCTGCAGAGCTGCCTGCTTCTCAGTTATGGTTAGAGTTTGGCTTAGGAGCAGCGTAACATACCACCATGAGAGGTAAAATATGTGAGTTACATTTTGGAAGGCCTCTATATACCTGTCAGGGTCAGAAAATCAGCCTAAGTCTCCCTTTACTTGCCTAAGGTCATACAATGAGAAGGGAACTTGAATCCTAGTGACATCACCTCCATTGGGCACTTCCTGTCTGGGTCAGAGTGAGGGTGGGGGAGTGGAGAATTTTGGAAATGGCAGAGGTGGAAGAGCTGGTGGCATTGTTGGAGGTGGTCTTAGATAAGGGGGACTGGAAGGGCTCGCGGACTCAATAGCTGCCTCAGGTGGTTTCCCCAGAAGTTGCTTTTCTAGTCTTGGGGAATCATTCCATTTGGGGCTGCCTAATACTATTGCTAAAAGGGCTGGGTTGATTGTGCAACACTTGCAAAAGTCTGGGTTGTCTCACAGGGCAAAGAAAGCCTGTATATAAGGTACCTTGGACCATTTTCCCTCCCATCTGCAGAAAAGACCTACCTGTTGGATATTAAAATTAAGGCTCCCTTCCAAAGGCCAGGCTGGTTCAAGAGGGTAAGAAGGTAAAGCCCTTGTGCAAAAGAAAATGAGCCACTTTTTTTTTTCAAAGTCATAGGGTCAAAGGAATCCCAGTGCTTCAGAATGCACTCCAGAGGGGTATAGGCTGAAGATAATCTCTTACCCATCTAGAAAGAGAAGTGAGAAAAAGGCATCCCTTTAGTCTCCTTCCTTTTGTTGTGACCCAGGGTGGAGAGGAAGACGATGGGCACGGCCCCCCTGCTGTTTTCCTTCCTTGGTTCCTGGGTCCCCGCACCTTGTTAGATGCAATGCCCATCGTTCCAGGTGTGACCCCCAGCCATGGAACCAGAGGAACTAAGATATTGGGATTAGTCACACTCACCCATGCAGATCTAGTCCTCTGCCTGTGATTTCCCTTTGACTTCCTAGACTTGTGTGACCCGCCTGGCTCCTCAAAAGAATGGATCTTGGGAGAGACTATGTGACAATTACATTTGGGCAACTTTTGCACTTCCTTCTTTAATGGTGGAAGTATACTGGTTTGAGGTCTGTATCCTGCTATTATAGCCAGATAATTTAGTATGCTAAATTTAAATATGATTTAGTATAGCATACTAAAGCATTTACCCTTAGAGAATGGTTCTGGTTAACTTCCAAACTTAAAATCCCCTTACTAATTAAGTACCATTCTAATTCGAGGAGGAATAGGTGCCTTAAAAGAATGGAGGGACCAAATGGCCATTTTCCTGCTATGGAACAGTATCAAGACTAAAATTTGGCTTTGGAGAATATTTTACTCCTAGTTGTTGAAGGCAGGATTTTCTGGTTTATAGAAGCAACATGAAGCCTAATTTCTAGTAGAAAGGAGCAAAAGGGGAAGATAATTGGGAAGATAGAATATTTAGGTAAAGGACTGACAATGTGCCTCATGGACAGGTTCCCTCTTCCACTAGGTGGTGCTGTTGACCTTGAAATGCCATGTACTCTCCAGACCAATGGGAGAGAGACCTTGACATGCCATGTGCTCTCCAGACCAAAGGCAAAGAGATACCTAGAAATGCCATGTGCTCTCCAGACCAACTGCAGAGAGAGACCTGGAAGTGTGATGCACTCTCCAGATCGAGGGCAGAGAGAATCTGAAAATGACTTGTGCTCTCTAGACCAAGGGCAAAGAGTGATGCTCACTGTGGTGGAGGGGACCCTCTGTAGAAAATCAGAAAGATGCCTTCCCTTCCCCAGTTACTATGCATTCCCTGATCTTGCCTAACAAGATTACTTCCCTGAACCGTAAAACTTCCCACACATTGCATACACAGAGAGGATAGACGATATGGTGGTTGCGGAAAGGAAAGGAGGAAATTATGATAGAAAAGTTGGAGATCTTGTTGCTGACACCCCATAAGGCAGTTGGAGGCTGGTGTCAGTCCAGATGTCTTTGGATAACACCGGGGGGTAGCCAGAAATCCTCAGTTGCCCCAGAACCTCTTCCAGCCTCAAGTGATGGCTGTCTTCCATGAAAGGAAGCTGATACAAATATGGCCAACATGCTCAGCAACACACGGGTACTGGGGCATTCTCTATGTTCTCCCCAGCAAGCCTGTCCCCTAAGTCTTATAAGGCTAGCATCCATGCTACTCATTTTTAAATGGCTAAAGGTGGCCCAGTATTTGGTTTGATTTGGTTTTAAAATGGAGTCCAAGAGCCCCAAAATGAAAGGACAGAGTTGGAGTTCACTCCTCTACTCACCATTTTGATGACTGTTGTAACTTGGTATCCTGGATGAGGTCCCCAATATGAAACAGCTACGTTGTCTGTGTTGTATACCTGGGGTTCGTCATCTCATGCTAGGAAAATTTAGAACACTGACACACACAAGGAGTTTAGGAGTAGAGGTTTAATAGGCAGAAGAAAGAGAAAGGAAAACAGCATTCTCTCTCTAGTAAGGGAGAGGGGACTTCCAAGAGGGAAGATCGGCTGGTGGCAGATGCACTGGATTTTATAGTCTGGCTTGAGAGGAAGCAATGTCTGATTTACACAGGACTCACAGATAGGTTCAATCAGGTATGATGTTTACATAGTGCATACAGAAGGCTGGTTGCCCCACCATAATCTTATTACACAAATGAATTCTTCCCTTGGCCAGTGCCATCTTGTCTGCTTCTTACTGTACACGTGGCTGGCAGAGAAGCAAAGATAGAGCTTCCATCTTGAACATGTCTAGTCCCTAGTTCCTGCCAGCATTCACCCATGCAAGTTCCCAGCTGGCTTGTCTACAGTTGCAGCTCGACTTTACAGGCTACTCTTTGTTAGAAAATGATTTGGGGCTGCTTTTCATTAAAAAGTAAAGTTACTGAAGTCTCCCATACCCTTACTATCTGCCTAAGTGATTTCTTCTTAACTCCTAGAAGTCAGTGCAATGTCATGCATAGTTTCTCCAAATGCTCCTGTAAGTGAGTAATAGCAGACAAGAGCCACAGTAACCTCCCAGTCACCCTATGAGAATTCAGGAAAAGTGTCCGATTGCCCTCACCCTATCTTATCTTCCAGGATCTGTAGTAATTGGTATCATCATATGTGCTTCATGTGGCTGATCTGAAGTGTGGAGTCTTTCAGAGAGTAATCAGGCATCTATAGACTGGTTCTACTATGCAGAACGCTGATGATATTTGTCTTTTCTATACTGGAGAGGAAATGAAGAAGTTCTCTTTTTCTTAGAAATTAGCTCAGGGTTGGCCTCTTAGAAGGTTTTTTAGTGTGTCTAGTAAAGACATTTTGAAGAGGTCAAAGATTGTAACGGTTATCAAAAATAAGGATTTTATTATGGAAAAAATGATAATTTACTAAATAGAAAATGAATATGAAAACTAATAAACTATGTGAGGCCCAAAGTTGAGTTCATGGTGAGTTCTCAACCATTTTTCCCATTTTTATTTTCAACATATGTTTTACCAGCTGGTTAAAGTATTCAAGTCATTCCCTGTCTCTTCTCCACAGTAGTTGGCATTTTCTGGGGCAGGTATTTGAACTCAAATATATCTCTGTGGTTAAGTGGCTGTGATTTTGTATAAGACAAAGTAACAGCATCACACTCCTCTTTTAAAATGTTAAGGTTGAGACAACATTATTCCTTTAAAATGACTCCCTGGCTTTAATCCCAGTAAGAAGTAGTTAAGTAGAGTGAATTGAAAACCATATCCTTAATCATTGAAATAATTAATTCAATCTTGATATAGCCCTTTGCAACTATAAGAATTTCAATACATGTGAGAAATAAATTATTTCCTAGGACATAAAAATTAAAGAGCTCAAGAAAATCTCCCTGCAGAAGGGAAATCAGGATTACCACTCCTTAGGTTTCCTGAGAGATATGAATTTTGTCAATTTGCTGGCACAATTATTAACACAGTATATTATTTGTTTTTTTCCTAGGCCTTGCAGATCATCATTTCTTTTCACCTTTAAAAAGAAATCTTCACATACATTCATCCTCTCTCCTCACTTATATTGACAAAGATCATGGCACTAAGAAAAAAAAGTCTTTAAAACTGCATTAGTGAAGGGCATTGATATAAATGTTCCTAAATACTGATATGTACTTTTCAATGGTTATTCTTTTTCACTATCTATTCTAGTAGACTTAAAGAATATTTGAAAGAATAAAGAGAGCCTTCTTCTCTCTTAAAAGGATAGTTTGAACTAATTTTTTGATACTGCCTTCATCTTTATTATTTCTTATTTGAAGGGAGCGATCTTTATTAAGAGAGGGTGTGGCTATAGGGTAACTTTCAGATGCTTTCCAGTTGTAGGGAAGAAGTTCCCCACTGTGAGCTCCCAAGAACATTTCCTATTTACTTCTCTCTACTCTTGTCTTCCCTCCTGTCTAGCCTGGCTGAGAGCCTCACAGCATCCTCTGACTTGAATTTCAGAGTCTCCCTGAGACATCCTCCTAGCATGTAAGAGAAACATTGTTCTAAAATGGTAATCCAAGGACATAATGATTCATATTGAATTCAGTTTTTGAAATTATATTTAATTAAATGCAGTTATGTTTATTTTTTGAATAGATAATGCATTTTTATTGTTCAAAATTCAGTAGGTACAAAAGTTACAAAGTAGAAATTCTGCCACGTGCCACTTATCTCAAATTCCAGCTGTCAGGCTTTCTTCCCTAGAGGAAACCAATGTTATTAGTTTATTTGTATTCTTCAGCAGATGTCATTTTTTTTCTCACTTTCAGAAACATGCATATTGATTGTATGTTTTTCATTTAACAATATATCCCAGTGGTAAATCCATAATAATATATGGAACTTTTTTATTTTTTAAAAAAGTGCATGGTACTTCATTATGGAATAGATGTTTAATAATTTATCTAGCCCTACAAATTAGCGTATATTTCATAACTCAGGTTGTTATTTTGAATGATAGGAAGGAAAGATTAACATGGAAAAGAAGCGTAGGGGCAAATTATAAAGAAATTTGGTGAAAGACTTTGGAATTAGTGGGAAAAAAGTTAACCATATTTGTGTATATGAGTGAAGTAAGAATTAAAATTATGTGATATAAAAATCAGTTCAACGACAAATTGAGGGTACTGAAAATAAATAATGTCTTTCTCTTGCCTAATTGCCCTGGCCAGAACATCCAGTACTATGTTGACTAGGAGTTGTGAGAGAGGGCATCCTTGTTGTGTGCCAGTTTTCAGGAGTAATGCTCCCACCTTTTGCCCGCTCAATATGATATTGGCTGTGGGTCTCTTATATATGCCTCTTATTGTTTTGAGGTATGTTCCTTCAATGCTTAATTTATTGAGTGTTTTTAACATAAAGGGATGTTGAATTTTATTGAAGACCTTTCTGCATCTATTGAGATAATCGTGGTTTTTTGTCTTTAGTTATTTTATGTGATAAATCACATTCATTAATTTCTGTATGTTGAACCAAACTTGCATCCCAGGAATGAAGCCTACTTGATTGTACCGGATAAGCTTTTTGATGTGCTTTGGAACTCAGTTTGCCAGGATTTATTTGAGGATTTTTGCAATGCTGTTCATCAAGGATATTGGCTTGAAGATTTTTTATTGTTGTTATATCTCTGCCAGGATTGGGTATCAGAATGATGCTGACCCCATAGAATAAGTTAGGGAGGAGTCTCTCCTTTTCAATTTTTTGAAATAGTTTCATTATAAGTGGTACCAGCTCTTCTTTGTGCCACTAGAATTCAGCTCTGATCCCATCTGGTCCTGGGCATTCAAATAGGAGGAGATGAAGTCTTTGTTTGTAGATGACATGATACTATATCTAAAAAACCCCATTGTCTCAGCTCAAAATCTTCTTCAGCTGATAAGCAACTTCAACAAAGACTAAGTATACAAAATATTGTGCAATAATTGCTAACATTTCTAAACACCAACAATAGGCAAGCTTAGAGCCAAATAATGAATAAACTCCCATTCACAATTGCCACAAAAAAGAATGAAAGACCTATCAATACAGCTAACAAGGAAAGTAAAGGACCTCTTCAAGGAGAACTCAAGCCACAGTTCAAAGAAACCAGAGATGACATAAAAGGAGAAAAATTCCATGCTCATGGATAGGAAGACTCAGTATGGTGAAAATAGCCATACTGTCCCAAACAATTTATAGATTCAATGCTATTCCCATTAAATTACCATTGACATTCTTCAAAGAATTAGGAAAAAAAACTATTTTAAAATTCATGTCTAACCAAAACAGAGCCCAAATACCCAAGACAGTCCTAAGCAAGAAGAACAAAGCTGGAGGCATCATGCTTCCAAATTTCAAACTATAGTACAAGTCCACAGTACTCAAAACAGCATGGTACTAGTACAAGAACAGACACATAGATCAATGGATCAGACCATCTGCTCTTCAACAAACCTGACAAAAACAAGCAATGGGGAAAAGATTCCGTGTTTAATAAATGGTTCTAGGAGAACTGGCTGGCCATATGCAGAAAACTGAAACTGGACCCCTTACTTACACCATATACAAAAATCAACTCAAGATGGATTAAATACTTAAATGTAAAACCCACAACTATAGAAACTGGAGAAGAAAATCTAGGCAATACCATTCAGGACATAGACATAGGCAGAGATTTCATGACGAAGATGCCAAAAGCAATTGCAACAAAAGCAAAATTTGACAAATGGGATCTAATTAAACAGCTTCTACACAGCAAGAGAAACTATCATCAGAGTGAATAGATAACCTATAGAATGGGAGAAAGTTTTTGCAATTTATCCATTAGACAAAGGTCTAATATCCAACATCTATGTGGAACTTAGGCAAATTTACAAAAATAAAACCCAACCCCATTAAGATGTGGGCAAAGGACATGAACAGATACTTCTCAAAATAAGATATACATGCAGCCAGGAAACATGAAGAAAAGCTCAACATCATTGATTATTAGAGAAATGCAAATGAGATACCATCTCACACCAGTCAGAATGACTATTATTAAAAAGTCAGTAAACAACAGATGCTGGAGAGGTTGTGGAGAAAAAGGAATGCTTTCACATTGTTGGTGAAAGTGTAAATTAATTCAACAATTGTGGAAGACAGTGTGATTATTCCTCAAAGACTGAGAGGCAGAAATACCATTCAACCTAGCAATCCCATTACTGGGTATATACCCAAAGGAATATAAATTATTACATTATAAAGATACATGTGGCTGGGCACAGTGGCTCACACCTGTAATTTCAGCACTTTGGGAGGTCAAGGTGGGCAGATCACTTGAGGTCAGGTGTTCGAGACCAGCTTGGCCAACGTGGTGAAGCCCATCTCCATTTAAAAAAAAAACATATATATACTCATATATATATACACACACACACATATATATACATATATACATATATATGCACATATACATATATATGCACATATACATATATACATATATACATATATATACATATGTGTGTGTATATATATACATATATATGTATACATATACATATATATGTGTATATATATATACATATATGTGTGTGTGTGTGTGTGTGTGTGTGTATATATATATATATATATATATATATATATAAATTAGCTGGTCATGGTGGTACCTGCTTGTAATCCCAGCTACATGGGAGGGTGAAGTGGGAGAATAGCTTGAACCCAGGAGGTGGAGGTTGCAGTGAGTCAAGATCATGCCACTGCACTGCAGCCTGGGCAACAGAGTGATATTATGTTTCAAAAAAAAAAAAAAGATACCTGCACGTGTATGTTCATTGCAGCACTACAGTGAAGACATGGATTCAACTTAAATGCCCATCAATGATAGACTGATTAAAGACAATGTGGTACATATAGACCATGGTATACTATGCAGCCATAAAAAGAAAAGAGATTATGTCCTTTGCAGGGACATGGATGGAGCCGGAACCATTATCCTCAGCAAACTAATATAGGAACAGAAAAACCATATCCACGTGTTCTCACTTATAAATGAGAGCTGAATGATGAGAACACATGGATACATGGGGGCAGGGAACAACACACACTGGGGCTTGTCAGGGGACAGTAGAGGGAGGGAGAGCATCAGGAAGACTAGCTAATAGATGCTGGGCTTAATACCTAGGTAATGGGATGATCTGTGGAGTAAACCACCATGGCACACGTTTACCTATGTAACAAACCTACACATCCTGCACATACATATACCCCTGAACTTAAAAGTTGGAAATTTTTTTAAAAAGTAAATAATGTAACTGCACCAGGGTTTGCTGAGGAATCTGTCATTATTTCCAGACTATGATACAACGATGACATTTTTGTACCTTAAAGAGGGCTTCTAGGCCTTGACTGTGTGTGTGTGTGTGTGTGTGTGTGTGTGTGTGTGTGTATGACAGAGAGAGAGAATGTGTTTGCTGGGGGAAGTGTTACCAGTGAAACTGATTCCCTTCTGTAGTACCTTATAGATATATAGAAAGAGGACTCAGCCACTCTTGTGGTATTAAAAATGCCAGCCAGCAGCTAGTAATTTTGTTATATTTTTCAGCCGTATGATTTTATATGTCATATAGCTAAGCAGCATTATGCCAAAGACCATATTTGTTGACATTGTTAGAAAATGTTGTAATAATGAGGTGCTTGAAATGATCCCCCTTGGCCAGGCACAGTGGCTCAGGCCTATAATCCCAGCACTTTGGGAGGCCGAGGGAGGCAGATCATGATGTCAGGAGTTCGAGACCAGTCTGGCCAACACAGTGAAACCCTGTCTATACTATATATATATATATATATATATATATATAAATTAGCTAGGTGTGTTGGTGTGCACCTGTAATCCCAGCTACTCAGGAGGCTGAGGCAGGAGGATCGTATGAACCCAGGAGGTGGAGGTTGCAGTGAGTCGTGATGGCACCACTGGACTCCAGCTTGGGCAACAGTATGAGAATCCATCTCAAAAAAAAAAAAAAAAAGAAGAAGAAGAAAGAAAGAAAAAGAAATGATCCCCTTCCCTCAGTACTGGAATGCACTTGGGTATTGGATTGAAAGAGAAGTACAAAAGAGATTCTTTCCTAACCTTTTCTTTCGGAAAACTCAGGAAAACATTGAACTACTAATGCATTAAAAATCTATAACAAACATTTAATTTTAAAAACTATGAATAAATGATCTAAATCTATTCTAAGCAGTTTTGTTTACCCTGGTATATTAATTGTGGTGGCCAGAAGGAGAGAGTGGAGGGCTGCCTGGAATGCTTTTGACATCCTGTTCAGCACCTGTACACCTTCACCCTCTCTCCCACAAGCTGAAATGTATAATTGTCATGCCTTAATCATGAATTATGCATGACTCTTGATTGTGGTTGGATATTTTGACCTGTAAATTCACAGATGACGTTTTCATTTAGCAACTGGGAATTCAAATTTATTTATTTTCATTTTTCGCAGATGTAATACCCTTCCTGGGAGAATAGAGTATTCCAGGGCCCTTTGAATTATAGATGACATCTGGGCTGTCATTCAAAAATGAATCTAGGGCTCTCACTTCTACTGCAGGCATTGAATGAGAAAGGAACAATTCACATATTGCCAAGTTGTCTAGAGCTCATAATTTTATATATTGCAATATAGAGATACCATCTCATGTCAATCAGAATGGCAGTTATTAAAAAGTCAAGAAACTACAAATATTGGCGAGGCTGTGAGAAATAGGAATGCTTTTAACACTGTTGGTGGGAATGTAAATTAGTTCAACCATTGTGGAAGACAGTGTGGCAATTCCTCAAAGATATAGAACCAGAAATACCATTTGACCCAGCAATCCCATTACTGGGTATATACCCAAAGAAATATAAATCATTCTGTTGTAAGGATACATGCATGCAAATGTTCACTGCAGCACTGTTCACAATAGCGAAGACATGGAATCAACCTAAATTCCCATCAATGATAGACTGGATAAAGGAAATGTGGTACATATGTACCATGAAATACTATGCCATAAAAGGGAACGGGATCATGTCCTTTGCCATAAAAGGGAATGGGATCATGTCCTTTGCAGAGACATGGATGGATCTAGAAGCCATTACCCTCAGCAAACTAACACTAAAACAGAAAACCAAACAACTCATGTTCTCACTTGTAAGTGGGAACTGAACAATGAGAACACCTGGACACAGGGAGGGGAACAACACACACTGGGGCCTGTTGGGGAGGGCAGGGGCAGGGAGAGCATCAAGTTAAAACGCTAATGCATGTGGGGCTTAATATGTAGATTATCAACTGATAGGTGCAACAAACCACCAGGGCACATATTTACCTATGTAATAAATCTGCACATCCTGTCCACGTATCCCAGAACTTAAAATTAAAAATAAGTAAAAAAAGAAAAAAAATCAACCCAACAAGGCAGGTTAGTAAGATGAGCAACACTTGAATGAAAGTGTTAATATATGGTGCATTTCCAGTTTTTATATCTTTTAACCTAAAGGTGGGTCATGATTCATGTGAGAGGATCAGCTAAAACTTCAATACAATTCCTGAAATTTCTCTGGCCTGAAGAACCAGGGGAAGAATTTGGAACAACCTTAGCTTACAACCACTAGAAAATGAGGGGAGAATCCCAGGGACAAGACAACCAGAGAAAGAACAAAAACTATTGCCTAAATCTCCATTTCTGAAACATGCAAATGTGTAGCGAACTGCAAATAGCCAAGCTACGGATAAAAACTTAGCTGAGATTTTAGCTACCCCAAAGACATTTTGAGGTTCAGTCTAACTGACTTATTGTGTGTTATACACACACACATTCCATTTAAAGACACTTAAAATAATAAACGTATAACATTCACAATGTGTATAATGTGATAAAATTACTCTACATGTGAAGAAAGAGAAAAATGTGCCCCATTCTCAAAACGAAAGATTATCAGTATATAGTGACCTTAAGATGACAGAGATGTTGGAATTAGCCAGCAAGGATTTTATAAAATGTTATTATAAGTATATTCAGTGAAATTAAAGACAATATTATTTTAATAGATGAAAAGTAAGGAAAATCAGCAAACAGAAAGTGCGTAAAAGAGCCCAATAACATTTAGAATTGAAAAATTTAGCAATATGAAATTAAGGCTTAAAGACTTGTTTAATTTCATAAAGGACATGAAAAAGTCAAAAATCAAGATCATGAAACAATAGAAATTATCCAATGACACAAATATGAAAGGAAATAAAAATAATCCATAAAAGTCAAAGACTTACAATCATATAAGAAAATATCAAATTATTTAACATATATGTGATTTGAATCCCTGAGGAAGAGTGAGAAAAATAAGTAAAATGTATCCAAAGAAATATCTGAAAACATCACAAATTGCAGAAACATAAATTTATAGATTCACCAAAACATCATGGTAGATCTGCTGAAAAACAAGCAAAATCTTGAAAACAGCCAGATAAAAATGATACACAGTGATAAACAATGATTTGAAAAATGTTTTAAAACCTCTCATTAGAAACTATAGAGTCCAGGTAATGATGCAACAGTCACTTGAAAGTAGTGTGTGTGTGTGTGCTCACATGTGCATGCATGCACGTGTTTGTAGGGAGACAGTAGATATTGTCATATTGGTATATCTGGCAAAAATAAGAATGAAATACATATATTTCTTTGGTAATTTTTATCCAGCTGTTATATTGTGAAATATATATTTGGTCTTTGATCCTGTTTCCTGGCATACAATTTCTTAAATCCTTAGATGCCCCAAAGTAATGTCTTTTGTTCTCTGATGAGTTTAATGATGTCTGGCAGCCCCTAGGTAGCTTCAGAATGGGGGTTGGTCACTAGAAAGAAGGGACGATTAGAGGGCTTAGACTTTCTGCCCCACTCCTGAACCTCCAGGGAGGGAAGAGGGGATGAAGATTAAGTTGATTATCAATAGATAATGGTTTAATCAATCATACTTAATGACACCGTCATAAAAAAACCATAAGGACAGGGTTCAAAGAGCCTCCAGGACAGCTGAACACATGAAGGATCCTTGAGGATGGCATAGCCAGAGAGAGCATGGAAGCTCCACACTCCTTCTTCCACACCTTGCACTGTGCATTTCTCATATGTATCCTTTGTAATGTCCTTTAAAATAAACTTGTAAATTTAAGTATATCCTTGAATACTTTGAGCCACTCTAGTAACTTAATTGAACCTAATTACATGAAGCAGGGGGTGTGTTTTTGTGAAGAGGTCATGGAACTCCCAGTTTATAGCCAGCCGGTCAGAGAAAGAAAGATAAAACAACCTGGAGCTTGTGACTGGCATCTGAAGGGGCTGGTGGGCAGTCTTGGGGGCTAAGCCCTCAACCTGTAGGATCTGATACTACCTTTGGGTAGATAGTGTCAGAATTGAACTGCATTCGAGGACATCAAGCTGGTGCCCCGTGCAGAACTGATTGCTTGCTTGATGTGTGACCACACATCTGGTCACAGAAGTCTTCTGTGTTGGTTGTAGTGGTATGAGAGAATAAAACACTTTGGGTTTGTTTTTTGTACTCTCAGACCATCATATCTGCCGTACAGTAAAGCATAGTTTAGTTAAGGAGCAAGAGTCACAAAACCAGAGGATGACTCAGTTCTTTAGAAAATAAATGAAGACAATTTGGTATGGTAA
Source organism: Homo sapiens (assembly GCF_000001405.40). NCBI lineage: Eukaryota > Metazoa > Chordata > Mammalia > Primates > Hominidae > Homo > Homo sapiens. The sequence continues at coordinate 108,772,947 of NC_000010.11, read as the reverse complement.
ATACAACAGAATATATTTACTTCTCTTACTACTGTAGAATATATAGAATGTTAAAACATGTTATAACATTGACTTGGATGTTTATCACATCTGTAAGATGAGAAAGATTGGAGAGTTAAAGGATCTATGGGGTTGCACAGTTTCCACATTTTACATGAGGTGGTACAATATTGACTCAGAAATCTGTGAAGACTTAAAAATACTTTTTGTATGTCCCAGAGAAACTTATCTTTAAAAAGAGTACAAATGGACATGAATAAAAATCATCAGACAAATTAAAATGAAATTCTAACACTTTTTCAAGTAATACAAAAGAGGTAAGAAAGGAATAATAAGGAAAGATAAGAAACAATAAAGGTGACAATAAGAAAACAGTAAATCGAGCAATATTCATACATACTGCATTAAGTGGAATAGCATATGCAATCCATAAATATCACAGAGATTATTAGAATGATGGAAAAGAACCAACTCTGTCTTGTCTATTAGGGATATCTTTAAATATTCAGACACAAATAGGCTGAAAATAGAATATTATACCATATAAATGATAATCAAAATACATCTGAAGAACCTATATTAATAGCAAATAAAACAGTCTTCAAAACAAAGAAATACTAGCAGAGCTATTTCATAATGTCAAAGTATGAATTAGGAATAAAATCATAAATGTACATGTGCTTAATAGCAAAATTATATGAGGCAAAAGCTGACAGATTTAAAGGAAAAATAAACATTTACAATCTCAAATGAAATTTTTATCTGACTTTCAGTTATATACATAATAACTAGACCAAAAAGAAAAAAAAACAGACATAGATAATCTGAGCAATACTGTCAACTACTTTTAACTAATTAATGTTTATAGAACACTGCACTCAAATGCCAGACAAAATAAATATATCATCTCAGATATCTCGGTATTTAGTCATTGGTTTCTCTATTTTAATAGCTTCCTTTTATCTCCTGAGTTTTCACATATGATTACACATAATGATCTTATTTTCCTTTAACTTTTTTAACATACTAGTGATAGCTATTTTAAACTTCTTATCTGCTAATTCCAATGTCTAGATCATCTTTGAGCATTTTTATCCTTATTGTCATTTCTCTTGGTTTATGTGTCGCACTTTATTGCTTTATCATTTTTTAATTTATGTTGGAAATTGTGGATGTTGCATTGCTGAGAGTCTGCTTGCTGTCTTCTATTAAGAAGTGTTTTTTCTTGCAGTTATTTAAATTTTGACAGATCAGCTTGCTCTATCTAAGCTTGGTCTTAGGCTTTATAATGTTGGAGCTAAATAGTCCTTACCTAGAGCTAGAGTAGCCCTGCTCTTTAAGGTCTGGCTTATTGGATTTTTAACATATTTATTGGGATGGGAAGTAAGATTGATCTACTCTGAATGCCAATATCTCTCAACAGTGTACTGTCTCTCAGTCCAAAGTAGCTTTTTTATTCTGCCAGGCTTCCTTGGTTCTCACTTGCACATATGCAGCTAATTACTAGGTCAAAGTCTCAAGGGAACTCTTATTTAAGTTTCTCAAGGTCTTTGGCAATTAAGGTTCCTTGTCTATGTAACCTTGCCCACAAAATGCAAATAGCCACAGCAGCTCCATACATCATTTCTGTTTCTTCCATTCATTGAGACCAAAAGGAATGAAGGGAAGCTCTATGTTTGGCACTCACTTCTCTGTATGGAAAGTGTCTTAAGTCATGGAAAATATAGAGCTCACCTCATTTCTTTCCTTTGCTCATGGATCAGAGTCCTATGCTTTATCTTACTCAACATCTAAAAACAGTTTCTTCATAGTTGGTCTGGCTTTGTAGTTATTTAAAGAAAGAGGTTAGATCTGCCGTCTGTTGCTCTGTCATGGCTGTCACTGGAATCCAGATGAGCAATTTAAAAGGAAGTAGAAATAAGTATGATTAAAAATAAAACAAAATAAAATTTGTATTAAATATGTATCAACTTTTCATTGGTTGAAGAAGAAAAAAATATGACGTTAGAATGGTATATTACAAGTAGGTACAAATAATCATATCTTTTCTTACCCTTGTCATGCTTATGCCTATTGTCTTTTTATAGCCATTGTTCTAGTAATGTGTAGTAATGATCTGGAACTAATGATTCAGCTAGTGAGAGCTGACAAACCTGCATATCTAAAATAATAACTAAATGAAAAACTCTCTATGATACGTAGAACATTTTATTTTTTCATTTTTTTATGGTGTAATATATCATGGAATGTCATTGGGTATGAGTGCTTTGTTTTATGGGTAAGGTTGAGGAAATCTGTCAGAAAAGGATATTCAATCAAATAGCCCATCATTGAAGAACATAAGGCAATGGAGGACAGTGAAGGAAAATTTCTAAATTGACTATGTTATTGTGACAAAAGTTCTGTTCCCTGAGGATTATACTTCTTGGTTTAGCATCCTGAAATTCACACAGCATATCAGCCTGTGTATTCAAGGTCAAAAATAAAGAAGAAAAGTCAAAAGAAATAACTTATTAAATGATATTATGGGCCAATTTCATGGTGGTATTTTGATAGAAAGTTTTGAATTTCATCAGAAGGCAAAAACTGTGGGACCAGATTGTGGTTCTTTCAAGTCAGGGTATACAGAAATCAGATTTATTCTTGAGCATCATTAGGGCCTTAAAAAAGAGAGTGCTCAACAATGACTGACATATGTGAAAGATTGAAGAGAATTGAAGGTAAAGATAGGATGGGTGGTACCATAAAACAAGGCTAATGTTTGTAGACTAGGATCCCAGAATAATCATTTTATATCAGAAACTAAATGCATAAAATTGATATGATATGGGGGTGGGTCATATTTTGGTCCACAATATCACTGAGTCTCAGAATTTAGCTCTGAAAGGGATTTGAGGAGTTGTGAAATCTAACCCTCGTGTTTTACACAGAGCATGCGCTTGTGTAGAAGAATCATGGAAATGTCAACTCTGTTAGTAAATGACCTTATTTTATCTCCCTAAACTTCATTTTCTCACCCATAAAAGTGGGTGATGGTATCTACCCAATAGAAGTTGTTAATACAAATCAAAATGGGTTAGTGTCAAGGAAACATCTTTCCTGGATTAGTACACTCTAATGCAAAGGTTGGTACACATTTCATGCACTACATATGTAAGCCTTAAGTCATTCATTTAGTGCCTGATATCATTAAGGGAACTTGTCATATCAGTGACGATACTTTATTGGATGTATATTTCAAAAGAAAAAAATACTTATTCACATAGGGACAATATCTATACTCACAGAGTCATCACTCATTGATTTAAGCCTTCATTTAAGGTGACTAGTCCTAGAAGAAAAAAAAAAGGTACACTTCCACAAAACTCATGGAAGTGTCACCCTCTCCCTTTAAGACAACTAAGCTAAACAAATAATAAAGGTTGTCCAGCAGTTTTCTTATCAAAGTCATTCAAATTACAATTTATAAAAACTATCGAGCATTTGCTGAACTTTTTTTTCTATTTTTCAGAGGAGTAAATGATTGGTCTAGCTGGGAATTGGTCCCAGTAAGTCTGATTCCAGAGTTCTTGTTCTTAAATATTTTATTTCGCTATTGCTTCTAGGGAGGGTCAGTTGTATTGGAAAGGATTACAAACCAAATGATTTGTTCTCACCTCCTGAGCCAGTTTTGGTTCTGTAGACACAGAGTGATGAGGAAGCTTTCACTGGGCCATGTGTTGGAGCTCCTGGATTAACTTTGCTGGACTCCTGCTCCGGGTATGCATGGAAGCAAGACCCTTCTCATGCCTACCCTTAGTTAAGCCCAATAAATTGTGTTGGGAAAAATACTGGAAACTTTGATCAGATGCATTCAAATTATTCTTTGCCTCATTGATGCTGATTGCAGCAGAAGGTGGGAGAGGATATTTCATTTGTTAGATATGAAAGTAGGGATGAGGAGGGAAACTGAGCCAATTTGGTTTGTGCTTTTCAAATTTTTAGGAGTCATTTTGGGTTGTCATTCTCAGATGAAGAAATAGCTTTACCCTTAATGAGAACCAGAGGAAGAAAAGAACCCATACGAATTCTGTATTCAATTCCTATTTTCCACCATGTCTCCCTACCCAAACTGTCTGAAAGCTACATAAATGCCAATTGTTTGCAATAAACCTGTATTCTAGCACAAGGGCAGCATCTTTGAATCCTCACAGGACAGGTCTCAGAGTTTTCCTGAGGGCTCAGATTAAGTAGAAACACCAACAGTAGCAAATTATGCCTGAGAATTTCAATATGTATAGTCAGAGATATTGAGTTTTCTCACAATATAGTCTGGAGACCAAAGAATACTTGGGAAATGAGTTGGAAATGCAGCTTCCTATAAACTTTTCACCATCAAATTCTGATTTAATTTCAGTAGCTCTGAGTGGAGCCTGGGAATCTGATTTTTAAAATAAGTTTACTAGGTGTTTTTTACTCAGGTATTGCATTAGTCGCATTAGTCCATTTTCACACTGCTATAAAGATACTACCTGAGACTGGGTAATTTATAAAGGAAAGAGGTTTAATTAACTGATAGTTCTGCTGGGCTGGGGAGGCCTCAGGAAACATAATCATGGTAGAAGGGGAAGCAGACACCTTCTTTACAAGGTGGCAGGAGAGAAGTGAGCGAGGGCACAGGAAAAACTACCATTTATAAAACCATCAGATCTCATGAGAGTTCACTCAGTATCATGAGGACAGCATGGGGGAAACCGCCCCCATAATCCAGTCACTTCCTCCCAACAGGTCCCTCCCTCAACACCTGGGGATTACAATTCAAGATGAGATTTGGGTGGGGACACAAAGCCTAACCATATCAGGTATGTTATGCCAAAATTTGAAAAAAAAAAAACCCATATGTATATATAATTTGTTCTCTGGTGTGTGTTAGTGTGTTTGTGTTTGCATTAAAAACGTTACACAGACCAGTAATACGAAAAGGCATACATTATCAAAATAAATGGTATGTAATTTCTACTTAATATCTTATATTGTAAATACTTTCTCTTAAAGTTGTGGCAATGTTTCAGATCATTTTATCCTCTTGAGGCAATTTTACATCTGATTTTCACCATTTCATGTGATCTAAATGAGAACATAGGCACCATGCTGATTTAAACTTCGAGAAATTGAGGACCAGCAATGTTAGAATTGCTTGTCTAAGCCAGTGGGGGATGGTATTGCTAATCATGGCTCTGAGACCAGGACTATAGTTCATCTCAGTCTCCTTGGGGGATGGGCCTGTCAGTCACAGGGTGTCTGAAGAGCCTGCAGCCCCAACACACGCACACAGACTTGAAACGCTACATCCTATTCTTTGATGTCTATAGCCAAATCTAAGCCAGTTTAGCTTTGGGGCAGGCTTTTGTGAGCCTCCCCATTTGTTGTTTTTGGAGTTAATCACTCTTCTAAAGAAAACTGGAATTATTATCTCAATGTAATTCTTTCAATCTGCCTAGCTTTCAGGTCTGATTTCTACTCCTCTGCTGAACACCTACCACACTGACCCCTTAGGTCACAGGATGAGGACCTTATTACTTTAAGAAACACAGAAGTTACCTAATCTAAACAACTCATTTCCTCACAGAAGAACCCAGTGGCAGAGAATGTACAGACTAAAAGCCTATGCCATTGGCCATTTAGAAACAGAGCCAAGGCCAAGGTGTACATCTCTTATGCCACCACAGTAGGATAGAAGGAACCCAGACATGAAAAGCATAGCTGTCTTCGAGTTCAGCATCTTCAATATACAGACCCTGTAGTCTCAGCAACTCACCTAACCCCTCAGAGTCTCAGTTTTGTGGACTGTGAAATGAGAATAATGACAAATATCTTCTGAGGCATTTGGCTGAATTTAAGATAACATTTGTCAACAGTGGGTACTCTGTGAATGCTGGTTCCCTTCCCTTTGTGTAGACCAACTTTGGATTGAGTCTTTACTCATCTAGTTCAACAGCAGTGATCCTGCTTTTTACCAAATGGCATACTATCTTTTTTAAGGTACTCTGGCATTTTTAAAGCTATGCATTACTGCCTGTGAATCTCGTTCAAGTATTTCAAAAAACTGAGACATTATGCCCAATGAACCCAACTGACCAGCCGCTACCTCAGTGGCCTGATGACACTCTGAGACCGAGTGTCTGGAAGGAGGTGCTGCTTCACCTCCTGCCAATGGAGATGGAGTTTAGATAGCATCAAGTCCACCTGGGCCATAATTCTTACTACTTCCTCAAAGGAGGCACCCATTACCCTCTTGAGATCATTTTGGCCCCATCAAAGGAATACATGAAGGAGATAAAGATAGATAGTGAACATGTGCATAACGGTGGTGATTCCAGTAGGACTCAAGACCCATTTCCCCTGCTGTTCATTTATAGAAAATGAGAGGTGTCTTTCTTAACAAAAGACAAAATGAGTCTCTAAATTTTTTTCTGAGTCTATTCCAAAGGCTTCTTATCTACATGGTAAGTGCCAATCACGTGAAAATAGTATGATTTGAAAATATCAAATCATAAGTTTCTGGAAATGAGCTATTTGCCTACATTTTGAAGATCATCATACATGGCAGTGATTGCTTATTTTTATTTGTTTGCTTATTTGTTTGTTGGGGTCTAAGTGGTATATTAGTAGAACACTTGACTGCAGTTAAATGGCTTACTCACCATCCCTCAAACCTTAGGGCTGGAGGAAGCCATAAAAAATCACATCATCTCTCCCAGAATTTATACAAAAGTGAAAACATTTTAGGGGCTGCTGAAGCCAGAGTGAGTTTTTGCTGTAGAAAGAAAATAGAAAAGGGAGTTATCCTCTGCTGTACAGCTCAGATTTCATTTCCTGAGTTGGACATTCAGTTCAGAAAGAGAAAATGCACAGCCATACACTTACCAGTGACACCCATCATAGGGCAGAAATCCCAAGCAAAGGGCTCGTGCTGCTGCATATTCATGGATGCAAATCAGGCCCCAAGGCTGTAGCACTTGGCTCTGAGATTTCAAATCTGGGTATTAACAGGGATTCCTTCAAGGTTCTATGAATATTAACCAGGAGGGGTATGTCAAACATGCAGTGAGTGCATGTAGAAACTTTTCTTCCAGTCTATTTGAAAAATTAAGCTCTGGTTAGAAAAATGCTCCACCTTCCCATTTAGCCCCTTTGTGATGTAGGGTGGTTCAGGGCTTTGGTTTTGAAAGAGAACTGGGGAGCACTGGGCCATGGACTTTCAGAGTCACCAAGCAAACCCCATACTGTAAGCCCCAAAGGGCAGGGTAGGAACCCGGATTGTTACTGTCATATTCCCAGCTGTTAGCACAGAGTCTACACTAATACTTAATACCTACACTAATACTAATACCTAATACAGTGGCTCCCTGTATTAGGTATTTATTGCAGCATAACAAATTGCTCCAAAATTTAGACTTAAAATTACATTTATTATCTCACAATTTCTGTACATTAGATACGCTTATCACAAACATAAAATATAGGTACTATTCACGAACAGCCCTTGGCATAGAATTGAATATGCACCATCCCATTAAAACCCTCATGTCGGTCCTATGAGGTGGTCACTATTATTTGCCCTCCTTATAGGGAAGGAACCTGGGGCTTGGAGAAACTGAGTGTCTCCGCAAGTCACAGTGCTAATCCGAGTTCAACCTGGTATTCAAACTCTGACAATGTGACTCTAAAGTGTATGCATTTAGCCACAGCCTCACCATTACGTTCCTAAAATAAAATCTTCGGAGTCTCTCAGTCTGGAGGAATGTATGCAGGTATTTGGGCTCTGTAGGCATGGCCTAGCTGGGTCCTCCAGCTCTGGATCTTTCATAAAGTCACTGTAAATTCAAGGCTTGACTAGGGGGAAACTACTTCCTTACTGACTCGCATAGCTGTTGGTAGGATTCAGTTTCTCAGGAGCTGTTGGCAAGAAGACTTGTGGATCTCTCCATAGAGCACTTTGCAACATGGCAACTTGCTTCATCAGAGAGAGAGCAAGAGGTCAAGGAAGAGCATGCTAGCAAGATGAAAAAAGACCAGTCACATGGCTGGTATACAATTAAGCATCTTGTCTACAGTTGTACAAACTCATCAAATTGAAGACTCAGGACCAGTTTTTTAAAAGGCTGACATGAGACCTCTCTGTAATATCTTTGCACATTTTCCATAAATCAAAAACTGTTCTAAAATAGTTTATTAAAATCTTATTTAAAAGTTTCAGTGGAGATTTCAAAACTAACAGTAAATATTCTAGAAATGCAGTAGGGATGTTTTTCAATCTTATTTAATCTCCACGTAAAACTAGCCAGAAAATCTAGGTAGAAGAACTCAAAACCTATGGATCACATTTACAACCAAACCAGGTGATAAGATTATTCACAGAGCCCAAAATAGAGGTACTAATCAAAAACACAAAGTACAGGTACTAATCATGAACAGCCTTTGACATAGAATTGAATATGCAACATCCCATTGGAACCTTCACCTCAGCCCTATGAGGTGGGTACTAGTATTTGTCCTCCTCATAAAGAAGGAATCCATGTTTTAGAGGGCTGAGTGTCTTCACAAGTCACATGCTAATCAGAATTCAACCTGGTATTCAAACTCAGGCCATGTGACTATGTATTACATAAGTTTAGCCATGATCTCTTCTTTTGTGTTCCTAAAATCTCTTAAGTCTTACGGTCTGGAGGAATGTGTGCAGGTATTTGAAAACAGAAACATACATGGGCTGTTTACAAAGCCTCAGTGAACTCAGATTACTTTGATGCTAGGACCTAAAAGCCAGAGAATTGCTCTCAAGACTGGATGTTATTTTCTTCTTCCCATTTCTTTCTTTGTTTTCCATTTTTTTTCCCCATCAAGAAGGATGTCTGACTTTGGGAGCCTGAGGGAGGAAAATTGTTTGAGCCTAGGAATTTGAAACCAGCCTGGGCAACATATGGAGACCCATCTCTACAAAAACAAATTTTTAAAAAATTAGTTGAGCTTGGTGATGCACACCTGCGGTCCCAGCTACTGGGGAGGTGAGATGGCAAGCTGAGGTAGGAGAATCACTTGCACCCAGGAAGTTGAGACTGCAGTTAGTGGTGATCACACCACTGCACTCCAGCCTGGGTGACAGAGCAGGACCCTGTCTGGAAAAAAAAAAAAGAAAGAAAAAGAAACGTCTGGAACATTTGTATTTTTTCTGTTGAGTTTGGAATTTGAGTTATCATACAGCTTTTGGTGCCCAGTATTCTAACATCAGTCCAGTGGACTATTTTTATTTCAGCCCAAGTTTGAGAGAATAAGATAATGGTAATGTAAAGATGGCTGACTTTATTTCTTCTTAAAGAATATTATACTTCTGACGATTTGTGGAATTTTGCAAATTTAGCAAAATTTGTGCTTGGAAGTCCTACCACTTCTTAATGTACTGAGTCTTCTTCATCATCAGCTGGGGTTCCATGTTCCCCAGAAATCTCCTCTCATCTCTAGTATCCTGATTCACATGGAGATATTACTAACTTACTGTTTTACCATTTAATATGTACCAAGTGCCAGGAACTACATTAATATCTTCTCATATTATCTTTTATTCTTTACTTCACTCTTACATAGTAGAAATTTTTAGTCCACTTGAATAATAAACTATGGGTCAGAGAAAGTTATACTGTGTCCCACAGGATTCAAAATCATGTCTATTTAGTTCTTAGGACTCCAGATGATCACTTCTTTTTACCTGGTAGAGGACATGTGTAGTTCTTGGCTGTAGGCACCCAAGACTGATCCTGATGGAGGATTAGCAGGCATCTCCCCTCACTACCCTCCGATATGAGTTGAGTGTTTTTCAGTATTGGATGTGCCATTCACTCTTATTGAGAGAACAGCTTTCTATCAGAGATTCAGAGACTCTTCAGGACTACTTCTTTTTTGGGAAGGATTAGCCAGCTGCCTTCTACTAGACTTACTAGGAATCCCTAAGATAGAATCAAGATGCCCTATCGGAGGAAGGGAAGGTCATTTTATTGAGAATTTATTGTACTTTAGGCTATTTGCTAACCTTTTTCAGACCTGTCTCACAAGAATCTTCTTCCTATTTTCCTTTATTGTTCTTAAACCTTTATAGAAGTTGGGATAAAGTATATGGGTAGAATAAATAAAAACAACATAATGTAGTGGTGGAATATTAAACATTCTTGGCTTTTTCATGATTATCAATACAAAATTGAAGCTTTTTCTGAATTTGATAACTGCGAAACTTCTTAACATCTGCCAAACCTGGAAGTAAAAGCATTTTTTCTGACTTGTCTTTTAGATGATACTTTTAAACAAATTTTCAGTGTTTACTTAAGGCACTCTTTTTATCTGTCTTGTCCCCTTGCTTTGAAGATAAGAATTACATGGTTCTGAGTTCTTTTATTTCCACCTTTCCTGAAAGGTATAGAAAGAACACAGAAGGACTAAGCACTTGTCACAGTATCCTGGGGTTTGAGTCACTCAGCAATTTTATAAGGTAGATCTCTCAAAGAAGATCAAGGATTGCAAATAATGCCTCCCTCTTATTTCTAATTTGGAATGCATTAATTATTTCTCACCTCCATGTAGAATACTATTTGAGGAAGTCTGTCACTTTTTAGAATTTCTACAACTCAGGGCTTCAGATGGTTACCATCTGTAGCATTGCGTCAGATTGAATGAATTGCTCTCAGACAGATTTCAAGTCCATTAAGTTCTGGGGAAAGATCATTCAAAGGGCCTTAAGATTAACTGATTTTCTTGTCTTCGAAGGAAACAAGTGAACATTTAAACAGAAGGATGTCAGCCAGTTATAATCCATAAATCTGTCAGCAAACTGTATCTAGCATGTTCATAAAATTAGACAAGACTTTTTCCCCATTTAGTGTCATTTTCAGTTACGTACTCTGCATTATACAGAGATCAACTGTTTCTTGGTGGGTAGCCTATCTTTTGGAAGTCTGGGGCATGTTTTCTTCCCTTGTCAATTTGTTTCTGATTTGGTGCGTAGGGTGACATTTGGTCAGACATCGGGTTAAAAAATTAATCCGAAATAGGTAAGTGCAAACCAATTTCCGTTATAACCAATGAGAAGTAATTCATTCTTTTGACAGCTCACTGATCTGTACTGATTTTCCTAACTAGCTGAAACACTTTGTGATTCCTCGTTTTAGAATTTTTATCCAAGCTTCTCTACCAGTTATGTAAACTTCTCTGAGGGAAAACGTTAGTTTCACCTTCCTTAAATGAATCTATGTTGTTTTCCTGATATAAATCACCCACACAAACATGATGATAACCACCACTTACCTTGTATCTCATATTGAGGGTCACCATGCACCATTATTGAAGAGGACAGAGCTGAAAAAGTAAATTGGAGCTGAAATCCAGTCTACACTCAGCTTGACAAATTGTCCAGCAAGAAAAAAATGCTACATTTTTTCAAACTCATGGCAGAAATTGTACTGGAAGCTGCATGGACACTATTATAGTAGGTCTATTCCAAATCTATGTAAGTTAGATGTCACTATCCTAGTTTCACAGATGCAGAAACTGAGTGTCTTAGAAGTAAACTAGTTCTCTCAGGGTAACACAGTCAGTAAGTGGAGGAGTCAGATTTAAACCATGGTCTTCAGGGCTGTCCAGTCCCTGCTTATTTCCCCTGAGCTGTGAGGCTCCTACTGCATTAGCAATAGACCTACTTGGGAAAAGGCACTGTCTTCACTGAGCTGGACTACATTTAAAATGGCTGTCCCATGACCCTTCCAGTGGTTATGATGCTTTTTTTATAGTTTCTCTGGGCCATTCTCATAACATTGGCCAGTATGGATGTGGAAATTTAGGAAAAAAACAAGTTTGTGTTCAGTTGGTTCTTCCAGCTCTTTGCTTGCAGAGTGAACATGAGGTTTCTCTCCTAGTTAGGTCCATATTTATGGTAAGAAAGACAAACAAGCTCAAATAAAAGGGGCAGTTGGAGGGATCATTGTACAGCCACAGAGAGTTTGCAGGACACTCTGAAAACAGCTCGACACTAGGCCTTAGGAAGATTAAGAATCAAATATCTAGAAAGGCAGTTCTGCTCCATAGTACTCTCTTCATTTCACCTTTCCCTGTCTTCTCTGGGTTAACTCTCTGCAAATGTACTTTCTTCTCTGTCTCTCTTCATTCCCTTTTTCCTAGATTCTACTCATTTATAATTGTATGTGCATCTAGGCTGGAAACAGCAGCCTCAGCTTCAAGATTACATGACTTTGAAACCCCAACATCTGAAATTGCCATCTGTGTCTTCCAGTTCATATTCCCAAACTATGAGTCTCTTTGCCATTGCTTTTCTTTCCAAGACAATTTTTGGATGGTCCACTCGTAGTTACATGTCCATCTCTAAGCCAATTAAGGTATTCAGAGTGAACTGACTGAGTTATATGTTAAAATAATCACTCTGTAGGAGCTGTGAGTGGGAGGAGCCCCCGTTAGGTACATAAATAATGGGTATCAAAGTTAATCTCAAATGTGTCACAACTACTCTGGCACCAAATTGTGCTTGTCCTCAGATAGTCAACTACTTGGTAAGGGGCAATAATAGACCTGAAGTACAGTCAGGGGCCTAGTAGTCATAGTCTTTTTCCAAGGAAGAGGTTGTTATGATAAAAATAAATGAGCCCAGCAGTAAGAGGAAGAGGATGAAGTGGTTGTTAGAATTCTAAAAAATAATAATAATAATAATTGGCTCTTTATATTTTGTGGTGTCCATTCTACTACCATCACTGATGCCGAATGACTGGAAGAATTATTAGTTTGCTGAAAAAGTAATTGTATTTTTTGCCATAAAAGGAATGACAAAAACCACAAGTGCTTTTGCATCAACCTAGTCTGTAAAAACTCACCTGAGTTACATGCATGCCAGCTAAGAATTAACTCCCAGGTCTAATTTTCACCATTTGCTTTAAATCCCTCCTTTCATCTGTTTTCCTTTCTTACACACACCTTGGACTTCAAGAGAAGGTATGCTCTTGACTAGCCCTGTCTAGATTGACAAATTTCAGGTCATCCTCTTGACTCTGGCATAATACTTCCTTAAGATGCTGCTTCCAATACACACCCTGTGCTTCACCTAGGCATTCCCTGCCTTGCCTTTTATCTTATCTTTATTTATTAGTAATAACTGTGATAGATAACGTTTATTGATCATTCACTATGTCTTAGACACTGTCTTATGCCTTTTCATTATCGGACTGTCACAAAACTGTATATGGTAGCTAATATAATTATCTTTTTTCTATAGAAAAGGAGATAAAATTTCAGAGAGATTGAATATTTTACCAAAGAAAACACAGTGACCAAGATGGAATATAAACCTAGGTGTGATTAATTTTGGGGCATATACTCAAAACAATGAACTATTAACATCTACCACTGATTGAGTTTTCTGTGTGTGCATGATGAAGCTATGTCTAAGATGTGTGTCTTCATTCAAAACATAAGTTTTAATGGGGAGAAACCTTAAAATATACCTCTGGTGTCCTCATAATACAGACCAAGTTGCAAATACCAATTAAACTCTCAAATTCTTATTGTTCATCTAGACCATGCTTCAGCTATCAGCACTGTCCAAGTCGAGTTAAAATAACAGCAATTTCTTCTACTTAATTTCAGATTAGCATTCTGAGAATAAGAATATTGAAACTTGTTATTCTGAATTTTATACCCCAAAGATGGATACTACCTGGCAATCATGAGTCACTATCATTATCTTAAACAGTTCTTTCTGAAGTAATTAGAATGATTAGAGTCAAGGCATGTGATTATATGGTTCATTGGTCTGTTCCTGTGATCAATTTGCTTAATGTAATTCTAAAATTGTCCCTAAAAACATTGCTGTATTCTTTCCTTCCTCCACTTGTTAATGGATCACTATATGGTAAGAAATGAATTGTTGCATATCCCACACACAAAACCTGTGCTATGAAACTGCCTTTGTTATAGGCAGGCTTTAAAACAATATTGTCATTATTGGCTAATAAAGACCATAAAGCACCCTTCATCACCTCTGCTCAGCTTCTTCACCTTCCCAACAAGACGACCTGCAAAACATTCAGAGCACTCTGTTCTCTAGTCACTGAAATAGGTAAAAAGGGGATGTAAGAAGGGCTTTAGTCCATGTTCCACATAAGCAAACTTGGTCTGTTCGTATTCCACATTTAGCCATTACCTACATCTTAGAAGAAGACTTTAGGATTACCTCACTTTCTCCACCCCCACTTAAGCAAAACAAAACAAAAGACATATTGTTTGTGCATCTAAACAGGTGTGCGCGCACACAGACACGCGCACACACACACACACACACACACACACACTCCTTTGATTCTCATTCACAAGATGTGGGTATAAGCAGGAGATAACCCAGACAGAAAGGATCAACACTCCTGTTACTGCCCAACAGGTTCTCTTTGCCTACTGCCTAGACCGAGCTGATTTATCAAGACAGGGAAATTGCAATTGAGAAGGAGTTTAGTTCATATAGAGCCAACTGTACCCGAGACTGAGTTTTATTATTACTCAAATCAGTCTCCCTGAAAATTTGAGGATGGCTTTTTGAAGAGTAATTTGGTGAGTAGGGGTTGAGAAAGGGGGGGTGTGCTGACTGGTCAGGTCAAAAATGAAATCATAGGGAGTTAAAGCTGTCCTGTTGTGCTGTTAGTCCCTGGGTCGGGGCCACAAGACCAGATGAGCCAGTTTATCCATCTAGGTGGTACATTGGAATGCAGGGTCTGCAAAATATCTTAAGTGTTGATCTCAGGTTTTTCAACAGTGACTCCTAAACCACAATTTCTCATCTTATGACTAAGTTTTTAGTCCTGAAAAGGCAATCTAGTCCCAGGCAAGAAGGGGGTTTGTTTTGGGAAAATGCTGTTATTGTCTTTGTTTCAAAGTTAAATTATAAATCAAGTTCCTCCCAAAGCTAATATGGCTGATGCCCCAAAATGAACAAGGACAGTTTGGAGGTTAGAAGCAAGATGGAGTAGGTTAGGTCAGATCTCTTTCACTGTCGTAATTTCCTAGTTATAATTTTTGCAAAAGCAGTTTGATCCCCAGCTTTTAAATGTCTGAAACATCTGACTTCTGAGGTCTCTTTTTCTCCATTTGCCCCATTGCTACTGCAGAAAGAGCAGTGGGAGCAAAACAAACAAATTCTGGCTCTGTCTCTGTTAATTGCCAGTTCTGTGTCCTTGGGCAAATTCTTGACTTTCTTAGAATCTGTTTCCACATCTGCAGAACAGTAGTGACAATAACTGCCAAAGAAAAATTTTGTTGAACAGAATTAAATAGGCAAAGGAAACTTCATTCAAAACTATTGCAACAGGGGAGAGATATTGAAGTCAATTCTGATGAAACAAGGGCAGAAGGGTTTTTAAGTGCTGGGGTGAGCTAGGCGAAGAATACTGAAGGATGTTAGTGGGTAGATTATTCAATAAGATCAGGCCATCTGTATTTTCTAATTGGCACTTATCAAAGTTAACCCCCTACCCTTCCATAGAGATGCGATCTAGGGGAACTATCGTCCTTAATGATTACATTTCAAAAGGATGGCTTTCAGTTCCTTGAGAAAGATATTCCTGGGTTGTAAAACCAGCAAGAGGTGGGAGAAGATTTCCAACTCAAAGTGGCAGAGAAAGAATTAACAATACCAAGTTTTCTAAAGTGAATGCTCAAAGAAAATGTAGGTCAGAGGCCTATAGTTAGGAGGAGACCTGTTGAAAGTCTCATCAAGCTGAAGGAAACATTAAGACCTTTTGGTCATAATCAGCCTACCTTTTCTACATGGTTGCTGAGAGGAAAAAAGAAGCTAATAAAGATCAAATTCCCCTTAAAGTATCAAATGTATATGACAATGGGGAGGAGGAAGAAAAAGAGAAAGAGGAAAATAGCTGTTATTCTTGGTCACTGAAAATGTCTGGGACATAGGGGAAAAATATATATATATACATACACACATACATATATATACACGTATGTATACATATGCATACCTACCTACATAAATGAATAAGCAAAAAATTAGCCCCTTTTATCAAATAAGACCATTTTTCTGAAGACAGTTATTTTCAGAAAAACAACAGAACAAATAAACTAGGTTGCTTTGTTTTAGGACCTCATTTATACAGTGAGCATAGACTGTTCCCCGTTCATACGCTGTTTTCTCTTATATATTTTACTTAGGATCCAACAGATACCTGAGGATAATCCAAAAATTCTTTTTAATTCTGCTGATGATTGCAACAGTCAATCCCTACTCTTCTGTGAACTCTCTTCAAACACAAAATAATTTAATTTAAAGAAAATCCAGCAAGGCTAAATCAATGCAATCTTGGGCCTATGGTAAATAGTTGGGCAGATGAATTTAGTTATTTCCAAATCTGTACATGATGGAGAGGTCCTTCAATAAAAATACTGGGTCATCTGGAAGATGTACCCCTGTTCTACATTGATGAATGTTGGTAGATTGGTGAACTAGCTACAGGGTGGTGCTTAAGACCACAGAATTTAGAGACATATTGTATTAACTCTGGCAAATTCTATTGCCTGCCATATGGGCAAATTATTTTATCATTTGGAGGCTTGGTTTCCCTATCTAGAAATGTGAAAATGTAATAATGATCACCTCCTAAGGTTGTAATGAGAAGTGGGATGCAGTACCTAACACTGTGCCTAGCCTATAGTAGAACACCAAAATTGGAGTTCTAATGCTTTTGCTGTTATCATTAGCCTACACATTTAGCCCATCAATCATTAGCCTAGTTGATAATAGTATTGATTTGAAATGCTTAGACTTTTCATATATTTAGGACTCCTAGTTAGCCACCATCTTTCAGACAGCTCTGCAGGTCTCTTTTTCTGCTTGTGATTTTTCCAGAGAAATTGGTCTCAAGGGTTTAAAATTTTCCCAGGGGATTCCTGAAGGTCAGGGTCTACCTTGTGGGAATCTGCTCTCCTCAATGAGTCAAGACTAAGCACAAGAATTTGTGGTTTTTAGTAGATTGGAGCTTGGATCAGCAAGATGGAATTTGGTCATAGAGTAACCCAGAAATCCAGTCCTTATGGAGACATTGACCTAACTGATACCGGGTAAGAGATGCCTATTGTGTGTTCTTTTACACAAGAGATCATTTATAACTGATGAAGTTCAAAAACATCCCCATTACTCATTACCCTAGTTTAATAAAATACCTTGCCAGTTAAAATAGTGATGCATGAAACAGCTTTTGTTCCTAATATTTATCATGTGCCAAAGTAGATTTGGGAGGACACTGACAATATGAAATGAGTATCCAAGCATTTTACTTCCTGGTTTATCCAAAACCTGTGGCCTCAGTCAAAGAAGTCAGCACTGACATATAAAGCACTAGCAAGTGCAGAAACTCTCCCAGGGAAGTGTCTGCAAAGGAAGAAAGAAGCAGCTTCTATGTTCTGCCCTTTTTTGATGGAATGTACCTGTCCTCACCCTTTTTAGACTTACTGTGTGTGACAAGGCATGAAAAGGGAGGGCAGAGTTTATCTACCTGCTGCTTTAACCTTATTTGAGTGACCGCATGACAAAGTTGGGGAGAAGAAAATGCTATTGCTTCAGTGGGCATTCAGTCAAGAAATTTAGCTTAAAGATGGGCCAAGTGACCAGAATTTTCTGGCTGCAAAGATCAGATGTCAACAACATCTGAAGGTTTCTTTAGCATGGGTGGTGAAGTCCTCCACAATTTTACTATAGCTTTATCTTTCCTTGTGGTCCACCTGAGCCCTTTGCTCTGACCATACCATGTTCACCTTTGACTCCATTCTGACTTTCCTTACTCATCAACTCCTTTCTCCATCTGACCCTGCCCACCCTTGGAGACACTACTTCTGCTTTGACCCTGTCTTTAGTTGCCTCAATGCATTAAAGATCATTGACCTTCACTTCCTTTAAATACTCTATTTAATACTTTAAATAGAGTATTCTTGTAGTTAAATCTTGCAGTAATTAAACATGTAGGCTCAGGAGCCAGCTAGCCTGGGACACAAGCCTGGCTGTTTCATTTACCAGTAGAGAGGCCTTGGGAAAGTTTCTTAAACTTGGTGTGCATTTTCTCATATATGAAGTAGGGATACTAATAGTACAATAATAGCATCATTGTGAGGATTGAAGAGCTCATATTGTTTTCAAAGCAGTGTCTGGCAAAAAGTGATTTTATCTTTATATGGGTATTCTTTTTGGTAAGTGGACTGTACTTCATTTGAAGACAGGGATTATCATGTATCTCTGTTTATATCTTCAAAAACCCTTGCAGTTGGCAGACACTGAAATGAGTATGAATTGATTTAATTAATTATTACATATGGGCTTTTAGTGATTATGATGAGTTGTGAATTAGCTTTACTTTCTTTTTTTTCCTTCACTAACAACCAATAGATTTGAATACATAGCATATTTTAGGATCTGGAAATAATACAAAGGGTCATAGTTCTGCCCTCAGGTAAATGGATACATATATCCAGGAATAAATGATTGAAATGTGGAGAAAACAATACTTTGACATGGTTAAACACAGGAGCCATGGGAGCACAGACAGGGACAGATGACCCAAAGGGATCCCATGGAAGTTTTATGTATAACCAACGCTCACAACTGTAGTGGCATTTCTGACAAAGGCATTCTCCTTTCAGTACCGAGGAATATATGGGTGGTGAAACTAGCTAACCGGAGAGGTGCCCTAAGCTTTCAGGGAAAAAAAATTTTTTGGAGAAGACTGAGTCAGAATTGGCAGTATTTCTTGACACACAAGAAGAGTTCAAGTTAACCCAATTTACTTTGGCATTGTTTTTCTTTGTAAATATTCATTTAAAAAGGCAAGGGGGAGGAGAAATAACCCTTAAGTGTAGAGCTGGGATTCCTTTGGACCTCCATTGCCCTACAAAAGTTTGAGGGTATATTCAGAACTACTTTAGCTGAGTCAAATAGTTTTCTTTGTTGCCAGGTTCAGGCAAGAACCAGGCAGCAAGCCACTTATGACTTAATTACTAGGCCATATTAAACCATGGCAATTTAATTGCAATTAGTGCCGTAATAATTTATTTATAAAATGCCAGTATATGCATTTGCATTTGACAATCCATTTACTTTCAGTGTGGTACTATGTGTGTCCCATTAAATTATAAAGTGCAAGGTCATTAAACTGCAATTCCACTTGTGATCATGTTATTAAATTGCATCCTGTCCCTTCTCTGGCTGAGATAAAATTGTTAGATCATTTATCTGTAACTATTTAATTTCCCTCTGATCTTCTGAAAGCTTTTATTATTGCTAACTAAGCAGGTGTGACGTGTGGAAATCACTTGGCACTTCTTTAACATGTGGGCAGGATCCAAAATTGGGTCAGGTTGCTTTAGTGCTCTCATTTTCCTCTTATTTGCTTTTGGTCATTAGTGATTTTGGCAGTATGATACATGTTTTCATGTTCAGAATCTTTAGAGTTTTGGGGACATTAAAGAGAACACTTGGCACGTGACCAAGTGTGCCATGGATGTACTATGGAAGCAAACCACTTCCTCTGCTTCTGAAGCCAAGGTGGCACTTAGTATTGAGTGTTCAGGGTTCTTTGGCTCAGTGTTATGGATAATGAGTCTGGCATTTGTACTATAGAACTTCCCAGATAGATTCTTTCTCATGGATAAAACCTATCTTTATCAACACAGAGCACATGGACTCCTGTTCCAGACCAGCTGTCTTATGTACCTCACTGGGTATGTGCCCTAAAGACTGGATAGTTTAATACAACTTTTACTCATAAGTGAAGAATGAAATAAATAGAATGGGACTACCATTTGTTTTCCTTTAATTGATGTATTGATTCATACTGAATGTGAAAGATCATAACTCATGGTCTCTCAAATAAATTTCCTGTTAAAATTCTGTAAGAGAGATATTACTGTAAACCCAATTTACAGGAAACTGGGACCCAGAGAGAAAAATTTACTAGTGTAAGTTTGCACAATTACTAGGTGATATGGTTTGGCTGTGTCCTTACTCAAATCTCATCTTGAATTGCAGCTCCCATAATCCCCATGTGTCATGGGAGGGACCCAGTGGGAGGTCATTGAATCATGGGGGTGGGTTTTTCCCATGCTGTTCTCATGATAGTGTATAAGTCTCATGAGATCTGATTGTTTTATAAAGGGCAGTTCCCCTCACACACTCTCTTGCTTGCCATCATGCAAAATGTGCCCTTGCTCCACCTTCGCCTTCCACCAGGTTTGTGAGTCCTCCCCAGCCGTGTGGAACTATGAGTCCATTGAACTCTTTTTCTTTATAAGTCATCTAGTCTTGGGTATTTCTTCATAGCAGTATGAAAATGGACGAATACTCTAGGTAGCTGAGCTAGGATTTAGGACTGTAGGACTCCAAAATGCTTTGTGACAAATCACATATTTAAGACCCAAATATGAAGGAATGAATGTATGAATGAAGAAAGAAAGGTGTTTTTGATTGATCTCTTCTTCAAATGAATATACCCTCTTTTTTAACAGAGCCATATATATTCATCCCCAGAGTAGTGTTTTTGCTGAAGGATGTCCAACTTTGCCACTGAGATATTAGTTTAGTAGAGGATTGGTAGGATGGTGGCATTGAAGAGCACTTTGTATGAGTTTGGCTGCCAAGAGTGTGAAGAGAGAAGCAAGTGACAGAGTAAACATCTGTTTTCAGAAGACCCTTCTGCAAGAGAAATACCTCATCTGTGGAGTGTCGCAATCTGTACTTGGAGTTCATTATTGGGCATCAATGATATACTAGAGACTGTATCAGGTCCCAGACATACAATGGTGGGAACAGTATACATGACTCATATTCTCTTACGTATGTATTCATACATCTCTTATGTATATCCAAGTAAAGTCAATGAATACATTGTAAATTGAGAAAATCCCTTTCAATTCTCTACTATTCAACGCTTCTCTCCACTGTCCCTTGTGATTGGCAGAACACATCAAGTTAAGGGGCTGAGTGATGCTTCAGCTGTATCCAAGGTTATCGGATTTATATTTAGAATCTCATTCCCTCAGCACCTCTTTCAATCCATGAGTTGTGGATTCAAATACAATTTCCATTAGTCCATATTCAAAGAGGCTGACTGAATACTTTGACTTAAGTGACAGTAACATTTAAAATACCCTCAGGACCTGAAGTGATTGCCAGACTGCAGGAATCTGTGTTAGGGAGAAACAAATGCAACTAAAGTTGGTCACACTTGATGCAGATACTCTTTTTCTGGGTCCATCACAGAATTTTGCTGACTTTTTCTTGTAAGTGAGTAAATAATTGACCTCAATGAATATATGCAATCAGATTATATATAGAGGAAAGGGTCAGTTCAATATTTTATCAGATTCTGAATACCTATTGTCGAATGAGATTGGCACCGTGACTTTATTATGCTGTGTTCTAACATTAGCATTCATACATGTTAGGGTATGCCTGATTGACTAGTGAGGTGGTTTGCCAACTAGTTATCTTACATGAGACCAGGCTGCATCCTGAGAGACAGCTCTTCCTCAGAGAGATGGAGT
This sequence comes from Homo sapiens, assembly GCF_000001405.40. Taxonomy (NCBI): domain Eukaryota; kingdom Metazoa; phylum Chordata; class Mammalia; order Primates; family Hominidae; genus Homo; species Homo sapiens. Next base: position 108,751,332 of record NC_000010.11, on the reverse strand, counting down.
TTTTCTTACAGTTTCCTGATCAGGGAAAAGAGGGTCAATTCTCAGTATAGCATTAAAGGCTTAGAGCATATCCCCATTGGGGTCCTGATATTTTTTCTCCTTTCATCTGACTAGGTTTAAATGCTTGGAAAATAGAGAATGTGTATCGCCCACATTTTAAATTCCTGATATTTACCATTGTACCTGATCCTTAGTAGGCAATCAATAAATATTTCTGAATCAATAAAAATTGCTGGGTTTGGGTTACAGTTAGTGAAATTCTTGGAATTAGAGTTAGTTCTATGTTCCAGGCACTGTGCTAAGCAGTGTACATATATCGTATCCTTCATTAGCTGCAATAACCTTTTGGAGTAGATGGTGACATTATTATCCTTATTTTCAAATGGAGAAATTGAGGCTCAGAAAAGATAAATTAATTAGCTAAGTTCACATGGCTGATGAGAAAGGATTTGACTGAGGATTATGCCGCTCTCAATCTCATGGAACCTCCCAAGTATTCTTGTGCCAACTTCAACCTTAATCTCTAGCATAGTATTAAGGGCACACTATGAAAACTGAGAAAATTTTCCAGCATCAACAATAATAAAATATTAATACAAAATATTTGATGATAAATATTATGAATATTAAATACTCCATGTGCTTAGGCTCTCTTAGAATCTGAGGGTGAGACTATACTATAAAGATTAATCAATTGGTATTTTTCCTTCATTATATTCCAGGATATAGTTAATAATGTTGCTGTTGTTGATGAAGATGTGTATCGTAACTGAATAATGAAGAGTGGGATAAATCCCCCTTGATATTGTTTCAGTATTTGAGTTCAGGTGCAACTGAAGATCTACTTCCAGATTCCTTTTACTTCCTAGTTTATTGGAGGGAATTAAATAAATTCCCTTTAGTTTTTTTTTTTTTTTTTTTTTTTTTTTTTGAGATGGAATCTTGCGCTTTTGCCCAGGCTGGAGTGCAGTGGCGCGATCTGGGCTCACTGCAAGCTCCGCCTCCCGGGTTCACGCCATTCTCCTGCCTCAGCCTCCCGAGTAGCTGGGACTACAGGCGCCCGCCACCACCCCCAGCTAATTTTTTGTTTTTTTAGTAGAGACGGGGTTTCACTGTGTTAGCCAGGATGGTCTCGATCTCCTGACCTCATGATCAGCCCGCCTCAGCCTCCCAAAGTGCTGGTATTTGAGGCGTGAGTTGCCACGCCCAGCTGTTTTGTTTCTTTTTTAAGCCGTTTTTGGTTGGATATTTCTGATCGGAAACAGAATGAGTTTGACTAAATATAGCATATATTTCTTCCAGTTCTGGATCTATATTTTCTGCAGACCATTTAGTGGAATGGTGTTATGGTTGGGAATGCATACTCCTTTACATCCCAGTCTGGAATCGACATGAGTCTTTCTGAGTTTGAATTATCTAGATTGGAATTGGACTCTGGAACACTTAAAGTCTTACTTGTCTTTAGCTGAAAGATCTTGGGAAATGTTCCTTGTGTGATGACTACATTGAGTTCATTACTCTAGGGAGACCTAAGGCACCTGTGAATTTTTATAGCTGAATTTTGTTGCACCAGCAATTATACAAAGTTTTAAACTCTGCCTCATGAATCACTTGGACAACTTCTCCTTCACTAATAATAGCTGAGGATTCAGCTTCTGTTTGCCTTTCTTATTGAACATGTTAAGAAAAATGCATTTATGTGTCTGAGAGCTTTCTGACATTTGGTATATTTTCATTTATCTGCCCTCCAGGTTTTTTTTTTTTTTTTTGGTAGTTTTTGGTGGAAGTCTGACTACCCTAATGGATTACTTATGTAGTTATATATTTTTAAATGAAGTATAATAAAACTGGTTTTAAATAAAAATATAAAGCTACTTGAAAATAATAAAGATTAAATCAACATTTTAAACACCTCTTTATTAGGCTTTGAAATACTGCTGAGTTCATTTTTTTCTTTATCTCTCTTCAGCAGATTCAGTATGTTTTAATGATTAATTATATAAGCTATGTTTCATGATTCAGTAGAACTGTAATAACATTTTAGATGCACAATCATTTATCACCCAAGCAGAGAGGCACCTATTTTGTTCTCTAGTTTTCACTTCCTCCATTTAGTATAAATACCTAACCTTATAACCTTTCAAATTCAAATATCTCTGAATAGGAAGCTAAACTTACTTCAGATAAGAAGTTGAACTCAAATTATCTAAACACTCAATATGGGAATCATATTATCTACACTAAAAATTAGAACATTCCATGTGATAAATAATTATTGTTTGTTAATTGGTAAAATCAACATGAGGGTATAAAGCTTTATTACCCTCATGGAAATGAATACATTTGATGTAAAATGACGGCTGTATCACAAATTTCATTGTTTCATTTGTCTTAGCTGTTTTTACCTTTTTCTTGTCCTATTTTTTTCTACAGGTTTGATGTAAACATATTCAGCAAGTTCTATAGTTAAATACACTTGCTTAATACACATGAAGCAACTAAAGATAACGAAAGATAATTATGTGACACTTAGACATGTGTTCTAAATTAAGTACCTAATATGTGACCCAAACACCAATTGCATTGAGTCTTGACCTGAGCACCAGTTGCAGAGTCCTTAACCTAAGTTTATGATAAGCTTCAGTGAAATTATATGCATATCTACAATTATCTGTACATATACTTTTGTCTAATAAATTCTACTGACATAATGGTTTCTCCATTGGTAAAACCAAAAACAATAGATTTTATTTCCACTAAATTCCCTTCTACCTCTGAAATTCTGATCATTCATGTTGTGTGTACTGCTCCCTTCCCTTTTCCTTTCCTTCTTTAGATAATGTAGTCAAATTTCCTACTTTTAGAGATGAAAACAAATCTGACGGTTAATGACTCTCTACGTTGGGTTATGGTGATAGAATTGAGAAATGAGGAATAAATTCACTAAGCCAGAAAGAAAAGTTTGACTTTTTAACTAAGTGAAGGACTAGGTGCAACTATAGAGGTCCAGGAAATGGAGTCCAACATTGTAGAGTCGTAGAGATAATCAAAAAGTAGTGGGTCAAGGCAGAAAACAGTACAGAGAAATTCTTTTGAGGAGATATTATAGTGTGATGTCCCAGACTCATACAAACAGGCTGTGTTAAGGGACATGGAAGAGCCAGCTGTGTTTAGAGAGTATAGCAAAAAGCCCAAATAGATTGCTCTGCTGTTTCCCTTCCATCCTACTTCCTACACTTAGATTTTTTTCTCTGCAACAACAAATTCAAAAACTTCTTAAGAACCTAAAGCTTCTAGGATGAGATAGATGAACATAAATCAGGACAATTTTGGGCTTTGGCCGTGAAGTCATGGATTATCATCCCAAATAAAGAGAGAAGACTGAGATTGCAAATTCAAGTCAGAAACACATATGTGGTTCATTGAGCATCAGCTCAAAGCCTAGCCCCTCCGTTTCAGATAATGGAAAGGTGACATGTGTCTGAGAAGGGATCTCATGTAGAATTCAAGAGCTGCTTGCCGCCTGGATATCTGATATAGTGAGAGATAAGGTCTTTGAATGATGTCTTGGGGACGTTTCAACCACCAGGATTTAGATGATTGTCTAAGGTCATTAAGTAAACAAAATATGCGGGGGAAAATGGCATGGGATTTTGGAGGCCAAATGACACAAATTAAGTCAACAAAGTAATTTCATCACTAAGCAGCTTCCCCATGTGAAAAAAATGCAGATATTCATGGGGTTGGATTCAGGATTTAATTAGATGATACACGTGGCAGAACTTTGTAAAGCTCCTTATAAATGTTAGCTTATTTATTTAAAGGATAATATATTTGTCCTTCGGACTGGCAAGGCCCAGAGTCCATTTGGAGGTTAAGCTTGCAGGCAGTAGACAGATCAGTGCTCAAATGGGGCACAGTGGGAACCTCTCCCTCTGCAGTTTGTCCCTACAGTGCAGCTGGAGGCAGCCAAGCATCCTGAACCAGCGACAGCATGAGGCCCATCAGAACCCCTGCCAGGGTTGTCCTTTCCTCTGTGGGGAGATTTTCCAGTGAAATGTTCCTGCAGTTTCTCTGGGGAGGAGGGATTGAGACCAGGAGAGGGTTCAAAAAGAGCTAAATCCAGGATGTGTCAACAGCTCCTAAGCGTGGTGGTGGAAGAAACATTTGCCCTTGCACTTTTCTGTCTTGAGTGAAGGATAATTTAGCTTCTCTGAGGGGAAAAAAAAGTACCTAATGTCAGTAATGTCAGAATAAAATGAGGTCCTTCTGTTTATATATCCGAGCAGCATGATGTAGTAGGAAGGGATCTAGACTTAGAGGGGGTCAACCTGGGCCCTTCGCTAACTCACCGTGGAATCATGAGCACTTCATTTGACCTCTTGTTTTCCCATCTGTAAAAATGGGATATAAAAATCTGTCCTATTTTCCTTATGAGCTGTTATAAAGTTTATCTGAAAATCATTTAAAAGCATACAAAATTATACAAAAATATGTTCCTCCCTTTTTTATATTGTTTATATTGTGAGATAAATCCAACTTTGTCTCACTTATAAAACACCAGATTATACCTACTTCTGACTCAAAAATCAGCACTGCAGTAGATAGATTACTACTGCATTAGTTCTTAAAGTCGTGCCTTAGGGAGGATGTGTAGGAGCTGAAAGAGTGTGCACTTTAGAAGTAGGTAGAACTGGATTTAAATTCTTGCCAATCATTTAATTAATAATCTGGAAAGATGTTCTTTAACTGCCTGGGACTCAGTTGTCTCTCTTGTAAAATGGTCAAAATGATGCCTTTATCACAGAAGTGATGCAAGCTACAGGATATATCATAGACCTCTATACAATATCTTCACCCCAAGAGTAGATTCTCACTAATTATTAACTCTATTCCATCCACCCTGTACAGTGTTAAAATGAGACACATGAGTGGTGTAAAAGTGTGAAGGTCTTTATCAGACATTTAACAACTTTTGCTCTTCTTTGGATTTTTCACCTGAACAAAGCACATGAGAATAATGTCGTGGACATGTTAAGGAAACATTTAAAAGAGTAAAAGCACATTAAAGGACACTTCAATGGGTTCAAGTGAGAAAGGAGTAATTTCCTTGTGAGGATTCAGTTCTCCTTGAATTTAGAAAAGTGTTTAAATAAAATGAACACAGTGACAAGCATATCTGTAATAGATGTGAAAGGAATATTAGTATTAGAGACATATTTTTTTCTTTTGTGTAATTTTCTCTTCAACAGGCCATAAGTTTACATTGGGCATCAGTTTTCTTCTTTGTAAAGTGATGCAGTTCAGTACAAGGCCTTTTCCAGGACTCACATTTCCTAGACCTATGTTGTTCTGATCATATTTCTGAGTCTTTGGCTTGGAGGAATTCATCCCTAAAAGAGGAAGCTTGGGATTGATCACTGGGGGCAGGCAGCAGACAAAGTCCAGGTGTCAACATGAGTGAACATTCACATTTCCAGCTTCATTTCAGTCTCCCTGAAATCCATCCTTGCGAATGGCCAGCGCTCTGCTTAATGAACATTTGCACTGGCACATTACACGGCAGGTCGACCAATGACCACCCCGCCATGAGCCCATGCCTCCTTCAGGGAGGGGCTTGTTTTATGGTTTCTTTTGGTTGGAGTTAATACAGTGGAAGCTCATTATAATCCCAGTGCTGATCAAGAGTGAAAAAGACATCTGCATCACCAAGAGCATTAGGGTGAATTTAACCTGATGCATACTAAATTATGTAGGCACAGACTCTAAAATGGCTGATACTAACAGACACTTTTTTATTTATAAAGGTGTTTGCACTCTGCTGTGGCTGCCCATGTGGAGGCAGAATGTGGATCACTTTTCACTAGGATGTAACAACTAGGGTGTGGGCGACCCATCCAGTTCTCAAGGGAAAACATTGACAGGGTTCCAACAGTTCCCTTGAAAACAGAATGATTTGAGTTACAACACGGGGACTTCAGTCCCTCCATCTTAATCTGGTTCAGTGTTTCTTTCACTTTAGCATGTATAGGTATAACTGTATAGGGCTGTATATTTCCAACTGCACATATTGCACATTATGGATGACTCAGGAGATTTTCCAGGACAACTTTGGCAACATGCAATTCTTTTGTTATATGCTGAATGTACAATCTGCTTACTCCTCTACCCTTTCATGTTAGAGATGACCACAGACTCCCTGACTATCATAAAATGTAGTCCAAAGGCATAGGAATATTTCACCACTCTCTCCAGGGCAGGGTTGACTTCTCCTTCTAAAGGTTTCAACCACACTTCCATCAGAATCAGAAGGACAAAGCTGACAAATACAACTCCCTTTCCAGGTCAGCTGTCAAGCACCTGAGCTCACAGGAAGACACCTAGGTCAGCTTTGCTATTTCCCTTTGTTCCACGACTGTGGTGTCAGAATTAATGGCTACAGAGACAGACCTGTTCATGATTAATGGCCTAATCAGAGGAGTATCTCTTAAACTTGCAAAGGTTGTTTATTTTCTTACTTTAAGGATCCTAATTGCATGTCTCACCTTTTCGGTCTAGCATTTGGTAATTCTTTATATAGCAATGTGACCTCTTCCTTTGTTGTTGTTATTCTTTTTTGGCTGTGTGTTTTGTGTATTATTTGGTAAACAATAGTGCTCACTGAAGGCAAAACTGCAAGGTATCAGGAAACTAGAGGAACAAAGTGGACATGTCTCTGGTCTGGATCTCTTGACCTCATGTCTTAGAGAGATCACCAAAGAGCCCTGGCCCTCTGTACCCCCCAGTTCACCTCTGTAATGGGTCTTATGACCACATGATCTGCTCTGCTAAGGACACTCTTAGTTTATGCCCATATTCACTTGTCCTGGTTTGCAAGATTTATTTCATGGTTACACTAGCAGTGGGGAGAGTGATTGTATCTTCTCCACAAGGTTTCTGTGAGGATTAAAGAGACTGCCCCCAAATGGGGTGGAACTTGTGTGACAGACACTATGCAGTTGAGGACATGCGCTTGTCTTTGGGATACAAACGAAAGAAATTTACTTAAATGATTTTGCCTATACAGGGTAGAAAGTAGGTTGGGATTATTTTAAGGATACAGTGCTATCAAGGATTTCATCAATATGGAATCAAGAAATTAGAAAACTATGAGGACATAAAAACCATGTCTCCTTTCTGTTTATCTTTGATTTTGCCCCTGTCTCTGATCTTTTCCTACATGTCTTAATTTCTGTCTCTTTTTACCTTGTTCTATTTCTCTGAGTCTCTGAAATCTCTCATTTCTGCTTTTGATTCTTTCTCGTAGGTGGAAATCCACACCTTCTAATTACTCTTTCTGCTTTCTTTCAACATTTCATTTCTACAGAACATTGGATATGTGCCCTCTTATGTCAGATGTCTCTGCCAACTGATTACAGTATTGTGTCTCTTTTAGTTTTGATCAAATAAGACTAGGAGCCCCTCCTGCAGGGGTTGTGGGGAGGTTAGGGGATAACACACAAAAGTATAATAATACATTTGCCTGTATAATTCCTTGCTGAATATCCTCATGAATATGTAGTTCAGATAGGTCTGAAGCCAGATGTTTAAGGATCTGAGTTGCATCAAAACATAACCTATCACTACTAACATACATAAATTCAGTTATTTCAAACAATTGCATAAGAGTCTAGTCTATTCCAAAGATACTTCTTACCACAAAAAAATCTGTCTCTAGCATTAGGGGAAAGGCCTAACAATAATTCCTGTATTAAAAAAGAGATTATTATGCCTCTGCCAGGTAACACCTCTTTGTTTTTTCAAGGGGTGGGGATTGTCTTAATTTTTTTCTAATAGGCTGGATAGTTTTATTTGTGTCACCCATAATTTCTTTCCTGGCCCTCTCTGTGGCTTCTGCAGAGTTGGATGTGATGGAATAGGGGGACGAATTGTGGAAAAAGCAAATTTGTATGTCACATTCTTAACTCTGGCCTTATAATCATTGCCTTCCCAGTACATGAACTAATGGAAACAATGCATACATACGCACAGGCAAGCCATGTCAAGCTTTGCCATAGAATGGTCCAATGACTTCACCAACTTGAATCTTTGACCCTGGACATGCCAATGGCTGATGCTAGTTATAAATATTTTCTAAGCAACAGCATGGGACAAATGGGCTCCTTGTGTTTGAAGGTAAATATTCCCATGGTTAGTTTCTTTTGTGTGAAAAAGAGGCAATGCCTCCTTTGGGCTTATGGGTTGGTCAAAGGATCAATATTCATTGATGTTCTTGCCCCTGCTCCCAGGCTTGCTACAAAAGAGCAGCCAGCTGGCCATTCTGAGGCCTGGCATTCCAAGCTGCTGAACTGCCCAGTGTCTGATTCTCCATTCTCATATTGCTGAGAAAGGAAAAGCCCATCTACCTTTCATTGCTGCCCTCATTTGGTTCATAGGAGCCATCCAGGAACTACATGACCTTTTCTTCTTAGAGTGTTATTAAGCTCTAATGGATATTTTACCTAAGGTTGGAGGCTAGAAGAGGAATTGCTGGGTTCAGTCTTAGCCATTAAGTAAAGGTAAATGACAGTATTGAAGGCTCAGCTTTAAAGAAGGAATACCTAGCTTTTTCTGTCAGTGCAGAGTGGTGAAAAGGAAATGGGTAACATACTTCCCAGGCAAAATCCACACCAAATACATTTATTTCAATTGCTAGTGTTCTGACTTTAGGCAAATTAATTAAACATCTTCAGCTTTAGTTTACCTGTGAATGAATAAAGTATTTTTGAGATTGTCAGTCTATTATCTTTGTGGGGTAGAGTTGGGTTTTAGCCACAGGTAGAATGCAGTGGTGATTATAAACCAATAATCTTTAGTACCTGGCTTCAATTTCATTACAGAACCCCTGTACTTCTGGCTATCTCTTCAATTACTGAAACCATTTGCAGTTCTAGCACAAGGTCATGAACTTTCCTATTATCTTTTTAAAAAGCCTATTCACATGAATAAATAGGTACTCAAGAGGAATGAAGAGGGCAAATTATTCATCTTAAGGGCATTAAAGTAAATTGGTGAATATTCTTCTTATTATTATAATTAAACCCTATCTTGGGAAGACTTTTATTATCTAGAACTAATGACCAAAGTATTATAGTCTAAAATAACTTCAGAAGGAACAATTGTCCCAAATTCATGTTATAATTTATACCTTATCAATACACATTACGAATATTAGTGCATTGAATCCTTAAGGTAATAGTGTTATTAATCGCAACTTCCAGATGACAAAAAAAGTCAGTTCATATAGGTTGTGACTCACCAACCCTCAAGGACATTGTTCAACTTGTTTTCAACTCCATATTCCTTTAATTGTTGCTGTTTCATGTCCCATTAATAATATTAGCTTTTACTATGTAATAGTGATTAAAATGATCAAAATGAGATGCCTTACACAGTTTTTTATTTGATGTTTGTATTCTGATTTCTGCAACAGAGCCCTCCCTTTATCCCCAATAATAAATAAAAGTCATGTCTTTGATTTCAGGACCTAGATGTTTGCTTACATTTCCCCTCAGATTGTCCCTCTCTACTCCATGAAATATTTTTCAGCACTATTGTTATTGACATTAAACATTGTTACAAAATGAAATGTTCAACCATATCAATTCTGCTGTGCTACAAGAATAATACAATAACCATATTTTACTCCTATTATTTAAAGGAATTAATTGAACCAGAACTGCTACTAGCTAAAAATGTGTTATGTGCAAATTTTGAATTTAATTTCCTTCATATATAATGCTCTTCAGTAGTAATACAGATGAAAGGAAAGAAGGAGAGATTCTGGGATAAAACCTCAAAAGATGATTTGGTTTCAAGTATCTACTCTTTCTAAACAGATGGGAAAAACTACTATTAAATTTTTGATGAAATTATGTGTGTACATGCATATCTTTTTTAAATGAAACAAGTTAACAAATGTTTTAACAAGACAAATTTGAGGGGCAGGGCCAAGATGGCAGACTAGAAGCAGCTCATGTGTGCTGCTATCATGGAGAGGAAAGAAAGGGCTAATGAATATTGACCTTGCAGGCCATTCATGTGGGAAAACACATCAAGATCCATCATGGCAGCAGGGGAACACAGCAGAGATGAGCAAAGCTGGGCAGCAGCCTGACTGGGCTTGGCATGGAGCCAGAAGTACCTCTTCAACATGGGAAAGGGTGAGTGAATGAGAGGCCCCTGGGGGAATCACGTTTTCCACAGGGACATGGGCAAGACTGGGAATGGGAGAATATTCCTAGCCCCATGAACATTCCCCAACCCCTAGCCCCACACCATACTTCTAGTCTGAGGCAGAGAGCCATTTTGACATTTTGCAGAGGCAATACTTGAGTCTAAGGGAACCTCTACACACCTTAGTCCCCAGAGCAGACAAGCACCATCACCACAGCCCCAGCAGAGGCTGCAGTAGCAGGGCCTATGAGTAGTAAGATTGCTCCACCTCCACCCCTTGCCAGGCAGTACACAACACCAGCTTCTACCCCAGCAGTCCTACTTAAGCAGGAACTCAACCAGCCACTCCAGCCATCCCCACCACTAGTAGCCAGAGGGGCAAGACTTGCTAGAGTTTCCATCCCAGAGGTCTCACTTCAGTGTGAACTCAGCTGGAGGGTGCAGCCTCCTCTTGTCCCAAGAAACACGCAGACAGCAGAGTGCATGACCCTGCCCACCCCTGCCACTGTTGGGAAAGAATCTCAGATATTGAAGCCTGGCTTTCTGAAATAACTCAAACAAAAATAAAGAACAATGAACAAGAGATATGAGATTATGCAAAGAGAACAAATGTATGACTCACTAGTGTCCCTGAAAAAGAGGAGACCAAACAATACAAAAAACGTGTTTCAGAATATCATCCATGAAAATTTCACCAACCTCACTAGAAAGACCAACATTTAAATTCAGAAAATGTAGCAACCCCCTGTGAAATACTACAGGACAAATCCTCAAGACACATATTCATTAGATTCACCAAGGTAGAAATGAAAGAAAAATGTTAAATGCAGCTAGAGAAAAGAGGCAGGTCACCTACAAAGGTAACCCCATTAGGGTAACAGTAGACCTGTCAGCAGAAACCCTACAAGCCAGAAGGGATTCGGATTCTACATTCATCATTCTTAAATAATTTTTGGCCTGGGCGTGGTGGCTCATGCCTATAATCCCAGCACTTTGGGAGGCCAAGGCAGGCAGATCACTTGAGGTCAGGAGTTTGAGACCAGCCTGGCCAACATGGTGAAACCCTGTCTTTACTAAAAATGCAAAAATTAGCCAGGCATGGTGGCATATGCCTGTAGACCCAGCTACTGTACTCAGGAGGCTGAGGCAGGAGCATTGCTTGAACCCAGGAGCCAGAGGTTGCAGTAAGCCAAGATTGTGCCACTGCACTCTAGCCTGGGTGACAGAGCAAGACTCTGTCTCAAAAAAAAAAAAAAAAAAAAAAAAAGAAAACAACTTTCAGTGAAGAATGTCATATCCAGCCAAACTAAGCTGCATAAGAGAAATATTCTTTTTAGACAAGTAAATGCTAAGGGAATCTGTTACCAGCATATCTTCCTTACAAGATGTCTTAAAAGGAGAGCTAAGGTTAAAAAGGAAAGGCCATTACTAACTACTACAATATACACTTAGCTGTATAAACCATTGACACTATAAAGCAACAACACAAACAGGTCTGCATAATAAGCAGCTACCAACATGATAACAGGATCAGATCTGCACATATCAATACTAACCTTGAATGTAAACAGGCCACATGCCCCAATTAAAAGGCACAGAGTGACAAGTTGGATAAAGAAGCAAAACCCAACATCATGCTGTCATCAAGAGATTCATCTCATAGGCAATGACACGCAAAGGAAAAAGTAAAGAGATGGAGAAAATTCTACCAAGCAAACACAAAATGTAAGAAGGCACGTGTTATGATGTAGTTTGGATTTGCATCCCCACCCAAATCTCGTGTTGAAATGTAATCCCCAATGTTGGAGGTGGAACGTTGTGGGAGCTGAATGAATCATGAGGACAGATTTCTCATGAATGGTTTAGCACCATCCATTTGGTGCTGTTCTTGTGCTATTGTGTAAATGCTCATGATATCTGGTTGTTTAAAAGTGTGTGGCACCCTCCCTCTCTCTCAGTCTTCCTTTTGCCATGTAAAGTGCCTGCTCTTGCTTTGTCTTCTACCATGAGTTGAAGCTACCTGAGGATTTCCCGGAAGCAAATGCTATTATGCTTCCTGTGCAGCCTGAAGAACCATGAGTCATTTAAAATTCTTTCTTGGAAATTACCCAGTCTCAGGTATTTCTTTATAGCAATGCAGGAATGAACTAATACAGCATATTGGTACCAGAAGTGGGGTATTGCTGTAAAGATAACTGAAAAGGTGAAAGCAACTTTGGAATTAGTAGTAAGTTGAGATTGGAAGATTCTGAAGGGCTCAGAAGACAGGAAATATAAGGGAAAGTTTTGAACTTCTTAGAAACCGGTTAAATGGTTGTGACCAAAATGCTGATAGTGATATGGACAGTGGACCTGACAGATGCCTACAGAACTCTCCTGCCAAAAACAAAGGGATATACATTATACTCATCTACACATGGCAAATACTCTAAAATTAACCACACAATCCTCAGCAACTTATTAAAAACACCTGAAATCATACCAACCATGCTCTGAGACCACAGTGCAATAAAAATATAAATCAGTGCTTAAAAAACACTCAAAATTGTACAATTACATAGAAATTTAACAACCTGCTCCTGATTGACTTCTGAGTAATTAATGAAATTAAGGCAGAAATCAACAAATTCTTTGAAACTAATGAGAACAAAGAAACAAGATACCAGAATTTATGGAACATAGCCAAAGCAGTGTTAAGAGGGAAAAGTCTACAGTACTAAATGCCCTCATCAAAAAGTTAGCAAGATTTCAAATTACCAACCTAATATCGCAATTAGGGAAACTAGAGAAATAAGAGCAAAACAACCCCAAGGCTAACAGGAGAAAAGAAATAACCCAAATAAGAGCTGAACTGAAGGAAACTGACATGCAAAAGGCCATGCAAAAAATCAATAAACTCAGGAGCTTGTCCTTTGAAAAAATTAATATGATAGATTGGCCACTACCTAGACTATAAAGAAAAAAAAGAGAGAAAATTCAAATAAATACAATTAGAAATGACAAAGGGGGCCTTACCACTGACCCCACAGAAATACAAAAACCCTTAGAGATTATTAAGAACACCTCTGTGCACACAACCTATAAAACCTAGAAGCACTGGGTAAATTCCTAGAAACATATAACCTCCCAACATTGAACCAGGAAGACACTGAATTCCTGAACAGACCAATACAGAGTTCTGAAATTGAATCAGTAATAAAAAGCCTAACAATGAGAAAAAGCCCTGGACCAGGTGGATTCACAGCCAAATTCTATCAGATTTATAAGGAGGAGATAGCAGCACTGCTACTGAAACTATTCCAAAAAAAAAAATTGATGAGGAGTCACTGCTCCCTAACTTGTTCTATGAAGCCAGCATCATCCTGAAACCAAAGTCTAGCAGAGACACAGCAAAAAGAGATAACTTCAGGCCAATATTCTTCCTTGATGAATATTGATGCAAAAAATTCTCAACAAAATACTAATTGTATTAGTCTGTTCTCACACTGCTATGAAAAAGATGCCTGAGACTTGGGAATTTATAAAGGAAAAAGTTTTAATTGACCCACAGTTCCACATTGTTGGAGAGGCCTCAGGAAACTTAAAATCATGGCAGAAGGCAAAGGATAAACAGACACCTTCTTCACAGGGCAGCAGGATGGGGTGAGTGCAAGCAGGGGAAATGTCAGATACTTATGAAACCATCAGATCTTGTGAGACTCACTCACTAGCACAAGAACAACAGGGAGAAAACCACCCCCATGATCCAGTTACCTCCACCTGGTCCCACCCTTGGGCATGGGGATTATGAGGATTACAATTCAAGATGACATTTTGGGTAGGGACATAGCAAAACCATATCACTAGTAAAGTGAATTCAGAAGCACATCAAAAACTTAATCTACCATGATCAAGTAGGCTTTATGCCTAGAATACAAAGTTAGTTCTACATATGCAAATCAATAGATGTGATTCACCACATAAACAGAACTAAAAATAAAAACCACGTGATCATCTCAATAGATCCAGAAGAGGCATTTAATAGAATTTAACATCTCCTCATGTTAAAAACTCTCAGCAAACTAGTCATACCTAAAAATAATAAGAGCAATATATGAAAAACACACAACCAACATATTGAATGGATAAAAGCTGGAAGTATTCCACTTGAAAACCAGAACAAGACAATAATTCCCTCTTTTATCATCCTATTTGATATAAATTGAAGTCCTAGCCATAGGAATCAGGCAAGAGAATGAACTAAAAGGCATCCAAATAGGAAAAGAGGAAGTCAAACTATCCCTGTTTGCCAACAATGTAATTCTATACCTAGAAAACCCCACAGTCTGTTCCCAAAAGCTCCTTGATCTGATAAACAACTTTAGCAATGTTTTGGGATATAAAATTAATGTACAAAAATCAGTAGTATGCCTGTATGGCAACAACTTTCAAGTTGAGAACCAAATCAAGAATACAATCCCATGCATGACAGCCACAAAAATAATAAATACCTGGGGAAACATCTAACCAAAATAGTGGAAGCCTGCTGTAACAAGAATTACAAAGCACTGTTCAAAGAAATCTCAGAGGACAAAAACAAATGGAAAAACATTCCATGCTCATGGATAGCAGAATTAATATTGTTATAATGGCTGTACTACCTAAAGCAATTTATAGACTAAATGCTACTTCTATCAAAGTACCAATGTCATTCTTCACAGAATTAGAAGAAACTATTTTGAAATTCACATGGAACCAAAAAATAGCCCAAGTAGCCAAGGCAATTCTAAGCAAAATATACAAAGCCGGAGGCATCACATTACTCAATGGTGAACTATACAAGGCTACAGTAGCCAAAACAGCATGTACTAGTACAGAAAAGGACACATAGACCAACAGATCTGAATAGAGATTCCAGAAATAATGCTGCACACCTACAACCATGTGATCTTCAATAAAATTGATAAGCAATGCAGAAAGCACTTCATATTCAATAAATGGTCTGGCTAGCCATATACAGAAGATTTAAACTGAACTACTTCCTTATATGCAAAAATCAACCTAAGATTGATTAAAGGCATAAATATAAAATCTAAAACTGTAAAAAGCCTGGATGATAACCTAAGAAATACCATTCTGGACTTAGGACCTGGCACAGATTTCATAATGAAAACAACAAAAGCAATTGCAAGAAAAAAAAAAATTGACGAATGAGTCCTAAACTAAAGAAGGTCTGCATAGCAAAATAAACTATCAACAGAGTAAACAGATGACCTACAGAAGGGGAGAAAATATTAGCAAACTATACATATTACAAAGGTCTAATATTCAGAATCTATGAGGAACTTAATTTACAAGCAAAAAGTAACCCTATTAAAAAGTGAGCAAAGGACATAAACAGACACTTTTCAAAGAAGACATATGTGGGATTAACAAAGTTCAACATCATTAATCATCAGAGAAATGCAAATCAAAACCACAATGAGATACCGTCTCACATCAGTCAGAATGGCTACCATTAAAAAGTGAAAAAGTAATAGATGCTGGCAAGATTGTGGAGAAAATGGAATGCTTATACACTGCTACTGGGAATGTAAGTTAGTTGAGTCATTGTGGAAAACAGTTTGGCAATTTCTCAAAAAATTTACAGCACAATCACCATTCAACCCACCAATCCCATTACTGGGCATATACCCAAAAGAATATAAATTGTTTTACTATAAAGACACATTCATGGCCGGGCGCGGTGGCTCACGCCTGTAATCCCAGCACTTTGGGAGGCTGAGGCGGGCAGATCACAAGGTCAGGAGATAGAGACCATCCTGGTTAACACGGTGAAACCCCGTCTCTACTAAAAATACAAAAAATTAGCCGGGCGAGGTGGCCGGTGCCTGTAGTCCCAGCTACTCGGGAGGCTGAGGCAGGAGACTGGAGTAAACCCCAGGGGCGGAGCCTGCAGTGTGCAGAGAACACGCCACTGCACTCCAGCCTGGGTGACAGAGAAAGACTCCGTATCAAAAAAAAAAAAAAAAAAAAAAAAAAAAAAAAAAAAAAAAAAAAAAAAGACACATTCACATGCACGTTTATTGCTACCCTATTCACAATAACAAAGGCATTGAATTAACCTAAATGCCCGTCAGTGGTAGACTGGATAAAGAAATGTCTGTCTGTGGTAGACTGAATAAATAAAATGTGGTACATTTATGCAATGAAATACTATCCAGTTATTAAAAAAATGAGATCATGTCCTTTGCAGCAACATGAATAAAGCTGAAATCCATTATCCTGAGCAAACTAACACAACAACAGGAAACCAAATTACACATGTTCTCATTTATAAGTTGGACCTAAACATTGAGTACATATGGACACAAAGGAGGCGACAATAGCAATCAAGGCCTACTGGAAGGTGGAGTGGAGAATGGGGAGGATGCAAAACTACCTATCAGTTATAATGCTTATCACTTGGGTGACAAAATAGTCTGTACACCAACCCCCTGCAACATGCAATTTACCTGTATAACAAACCTGTACTTTTACCCCTAAACTTAAAAGTTAAAAAAAATAAAAATCAAAAAAATTAAAGAGAAATTTCTCACTTCTGTCAAACCCAGCTCAAAACTACCAAAATTGACTTCCTTCTTTCTACCTGAACCTCAGTGAGTCTCTATGACATGAAACATGTCACTAGGAACTACAGAAAATCAATGAAAGAACTTTGCTTTTGACCTTGAATTTTTACTTTATTGGAAAATCATACTAATATTTCTTGTTCTCAACAGTAATATGGTGTAAACTACATACAGTAAAATGAATTATTTGAAGTGTAAGTTTATATGGGTTTTAATAAATTTAAGCAGTTGTGCAACTATTACAAAAATGCTATTTTAGATAGTTTTCATTTATCCCAAAAAGCTCAAATTCTCTGTCAATATAGGAAAAAAATAGTTTAAAAATTTTGTTATTCAGAGCCCATGACTTAAAGTGATTGAAAAATGGGCATTTTGTATATGAAAGATGACTTTGGGCAAGTAAGAAATATCTTTAAGTTTCACTTTATTTACATGGGAACATAGTAATTCCTGCTTCACCTCATTCCTAAGATCATGCATGGTTTAAATGAGAATGTGCTTTTATTCATTTGAATAAAGCATATAAATCATACTTTTATTTGGGTCACTTTTACTCTCCTTGCTTTTGAAATATAATTGCCTATTTCTTCAGCATACATTGAGCAACATGTGATATGCTGTTATAATTTTTATTTCAACAATTAAATATTATTTAAGAAATTAATACCAAATAAGATACTGTATTCACCCCTATTTTTCCCTTTTTGATCCTATTTCCTTTGTAAAACTCTATTCCTTCTGTCATTCCCTTTCTGTTTAGAGAACCTATTTTGAACCATTCATTGAGGGATACTTAGGCTAGCAACAAATTTTTAGTTTTCTTTTCCCAAAAAATATCTTGCTATCCCCTTAATTTATATATTTATAAAGGATGCTTTTTAGCAGATGTACAATAACAGTATTTTCCTTTCAGTAGCTGAAAATGCTACACTTCTTTCTGGCCTCTGCTTTCAGGTAAGAAATCTTCCATCATTCAAATTGGTGTTTCCCTATATGTATTGCATCACATTTCTGACTGCTGTAAAAAATTTTTGTGTGTCTTTAGTTTTCAGAATTGTAATTATGATACTTAGGTTTATTCTATTTGGTGTTCACTAAGCATCTTGAATCTATAGATTTGCATCTTTCATTATGTTTGAGAAATTCAGTAATCATTTCCTCCAACACATTTAGTCACTTTCTCCTCCACTACAACTAAGATATGAATATCATCTTTGTTATTGTACCACAGGTACCTCATACTGTTAATTCTTTTACAGTTTACTATTTCTCTGTTCAGATTTTGTAAAATATATTGCTCTGTCCTCAAGCTGATTTTATCCTGTCATACCACTTTACAATTGAATGTATCCAGTTCTTTTGTATCTTAAATATATCCAAAGTTTTTGTTTGTTGTTTTTTAAATTTCGGTTACTGGCTGCATTTTTAAAATTGTAGGTTCAGGAGATACATGTGCAGGTTTGTTACATGAGTGTATCATGTAATGGTGGGGTTTGGACTTCTTGTGAATCCATCACTCCAGTAATGAACATAATACCTGTGGCAGACTGCCACTGCTACTGCTTGAGACCATCACTACAGCAGTTACTACTGTTATCACTTGAGACCTTCATTACAACTGAAGAAAGGGATGAATGTAGAAATAATAAAAAGCAAAAGAAACTGTTTTAAGGAAAGGCTAGCATGGGGAAGAAGAGAGAGGAAAAGAAGAAAAGAGCTCCCTGCTTCTAGTGAGCAAAGGCAGCCGCCCTGAGCTTCCACAGCCCTTCTTATTTATTGGGTAACAAGAGCAAGGAGGAGGAGGTAATGATTGGTCAGCTGCTTAATTGACCACAGGTTCATATTATTACTAACAGGCTTCAGCTGTACCTAATCACAAGAAACATTTGTGCGGCCTCCCCTTTTCAAATTAATTGAGCAAGGCAATTGCAGGCTGTGCAGCCCTTAACTGCCAGTTGGTGATCCAGCTTCATTTTTCTTAACCCTTATTCAAAACAGAGTTGCTCTGGTTTGAATGCTTCTTACATATTTTCCCCTTCCCTTTTACAAGAGGACCCTTAATCCTAAGGGTTGCAGAAGGATGAAGGTCCGTCTTCTGCAACTTCTTCATGCTGAGTAAGGGCAATGATATTCCTGCCTAGTAGGGTCTCTTGTATTCAGGGTAGAGAGGAGCTCAGTCAGAAAGCATTGGTTCGTTAAACATCGATTGTGCCTCTGAGTTCCAGCAAAAGGTGAAACTCTGGCGCTCCATCAGTTTCTCAGCTTCCTGTGTGGTTTTCTTGATCTGTCCCCGTATTATGGGGGTTGATGTCAGCATGATTTCCGTCGGTCCGCGTTCTGTCTTCTCATTCGGATTCAACTGGCTCATGGCTCATACTAGGGGAACCAGGCCTGTAATTGGAATCCATGGGTCCCACCAGTCTCCCATTCCATGGTTGCACACTTCTTGAGGGCACCTGCATGGCTTGTCCATCTTCTGTAAAGACACAAGCATACCCTCGTCCCCACGTTAGTAAACCTACTGAAACAGAAGCAAAAACCTTTTGTGGCTGTAGCCAGAAGGCATGCCGTTGCTGAGCATTTGTTAGCTCAGCTTCTGCTTCTTTGGTTAATTACCGTGGGGTAAAACTTTCCAGTGACAATGAGAGACAGGCTGTTTCTCATTAACAGAAGACAGAAAGCAAATCGAGGCTTATCCTTTTCATACAACAGTATAGCAAAAAGCAATCCTTAAACTTTCAATTTGCACTGTACAGGTGGGTCCACTAGATGCTATGGGTTGTGAAAGATAAATCTCTCTCCTAGTTGCACTTCCAAATTCCTGACCTCCTTGCTTCTTCTTACGTAGAGAAGGGTACAATTTACAGGGAATAAGCAACAGTTGAGCAACATATTCTCCCGGTTCACAAACCCAAAGATTTTGTGACATTACCACTACCTGAATTTCTCCTTCACAATCAAAGTCAACAACTCCTGGGCCTGTAAGTTAAGACAGCTTTTACCAAAATCAATCCCATGTATCTTGTTCGCAAATGTCGTCAAATACCAATGGGAATCTTAGTAAGTTTGTTTCTTTCCATTAACATAATTTGTTATCTAGGAGATCTAATCCTGCATTTCCAGGTGTTCCTGGAGAGAGGCAATCCATGTGCCTCCGGAAACCCACCCCTGAGATGGAGTTGTGGCCTGGACGGGAAATGCCCTCATAGTTTGAGGTGCCCAGGTCCAGGCCCCCTTCTTGCTTCCCGACAGGAGAGTGCTGTTTTGATGAAATATTGAGTGGCATTCATTAGTCCGATGATTTCCTTTATTGCAACGAGGGCAAAGTCCTGGCCTTTTTTTCTATTAAGAGGGGAACTGTGTTACAAGATCCCTTTTGCCAAGAGGTCTGCTGCCATTCTTTTTTGAAACGTCCAATTTGTCTACACTTATAACACTTTCCCACTTTAGGGCTTGACCCTTGGCTTCCTTTAGATCTATCAGCTACCCAATTAGCCATTGCCTGAGTCAATACTGCAGAGCAATGAAGCTCAGCTTCCATATCCTGACAAGCTCTGAGAAAACCTCCCAAGTCCTCTGCACATCTCACAGGTGCCAGTGCACGTTTACAATCCACGAAAGCCAAAGCTAAAGTTAGCCTTTCTGTAGCCACAAAAGACAGTACAAGCCAATTTTCATCCTCCCTCTTCTGTTCACCACTTTCAATAGGTGCTGTAGGTGGGGCAAAAAATGTTCTAAAACCCTGAAATAAAAGATGGTATGTACCAAACTCCAAACAAAAAAGAGAAAAGAAATAGCCAAATTCTTCCTCCTGTTACCCTAATTCAAAAGCTTCCCATTCTTTGTACATCTAGGGCACTGACCAGTACATTTTTAGACCAGTACATGCTGCCTGAAGACTTGTAACAGGGTTGGTCATTCATCTAGTTGGTTTTAGGTTTTTTTTTTTCTTCCTGTTCTAGCATACCTTCCATGCAAATCTCTGCTAGTCTTTGCTAGTCTACATTTTTTTACCTCTTTAGGGCACTGACCTTATATTGCTAGTTTGATAGTCTTTATCCCTAGCTGACCCTGTCTGTCCCTGTGGTCCGTTAGTTCCTTCAAGTCCCTGTCTTTCCCTACCTACCTCTACCTTCTTACTTCTACATCCCTCCCTCTATCTCCCTCCCTCCCTCCCTCTATCTCCATCCCTCCCTCCCTCTACCTCCCTCCCTCCCTCCCTCCACCTCCCTCCAACTCCCTCCCTCCCTCTACCTCCCTTCTTCCCTCTACCTACCTCCCTCCACCTACCTACCTCCCTCCCTCTACTTACTTCCCTCCCTCCTTCCCTCTACCTCCCTCCCTCCTTCCCTCTATCTCCCTCCATCCTTCCCTCTACCTCCCTCCTTCCTTCCCTCCTTCCCTCTATCTCCTTCCCTCCTTCCCTCTACCTCCCTCCCTCTCTTCCTGCCTCCTTCCATCTATTCCTCCCTCCTTCTGTCTATTCCTCCCTCCTTCCCTCTCTTCCTCCCTCCTTCCCTCTCTTCCTCCCTCCTTCCCTCTCTTCCTCCCTCCTTCCCTCTCTTCCTCCCTCCCTCTCTTCCTCCCTCCCTCTCTTCCTCCCTCCCTCTCTCCCTCTCCCTCCCTCTCCCTCCCCCTCCCTCCATCTTCCTCTCTCTCCCTCCCTCTCTCTCCTTCCCTCTCCCTCCCTCTCCTTCCCTTCCCTCCCCTTCCCTCCCCCTCCACCTCACTCCCTCCACTTCCACCTCCCTCCCTCCACCTCCACCTCCCTCCCTCCACCTCCACCTCCCTCCCTCTACCTATTTATCTCTATTTATCTCTATTTGTCCCTGCAGGACTCTTCAGGTCCCTTCAGGTCTCTGTTTGTCCCTGATAGTTCCTGTGCAGGTTCCACTTGTGGCCGACTGCCACTACTACTACTTGAGTAACAGCAGTTACTGTTACTGCCTGAGACCATCACTACAGCAGTTACTACTGTTACCACTTGAGACCGTCATTACAACCGAACGAAGGGACGAATGTAGAAATGATAACAAAAAACATAAGTAACTATTTTAAGGAAAGGCTAAGCATGAGGAAGAAGAAGAGAGAAGAAAAGGGCTCCCTGTTTCTAGTGAGCAAAGACAGCTGCCCTGAGCTTCCACAGCCCTTTTTATTTATTGGGTAACAAGAACAAGGAGGAGGAGATATGATTAGTCAGCTGCTTAATTGACCACAGGTTCATATTATTACTAACAGGTTTTAGAGGTACCTAATCACAAGAAACATTTGTGCGGCCTCCAACAAATACCCAGTATGTAATTTTAAAACCCTTGCTCTCCCACTTCTCTCCCTGTTTTTGCAGTCCCCAGTGTCTATTGTTTCTATCTTTACGTCCATGTGTACCATCGTTTAGCTGGCATGTGTAAGTAAGAACATGTGGTAGTTTATTTTCTGTTTCCATTTTATTTCACTTAGGATAATGGCCTCCAGCTGCATCCATGTTACCACATTTTCTGTATCCAATCCACCACTTATAGGCACCTAGGTAAACTTCATGACTTTGCTGTTTTGAATAGTGCTATAATAAACCTACGAGTGCAGGTTTCTTTAGGATAAAATTATTTTTTTCCCTTTGGGTAGATATCCAGTATTGGAGTTGCTGGCTCAAATGGTAGTTTTATTTTTAGTTCCTTGGGAAATCTCCATATCGTTTTCCATAGGGGTTGAACTAATTTACATTCTCACCAACAGTGTATAAACATTCCCTTTTCAATACAACCTCACCAACATCTGTTATTTTTTTACTTTTTAATAATAGCCACTTGACTGGCTATTAATAATAGCCACTTGACTGGCTATTAATATAGCCATTTGATGGAATCTCATTGTGGTTTTGATTTACATCTCTCTGATGATCAGTGATGTTGAACATTTTTTCATATTTTTATTGGCTGCTTGTATGTCTTTTGAAAAATATTTGTTCCTGGTCTTTGCTCACTTTTTAATGAAGTTAATTTTTTTTTGCTTATTGATAAATTTAAGTTCCTTATAGATTCTGAAAATTAGTCTACTGTCAGAGGCATAGTTTGCAAATGTTTTCCCCCATGCTATAGGTTGTCTGTTTACTCTGTTATTTCTTTTGTGGTGCAGAAGATCTTTAGTTTTATTAAGTCTCATTTGTCAACTTTTATTTTTGTTGCATTTTCCTTTGAGGTCCTGGTTATAAATTATCTGCCTCAAACAATGTCTTGAAGACTTTTCCTAGGTTTTCTTCTAGAATTTTTACAGTTTCAGGACTTACACTGAAGTCTTTAATCTATCTTGAGATAATTTTTCTATATGGTGATAGGTAGGGGTCCAGTTTCATTCTTCTGCATATGGCTAGACAGCTTTCCCCACACCATTTATTGAATAGGGAGTACTTTTCCCATTGCTTATTTTTGTAAACTTTGTTGAAGATTAGTTGGTTGTAGGCATGTGGCTTTATTTCTGGATGCTCTGTTTTGTTTCATTGATCTATGTGTCCGTTTTTGTAGAAGTACCATGCTGATTTGGTTACTGTAGCCTTATTATATAGTTTGAAGTAAGGTAATATGATGCCCCTAGCTTTGTTCTTTTTGCTTTAGATTGCTTTGGCTTTTTGGGCTATTTTTGGTTCCATGTGAAAATTATGATAGTTTTTTTTTTCACTCTGTGAAAAATGACATTGGGAGTTTGATAGGAATTGCATTGAACCTGTAGAATGCTTTGAGAAGTATGATCATTTTAGTGATATTGATTCTTCTAATCCATGAGCATGGGAAGTTTTTCTATTTGCTGTGTCATCTATAATTTCTTTCAGCAGTGTTTTGTAGTTCTTTTGTAGAAATCTTTCACCTTTTCAGTTATATTTTATTTGTGTGTGTGTGTATATGTGTGGCTATTGTAAATGGGATTGAATTCTTGATTTGGTTTCCAGCTTGAACATTATTGGTGTATAGAAATGCTACTGATTTGTGTACATTGACTTTGTATTCTAAAACTTTACTGCTGTTGTTCATCAGGTCTAGCAGTGTCTTTGAGGAATCACTAGGGTGTTTTAATTATAAGATCTTATCAGCCAATGGAGATAGTTAGACTTACTCTTTTCCTTTCTGAATGTACTTATTTCTTTCTCATGACTATTCTGGCTAGGACTTCCAGTACAATATTGAATAGAAGTAGTGAAACTGTACATCCTTGTCTTTTTCCAGTACTTAGGGGGAATCGTTTCAACTTTGTGCATTCTGTATGATGTAGGCAGTGGGTTTGTCATAGATGGATTATATTATTTTTAGGTATGTTCTTTTGATGCCTAGTTTACTGAGGGTTTTTAATCATGAAAGAATGTTAGATTTTATAAAATGCTTTCTCTGTGCCTAGTGAGATGATATATTTTTTTTGTTTTTAATTCTGTTCATGTGGTGAATCACATTTATTGATTTGCTTATGTTGAACAATTCTTGCATCCAGGGATAAAACTCACTTGATCATGGTTAGTTATCTTTTGATGTGCTGTTAGATTTGCTTTGCTACTGTTTTCTTGACAATGATTGCATCTGTGTTCACCAGAAATATTGGCCTGCAGTTTTCTTTTGTTGTTGTTGTTGTGTCCTTACCAGATTTTGGTTTCAGGATTATACTAATTTTGCATAATGAATTAGAGAGGAAACACTCCTCCTCATTTTTTTTTTTTGTAATAGTTTGAGTAAGATTGAAACCAGCTCTTCTAGTAAACTTTGGCTGTGAATCTCTCTGGTCAAGGGCTTTTTTTGGATGGTAGTTTTTTTATAATTGATTTAATTTTGAAATTTTTCATTGGTCTGTTCAAGATTTCAATTTCTCTGTTTTGGTACCAGTACTATGCTGTTTTGGTTACTGTAATCTTGTAGTATAGTTTGAAGTCATGTAGCGAGATGCCTCCAGCTTTGCTCTTTTGGCTTAGGATTGACTTGGCAATGTGGGCTCTTTTTGGTTCCATATGAACTTTAAAGTAGTTTTTTCCAATTCTGTGAAGAAAGTCAATGGTAGCTTGATGGGGATGGCATTGAATCTATAAATTACCTTGGGTAGTATGGCCATTTTCATGATATTGATTCTTCCTACCCATGAGCATGGAATGTTCTTCCATTTGTTTGTATCCTCTTTTATTTCATTGAGCAGTGGTTTGTAGTTCTCCTTGAAGAGGTCCTTCACATCCCTTGTAAGTTGGATTCCTAGGTATTTTATTCTCTTTGAAGCAATTGTGAATGGGAGTTCACTCATGATTTGGCTCTCTGTTTGTCTGTTGTTGGTGTATAAGAATGCTTGTGATTTTTGTACATTGATTTTGTATCCTGAGACTTTGCTGAAGTTGCTTATCAGCTTGAGAAGATTTTGGGCTGAGACAATGGAGTTTTCTAGATATACAATCACATCGTCTGCAAACAGGGACAATTTGACTTCTTTTCCTAATTGAATACCCTTTATTTCCTTCTCTTCCCTGATTGCCCTGGCCAGAACTTCCAACACTATGTTGAATAGGAGTGGTGAGAGAGGGCATTCCTCTCTTGTGCCCGTTTTCAAAGGGAATGCTTCCAGTTTTTGCCCATTCAGTATGATACTGGCTGTGGGTTTGTCATAGATAGCTCTTATTATTTTGAGATACGTCCCATCAATACCTAACTTATTGAGAGTTTTTAGCATGAAGTGTTGTTGAATTTTGTCAAAGGCCCTTTCTGCATCTACTGAGATAATCATGTGGTTTTTGTCTTTGGTTCTGTTTATGTGTTGGATTAATTTATTGATTTGCATATGTTGAACCAGCCTTGCATGCCGGGGATGAAGCCCACTTGATCATGGTGGATAGGCTTTTTGATGTGCTGCTGGATTCGGTTTGCCAGTATTTTATTGAGGATTTTTGCATCGATGTTTATCAAGAATATTGGTCTAAAATTCTCGTTTTTTGTTGTGTCTCTGCCCAGGTTTGGTATCAGGATGATGCTGGCCTCATAAAATGAGTTAGGGAGGGTTCCCTCTTCTTCTATTGATTGGAATAGTTTCAGAAGGAATGGTACCGGCTCCTCCTTGTACCTCTGGTAGAATTCGGCTGTGAATCCATCTGGTCCTGGACTTTTTTTGGTTGGTAAGCTATTGATAATTGCCACAATTTCAGAGCCTGTTATTGGTCTATTCAGAGATTCACCTTCTTCCTGGTTTAGTCTTGGGAGGATGTATGTGTCGAGGAATTTATCCATTTCTTCTAGATTTTCTAGTTTATTTGCATAGAGTTGTTTACAGTATTCTCTGATGGTAGTTTGTATTTCTGTGGGATCGGTGGTGATATCCCCTTTATCATTTTTTATTATGTCTATTTGATTCTTCTCTCTTTTCTTCTTTGTTAGTCTCGCTAGCGGTCTATCAATTTTGTTGATCTTTTCAAAAAACCAGCTCCTGGATTCATTAATTTTTTGAAGGGTTTTTTGTGTCTCTATTTCCTTCAGTTCTGCTCTGATTTTAGTTATTTCTTGCCTTCTGCTAGGTTTTGAATGTGTTTGCTCTTGCTTTTCTAGTTCTTTTAATTGTGATGTTAGGGTGTCAGTTTTAGATCTTTCCTGCTTTCTCTTGTGGGCATTTAGTGCTATAAATTTCCCTCTACACACTCCTTCGAATGTGTCCCAGAGATTCTGGTATGTTGTGTCTTTGTTCTTGTCGGTTTCAAAAAACAGATATAGACTAACGGAACAGAACAGAGCCCTCAGAAATAATGCCACATATCTATAACCATCTGATCTTTGACAAACCTGAGAAAAACCAGCAATGGGGAAAGGATTCCCTATTTAATAAATGGTGCTGGGAAAACTGGCTAGCCATATGTAGAAAGCTGAAACTGGATCCCTTCCTTATACCTTATACAAAAATGAATTCAATATGGAATAAAGACTTACATGTTAGACCTAAAACCATAAAAACCCTAGAAGAAATCCTAGACAATACCATTCAGGACATTGGCATGGGCAAGGACTTCATGTTTACAACACCAAAAGCAATGGCAACAAAAGCCAAAATTGACAAATGGGATCTAATTAAACTAAAGAGCTTCTGCACAGCAAAAGAAAAGAAACTACCATCAGAGTGAACAGGCAGCCTACAGATTGGGAGAAAATTTTTGCAACCTACTCATCTGACAAAGGGCTAATATCCAGAATCTACAATGAACTCATACAAATTTACAAGGAGAAAACAAACAACCCCATCAAAAAGTGGGTGAAGGATATGAACAGACACTTCTCAAAAGAAGACATTTATGCAGCCAAAAAACACATGAGAAAATGCTCATCATCACTGGCCATCAGAGAAATGCAAATCAGATCCACAATGAGATACCATCTCACACCTTTTAGAATGGCAATCATTAAAAAGTCAGGAAACAACAGGTGCTGGAGAGGATGTGGAGAAATAGGAGCACTTTTACACTGTTGGTGGGACTGTAAACTAGTTCAACCATTGTGGAAGTCAGTGTGGCGATTCCTCAGGGATCTAGAACTAGAAATACCATTTGACCCAGCCATCCCATTACTGGGTGTATACCCAAAGGATTATAAATCATGCTGCTACAAAGACACATGCACACGTATGTTTATAGTGGCACTATTCAGAATAGCAAAGACTTGGAACCAACGCAAATGTCCAACAATGATAGACTGGATTAAGAAAATGTGGCACATATACACCATGGAATACTACGTAGCCATAAAAAATGATGAGTTCGCGTCCTTTGTAGGGACATGCATGAAACTGGAAACCACCATTCTCAGCAAACTATCGCAAGGGCAAAAAACCAAACACCGCATGTTCTCACTCATAGGTGGGAATTGAACAATGAGAACACATGAACACAGGAAGGGGAACATCACACACCAGGTACTGTTGTGGGGTTGGGGGAGTGGGGAGGGATAGCATTAGGAGATGTACCTAATGCTAAATGATGAGTTAATGGGTGCAGCACACCAACATGGCACATGTATACCTATGTAACAAACCTGCACACTGTGCTCATGTACCCTAAAACTTAAAGTATAATAATAATAAAATTAAAAAAAAAGATTTCAATTTCTTCCTGGTTTAATCTTGGGAGGTTGTGTGTTTCCAGCATTTTTTTCATTTCCTCTAGGTTTTCTAGTTTGTGCATTTAAAGATTTTTATAGTAGTCACTGGGGATCTTTTGTATTTCCACGTGTGTAACGTCACTTTTGTCATTTCTGAAGTTGCTTATTTGAATCTTTCTTTTTTTCCTGGTTAATCTAGCTAGTGATCTGTTAATTTTGTTTATCCTATCAAAGAACCAACTTTTTGTTTTTTGATTATTTCTATCATTTTCCTATTCTCAGTTTCATTTAGTTCTGCTATAATTTTTGCTATTTATTTTCTTCTTTTAGCATTGGGTTTGGTTTCTTTCTTGTTTTTCTAGTTCTTTTAGGAGAAATATTAGGTCGTTAACTCGAGATAGTTCTACCTTTTTGAGGTATGCATTTAGTACTGTAAGCTTTCCTCTTAACACTGCTTTTGCTGCATCCAAGAGGTTTTGGTATGTTTTGTCTCTATTTTCATTTGTTTTAAAAAGTGTTTTTGATTTTTGCCTTAATTGTTTTGTTTACTAAAAAGTTCTTAAGGAATAATTTGTTCAGTTGCCATGTACTTGTGTGGGTTTGAGAGTTCCTCTTCATATTGATTTCTAATTTTATTCCACTGTGGTCTAAGAAGATACTTGATATTATTTCAATTTTTTTGAATTTATTGAGATTTGCTTTATGAGCAAACATGTAGTTAATTATATAAAATATTCCATGTACAGATGGAAAAAATGCATATTCTGTGGTTGTCGAATGGAGTATTCTTTAGATGACTACCAGGTCCAATTTATCAAGTGTCCAATTTACTTCTAGAATTTCTTTGTTAGCTTTCTGCCTTGGTATACTGCTGTCAGTGGGGTGCTGAAGTAGCCCACTATTATTGTGTGACTCTCTATCTCCTTTCTTACATCTAGTACTGTTTGTTTTATAAATCTGGGTGCTCTGATGTTGGGTTCATACATATTTAGTGTAGTTAAGTCTTCTTGTTGAATTAAGTCGTTTATCTTACATAAAGGCCTTATTTGTCTTTTGTCTTTTTTTATTGTTGATTTAATGTATATTGTAGCTGATACAGGAATAGCCATTCTTGCTCATTTTGTTTTCCACTTACATGATTTCTTCGTCTCTTTACTTTGAGCCTGTGGATATTACTAGATGTGACATAGGTCTCTTGAAAGTAACAGAGGTTAAGCCTTTTTTCAAATCCAATTTGTTACTCATGTCTTTCAAGTAGAGTACTTAGGCTGTTTACATCCAAGGTCAATATTGATATTTGAGGTTTTGTTCCTGTCATATTGTACTAGGCTGTTTACATCCAAGGTCAATATTGATATTTGAGGTTTTGTTCCTGTCATATTGTTGCTAGTTGGGTGCTTTGTAAACTCAATTGTGTAATTGCTTTATAGGATCTGATAGCTTTGAACTTATGTGCTTTTATGGTGTCAAGTATCATTCTTTAATTTCATTCGGAAGCTCTTTGAACATTTCTTGTAGGGTTGGTCTGGTGGTGACCAATTCTTTCAGTGTTTTCTTTTCTGGGAAAGACTTCTCCTAGTTTATGAATCTTAGTTTGGCAGGATATGAAATTCTTTGCTGACATTTTTTAAGGAGGCTAAAAATAGGCCACCAATCTTCTTTGCCTCATAAGGTTTCCACTGAAAAATCTGCAGTTAATCTGATGGGATTTCCTTTATAGATAATTTGGCTGTTTCTCTACCTATCTTTAAGATTTATTCTTTTGTGTTGACAATGGATAATCTGATGACTGTATGCCTTTGGAATAGTCATTGATATACTTTGGCTCTGTGTCCCCACCCAAATGTCATGTTGTAATCCCCATTATTGGGGGAGGGACCAACTGGAGGTGATTGAATCATGAGGGCAGATTTCTCCCTCACTGTTTTCTTAATAGTGAGTTCTTATGAGATCTAGTTGTTTAAAAGTATGTAGCGTTTCCCCTTTTGCCCTCTCTCCTGCTGGCCATGTGAAGATGTGCTTGCTTTCCCTTCACCTTTTGGCATAATTGAAAGTTTCCTGAGGACTCCCCAGCTATGCTTTCTCTACAGCCTGTGGAACCATGAGCCAATTAAATCTCTTTTCTTTATAAATCCCCCAATCTCAAGTAGCTCTTTATAGCAATGTAAGAGCAAACTCATACAGTCATCTAATATATTATCTTCTTCTTTGATATTTCTTTTATCTGGATGTTGACCTCCCTAGCAAGGTTAGGGAATATTTCCTCAATTATTCTCTCAAAGTTGTTTTCCACCTCTTTTATTTTTTATCATTCTCTCTCAGAGATGCCAATAATTTCTAGGCTTGATCATTTTACATAATTCCATATTTCTATAATTCCAAAGGCTTTGTTAGTTTTAAATTTTTTTTGTATGACTGGGTTAATTTGAAAGACATCTTCAAGCTCTGAAATTTCTTCTTCTGCTTGATCTAGTTTATTGTTAAAGCTTCCTACTATATTTTGACAGTCCTGTCACGAAATTTTCTATTCCAGAAGTTCTATTTTTTCTTGATATAGCTATCTTGTATGTCATAAATATATTAATTTATGACATTAATATATGTCATAAATTGTATGTCATTAATATATATCTTGTATGTCATTAAATATAATCAGTTTATTGGATTGTGTTAAATTTCAACTTTCCTTTGGAACTCATTGAGTTTCCTTGGATCCATATTTTGAATTATTTATCTGTTGTTTCAGGCTTGTCAATTTGGTTAGGATCCATTTGCAAAGAGCTAGTGTGATCCTTTGGTAGTATCAAGACACTCTGGCTTTTTGTAGTGCCAGTGTTTTTGTGTTTATCTCTAAGGAGCTGTTGCTTCTTATTTTTGAATTTCCTATCATTTGGTTGGGATATTTTTAAAATTCTTTTTTCCCTTTATGGTATGAGTATGGTGTATTTTGTATATGATCACTTGGCTTTGTTTCTGGACACATTCAGTGGGGCAGTGCTGTGTTTGTGTTGCTTGGTTGTGGATAACTTCTGTGCAGTGACTTTCTTGGATGTTGCTTTTATAGCTATGCATTGGACAAATGAGTGGACACACTATTTTCTGTGGGTCTGAGGATGTGGAGGTCAGCAAGCTTGTCTTGTGGGCAAGCACTAAGCCTTTCTGGAAGGAGGTTTGTTATTTGGTGATGCATTTTAGACCGTAGTCCATAAGTGGAGCTTAAGAGTAATAGCTTGCTCATGCCCAGATAGGTCGATAATGGGTGGAAGCACCTGCCCTGACAGGGGGTGTTGGGAAGAGATCATGTGTGGTGTGCTCTTGTCTCAAGGGAAGGGGAAGAGTGAGTGCACCAGTTCTTCATCCTGAGCCAGCAGAAACCTGGTTCATTTCCCTATCACACCTGTGTCTCTGGGCTCATGACCTTCAGTTCATAAAGACTTGACCTCTTGTTTGCCAACCACAGTGCAGCTGTGGGCCACGAATACACTCCATCAAAGTGGGCTTGGGCAGAACCTTTTCCCTGAGTCCAGTACAGACAACTCTGTGATATTTCTTATCTCCATTGGTGAGATACTGTCACTCTGTGTAGGAAAGGGGACTTGGGTCCAGTCCTTCATGTGTGCCCAAGCAGCAAGGGCTCACTTTCAGCAAAAGTCATGCCACTGTGAAAAGTGCTTAAAATGCTTTCTCCAAGTGCACATGTGCAGACTTCCCAGTGGGAAGAACCACTAATGTGTCCACACCAGTTGACAGGGTATGGGGGGTGGGAGATGACACCCTCCCCACATCTATTCCCAGGTATCAGCGCTGCCATTTTCATCAATTTGTGCCACAGAAATGTGTCCTTTGTCCCAAAGGAGGTTTTGGTGGACTGTACTCCCCCTTTTTTCGGAGTGGTCCATGCTGAGGGTTAGATCTCCAGGGGATTCCACAGCTCTCCAGGGACCCATCATTAGCCTGTGCTTGCCAAAATCAGACCAGGTTGTGAGGTACATTTATGAAGAATCTGGTGGTGCAGTGATTCAAGAGCAGAGAATCCCCAGGCAGAGCAGTGGCCCACCACAGGGGAACAACAAGTATGGTTCCCAATGCCTCAGTTCAGGTGTGAAGGCAGTGCAGGCATGGAAACCTGGTTCTTTCCTCAGGAAACCCTAAATCTCCACTGACAGCATTGCCCTGGATCATGAGGACAGAGGGGCTCATTAACAGTTTGGTCACAAGGGTGAGGGAAGGAGAGAAGCACTCCCACCTATCCTTTCCACAGAACTTCAAGTTCCCCTGGGGTTGGTCTTTGCCAGAGTCTTGCTGCTTTTCTCTTGTGAACACCAGCTTCTCCCCATGGACACGATGAGAGGTCCTAGTTTTCTTCACTCAGTTTTCCATTCAGAACTTGTCCGTTAACCTGTAACTTTCATCTTTTTTCTTAGGAAATCTGGCGTCCAATGTCCTTAGTCAGCCATTTTGAAAAAATACTGCAATTTTTAGTTCTAAATTATCGATTTGGTTCTTTTTCATAACTTTTATTTCTCAGTTGAAATGTTTTATTTATTCATTTGTTTCAAGAGAATTGGTAAATGTACATTAAAAAATTTTTATAATAGCTGGATTTAAAATCTTTATCAGACAATTTCAACATCTAATTCACTTTAATGTTGGCATATCTATCCATGATCTTTTCTTATTCAAGTTGTGATTTTCCTGGTCCATAGTATGATAAGTTCTTTTTAAAACTGAACCCTATACATTTTTGATATTACAATATTCTGAATCTTGTATTCCCCCTGTTGATGTGTAGCATGAGGGCAAGGGGGCACGTATGTTTGGCTTTCTGCTGGATCCCCTCCTCCACCTGCTCCAACTGGAAAAAGTGGAGTGTTGCCCCTTTGCAAATAGATCAGCTAGAAATTCAGCTTCCACATCCCTTTTAAAAGTGGTGTACCAATATTAGTTCCCTACTGTGCCCTTCTGACACCACGAGGAGGGAAAACATATCTGAATCACATCACTTTATTGTTTTAAGTTGAGGCCTGCCGCTTAGCTCCACACTAGGCCTCACTGACATTAGGGGAAGAATGGGAATAAACAAAGTGCTAACCAACTTCATTTCCCAGGCCCTTGTTAAATGGGGATGGGAGTGGAGAGTCAGCTTGACCCTGGAATCCACTAATTCTACCCTGGAAGGATAATCAGAGTATGTTCTAGAGTATCTGGCTTCCACCAGATAAAGGATGATGATCCGCTCCCTACTGTGACCCAGTGACACTACTGGAGCATGAGATTTGGAGCATTCCTTCTCTAAATAAATAAAGAATTGATGGTCAACTCCCTATTCAGTCCTGCAGACATCACTAGGCAGAAGATTTGGAGCATCACTGCCTGCTTCTACAGGATGCTTCTCTAGTGGTAGGGTAGAAGGTCAGCTCCCAGTTGGCCCGAGTGAAACTGTGGGAGTGGTATGCGATTGGGATTTCTGTGGTGTTTGCCTGGAGTAGGTTGTGTATTGGGATTTTTTTTCCTCCTTAGGTTACCCATTTTCTGTTATTTTGGCTAAAGGAGACAGGCTTTTCTTGGATAATTTTTTTTTCCATGCCTGTTGGCCATTACAGGTTAAAGGCTTATGCAATATCCTGCCCAAGATATATGGGAGGAAGTAAGAAAACTGAGGATACTCATTACCATGTTGTTCAAGTACTGAGTACTTGAGGCAATCCATCTTCAATACTCTTCCAAAGCTTGTTTATTATGTTATGTCCAGAGTTTTTAGTTGGGCTAAATAAAAATGACCACTCCATCTTTGCCAGAATCAGAAATCCTCTGATAATCTGCTTTTAGAAGTCCAACCCAAATGTAAAAACACATTGCCAAGAACAAATCCTAGAAGCAATAATGCAGGCAAGTATATTAAGAAAAATTTACATTACTTAAAAAGATATGCTTTTTTAAGTCTCTCTGGGAACATTATTTTCATTCCAACAGTAAATATGGTAATGACAAATTTTCAGAATTAGTTCACTAAAGCATTCTCATTATGGAATTATTTTTGGTAGCATTTTATTACACAGATTGTGGTTATTGTGCCTTTTAAATGTATTTCATAATTCTTATTTTTCCAAAATTTAAATGTTTATTATTTTATTTAATAAACTAGTATGTCATTTGTTTTCAAAACCTGAGTTAATGAAGATTAAAATTCATGTTGAAGACTATTATTTTATTTAAATATGTATTTAAAGCTCATTATATATTTAAGTATATATTTAAACCTTACATATAAACATACATGCATACATATATGTGTGTGATATATATACACACAATGTATATTTATACACACATGTAAGACGTAAAAATATATATACACATATGTAATACATACACACATCATTTAGTGCCTAGAAGATCATTTACATCACATAAAAGTCAGCACTGTCATTTATCTGTTACTCTTTCTATATGGGTACATAATGTGTTTTGTGTAAATGATGCTGAGCCCCAGCTTAGCAAGATCTTTTTCCAAATGTGTATTTATCAAGGATGCACTTGTGCTGTGTTACAAGCGCTAATGTATGGACAAAGCTAATCATTAATTACAAATGCTGCTAATTATTATAGAAGTTTATAATCATATACAAGATGGAAGGAGCTTGCAATCTGGTATGATGAATTGAATTTACAAAATCCTTAATGATTCTGCAAAATCACAGCCAGAATCCTTGGGACACTCTGGAGCCTTAATTGTATAACACTATTGGCCCAATCTGGAGGAAGGAGGCAGGACTTTTATACCCACAAGTCAGCCAATATTTATCTGTGGCCTACTAATCTCTCAGTGATAGAGAATAAATATGCAGGCAAAGCAGCTTCTGGTTGAAAGCAGTTCTCAGAGGTAGGAGGCTCCTGTGGAGTATTAGCTGACAACACTCACAACAATTATGTGATGAATGCTCCTGTACATGTTTTATGGTTTGAATTGTGTCCCTTGTAAAATTCATATGCTGATGTGCTAACTCTAAGTACCTAAGAGTGTGACCTTTGGAGACAGTATCTTTACAGAGGAAGTCAAGGTGAGGTCATTAAAATGAACCACAAGCCAACATGACTGGTATACATAAAAAAGGAGAATTCAGACAGAGAGACACACACAGAAAAAAAAGACAAAATGAAGAGACCCGGTGAGAAGACAGACCTCTGCAAGCCAAGGAAGAGGCCTGAAACAGATCCTTTACTCACAGCCTTCAAAAGAAACCAACACTGCTTCAGCTTGATCTCTGACTTGTAGCCACTGGTCAACCTGTAGTATTATCATTACAGAGAACCCGCATGAGTCTCAGTCTGGGTGCTAAATACCACTTTTGTTTAATGCTTCCCTTTTGTATCTCAAACATCAAATCCTTTTTGTCCACACAAAACATCTTATGATGCTAACCAAGACAATAGATAACTATTGTCAAGGTTGTCAGTTCTCAGTTCATGGATGTGGTGTTGCCTCCTTTCCCTATTACCCCTCTACTAACCTACAAAGGCAGATGGGGTATGACATGGTTTGGGTTTTTGTCCTGACCCAAATATCTTGTCATATTGTAATCCCCAAGGTTGGAGGATGGGCCTGTTGGAAGGTGATTAGATTATGGGGGTGGATTCCTCCCTTGCTGTTCTCATGAGAGCGAGTGAGTTCTCATGATATCTGGTGGTTTAAAAGTGTGTGCCACCTCCCCCTATTCTCTATTCCTCCTGCTCTGCCATATAAGATGAGCCCTTTGCCTTCTATTATGATTGTAAGTTTCCTGGGGCCCCCCAGCCATGCTTCCTGTACAGCCTGAAAAACTAGGAGTCAATTAGACATATTTTCATTTTAAATGACCCAATCTCAGGTATCTTTATAGCAATGTGAGAATAAACTAAATTGGTACAGATAGTGGGGCATTGCTCTAAAGATACCTGAAAATGTAGATGCAGCTTTGGAACTGGATAATGGGCAGAGGTTTGAACAGTTTGGAGAGCTCAGAAGAAGAAAGGAGATGAGAGAAAGTTTGGAATTTCTTAGAGACTTGTTAATTTGTTGTAATTAAAGTGCTGATAGTGATATGCACAATGAAATCCATGCTAAGGTGGTTTTAGATGAAGATGAAGAACTTACTGGGAACTGGAGCAGAGGCCACTTTGTTATGCATTAGCAAAGAGGTTGGAGGCATTGTGCTTCCATGCTACAGATCTGTGGAACTTTGAACTTGAGAGAGATGATTTAGAGTATCTGAAGGAAGAAATTTCTAAGCAGCAATACAATCAAGATGTGGCCTGGGTGCTTCTAGCATCCTATGCTCAAATTTGTAAGTCAAAAATGATATAAAATTGAAACTTATTTTTAAAAGGGAAGCAGAGCATACAAGTTTGAAAAATGTGCAGCCTGGTCATATGGGAGAAAAGAAAACCCATTTTGTGGGGAGGAATTCTAGAAAGCTGCAGAAATTTGCACAAGTGATGAGGAGCCAAATGTTGACAACTAAGATAATGGGAAAAATGCCTTGAAGGCATTTCAGAGACCTTCGTGGCAGGCCCTTCCATCACAGGCCCAGAGAGCGAGGAGGGAAGAACAGTTTCATGGGCCAGGCCCAGGGCCCACTGCTCTGTGCAGCATCAGGACATGGCACCCTCTATCATGGCTGTTCCAGCTCCAGCAGTGGCTAAAAGGGACCAATGTATAGCTTGAGCTGTTGCTTCAGAGGGTGCAAGGCAAAAGCTTAGGTGGCTTCCACATAGTGTTAGGCCTGTGGGTAGAGAGAAGGCAAGAGTTGTAGCTTGGGATCTGTAGTAGTTTGTTTTCATACTGCTGGTAAAGACATACCCAAGACTGGGTAATTTTTAAAGAAAAAGATATTTAATGGACTCACAGTTCCATGTGGCTGGGGAGGCTTCACAATCATGGCAGAAGGTGAAAGCATGTCTTACATGACAGCAAACAAGAGAGAATGAGAGCCAAGTGAAAGAGGTTTCCCCTTGTAAAACCATCAGATCTCATGAGACTTATTCACTACCATGAGAACAGTGTGAGGGGAACCACCCCCATGATTCAATTATCTCCCACTGGGTCCCTCCTAAAACACATGGGAATTAAGAGAGCTGCAATTTAAGATGAGATTTGGGTGGGGACATAGCCAAACCATATCATTCTGCCTTTGGCCCCTCCCGAATCTCATGTCCTCATATTTCAAAACCAATCATTCCTTCAGCATTAACTCAAAAGTCTACAGTCCAAGGTCTCATCTGAGACAAGGCAAGTCCCTTCTCCCTGTGAGCCTGTAAAATCAAAAGCAAGTTAGTTATTTCCTAGACACAATGGTGGTACAGGCATTGGATAAATACACCCATTCCAAATGGGAGAAATTGGCCAAACCTGGGGCTAAAGGTTACATGCAACTCCAAAATCAAGAGCAGACAAATCTTAAAGCTCCCAAATGATCTCCTTTGACTCCATGTCTTACATCCAGATCACACTGATGTAAGAGATGGGTTCCAATGGACTTGGGCCTTTGGCCCTGTGTCTTTTCAGGGTACAGCCTCCTTCCCAGCTTCTTTCATGGGCTGGCATTGAGTGTCTGTGGCTTTTCCAGGCACACAGTGCAATCTGTCAGTGGATCTATGATTCTGGGGTTTATAGGATGGCGGCCTTCTTCTCACAGCTCCACTAGGCACTGTCCCAGTGGAGACTCTGTGTGGAGGCTCTGACCCCATATTTTCCTTCCACACTGCCTAGCAGAGGTTCTCCATGAGGGCCCTGCTCCTGCAGCAAACTTCTGCCTGGACATCCAGGCTTTTTCATACATCCTCTGAAGTCTAGGATGGGTTCTCAAACCTCAGTTCTTGACTTCTGTGTACCTGCAGGCTCAACAGCACATGGGAGCTGCCAAGGCTTGAGGCTAGCAACCTCTGAAGCCAAGCCTGAGTTGTACCTTGGCCTCTTTTAGCCATGGCTAGAGTGGCTGGAACTCAAGGAACGAAGTCCCTAGGCTGCACACAGCAGGGGGGCCCTGGGCCACGCCCATGAGACCATTTTTTCTCCTAGGCCTCCAGGCCTGTGATAGGAGGGCCTATGGCAATGGTCTCTGACATGCGCTGGAGACATCTTTCCTATTTTCTTGGTCATTAACATTTGGCTCCTTGTTATTTATGCAAATTTCTGCAGCTGGCTTGAATTTTTACTCAGGAAATTTTTTTTTCTTTTATAATTGCATTTTCAGGCTACAAATTTTTTGAAATTTTATGCTGTTTCCCTTTTATAACTGAATGCTTTTAACAGCACCCAAGTCACCTCTTGAATGCTTTGCTGCTTAGAATGTTCTTTTGCCAGATACCCTAAATCAACTCCCTCTAGTTCAAAGTTCCATAGATCTCTAGGGTGGGGCAAAATACCATCAGTCTCTTTGCATAGCAAGAGTCACCTTTACTTCAGTTCCCAACAAATTCCTCATCACCATCTGAGACCACCTCAACCTGGATTTCATTGTTCATATCATTATCAGCATTTCAGTCAAAGCCATTCAACAAGTTCCCAGCTTTCCCACATGTTCCCGTCTTCTTCTGAGCCCTCCAAACTGTTCCAACCTCTGCCTGTTACACAGATCCAAAGTCACTTCCACATTTTTGGGAATCTTTACAGCAGTGCCCCACTCTACTGGTACCAACTTACTCTATTAGCCCATTTTCACACTGCTGATGAAGACATACCTGAAACTGGGTAATTTATAAAGAAAAAGATTCAAGATGAGACTTAAGTGGGAGACACAGCCAAACCATATGAGGAGCCACTGACTAGATTTCAGTGGATGAATGTAAACAGCTGAATATCCAGGCAGAAGCTGCTGCAGGGGTGAAGCTGTCATGTAGAACCTCTACTAGGGCAGTGCAGAGGGGAAATGTGGGTTGGAGCCCCCACACAGAGCTCCCACTATTAGGCTGCCTAGTGGGGCTGTGAGAAGAAGGCCACTGTCCTCCAGACCCCAGAATGGTAGATACACTGACAACTTGCACCATGCACCTGGAAAAGCCACAGACACTCAATGCCAGCCTGTGAAAGCAGCCTCAGGGGCTGTACCCCGAAGAGCCACAGCAGCAGAGCTGTTCAAAGCCTTGGGAGCCCAACCCTTGTGTCACTGTGGCCTGTGTGAGACACGGACTTAAAGGAGATTATTTTGGAGCTTTATTTAATGACTGCCCTGCTGGATTTTGGAATTATATGGGCCCTGTAGCCCCTTTGTTTTGGCCAATTTCTCCCTTTTGGAAAGGGAGTATTTACCCCATGCCTCTAGCCCCATTGTATCTTGGAAGTAATGAAATTGTGTTTTTTTGTTTTTGTTTTTTTGTTTTTGAGACAGAGTCTTGCTCTGTTACAGGCTGGAGTGCAGTGGCACAATCTCAGCTCACTGCAATCTCTGCCTCCCAAGTTCAAGCGATTCTCCTGCCTCAGCCTTCCAAGTAGCTGGGAATACAGGTCCGTGCCACCACACCCAGCTAATTTTTGTGTGTGTGTGTTTTTACTAGAGATGGTGTTTCACCATGTTGGCCAGGATGGTCTCGAACTCCTGACCTAATGATCCATCTGTCTTGGCCTCCCAAAGTGCTGGGATTACAGGCATAAGCCACTGTGCCCGACCCTTGTTTTTTATTTTATAGGTTCACAGGGGAAACGGACTAGCTTTGTCTCAGGTGACATTTTGGACTTTTGAGTTAATGCTGGAATGAGTTAAAACTTTGGGGAACCGTTGAGAAAGAATGATTATATTTTGACATGTGAAAAAGACATGAGATTTGGAAGGGGCTCGGGACAGAAAGACATGGTTTGGAGTTGTGTCTCCACCCAAATATCATGTAGAATTATAATCCCCAATGTTGGAGCAGTGGCCTGGTGGCGGGTGATTAGATCATGGGGACAGATATCCCCCCCTTGCCGTTTTCATGATAGTGAGTGAGTTCTCACAAGATCTGTTTCTTTAAAAGGGTGTAGTATTTCCCCCTGATCTTTCTGCCTCCTACTCTGGCCATGTAAGACATGCCCTTTGCATTCCACCATGATTGTAAATTTCCTGAGGTTTCCTCAGCCATGCTTCATGTATATCCTGCAGAACTGTGAGTCAGTTAAACCTCTTTTCTTTATAAATTACCCAGTCTCAGGTAGTTCTTTATAGCAATGTGAGAACAGACTAATACAGGGTGGAAGGTGGTTAAAATTTGTGCTGGGAGGAACAAGTGGCTTGTTGGCATTGGACTAGTATTGCTTACCTGCTGAGAAGAAGCAGATAAGTTTCCAAGTTATTATTTGTACTACAATATTAAGTTTGTACATCACATAATGATGTTTTGTATGTATGCTTTTATTTTCTAGAAGTAAATAAAGTCATAATGAAAACATAATGCTATCTATGGGAAATATTATGTGTGAACAGGGCTAATATAGCTCTAAGACCTACATATGGATTGTTCTACAACAGATGATGTCTGCCTCTAGGCCAGGCAGAGAATTGGGTGGTAACAGATAAGGGAATTGTATCTCTAGGCACAGAGGCTAGAACATTACCTCAAATGGAAGATTTTCTCTGAGGTTTGAGAATGTGCCAGGTATGTGAAGAGAATATTCAACATAAATAATTGCCCAATTTGCATATATATTTTCATGAGGAGAAAAATATAATTTAGAAAGTCAACTTAGGAAACAAATAATTCAATCTATTTAACAGATATATTTAGTAGGCAAAACACTTATTTAGTTAAGGTGGAGAGAATGATTTAAATGCAATGTATTTATCCTATTGACATATTTTTCCAGTTCTATTCTCAAATAATCCACAAGACAGGGAGGTTGGGCTTGATTTATCTGTTAGGGGTTTTGTACAGACCTGTCATGGACTCTGAGAGCAGGTGACTCAACATCGTGCTTTGTGGACTGTGCAGGAAACACAGGATCCTGAAGGTGGACAGAAAAAAATCTCTAGTTTTTATTTGCAATTAGTATTTATCTACTCCAATAATCAGTCTGCTTTGGAAATATTCCCTGTGCCTTCCTTAAAGATTAACTGCTTTTTAAAAAGCTATTGTAAACAGTTAACATTTTTGTCCTCTATAATGTCATTTACCTGAGACTTCATTTCAGGTGGTGTCTCAGGGGACCATCGTAAATATTTGAAGTTATCCATGACTAAATTTATGTTGGCGCCGTTACTACCTGAAGCACTAAAATGAAAGAAAGTTCAGTAAGCATTTTACTCAGAGAATTATTCTGACAACCTTTCAAAGCATTTAATGTTGTGTTGACAGTTGATGGATCTGGTTATCCTTGGACAGAGAAATAAATTCACACAGCATGTTATACATCAATATTAATGGTCTGGTTAAACGTCTACAGCAGTTGCAGAAATAGGCTCTTTCATGATGTTTTCAAGACATCTTAAGCCTGTTTGAAGTCTTGGTAATTTTTTATGCTTCATGATATCATTATCTTTATCATCATCATCAAAATAATAAATATGAAAATACGTATTGATACATACCAGACTCTGGCCTAAGGACTTTAAATACATTATTTAATTATCTACAACATACATTTAGGCATGTACACACACACACACACACACACAACATGAAATAGGTATTTTTATCGTCACTATTTTACAGGCAAAGCATAGAAAGACTAAGTAACTTGTCCCAGGCAACTAATAAGAGCAGAGTCAGGATTTTGTGTCTTTTTGAATCAGTCTCAGGGTTTATGTATGGGCCACATCACATCTTATCTGAAAGACTACCTGAAATCTTTAAAGCAAAGGTCTTGGAACCTGTCCCAACCATCAATTAACTTTTTCCTTTGTCCTTGAGACATACTTGTATTACAGAGGGTAGGACTAACCTTTTCTTTTCTTTTCTTTTTTTTTTTTTTTTCGAGACAGAGTCTCGCTCTGTCACCCAGGCTGGAGTGCAATGATACAATCTCGGCTCACTGCAACCTCTGCCTTCCCAGGTTCAAGCAATTCTTCCTGCCTCAGCCTCCCAAGTAGCTGAGATTACAGGTGCCCACCATCATGCCCAGCTAATTTTTGTATTTTTAGTAGAGACGGGGTTTTGCCATGTTGGCCAGTCTTGTCTCAAACTCCTGACCTCAGGTGATCCGCCCGCCTCGGCCTCCCAAAGTGCTGGGATTATAGGCGTGAGCCACTGTGCCTGGCCAGGATTAACCTTTTAATACCTAAATTCTTAGTGTTTCTTCTTTGCCAAAGAATGTAATTACAAGGGATGTGAAAGTATTTGTTCTATACTTATTATATGCCAGGTTTTGACATCGCTTATTTTATGCTCAAAGCAATCACGAAATGTTATTTTATTAATTTTGGATATGGTGTAACTGAAGCTCAGAAAAGTGAAGTAACTTCCCCAAGGCCATAGTAAAATTGCAAAGATCGGACAGAAACCCAAGTGTCCTGGGCTAACCACTAAGCAATCCTATCTCTAACACAGTTGTTAACAGTCATTCACTTCTTGGTGTCAAGACTTGAGACAAGGCTGAGATACAGAAAATGAGGGGAAACAGAATATTAAAAGCTTAGCAGGACAGAAGTGGGGCTAAGGCACAAGGGATTTGTGAGGTATATGAAGAAAGGTAGCAGGCACATGGGTTGGTGGGCAGGGAAGTGAAACCAAGAGTGAGGGGTAGGGACTGTGCAGGCTCTGCTGTGTATTTGTCTCAGGCTGGCTCCAGGAATGAAACGAGGAGGGAAAAAATAATATGTGCAGTGCTGCTTATTCCAGATAAAGACTATTGCTCCTGTTCCTCCCTCTCTATTTAATAGCTTAAGTAAGACCCACCCTTATATGGAAATCTCCCAGCATACCTCCGCTGTTGCCTAGGGGATTGGCGAGAATGATGATAGAAAGATTCTGTTCTGGTGGGAGAGGGTGAAGTCACAATGCAGTATTTTATTTTTCTCCATGTTTCTGTTGTTATTGTCACGGCTGATAAACCCATAAATACAATTTGCTATTTCAACTATGTATATATTATATACTATAATTAAAAAATAAGAAAACCCTGGATAAATAAAATCATAGACAAATAATGTAGCCAGAAATAATAATAATAATTTAAAAAAGGTAGCTGTTCAGTAAGAACATCCCATTTCTAAAATGAGTGTGGGAGAGGGAACTTCAGATGAGAAAATTTGGATCAGGACTGGGGGTCTCATAGAGCACTGGCCACTCTGAGATTTGGCTCCTGACAATTGGTTTTAAACACATGGCTGTCGAGCTGGTATTGAACCCTTGAAGAAAAATATAATGCTCAGGATGGTTCCTACCCAATGTATTTCTTTTCAGACTTTGCCCCACTTCAGTGACATAAGTACCATCTTGGAAAGGGCGTCAATTTTACATAATGTGGAATAAAATCTAATTTGCAAAATAAATTTGCCTTAATCAAAGAGATTCAAAATTAAAAATAGATGGCGTTACAATTTATCTGGTCTCTAACTGATTCCAACCAAGTCAACTTAATCAAATCTGAAATTAGTGATTCATTAATCCCATCTACTTCTTGAAAAGTAAACAATGCTGGCTTTCTTAAAATGGGTATTGGTTAATTGCATAAGAAAAGCAGGCTCACTTGAGAATGTTTTGTCAGGCCCATGCTCCATCCAATGCAGTGTGTGTATATATATATTCTGAGGATGAAGTATATGCAGTCATTTCTGTGATAATATTATATTTTAAAAACATGAATTTCTTCTAATAACTGATATACTAGGGACTGATTTGAGCACAACACAAATTTTGTGTTTGCCTATGCATATTTTTGTTCATGTGAAATACTACGTGAACTTAGAAAGCTTCACCAAGCTGAACAGACTCTGTAGAAATATACAAAACAAGCATACATGCATACACCTCCAACACCTATAAGCTACCTCAGTTCACTGCAGGTGTGTTTTGAGCCACATTCATGCACATCTGGTGTAATAACTTTCTGTCTGATTTCAGACAACACTCCTTCTACTACTTTACTCACAAGCTACACCCTTCAAGTGACTGCTTCCACAAGCAAACTTCAGCTCTCTTAAAGTGTCACATTTATTAAGGATTATGTATTTCTTAACTATTTTATATATGCAAAACTGTGCTACTATCCTTTTTGAATGCTCCTATCTTTCCCACCCCCACCCCCCAACCACTAATGAAGTTTTTGAGTGTCAGGCCACTAATCCCATTTTCCCCCGTAATTCTTATTGCTTTTATGACCTTTTTTTTTTTTCTTGAGATGGAGTCTTGCTCTGTCACCCAGGCTGGAGTGCAGTGGTGAGTAAGGATATTCAGTCCCACATTATTTAATTTCTGAAACCATTAGAATAGCTTCAGAAGTTCAACAACAGGAAAATGGTGAAGTAAGCCACAGTTTATTCATTAGAAGAAATAACAAGCAGCCATTTAATGGCTAGACAGACTATATAGCAGAGTGAAACATGGTTATACTAGGCCAAGTGAAAAAAGGTAAAAAATTAAACACTGAAAGTGACTTTTAAGAACACTTACAGGGACAAGGAAATATTTGAAAAAAAAAACGCGCTGAAAAAAAACTAGTTTAAGGCCAGTGAATGCTATTATGAACATGTGTAATACACATTAGAGAGATGGGGAGCATGAGTGGTGTTAGCCAACTGTGGAAAACTGCTGTGTGATGTTCAGGTAATGAATGTAATAAACCACTCCAGGAAGACCATCTGTATGTTGTTCGCTATTCTGATTCAAGCCAGACAGATGCTCATATAGAA
This sequence comes from Homo sapiens, assembly GCF_000001405.40. Taxonomy (NCBI): domain Eukaryota; kingdom Metazoa; phylum Chordata; class Mammalia; order Primates; family Hominidae; genus Homo; species Homo sapiens. Next base: position 108,706,623 of record NC_000010.11, on the reverse strand, counting down.
GGTTCACACCCCTACCACAAATCCTCTCTGACAAATCATAATCATGTTACATAAACAACAAACCCAGAATCATTGGGAAGCAGGCAGAAGATGGAGCAAGCATAGTATTAGAAGTGGACATGGTCTGGAAATAGAGCTAAATTGTTTTGAAGGTAATCTTGTACCCGTGCTTGAGAAATAAACTCAGTACCTTCACTACCAGTACCACGAAAGGCGTTTTGAAAGAGCTATGTTTAAAAATATGATAATACATATTTGTTGAGAGAAAGTGGGGCCAGGACCTATATTGCTTCTATGCAAGGCTACATTTTCTGCATTTTCTGCTTATTTTCATAATTACCCTGTGAACTAGCTGTATGTCTTTTTGTATAGATGGGAAACATGAGTCTCAGAGAAGTTAAGTGACTTGCCTAAAGACATAGTTAATATGTGATTGGCCAAGATTCAAACTCCATTCTTTCTCCATAATTCTTGTCCTGCCCATGGAACTAAGCTAAAAATGGAAGAATGGAACTAAGGGGACAAGTTATTCACTTATGTACATACATTTCCATGTCCCTGTCAAGGTTTAGTTTCTTGTCTGTCACTCTGTCTTGATCTCTTGTCCTTGTTTTATTTCTATTTCTGCCATCTTGCCATATGTAAATATCTTGCCATTTACTTATCTTTCTGCAAATAGGCAGATTGATATGGACCAATTTGGGAAAACTATGTTAGACCATTCACAATCATTTGTGCCCTTGAAAAAAATCTTGAAAAAAATTCTTGGGAAAATAAGTTGATTTACCCTCTGAAGGATTTGAAAAATAGTTCTTAAGGTTGGCTTTTCTTACACTATCTGTCAACATGGAGCACCATCATATATATGATTAGGAGTAAAAAAGATTAGTTTCCCAGCACTTTGGGAGGCTAAGGCAGGAAGATCACAAGGTCAAGAGATGGAGACCATCCTGGCCAACATGGTGAAACCCCTTCTCTACTAAAAATACAAACATTAATTGGGCATGGTGGTGGGCACCTATAGTCCCGGCTGTTGGAAAGTTTGAGGCAGGAGAATTGCTTGAACCCAGGAGGCAGAAGTTGCAGTGAGCCAGATCGCGCCACTGCACCACTGCACTCCAGCCTGGGCAACAGAGTGAGATTCTGTCTCAAAAAAAAAAAAAATAAAAATAAAAAGATTAGCTCAGCAGAAGGAAAGCTAGTGATTCGTGATAGTATATCAGATTTGTATCGTGAGGGTATGATACATGTATTAGCCCTGTGAAACAATCTCTTCTCTTGCACTTATTTGGTGCCAGTCAAAACAGTATTGGAAATTGAGCCTCTTTACTGACCAAGTTTGCAGTGAATCACTGCCTTCTACCTTATACTAACAGTAAGCCGAAGTGATTTAGTTTTCTCTTTATCCTTAAAAGAAATGCAATTTAGAAAGATAACTGAGATGACAATAACATTATTGGAGATAATGAATTCACTTATAAGGTTTCAAAGGAGAACCAGTTAACTGTAGTCTTGAATGTTTTGTTTATAACTTCATATGATGCTGAAATGTAACAAATTATGCTTTGGTATATATGTTGTTAGGAAAGTTAAAAATGCTACCTGGATGTTATTTTAGTAAAGATATGAAAGTGGTTCAAGCTGATCTCCACAGATATAATTTCATTTTCATTTTATGGTTGGATGATTTGAATAACATTCAACAAATTTCAATTTAAGGAAAAATACTCAGCTTATCATTAAGCAGGGCTTTCAAAACGTTGCAAATAAATATGAAACCCAGTTAATGTCTACAGAAGAAAAGAACGTACAGTAAAGTGATACATTGAGTGAGAGGAGAACATTCAGTATATTATTGTATTAGGAACATGGTTAGACTGTATTGTGAAAGTTAATTTAATTACCTAATATTTTTGATTAACTATAGAAGTAGAAACTAATTGGGTTCCTGCTGTGAAATGTATGAAATTAATATACAAGTGAGGACACACAAAGCCCCTTTTAATAATGACCATTTATAACTTTAAGCAGGCTATCTCCCTGATAAAAATGATTTACCTTGTATTTGCTCATTCTCTTTTTCTGTTGCAGACTTTAGTCATTGGCACCTGGCTGTGACAAACATTCTTAATTCATGTGTCATGAGCGTTTTGCTTTAGGATGCTGATGCTGACTTTTCTCTGTGGTGCAAATGTTGCTATGAAGTCTAGTAAATGTTCAATTGCACTTTTAGTACTATTCTCATTTGACTGTCCTTCCATCTATGGTCAGAGTTGCTATTTTAGGGCCTGCCATTACAGCTTACTTGACATTTGAATTTCTAGTTGGCCCAAAACACTTGTTCAATCTCAGCAGCTCTACCTCTTTTCAAATCCTGCAGAATAGATGGGCCTATTTCTCTTGCCCTCACATCATGTCCAACTAGGCACACTACTAAGTTCACATGTAAACATCAGAGTAATCTTTAAGGTATTGGTCTGCATTTGTGCAAACCCCTCTGGATGTGATTTAAAAGCTAAACTCTGCCATACGATAGGGTGGTTTATGACAGCTTGGAGATGGGAGGTGGTCTGAGATGATGCCTCAAATCATTGAATAGTGATTCACGTGGCATTTAAACAAATCATCTCAAACTCATTATATTCTACCATAAAATTGTTCATCTGAAGTTGATAGATTCAGAGAAAACCAGCTTCTATTAGGTTGGTGCAAAAATAATTGCAGTTTTTGCCAGGTAAAAATAATGACAAAAACTGCAATTACTTTTGCACCAACCTAATAGTAGGGGTCAGTGACTCATTTTGCTTCAGAGGATTACTGCACTTAATCAAAATTCGTTTCCATGGGCCTTCCTGGCTAGAGTGACAGTTGCGGAAAATTGTATTTCTTTATTGATTTTTTTTCTCTTTCCTTCACCTTAGTCTCTTCCTCTTCTTATTGGCTGTGCTTATGAAAGGTCTTCATTTCATATGTCATGTCATGTATTCCTTCCATGTTCCTGCTTTGAATCCTATGTTTTTGCTATTTTGAATTAAAATGGCTGGTTTTAAAAGGCTATCTCCACGTGGAATTTTTAACTGCTGCAGCTCACTCTCAGCCCAAAATCCTACAGCCTCCTCTGATTCATGGAGCTTTCCAGGGAGCTCCTCAAAACACCTCCTTCTTAGGATTCATCATCTCATTAGTGACATCACCATCTCCTTGGCTATTCAGGCCAGAGACCTTCTGCTATGGCTTGAATGTTTTTGTCATCTCCAAAATTCATGCTCAAACCTAGTTCCCAGTTCAATAGTACCATGAGGCATGGCCTTTGAATGGTGTGGCTCTGCCTTCGTGAATGAGATTAGGCAACTTTATAAAAGGGCTAGATGGAGGAAGTTCATCCCTTTTGCCCTTCTGCTTTCTTCCATGTGAGGACACAGAATGGGTCCCCTTTTCCCTTTTTGCCTTCTACTGTGTAAAGACATGGCATTCCTTTTGTCTGGATGACTCAGCTTTCAAGGTGTCATCTTGGAAGCAGAGTATTCCTCACCAACAGAATCTGATGGTGCCTTGATCTTGGACTTCCCAGCCTCCAGAATTATGAGAAAATAAATTTGTAGGTTTAAAAAAATAAATTTTTGTTCTTTATAAGTGTGTCTTAGACATTCTGTCATAATAGTATAAAATCAACTAAGAAACCCTCTTTTCTCCTCCTTCTTTCTAAATTAATCACTGACTCCTGTTGATCATACATTTATTTATTTTCACAATATGTCACTCTGCCTACACCTCCACCTCCTACGTACATCAGCACACACATGCATACTCACACATTAAAAGATTTGTCACCTGCTATATTTCTTGGCTGGATACTACAACAGCTTTCAACCTTCTTTCTCTGCCTTCAGCCTTACTGGAGCCAGTGTTACCAGCTGTAAACACAACAGACCACTCCTGATGTAATATGTCTGCTGAGGACTGGGAAGAAAACGCCATAGGCCTCTATCCATGCTCTATGATCCAAGGGCTTTGGCTGGGGAAGGGGTGAGTTGAAAGTCAGGGTTGAGTCTAAGCTGTGAGTTTGCTAAGACCTCCAGACGTATTTTCTGCCTTCAGAAATCAAGATTGTGGCTATACCAGAGCATTAACTTCCTCAAAGTAGAGGCAAATCCTGGGTTGTCAGAATAGTACTTACTAGTGTCATGTTAATGCTGGGTGAGAATGAAAGCAGAGATTGTATATTCGTTTAGCTAGAGAAGAGGCAGAAAAAAGAAAATGCCTGAAAAAGGCAAGTCATTCAACCTGGGGCCATCTGAGGGCTATTAGGAAACTCTTTTAAAATTATTTTCATCACCTACTTATCCTTGGTGACTGAAATTCCACATAAAGATTTATTCTTCTGGCCTAATGTACTGATTTCTCTCTCTCTCTCTCTCTCTCTCTCTCTCTCTCTCTCTCTCTATCTATCTATATCTATATGTATATATATATATATAGAGAGAGAGATATCTCTATTTATCTATCTATATATATGCCTTTCTCATATATATACACACACACATATATATATATATGCCTTTCTCTCTCTCTCTCTCTCTCTCTCTCTCTCTCTCTCTATATATATATATATATATATATATTCCCTGAGAAAGGCGATATATTTTGTGAAGTTATTCCTTAACTTTTTATCTTTCCTTCCTATCTTCCCACTGGCCTTTTTTTTTTCTCTCTCTCTCTCTCGCTTTTTTTTTTTTTCTTAAATTCACTAACAATTGAGCACCCACTCTGTGTTACATAGCCGTGAAGAAGTTAAATAGCAGACCATTCAAGTGGAAACTCGAAGTGGATCACTTTGGGTGTCCACTTGGCATTAAAGACTGATGTCCAGAGGTGCAAAGGGGCTGATTGAGGATTAGAGGCACATTAGTATCTGATTTCAGGGTTTCTACGTCCAGTTCTGCATTTTGATGTTATTGCTCTTAATTCTCCCACTATGAACCACCTTAGTTTAGCTCACTAAACTAAGTTTATTTTCAATATTTGCCCTATCTTTGTTTCATATATCTATATTTAACAATATATCTGTATACATCTATATATTTCTTATCTGCTACATATAGATAATAACTGTAAAAATAAATACAATAAATACAGTGAAAATAAAATAATGTTATCAAACCTAACTTGACATAATAGCTCCAAACTGAGACTTTGCCTTTATTAAAACAAAATAATTAAAATAATTGTAAAGGACAAACTTTCTTCATTTAGGTGATTCAGTTCACAGCAATGGCTTTTAACCTTTATTACCCATTATCATCACCTGAGGAAGCTTTTAAAAATTGACTTATGCGTAGGGTTCCAGAAAGTCTTATTAAATTGGGAGAATAATCCTGGCATTAATCATCTACAAAATTTCTCAATTAATGATAATTTGCACAGTCAGGCTGGGGCACTGCTAGCTCAGGAGCAAAGACCCCAGATTCTAGGATCAGACTGCCTAGGTTCAAATCCTGCTTTATCACTGTGTGACCTTGGTCTTTTACTTTGCTAAGCTTCAACTTTCTTATCTGTAAAATAGAAATGAATATGTATCCATGTCATAAGGCTGTATGAGAATTAGTTGAGTTAATAAACAGAAAACACAGAACAAAGTCTTGTATATGATAAATGTTAAATGGGTGTTTAGTTTCATTGTTATTTTTATCAATGTTTGGGTTCTTGCAGCATTTGAGGTTATCTTGAATGCACAGAAAGACATAATTTCCAGACTTTGCAGCAACAATCCTTTGCTAATGAATTTTCCCCAAAGTAGTAAAAATACACAGTAAGTACTTTGTGACAGGGTGATGGGAGGCTTACAGGAACCATGCCTGTATGTTCTCCACAACCAGCTATCATGTTAGAGTCCAGTCAGCATAAAGGTACCAGACTCTGGAACTACAAGAGATAAGTCGTACCAGGTTGATGGGAGATGGGAATAGAAAGAGTAAAAGGTGAGAGTGAAAGAAAAACACGCCTTCAGTTTTCTTCTACTAAAAGCTAAAGATAAAGAAAATAAAACAACACAAAACAAAACAAGAAGAAGGTGGCTACTACCACTGTGTGAATGCAACGGCTCCTTTTCTTCCTCCCTCCCTTCATTGTTTCTTTCTTTCTTCTCATTTCTCCTCCCTTCCCTTCTGCTTTTCCCTCCCTTGCCAACCCTCCTCCTCCCTCTCCCTCTCTGTCCCTTGCCTACCCTCTTCCTCCCTTCTCCTCCTCCTCCTTCTCCTCTTCCTCCTTCTCCTTCTCCTCTTCCTCCTTCTCCTTCTCCTCTTCCTCTCTCTGTTTCTCTAAAGAGAATAAACTTTCTTTATCTGGGTCACACGCCAGGGAGTTGATCCTGAGACACAAGAAAAAGTGAGAAGCACAGAATGAGCTCTGTCTGTCACTGAACTTGGTCTTGCAGATCCACACTCTAATACTCATTGAGGTTCCTCAGGTCCTCATGCTGAGCATGAAAGGTTATCAAGTACTCAGTTCTGACCATTTGAAAGAGGTCAAAGTCAGTATTTGGAGAGACATAGTAGTTTGTTGTGACACTTTCTCCAAGGTAGATTCTTAAGACTGTCTCAAGATGTATTATACAGAGAAAGGAGCGTTAGCCATAAAAAAGAATGAGTTCATGTCCTTTGCGGGGACATGGATGAAGCTGGAAACCTTCATTCTCAGCAAACTAACACAGGAACAGAAAAACAAACACTGCATCTTCTCATTCATAAGTGGGAGTTGAACAATGAGAATGCATGAACACAGAGAGGGTAACATCACACACAGGTGCCTGTTGGAGGGTGGGGGTGCTAGGCAAGGGATAGCATTAGGAGAAATACCTAATGTAGATGGGTTGATGGGTGCAGCAAACAACCATGGCACATGTATACCTGTGTAACAAACCTGCACATTCTGCACATGTATCCCAGAACTTAAAGTATAATAAAAAATTTAAAAATTAAAGAAAAAATGGAGGCCATAGTTTGGATATACCCCAAGGCCAACTGCTCTAAACCAGGTAACCAAAACATAAGTCATTCTGATTTCACTGGAATGCCAGCTCTAATCATAAATGAAATAAAAAAAGGAAGTTATAAGTTCTTATAAGCATGATTCAGTGAAATTAAGACAGTCAGCTATAGACAGAGCAGCTTAAACAGTCGGCTTACCTAAAAAAGAATGCTTAATGGACTTGGTGCATTGGCTCATGCCTGTAATCCCAGCACTTTGGGAGGCCAAAATGGGAGGATCACTTGAGCCCAGGAGTTCACAACTAGCCTGGGCAACACAGTGAGACTCCATGTCAATCAACAAAATTAGCCAGGCATGGTGATTGGTGCTCTAGTCCCATCTACTCTGGAGCCTGAGGTGAGAGAATTCTTTGAACCTGGGAAGTTGAGACTGCAGTGAGCTATGATCTTGCTCTTGCATGCTACATGCTAGCCTGGGTGACAGAATGAGACTCTATCTCAAAAAAAAAAAAAAAAGAATGCTAATATGTAACACACAATGCTAATGTATTTTTTAAAAAGGTCAAAATACATTCTCCCTTATTCGCTGTGATCTGTAACTGCGTAACTGCTGTTAGCAGGCTTCTTACCACTTTTCAGTTCGTAGTTTTTCAGTTCTCAAACTGTTCTTTTATATGTGCAATAAACTAAACGTCTTTAATTTGGCCTGATTTGACTTTTGATAGAAAAAATTACTTTTCAAATTGATATACTACTTTAATGTATAAGATACCACAGCACATGTATGTAATATCTCCCATTCTGGGACCCTGTGAATTGGTTCTTATCTAATTATTATTTTTTAAGGTATTTATTAAGATATAATTCACATACTATAAAATTCATCCCTTTAAAGTGCACAATTCAGTGATTTTAATATATTCACTGAGTTGTGCAACCATCACCAATAATTTTAGAACATTCTCATCACCCAACAGAAAACCCCTGTACCATTTGCAGTCACGTTCCATCCCCCAGTCTGAAGCAACCAATCAGGCATCCTCTGTCTTTACAAATTTTCCTATTCTGGACATTTCATACAAATAGAATCAAATAATATGTCGTCTTTGGTATCTGGACTTTTTATTTATCATGATGTTTTCAAAGTTCATCCATGTCGTAGCATTTATCAGCATTTCATTATTTTCAAATGGCCAAATAATCCTCTGTCATATGAATATACCGTTTTGTTTATCCAGTCATCAGTTGATAAACATTTGGGTTGTTTCTACTTTTTGGTTATTATGAATAGTGCTGTTATAAATATTCCTGTACAAGTTTTTGTGTGGACATATGTTTTCATTACTCTTTTTTTAATTTTTATTTTATTATTATACTTTAAGTTTTAGGGTACATATGCACAAATGCAGGTTTGTTACATATGTATACATGTGCCATGTTGGTGTGCTGCACCCATTAACTCGTCATTTAGCATTAGGTATATCTCCCAGTGCTCTTGATTATATACCTAGAAGTGAAATTGCTGGGTCATAGAGGAACTCTATATCTAACATTTTGAGAAACTGCCAAGCTGTTTTCTAAAGTGACCACATCATTTTATAGTCCTACTAGCAATGTATATGAGTTTCAATTTCTTCCCATATTCAGCATCACTTTTTAATTTTGGCTCTTTTTGATTATAGCCATCCTAATGGGTATAAAGTAGAGTCTCCCGTTTGTCAATCATGGCTATGATGCTAAAATTCTCATCTTCCTTTTTTTAAAGTAAGTTTTCTAATACAGAGTTCCTCCTAAAGAAAGCCCTGTTCCCCTTGGCATGTTTACAGTGACTCTCACATAAAGGGAAAATTAATACAAACATACTGGACATTTTCCATGGGATGGGACCTACATTAAGCGTATATTATCTCACTAGATCTTCTCAACTGCTGTTTTGGATGGACAAGAACATACGACCATGGTAGTCTATTATTCTAAAAAGTTATTGAACAAAACATACCTATTTAAAACCCCAGTTGTAAAACCTCAGTGTCCCCAACCGTCTTGATTTCCCCAAATAGGTTGTTCCATTTCTCTCATGAGTGCCCTTTAAGTATTTCATATTACAAAGGGAATTATTTTTCCAGTGACCTTGGCACACTGAAAACACCCCTGGCAAGCTCATTTAAGCTCACAGAACACCAGAGGAAGTAGTTAGAGAGAAAGCAGGTGGCTTCAATATACTACTTTGGCTTTCAGCTAGTAAGTGCTCTCCACATAACTCCTAATCAATGAGTTTTTCAGCAAAAGGTAGGTTGAGGGGAAGAGTGTTAGTGAGGAATGAGAGAGACTGATAAGTATTTGAGGATTACATCACCCAAAATGAAAGACAAACTCATGAATTGAGTAGACAGAAGATTTGACTCACTCAGTTGCTCTATTGATGTAGCCAGATTATTTTCTTTCCTGAAAGTTGCACATAAGAGAATAATCATCTAAAAGATATTCTTATTGTGTACTTTTATTCTGTAAATGTTCAAAAGCCAATATGTGCAAAACCATTTAGCAAAATGCCACCATGGGGTTCATAGTTTGTAATTTTAGAAAAGCAACCAAAGGCTGCTGTACCTCATAAATTATTCAGTAAGGAGGTTTGAGTAAGATTGAAAAGTAGAAGTAAAACCTACACTCCCAGCAGGCGAAATATTGTTTGACATTTTTAATCATAATGAAACATACGACCTAGCGGGGCAAAACTAAAACACATTTGCATGTCAAAGAGTAGGTTCCATTTAATTTGTTTAAGTTTCTTTGTTAGCATTTCTGTTTCTTATGAAATATCGTCAAGGTTATGAAGAATATAATAAGTATCTAAATGGTTGAGAGATATGAACACAGATAAAAACAGCTGATTTTCTGGCCAGTCTTTGGAAAGTGAGAAATTTGTATGCAAGAAGCCATTTCTCCCCTTTGCTTCTTTAGTGCAGTTTTATTGCATTTTCAGAAGGCAAGAAAAGTAACCAAAGTATCGGCCAACTTACATTTATACAATGTTTTGTCTCCTGACTGTGCATACAATTAAGGACTTATACTCTTTTTCACATTTTTTGCCCTTACCTCAGGAAAAATGTCATGACAGCAAACCCTTAAGTTTAGGGGTTTACTTAATCATTTTATCCCTGTCTTAAAGGGAATGGAAAGGAGTTGGGCCTGTGATTTAGAGGAAAATTGAATTTCACAAGTTCAGATTTAGAGTTGAGGCAACTTGAAACCTAAATTTTTCTTATCCTGAAAAGCTTTAAGATTATTGAAGAAAACAAAATGAACAGACAAAAAAAAACTCTTTCCACATATATAATCAATTTTTTTAATTTTGTGATAGGTTTTTATTTCTCATTGAATAAGCTGAAAAGTAACTTTAATGGCTAGTGAATTGATGTAAAGGAACACACATGTTTTCCATTGATTTTCCTCTTTTTAATTAATGCCATAATTTCTAGTTGAGAGAAGACTGAGAGAAACTGATTGATGCTTAAAAAGATATTCTAACTTACCAGGAAATCATCCTGAGAACCTGTGGTTAAATGATTCAGTTGGCTTAACAATGTGTGGAAGAGAGAGTTTTGCAAGTGTTTACACTTCACAAAGACTTTCCAAGAGTTGGATTTTGTTGAGCTGACCTTTAATGCACAGAAGAGATGTTAGGATTGGAGACACGTGGGTATGGCTCTGTGTTTGTCTGGGTCTATTCTCTTGACTACTGCTTCTAGTAAGGTTGGATGTTCCTCCAGGTCTGGGACAGAGCATGACACCTTTGGTTCTATAGCCCCAGTGTCTGACATTTACTGGAAAATCAAATATTTGAAAGAGTAAATGTGTAACTGCACAAATGAGTGAATGAAATGAAATTATGGCTAAATCTGGTCTCTTGGAAGGAACAGTGTTTCTTTGCATGTGATGGCATTTAAACGGATTTATGCAGTTGAATACTCACAGATAGCCCAGTCTAGGGTATGAGCCACAGGCCGTTTACATAATTTGAATGAACTCATAAATGAGTTTATTTTAAAGGGGGACCTAAATATTAGTTGTTTTGCTGCAAAATTAGGTGAAATCACTCTTAATTTCCCAAATCTGTAATTTCTCCTACCAACCTCCTTCTCTCACGAGCCTCTCTTACAGCAATTTTCCCAATTCTAGTGTCCTCAGTTTAGCTGGATCTCCAAACCCAATCCTGTCTCTGTCTTCTTCTTGCTATTTTGTTTTGGGTGAGTTACCTAATCTCTCCTAACATAAATTGTTCATTTGTAAGAGGAGGTGCAAACACACTTCTCAGTGTTATGAGGTTTTAATGCAATCATAGATGTCTTTTACTGAGTACATAGAATCTTGTACATAGATTTGATCTTTTCACATAGTCCCATATTTCTTGAGGCTTCGTTCATTTCTTTTCATTCTTTTTTCTCTAATTTTGTCGTCCCACTTTATTTCATTAATTTGATCTTCCATCACCGATATCCTTTCTTCCACTTGATCAAATCAGCTATTGAAGCTGGTGTGTGCTTCATGAAGTTCTCGTACTGTGGTTTTCAGCTCCATCAGATCATTTAAGCTCTTCTCTACACTGGTTATTCTAGTTAGCCATTTATCTAACCTTTTTTCAACATTTTTAGCTTCCTTGCGATAGGTTAGAACATGCTCCTTTAGCTCAGAAAAGTTTGTTATTACTGACCTTCTGAAGCCTACTTCTGTCAACTTGTCAAACTCATTCTCTGTCCAGTTTTGTTCCCTTGCTGGCAAGGAGTTGTGTTCCTTTGGAGGAGAAGAGGTGTTCTGGTTTTTGGAATTTTCAGCTTTTCTGCTCTGGTTTGTCCCCATCTTTGCGGTTTTATCTACCTTTGGTCTTTTATGTTTGTGACCTACAGTTGGAGTTTTGGTGTGGATGCCCTTTTTGTGGATGTTGATGCGATTCCTTTCTGTTTGTTAGTTTTCCTTCCAACAGACAGTCCCCCTCACCTGCAGGTCTGTTGGAGTTTTCTGGAGGTCCTATCCAGAACCTGTTTGCTTGGGTATCACCAGTGGAGGTTGCAGAACAGCAAATATTGCTGCCTGATCCTTCCTCTGGAAGCTTTGTCCCAGAGGGGAACCCACATGTATGAGGTGTCTGTCAGCCCCTCCTGAGAGGTGTCTCCTAGTCAGGCTACATGGGGGTCAGGGACCCACTTGAGGAGGCAGTCTGTCCATTATCAGAGCTCAAACACTGTTCTGGGAAACCACTGATCTCTTTAGAGCTGTCAGGCAGGGATGTTTAAGTCTGCAGAAGCTGTCTGCTGCCTTTTGTTCAGGTATGCCCTGCCCCCAGAGGTGGAATCTAGAGAGGCACTAGGCCTTGCTGAGCTGCAGTGGGCTCCACCCAGTTTAAGCTTCCCTGCCACTTTGTTTATTATACTCTATGAGCATAGTACTGCCTACTCAAGCCTCAGCAATAGTGGACAGCCCTCCCCCTGCAAAGCTCCAGCATCGCAGGTCGAACTCAGACTGCTGTCCTAGCAGCAAGAAAGGCTCTGTGAGCATGGGACCCACCAAGACAGGCACAGGATGGAATCTCTTGGTCTGCCGGTTGTCAAGACCATGGGAAAAGTGCAGTATTTGGGTAGGAGTATACCATTCATCCAGGTACAGCCACTCATGGCTTCCCTTGGTTAGGAAAGGGAAATCTCCCAACTCCTTGCACCTCCCAGGTGATGCGATGCCCTGCCCTGCTTCTGCTTGCCCTCCGTAGGCTGCAATCACTGTCCAACCAGTCCCAGTGAAATGAACTAGGTACCTCAGTTGCAAAAGCAGAAATTACCCGTCTTCTGCATCAGTCTTGCTGGGAGCTGTAGACCAGAGCTGTTTCTATACAGCCATCTTGGAAGTGATTCCCTCCTTTAGTTCTTTGAGTATCTTTAAGAGAGCTGTTTTAAAGTCTTTTTTTATTAGGTAAATCTGCTATGAAGTCTTTCTCAAGGATAGTTCCTCTTTTGTGTTTGTGTTTTTTGTTTCCCTGTAAATGGGCCACACTTTCCAATTTAATTGTATGCCCCGTAGTTTTGTTGTTGTTGTTGAAAACTGGACATCTGAACTAATAATGTGGCAGCTCTGAAAATCAGATTCTCCTCTTTCTCCAGGACTTGTTGTTTTCAATTTCTGTAGGCTGTCTCTGTGCTGATGATCAACCTGAGGTGTAAACTTAAATTCTCTTCAGGTGTTTTCTGAGCATGAGCCTTTGCCTGGGTATGCACAGTAATTTTTAAAATGTTCCAAAGTATGCAGTTGCTTTTCAATGTCCTAGTGTAGTTTGGCTCCACAAAGAAGAAAAAGAGAAAAAGGAAAGTGATAAAAAAAAAAAAGGCAGTGGACATTTCAATCTCCTCAACGTCATTCAACGGAAGGGAATTGGGTTTGTTTTAATGGGGGGGTGTGAAACAATAATAGCTGCTCACCTCTGGCTTAGGCCTCAGTGATTAGAAACAGCAATCAGAGTTCAGAACACAGATCCCCAATATTTAGAAGACAGGTCTTTATTGCTGTCCCACACCCCAGTTCCTACGATATGCATGGAAGCTGCTTCAGGAGCACATGCACCGGTGCCTGCCATGGGGCTGTGCATGGGGAAGTAGTAGCTGCTGTTGAGCTAAAAGCTGAAATTGACCAAAGTTAACCACAACTGAGTGTTGAAGCCTTCTCTTGGAAGCTTCAAGGCTTTAATAGACTCCATAGATCCAAAACAGTCATATAAGGCAGATTCTGCAAGCTTAATTGTTATGTAAGGGGGAGATAGATTCCTGGTGCTTCCTACCCAGTCATCTTCCTAGACTCCTCCTCTTGGCCTTCAGTTCTTAGTCTTCTTATCCATGTAGTTTAATAATGGTTTAACAATTGCTGTGAGAATATGTGCACATATTTATATTTACTTATGCTCTTTATGATACTTCTGAGACCTATGAGCTAGAAATTGACTTATGTAAAGTGGCTTACGTATTTCCTTTGGAGAAAAGAATGTTTTGGCTCATTTCAAAGTGTTGCATGCTCTCTAAGGAAAAATGCAATGTTTCTATACATATTTTAAACGAGTAAGAACCACAAAATTGTCTTACCTGTTCATGGAAATAATTGAGTTACTAGTTATTGGAGTACTCTGTCCCATCACCTTTTTTTCTTCTGAATTGTGAGAGGGCTTGATTTAATGGGCCTGACTTTAGACATCGGAGAATTCTAATTCTATTTCTCCTCTTACTAGTTTGGCAATTTGGGAGAACTATTAACATCTCTATATCTCAAGTCTGTATTTGCTAAAATGGGAATAATAAGAACTAACTCAAAGGCATATTGTATACATGGTCAGCAAACATACAAAATGAGATGAAGTATAAATATGCCTAGTCCCTAACTGGGCTTCAGCAAATGCCAGTTTATTTCCCTCCTTGAAGCTGAACTGGGCAGCTTGCTCTGCAGTACAGAGTTGCCTAAAATAATGCAATGATGAGACTTGAATACCAGGTCAGTAGCCTGCCAAGCTCTTTTTTCTAATCTCTCCTACTGATTCTTAAATATGGCCCAGATCCAAACTTCCCTTCAGGAGCTTGTTTTTATCCACAGCCCAATCTAGAATGTTTGGGTCCTTGACTTGACTTAGTCTAGTTCCTGGAGAGGCTTACCTTGTCTGGCCTTTGTCTTTCTCTTTTAATCAATAGGAGTTATGCTTTTAATAAAGAAAAACACAGCATATTTCAGAACAATGTATTATATGATAATTCCAATCACAAAGAGCAAAGTTGACTCTCTCTGTTTTATCAGTATATTACTATTTGAATGTTTGTCCTCTTCAAAGCTAATCTTGAAATTTAATTGCCATTGTAACTGTATTAAGAGCAAGAAACTTTAAAAGGTGATTGGGCCATGAAGGCTCCACCTTCAGGGATGGGATTAATGCAATTATAAGAGGTCAAATTTGCTCCCTTTTGCCTTTCTCAGCCCTTCCACCTTCTGCTATGTGAGGATCCAGCCTACCTCCCTCCAGAGGATGCAGAGTACAAGGCACATCCTTCTTGGAGGAGGAGAATGGCCTCACCAGACACCAAAACTGCCAATGCCTTGACCTTAGACTTCCAGCCTCCAGACCATGAGCCAATAAATTTCTGTTAATTAAAAATTATGCAGTCACAGGTATTCTGTTATAGTAGCACAAATGAATTAAGGCAAGTTATCTCTTTTATAAGACTCTAGACCAATCGTTTACAACCAAATGTAGATTTGTATCTGATGGATATCTGGAGATATTTTTGGTTGTCATACCTGCAGGGGGTGCTGCTGGCATCTAGAGGGTAGTACAAGCCAAGGATACTGCTAAACATTTTACAATTTGCAGGACAGGCCTCATGACAAACAAAATTATCTGGTCCCCAATGTCAATAATAACAAGATTAAGAAGTCCTGATCTAGACTGAGCTGGGTATCCAGCTAGCCCCCTCAAACTCCCTCCCAATAAGCAAAGAGATATTAATCTCCCTGACAGTAAGAGAAGGATGGGCAGCATTCCATTGCCATGGTCATCATACACTTATTAGGTACATGCCAGGGGTTCATCCCAACATGAACCTCTAAGACAAGATGTAAAGTAACTATAGTATATTAGATAACATACCACAGCTTGGAGTTAGACAGATTTGTATCTGGTTTTTGCTCTGTCACTTAAAGCTATAGTTCTATGAGAAAGTAACTTGTGTTTCTGGAGCTTCAGCAACACTCAACAAAATGGTAGTGGTGGTATGCAGAAATTATGTTTCTAATATCTTTAGAATAATGGTTGGAACATGGGAAACAAACAATAAATTGTAGATGTTACAGTTTTGACATCTTCATTACCATCATCGTCGTCGTCATCGTCATCGTCATCATCATCATCATCATCATGTCTCATCTTAGCCTGACTTATAGCTATCTCCATGTTACAACTTAAGCTGTATGTGCCCACAATTCTGCATTTAAAAAAAACCATCTGTGTCAATTAACCTATGCATGACACAGTCAGGGAGTCAATTCGAGGAGGGTGAAAGGAAATCAAGCAGTCAGAGAAAATGACATTTCATCAACTTGGCCCCACTTTCTATTAGCTTTTAGATTGATTTTCATGGAAATATATGATATGGGCTGGCATTAGAGGAAAATGTCAACTTGCAAATGTGCTGGTTGTTGACAAGTACCCTATATTGCAGAATATTTTTATTCTTCTTTTCCTTTTTTTCCAAGATAATTTTTACATTTTTTTCTGGCTGTTTCTGAAACACTCAGGCCTTCTCCAGTTTCATGCATTTGTTCACTCTATCACTTTGATCCTTTAAATTAGAAGAAATGTTACTGGTCTAAATTATAGAAAAGTCCAGAATTTCCTAGCTTTAAAGGGATCAGTCTAAGGCTCAAGTTGTATCCTCAGTACCCAGTGTCTTTCCTTATTATCCCCTAAATCTGATCTCAACTGTTTTAGTCTCAGAGTCCCCCAGGTGTCAAGTCACTTATCAGTAGCTATGGATTTATGTCTTTTCAGATTGAATCCAGTGTCATGGGAGAATGTCTGTTTGTCTAATCCCTTAAGATCTTTAAGGGCAAAAAGCATATCTCAGTAATCTTTTAAACTCTTACAGTCTAGCATAGAATCCTACAAGTGTAGGAGTCTACTCACCAAATACATAGAAAAGACTGGTTGAATTAGATTTTCCAAGAATTCATATAGTTAAATATAGATAAGATACTCAAAAGGAAAAAAGAAAGAAAGTTGACTCCTAGAGAGAAAAGGCACTTAAGTTGTACAACTGGTTAGTAGCAGAACATGAGAAACATTATTGATTGCTTGTAAGACAAGGTCATCCAATTTCCATTTCCAATAAATGTTGTGATGTGATTGCCGATGAAATGTTAGGAGATATCTGCCAGTGGGACTTCAGAGAGATGGTATTTTTGGCTTGTTTTTAACCTTCAAAATTGACCCATGAAAAGACACAGCCTCATTATTTCGCATAATGCTGCTTAGCAGTATATGCCAGATGGAACTCCAATAGACATTATTTGGCCATGGAAGGGGTGAACACAGAGAGGCTGGCAGAAAAGAAAGTTAGGAGGAGAAACCTAAGCCATGATGATGTCATTAAGCTGTTTAATGAACCAGGAATATCCTACTTCTACAGTTCTTCTTCTTATGCAAGACAATAAATGTGTTTACCATTTAGGTCAATTATGTTAGGATTTCTGTAACTTGCAGCCAAAAATATACTCCTGGGTACCCAGAGAATGAGGGCTTTTCCCAAGAGATCAATTCACTTATGCAGAAAGAAGACCTTTGGAATGAAAGCAGTTTTGTTTGGCCTAAACGTATGAAGAACATTGTCACCTGGTCAATAATTTCACAGATTCAAACTTTGTAGACAGTCTACTGGCCCCTTTTGATGCCCTTGCAGTCAGCATAATATTGCAAATATAGCTTCTTCCTTCAAGGAGTTTTGGTCCCCCCAGAGACTTGAGAACTGATCTGTCCAGCCTGATAAGATATGTCATGCCAGCTTACTCTGTTTTTATCTCAGCGCTACCAGGTATGTTGTAGGTATACTCAACATAAAGGTTAATTAGCAGATCCAATGACCTAGGTAATATGTATGTAGGAGATGAACATCTCTAGAAATAGATGAAAGGAAAAAGAAATGTGGGAGGGAAGAAAAAATATGAATCACCTTCATTTATCTTATTAATACATTACCTTAAATTCTGCTTTTAATTACTGGTAGGTCTGGTCTCAGGAAATGGCAGTAGAGTTGCACTTAGAATTCTGAGTTTTGGAAAAAATGAATGAGAAATATCTCTTCAATTAAAAAGAAGGAGCTGTTCAATGTGACTTCTTCCAAAATATCCCAACATGTTAATTAATTTTTGTGGATCCTGAACAACTAAAAAATAATAATTATGGTAAAATACATGTTACATAAAATTTACTATCTTAATCATTTTAAATGTACAATTCAGTGATGTTAATTATCTGCACCTTGTGCAACAGAGCTCTAGAATTTTTGATATCGTAAAACTGAAACTCTACACCCACTGAACACCAACTCTTAATTTCTCTTGATCCTTGGAAACCACAATTCTACTTTCTGTTTCCATGAGTGAAATTATATAGTATTTGTCTTGTGACTGTGACTGAGTTATTTTATTTAGCACAAAGATGTCCAGATTTATCCGTGTTGCTACAAATGGCAAAATATTCTTCTTTATGGCTGAATAATACTCCACTGTGTGTGTGTGTTTGTGTGTGTCTGTGTGTATTTATCATATTTTCTTTATCCATTCTTCCATCCTTTGACATCTGGGTTTCTTCCACATTTTTGCTATTGTGAATGATGCTTCAATGCCCATGGTTGTGAAGATATCTCTTCAAGATCCTGATTTGAATTTCTTTGGATGTAACTCAGAAGCAAGATTCCTAGATGATATGGTAATTCTATTTTTAATTTTTCGAGTCACTACCGTACTGTTTTCCATAGTGGTTGCACCATTTTACATTTTCACAAGCAATACACAGGTGAACCAATTTCTCAGCATCCTTGCAAATACTTGACAATATGTTTTTTTTCTAATTGTGCCCATCCTAGTGGGTGAAAGTGATATGTCATTGTGGTTACGATTTTAATTTCTCCCATGCTTGGTGATGTTAGGATGTATTTTCATAAGCATTTTTTAAATTGGGTTATTTCATTGTTGAGTTGTAGGAGATATTCATATATTCTGGATATAAGCCCCTTATTAGATTTATGATTAGCAGATGTTTTCTTTCATTCTGTAGGTTGCCTTTTCACTCCACTGATTGTTTACTTTGATGTGCAGAACTTTTGGAGTTTGATGCATTCCCATTTGTCTATGTTTGTTTTTATATTGTCTCCACAATATTATTGCCAAACCCAATTTTATGAAGGTTTTTTCCCAATGCATTTTTTCCAGTTGTGATTTTAGGTCTTATTTTTAGTCCTTTAACTCATTATTAGTTGATTTTTGTATATGGCACAAAGGGTCCAACTTTATTCTTTTGCAAGAAAACATAAAATTTTCACAGCACCGTTATTGTAGAGACTGTTATTTCCCCATTGTGTGGCATTAGTTCCCTGCAGATGTTTTTTTAAGTCAGAAAGCAGATAACAAAATGGGCAGGAACATATTTTTGATATATAATACCTTAATTTATAGTGAGAGTTTGAGCTTCTAAGAGCTACTATGTGTTGCTTAAACATGACGTATAACAAGACATGCCAATCCTTAGCCTTAAATTTCTCATTTTTCATGGTTTATTTTTTATGTACTATAAGTGAAACTCAGTAGCAGAATTAATTCTGACCTCTAATGAAGATAGGCCAATTAAACATATTTAATGTTTACAGTTGCTGTACACTCTGTGATTTATTTTCTGGAAATAAAGTTGAAACACTTTATTTTCTGAAGCTGGCATTTTCTATAGTCCTTATGAAACCAGTTAAGACATTTTGAATGGTCTAAATTAATTGTACTCTATCTTTTGGTGTGATTTTTTTGGTAGGCAGGTGGAAATCAACTAATTCATTGTATATTTCCTGAACTTCTACTTTGCGTTTAGCAATGATGTATTAGATGAAAGAGATATTTTTCCTCTTAAGGACTAGATGTTTTAGTAGGAATACTGCATGCATTTAATTATAATATATGACAGAAACTAAATATCAACAACTGCGTCTAGGTAGAGTATGAGCTAGGAATGGAAGTTTATATCTGACTGAGTGCACTAGAAAAGGCTTCCTGAAGGATGAACTTTAGCTGATATTTGAAGGATGCTAAGAGTAAAAACTCTTTTATAATAGTTGATATTTATTGAAATCTCACTATGTCTTCAGGTATTCTTAGGGCTTTAATATGTCTTCAGGTATTGTTCTAAGGGCTTTAATACTTTCTTAACCTTTGTAATAATCTTATGAATTAGCTATTATTATCCCATTTTATGAGTAAGTAAATGAAGTCATACTGGAGTTAAGCCACTTGTCCAAGGGCCTACAGCTGACAAGCAATAGAACTGGGATATAAAGCCCTGTTGACTGACTGCAAAACCCAGCTTCTAACCACCCTGCTACAGGGCATTCCAGGACAAATGAAGACATTACCATAAAAGCAGGGTCAGGAATATATGAGGAGTTAATGGGAGTTCTCAGTGAGCTCCATCAGTCAAAGCTGAGAAACTTGTGCTTTATTCTGAGGGCAATGAAGCACAATGAAAGGGGTTAGCATCAGGGATTAGTGTGTTTAGAGCTATGATATATGAAAATTGAATGTACAGTAGGGCATAGAATGCTGTCGACTCACAGTGTATCACCTACGTGGTTTGATTATGCTTGTATTGCTGAAACGGAAAATGAGACTCAGAGATGCTACAGTAAATAACATCCTAAGGTCTCCTAAATAGTAAGTAAAAATAAGATAGCACAGCTAGCATCAAGACCCCTCCTCCCTCTCTCTCTCTCTCTCTCTCTCTCTCTCTCCTGTAAGAAGTGACTTGCAGGCGGAAATGCAGTCAGGTGACTACAATGCCACAGAGGAAGAGGTAACTAAGGCCTGCATTAGGAAGAAAGGGAATGATTGTCAGGAGCTTGAGACATTCAGAATCATTTATTTCCACTGTTAATTAGGACTAGGAAATTGTAAAAAAAAAAGAAAAACCAAAGAGTATTCTATGGGTTTTGATAGCAAAGTAGATACTGGCACCTTTAACAACAACAACAACAACAACAAAAAAACAATGAAATAAAGCATAAGGAATGCATTTTAGGGTAAAGATAAAGAGTCCAATTTTGGACTATCTTCCAGGTCCCATCCAGCATCCAAGTAGATAGGACTAGCAAGCTAGACAGGCATGTCAGAAGAAGCACAGAAAGGAAGATGTGGATCTGGAAACTAATATTCTCAGAGAAGTGATGGCTGCTCTTTTCTTTTGGACTGAATTGAAAAATTTTGTTATATAAAGTTAACATGTTCCAATTTTTAAATATGTTTGCTGTTTCCTCATAAATCTTCTTTCAAGGGGTTCTTAATTTGTTTTTTCATTTTTTTTTTTTTTGCTTTTTGAAGCTTATATAAGCAAGTATATGCATATATTTACACATATTTGTATTTTGTGCCCATGCATATGGAAAGATAGATAAATGGAGAAATAAATAAATGATAGATATTGTCACATTGTATCATATTAAAACAAAAATTGCAGCATTTTCCCCCTCTGAAGCTAATGAGATTCTGGAATCTCAGTTTTATTCTGCCTCTACTCATTGGCAGAAGACATTGCAGCAAGGACAAGAAAGGAGAAGAAAAAAAATGGCAGAGGAAAAGAAAATTTATGAAAACAGTCTGTCAAAGCCTAGCATCTGGAGTTTGGCATTTCAGGTGACACCAGAGATCTGTCAGGGAATGAGGACTGTATTAATCCTCTAAGTGGGTTAAGCAGGACAAGTGTCTGGAGACAGGGGACAGAGTAGTCCAAGCAAGACTGCTGGAAAAGTCAAGGGAAAGATGCTAGAACCAGATTAAAATTTCAAAAATAAGGTAGCTATCAGGTTTCACAGAAACTGAATTATGTGTATTGACATAAGAAAGTTAGTGGTTCTTGTTTCGGCTCTGAGAATCCCAGTTAATAAAGGATAAAAGAACAGACTTATTAATGCTAATACTTGACTTTTTGAATTGAAGTTTACTAAGTTTCCTATGAGAAATATCAGAGATGGTGTCTTTGTCTCCACCCTTAAATCTAGGATGGCCATATGACTGATTGATGGCAGAACAATATTGTATGAGTTCTGAGCCTAGGTCTGAAGAAGTGTGGTTTACTTTAGGTCATTTTCTTGGAATACCTCTGCTCTTCCCTTGAGAACAAGTCCAGGCTAACCTGCTGGGGGTTAAGAAAACATGTGGAGTAGAGAGGAGCCAACCCAGCTGAGACTTGTTAGATTAACCAGCAGCTGCCAACAATCACAGGAGTGAGCCGAACTAAGACCAGCAAGTCCTGCACTCAAGAGCAGAAACACACAGATATGTCCAGCACAAACTGCTGACTCTCAAGACCACAAAATCATGAGCAGAAAAAAAGGGCATTCGTGGTGGAAAAACATGTAATATGCAAATTATTAGCATTAGGAGAAGCTGGGTGAAGGGTATTCAGAGTCTTTGTATTAATTTTGCAACTGCTCTGTAGTTTAAAATGATCTCAAATAAGAAAATGCTTTTTCGAAAAGGCCAGTATAGTTTATGCCAAACCTTGTTGAGATGTTTGTTTTTGGAACACATTGATTCTACTATAAAGAAGTCAAACAGCCCCATAGAAAGGATGTATGTAGTTTTTTCAGCCACTCCTTAACCTGAGGTCCCAGAGACATGTCAGACATGAGCAAGCGCATCTTCTGATGATTCCAGCTTCTCAAAGTCAAACCACTACAGCTGATGCCAATGGAATAAAGAAGAACTGAACCCACATTGCCACCCACATTGCTGGTCTATGAGTGAAATAAACATTCTTGTCTTAGGTTTCAAGATTTTGCAGTGTTTCATTGTGCAGCAATGAAAAATGGAGCAGGCACAGAAGGTGTAAGGGGCCATTAAATCTGATGAATTATATTTTATTTTTCTTACCTATGTTTCTATTATTATCTCTGAATTTCTACATGAATTTCTTATGTAGTTAAAATAAAACATTGGAAGTAAAAGCACTTACAGAGGCAGGTTTGTATTATCATTGCCTCTCTAAAGTGTTGCAAATAGTTTGTTAGGCTAAGTCATGAATATGTGTGTGAATTCAAGATAAAAATGAATTCAGCAATAGGTAAGGGTTAAAATACTAATAATAATACACATATACACATATATTTGAAAAAAATGAAAACAAATTCTTGCTGTGTCCCCTATCTCATTGTGAGATGCTTAAAAATATGAGGGGAAATATGTGAAATAATTATAGTTAATTTATTTCAATGATTGTTGGTTATTTGGACTCTTGCCACTAAACCAAATTAGCCAAAAGGTTATATCACATGATTTAACACACATGAAACATGCATATTTATTTCTTATTTATTTTCTTCTTTCATTTGAAATCACAACCACAGTAATAGATTACTCTTCCACTCATTGCACAAAAGCCTGTAAGTAACCAGCACAGATACAACTTAATGGTATAATTGAAAGACAAAATGATATTAATGAGACAAGGAGTTCTTATGCTCATTAGGTTTGAGTGTATTGGAAAAAGCAACAGTATGTTAAAGATTGGCAAAATTATACTACAGAGCCAATCAATATAGATGTGGCAATTTTGTTAGTGAATAATTAGTATAAATAATGCTGTCTTGGTTTTAAATACCCAAATAGTGAAGAAAATGATGAAATCAATGGTAGGAAGCAGATGGATCATTTAATTTATTTCTCAATTATAGCTGACACATTAGTTACAGGAATTTTCATGTCATCTATTTTTATGGTTCATTTTACAGCTGTGTTTATTGTTATAATAAATAAATACATTATATTTTCTTATTAGAGAAAAAAATTGAAATTTACTGTAGCAAAACACATTCGCACATGACTCAAATACCCCAAATGGAACACCTATAAGGGAAAAGGTTTTCTCAACCCCAGAGTAAGGCCTGTGTGTGGTTGAAGTCAAATATAAGAAAAGATGAC
The DNA here is from genome assembly GCF_000001405.40 of Homo sapiens. Lineage (NCBI taxonomy): Eukaryota > Metazoa > Chordata > Mammalia > Primates > Hominidae > Homo > Homo sapiens. Next base: position 108,682,891 of record NC_000010.11, on the reverse strand, counting down.
AAAAAAAATGGTGACATTTTATTTTTCGAAGGCTTATTGGTACTTAAGATTTACATTTCACATAGTCTTTCTAATAATACAGACACATTCATAAATCTGTTTGTATATTTCCCAGCAACAAATAAATATTGTAAGCTACCATCTGGGATGCAGATATATAATAAAGTTATTACCTCCATTCTAGACTTTCTTTACAACTCGCAGTGGAAAAAGGCTGAGGGGTAATATCTACACCAACTTGATCTTTTAAACGTTCACACATTGGATTAGAAGAATGGGATCTTTAATTTTTCCAGAGACTCCTTATGAGAGTAGAGTGGGATAGATATTGATTATATCAATCAAGTAGAATATACCTATTGAGCACCTACAATTTCTCTAGTACAGTGTTAGGAACTTGTTTGATTTACTAGTGATATAGTTTGCATCTGTGTCCCCAACCAAATCTCAAGTCAAATTGTAATCCCCAATGTTGGAGGTGGGGCCTCATGGGAGATGATTGGACCATGGGGCTGGATCATGAGGGTGGATCTTTCATGAATGGTTTAGCACTCACGCTGCTGTTCTCATGATAGTGAGTAAGTGAGTTTTCGTGAGATCTGGTTGTTTAAAAGTTTATACCACCACCTCCTCCTCCTCTCTCCTGCCCTACCATGTAAGACACTTACTCCCCATTTACCTTCCACCATGAGTAAAATCTCCCTAAGGCATCCCTAGAAGTAGATGTTGCCATACTTCCTGTACAGCCTGTAGAACTGTGAGCCAATTAAACCTCTTTTATTTATAAATTACTCAGTCTCAGTTATTTCTTTACAGCAGTGTGAGAACAGACTAATACACTTGTGTCCCATGTTGACAGAGATTTACAGAAATAGAAGTGCAATTTAGGAAATGTCTTCCTTGGTTATTTGACTATACTATTCAAACATATAACTATAACATTCTACTCATTTATTATTTTCCTTGACTATTGTGGCCTTGATTAACTGTCCACATGGACGTCCTTTTGTCTATGATTTTGTCCTTGAGAAATTTTAGGTAACCTGAATTTTAGCAACTACTAAGTACTTGAACTTGGAATCAGATATATACAGAAAAGATGAAATTTGCAAGCAATGAATAATGTGATAAAAGCTCCAAAGAGGAGGCCCTAAGTTTCTATGTATAATAAGATGTATAATAGGCAAATTTAATATTTTTCAGGGTAGAAAAATATTAATACAATTTGAAAGAAGAAGACTTAATGTTTGATAGATCAGTGAGGTGGCAATAGTTTAGAATGATCTATTGTATATTTCAATCAAAATACTTAGAATAATCATTATGTTTCTAGAATAAAGAAAAGAATAATATTTCAGGTAATGGATATCCCAAGTACACTGATTTGATCTTTGTAAATTATATGAATGTATTACATTATATGTACCCTGAAAATATTTACATCTATTATGTATTAAAAATAGAATAAAATTGAAATGAAAATAATGTATTAGGTAATGAGCAATGATGAGGGAAATGAGGGAGAAGGAACTCCACCCAATCCTAAGAAATAGGATGTGCAAAGATCATATGTAAGTAAGATCATGGCAGCTGGCAGAAACTTAAAGAAAGCCAGTATGTGTAAAGTGGGGAGACTGAGGGATGTAGGAAATAATTTTGGACATGTGAGTGGGATTGCTGAAGCACGAAATGAAATAACCCATATAACAGGTTTAGTAGAGAACTTTCCTCGTGGCAAAATCTAACGATTATTGTTTCTGCCATTGACTGAAATGTGTAATGTCTGCTCACAAAAGTCTGGTAAAAAATCATTTTCCTTTTATAGAAGAGCATTAAAGAAGGAGAAACCAAGTAATTTCAATCTAAAATGGTGGAGCCAAGGATTCTTCTCAGTGAGATTTTCTGTGATTCTGGACAATTCTTACCCAATATTTTATTAATTATTGAAAACATCAGGTTCCAGAATAAAGTGAGCCTTTCCAGTCATCTCTGTGCAGAAAGTGGCTGGACCAGCCTGTCTTAATATAAAAAAATGAGCTATTTCCAAATATCTATATCCAATGTCCTTGGCTCCTTGAGAAACAAAGTTTGTTAAATTCCAATTTCAATGAACAGAGTCACGAAGATAAATACATGTTCGCATGATAAATGATCAGAATTATTTTCAAATAAAGGTCTATTTTACTATTTGTCTTCTGGACATTGCAGACATTGTAAAGCACATATTTATTCATTGCATTCAGTTATCTGGGTGAGTAATTGTCAAGTGCAATGCCTCTGCAAAAAAGAACATTACTGTGACTTAAAGCAAAATCTAATGAGTCCTGAACATGTTTGCTAGGTGTACAGATTGTATGTTTTCTACACACACAAAAAAATCGAATACAATGCCATTAGAATAGAAATTGAAAGACAACTTGAACTCTATTACTGGAGAAAAGTGAACTGGAGGGATTTAGAAGGATATTGTTTATGAGTCAGGGGTTGGGGAAGAAAGGAGAAGGCTTAATTTTTACCAAAACCACCTAAAAGACTCTTACTCAGCTCCTGGTTATGGTAGTTGGCTCTGATTCCTACTTTATTCTTATTTTATTTTGTAGTAAATCATTTTAACACTGACAATTCTGTAAAGAGACCTATCTTGAAATGCACGTGCAAAAATCTGGATAAATTATTCAGCAAATCCAACATTATTCAGAATGAGTAGGTGCAGTTGAAAGAAAAGAAACAGAATTATTGACTTGCACCCTGGGAAATCAACACAATCAAAAATCAGAAACTGCCTTTAGGTGAAAGAGTAGGTGGTGGGGAGGCTCATTGTTGTTAATGTGAAGAATTAGGTTCCAATGGGTGATGGGGTGGAGGGACGTGCAGTGGGAAACGGTACTCTTGGATCCATTCCAAGTCTTCAGTTCTGCAGCCACCAGCTCTTGTGATCTCCACCTTCTTATCCAAGACATTCTCTGGTCATATTTCTGGTTGTATAATAACCTTTGTTGACTATAATGTTATGAAGAAGGATTTGCTGCCATTTTACACCTTTAGCTGTTTTTGCTTCCTGTCATTGCAAACAAATTGAACCAGCAGTCACCTTTTGAAACTGCTGGATGCACTGCAAATTCACATTGTGCTGCAGTATCTGGAAACTCACAAATACATATCTAGTCTTCAGTTCATATGTTTAAATCTTATCTGTTTTAGTTATATCTCCCCTATGTTGACTCCTCTGATGCCTTCAACTCCATTATTCTTATCTTTTTTGTTAGAAAACAAACTAATGGCTTATTCTTTAGACATATAGTATAGTGTCTTATATTAATATCATGTTATAGATATTGCATTTTCCTGGGTATACGTGGGTCATAAATCTCAATTAAATTCAATGTAAACCTTAGGAATTCCATAAAATCAAAAAGCTATGTCTTTAAGACAACCAAAAATTACACACTTTGATAGCCACAATTTAATTTGTGTTTTAAAAAATTCTGTGTGGTAGGATTTCTTAATGATTTTACTTTAGAAATGAAGACACTAGAATCCATGATTACACATCCAGCACTTATTCAGAGATTTTGAGTCTTAATTTTTCTACTCTTCTTTAGTGTATTTTATACTTTTATTCCCATCTCGATACCAAGGACAAGGATTGGCTAACACAGCTGCACAGTAAATGTTTGTGACTGAATTACAGAACATGCATGTACATTAAGCTTTACTATAGTTAATTAATCAATTCTGCTTACTGGAGATACAAAGATGAAACAAACTATGCCTTTTCTGCCATTTCAGTGTTTGCAGGTTGATGGAGTCGTATAAATAAACAACCTCTAATGTTAAACTAGAAGGGCAAAAAATGAGCATACAGAATGTTATGTGGATTACAGATAAGTGTAGTGATAATCTCCCTTACTCTAGGAGAATTAGCAAAAGCTTTACCAAGGACTTTACAGTTTGCTGGGATTTGAAGAATTACATGGAATTGAAAATTTCATGATGTCCTATGAGAACAAAGAGAACATTATTGTGTTTTGAGCGTAGTTGCCTGGTGGAGAAGTACTTTATAAGAGGAGACTGGAGAGTTAGGTAGGAGCCATAGGAAAGAAATTATGCCTCAAGTTTAGTAGTTAATTTTATACAATTCTATAATTAATCCTACTCTTCACCAAGGTAGCTATAAAACCTATTAACAAAGAATTGCCACTAATGATTGTCTTTTATGTTTCTAGACCATATGGTAAGTGCTTCATAGATTATTTATTTGTTTATTTATTGAGACGGAGTTTTGCTCTTGTTGCTCAGGCTGCAGTGCAATGGTGTGATTTTGGCTCACCGCAACCTCTGCCTCCCAGGTTCAACTGATTCTCCTGCCTCAGCCTCCCAAGTAGCTGGGATTACAGGCATGTGCCACAATGCCTGGCTAATATTGTATTTTTAGTAGAGATGGGGTTTCTCCATGTTGGTCAGTCTGGTCTCGAACTCCTGACCTCAGGTGATCTGCCCACCTCAGCCTCCCAAAGTGCTGGGATTACAGGCATGAGCCACCACGCCTGGCTGCTTCATAGATTTTTAAAAATTAAATTCATGTCCCTAAACCATGATGTGAGATAGAACACATTCTAATTTTGAAGATGGCCAATCTGAGTCTAAGAGAAGTTATAAACTTGACTTTTGTCACATTTCTGGTAGGCAGTCATACTTCATTCTCATCCAGGCTTCAATTCAGAAGCTTCTCATGAGTTTGTTGATGATGAAGAGGACAGACACACACAAATACATGCACATAGTCAAACACAAGGGTACATAATTGTATAAGCACTTAACACATTACATATTCAAATTATATATTCCAAAACTAATAGAATTGAAATAAAAACAGCCTAACCCACAATAATAGTTACTGATATTTATACTTTCTAAATACTAGTAAAATTATAGAGAAAATTATAATACAAAGACTTGAACAATCCTATGAACCAATGTGTTAGTCCGTTTTCATGCTGCTGATAAAGACATAACCAAGACTTGGCAATTTACAAAAGGAAGAGGCTTAATTGGACTCACAGTTCTACTTGGCTGGGGAGGCCTCACAATCATGGCAGAAGGCAAGGAGGAGCAAGTCACATCTTATGTAGATGATGGCAGGCAAAGAGAGAAGTTGCACAGGCAAACTCCCGTTTTTTTTTAAGGACATCAGATTGCATGACTTATTCACTATCAGGACAACAGCATGGGAAAGACCCGCCCCCATAATTCAATCACCTCCCATAGGGTTCGTTCCATGACACATGGCAATTATGGGAGTTACAATTCAAAATGACATTTGGGTGGGGACACATCGAAACATATCAACCAACTAGACATAACTGACATTCATCAAGCATTTCACCCAGAAATAGAAGACTATACACTCTGTTTAAGCTCACCTGGCGCATTTACCAGGGTAGACTATTCTGGGCCATAAAAAAATAAAATCACCAGATTTAATGAAATTGAAATAATACAAAGTATCTTCTCTTACCACAATCCAATTACATTAAAAATAGAAAAAAATGAAAATATCTGAAAAATTTCTAACTACTTGAGAATGAAAGTACTGCTATAAAGAAAGAATAAAAAATAATCACAAGATGAGAAAAGAAGTTGAATGGGAAAAAAGACAAAACATTAACGTTTGGGATGCAACTAAAGCAGTGCTTACAGGGAAATCTATCATCTTAGTTGCTTATCCTGGAAAAAAAAATGAATGGTCAGAAACAATTATCTAAGCTTCCACTATAAGACATCAGAACATAAAAAATGAGTTAAATTCAAACTAATCAAATGGAACAAAATTATAAAGACAGAGAAAAAGAAACAAAAAACACAGGAAAAAAGCAGCTTCCTTAAAAAGAAATTAATTGGAAAACATTTAACCATATCAATAAAGAAAAAAAGATTATTGATACCAAGGATGAAAAAGCTGACATCACTGGAGTTTCAATACACACACAAAAATAATGAGAGGTGGGCGGATCACGAGGTCAGGAGATCGCGACCATCCTGGCTAACACGGTGAAACCCTGTCTCTACTAAAAAAAATACAAAAAAATTAGCTGGGCGTGGTGGTGGGCGACTGTAGTCCCAGCTACTCGGGAGGCTGAGGCAGGAGAATGGCGTGAACCCAGGAGGCAGAGCTTGCAGTGAGCAGAGATCGAGCCACTGCACTCCAGCCTGGGTGACTGAGCGAGACTCTGTCTCAAAAATAATAATAATAATAATAATTAAATAAAGATAACTTTAAAAACTTAGATACGATAGAAAAAATTCGTAGAAGGTCCAAACTGATAAAACCTGCTGAAGAAAATATAATTTGAATTGTTCTATGTTTATTTAAAATAATTGAATTAGCAGTTAAAATTCTCCTCACAGTAATAACTGTAGGCCTAAATGAACCTGTTGGGTAATTCCATTAAATATTTAAGGAAGAAATGATGCCAGATATTTACAACTCTTCTGCAATGCAGAAGCTGGAGAATAAATATTTCCAAATTCACTTTATGAAGCCAACATTAACTTAATACCAAAAAAGGGAAAGAAATAATAAAATCAAGAAAACTATATAACAATGTTCATTATAGGCATAGATGCAAAAGTCCTTCACAAAATCGATTGTAGTAATTTGAATTCAGAAACATATAACAATTATGATCAAAAGGAATTTATATCAGAAAGTCAAATATACCAAATTAATATACTGAAAAGGGAAAAAAAAGGTGATCAGTTAAAGTAGTTCTTTCAGTAAATAATAAGCATTTGTCAAAATTCAATCATTTGTGATTTAAATTAAAAAAAAAAACAACACTCTTAAACCTAATAAAAGGTGTTTGTGAAAGCATCCTCCTGCTACCATCACATTTAATAAAGAAAAATTCTGTTTCCCTAGTACCAAGAATAAGGCAAACATGACTGGTTCTACCACTTTCATTCAACATAGTTAGTGCATCAAAATGGGAACAGAAGAGGAAAGAGATAGCAATTCATGAGAAAAAGAGAGAGGAAAAAATCTCTATGGGGACATGATTTTCTACATAGAATATGAATCTATAGAAAATTAAAAGCTGAAAGAAAAATTATCAGAATTAATAACTGGCAAAATTACAATGCAAGATCGGTATACAGAAACTAATTGCTGACAATAAACATTTTGAAAATGAAAATTTTAAAAAATAGCATTTATAAATTAGAAATATTTTGAGATAACATTTTACCATGCTCTTTGAAGACTCAATATTGTTAAGGTATCAATTCTATCCAAATTGATCTATAGATTCATTGCATTCGTTAACAAAATTTCAGCAGCTTTCTTTTTTAATAAAAACTCAGATTTATGTTTTATGAACTGAAAAGTGATTGTTTCTAGTTCAGATTCGGTGTTCCTCTTCTTGTGGGAGGGGAAATATGTCAGAGGATTAGGTTACAGGATGGTAGTGGAGTGGTAGTAAAGGAAGCCTTCAGCTTTAACTTTGTATTTATCAAAGAAGATGATATCTTTTAATTCTATGCGTTTACTCTTTAGTATAATTTTTTCCAGGAAGCCAAACCTTTCTCCAGCATTTTGAAAGTCGTTATAAGACTGAACTGACTAGTCCCTAGAGGAAAGAGAAGGATTTTAATGCAGTCATTGTGGAATAAGGAGGAGACCTCAGTTTTCAAGGTTCTGGGCTATTTAATCATAGAGAAAAGGACAGCCCAGCTCCATGCAGGCAGCAGATGCTCTCTGACAGTTGGTCATAACCAACATCCACTATATTTGCCTCCCAAAGCCAACTCATTTACATAGAAATTCCAAGTGTCAGCCTTGTACATTTTGCTGTAGAGCTTTAAAATCACCTTCACAAAAGAAATATCAATCATAACTATTATCATTAAGCATTTACTATGTGTCTGGGATAATGCTAATTACTTTTAATAAGTGGCTCCGTGAAATATTTAGAATATTCTTAATACATAGTTTTCATTATTCCTTCTACTTTGAAAATTAGAAAAGTTAAACCTAAGGAGTTCAAGTAACTTGCTCAAAGTAACACACACAGCATTTGTTAAAACCAGTATTTGAAACCCATGTAGGATTATCACGGAACCTAAATGTTATCACATCTCTGAATAGCATCAGGACTGGGACAGAGACACTGAAGTAAATTTGTGGTCAGAAGGACTGAGTAGAAACCCAGCTCTTCTGCTTACTCATGTGACCCTGGACAGCATCTCACAGGAGGTACAGTTTTCTTATCTGAAAATTGGAAAAAATAAAATACCTGTGAGAATTAAATAAGCTAATATGTGAGAAAGTGTCTAGTACACTAGCAAAATACAGGTAGATTCCCCTTGGTTCTAAACTGTAGAGCTATACCAGAGGTCACAAATCAGCTATACGTGTACCCTACATGGGGATGTGTTGCAGCAGCAGAGCATATCTGTTTATGCATATCATGCAAGTAAGTAATCTTGTTTATGACATCATTAAAAGTGTTTTATTTCTAGTACATTACATAGATGTCCAGACTTATACATCTGTAAGAATCACATGATGCAGCAGAAATGTGTTCAAAGGCAGCGTCAACTGGTATTGATAACACTCAGCTGAGAGGCAAGCATATAATGGTCATCATATACTTTTGTGTGTCTGAAAAAAGTGTATACTAAATTTAAACATTAAAATATTTTTAGGCTGAGTATCATTACATTTCACATTTCTTTAGATTTTCCTCTTCTAGAGATTCCTCCTAGAGGTTTTCTCCTACATTCTAATTTTCTCTGAATGTTGTGTTTAAAGTTAATGGCTTAGCACCAGGACACTCTCTGTTTCATTGGTGATTATTTTGTCTTCTGAAACCTAAGCCCCAAAAGTAGGTCTTGTGTCTCACATTCTTTCAATTCCCTCCTGCTGTGAAACATACCACACCACACAGAATACTGAAATGTCCATAAAGTTAAGGAAGCTGTTTGTCTTTCATTCATGAGGCTCCAATGCCAGGGCCAGTGTTTTGTATATAGTAGAGACTCACTGTAAGTGTGGAGCATCTGGTGCTGTGATTTTTCAAGCTCATGTAATGAAAGATGAGTTGTCCCTTGCAAGGATTATCATTCCTCAAGTTGTAAGGTAAAGCACTATTTTATTCAAGTTCAGATAAAGAAGAAAATATAATCATGCAATAGGCTGCAATATAAGAACAGTATTATCAATAATTTATTGAGTTTTTATTATGCATATGAACTATTGTTTAAATTATATACCCCTAATATTGCATTTGCTCCTAAGAAACAGGCAATTATTACCCTTTTTTATTTTATTGAAGAGGTAAGTATGGTGCAGAGTACATCTTGCTGAAGGCATAAAGCCAGCAAGGGGCACCGAGTTTTTTGTTTGTTGTTTGTTTGACACGGAGTCTTGTTCTGTCGCCCAGGCTGGAGTACCGTGGTGTGATCTCAGCTTACTTCAACCTCCGCCTCCTGGGTTCAAGCAATTCTCCTGCCTCAGCCTCCTGAGTAGCTGGGATTACAGGCAAGTGCCACCACACTCAGCTATTTTTTGTATTTTTAGTAGAGACCGGGTTTCAAGACCGGGTTTCACCATGTTGATCAGGCTGGTCTCAAACTCGTGACTTTGTGATCCACCTGCCTCGGCCTCCCAAAGTGCTGGGATTACAGTCGTGAGCCACTGTGCCTGGCCAGGGGCATAGAGTTTTTACTTAGGTGCTAGTCATATTCCCATACTGCATCCCAGTCAAAAGATCACAAGTCAGCAGTGTCTGCACGTTTTCTTTCAAAAGGAGACCCTCAACTCTGGAGTAACAAGTAAAGGCTGGCTTTCCTTCCTCTAGATTTGTTCATGTTTACTATTATATATTTATATAACGCACGTCTTACTCTTCTAGAGGCATGGGGATCAAGGGATATGGAATCAAACGAACTGGAGAGAAAGAGTCTCTGTTTAGCCTTTAACAGTTGTGTTACTTAGTGCAAGTTATGTAGTTTCTCCAAATAAGATTACTGTTTTGTAACATGGCAAAAAATGTATACATTCTCTAAGATATATGTGCACTATCTGCTTGAGAAAATACCTGAAAAGTGCTTATCACAGAGCTTTGCAAAAAGGAAAGCTTCAATTCATATATTTTCTTGTTCTGGTTTTTTTTTAATTAGCTTCATCATCATTGCTATTATTGCTATTATTAGTAGATATTCTTGTTCATAAAGCCCTGGGAAAATTTAGCTGCAGAGGCTGGATAATCTAGAAACAACCAAGTCATCCATATTACTTTTATCATCCTAATAAATAGGTAGCTAAACCAAAATTTTCTGATTATAGTTCCTATATTTTCCAAAATTCAAAGTAAAATAATTGTTCTAACAAAATATTTTTCTGATTGTAAAATTATCTGCATTTGAAAACTTTTCAACCATTAGAAACAGATATTTAGTTGTAATTTTCATTGAGCTACTCTAATTGAAAACAATAAACTTACGTATATTGGGAACTTTCTTGGAAAATCCAATGTGTACATTGGCCATGTCTGTAGTGCCACTGACTTCAAGAGAAACACCTGTCTTTGTACACAAAGGAGAAGCATATTTCTCTTTCTACCACACTTAAAAACTATCTTCTTTCCTCTACCCTCATATTATGTTGTGTGTTTTGTGCATACTTCATTAACCAACAGCATTGTTCCCTTTATTTTCTATCTAGATTTATGGTTCCAAATTGCTTACATTTTATTGGTTCTTGGTCCTTTTTATGCCCAGGACCGTATTTCCCCAATATCTCGTCCCAACTGTGAATAATATTATGACAGTGTAAAAATCATGATACTTAAAAAAAACAGCTTTGATCAACTGCAAACTGGTTAAAGTTGTTACATTAGTGAGGAATATTTTGAAGATCTAGCAGCTCTTGTGGTCTTATGAAGGAATTAATAGATCTCTATCTGGAGTTACATAGAACTAGGTTCAAACTTTCTTTTAGTCAAGTTTAAGCTCCGTGACCTTAAGGAAGTAATGTAATTTTACTATTTCTCAATGTTTTCATGTGTATTAGTTTTTATTAGGAATATTACAATATCTGCACATGTTGAGCACTCAAATTACCATTAATATCTGTGTACAACTTAATAGAATATATTGCCTTTTTTTGCACTGGTATTTCATTGCATAGATATAATTTATTTTTGATGCATACTAGCTTATACTTTTATGTTTCATGAGCAACATTGAAATGAGTATCTTTTTGCATATGATTTTGTACGCTTGTCTAGAATTGCTTTTAGAACTTAAACTTTTGGGTTAATGAAAATTTTTTTTCAATGTCTTACCAACCATTACTAATGTCTAGCAATAAAGTGTTCTCTGACCTACATCCATTTAAAAATATTTAATATATGCAAGAAAATGACTCTCAGTTCAAATCAACCTCAAAGCCAAAGTGAATTGGCACCGCTGATAGGATATTGGTGCAAGCCTGGCAGCAGTGTTTTCTCTTGCACTAAAAAGTCTTGAAACTGCCCAGGTAGGGTTCACCATCCAGCACCACTCCTCAGCCAGAGTAGAATGTAGAGAAAATTACAAAGATTGTGTTGCAGCCCTCAGCATAGAGGGACAATCAAGCTGTAATGGATGACAAGCATAGATTTAAATGGGGAAAAAAGGAGAAGAATAAGAATGAACATGACCATTTATTAAATAAAACTTAAAGAATATTGCAGGCTCCTCAGGAAAGAGGCAAGTAATTTAATGCCCTGGATTCTTCTGAGTTAACTGTTGTTGCTACCTTCTCCTTGACGTTTTCTTATGTTTTAAAATGAACCACCTGGTTATAACCTTTGTTTCCTCATTGTATTTGTTTTAGACTATTTTGAATTTTTTTATCGATAGGAAAATTCTCTAGGATTTTGGATATTTGTTGTGTCTAATACTGCAGGACAGGGATCAGGAACTTAAAACACCACTGAACCTAACAGTCTGAATCGTAGAAAGTTCATGGGCAGAGTCACATGGTATTGACAGCTTCAAGTTGAATCAAGAAGGTTCCTTCTGAGAGGCATTTCTGAGTTCACACCTCCCAATTATACCAGGCTGGTCATTAAGGGGAATGTAGAGCCCTAGAATTAAAATGGGTTGTAGAATAGTGAAATAAGGTTTTCTCTTTCTATTAAATACCAAGTTCATGCTCCCTATTTTGGAGCTAGGCTGAAGACATCCAAGGCCTGCTACAACCCTTCTCCTCTCAGGCATATGTTCACTATCCTCCCAATTGACTTCTGGAATAATAAGGATTAATACACACACACACACACACACACACACACACACAATACTGTTTAATCTGAAGCATTTTCTGAGTCTGTTGTCTCTCTCTGTCTCTTTTTTTTAAGTTATGGCTAGTTCGTAAACTCTACTTTTGGTTTGTTGACAGAGACCAACTTCCACATAAAAGCTGAAAATGCCAGAGAGTTTTCATGCTTCCTCAGCCTTTTGTGAAGTTAAGATTTCTCTTAGTCTACACAGGTTGCTATAAGAAAATACCATAGATTGGGTAGCTTAAACAATATAAATTTATTTTTTCACAGTTTTGGATCGTGGAAGTCCAATATTAAGATGCCAACAGGATTGATGTCTGGTGACGGCTTGCCTCGTAAGCTGTACACGAAAAGTTGCCTCCTTCCCTGTGTGCTCACATGGTCTTTCCTTGGTGGATGCTCACAGAGAAAGAGTGATCTCCCTCTCTTTCTCGTCTTAGAAGGCCACCAATCCAATTAGGTCAGGCCTCACCCTTATTATCTCATTTAACCTCAATTGCCCCCTAAAGGCCCTATCTCCAGACATAGTCATGTGGTTTAGAGCTTCAACATATGGATTTTGGAAAGGACATAGTTCAGTTTACAGCAGGATAATAAGCATGTAACTTTATCCAGGCCAATGGGACCTGAGAGGAAGACCACACAGGGATTTCTCAGAAAGACAGGCAGAAGGAAATATTTTCTTTCTCACATGTTGACATATTTGTGTGAAAACTTGATAGCTAGAGTAATGCAGCCATGGTGTGAGCAGAGTGACTAAGCCTGAGAGCAAATGCTAATTTGTTGATGATGCCAAATAGAAAGATAAAAGCATTTCAGTTCCTGATGATGCAACCTAGCTGCCAATTTAATCCTGGCCATGTCTATGCCTTGTTATATGAGAAAGGTAATGCACTAATATGCTACTTCATTTGTATACATTTTTAATTAGAGATAAGTGATTCTAGGCAAAATACTGAAGTCCTACATATTCTTTGCATTGTGTTTTCACCCTCTCTATTTGACTTAACTTTTTTTTTTTTTTAGTTTATGATCAAATCCCATGTGCAATATCAGAGACGCTCAAGATAAAGTTATAGACTCCTTAATTTCTGGGATTGGAGAGAATTGTAAAAATAAAAGAAAACCAAAACCAAAAACCAAAAAGAAAAAACAAAATGAAATAAAACCTATACTATATATAAAATGTACTGCTTAAATTGTGAAAGATAAATCAGGATTTTGGTTATTGTGCAATGGTGTAAAGATAACAGTAAAATATAAAAATATAAATGAAGATAGAAGAAAAAGTCTTGAGCCACAGGAGAAAATAGGAAACTCCAGTATCCCAGAATTAGGGAATAAAAGCATGTGTTGTAACAAAATAGCATTTAAGGACCAAGGCTAGAAACACTCGTGCTTTATTTCCACCCTGATATGCTACTGTGCCTATGATATGGATTGCCAACCAGAAAAGATATGGATAATTCAGACACAAATAAGCCTAGGAAGAAACATTTTCTCTTCCAGGTAGTCATAAACCAGCACACAAGCATCTAGAGAACATAATGAAAGTGACCTTAACCACATATTGAAATAGTGGACCTATTTTGGTTTATATATCTTTTTCTTGATTTCTTATATAATGCAGTTGTAGTTCTCAGTGATGGTCTGGAATATGACAGGTCTTTTTTCTCTTTAAAGGGTGCTAACCATGACTTTAAGGTTATGCCTTTACACTTTAACAAAATACTTACTGTTACATAATATCTTTATCTAAATAATTTTATGCACAGCCCGAATGCCTAGTTGGGAAATATAGGTCTGCATGAATTGCATGCCCATTATATGTTGTTAACGTTAGCAAATTATTTTCTCCAAATTTGCCTCTAAGTTCTATAGTTTTGCTATATCCTTTCTGTGGGCTACCAAAGCACCTATGACCACTGTTTAAAATACTATTTTTGAGATCAATAAGCAGTTTTTAGCTAATAAAATGTATTTTTTTAGAAGTGAACTAATGAGAACACTGGAATATAGTCACTGAATTGTTTTACACAGATGCCACTAAATCCTGTTGCCTGGACTACTGTTTTCAATGGCAACTAATCACCTTTTTCAGTATATTAGACTTTGGTTAAAATAAGCATATTGTTTCAAAAACTCTTCCCACTTAATTTGCAAAGTCAGATTGCTTTAGACGTTAATTTTAAAGGCATAAACATTGAGTGAATTGCATATCTTTGTACATTTTTTGAAACAAGACATGAAACTTATGTTTATATTTTTTGCTAATCTGGGTTGTTACAGAACTGATCTCTTTTGCAACAGAGATATTTTCATTCTTGTATTAATTATCAATGAAAAATAAAATCTAGATGCTGAGATTATGTAACTTTTTAAATGTTTTCTACAGGAAGATTTATGAAACAATTATGGATTTAAATATATTACAGAAAATGTGGCATTTTGATAGCAGATATGTTGTACAGCCATCAGTGATTGAGTAATTAAGGCTTTCAGTTGCTAATGATTCTTTTTTCACCTAGAAATGTGATCCAAGGCATTCAGCTTAAGAAATACTTATTAGACATTTACTGTGATTAAATAAAATATTTCATCAAAAATCAACAATAAGTATGAGGAGAACATTTGTTAACATAAAATAAATAGCTCCTGTTTATTGAAGTTATGTGACATGGATCTAACATATTACAACACAATAGCTTATACCATCCCATTTTACAGTTGACAAAAATAAGGCTAACGAACTTGAATAATTTAGCTGTGGCTCACGCCTATAATCCCAGCATTTTGGGAGGCCGAGGCAGGTGGATCACCTGAGGTCAGGAGTTCAAGACCAGCCTGGCCAACATGGCGAAACATTGTCTCTACTAAAAATACAAAAATTAGCTGGGCGTGGTGGTGGGCGCCTGTAATCCCAGCTACTCGGGAGGCTGAAGCAAGAGAATCGCTCGAACTTGGGAGGCAAATGTTGCAGTGAGCCAAGATCCACACCATTGCACTCCAGCCTGGGTGACAAGAGTGAAACTCCATCTCCAAAATAATAATAATAATAAATAAATAAATTGGTTAACCTCAAAGTCTGGAAATGATGAATCAAAACACATATCTGTTGTATTTCATACCCATACTCTCAATTACTATATACTGCTCAATACACAGTCATACACATGCACGACACACACACAATCATATATATAGACATACACTGTAAGAGGAAGATTTTAGCACTGCTCAAACTAAAGATAATGGAACTAGGACAAAAGAAAAATGAATTCTTACTAGAGGTATTAATGAGAGCAGAAGCCTAAGTTTTAATATTCTTCTAAAACTAAATCCTGGAATACATTAATGTCATATGACTCTTGAAAAGATTAGCTCATCACCGGTTTATATTTAAAACATCTATCTGATGCTAAATTTTCAGTAACCGAATGGAGATATGTTCAGAAACAAATTATGTAAATATAAGCAATCCCTCAGAATACTGATCCTATTAATATTTTGTTAAATAATGCTCATTTAATAACCATAACAATAAAGCTACATCCATAATGTGTAGTATCATGGATATTTAAAAAGTTTTAAATACGTATGAATACTAAGCAAATATACTGTGCCCAAAGGAATCATCCAAAACAGCACAAACTTTTTAATCTTCAAGAATTTTTTTAAAAGTACCATTCACATGATTTGGGATTAGAGAAATATTTGCTTTAGCTGGAAAAGAATAGTTGTATAGTAACTTGTAAAAGTAGACATAATTATAGAATAGATAGAATCTATTATATTCCCTAGCGTAAAGTAGGTGCTTAATAAATTGATAGAAACCTGAACGAATGGTGATGACAGTATATTTTGCTACTATTCTGTGGCAAGTTAAATATTTACTAAAATTAAAAGATCATTGTGCAAAGGCAAAATATCCATTTCATGAGATTTATTTTGAAATGCATTTTCTAAGGATGTTTTATTTTGTAAGCCTGACTAGTAAAATAAACCTTTCATTTTAGTTTTTCAGTAAATACTAGTTTTACCACACAGTACTGAAAGTATTCTAATAGCATGTTCCACTTTAGATTGTTTGTGAGCAAAAATAACCGCAAAAATTCCTCGAGAACAGTCATTATTGTCTATTTCCCTGTGGAGGATTTGTATGAAAATAGAGTAATTCTTCTCTCCCCTTAAAAAATAATCCTTTTAGAATATCATTTAAATAACATCTTTTTAGAATATTATTTTAAAACAATACTGTAGAAAAAAATATTCTTCTAACTCATGTTCCAGAAATGTCTAAGGTTTTTAAGTGCCCAAAACATTCCAGGTGGAAAAAGGATCTTAAATTGAATTTTGCCAAGACACTGTGGTTTCATTAACATTGATAAAAAATAAAAATAAAAGAAGCAGTTACTTTGGAGAGATTCGGAATCAATCTTGTTTTAGCAGCAATGCTCAGTGTCTTGCAGAAAATAAATTGATCATGTTTTGGAACAACAGTAAGTACATAGTAGAAAATAAGGTTAAACTTGACTCTCAAGTAATTCTGCAATGCTGCCTTCCTGGAAAATTAATGAAACACATTCTGCACAGATTTGTTATATTATTAATCTGTTTCCTTTTTATAAAAGTATTAATATTTGTGACAGAAAGCAGGATGTCTGAGTTCTTTTGTGAGAAGCTATGGGTTGATGGATGAAATTACCTTTCCTCAGAATATGATGTTTGTTATGTTGCTTGTAGTGCAAATAAGTTTTACTTCTCATTTAAGTTTGAATATTTTTAGATCAAATACATAAAAAGCATTTTAGAAATGTAACATCTTCTATTCTCTTATAATTCTGAAGTCATCATTCTACTTTTTTTTCTAAGCGAGTCAACATAAGTTGCAGGAGCTACGATTCATTTCATCTGCATAAATTTTCACAACAGAGCTGTATTGCTTTTCAATGACATCTAAGGCATTGTGCAGGCTAGAAATTGGAGTTACAGAAACAGCCTGTCCATGAGGGGCATCTAACCTAGCCAGGGAAAAGCAGTATGTGTAGAAAAAATAAATAGCAGTTCCAGGCAGTGGGCACTGAGGCCCAAGTTAAGGAGGAACCTGTGACCTCTGCTCTAGGGAGGTGAAACTTTCCCACAGTGGTGGGGTATGTCCTTTGAGGTTCCAATCAACGGCACTCATTCAAATTCTTATTTGATCAGAGTAACTATCCTGTCTCCTGCATATTTAGTTTGTATAATTCTTCTCAGAACTTTATTTTGGTGTCTTGGGTGTCCTCCAAAGAATCAATATTTACTCCTGAGAGCCTTGGCTTTTCTCTCTGCAGTACACTTGAATGCAAGTTTAGATCGCAGTCCAAATGATATTGGCATATTACTTTGGCTTCTAAATTTGATTGAGAATGAGATTATATTAGAAGCAAGAATAATTATCTTTAAAGGGCAAATTAAACTTTAAAAAATTAAAAGTATGTATAATTATACCACCATGTATGAGATCCTAGCCATTCTCAAGAACTAGAACTAGATATTTAAAAGATTAGGGACAAGTAAAATGAACAACCAGAATTAAAAAAAGTCAGCAATTACATTACATATTAAAATGAGCCAATACAATAGTCAATTCAAAACTTTCTTACTGATTGTGGAAGAGTCCCATGAACTTTCTTGTTTGGAAAGAATTGGATAATTTAAACAGATTCCAGTC
Organism: Homo sapiens; assembly: GCF_000001405.40. Lineage (NCBI taxonomy): Eukaryota > Metazoa > Chordata > Mammalia > Primates > Hominidae > Homo > Homo sapiens. The sequence goes on along the minus strand of NC_000010.11, from coordinate 108,664,849 downwards.
CCATGAGCTTCACGTTATCTTCAAGAAATCTTTGTGATTCCATGTGCTTCATGCTAGGAGGATGCTCCTTTCTTTATCAGCTTTTGAGAATTAGAGTTGATTATTGTGAGGGAGATGGCAGGATTCTTTACACTTGGTTATGTCTTTTACATGAAGGAGTAGTAAAGCACATCAGGAGCCAATTCACAAGAAAACCTGGAGAACAAGCAAATGAAGAATCTCCTTATTGATATTTGCAGAAAATGGAAGGACTTTGTATTGGAAAATTAATTTGTAAATGTTTAAATGAGCACGCACACACACACACACACACAAACACACACACACACACATACATCAAGAGACAGTCACCTTGACCCTAGAAGTCTTGAAATACCTTAGGCTTGGGTTAATGCAACTGCTCAGTGATGCCTTTGGAGACAGTTTTTTTTCTCTTTCCTTGTGGCCATCCTTCCAAATAAATTTAAGAAAGGTTTCCTTCCCAAAGTTTTAATTACAAAACTGTATTAATAAACTCAACTCCTCTGAAAAAAATATATTTACTTGTCAAAGCCTCTCCCATTTCTACCTTATAACTTATCCTATATGAAAAAATTTTAAATACCTGGGTTCCATCAAAATGACATTTTCTCTCAAGCCTGCTTGTATTTATGATTCCAAGTTAAATTTAGAGGTCAATTCCAGCAATTTGACACACATAAGTAGATTTAATTGTTTGCAATTTTAAGATCTGTTTAACTGATAGGGTATTTTCTCTCTGCTCTATGTCTAATTTTCAGGTGTGTGTTTCTAAGTCCTTGTCTCTTATGTATGCTCACATTGGTCAGAAAACACACATGCCCACATGTACCCCTTCAGTGAATTAAGCTTGATCAAAAGTCTGGATCCCATAAAAAGGGGATTTGCTCCTGCTCATGAGATTGTCTTCCTGTGACAGATTGACCTCAGCATTGAAGTTGCAGGTCATTTGTGGTTACTGGTTATGCCTGTCACTGTGAAACAGCATCAGGGATGAATTCAGTCTTTGATTTGACTAGAACACATTCCTGCTGTCCTTGTTACATTTAAATTCCATCCTTTGACCCTTTTACTATGCACCTCTACCACCTTCCAGCTTCTCTTCCTGTGTTCTCTGTTGGGGTTTCTGAGCTTTGATAAGAATGGACTCCTATTGTTGCTGTTCTACTGTCTTAAATTTAAATATTAATAAGCATCCGATGGTTCTGAGACAGTAGGAAGAGTGTGTTTTCTCTCACTGGTTAGATCCTTTTGTGTTTCAGATTTCTTTTATGTACAAGATACAGAGGGAAAAGAATTCTGCTATCTTAATACAAGATTGAACGCCATAAAAGACAATATAAAATTGTGAAGGGTCATAGAATATCCTATGTGAACATTTAAATAGCTAAAGGCTGTTAGTATAAAAAGTTTTGATGAAAGAAATTATGATTGTTATTATCATCATTAATATTATTAATCAGCAGAGTCAGAGATTAAGAGCTGGGGCAGGGAGCAATTATTCCTGTGGGTGATATTAAGCTGATTCAGTAAGTCAGGGTACAGGCATCCTTGATTTCCTTTGCTGATTCCTTTTGTCCATCTATCAGCTCTCTCACCAACACTCTACTGGCTCCATGACATTGCCTCATGCTGCAGTTCTAAGACATCCTCTTTCTCCAAGATTTCATTTCCCCAGAGGCAGCGTATTAGCAGAGCCTGTTTGTGACTCTGCAGTGGAGTCTACTTATTAACTTACAGCAATCGACCATCTACTGTGCTTGCCTCAGAGAATGTAGAGCCTGGGAATTAGCCTGGAATCTTGTAATTAGCAGAGGTAGAAGGTGGCTACAAGAGAGGAAGCAGGAGATGGTAAAAAAGTAAAAAATTTGGCATTGGAGTTACCAAAATTCTAATCCTGACCGCACCACTTGTTGCCTGAGACCTTAGAGAAGTACCTAACCTTTGCGAGCCTCAATTTCCCATCTTCAAAATGAGGAATATAATAACTACTGTATAACTTTCTTCATGAGGATTAATTAACGTGTATGAAGTAGTGGACTTCACAGTACAAATATATTTATCTGTGTATCTCTCTAGCTCAACAGCTATCATCCGTGTATGTTTGTATGTATATAGGTATGTATGTATGTCTCTCTCTCTCTCGCTCTCTCATCGTCTGTCTCCAGATCATGCCCACAGAGAGCTCCATGTTTAGGAGCATTGCAAAAATACTTGAGCGGAAGGACAAGTGTGATTTTAATTCCTCTGTTTCCTTGTTTTTCAATTTGCCCTGAGGAAAAGTCACCTACTTCATGGCTTCACACTGGAGTCATATCCTTCTCCCTGCTGTGAAATGTGACAGGGAAGAGATTTTCTAAAACCCCATTATTTTTTAATGTTTTTGATTAGTTATTCAGTAAACAACATTTCCATTACTGAATTATGCATCTTATTTTCTTCATCTTATTTTTGCCCATAAAGTCTATTGTTAGATTTGACTATAATTACTTTCTGATTGCTGTGTTATGGCACTAATTGATTTCACATCAAGCAACTAACAGTCTTTTTCTGCATAAAACTCATCAAGTCACAGGGACTACACATGGCCCATAGAGAGCTGATGGTTGTCTCTCTTCTTTGGCTATTATTATTATTATGTATTTTTTTCTAACAGATTGGAGAGGACTTTTTAACAGCCTAGATACCCTTAACTTATTTTCTGAAGACAATAAACATCTACCTACTACTGTCTTGAGGAGCATACTTTCTTGTCCGCAACATTCTGTCTCTCAAAGGACATTTAATGTCCTACTCCCTCTTACTAAACAGACCAGACCAATGGTCAGGAAACTGCTCTCTGTGGTTCATTCTAGCCAGTAGCCTATTTTTGTGTAGCTTTCAAACTAAAAAGGATTTTTCCCCATTTTTAAAGAGTGATAATCAAACAAACAAATATAAAAACAAAACAAATAATATGGGACAGAGGGTATCTGTGGCCTGGAAAGCATACAATTTTTATTATTTGCACCATTCCAGAAAAAAGTTTGCCAACACCTGGCCTAGAATCCGATATTAGCCTTTCCATTCAAAGAAAGCCAGAGAGAAAGTAGAAATTGCAGAGCCATAGTTCTGTTTTTTGCTCTCTTTCAGGATCAGCCTCTTGGTACACACTGTTAATCTCCGTGTTTGTCATTCTATTAGATAGTTCTGTTATCTGCATCTGGGTGTCTTTCTCTTTTTTTTTTTTCTTGGATTACATTCACATTAAAGCAGCAATGAAACGTAGAAAAAAGATAGGATTGAATTCAAAGAGACTTGGTTTCTCAGTCCATCCTCATTCATCCGGTAACCCCACTGAATCCCACCAATACCTCTGATCCTTAGTTTCATCATCTGTTAAATCAAGAAGTTTGACTGCACGGTGTTAAAAGGCCCTTGCAGTTCTAACACTCTGGAATTTAATCACATAAAATGCAAGAATATTTAAATTTCCTACAGGATAAAACAGCTCTGTTGCTCTACTGGATGACATATGAGAATTTTTGGCCTTCCTCAAGCAACTATAGGAACAGAGAACTCAGACTTCTATCCCGCAATTATAATTGTAGATAATCTCCTTATTTTTTTTTTTTTTGACCCTATAAAACTGAGATCAACCTCTCTGTGACTTCTAACCAACTGGCCCCAGTTGTATTTTTTCAGCACACAAAATATTAGAATAGACCTGCAGAAATATTATAAACCAGCCTACATGTCCCAACAGATTTTTCTTTTTTTTCTTTTTTTCTTTTTCTTTTTTTTTTTTTTTTGAGACGGAGTCTCGCTCTGTCACCCAGGCTGGAGTGCAAGCTCTGCCTTCTGGGTTCACGCCATTCTCCCCCCTCAGCCTCCTGAGTAGCTGGGACTACAGGCGCCCACTACTACGCCCGGCTATTTTTTTTATTTTTATTTTTTTTTTGTATTTTTAGTAGAGACGGAGTTTCACCGTGTTAGCCAGGATGGTCTTGATCTCCTGACCTCATGATCTGCCCGCCTTGCCCTCCCAAAGTGCTGGGAATACAGGTGTGAGCCACCGCGCCCGGCCCCCAACAGATTTTTCTTTTACATGTGAAGCAATTTTAATTTCTTTGACCAATTCAACAAATGAGTGATCTAGAGATATTTTTATTCCTCTAAGTACCCTACACCATATCTCAGCCTCGTGAAAGGTGGCTCAGAAGTCAGTATTCCATATGAGAGTCATATAGGTCTAGGATATTTAAAACAACATTCAAATATGGAATGGCTAGTAGGAAAAGTATGTCAAGTTTACTTTCCTTAAGGAAATATTCTTCTACCAAGTTTGCTGAAATACTTGGCCTGTTATGGCACCACCAAGCAATCCAGTCCTCCGAGGAGCAACTACTCCTTAGGTTTGCCAAAACATTTAACACATTTTGTAACAAATGAAAATCGTAGAACAGAACACAGGAAACATCGGTAGTTCATTTTTCCAGTTCTAGAAAGGCAGTTATTTAATTTTCTGTAAAGATTTGATGACGTCTCTTACTTTGTCATTAGAAAAATGTTAAGAAATTTAAAATGATGATAGCTTTAAAGATTTTAAAGATGAACATTTAAATTCAAACTAAAATATTTATAATAAAATAGACTGATGCTTTTCACTATTTCAAATTCCCAAATTCAGTTTCCCAGAAAAAAAACGTGGTTTTAATTATTGACATAAATCTCTAATGCTATATCTTGGTGTTCTTGCTTTACAAATGTATGCCTGTTCATATCCTGTTATGATAGATGGGGGTTTATTAATATTACTATCACATAATACTGCATCTCCAGTTCCTATTTTTCTCCTATTTTCCCAATAGATTTAATACAAATTATTTAAGTAACTATCCAATAATAATATAATAAACTATGGTCATATTTGTTTGTTGTCACTTGTATAGTTTTTAGCATATCCATTATAAATTATTTCTATCATTACTATTATATGGCTATCAGTATTTTTCCCCAAATGGCTCAAACAATTTTGAAAATGATTAATTTTTATTTTCTCTGAGATCTCTCTTTTAAAGTTTCTATTTTCCATTGAAATATTGAAATCTCTATCAATTTCTTTTTCGATCTGTTACATATCTATTATGTTTTAGATGTGTGTTCTCTTTCTCTTTTAGTCAGCTAACTTACCCCATTTTCTGTGGGATTCCTTCCTCAGTGGTAGTTTCTTGAAAAAGATGCTTTGGAAGCAAAAAAACAAAAACAAAACAAAAACAAACCAATCAATAAGAAGACTGCTTTCAACTATAAGCTGAAATTAATTGCCCTGCCTAAAATTTTATAGACATGGTTCTATTGTCTGTAGCATTCGGTGCTGCTTGGGGAAAATGCTGATGGCCTTCTGATTCCCATATTGTTCTAGCTGTCTCAATGCATGTGGATCTTTACTTCAGCCCTAGCAGTCAGAAATTCCACAAATATGTGCCTTGGTTTGTATCCCTTTTATTCATTTTTATAAATGGTTGGTGTATGCTTTTAATCTGGACTTGAATGTCATTCAGTCCTGAAAAATTTGCTTGTAAATATTCTTTTGAAAGCCATCATTTTCAGTCAGGAGTCGATGATAAATTTTTAAAAATTTTTCATTATGTTCATTAAAAATCATTTATATTTTCATTCAAGCCATTTTTCCTGGTTTAATGATCTAGAGACACTGCTTGGCATGCTGGCAATGGTCACTGAACACATCACTAACTACTCACCACCGTGCGCTATACTCAGTGTATCCCATCTCGTTTCAAGCACTCTCTGTTCTCCCTTTCACCCATCCACATCCTGTTCATCCAACAAAGTCCAGCTTAAGCCCATGTTTCCTAAGAAGGTCTCTGACTATCCCAGTCCTTCTCTCTCCTTTTCCTGAAATCTTGTAGTCAGTTTCTTACACTTGATCATTGCTATACACATGGCAGTGAAAAGGAGGTGCTGTAAGTTTCTTAGTAGCTGCCCCTTCGAGCTCTTGATAGCTTGCTCTTTCTAAACAAACTTTTCAAATCCTACAGGTTGTGTGATGAACCATGTCATGTTTTAATATTTAAATTCCTGGCAGCTGAGGGACTACAAGCTCTTGAACACATAATGTCATTATTTTATTTTGTCAGTATTTAATCTCCAAAACATATTATAAACTCCTTGTTATTTTGTAGCCCCATAGAATATTTTACCTATTCTGAGAACAGTTTACATATTTTGGAAATCCCTGACGTATTTCTCTTGCTTTCATTTCCTTCACCTTGTTTCCAAAAAATTTTAGGTGCTTTAAGAAGCAGAGAAACTACTGATAATAATAATTTAATAAAGATTATCATACTCTGATATTTTAATTTATTAAAAAATATAATATTTCTAAGGACAGGTTTACTTGAACTGATCCTTGAGCATTTTATTAAAGAATAACTAATCCCTTGATGGGGATGGCATTGAATCTATAAATTACCTTGGGCAGTATGGCCATTTTCATGATATTGATTCTTCTACCTATGAGCATGGAATGTTCTTCCATTTGTTTGTATCCTCTTTTATTTCGTTGAGCAGTGGTTTGTAGTTCTCCTTGAAGAGGTCCTATTCACAATAGCAAAGACTTGGAACCAACCCAAATGTCCAAAAATGACAGACTGGATTAAGAAAATGTGGCACATATACACCATGGAATACTATGCAGCCATAAAAAATGATGAGTTCATGTCCTTTGTAGGGACATGGATGAAGCTGGAAACCATCATTCTCAGCAAACTATTGCAAGGACAAAAAACCAAACACCGCATGTTCTCACTCATAGGTAGGAACTGAACAATGAGAACACTTGGACACAGGAAAGGGAACATCACACGCCGCGGCCTGTTGTGGGGTGGGGGTAGGGGGGAGGGATAGCATTAGGAGATATACCTAATGTAAATGACGACTTAATGGGTGCAGCACACCAACATGGCACATGTATATACATGTAACAAACCTGCACGTTGTGCACATGTACCTTAAAACTTAAAGCATAATAAAAAAAAAAGAAAAAAAAAATAACCAATCCCAACTCCCCCAGAGAAAAGTGCTGCAGCCACTTAAAAAGTCTTTGAAATTAGAGGACAGGTGAAATGGTTTTAAATACCTTAAAAATTGCAAATAACTATGCTCTTAGTTTCCTTGTGATCTGTAAACAATGTATGCTACAATAAGAAGGGAGGCAGTTAAAACCGTCAGTGTTAACACTGAGCTAAAAGCTTTGATATGGTTCCTCTAGCACAATGTAAATGCCATAAAATTTCTACATACACAGAAGACATTTAACTCATTTATTCTTAGGGAAGGGCAAATGAGACTTTGTAAGTCACTCTGTTTTCCAATTTAATGACAATTACTTAACTGCATTGTAAAACTGGCTTGTCAAAGTATAATTTACATACACTAAAATTCACCAGTTTTGTGTACACTTTAATGCCTTTTGGCAATAAATATGATTATGTAACTATTGCCACAATAAAGAAAAATAATAATCCCACCACTACAAAAAATACCCTTAGCCCTGTCACAGTCAACGTTTCCCTCTGCCCTTAGATGCGAAAAATGTCATAGCTGTTTTCTGTCACTATAGTTTTATCTCTTCTGGAAGTTCATATAAGTGGAATCATATAGTAGGTAGTCTTTTGCCTCCAGTTTTTCTCACTTAGCATACTGCTTTTGAGGTTTATCCATGTTATTTCATGTAACAATAGTTAGTTTATTTTTATTGCTGAGCAGTGTGTCTCTATAAATCCATCATTATTTTTTATTTATTTATCAAGTTGAAGGATACTTGGGTTCTTTGCAGTTTGGGGTCATTACAGATAAAGCTACTATTACCATTCTTTTATAAGTCTCTATGTGGACATAGCTTTTTGTTGTTTTTGTTGCTGTTATTTGTTTTTCTTACATAATTACCTAGGAGCAGAATTGCTGGATCATGCAATAAGTTTGTGATCAACTTTATAAACAACTGCAAAACTGTTTTCCAAGGTGATTATTACTATAGTATTTTGATTTCCCATCATTAATGTATGAAAGTTTCATTTACTCTGTTTTTTTTTTTATCAACACTTAATATTATCAGACTCTTGAACTTTAGCTATTGGACTAGGGGTACAATATCATATCATCACAGTTTTCATGTAATTTCCCTAATGTCTAGTATTATGTATCTTTGCTTATTTTTCATTTGCATATTATTAGTGAAGCATCTGTTCAAATATTTTGCACATTTTAACTTGAAATAGATAATTGAGCTAAATACAAAAACTAAAGTTTTTAAATTTTCAGAAAAAAAGAAACATAGGAGAGAAGATTTGTAACTGAGGTTAGGCCAAGATTTCTTATGTAGAACATAGGCAAAAATCATTGAAAAAACATTAAATAAGACTTTATCAACAATTTTAAGATTTTATAAACACTTTTGCTTTTAAAAAATGCTCTTAATAAAAAGACACAGGCTAGGAGAAAATATTTGCAAGACATGTACGTGATAAAGTACTCATACCTATAATATATTTAAAAATATTATAACTCATTAATAAGAGACACAACTTGTTCCAAATACATAAATGCATCACTTTTAAACATAGCCATAAAAGTTGTTCTTACTAAACAAAGAGGCTTAATTTCTAAAGTAAGTAACTGTAAAAAATCTGTCTAACTTTTTTTAGGATTTAAAATATTCAATATGTATACTAATTGCACTGGAATTTTACCAAATTTTAGAGAAGTGGTCTATGTAGTGAGACTCAAATTACATTATTAGAATATTACATGACGTGAAGAATAAGCAATTTCTAAGAGCAGAGAGAGGCCTTCGAGTAGTCCCTAATGATGACCTTGGAGACGCATTTCATCACATGCATATAAGTAGGACACACAGAGGAGAGCGGAGGAAGAGGCATTGTAACAATCTTTTTTGTTTGAGACAGGATCTTGCTCTGTTCAGGTTGGAGTGCAGTGGAACAATCATGGCTCATTGCAGCCTTGACCTCTCAGGCTCAAGCCACTCTCCCACCTCAGCCTTCATAGTAGCTGGGACTACAGGCATGCACAATCACGCCTGGCTTTTTTTTATTTTTTTAATTTTTGTTATAGATGAGGTCTCACTATATTGTCAGGGCTGGTCTTGAACTCCTGGGCTCAAGTGATTCTCCCATCTTGACCTCCCAAAGTGCTGGAATTACAAACATGAGCCATCATGCCCAGTCAGTTCACAAGGCATTCTAATTTTCACACAGCACATCTGAAGATAAAAGATCTGAGAGTAAATGCCAACTGCCTAATATTCATACTCTCAGCAAATCCTCACATCCAAATAACTTCATTTTGAAGAACTAAGGGTTGTGCTGCTGACGACGGAGGGAGAGGAATTATTTGCTGGTTGTAAGAGGTGAAAATGAAATACCAGGTTTCTAGATTTCTGTTGTAAGGGCAGAGTGGCTGGTTCTCCTAAGGATCATGTGACCCTGGATGAAAGCCATGCTTTCATTAGAAAAAAATCTCTTCACAGTGCAACCCTCCTGTGGAGATCAGACACCTCTGTCTCATGTGCCTGTCCAGGAAAACATCAGAAAAGACAACAGAGAAATGATGTGGAAGAAAGCGTGAGGTAGTGACGTTAGGCTAGGCCTAGAGAGGGAAAGGATTGAGAGACTGAGATTAAAGATAATACCTAACACTTTTTTTTGCCCTTGCTATGTGCCAAATTCTTTACATATATTAACTTATATATCAAGTAATTTACATATAATAACTTATTTTGCCCACACAGATACCCATAAGGTAGATAGGTCACTAAAATCCCTATTTCACATCATATAAAGGTAACTAAGACAGAGAAAAACTAGGTTTTTTATTTCAGCCTACCCAGATCGTAAGGAGCAGAGCCAGGATTTCACACAGGAACTCTTAATTCAGCATCCTGTGTTTTCATCAGTTATGGAGTGGGCTGCAAGTAATTTGTTACTAATCACAGTTAAAATAATCAGTCTGTCAAGGACTTACATTTTAATGCTGTCTCAGAAATCTCTCCCACTGAATTGCATTTTCAAAAATTAATGTCCATGTATTAAACACATTAAAGAGGAAGTAAGAATCAAACTTAGCAATACTGGTTATCCATGTCTCCAAACATATGTCAATTAATCTGCAGTGGTGGCTCTCAGACTTCACTGGGCAGGAGAATCACCTGGGATACTCTTTAAAATGTAGGTCACTCAGCTCTGGCCACAGAGATTCTGATACATCAAGTCTGTTTTTAGAGCCCTACAATTGATATTTTTAACAAAATCCTAAATGTTTTCTTCCCCCCATAACCCTCTGCTTTTTGACCATTTTTATAAAATTGGCCATTGGAGGATATTGCCAACCACAACTGCACCAAGACAGTATTAATTTCTCCATATATTAGACCCAAAAAACTTTCCTATAAACCCATTCCAATGCTGACAGCATAGTATGCAATTCTCTATTTGCTTCTCTATTTCTTTATCTATCTATCAGTTCTGGAAGACTCTTGAAGCCAATTCTTATATATACGTGACTACTATATATCTAAAATTTTCCACACAATTTACATATAGTTGGAGCCCACAGTGGGGTTGTGGTTTAATGAATGATTATAGAAATGAGCAAATAAAAATAACGTGGTTTGGATCATGCATAACATTATCAGATGGCTGAATTCAGTATGCGAAAATGCTACATTTAGTTAAATATTTGAAGAGAGTACATTTTTAAAAAAGATATTAACACATAAAAAATGTTATGAGCTTCCTAGAAAGCAGTTTAATACATGCAGATATAAACATATATTAAACATAGCACCAGAAATGGTAGATGATGCCTGAGCCTTTGTCTTACTAGCAAGATTGTCAGCAGCATGAGACTAATATTGTGTTTTATGTCCACTTTGCTCCTTCCTTGCTGATTAATCATAAAAGCAGGCACATCTATCAAATGAAAGCCACGTACCAGTGACTTGTTGACACCTTAATGCTTCTACTTTATATACTTTCCCAAGATTTGGTTGACTTTTAGTTTTATTTATTTATTTAGCTCAGTATTCTGTGCGCAGCAATTCGAGCTGGCTTAGATGAGTGGTTTTGAGCTTTCCTTGTTTTCTTCCTGCATCTTTTGTCAGCTGACTAGTCATCTTGAGGTCGGTTGCTCCAGGACGGTCTTACTCACAAGTTTGAAAGTTGGCTGGCGCCTGACTGGGGTTGTTCTTATAATGGAAGTAGGATTTCAAAAGGGTTAAAAGAGTGTTCAGAGTCTGTTGTGTTAGATTATTAAAATGTCCTCAGTTATCTATTTATACATATTTACTACCTTTAAAATGTTAATTTGTAGCTCCTTCCATCAAGAAGTAGAATCTGTTTCCCAGTCCCTTGAATCTATGCTGACTCTTTGAATTGTGTTGGAAAACAGAAAGAATAAATGTGCTGGTTCCATGTCTAAAGATTAAGAGGCCTGTCACACTTCTCCTGACTCGCTTTGAAATTGCTACCACCATGTGAAAAGATATGGGTTTGCCTGCTGGATGATGAGCAGGCCCTGCCAGGATCAGCCACACATGGCCCAAATTGGCAGAACCACTCAACTCATCCATAGATTTCCAAGCAACAAAAAATGCTAATTGTTCTAAGATACTGGGTTGTGAGTGGTATGTTAAACAGTGAGAACTAACCAATATTCCTTTTGCAGCCTTCGTTAGAACAGACACAATGTCACTTACACCTCAATTTATTGGCCAAAGCAACTAAAGCCCACCAGGATTAAAGTGTGGTGCAATTGATTCCAGCTTTTAATGGGAGAAGCTACAAGGTCATACTGCAAAGGATTTGTATACAGGGAGGCATAAAAAATTGGGTACATTTTTAAAATTAATCTACAATAGCTTGAAACATTTCCCTTCTTCCCTCCCCTCCCCTCCCCTTCCCTTTCCCTCCCTTCCTTCTTTCTCTTTCTTTCGTTTCGTTTCTTTTCTTCTCTTCTCTTCTCTTCTCTTCTCTTCTCTTGTATTCTCTTTTCTTTCTCTCTCTCTCTCTTCTTTCTTTCCTTCTGCCTCTGTGTGTGTGTGTGTGTTTAAAACAGGGAGAGACAGACTTCTCTTTGCAGTTTATACAAATAGCCTTTGTATGTAATGTTTCAAAACAATGGTCAATTTCTTAAATTGAGCTAATTATATTCATTTAAAGACAGTTGCCTACTGAAGTATTTCTTCTTTTCTTAGTAACACCAAGCCTCAGTGCATATATATTTTTTGACCACATCTTTTTCACGGAAGTAAAATGAAGTACAACTTGATTACAGTATTCAGAAACAACACTGGTGATGTCGGTTCTAAGCTTGCAGTTGCACTATGTTTCTTGAAATTTTGTCTTTGCCTGTGACTGCCACTGTTCCCTTTACATTAGATAATATAATGAAGGTTTGAGTTTTGAAGCGATATTTTATTTGGAACACTCAGTGTTAGTAAGAATTAGAGATGTGCCACCTGCCTCTCTGGGCACTAGTATTAATTGTATTATCTTTGGCAATATGGAGCAATTTCACTGGGTAATGGGATAGGTAGTAATTCTTGTGGGTATGCTTATAAAAATTATGCACTTCTAGTATTTTTAATGAAGAGATATTTTCTTATGTATTTTTAATATTTCTAATGAAGGGATATTTTGTCCCAAAAAGGCTATCTTCATTTTAGTTTTTCCAGTTTCTAAATATACACATGTGCGTATGCACCCATGCACCCATGTCTTAGTTTTTGTTCTGATAATCTTATTTATGTTTGTGAATCATGGATTTTGGCAAAGACTAGAAAGTACTAAATTTAAAGCAACCCATAAGTATGCTCTATGAAAGGACAGATAACTTATTAGGAAATAAAAATGGTAGGCCGTGCTTCAGGGACATATCAAAGTCACAATATGTGTGGGAGCCCAGTTTTCATCAGGAGTGCAGTATTATGCTGTAATGCCAGAGCACCACTATCATTACACCATTAGTTATTTATTAAGAAACTATGCCAAGACATATGTTAAGTGTTAAATGCATACTGCAGGTAGATTAGGAAACTAACATATATTGAGGTCCCACTATGTGCAGGGCATTTAATGTGCATTATTCCATCTTTGAGGTAAATTTTATTATCCCAATAGATGAAGATTTACAGGGTTAGAGACTTAACTTGCTAAAGATTGCAGAGTTGGAAAGCAGTAGAACTAGGATTCAAATACTGAAAAATTATTCACAAAGATAGATTCTTTGACTCCTTACTGCATTATTTATAAAGGTCTTAGCATCAAGTTGGTAAAACAATGCATGCTTAAAGAGGAGTGAGATGGATGTAATCATAAATATTGGAATTCTCAGGAAGAGCAAAGATTAATTTAGAAGATATGCTTGACAAGGACTTGAGAATTTCATATAGTCAGATAAAGCAATAAAGATGCTCACTAAACCAAGAAGATGGAGAAATAAACAGGGTTCATTTTGCTTCTTGGAAATAGGGTGAAGACAGATAAATATCGAGTAGGGGAGAGGAAAAAGATATAGAGAGACCAGTAAGATGCTGGAAATCTTCACTCTGTGGCATACTCTGTTCTGATGACACAATCTTATGCTTCTTAACTTTCAAATCCTTGGCATCTAGGCAATATTCATAAAGAAGAAACAAGAGCTTTAAAAAGGAGATACACATAAACACCATGTGCAGATCCCAAGATGGAAGCCAAGCGGCTCAGGAGAAATTGAGTTCTCTGATGTGCAGAGACCACGGGAAGGGTGAAGAATGTCCAAATGCAGTGTTTTAGGATATTTTCATCAGCCACGTTAACATAGACCTCTGAAGAGTGGGATGTGGATGGGTTGCAGTGTAGGGCATGAGGATTTGGGGATAGCTCTCTCACTGACACCCCAATTACAGAGGAATGTCTCCAAAATCTTGAAACCCACAGTAAGTACATCTGAAAGGGTCAGATCACTAGTGGTCTGAGAGACCAGAGGAAAAGGCCATCACTGTCTCTGGTTGGGAAGTGACTTCTTGGAGAAGGCAAGCCTTAATCAGGGACTTGATGAAAGGATACATCATGTGAATGGGGCAGAGTGAACACAGCTCTGGAGAGAGGACACAATGCAGGACTTCTAGAGATGTATTATTCAAGAATCTTTTGGTTTCAAGAAACAGAAAACTAAGAACAATTAGATTAAGTGGAAAAGTGGCTCATTGTTTATAAACAATGAGACACTGTCATTAGAAATATTACTCCTTCTGTCTCTTTCCTTGCTTCCTTAATGTTGATTTAATCCTAAAGCAAGCTCTTTACATGTAGAAGAAAAATAGTCATCAGTAGCCTCAGACCTAACACCTACCTACTTGGCAACCCTAGAAACAAGCAGTCTCTGTTTTGCAATGGTTCGACTGGATTAGGTAAGATTCTCATCACCCAACTTAGGTCACATGCCCACACAAGAAACACTTTGTGTGGCAAGAGGATGGCTAGAGTCACATATCTACCCCCGGTGGTCAGTCTCACTCAAACAACATGAACTGAGATTGGAGGATGGATGGGTTCTGAAAATCAAAGATATTTAACAAAGTAATGTGTGTTGGACAAAGTCAATAGGTATTTACTACCAGGGGGCTCTATTTAGAATATTTAGTGAAACAGGTGTTAGCTGAAACAAGTTTGTAGACTCATTTGTTTAATTTTGTTATTGTTTCTTGGAGGAATAGAGTGTGGTGACAAGTAATACAAAGAGGCAGCCACTACAAGATCCTAAGTGATACAGTAGACACCTTGCATTTGCAGGTGGGGAGTGTATCATTTAGGACCTTGTAATGGTTGCCCTTTGTATTCCATATCAAGAGAGCACTGTAATTGAAGAATCCTGCCAAGGTCTGTCTCAATGACATTTTAATTTTCTTTCTGTGCTGTTATCCATTCTCAACAGTATGAGTATCCATGTCCCAGATTTCTTTCCATGTCCACAAGTATCTTAGAGACTGGTAAGGCGCTGGACAATTGCTTTGCTATTCTGGACTTATGTGCTTGCTGACTTAGAATGCTAAACTTTTGGAGATTTCCTTAGAAGAGGAGGTGTTTCATGATGCAGTCTTTGCCAATCACTCTCTGGTCAGGGAACATGGACCAGTAACTAAACACCTTGGACTTTCACATTAATGTGATTTTTTTTTTTTTTTTGCACAGATCTTGATCTACTACTGATTCATTCCACTCCATTTAACAAATAATCTTATGTGATAAAATGATGTTTAATGCTAGATAACATAAGTTGGTACAGTGCTTTACTATAATGTATCATTTTTTATTTATTAACTTATTTGATTTTTCACATAGCGCTCCAATGTGTATGGGCATGCCCTGCCATTCTCATTACTTTTTAAGTTACTGAATGGGTCAGTGACTCAATCAAGGCTAGAACCTCCTTTGTAAAATTTAAAAAGTAACAGAAACTAATTCAGTTAATTCAAAAAACATTATTTGATCACTTAGACAATGCGGAGAGACTAGATAAGCACTAAGAAAATGAAAATAAGTGAAGAATTCTTGCTCTGGAGTAACTCAGACTATTATTGAAAATAGACTTGCGAAAAAATATATATAACATTAAAAATGATAGGTAATAAAAATAAAATGGTGTGAACAAATACATGGAGGATACAACACAAAGAGGTATTCAGTACCTGGGGCTATAAGGAAAGGCTGATACTCTTTAAGCTCAGTTACTAACGATGAGAATATTCTCAGGAATGGAGGACAGGGAGTGAGAAAGTGGATGGTCATTCATGACACAGAAAACAACGTGGGTAAAGGCACAGCAATGTGAGTGTCCAGCATATCCAGAGCGTAGGAAAACTTTCAGAGCAAAAGCGAGAAGGGCCAGACCTAGGCAGATAGGTGAAAGGACCCGATCATAAGAAGAGATTATTTAAACCAATATTGTTTGTTTCTGTGTATATGTATTTATATTTACTTAATTAGAATTGAATGGCTTACCAAATGGAGTAGTGATCACTAAAGAGGACACCTGGGAGGCTACTCTGCCTCTTATTTTTCTGATCAGTTCCCTTCTACGCTAATATCCCCTCTCAAGAGAACAAAACATTTTTCAGGAAACCAGTCACACTCACCTTAAAAAAATGGTTAGTTGTGATTCATTCTTGACTTTTAGAAGTCGAATTCCACCTTCAAGTGGTATACCAAAATGTTCCTTCGAATCAGTACAATATTTTCCCTGATGCAAAATTTGTACTAGGGAGTACAAATTTCTCCTTCATAATACATTTTAATAATAGTTTAAAGATTAGTATTTTAAGTAGCTCCCCAGCAGGTATCTTTGGGTGGGGTCTTGGTTAGCTTTGGCTGCTATAAAAAAAAAAATCAGCCTGAGTGATTTATAAACAGCAGAATTTTATTACTTACAGTTCTAGAGGCTGGAAAGTCTAAGATCAAGGTGCCCCAATTCAGCCTAGTGAGGGCCTTCTTCAAGGACGATGCCTCTGTGTGTTCTCACATGGCAAGGGAGGAAAGGGAGCTCTCTCAAGCCTCTTTTATAAGGGCACTAAATCCCATTCATGAGGGTGGGACCCTCATAAATTATTAACTTCTCAAAGGCCCCACCTCCTAATACTATCCCATTGGGTATTGGGTTCCAGTATACAAATGTGGGGAAACACCAACATTCAGACCATAGCAGTTGGGAACACAGCAGGCATAGGGAGGAGGAGCAGGCTTCACTGGCAGTGGGGGAAATGTGATCATTGAGTTTGTATGCCTAATATAATGTGTGTAGTAAGCCTGTAGGCTTAAAGGGTTGCTATTTTTAGAAAAATAGATCTGGAGACAACATTTTCTAGACTGATTTGATGGACTAAAGGAGGAAGTAGGAAGGAGAGGGCAAACTACTGTAAGAGTGAAAGAGACCATGAGGACCTGGCTTAGGGAAATTACAGTGCTTAAGCAAGGTGTGTCTAAATTCAGGAGACAGTGCTGTGGTACAACCAACAGGATTTAATGACTGATTATTTGCTTTTTAATTATTGATTATTGATTAGTTGCATTGGTGGGGAGGATAGTAAAAGAGAAGACAAGTTTCAGGGCAAATCCAAGAATCCTGATGATGGAAACTGGGTATCTGGTGATGTAAACCATGACTGAGAATTCAGGAAACAATGTTAACTTGGACAGTGAAGGGGAGAAGAACTAAACTGATGTGGACATACTCCTATTAGGTTCCTTTAGGGGAAATAAATTATCTAGTATCAGTGGTAAATTTTGGGAAACTGGATGTGGATTCGGCCTCTAATGGCTAAAATTGGTATTTTGTAATAAAGTCACTTGTGCAAATTTCATTCTAGAAATTTTCAATAAAATTCCACAAAAATAAAGTGTAATGTAAATAAATGTAAATGAGAGATTATTAAAAATGCCCATTTACATTGTTAAAGTTAAATCTGTTATGTGAGGAAAGGCATGGCTAAATCATTAAAGCTACCCTACTGTATTAACTACTGTATTGGAAACATTTATTTAAAGATTAGCTAAATAAAAATGTATAAATACAGTTACAAAAAAAGAAGCTGATAGTGATCAATTCATTCAGCAATAATTGACACGGCCTCAAATGATTGTTTTCTGACTCTGTGTACACTGATAAAGAAGTTCACCATTATCTAGAACCTTGATTTGTTGAGTTGAAAGAGGAATAGATGATAGATTATATCGAAGTTGGTTGTTTTGTCATTTCCTCTGAGAATCTCAACTTGCATCTTCGTGAGTTTTCTCAAGCACTGCCAGTTACAGGGGGTTTACGTTTTTGCAAAGCTACAAATTATATTGTACAATTTCTGAAATTATTGCTTCTTCTTTATACTCAGACAAAATTTGCCTTTCTGCAGCCAAGAACTATCATCCCTTTTCAGATTCCCAGAGCATATCAAGCCATAGACAGCTCTATGTCTCTGTAATGACTACTTATTATAGTCTTCACACATCAACTTCTCTAGATGAATCATTCACCTTTCAAAAGAATTCAGTTTAAAAAATGTTAAATTTTTTTTGTGCATGCACCAATTTTTAACCTCCTTTATTATTTTTGTTTCTCTATGCTGGTCGTTATTTTATTTTATTTTATTGCTATGAGGTTACTTGAAATTCCCAGATCATGGTCCTTTGATAGACATTATGGGGCAACAATATAATACAGAATTAATAGCAGGGACCTTAGCATCAGCTGACCTACATTGGAATCCTGGCTGCAAAATGAGGATAGTAATATTAACGTCATAAAATCAATTGTGTGGGCTAAATGACATATTTTATATTAAGTGTATAGCACCATACTTGATACAAAAGAATTATGTAACTGAGAATAATGAGGCTAAAGATATCAAAATCATATAAAACTTTTTTTTTCTTATTATTCTTCTGGTTGGACTACAAGTTCATAATCAGCCAGAGGTTAATGATCCCTTCAGAGTTTTCTACAAAGTGAATTGCTTTTAAATGGTAGCTCCTCTATCTTACACTTATGAATTTGAGTTTTTTTTTTAATTTAAATCTTAAATCTTTCAATTTAGCAATGATAAATTTATTCTACTTGGTTTTTTTAAGTATTGATATTCATTCTCCCTTTTAGCTGGATGCCCTGCGTATGATTCTGAGTGTTAAAATTTGTTCTTCCTCTGCTGGAAGTCTTCTATATACTGTAAAATGTGCCTTCTATGGCTTCACTCATGAAAAAGAAAAGTTGTTTTGAAAAAGTCCTATAATTCAGCTCTAGACTTCTCATCAAGTTGACACTGGACCTTGAATATCAGGTGAAAACCATGTTTAAGTGTTTTGTGACATTAGAGAATAATACAGCCCAGAAATGCCCGAGGAAACACAAAAAAAGACTATTCAAATAGTCAAATATTCAAATAGTCTTTTTTGCCTGAAGTTCATTGAGGTTTTCTATTTTCTCTGTTTTACTTGTTTTATTTAGCTCCACCTCTTAAGGATTCCTACCTCATTCCCATAGTCTCCCCACTCAGCCCAGGACTCTTTTTACAGTGCCATAGTAATGCCATTTTTATTTTGCACTTTGGAAGTGATGAGATCATTTCACAAGTTAAATCAATAAATAAGCTAAAATACTGTGATTTCTAAAAATGCTTCACTTGTGGAGGAAGTGACTTGAATCCCTCAAAGTTACCGCATCACATTTGTGAAAATCTCATGAGATGTACCAAGCGCAGTGGAAGACACAGAATTGGGGCTCTATCTCTCATATATATATATATATATGAGAGGTAAAGTGTTTCACAACATGGATCTATATTATTATATTATTATAATTCTGTTTCCATTGCAAGAAGACCTGAGCATTAACCACAGAAAGACTTTCTTGGTCATTCCTCTATTAGATTTAAGAACTTTTTTTTTTGCCTTCTTGAATATTTTTCTTCCTTCAAAGAATATATTTGATCTGGTGTGGTGGCAGCTCACACCTGTAATTCCAAAACTTTGAGAGGTCAAGGCAATATTGCTCAAGACCAGAAGTTTTAGAATAGCCTGGGCAGAATAGTGAGACAGTCTCTATGAAAAAAAAAAAAAACAGCAACAACAACAACAAAAACAATGTAAAACTTAGCCAAGCTTGGTGGCTTGTGCCTATAGTCCCAGCTACCGAGAAAGCTGACCAAGGCACGAGGATTGCTTGAGCTCAGGAGTTCAAGAATGTAGCAGTAAACTACGATCATGCCACTGTACTTCAGGCTGGGTGACAGAGCAAGATCCTGTCTCTAAAATAAATACATGAATGCATAAATAAGTATATAGATAAGAAGAAAGAAAAAATATTTACATGTTTTATTCAGTCAAGAATTCTGTGTTCATTGTTTCTAGAAGAAACTATGGTGCATAGGGCAGAGAAAAATGCATTACGTTTGACCACAGTTTCTTTCTAAAATTATTTACTGTCATTGTAACCACCAATGACACATTGTTATGACACAAAATTCATGAGAGACATTGTTCCTGCAGATTTAGTAAAGCCTGGTAATTTTCTGATGCTTAATAGCATTTGTAGCCATTCTACTTAAGACCACTTTAAAAACATCAAATAATTTTGTTTAAGTGCAAAAACAAATGCCGGGAGGATCAAGAACTAATCTTCTCTTCCATGTTATATTACGGTATAATTTTCTGGTTACTCTACTGTTGGAGTTTTGGTATATTGTAATACTGAAGGCAGAACTGAAAGATTAAACCAGGCAGCTCTTAAAAAGCAGATTTAAACCCTTAGGAAAGTTAGAAAGACCCTTTTTAGACTTAGCCACAAGATCTATAGGTACTGTTTTTGGAAGAAACTTTAGAGATCATTTGTTCTCGTGGTTTACAAAGTTCTAGTATTAGCTAACTTTTAAAAATATTAATCAGAGGCAGAGTTTCCTATATATAAAGCCAATAAAAACCAACTGTTATTATTGAAGTTTTAACTTTTCATCTTGGTTGGTTAGTAAAAATAAGAATGCGTAGTCATTCTTAACATCTTTCAGCCAGACATTTTACTTCTTAGAGTGGGGGAAAAATACCTGCATTACTTATATCATAGCATTGTCATAAGCATCAGAATTAATAATTAATGTGAAAGAGTTTTATAAATTATAAAACATACTTTCAGCTAAGATAATATCACTACAGGAAAAGATAAACGCTCAAGGTAGTACATGACATGACAAAGTGGTGAATGGGGGGGGTTAGACAAAAAGTACTATAACAATGGAGAGACAGAAACATTCTATGTCATTTATCCAATGACCCTTTTCTGCCTATTCATAGTGTCACAAAAGATTGGGGTACATTACATTTAAGGAACTTGACATAATACTGATTATGCCTATAGATCATCAGAGATGACAAATAAGATTTTCTGTGAAGGTTTGAGAGTGGTTTCACAGAAAATTTTCTTCATCAATGGGTATATACCCAAAGGATTATAAATCATTCTATAAAGACACACGCACATGTATGTTTACTGCAGCACTATTTACAATAGCAAAGACTTGGAACCAACCCAAATGCCCTTCAATGATAGACTGGATAAAGAAAATATGGTACATACATACCATGGAATACTATGCAGCCATAAACAAGAATGAATTAATGTTCATTGCAGGGATATGGATGAAGCTGGAAACCATCATTTTCAGCAAACTAACACAGGAACAGAAAACCAAACAACTCATGTTGTCACTCATAAGTGAGAGTTGAACAATGAGAACACGTGGACACAGGGAGGGTAACATCACACACCGGGGCCTGTCGTAGGGTGGAGCACAAGAGGAGGGAGAGCATTAGGACAAATACCTAATGCATGCAGGGCTTAAAACCTAGATGATGAGTTGACGGGTGCAGCAACCCACAATGGCATACATATACCTATGTAACAAATCTGCACATTCTACACATGTATTCCAGAACTTAAGGTATAATAAAAAATTATAACTTTCTTAGTATTCAGAAAGAAAGAGTTTAATGATAAATTTATGATTTCTGCCATTTGTGAGAGATAATAGCAGTGGCATTTGTGCCCAAATTTCCTATCCATGTTATAAATAATCTGACTTCCTTTTACTTTCTCCTCTCACGTCTTTGACTGTGGGTCCTTGGTATTAGGGCTCACACCATTCCATAGAACAACTGAAATTCTACAGTCCCAAAAGCCTTATTTGAGGATGGAACTACATGTTCACACTTCTCATTATGCAATATGTTTTGGTCTTCTGGGTCTTATTGCTTTAAATTCTGGCCAGTCTTCCAACTCAACAGAATCATTTATTTCTTATACTATTGTACTCTTAGAAAAAAACATCAGATGTGAAAGTTTCATGGAAGCTCATTTCTCTTAGGAATTTGCATACTTATTAATATAGTGTTTTAAGTGTCTTTTCTGTTTCTCTCGAGCATTCTGTACATGCATTCAAGTGTTCTTTATAGGGAACAGAAAGATCATACAGGACCATACATAAAAGGACCTAAAATTCCTCCTCTGTACCTTGATCTGCTGATTTCAAACATGGTTTGGCTGCTTAGGGAATAATTGTGACTAAAAGTCAAGGGATAAGAGGTGAAGTGATCAACTTCACAGGTTCCCCATGGCTTAATGAGAAAAAACAGTGTGTCCTAATGGGGACATTGTTGGCTCCCAATATCAGGTTTCTCTATCCTTGTGCAAAGTCAAGGGCTGCTAAGACATGCAGAAGCATTCCACTACCCATATCAGTAATTGTAATTATACCAAAGAGGAGATGATAACCACAGCAGCTCCATGAATAAATCCTGCCATATAACTTCAATGGCTCATGTACTCACTGACCATAAGTCTATCTTTGGAATCAGCAGTAAACAGCAGTTCTGCTTTATAGAATAAGCAAAATGATTTGAATAGGTATTAAATTATTTATGATGCATGGATTAATGAAAGTATAAAATCATCGTAATAATATATAAGAAATTACTATGGCTAAAAGATAAAAAATTTATATCTCAATTTCAAAAGCTCTAAAACTGCAAATTCATCAAAAATGTACAAACAAAAACATATAAATTTATAGCCTATTATGAAATACCTTCATATCTCAATATTTATCTTGTTTCTGCTTTATTCTCATGTTTTCAGCCTGCTCCTCAACAAAGTAGATATGTCATACTCTAATTCATGTTTTGCCTTTTTAGATCCAGACTATTATTGCTTTCCTGGGCATCTGTGTAGTTGACTTTATCTCACAGATTTGAAAGATGCTTTTCAGAGCCAGGGTTGGTAAGTTGCCATACATTATATACTAGGGAAAGGTACATGTATGCATGATCTCAGGGAAATGATACTGGGTGAGTCCCTGGAAACAGTAGACTAAGCCAGACCTCGCTCAGTACTTCATTTATTAGATGGAGCGGAGATGTCAAGGGGGTAAGAATGCTTTAGTTATCTGGGTAATAATGTTAACCCTATATCCAATGGTCCTGAAATATCTAGGTATTCCCATGTGCCTGTATAAGGTCACCAGAGTAAATGCCCAAAAGACTAAATGTCTTTGCGGAAGGTCTGGATAAATCATTAATCTGTATGCTTCATAGACTATTGGAAGACTATTCCTTCTGAAAATTCAGCCACCTCTTAGTTGATGATGTTTTGGGTTTGAAAACTAAAAAAGAACTTAAGATCATTCAGTGAGGTAACCACTCTCAGCCTCTTCCTTGTCTACTCGTGTCTTCTGCTGCTGGTAAAGCTGAAGAGTACTCTTGTCAACTGCCAATCTGTTTTGCCCAACGATTGTCATGTTTTATTAAGCATCTCCGTAACTTTCTCTAGGTTAGACTCCATTGGCTTCCAACCCAAATTTGGTGATCCATATGATAGTTATGACTCTCTGGGATTTCATGGTTAAGTGGCATCACCTTCATTTTACTGTTCTGGCATCTTATCATCCCTATTGCTATCAGAGAGTTGAGTTTTGCAACAACCTACATCATTGTCTTTCCTGGCATACAGAGGGGAGCCTCCACTCTTCAGGTATGCTGGTGTCCCTCTCACTCCATTTCTTATGGTCTTAGTAAATAGAATATTGTCTGGGCTTTACCCTAGAACCTAAGCTATTAGAAATAGTTTATCCATTTCAACCTACTCACTTTCCCAAGCATTTGCTTTCCTTTCTTCTCTAACTAACACCAAAAGTATAACATTTCAACATTACTCTGCCTGGGCTGTTATATTTTCTATGCTCCTAAAAGCCATTCTGTTAGTGAGTATGTATTACTTACTGGGGGCCTTTCCAGGATGTTAAATCTTAAATCTAGGAGAGGTGTTGCCAATTTAATATATGCTTCCTTATTTAAATTTATGTTTCAGCCTCCTTGATCAAGCCGCCTCATAATACAGACACAGTGTACTCCTCTGGTACAAGAACATGCCAGGGCACACTTAGCTCTGTTACTCAGTTCAGTGTGTCCCCTGCTGGAGTATGCTGTGACTTTGGTCCGTCATGCCTACCTTTTTTTGTTGTTGGATTATTTAGAGCAATCCAGTTACACATGCAACACCCCCCTACCCCCACCAAACTCCCCTGGCTAGGACTAACTGTGTATAAGAAGACACTGGTCTGAGTGCAGTGGTTCACACCTGTAATCCCAGAACCAGCCTGCGCAACATAGTTAGACTTCATCTCTACAAAAAATAAAAAAAGTAGCCGAGCATGGTGGCATGCACCTGTTGTCCCAACTACTCAGGAGGGTGAGGCAGGATGATGGCTTAAGCCCAGAAGATCGAGGCTGCAGTAAGCCATGATGGCACCACTGTACGTCAGACTGGGTGACAGAGTGAGTGAGACTCTGTCTCTGAAATTAAAAATTAAAAATAAAAAGACACTGGCCCTGTGGTTTCAGAGCCTTGGAGCAGTATTCAGGATAAAATGAGGCTTGATCCTGATTTCTTAAATTCATCTTAATGCTGGTCATCATCTTGATTTTATTACTCTAATTATAGACCTAGTGGCCAAGAGTGGAGATTGGAGTGAGTCCTGAGGGTACACAAGTTGTCTTGTGGGAGACCTCTGCATTGTCTTCCAGAAGAGTAGGAATGCTGGGTTTTTGAAAAGAAAGGTGTGCCATTTCTTCAGGTTCAAAAGTAGTCAGAAGAATCTGCAAAATCCAAATCTTTAGGGTCATCTCCCCACATATTCCCATCCTATGTATCTGGGTCCCAGGTATTTCCAACCAAACCCCTGAATGCAGTATACCAACTCATCCTGGTTGAATTTTAGCTGTCGTTGAAGTTCAGCCATGAAATTAGGGCCTGATCTTGGTCCTTTTCTTTCTTTGCCCATGCAATACAGGAGATGAGAGCTTCTTTAACTCCAACCAAGGAAGACTTCTGGCTGTTAGTTCCTTGCTTGTTCATTATCTTTCTGTAGACCATTAATATTGTTTAGCAAGAGTCATCCAAATTCATTATATATACCATTTCTTCCATACATCTCAAATATCTGAGACTCTGAGCCCACCAGTGTGACCTCTTTCTTCAGTATACCAGTTCAATACATCAAGTCACCATTCATAAAAATTGTAACAATTGATCTTCTACTTTGTTGCGTGAGGTTTCTGTGCTTCATCTACTCCCAGTGGTGGCATTTGATTCCCAGAGAAGGGACAAATCTACAGTGAAATCCTATTGTTTTTGCCTGTTTTCTCAGGCAACAAGTTGAATTAGTATTGAGGTTGTATTCTTCAGAACACATGTTCTTCAGAGGCACATGCTGAGATGGACTTCGGGGTGACAGGTATTTTTAAAGAATGATAACTATGAAAAGAAGAGAGAGAGCCAAATTGATAACAGGAAAAAATTAAGCTACAATTCAGGTTCTTACATCTCTTTCCATTTGGCAAGGATTTTTTTGAGCAAATATTGCTGAGAAGAGTTTTTCCACGTTGGGTCAAATGGCTTGGCATTTATATCCCGCCTTGCCCGGTCATCGGAAAAGCACTTCTGATAAGGGAGTGTCAAGTGACTCTTAGCAGCTAGAGAGGGCTCTGAAGGAGCTGAAAGGCTGGAGGCTGCTTACTGACCTTGGGACTGTGCTGTATGCTGCTCTTTGAGGGGATTCCAGAGGGTGGTTCATTTCTATGTTTCCTACAGCAGCTTGTCTCTTCCTCAAAGTTATAAGTTCCTGAAATGTAGAGACAGTGACTTCCGCTTCCTTAAGTGTGAATGCTGGCCTAAAGCTTTTAAATAATGTTGACTGGAATAATTAATTTTTAAAAAAAGAATGAATAAAAATGTTGATGGTGTTTGTGGTTATGTGATGATAATGGTGACAATGAGTATAATGCTGATGATCTGTTTATTGAGCTTGTACTACGTCCTTTAGTATCTAGAACCATTCCTGAAACATAATAGGTGCTCCACAAATACTTTGAAAAAATCAGAGAATGAACAAATATATAAGTAACCTGAAAGACATTTTACAAATGTGATTATCTTTAATCCTTGCAAAATTAAACAGGTTTTCTTATTTTACAAATGAGGCTAGTGGAAGTAAAAAAATTATCTGAGATTGCACAGCAACAAGTTGGAGAGACAAGATATAATCGCAGGTCTGACTTCAAAGATTCTGCTATTGAATACTGTCCTGGGAAGTTCATCAGTCAGCCGAATGTGGGGTGGGATAATAGAAACCACTGACAGAGAATGGACTTCAGGGACGGGACTTCAGCTCGGGAGAGACAGATGAGAACACAGATGAGAACACAGATGAGAACTATGTTCTCTCTGGGAGAGTAAGTTGTCATGCAAGAATTCTGTTACAGAAACTAGAGTATGGGGCAATGTCTTGGTAACAGGAAACAAAGAGTAGTATTGCAACCAGAATGTTAGCTGAGGTACATAAATAAGCCTGATTTGGTGCTGCTTGGTGGGGTTTTATGACCTCTGGAAAGACATTTCAAGAAGGTCCTAAAACTTTTTTACTCAGCCAGAGATTTGAATTGGCTACAAGATTGATCTGGACTATAATTGTGAGTGAGGGATGCATATCCCCTAGATTCAGAGACTGAAAGAATACCTGAGAGGTTATCTTACTTTCCAAATATGAAACCTTCCTGCCCAGCTCTGTCTTGCTGTCATACACCCTTCACATAAAGAGCCACATGAACAGGGACTAGGTCAATGCCTGTTGCCTTTCACTTGGATTGTGTGTATCTGAAGAATGGGTAAAATGATTTTCAGCTTAAAAGTGTGGTATGTCTCCTATTACAGGTGACATAATATTTTAAAATCTTTTAAAATTAGATGTTTAAAATTCTATTTACAGCAACTGAACTGTCTTCCAGTGAAGCATCCTCTCATTTGCAGAAACTAAACAAGCATCTATCAAACGTCCATTGTTACTGCATGAAGTTCTTACCAGGTCTCTTCTGTTGGGAAGGATGAGTTATTTATTCTACTGAGGGAGGTTTTTATCTGTGATATGGAAGAAGAGTAGTGCCTTCTGTAAAGAAGAGAAGTTGGAGATTAAAAAACTTGAATTTAGCAAAGGTCAGTTTTCAAACTTCAGGTTTTCAGGTTTATTTTGGAGGAAGAGGAAAATCTGAGTTGTTGAGAAGAAGTGGAAGTTCAAATATTTAATTCATTAACTTGAGGCATTAGAATGTGGGGCTGTGAAACTTAATCTTGAGAGGAAGCTATTGGAGGTCAGGGAAACTTAGAGATTCTGGGGGAAGGTGATAAGGATAGAACGTGGATATTCTGGCAAACAAAGTAAATAATTTTAAGCAGTTGAGAAGAAAAGGGGAGTTTTCTAACCTCATACTGTACATTAAACTCTGTACTTTTTAAATAGATGCTTCACACTTAAATA
The DNA here is from genome assembly GCF_000001405.40 of Homo sapiens. Taxonomy (NCBI): domain Eukaryota; kingdom Metazoa; phylum Chordata; class Mammalia; order Primates; family Hominidae; genus Homo; species Homo sapiens. The sequence goes on along the minus strand of NC_000010.11, from coordinate 108,637,374 downwards.
AGGACATGAAGGGGAAAACATTCCCTCCAGTGTTCAGATATTGACAGAATGAGGTCCCAAAATCTCCTAAACTGATAAGCAACTTCAGCAAAGTCTCAGGATGCAAAATCAATGTGGAAAAATCACAAGCATTCCTATACACCAAAAATAGACAAACGGAGAGCCTAATCATTAGTGAACTCCCATCCACAATTGCTACAAAGATAACAAAATACCTAAGAATACAACCTAAAAGGGATGTGAAGGACCTCTTTAAGGAGAACTACAAACCATTGCTCAAGGAAATAAGAGAGGGCACAAAAAAATGGAAAAACATTTCATGCTCATGGATAGGATGAATCAATATCGTGAAAATGGCCATACTGCCCAAAATAATTTATAGATTCAATGCTAACCCCATCAAGCTACCAATGACTTTCTTCACAGAATTAGAAAAAACTACTTCAAATTTCATATGGAATCAAAAAAGAGCCCATATAACAAAGACAATCCTAAGCAAAAAGAACAAAGCTGGAGGCATCATGCTACCTGACTTCAAACTATACTATAAGGCTACAGTAACCAAAACAGTATGGTACTGGTACTAAAACAAATATATAGACCAATGGAACAGAACAGAGGCCTCAGAAATAACACCACACATCTACAACCATCTGATCTTTGACAAACCTGACAAAAATAAGAAACGGGGAAAGGATTCCCTATTTAATAAATGGTGTTGGGAAAACTGGCTAGCCATGTGCAGAAAGCAGAAACTGGACCCATTCCTTATACCTTATACAAAATTAACTCAAGATGGATTAAAGACTTAAACATAAGACCTAAAAACTGTAAACACTCTATAAGAAAACCCAGGCAATACCATTCAGCACATAGGCATGAGCAAAGGCTTGATGACTAAAACACCAAAAACAATGGCAACAAAAGCCAAAATTGACAAATGAGACCTAATTAAAATAAAGAGCTTCTGCACAGCAAGAGAAATTATCATCAGAGTGAACAGGCAACCTACAGAATGGGAGAAAATTTTTGTAATCTATCCATCTGACAAAGAGCTAATATCCAGAATCTAAGAATCTACAAGGAACTTAAACAAATTTACAAGAAAAAAACAAACAACCCCATCAACATGTGGGAGAAGAATATGAACAGACACTTCTCAAAAGAAGACATTTATGCAGCCAACAAACATATGGAAAAAAGCTCATCATCACTGGTCATCAGAGAAATGCAAATCAAAACCACAAGGAGCTACCATCTCATGCCAGTTAGAATGGTGATCATTAAAAAGTCTGGAAACAACAGATGCTGGAGAGGATGTGAAAAAGTAGGAATGCTTTTACACTGTTGGTGGGAGTCTAAATTAGTTCAACCATTGTGGAAGACAGTGTGACGATTCCTCAAGGACCTAGAACCAGAAATACCATTTGACCCAGCAATCTCATTACTGGGTATATATCCAGAGAAGTATATATCATTCTACAATAAAGACACATGCACATGTATGTTTATTGCAGCACTATTCATAATAGCAAAGACTTGGAACCAACCCAAATGCTCATCAATGATAGACTGGATAAAGAAAACATGGCACATATACACCTATAATACTATGCAGCCATAAAAAGGATGAGTTCAAGTCCTTTGCAGAGACATGGATGAAGCTGGAAACCATCATTCTCAGCCAACTAACACAGGAACAGAAAACCAAACACCACATGTTCTCACTCATAAGTGGGAATTGAACAATGAGAACACGTGGACACACGGGGGAAACATCACACACCAGGGCCTGTTGGGGGGAGAGGGGCGAGGGGAGTGATAGCATTAGGAGAAATACCTAATGTAGATGATGGGTTGATGGGTGCAGCAAACCACCGTGGCATATGTATACCTATGTAACAAACATGCACGTTCTGCACATGTATGCCTGAACTTAAAGTATAATAAAAGTCTATAAATTCTTGTTAGAAGTATGGATATATTCAGTTACAGAAATCTAATGCAAACTGGTTAAAGCAAAAAATAAATTTATTGACTCATCAAATTAAAAAATTTAGGACAAGGCTGAACTCAAGTGATGTCATGATTGAAACAGCTTCTCTCTGTCTTTCTGCTCTGCATTCTGTTTTGGCTTCATTATAAAGCTGGCTTCCATTTTACAGTGGCCTCTGCAACTTAAAGTTTACATCTTATTCATCTTAAGCCAGCAAAATAGATTAACTGTTTCTCAGTGGTTCTAATAAAGGTCTGTGAAAGAATCCCAAGAACTCAGGATGTCTTGACTTGGGTCACATGTCTGCTCCTCCGCCAATCAGATGTGATGCTCTGATTGGCTATTCCTGCATCATATGTCAATTCTTGAAGCTGATGATGGGGCAACATCTAACTGTCTTATCTCTCTATTTCAACATGATTTGAGAGTGAGAGATGGGCTGTTAGCAGTAGAAAACCAGGGAGATATTACCAGAAAAGGAGGTAGTGAGTAGGGGGTGGATATTTGTCAAACCAGAACAGTTATTCAATCTATGCTTTAATCCTCTAGACTTTAGTTGCCAGAAACCTCTGCAAAAAGAAGACACAAAAAATGGAAATACATCCCATGTTCACAGAATGAAAGAATTAATATTTTAAATGTCCATACTACCCAAAGTGATCTACAGTTTCAATGTAATTATTATCAAAATACCAATGACATTCTCCACAAAAATAGAAAATCAATCCCAAAATTTGTAGGGAAGTGAGGTAGGAGGCAGACAGGACTCTTCCAGATCAGATTGAAGGCAGGCTGAGACTGGGAAGGGGCACTGAAAGCACCTCCAGTTGCTCTCACTGACCATCACCATAAGACACTCCTGCCAGCATAGTTCACAAATGACATAGCAATGCTCTGAAGTTATTGTTTCTTTTGCCATAGCAACACCTGAAATTTACAGCTCATTGTCTAGCTTTTACTGAATATCCCACCCCTTAATTAGCATGTTATTAAAAGTGGGCATAAATATGACTGCAAACTGCCCATAGGCAGACTGCCTATGGAGTAGCCCTGCTCTGCAAGGAGCAGTCACAGAGCTGTAACATTGCCGCTGCCTCAATAAAGCTGCATTCTTCTTCCACAAGCTCACTCTTGAATTCTTTCCTGAGTGAAGCCGAGAAGCTTCTCTGCATTCGAACCACAAAAGATCCCAAACAGTCAAAGAAATCTTGAGCACAAAAAACAAAACTAGAGCTATCACCCTATGTGACCTCATAATACAAATCTATAGTCACCAAAATAGCCCAAGAGTAAAAAATAGACAAATATAGACCAATGGAATATAAGAGAGAGCCCAGAAATCCACACATTTACTATGAGCTGATTTTTGACAAATATGCCAAGAATACACGAGTGAGAAAGAAGAGTCTCTTCAATAAATGACATTAAGAAAACTCGATATTCACATACAGAATAATGAAATTAGATCTTTATCTCTCACCGTGTACAAAAACTAACCCAAAATGAATTAAAATGCTTAAATGTGAGATCCAAAACTATATAACTAATAGAAAAAAACATACCAGAAATGACATAAGTCTGGGGAAGGCTTTTTTTTTTTTTGGATAAGACCCCAAAGTAAAGGTAACAAAAGCAAAAATAGACAAATGGGATTATGTTAAACTAAAAAGATTCTGCACAGCAAAAGGAAACAATCGACAAAACCAAAGGACAACCAACAGAATTAGAGAAAATATTTATAAACGATACATCTGACAAGGGGTTAATTTCTAAATTATGTAAAGAACTCAAATGACTCAATGACAAACAACATAATTTTTTAAGTGGGAAAGCCCTGAATAGACATTTCTCAAAAGAAGACAAACAAATGGCCAAGAAGTATATGAAAAAATGTTCAACACATCAGAGAAATGCAAATCAAAACCACAATGAGATATCATCTCACCCCAGTTAGAACGACCATTACAAAAAAGACAAAAGATAACAAGTGCTGATGAGGATGTGGAGAAAAGAGAATGCATATACACTGCTGGTGGGAATGTAAATTAGTACAGCCATTATGAAGAACAGTATGGTGGTTCCTCAAAAAATTAAAAATAGAACTACCCATATGTTTCAGCAATTTCACTGCTGGGCATATATCCAAAGGAGTTGAAATCAGAATGTAGAAGAGATATCTGCACTTCTGAATTTATTGTAACACTATGCACAATAGCCAAGATATGGAATCAACCTACATGTGCATCGGTAGGTGAATTGGTAAAGAAAATGTGGTCTGTATGCACAATGAAATACTCCTCAGCCATAAAAAGGATAAAATCCTGCCATTTGTGACAACATGGATGAACCTGGAGGACATTATGCTAAGTTAAATAAGCCAGGCACAGAAGGACAAATAGTGCATGATCTCCCTCAAACATGTAATCTAAAAAAGTTGACCAAATAGAAGTAGAGAGGAGAAAGATGGTTGCTACTTAGGCTGGGATGGCTAACACAGAAAAGGGTGATGTTGGGCAAAGGATATGTAATGAAAGTTACGTATGAAAAATAAATTTCAAGAGATCTATTCTATAGCAGGATGACTAAAGCTTATCATGATATATTGTATTCTTGCAAAATGTAGAGCAAATGTTATGTGCTCTTACCACAGAAATGATAACTATGGAAGGTAATGTATTTGTTAATTAGCTAGACTGAACCATTCCATGACATATAAGTGCATTAAAATATGATGTTGTACATGATAAAAACATACAACATTATCTGTTGATTTATGAAAAATAAGAAAAGGAAGATTGTGAGGTTGTGTTTTCCTCCTTCCCAGCCCTTTGCCTCAAAACCACATGCAAAGCCCTCCTGCTTTGTCTCACACTTCATTTACCCTGCTCTCCCAGCAAATACACATCTATTTACAAACACTTCATTAGTTTTGGTGTTTGCCTCAGAGCTGTGATTTGTAGGAGGTGTTTCTTTAAGGTTCGCTGATGTCTCCCCTGAGTGCTGTCTGTGGGATCTTTTTAATTCCTCTCCTCTCCTGGGACCATCACTCTTGGGACTACACTGGCTTAATCAATATTTATTAGCATTGCTTGACAGTCTGTGTGTGTGCATTCAAGCAGTGAGGGAGACCACCAGAGGTCATCAGAATCTTGCTGATGTGTTGTGTCAAGTACTAGGGAGTCTATATATAATAAGAAACAGAGGGACAGGAAGTGGCATTCTAAATGCCCAGTTTATCATGGAACTAACAGAAGAGAACGAATACATGATGCTAGATTTACCTAAGCAAGAGAAAGGGGATGGGCTGTTGAATTTGTCCAGGAGTCTTTTCCATCTAAGTAGCAGAATATTCAGTTTTGGAAACTGATCTTTTCAAGAACTTCTGCAGTCCTTTTAGCTTGAGTAAAGAGAGTATTTAGTGTCCATTCTGCAGATCACCAGCTGCACAAGGGAATCCTCTCTTTTGCAAACTTGATAGGACCAGGCCTTCACCATTGATTCATGGCATCAGAACTATCCTGTCATCATGGCATTATGCATTAATTCTGTCTCAGATACGTTATTAGAGATTAAGTGTGATGCAGTGCTGAGTGTGCAGTGAGAGGCTCAATTCTTATGGGGCAAGTAAACTTTAAAGTTTCAGACTAAATCCTTACCAGTCATTTTTTAAGGGAAAGTGACTTCTTTTTTCTGAGAGAAATGGAGGAAGAAAGCATATTTGGCTCCAGACAAAAGGAGTTCCCCCAGGGAAAGAGTTCTCAGAATGCATGACTTATTGACAAAGATGTCTACAGTATAATTTCAAACGTAAAGCAGATCTAGCATCTAGAGCAGGAACCATGCATGGGTGAACAGTCAGCCTTGCCTGAGTCTTATAGAATTGACTGGGCTCTTTCATCTCATCTTGTAGCTACAGCAAGAAGATAGATTCGGAAGATACTTTGACATCTAATCTTGGTTTTCTCTCTGTTTTTCAGCAAGATCTTCCATAAATATTATATATCAAGAAGACCACATGTCCCCCATGCAAATACTTCTAGAAAAATAATTATACTGTTCACTTTTAATGGTTTGGCCTATATTTTTAGTTTCTGGCATTTTTGTGTGTGTGCCTACATTCAGCATAATCAGTCAGGCAGGAGAAAGTAACACTTCTGTTGTGAAGACTGAATTTGCCTGCCTTGGAAGAATTATGACAATTTCTGTGGCCACCATGAGCTAGAGAAGTTTCTAAGGTCATATTTGCTCTTTTGGAATTCTTTCTGGGGTTGTGAACATTCACGCAGACCAGGAGACTGAAAGAGAGCACTTAGTGTCCACCCTGCACTCACCAATTGTACAAGGGAATCCTCTCTCCTCTCATAAACTCTTGATGGGACTGGGCCTTCACCACCGATTCATGACATCGGAACTCTTGTGTCATTGTGGCATCATGCATTTTTCTGTCTCAAGTATGCCATTATAGATTAAAGGTGATGCAGCACTGAACGTAGAGTGAGAGGGTCAGTACACATTCCACGTAGGCAGGGAATGTCACATACAAGATGATGCTGGCATATAGTAAGCACTGAAAAGTAGTAAAAAGACAAAATGCCCTGTCATCACGGTGTTTGCTTTCTGGGCATAGGGAGACAAAAATAAATATGAGGAAGTAAAATATATAGTATATTAGCGAAAAAAGTATGCTGGAGAAAAATCAAACAAAGAATGCTCATAGAGGATGAAGACAGGGTACAGATGTAATAGGGTAGTCAGAGAAAGTGATTTGGGCAAAGGGCTAAAGGAGGTAAGAGAGATTCATACCTACCTGAAGAATAGTCCAGAGGAAAAGAAAGAGATCTGAGGTAGGTGCATGCCAGCTGTGTTCTGGAAAGAGGCAGGTGTGTCTAGAGAACAGAGAGCAGAGTCCCTGAGATAACCACTCCATTCCCAACCCAGATCTCTTTGATAAAACATCAGGTATCTGATTTTTCTTTCAGTGCTGCAGCTGCATAGGGCATGTGTTTTCTCCCATCATTCCCCAGGCACAGAGACATTCAGTTTTTGCTCAGGAAGGTAAACTACCTGTTTTGCATCTTAGTTATATGATGGCTTGTTAATCTCTGTGCTCTGGAGTAGATTTGTCATCTTTCTTTTTCATTCATGATATTGAAATTTTTAAATGGTAAAGGCCAAGTATCTTATAGAATGGGCTTCAATCTTGGTTTGTCTAATTTTACCCCATTATCAGATCCAGGTAAGAGTCAGAGCAAGGCTATTCCTCAGGGTGTCGCTCTGTTCTTCCCATTGCTTCCCAGCAAGAGAAAGGTCCATGTACTCTGCTGTTGATGACGAAACATTGATCATTCAGCTAAGATGGTCCCTGGATTTCTTTGTAAATATGCTTCCCTGCTTTGTCATCAGTAGTAATCTCTGAGCCAGTGTAAATATCATATTTCCCAACTCCTGTCTCCCAGTGTTTTGGCAATAACCTCTGATTCTTTTCTTAGTGAATTATTACATTGATGGCTTTCTAAAGGTCGTTCTTTTTTCTCATTTAAACATTTGTTCACTATATGTTAGCTACAATTATTATATAAAGAAGAGTTGTCCCTTGGTAAGGTATATTTTTAGGAGGGGAGGGGGGCAGATGTCACATTCTGAAATTTTCATTCCCTTTCCTCTTCCCAAATTGCTTCTTGTTGCTGACATAAAAATTTCAGAGGGGTGCTTGCAGGAGAGAAACAGCATGTGCTCTACAGCTTGCATGTATTTATACAATGTGTTTTCATACATTTCTCTATAACTTTGAGCTATACATGCTAAAATAAATAAAACCTTTAAATTTCAGTAAGTTTAAGGTAGAAAGCTCAATTCTGAAAGGGTATGTTTATGTTGACAGTCATTCTACATAACATGTACTTATGAGGAAAATGACAAAAACAAAAATACAGAAACTCTGTGATAATGCAACAGTCATACGTACCCGTTGAGTGCCTGTTGTATGACACCTCTGGCATTACAAGCCTTAGGTAGGAGAAAAAGACAACAGATATCAAGTGTATCCACAGGAAACTTTACACATATATATGTATACGAGACATGTATATGTGTGTATGTGTATGTGTGTGTATGTATATAGATATACATACATACATTTTAGGGAGTTTTTTAAGTTTTTATTTTTAATTGAAAAAATAATGATTGTGTATGTTTATGGGATATATAAGGGGATGTTTTGATGTAGGTATACACTGTTGAATGATTATATCAAGCAAATTAACATACCCATCACCTCAAATACTTATCTTTTTTTATACCGAGAACATTTAAAATCTATTGTTTTAGCAATTTTGAAATATGCAATATATTATTATGAACTATGGTGACCATACTGTGCAACAGATCTTGAAAATGTATTCCTTCTGTTTAACTGAAATTTTGTAGCTTTTGGTCAACATCTTTCCATTCTCTACCTTCACCTCTCCCAGCCTTCAGCAACCACCGTTCTCCACTCCACTTCTATAAATTCAGCTTTTTCAGATTCCACATATAGTGAGATTATGTGGTATTTATCGTTGTATGCCTGGCATATTTCACTAAGCATAATATCCTCCAGGTTCATCCATGTTGTCACAAATAACAAAATTTCTTTCTTTTTTAAGGCTGAGTAATAATCCTGAGTGTGTGTGTGTGTGTGTGTGTGTGTAATAATTGTCTTTATCCATTTATTTGTTAATAGATGCTTAGGTTGATTTCATATCTTGACTATTGTGCATAATTCTGCAATGAATATGAGGTGCAGATATCTCTTCGATATACTGGTTTCATTTCTGTTGAGTGTATACCCAGAAGTGGGATTGCTAGATCATATGGAAGTTCTGTTCTAGGTTTCAGAGGAGCTTCCATACCATTCTTCATAATGACTATTAACTTACATTTCCACCAACAGTGTACAAGGGATCTCTTTTCTCTATATCCACATCAACACTTGTTATTGTTTATCTTTTTGATAATAGCCACCCTAGCAGGCATGAGGTAATATTTCATTATGATTTTAATTTGTGTTTTATTGCTGAGTAACCATGTTGAACATTTTAATATTAAATTTCATATACACATACCTACTCTTAATAAGTTATTAGAAGTATTACCTTACTTTTTCCTCCAGCTAATATGCTAGGCAACACACACAAAATGTTTGTAATCCTTAAGTGTCCACATACGTAATCAGTGTGCATTGTATTGCATGCATAAGCTGAGTAGGAGGATGGAGGGAGTGGATGGGTTTACTATCTGGTAGGAAAACAAAGACGCTCTCCCATACAATGTTAGTAAATAACATGAGATGGCCTATTATTAAATACAAAGTTGGGTGATATAGACTGTTGTATGAAATTATGCAGAGACATGGATCTGTTATAAGAAGCCTCGCAGGGCATAGACAGTTTTCCTGGCAAACAAACAAATAAATAAAACAACAACAACAACAACAAAACAGCATAAGAAAGGGCAATAATGTGGGGAAAACAGCCAACAACATGGTAACTTTTCCTATCAGAGTTATATATATCATAAAATAATGCTAGGAGAATGGGATTGGAACGAAAGAATTTATCATGGGAGAAATGTAGAGACCTTTTTGGAGAAATTGAAATAGGCTTTTCTTGTGTGGGATCATAAATTTTAAGGTCAGTTCAGGGCTGAAGTTCCTGGGACTGAGCTTGATACCACCAGAAGGGTAAGATTCAGAGACAGACAGAAACTCCATGTCTCCAGAGATATGCTTTAGATTTACTTTTATTTGATTTTTGTAAATTTACAAATAGTTTGAATTAGACTTTGTCTAGTCGCTGGTAACAAGGTTAAGATTGGCTAATTAAAGGAATGGAAGGGACACAAAAGGATTGAAGAGTAGGAACTCTCCAGGAGAGGTCTGAGGGAATTATTGAGAAGGAATTACCCTAATTTTATCACATGTATAGAGAAGAAGCTCCTTTGATTTTAATTACTCACTCAGTGAAATATTTTTTGTCTCCATTAATGAGACCCTGCAAAACTCTAGCCTAGCTGATTACATTTTGAAATTGTCAGGTAAAAGACAAAGTAGGAAAAGGCTAATATTTAGTATTTAACATCTAAGACCAGTATTTTTTCATTTTATTTTATTTTAAAAATTACAGTTTTGTAGATACTGTAAGAAGCATATTTTTCAATAACCAGTCATTATTTATTTAACTGGTTGTGATATAATTTATCTTATGAGTTGTTTCACCAACTGCTGCTTTTAGGATAGACCCTGCTTCTATTGTCTACATGCTCTCATCTCTCCTATCCCTTCATCAGTCAGCCATCAGTCTGCCTTTGACTTCTCTCTGTGTGTGTCTCTCTCTCCCCTCCTGTTATTTCTATGAAAGGGAAAGGGAGGAAGAGCAAGGGCAAGAGGGAGAGCAGGAGCGAGAAGGAAAGTGAGAGAGGAGGTGGGGCGCTGTAATCTCAGCACTTAAGGGGGCCGAGGCGGGTGGGTCACTTCAGGTCAGAAGTTCGAGACCAGCCCTGACCAACATGGTGAAACCAGGTCTCTACTAAAAAATACAAAAATTAGCTGGGTGTGGTGGCACATGTCTGTAATCCCAGCTACTCGGGAGGCTGAGGCAGGATAATTGCATGAACCCAGGAGGCGGAGGCTGCAGCAGTGAGCTGAGAATGCACCACTGCGTTCCAGCCTGGGCAACAGAGTGAGACTCTGTCTCAAAAAATAATAATAATAAATAAATAAAATTTTTAAAAAAAGTGAGAGAGAAAATAAATGTAAATGTAAACTGGGCAAATTATTGATTGATAGGTAACCTGCAAGTTATTTTCTTAAGGGAATATTATTATATTTATGTTGTTATGTATCCAGTAAATGACACAGTTTTCTTTCTTTATTCCACGTATAAAGAGAAAGCAAGCAGAGATTTGCTTGGCATCCCATCTTAAGTGAAAGTAGACTTTGCTATGAAGCTCTGATTTCTCACAGCTGTACCATATTCTACTAAAATTGAAGTAATAGGTGAAAGAGGGATAGATGTGCGTTTATAATTAGAACGATCCTTTATCATCCTGAACGATTCTGTGTGCTGAAAAGGCAGTGATAAAATAAGGGCCTCAGCAGACATCAAAAACATAAATAAGCTTCCTAATAACAGTAGGCTAGGATTAACCCCAGAACGTCTACATAAGTTTCTTGTCCCAGAAATATAATGGAAATTACGCACATGAGGAGGAGATTGGAAGAACAGTATTAGTATCCTTTTAAAAGAGGCAGCTCTTCCCTCAAGTCTCCTCAGAAATGTAGAGTAATTTGAAGGGAGCTACAGACACTATAAAAACATGCGCAGACTGGATCTCAAGGAAAGCTTCAGACTGGCCTGGTTTAGACGGAGAGTCCGGAGGGGTGCAGACATGAGGAAGGTGACTCCATGGAACGACTTGTTATGTAGGATAATAAAGGGGCCAGTAGAATATAAAGGGAAGGAGCTTGATAAAGGGCACTGTTAGCTGCACGTTAAAGTGCAAGCTGGCATTCTCCTTGTTATTCCTTTTTCTCTCCCCAGTTGCACAAAGGAACCCTTCAGTTATGTTGAACCAGGCACTAGAATCTGAATATATCTCTATTCCTGATGAAAAGGACTTAGAAGATGCTTGAAGAAATATTAGCCATTTTTTTTGTTGTTGTTGTGCTTATTTTCCTGCCTATCTTCACTCCATTTCTCTTACAAAATTTACCTCCCTCCCTGGTCTGTGATTCAGAAGAATAGCATCAGAATGAGTTTCCATGGGAGTAGTATCATTGGCTTCCTCTCATTTGCTCACATCAGGGTACTCTATGTGCTGAGTAGGGATCTAAGATGTGGGCCAGGCTCATAAAGAGTGTTGATGATGCCATGAACATGAAAAAGAATGGTGGCATTGGCTGTGCTGTCCATTTTCCAACCCTGCCTCTTTAAAAATATGTCTAAGGACAAACATGATTTGAAAACCTGTTGTAGATCTCATATGTCATGGAGCCTAATGCGAGGGATCTGGAACTTGCAACCAGGCTAGTCTTAAATCACAGGGACTACAGCTGATGACATACTTAAGGGAATTTGTTCGGATGCCTTTGAAAATCCTCAGTCTTGGTAACAGTGCTTAACATTTATTAAGCATTTATAAACAGGTACTGTTCTGAGTTGTTTATATGCATTATCTTTTTAAAAAATCTTCAGAGCAGCCTTAGGAACCAGGTGCTTTATAAGTGAGGAAACAGGCTTGAAGAAATGAAGTAATTGTTCTTGGTTACAAAACATCCCTAAATCCTTTGCTGTTCTATAATGTCACTAATTGAGATAAAGATGTAAAATAGCCAGGTAGGGACAGTTACCAGTTCATAAACTGCTCTTTCAGACTCCTGAGTACTGATACTAACATATTCAAATACTGACTTTGCATTTTGCCTACACTGTCTCATTTAATCTCTGCAATGATTCTATTTGGTAGCTGCTGTTGATATTCTTAAACAGTGACTGGTAGGTTCAATGGCAGATAAAACTGAATTTACACACACCAAGGGACAATTGTTGTTGCAATTATTTTTCATAATCACATTTAGAAGATTACCTTTTTGAGAACACAAAAACAAGTAGGCAAGACATTGAAGGCCCATGTTCATTTCTGATAATGGAACCATCCAATAAACTGTGCTATCATGTTGGTATAGAGGGGATCTGGAAATAGGGGAGTGCTCTATTTATTTCTCTTTCTTATTAGATAATTTCAAACACAGTTTCACTGCAGGTGTTTACCTGTTTTGTAAATGTCATTTGTCTATATAATTATAATGTATAATTTCATTTCTCTTTTGCCAGTTTTTTATGTTAGTCTAAGGGCCAAAATCAGAAATGGAAATTAGAATAGGAGCCAGGAGGAGGAGATCTTCCATCAGCTATGTCTCCACTCACTCACATAAATTTTCTCTTGAGAATCTAGCTCAAGTTGATTTATTTTTATTAGAACTTTAAATCACCATTTCTGTTTTTGCCCTGTGAGGTCAAACCTCACTATGTTTATCCTTACTCTATTTGCTAGAGAATTCACATACTAGTCAGTAATTCACACAAATAGGCAACAGATCACAAAAATAATTCTTCAAATTCATATGTTACTGTTAGTGATAGCGTAGTGTCTGGCTACTTCCATCATTTCTAATATGCATCCTCTTTGGAAAGGTAAGAACTGTGCTCCTTAATTCCAGTAATTTGTTCTGCTGCTTCACCTGAAAGATAATGTGACTCCTGGGAATAAGGCTCTATTGCCAGAAACTAAGTCATTTCTGCACAATGTTTTTAAAAAGAAGATGTCTTATGACTAACTGGCAGAAAAGAGAATGAGGCCTAAGTACCAAATAAAAACATCCAAAATTTCTAAGTATAACTTTAACTGTAACTGAAGTAGAAGACAAAGATAGTAACCCCCATGTTCTAGTAAGCAAGGGCTTTGGAGTGCCAGAGACCAAGGTTTAAATCCTGTGACCACTTTTAACCAACTGGGTGACTCTAGCAAGTTGTATAGTCTTTGTAAGATTGTTTACTCATCCATAAAATTGAGACGGTGAGAGCCCAGGGTTGTAGAGATCATTAAATGAGATAATATGCATGACGTTTCTGGCACAATTTCTAGGACACAGTGGTTCGGGAAGGACTAGTTCTTTTCTTGGAGCTGCCTTATCCATCAAAAAGAAGCGTAAGATTTAATTTATTTTCTCCCAACCCCTAATACTTCAGTAAAGATCCCTTTCCTTACCAAACCAACCAAACCAAACCAAAGAAAACACACACACACACACCAGAAACAAACACAACCAAATTCTCTGCTCTGTGCAGGAGGGCAGCCCTATTCTTTGGTGGTGGATGTTTATATCCACCTTAGGGTAGATAGAAGGGTTGTCAAGTTTTATATTTCCAAGGTTTTTGGCAATCAATGTATCCAATCACCTTTAATTGCTTGGCCTTTCTCTTTCCTTAATAAAAGCAAATAAATGTCCCCGTGGGGCCCTCTACACACACACACACGCACACCTTTCTCTTCAAAAATATCTTATTTGAAACTATTAGAAAAATTATTCTTCTTAAGGGATGGTAAAGCATGGGTCACTGTATAGAAGCACTCCATCTGAAAATAGTCTGAGGCAGAGAAACCAATGAGTGTAGCATGCACACATATATACATACCCAGGAGGAGCACAGACAAGCAGCATCTAAGACAGCCTCACTCCAGAGAATCATAGACGCTTTCCAGCATGAAGGTCTCAGTGACTTAGCGAGGAAAAAAAGTAGATAAAACATGCCATTGAGAGACAAAGTCATGCATAAAGACATTGTGCTATGAGAGAGATTCAAGGTTTTGGAGATAAAAAGAAGTTAAGAATGACTGGAGAGACAAATTGAGAACAAGGTTGTGATCTCACATAATTTTGTTTAAATGTTTAAGTTTATTTCAAAATCCACATCTCTTAACTGCAAAACTAAGTGTAACATCAAAAGTAAATTAGTAAGGCAGATAATAACTAACTTATGAGGCAAAAGAGCTGGAATCTGAGTAATATACCCATTCAAGAAAATAATATGGGATATAATTATTTAAAAAATGCGGTATTGAGCAGAATCTACTACAACTCTAATTGGTTCAAATTCTTTGTAGGTAAAGAGACACATACATTGTTACTTATATAATTTTATTTAAACTGTCCTCTTTTGTATGTGTAAAATGTCCCCTACTCTCCCCTTCCAATCTGTATCTTTCCCTTCTTTAAACTGTGTCAGGCACCCTCCTGCACAGACCTATGGGTATGTTCTTTCTACCTGAGCCTGACCCACCATTATGATTTGTGTGGTCCACAAACATGGTGGGTAATTTTCTTTATTCATACACATCATTTGCATACATGAGGAGACTTCCTCAAGTGAGAGAAACTCTATGTATCTGGGAATTAACGTGGTAGGAAATCTTCAGGGTCAGTTATTAATCTTCAGGGCCTTGCATGCCTATGGCCCCTGGAATGCATGATTTTAGTTGATCTGTTTTCTGGACACAAAGCACTTCTTCCCCTGTATATTTTCTTCACATATATATATATATATATATATATATATATATATATATATATATATATATATTCAATTTTATTGTAGATTCTATGCTAGGCACAGGAAAAGAGTTTCAATCAAAGGCAGCATCTGGATAGTTTCTAGTTTGAAATCTCATCTCTCTATGTGTTCTTTTCTATCCTGTGTTGCAGTTATTACAAACAAACATTGTAGTAAAAATGAACATAGATTCTGGAGGCAGGCCACCCTGGAGTGAAACTGAAGCTCAAACATTGATACATCTATGAATTTTCAATATGTGTTTAACCCCTCCAGATCTCAGTGTTCTTATTTTATAAATGGAAATACTAACACTGACTTCATGTCATCTGTTAAACAACATAAGGCACACAAACTGCCTCATCCGTTGCATAGAAATAAGTCACAAATATTGGCTTTACCTTCCTCCTACTTACCTGAATACTTCTTGAGGGCAGCAGCCTTTTGTGGTTTGATCTAAATATTTTTAAAGCACTCTGCTGCATACTAAAATAGTGGAGATTCAATAAAAAGTAGAGATGAATAGCAAGATACACACACACACACACACACACACAGGGTAGAAGTAACTTAGTCATTGACATTTTGGAATATATGGAAGAGCTAAGAGCAGGTGTAGGATGAGGAGAGAGAGAGAGGGCGTGTCTCTGATGGGTACCGAGAATGAGATGTCAAATTAGGTCAAACTTCATCATTTGACCAAAGTTGGGTTTTATGTTTCATAATTTGAATAAGATACTGAAATGTGTTCTATTATTTGGTGGAGAGAAGAGGATTGAATTCCTTTCAGAACCAAGATCACAGTCTGGTTACAACCTCAAAACCAGATGTGGCTGTGGGACTTCTTTCAGGAGCCCATGCTGTTCTCAGCTGGATCACACAGCCATGGGGGAGGGCATTTGGTATGGCATGATAGCAGGAAGTTTTACTTTGATCCTCAAATTGGTGACTTGTCTCAATTAGGAGATTCTGTCCTGATGTGCTCTAGTCACCCAAACTACACTCTCTCTAGAATTAATCATTTTCCCAGGTGCCCCTGATGCTACAGTTAAATATTTCCTGTGGCTATGGAAATTATATGGCACAGTAACTAATTACAGGTTATAATAATAAAAAGGGAATAGAGAAATAGCCCTAGAATAATTACTGAGCAGTCAGAGTCAGGGGTGGACTTAAGCTAATTGGCTTCCTGACAGAGTTCTTCTCCAGGGTCTCCAGGTGGCCTTTTATTTTAATGAATGTTTGCTAAGATTAGAGGCTTCTTAAAGCCCCCAGCTACAGTGTGGAATGGCTGAAGAAAATAAACTTTTTAACAGGCCTGCAGTTTTCTGGACTCAAACAGAATGTCGTGTAAGAAAGTACAGAAGTTTTAATTATTTTACTTACTCAATTTCTCCTATAACTAGGGACAAGTGGCCTTAATGTGTAATATGAAGCTGATGCTCGAAATGTTTGCTCTTCCCAGCAATTTTTAGGTTTTAGGCCAAGTGTCCCAATGCCTAAACCTGAGACTCTACCTATGATACCACACAGCAGATCATCAAGAAATGCTTATTGTTTTAATTACCTATGAAACTTATATTCAATTCTGTCATTGTTCTCATTAATTTTCTATATTTGTTTTAATCATATAACCGGTCAAACACAGATATATAAAGCAGATATCTTATCTCGAAGACCTTCTCATCCTCTGGTTGCCCTAATAATATATATTCAAAAAATATCTAACAACATATTCTGAACTAGATAAATTGTAGACAGTAGTTATACAGAGCTAAGCACAGGCTGTGATTCTAAAGGAGATTTTCTCAAGGGACATGGCATTTAAGTGAATCTTTTAAATAAATGCAATTTAGGTGGGTAGAAAAATGGAATAAATTTTGCTTATAAGCCTGGACTATATGTCTACTGATGCAGAATCTTGAATGGTGAAATGGGAGAGGTCAGTTTGGGTCTATCAGAAACTTCAACCTGGGAAAAAGACAGAAGTAAGAGTGGCCAATGTGGAATGTCAGACAAAGAAGGCTTCAATTAGAGTTGAATAGATTTTTATCCTGTGGGTAAAAGGGAGACATCGTCCGTAGTCCATAGGAGAAACAACTTTGGAAGGTAATTCTAGCATGAATATGCTGATCATGAATTTCAATGAAGGGACTAAAGTTGGGGCTTCCGATTATATCAAGCATCTAATGGTCCACAAAATGGCCCAGTGGAGATCTAAACGAGGGAAGGACATAGCAATAAGAGAGGGATTCTTGATATGTAATAAAAGATAGCCTCTGTGCCTGCACTCTTATCAAGGGTTCATGCTTTTTCTTGTTTTCTATGCTCATGAAGCTTTATGCATGTTGTATAGATGGTGGGCACTGATCAAATATTTTTAATGCAGAAAGAGAGGTCAATTTAAAGAAAGGAGTGTTGAGTTAAGGCAGGAGGACTTGGGTCTATGTTTTGGATTTATCACTTACTAGCCATGTCACCAAGAAAAAATGCAATACTCTTCTATGTGTTTATATCTTGGCTTCTCTTACTATTCAAATATAAATAATTTCTGCACTACATCTTCAATCCATGTTTCTCCAAAATTCAAGACAATTACAGTTGCCTATTTTTTTCTGACAGCTGCAGTCTGGTAACCACAGACATCGGAATTAATAGATCAAAAAAGAAAAAGAATAGTTCTCTCTCTTCCTTCTCATCACCACCAAAAGCCCACCTGTCCTCCTGTACTCTTTATCCTAAAATAGAAACTACTTTACCTCAAACCTTTTCTTTCTCAGAGGAATTTGTACCTCAAATAGTTGGGGAAAAAAGAAATTTATATTAGAAGGCTAAAAATGATTAAAAACGGATTGGGGCCAGGTGTGGTGGCTCACGCCTGTAATCCCAGCACTTTGGGAGGCCGAGGTGGGCAGATTGCGAGGTCAGGAGACCAAGACCATCCTGGCTAACACGGTGAAACCCCGTCTCTACTAAAAATACGAAAAAAATTAGCCAGGCGTGGTGGTGGGCACCTGTAGTCCCACCTACTTGGGAGGCTGAGGCAGGAAAATGGCCTGAATCTGGAAGGCGGAGCTTGCAGTGAGCCAAGATCACACCACTGCACTCTGCCTGGGTGACAAGGCGAGATCCCATCTCAAAAAAAAAAAAAAAAAACTGATTGGCTAACTCTTCCTAAGGCAACAATAATACTGCTATATTCCAAATGTTTGCATTTCCTCAAAATTCATACATTGGAATATTAACCCCCAAGACGATAATATTAGGAGACAGGGCCTTCTGAGAGGTGATTAGGTCATGAGGGTGAAGCTCTCATGAAGGGGATTAGTGCCTTTTTGAAGGAGGTCCCAGAGAGCTATCTTGCCCCTTCCACCGTGTGAGGGCACAGCCAAAAGGTGCCATCTATGAGGAAGCATGCCTTCACAGACACTAACATCACCTTGATCTTGAACTTCCCAGCTCCAGAACCTTGAGGAATAAGTTTTTGCTATTTACAGGTTACCTAGTTTAATATATTTTATTTTATATCAGCCTGAACAAACTATGACAAATACCTTATATTCGGATGACACTATACAATCTATAAAATGTGTTTTCAAAGATCCCATGGCTAAATCATGACAAAATGATTAATTTTAATGATAAAATTGGGTCTGTAATGAGAGGTTATCAAGAAAAAAACAGTGTTAGGGTTAGGAAAACCACCAAACATCAATTTTGCTTCAATATCCACATACCCAACTGACTTTTTTTAACTAAAAATATTCTGGACCTAATTACCTCATATTTTTAATATCGTGCAGCTGTTTCCTAAGCAGTGACTTACAAAATATCAAAATATCACATGTATCCCATAAATAGGTATGACTCTTCTGTATCCATAAAAATTTTAGAAGGAAAAGAAGGAATTTTTGTCTAATGTTCACTGTATCTACATGTGATTCATAAGTAAAAAGGCGCACAAACACACAGACATACACACCTTTATGCACAAGCAGCTGAAACAGCTACCTTCCAAACACAAAACTCCAGGAGGCCATATGACAGCATAGACTGAGGACACTAGGCATTGTCTCATGATTTGGGAAACTACATTCATTCTCTATATTTTCTTCTGCTATGTTTTCCATACTTATTGCTTACAAATCTCAAAGCATCTGAACAATATCTGAGTCTGTATAATCTCAGGGATCGCAAAATGAGAAATTTAATGGGGCACAAGATACAAAAGGAACAAAAAATTGAGTTCCCCTTTGAATGAATATAGACAAGACATTTTTGTCTATTGTCGTAAACCCAGAGAAGAATGAATGCCTACAAAAATTTTGAGAAGTTATTATTACCATATCCGTCCCCTGTTAGTGGTTACATGAAGAATTAGGCCAATTAGATTGTGACCTCTCATATTATTTTTTAAAATTTATTTTAATGGCTTTAATATATAATTTTTATACCATAAATCTTACTACTGATTTCAAAGGTAAAATGCAATTTTTTAAATATGTTCACAAAATCTTGCAACTAGTATCTCAATCTAATTTTATTTTGTGATTTTCAGTTCTAGGGTATTGTAAATTATTTTTGTATTCTCTTTCTTAAATTGATTACTCTATAATTTTTAAGTTTTTAGCATAATTCTTGAGGCCCTGGGCTCAGGTTTTTATAATTAGAAATGCTTGTTAGAAAAGCAAATTCATGGGTTACACCCCCAGATATTGCAAGTTATTACATTTTGGGTTGGTTCCAAATCACCATTTGGATATTTGTTTTTACCAATAAACCTTAGGATAGCCAGGTGATACTTCCATGGATGCTTTAGCCAATTCTATTAAAAAGTCTCCTTGGGCACAAGAAAACACCTTTACAAAGAATAAGAACGTTTCTTCCTCTTAGCCTCAATTTCTGATTTTTGCATTTGGCCACAGAGCTGCCAAATATCTGCCATAACACATTGGAAGAAAAGTCCCAAACCAGAGAAATTAGAGAAAATGATTGAAAACGTGAAGTTTTCAGAACCTGTGTGACTTGGGGATGAATGAGAGGCCTAGGGTTTTGGCACAGGAAAATTCTGATGATTCTTAGGGATAATGCCAGGCATTTGAGTCATCAATTAGTTTTTTTGTCAGGCTCTTTGCAAGATAGAAAAAGGTCCTCAATTACAATCCTTTAGTCAGTGATTTACCAAGTAAAATATGAACTCTGATCATATCATTGTGTGTGTGATACACACACACACACACACACACACACACATCCATCAGTTTTAATAGGTTGCAAAAATATTTAGTCCACTCAGGATCCAGCCTGAGCGCATGATTCAGAAGCCACCTCGCACACAGGACATGGTTCGTGTTTTCTATATAGGACTATTTGAGTGAGCTGGGTTGAGCAGCATATTGAGATGTTTCAGTAACTCATCCAGTTCTTGACCATGAGAGAGTGTTCATTAGCAGCTCTGTGAGGCTTTCATTTTTAGCAATTCCAGAAACTGAAGTCAAGAGAGGTACATGAGACAAAGTGGGCGTGGCAAGCCTTACCATGGTAGGAGCCCTGTGTTAGATTCCAGAAGACCTGGCTTTTCTGCCTCCTACTCTGCAAGAAATGTTTATGGCTAACATGTATTATGAACTTTTACTCTAAAATCTCTGCACCATACTACCCCGTCTGACACATTAGAGGACTCAGTTATCTTATCTGTCTATAGCTAAAATATACATGTGATATTACAGTGTTATGATGGCCTCAAATAAAAAAAGAATATATGAAAATGCTTACAAGACTATGTGATACAATACAAAAGCAACATGGTAAATGTATATATATGCAAAGCCAAGCCAAGTTAAGTGGAGAGAATGATCCCTTCTACATGGTGCAGGCACCATTGAGTTCCATGGAAAGTGAGAATGTCGACCCAGAAATGCAGAAATCTTACATTTTAAAAGAAGCCAGAAGTCTATAACTTTAATGTAAAATCTGAGTTTTAAATATTACCTCCCAAAAGTGATTCAGGTAAAATAGCAAAATATCTAGGTCTGGCTTGAGAGATCTGTACCAAATTTATGGGAAATCTTGTTATAAGGAGCCCTTGAACAGTAGGAGGGAGGCTAATAGGATTACATGAATTTGTGGAAGTCAGTTAAGCTCCTGGTGCTTCAACTGCCTAATCTGTAAAATGGTTATGACAACAGGAATTTCAGCCAAGTGTTCTCTCAATGATTTTTACCCCCACCCAGTTCCAAGTATAAAATCTTAGATTCTCATATTAATAGCAATGGTCTTTGTCTTTAGTATCCTACATTATGATTACGGAGATAGAAAATAGCTGAAAAAATGTGGAAATTCTTTTATAGCAGCCTAGACAGCTACAAAAAATGCCCCATTCCCTCCCAAATTAATGTAGGTCTTTACTTGCCAAGGAAAGGAGTAATTAGAACATGGAAAGGGAAAATTCCAAAGAGGATTACTTGTTAGAGGACAGAAAGGACACAGACAACTGAGACTCCAGATGAGGAAGTATTTGGCAAGAGCATTTCAATTGGGTAGATAAAAAAACGTTGGGTTTCATGGATTGACACTTTGATTATACCATAACCTTAACGCAAAGAAGTCTAGGGAGGTTATGGTAGGTGTTTTCAAATTTCCATAGAGCAGTAAAATGGGAAGAGAAATTAAATTTGTTATTTCTAAACCCAGTGGTAAAATTAGCATCAGTGAGTGAAATATACTGGGTCCAGATTTGGTTGGATATTAGGAGCATTCTCAAAACTGTTCAGTATGGACAAGCCTCCTTCAACAGGTGAAGGATTTCTTTCAGTGGAGATTTGTAAACAGTGTTTAAAGCAGCATTTGGTGGTAATATTACAAAATGGATTTTAACATCAGACATAGTGAGATGGGGAGACTGGAATAGGTAATGAGAAGCTAGAGATTAGGGATCCTTGGCTTTTTCTGAGTTCATCCAGATGTCCCCATTTCAAATCAGAGTGCTTAGAAGAATATTGTAAACAGATTATTCTTAAAGCCTGTTCTAGCCCTGAGATTATCTCTAAAAATATTATATCTAGCATATACTGTAGGTCCAGTCACTGTGATAATTTATTAACATTCATTATATTCTCTTAACTGTATCGCATCCCTCTGGGACATTTTAGAATTTACAGGTGAGAAAAGTGGAGGCTTGTATGACTATTATGAGGTTAGGTAAGCTGGTTGGGTGATGAAGTAGAATTTTTATTCTAGTTGATTTTGACTTCATAGTCTGTTAATCACTACATGTACTGCACACAGGAAGTGTGTGTTTCTGTGTGCCTACAAAACATAGAGTGCTCTTGGAGACTGCAAGAAACATGTGCCCCCAGGCAAAGAACAGTATCTGTGACAGGTTTGTGAACAGAACACCTAAAGGGAATATTTAAGATTGTCAGGTTCCTAACCTGCCTCTGTAATTTCAGCTGGCTTCTGTGAGTTTATGGGAAAAATTAATTCAAGGGGCAAGGAAAAGGCACAAGAGCAAGAAAGCAAGGGAAAAACATGAGAAAGATTTATTTTTGAAATACAATGATATGTATACAATTAATGCTCTGGGCTGCCTGCCCATGTGTAATGCAAGTCTCCTCTCAATGGAATACAGAGTTTTCTCAAATTGTGCAGGCTGGACATATAAGACAATCCAATAATAAAAACACAATAAGGGTGACCTCTTCCAGAGCAGAGGGCAGTGCCTACAGTGCTATGAATTTCAATATCCAATGCCTCCATATCAGAGTAAGGCAGAGTGGCACTTTGTGATGAACCAGCAGCTCCATTTACCTCTTTATTCCCTACCCAGGATAGGAAAATGGAAATTAACAAGTCATATTGTTTCTTTCCATTCCAACCTGACTGCATTTTTCTAAATTAAAGTGGACCCTGGGTAAGTAGATGTCAGTCTAGCCTTCACACTTTCTTCATTAACAGCAAATCGACATCAAGCTGTCTCTGCTTCCAGCTCTTTTACCAAATCAAGATGTTTGGCGATACCGTCAGTATGGGTCAGTGAAGCAGAGAATGCGTATATTCAATATCAGAGGCCAGAGGGAAGAGGCAATTATTATTTATCTCAGAATATTTATGTTATATGCATAATAGCACTGTAAATATAATCTTCACTAGGATTAATGCTATACTATTAACTCGAGAGATAATGGCTGTTCCACACAAAACAATGAGACAACTGTGTTGTATGTTTCTGTTTACTTAGAGGTTTTCACTCCTTCAGATATAGAAGTGTTACAAGTCAGATAGCCTTTATGACACCTTATAGTCCTGTCTCTTAGCTGGGTCTTTGTCTATGTTGATATTTTTTATGGCCCAGAATGTATATACCCTCTAGGGAGTTTGGGTAGATTTTCATTGATAAATATAATTAAAAGTAAAAGGGAAGAAAGGCATTTGTAGAACAATTAATTGACAATTAAAACAGATCAGGAAAAATATAAGTAAAGCGTGGTTCAGCAGTATTTGCAAAAGACTTATGTCAAGAATATAGTAGGGACTGATTAAATTAATGATAGAGTTTGGCAACTAATTGGATGAGAAAGAAGTTAAATCTGAAATGTACATGAATGTCATATTTAGGATAGAGACACAAGAAAATGTTGATGAATCTGTAAATTATTTTTATCGTAGTACTGCAAACAGTACAATTAAATATTAAGTGTGATTTTCAGGCTGGGCATGGTGGCTTACACCTGTAATCCTAGGACTTTGGGAGGACAAGGCAGGTGGATTGCTTGAGCTCAGGAGTTTGAGAACAGCCTGGGCAATATGGTGAAACCCTGTCTCTACAAAAGACACAAAAACTAGTTGGGCGTGGTGGTGCATGCCTGTAGTCCCAGCTACTCAGGAGGCTGAGATGGGAGACTACTTGAACCTGGGAGGTTGAGGCTGCACTGAGCTGAGATCATGCCACTGTGCTCCAGCCTGGGTGACAAAGTGCCACCTGATTAAAAAAAAAAAGTTGTTTTAGGACCACAATATAAGCACAATTAAACTTTTTAATTGAGACAATTGTAGATTCACAGCAGTTGTTAAGAAATAATAAAAAGATTACATATAAACAGTTTTCTGAAAGGTAATATTTTGTAAAATGATAGATCACAAGAACAATATTGACATTAACACAGTTTAGATACAGAACAGCTCCATCACCATAAGAATCCCTCATTTGCTCTCTGATAGCCACAAACAATTTCCTTTGAACACTTATGTACAAGTTTTTGTGTGATGGTATATTTTTGTTTTTCTGGAATAAATGTCCAAAGATACCTTTAGCTTTTATTGCATTGCATGGTAATTAGATGTTTAGTTTTATAAGAAATTGCTAAACTGTTTTCCAGAGTGGCTGACCATTTTACATTTCCATCTGTAATCTATGAATGACCCAGTTTCTCTACAATCTGGCTAGTATTTGTGGTTGCCGCTTTTTATTTTTTTTTTTAGCTATTCAGATATGTATGTGTGATATCCCATTGCGGTTTCAATTTGCATTTCTCTGGTGGCTAATGATGCTGAATATCTTCCTATGTACTTATGTGCCATCTGTAATTACATCTTTGGCAAAATGCCTATTCATGTCTTTTGTGCATATTCTAATTGGATTGATTTTTTTTTTCACTGATAAGTGTTTTTTTTTTTTTTGAGATGGAGTTTCACTCTGTTGCCAGACCAGAGTGGTGTAGTGGCATGATCTCGGCTCACTGCAACCTCTGCCTCCCAGGTTCAAGCAATTCTCCTGCCTCACCCTCCCAAGGAGCTGGGACTACAGGCACATACCACCAAGTTCAGCTAATTTTTGTATTTTTAGTAGAGACGGGATTTCACTATGTTGGCCAGGATGGTCTCAATCTCTTGACCTCGTGATCTGCCTGCCTCAGCCTCCCAAAGTGCTGGGATTACAGGCATGAGCCATCATGCTCGGCCTTCACTGTTAGGTTTTAAGACGGCTGTATACATTCCAGATACTAGTACTTTGTTGGCTATGTGGCTTGCAAATATTTTCTTTCAATCTGTAATGTGTCTTTTCATCCTTTTCCCAGAACCTTTTCAAGATCAAAACTGTTATTTTTTTTCATTTAATAAACATTAAAAATGTAGAACAGCTTTGAGTTCAGAGGAAAATTGTAATAGTGGTACATATTTTCTGTACCCATTTCTGCCCTGATATTGACACCTCACTTTACTATGGTATATCCGTTGTAATTAATGAACCAATACTAATACATTATTATCAACTAGCACTTGTACTCTATTCAAATGTCCTTAATATTTACCTTATGTCCTTTTTCTCTTCCAGAATCCCATTCTGATGCCACATTTTATTTTGTACTCATGTCTCTTTAGCTTCTTGTTGACTATGACAGTTAGACTTTCCTTGTTTTTGTATTTATTTATTTATTTGAGAAAGAGTCTCTATCTGTCACCCAGGCTGAAGTGCAGTGGCATTGTTGGTTCACTGTAAACTTTGCCCCCAGGATTCAAGCGATCCTCCCACCTTAGCCTCCTGAATACCTGGAAATACAGGCCCACACCACCATGCTCTGCTAATTTTTATATTTTTGTAGAGATGGGGGTCTTACTATATTGCCCAGGCTGCTCTTGAACTCTTGAGTTCAAGTGATCCTCTTGTCTTGTGCTCCCAAATGCTGGGATTACTGGTGTGAGCCACTGCACCCCAGCCAGACTTTACCTGTTTTTGATGACTATGGTAGTTTGAAGAATTCTAGTCAGGTATTATGATCCCTTAATTGAGATTCGATGTGGGTTTTTTTTGCATCTTATGTTCTGTTTGTGTGTTTTGGAGGGGAAGACCACAGAAATAAAGTGTTGTTTTCATATCACATCATATCATGAGTAAATATGATCAATACGGCTGACCAAAGTCAATATGAACCTTGGTCATCAGGCTCAGTTGGTGTTTATTGGGTTTCCCTATTATAAAGTTACTCTCCTCACTCACAAAGGAAGTCACTACGTGCAGCCCGCACTTAAGGAGTGAAGAGTTACGTTCAACCTTCCTGATGGTAGACTATCTCCACATGTTAATTAAAATTATTCTGCACAGGAGATTTAAAGTATGTTATTTTATCACTTTTTCCTTTTATAAGCTATGCTTTTGTTGTCATGTCAAAGAATGATTTTCCTAGCTGAGATACCATAGATTTTCTCCAATGATTGTTTTATTAAAGTATTATAATATTTCATTTAAGTCTGTGATTCATTTTGAGTTATTCTTATTTAAGATATGAGGTTTAAGTTAGGTTTCTATTTTCAGCCTGTTCATGTCCCATTGTTTCAACATCATTTGTTAAAAAGACTATCCTTCCTCTATTGAATGCCTTTTGTGCTTTCATCAAAATCTAATTGGACCTTCTTGTATGTGAATATATTAGGGTTTTCTCTTCTGTTCCATTAATCTACTTGTCTATACTTCTATGAAAAGGCCACCCTCTGGACACTTCCTTGATTACTGTAGCTATCTGGGAGACTTTAATATTGGATATAATAATTTAATAATTAGTAATGCCTCTTATTTCTCCAACGTTATCCTTTTTATTATTAGTAGTAGTAGAAGTAGTAATTTTAGAGACAGAGTCTCTTTGTGTCATCTAGGTTGGGATGCAGAGGCAAAATCATAGTTTATTGTAACCTCAAAATTCTAGGGTCAAACTCCTGGGCTCAAGCAATCCTTCAATCTCAGCCTCCTGAGTAACTGACTACAGACATAGACAACCATACCAGTCTATCACTTTATCCTTTTTTAAAGATTCTTTTAAGCATGCTAGGACCTGAATCTTTCCACATAGACTTTAGAATAAGCTACTCTAAACCTACCAAAAATGCTGGGATTTTCATATGAATTGAATTAAACCTAGAGATCAATTTAGAGAAGAATTTATGTATTTACTACATTAAGTCTTCTAATCCATGAACATGGTATGTGTCTCCATTTATTTAAGTCTGTTTTGATTTGAGAAGGCTTTTCTTGGAGATTTTGTTGTCTGCGTGTGTTGGCAGTTTTGTGCTGGAAGCTTTTAAAGCACCCTGTCCAGGATATACAAGACAGAACAAGGAATAAGAGGACACATCACCATGTCATTCCTCAAGTTCTGGGTTATTTGGGTAATATGCCTTTTTATTCCAACTCTCAGAGTATTCTTCTGCTTGTTATTGTGCTATTCGTGGAATTTCAGATGTAAGAAAGGGGACCTGGAAGTAATAAGGCGTCCAGTGTTGGCAAAACCAGAAGTCCTTTTTTGTTTTCTTTTTAATGTAACCTCAGCTGAAATTTTAAGCCCTTGACTTTTCACTTTATTTATGTTAGCACTACAGTATGTAAGACACATATATTATTAGCTTTTACAGACATATCCACATGCACATACACACATACATTCTGTTTTGTTTTTTTTTTTCAACTTTTATTTTAGGTTCGAGGAGTACATGTGAAGGTTTGTTACACATGTAAACTCGTGCCATGGGGGGTTGTTGTACAGATCATTTCATCACCCAGGTATTAAGCCCAGCACCTGATAGTTATCTTCTCTACTGCTCTCCTTCCTCCCACCCTCCACCCTCAGTAGACTCTAGTGTATGTTGTTACCTTCTTTGTGTTCAGAAGTTCTCATCATTTAGCTCTCATTTATAAGGGAAAACATGCAGTATTTGATTTTCTGTTTTTGCATTAGTTTCCTAAAGATAACAGCCTCCAGCTCCATCCATGTTCCCACAAAAGACATGATATCATTCTTTTTTGTTGCTGCATAGTATTCCATGGTGTATATGTGCCACAGTTCTTTATTTCAATCTGTCATTCCTGGGCATTTAGGCTGATTCCATGTCTTTGCTATTATGAATAGTTCTGCAATGAACATTCACATGCATATATATTTATGATAGAATGGTTGATATTCCTCTGGGTATATACTTAATAATGGTATTACTGGGTCGATTTGTGGTTCTGCTTTTAGCTGTTTGAGGAATTGCCATACTGCTTTCCACAATAATTGAGCTAACTTATACTCCCTCCAGTAGTCTGGTTGGAGTCTATAAGTGTTTCCTTTTCTCCACAATGTCACCAGCATCTGTTATTATTTGACTTTGCATTATAATAATAGCCATTCTGACTGGTATGAGCTGGTATCTCATTGTGGTTTCAATTTGCATTTCTCTAATGATCAGTGAGATTGAGCTATTTTTTATGTGGCTGCTGACCACATGCATGTCTTCTTTTGAAAAGCTTCTGTTCATGTTCTTTGCTCACATTTTAATGGAGTTGTTTGTGTTCTCTTGTAAGTTTCTTTAAGTTCCTATAGATGCTGGATATTAGATTTAAGTCAGTTGCATAGTTTAGAAATATTTTATCCCATATAGCAGGTTGTCTGTTTACTCTGTTGATAGTTTCTTTTGCTGTAAAGAACTTCTTAAGTTTAGTTAGATCCCACTTGTCAATTTTTGCCTTTGTTACAATTGCTTTTGGCATCTTTGTCATTAAATCTTTGCCCATTCCTATGTACATGATGGTATTGCCTATGTTGTCTTTCAGGGTTTTTATAATTTGGGGTTTGACATTTAAGTCTTTAATCCGTCTTGAGTTGATTTTCGTATATGGTGTAAGGAGAGGGTCTAGTTTCAATATTCTGCATATGACTAGCCAGTTATTTCAGTAACATTTATTCAATAGGGAGAACCCAGAGATTCTTAATGATCATTTGCAGCAGACCACATGCTTCTCCTATATTCTCACTTAGATAAACCCTTTATCTCAATTGAATAAAAGTGATGGTTTAATTAATCATGAATCTATTCTATGGTATGGATCTATGGTATGGTTTGGAAAATCAATGAATCCAGAAGCTGGCTTTTTGAGAAGATTAACAAAATAGATAGACCACTAGCCAGACTAATAAAGAAGAAAGAGAGAAGAATTGAATAGACACAATAAAAAATGATAAAGAGGATATCACCAATGATCCCACAGAAATACAAACTACCATCAGAGAATACTATAAACACCTCTGTGCAAATGAGCTAGAAAATCTAGAAGAAATTGATAAATTCCTGGATACATATACCCTCCCAAGACTAAACCAGGAAGAAGTCAAATCCCTGAATAGACCAATAACAAGTTCCGAAATTGAAGCAGTAATTAATAGCCTACCAACCAAAAAACAAAACCTAGGACAAGATGGATTCACAGTTGAATTCTACTGGAAGTACAAAGAGGAGCCAGTTCCACTCCTTCTGAAACTATTCCAAACAATAGAAAAAGAGAGACTCCTCCCTAATTCATTTTATGAGGCCAGCATCATCCTGATTCAAAAACCTGGCAGAGACGTAACAAAAAAGAAAATTTCAGGCCAATATTCCTGATGAACAATGATGCAAAAATCCTCAATAAAATACTGGCAAACTGAATACAGCAGCACATCCAAAAGCCTATCCACCACGACCAAGTCAGCTTCATCCCTGGGATGCAAGGCTGGGTCAACATACACAAATCAATAAACATAATACATCCCATAAACAGAAACAATGACAAAAACCACATGATTATCTCAGTAGATGCAGAAAAGGCCTTCAATGAAATTCAACACTACTTCATGCTAAAAACTCTCAATAAACTAGGTATTGATGGAACATATCTCAATATAAAAAGAGCTATTTATGACAAACCTACAGCCAATATCATACTGAAAGAGCAAAGCTGGAAGCATTCCCTTTGAAAACCAGCACAAGACAAGGATGCCCTCCCACCACTCCTATTCGATATCGTATTGGATGTTCTGGCCACAGCAATCAGGCAAGAGAAAGAAATAAATGGTATTCACACAGAAAGAGAGGAAGTCAAATTGTCTCTGTTTGCAGATGACATGACTGTATATTTTGAAAACCCCATCATCTCAGCCCAAAAACTCCTTAAGCTGATAAGCAACTTCAGCAGTCTCTGGATACAAAATCAATGTGCAAAAACTAGAAGCATTCCCATGCACTAATAATAGACAAACAGAGAGCCAAATCATGAGTGAACTCCCATTCACAATTGCTAAAAAGAAAATAAAACAACTAGGAATACAGCTTACAAGGTACACGAAGGACCTCTTCAAGGAGAACTACAAACCACTGCTCAAGGAAATAAGAGGACACAAACAAATCGAAAAATATTCCATGCTTATTGATAGGAAGGATCAATATCGTGAAAATAGCCATACTACCCAAAGTAATTTATAGATTCAATGCTATCCCCATCAAGCTACCATTGACTTTCTTCACAGAATTAGAAAAAACTACTTTAAATTTCATATGGAATCAAAAAAGAGCCCTTATAGCCAAAACAATCCTAAGCAAAAAGAACAAAGCTGGAGGCCTCACACTACCTGACTTCAAACTATACTACAAGGCTATGGTAACCAAAACAGCATGGTACTGGTACCAAAACAGATATATAGACCAAGGGAACAGAACAGAGGTCTCAGAAATAACACCACATATCTACAACCATCTGATCTTCAACAAACCTGACAAAAACAAGCAATGGGCAAAGCATTCCCCATTTAATAAATGGTGCTGGGGAAACTGGCTAGCCTTATGCAGAAAACTGAAACAGGACCCCTTTTTTCACAACTTATACAAAAATTAAATCAAGATGGATTAAAGACTTAAACGTAAGACCTAAAACCATAAAAAAAAAAAAACATAAAGAAGACCTAGGAAATACCATTCAGTACATAGGCATGGGCAAAGACTTCATGACTAAAACACCAAAAGCCATTGTAACAAAAGTCAAAATTGACAAATGGGATCAAATTACACTAAAGAGCTTCTGCACAGCAAAAGAAACTATCATCAGAGTGAAAAGGCAACCTACAGAATGGGAGAAAATATTTCAATCTATCCATCTGACAACAGTCTAATACCCAGAATCTACAAAGAACTTAAGCAAATTTACAAGAAAAAGACAACCCCATCAAAAGGTGAGTGAAGCATATGAACAGACACTTCTCAAAAGAAGACATTTATGCGGCCCACAAAATATGAAGAAAAGTTCATCATCACTGGTCATTAGAGAAATGCAAATCAAAACCACAATGAGATACCATCTCACTCCAGTTAGAATGAAGATCATTAAAAAATCTGGAAACAACAGATGCTGGTGAGGCTGTGGAGAAATAGGAATGCTTTTACACTGTTGATGGGAGTATAAATTAGTTCCACCATTGTAGAAGACAGTGTGGCAATTCCTCGAGGATCTAGAATCAGAAATACCATTCGACCCAATCCCATTACTGGGTGTATACCCAAAGGATCATAAATCATTCTACTATAAAGACACATGCACACATACGTTTATTGCAGCACTATTCACAATAGCAAAGACTTGGAACCAACCCAAATGCTCATCAGTGATAGACTGGATAAAGAAAATGTGGCACTTATACACCATGGAATACTATGTAGCCATAAAAAAGAATGAATTCATGTCCTTTGCAGGGACATGGATGAAGCCGGAAGCCATCATCCTCAGTAAACTAACACAGGAACAGGAAACCAAACACCACATGTTCTCACTCGTAAGTGAGAGTTGAACAATGAAAACCCATGGACACACTCACTCATAAGTGAGAGTTGAACAATGAAAACACATGGACACAGGGAGGAGAGCGTCACATACTGGGACTTGTCGGTGGGGGTGGGGGGCCAGGGGAGGGAGAGCATTAGGACAAATACCTAATGCATCTGGGCTTAAAACCTAGATGATGGGTTGATAGGTGCAGTAAACCACCATGAAACATGTATACCTATGTAACACACCCGTACATTCTGCCCATGTATTCCAGAACTTAAAGTAAAATAAAATAAATCAGACTCCAGTCAGTAAAACAGAAGTCATGCTATGTATTTGAATAGAAAGTATTTAATGAATTGGTTAAATAATTGTTAAAGGATTGAAAGATCAAAAGGAAAACTGAGGTAATACAGAGGCCATAACTGCAGAGGTATTGACCACCCTTAAGGCTGTGAAACCAACAGAAAAGGCTGTGGTTATTAGATAATACCCACATACTCAGAGGATTCAGGGCTCAGACATTTGCAAAAAATGCACATCCAAGTTGTTTCTGACATTCCAGACTTTGAAGGAGAGTTTCACAGATATGGGATTCCAACTTTTAAGTTAAAGTCACCACAGTAATAATATTGATAACTCAAAAACTAGGAAGAGGATCATCACAGAGCTGGGGCCACTGAGGAGATAGCACTGCCCAACTGGTAATGCTATTCTCTGAATGTGCATCCTGAAATTGGTCCTAGTAGTGGTAAATTCAGCTAGATATACAACAAACTACTGATGCATGGAGACAGGTCATTACTTGGTGACAGGCTTTTAATATTGCCAGCAATAGCAAGTAAATGGAAGAATCGAGTGATGTCTTCCTATACTGATCTTGTTGGAACCCAAAAGGAAGCTACCTGAATTAAGAAAAATATAATTTTCAGAATTCTACCCTCAGAATTATAAAACATAGTTTATTATGAAGTAAGAGAAAATAATTATTGACACAGAAGGTATTCTTTTGGTTTTAATATCTTTATCTGAAGCAAGTACAAGCATTTTAACCATATTTGTTTACAAATTGGGAAAGAACACGTAAGAACAAGCACAGAAAGGCATGTAAGGAATTATCAGTAGTGGAGCTACAGGAACAAAGAAGGAATGAATCTAAGTATATTATGTACTATATTTATAAACAAGATATAGGAAGAAGAAAGACATGCTTCAGAAAATTGTAAGTCTCCTTTGAACATATTTAAGGAAAACCTAATATGTGTATATTTGGATTCTCATCTCTGCATGGTAGTATTTTTCATTAAGTGGGAAATTAAACTTGTATTCACATTTTCCTTAAAGCGTATTAATTCTCAATTTTTAAAAATTGCGTAAAGGATATAAACATAAAACAGTAAAATATGTCATTACATCAAAAGTCATCAAACATAAACCTAAAAATGAAACTTTGAAGTAATAGAAACGTATTAAGATTACCTTATAACAACTTTTTCTCTTGTAAAAAGCATTTCTTATTTATAATAAGATGGTATGTTGTTACTCACATACAATAAGCTATCTAATTTATGCAAGCATAATGGAGAGAGTAGAATAATTTTTATTTCTCACTTAGGCATCTCATTGTGTTTAGTGTAAAGGGCCATTAAAAATATGCTCTTCCTGGTGGTATACTGTTACATAAACAGTAGTGAAATTATTCATCTACAGAAATAAAAAGGATTACGTGCAGTTTTGCAAAAGTGAAGCATTATATATCACCATGTCCTCAGGAATTAAGACTAAATCAGAAATAGAATAGTTCAGCAAAGGATTTAAGAAGGATAAATATGGTGGGAAGTGAGGTAGAGCTAAGAGTTGAGAGCACAGCCAGGCACAGTGGCTCACGCTTGTAATCCCAGCACTTTGGGAGGCCCAGGCAGACGGATCACCTCAGGTCAGGAGATCGAGACCATCCTGATCAACATGGTGAAACCCCATCCCTACTGAAAATACAAAAATTAGCTGGGTGTGGTGGCACATGCCTGTAATCCCAGCTATATGGGAGGGTGAGGCAGGAGAGTCACTTGAACCAGGGAGTTGGGGGTTGCAGTGAGCCGAGCTTGCGTCACTGCACTCCAGCCTGGTGACAGAGCAAGACTCCATCTCAAAAAAAAAAAAAAAAAAAAAAAAAAAAGGAGTTTAAAGCCCAAGCTGCAAACAATCATGCACACATGCACACATACTGAAACTTTCGAATTCTCAAGTCCTCAAATAAGTGCACGAGTTTTTTTGAGGTGATTTTGAGCCATTAGAATGGATGGATGAAAGTTGTCTGAATGCAAAACAAGTTTTCTGAAAACAAGCCTTGAAGGGCTAATAAATCCTCCTGAATAAGTCTTCCTGAATAAGTCCTCCTAGACATATTGGGAGATAACCTTATTTTAAAGAATTAGCTCTTCAGTGAATTACCTGATTCATGAATAAGTTTATCTGATTCTGAGAAGTCAGAAAACAGGAGAAAGCAAATGCCTTTACAATAGAAATTAATCTTTAAACTCCTGAGATGGTCTTACATAGGTTTTGTATCAGTCAGCGTTCTCTAGAGAAACAGAGCAGTATAAAATTATATAATAACAATTATATATTATATATACTATATATATAAAGAGAGGGAGAAGCAGACAGACAGAAACAGAGAGAGGCGAAGAGATTTTTAAGTAATTAGGTCAAGAGATTTTGGGGCTAGCAAGTCTAAAGTCCATAGGGTTGTAGACTCAGGCATGAGCTGACGTTGCCATCTTTGCACAAACTTTCTTCTCTGGGAAACTTTTTTTTTCTGTTAAGGCCTTTTAGTTTGGATTAGGTCCACCCACATTATCAAGAGTAATCTCCTTTACTTAAAATCAATAATTGCAAATGTTAGCCATGCCTACCAAATACCTTCACAGCAACACCTGGATTAGTAGTGTTTGATTAAATAACTCAGCATTATACTTTAGCCAGGTTTATACATAAAACTAATAATTATAGGTTTTAATATCATATTTTTTAATTGTGGCAATAGTGATCATTCTAGAAATAGGAGTGTTGACAAACTGGTGAGGGGATGGGTTCAGTTCCCCTTTAACAGGTAGAAAAGATAACAGATTCAACAGAAGTGAGACTCTTATTTTTAACCTGATTTTGATGAGGGTAGCCTTTAACAGTTGTCAAAATGTTGACTTCTTGTGGTAAGATATTCCAGGGACTAACTAACTCAGAGTTAGTGCTTTTCTACTAATTAGGATTCTGCAGAGGACTTGGTTTAGATCCTAATGAAGAGACTGTCATAAACCAGTGCAACCTAAAGCTGGCTGGATCCTGATTATTTAGATTTAGGGTCCTGGTACAATGCCTGAGTTATAGGCTCTCCATTTTAATCAAAGGAATGCTGGTTGAGTATTACCTTCCAGCCACTGACTAAGAATCTGATTGGGTAGTTAACCTCCATTAATCCTAGAAAGTTCAATCACCGATCAGCTTCTACATCTGGTGACATGTATACTCATCCCTGGAAAATCTGTGCTCTGACTTTCCCTAACTTCATATGCAAGGCTCAAACTTGTCGAATATCTATAGTGGATTAGATGCTGGCATAAGTGACTAATACATGAATGAGTCACAGTTCCTACCCTTTTTGTATTTAAAGTCTTCAGAGGGAATTGAATATAAGCAAACTAACAATTACCTATTTATACTTTAAGTGCCATAAAATGACATGTCAAGTGTATTATGAAATCATAGCACAGAAGGCAAAATGAAGTGGTAGGGAGAAGGCTATCTCAAATGATATCCTTGACAATGTAGGTGAAATAAATATTTTAAAATATGCATATTGGTCTCTGCCCCCAGTCCCTAGCACAGAGTTCTTAATACTCTTGTGGACATGAATGCTAATAGGATCTTATGTTTTAATATTTGATCTCTACTCTGATTCTTGGCACCGAGGTTCTAAGACCTTTGTAATTTCCTGGGTGATAGGAGCATCTTTTGTTCTAATGAGGCCACTTTTGGTGGAAGCCGGGCACCGGAAAGACCACTCCAATGATTAGAAGCTCATGGATTTAGCCTCAACCCTCAATCTTTGGAGAGGGGCTGGAAATTAAATTAATAATCAATCATGCCTACATGATGAAGCCTCCATTAAAATCTCTAAACTATGGGATTCAGAGCGCTTCTGGATTGGCAACCACATCTGCATGGCTGGAGGTTGGCACCTCCAACTCCAGGGGGACAGAAGCTTTTGTGCTCAGGACCCTTCCAGACCTCCTCCTACATATTTATTCACCTGGCTGTTCCTTTTTATCCTTTTAAATAACTTTTGTAATAAAGAGGTAAATGTAAGTAAAATATTTCCCTGAGTTCTGTGAGCTACTCTAGCAAATTAATCTAACCTAGGAAGGGTTGTGGGGACCCAAATTTGTAGCTGGTTCATCAGAATTTCAGGAGGCCAGGACTTGGAACCAGGATCTGAACTGAGGGGCCATCTTTTGGGACTGAGCACTTAGCCTTTGGGATCTGATGCTATCTCTAGGTAGACGGTATCTAAATTAAATGGAACTCAAGGACACCCAGCTGATGTCTCCTGGAAAATCTGCTGGAGAATTGCTTGAAATGTGAGCAACACCCCTAGACATCAGGGTCACAGAAGTGTTCTGTATTGAGTGTTGAGTGAGAGTAGAGGAAAAACACTTGAGTTTTTTCTACATACTCAAAATTTGGTATCTGAACATTGACATATAAAAAGAAATTTATTAGGTGGAAAAGTCAGAAATATTAATCACAGTAGCAAATGTCATGCACGTCCATGTGAAGAGACCACCAAACATGCTTTGTGTGAGCAACAAGGCTGTTTATTTCATGTGGGTGCAGGCAAGCTGAGTCCGAAAAATGAGTCAGTGAAGGGAGATAGGGGTGGGGCTGTTTTATAGGATTCGGGTGGGTAGTGGAAAATTACAGTCAAAGGGGATTTTTCTCTTGCAGGCAGGGGCGGGGGTCACAAGGTGCTCAGTGGGGGAGCTTCTGAGCCAGGAGAAGGAATTTCACAAGGTTAATCACTCAGTTAAGGTGGGGATAACTAAAAAGGAGTGCATAAAAAAAATGTTGTCCAAGTTGGCATCAGAGCTGGAGAGTTTTAAGAGGTTTAGAAGCCTGGCCGTCAATACCTACAACAGTTATGGAGGCAAATGAAACAGGCCTTTGAAAAGAAGGTAATGTGGAGTTGGTAGCCTCCATATTGATTAAGAAGGGGACCTACTTACCCTCTACTGTAAGAGTTACCCGAAGCATCTGTGATGGTCCAGGAGGCTTCTGAGATGACCAGGCAGCATCAGTCTTCAGCCACTAAGCCGAGAAGATCTGGGAAGGAGTCAGTCAGAGAGCCTTGGGCCAGGGTTCCAGGGGCTCTGGGAGTGGCTGCCAGGTGAGTTGGACAGTCCGATTTCCAGTGGGGTCCTGCACAGACGGGACTCGGCTTAGGAGGAATCCCAGGCTGCGGACATTCCTTGGTCCAGTGGCCAGATTTCAGGCACTTGAAGCAAGATGCTGGGAGAGGAAGTCCAGAAGGAATGCCTGACCGCTGTGGCTTAGGCATTTTGAAGTTCTTGTGTGCTGGAGATGTGGCTGGGGTTTCTCTCACAGCAGAGGCAAATAATTGAGACTCCTCTCTATTATTGTACACCTTGAAGGCGAGGTTAAGTCCTGTTGTGGGGTTTCCGGGCTGGAATCTAATTTTTGGAGCTTTATTTAATGTCGGGAGCAGATTGAGTAATAAAATGCATATTGAGAATAAGATGGCTTTCTTACCTTTCAGGGTCTAGGGTTGTAAAGTTTCTCAGGGTTGCTGCCAAATGAGCCATGAACTGGGCTGGGTTTTTATATTTGATAAAAAAGAGCCTAAACACTAACTCATTTGGGAGAGGTCGGATAAAGAAAAAGGAGCGTTAAACTTGACTATGCCTTTAGCTCCAGCCACCTCTTCAAGAGGAAATTGTTAGGCAGCTGGGGGAGGGCTAATCGCGAAATGAAACTGTAAGCCGGACGGAAGACCCGAGGTTGTAGGTGGATCTTTCTCACGGAGCAAAGAACAGGAGGACAGGGGATTGATCTCCCAAGGGAGGTCCCTCAATCTGAGTCACGGCACCGAATGTCACATGGGTCCATGTGAAGAGACCACCAAACCGGCTTTGTGTGAGCAACAAGGCTGTTTATTTCACCTGGGTGCAGGCAGCTGAGTCTGAAAAGAGAGTCAGCAAAGGGGAATGGGATTATCATTAGTTCTTATAGGTTTGGAATAGGTGTACAAAGTACATTTTCAAGGGCGGGGAGAATGTTACAAAGTACCTTCTTAAGGGTGGGGGAGAATATTACAAAGTACCTTCTTAAGGATGGGGGATAATATATCCTATCAGTTAGGGTGGGGCAGGAACAAATCACAATGGTGGAATGTCATCAGTTAAGGCTATTTTTACTTCTTTTGTGGATCTTCAGTTGCTTCAGGCTATCTGGACTTGCAGGTCACAGGAGATATGATGACTTAGCTTGGGGTCAGAGGCCTGACAGCAAACATTTGTGGAATGTTTACTTAGTCTCAAACAGAGTGTACATGTTTTTTAGATATCATCTCATTAACTCCAGGGGAATAGGTGATTTTATTATCCCACTTTTATAGGTAAGGAAGTGGAAGATTAGGGAGACTGAGTGGTGAGCTCCACTTTTCAAACCAGACTGTCAGGATCCAGAGCACCTGCTCTTGCTGCCTGTGGGCTCTGCTTTCTTTATAAGCATGTCCTTAATAAGATAAAAGATAGCTTTTAGTATAATGTAAGGGGACAGCTCGTGCAAATGCAGAGAGATGCAGAGAAAGTACACCTATGTGGGAGTCTGTCCCACAGACCCTGACCCAAGAGTGGATGAATAACGTACACTTACACAGATATTATGCCTGTCAGTCTGGCTGAGCATCCAGGCCACTTACAGATTCCAAGGACAGTGCTGTAAAGCTTAGCAGCCATGGCCTTGACTCCCTGGCCCTGCTGGCATTTATTCAGCACACATTAAATGACAAAAGGTCTCAAGTAAACACCACTAGAAGGTAATTACCATTGCCAACACCCCTGAGTAGAAAGCAATCATGTACCTGCAGATGGTCAAAAGTTAGTCTTAGGACCATATGAGTAAACAAGCTAGTTAGATAGACTCCTCTACATTCCTATGTTAATTACCCTTGTTATAGCTCAAAGAGGATTAAGCTGCCTTCAGCCATAACTCTATCCTGAGGCTTTTGCAAAAACCTTCCAGCCTTCCAAGAAGGTTTTTGTTTAGTTTGCAATTTCTCCCACCATCCTGACTGAACCCCTACACACCTGTGTAATAACAAAGGCACTGGAATGACAGGAAGGGGCCAGACGATGCACAACATCAAATGGAATCCTGATTATGTCCAGAATGCAGTGGAGGGCACAGAGGGTTTAGAGCAGTGGTGTGGCATTGTCAGACATGCTTGAAAAGCTGACTGTGGCAGTCATGTGAATACATGAGTGTAGGCCAATGAGACAAGTGACTGGGAGACAAAATGGAATTACGTAAAAT
This sequence comes from Homo sapiens, assembly GCF_000001405.40. Taxonomy (NCBI): domain Eukaryota; kingdom Metazoa; phylum Chordata; class Mammalia; order Primates; family Hominidae; genus Homo; species Homo sapiens. The sequence continues at coordinate 108,598,019 of NC_000010.11, read as the reverse complement.
CAGATAAGAAATAAAGAGGCATGAAAAATGCAGGAGTAGTAAAATGCAGAGGTCAGGCAACAAATAAAGGACCACTTAGAATGTAGTCTTCACATTATTCTCAGTGAAGTAACTCAGGAATGGAAAACCAAATACATATGTTCTCACTTATAAGTGGGAGCTAAGCTATGGGTACACAAAGGGATACAGAGTGATATAATAGACTGGAGATTCAGAAGGTACAGGGTAGGGGGTTGAGGGATACATATTGGGTGTAGCTTACAATTCTCAGGTGACAGGTGCACTAAAATGTCAGACTTCACCACTATGCAATTCATTCATGTAACCAAAAACCACATACTCCAAAGGCATTGAAATAAAAAAAATATGTATTTTACAAAAACAGAATCTAGGTTTTATAGAACTTCTTGACTGACTGGGTGCAGAGGGTAATTCTGAGGTGGTTTCTTTCTAGATTTCTGGAGTGGCCAACTGGATAGTGATTGTAATATTTCTTGAGATAGGGAATACAAGTAGAGGAGAAGCAGGTTTGTTAAGGAAGATAATGAGTTAAGTTTTCTTGAGTCAGTTAAATTGGATGAGCCTCTAGGCCTGTGCTTTCCAATATGGCATTCCCTTGCCAGATGTGGTTATTTAAACTTAAAATGATTTAAAAGCGAATAAAATTAAAACTTTAAGACCTCAGTTTCACTAGCCAAACTTCAAGTCCTCCACGGCAACATTTCCCTCGCGTTGATCATTGTGTTGGACAGCGTAGATTACCACACATTTATGTCATAACTGGAAGTTCTATTGCATAGCACTCCTCTAAGTCATGCAAGTAAAGTTACTCACCAGAAACTCGAATACATTGCTCTAAGATTCAGAGAGCAGTGAAATGAAATGAGTAGGAAGTAGTGAGTTTCTGATCTTTGGAAATACTTCCTTGGTGAAGATGTTGGAAAGGATGTTTAATGGTCACATAAGTGTTTACATTGGATTCACAGGCATTGCTGAGCATGTTCCAAGGGCTGTATACTGTGTTAGCTTAATATATATAATTACCATTGAATTTGATAACGATGTTGATATATGGTAGAATTGCATGAAAAAGAACAGGAGTCACTTTTTAAACATGAAAGTGATTTTGTTACTTTGCCCTAAAAATTCAAAGCAAAAGCCATCAAAAAATTACAAAAACATCCTCACTATTTTAAATATATGTAGCGTTATAGGAGTAGGAAGTGTGCATATATTATTTTACATTTAAATATCTTTAGCACGTATTTTTGTCTCAGCTTCAGTTTGGTCTAGGTAGAAAAATAATTCATTTCTGATTTCATGAACGGTTGAATTATGAGTCAGTTATTTTCTTAAATCTTATGCTTTTTAAACTATAATTTTCATTCCATAAAATACTCCCATTTATAAGGTACAATTCAATCATTTTTTAAAAAATTTGAAGAGCTCTGTTAGTTTCACCACAATTCCATTTTAGAACATTTCTATCATCCCAAAAAGATCCTTAATACCTTTTTGCATTCAGTGTCCATTGTCAGCATTGGCCCCAGATAACCACTGTTTACATTTTGTCTCTACAGATGCCTCTTTTTATGGATGTTCTATATGCATGTCCTCTTAAAATAAGAGCTCTTTTGCATCTGGCTTCAATCAGTTACAGCAGCTTTTTTTGAGATTGATCTGTATTGTTCTTCTATAAGCCTTTTATTTCTTGTTATTGCTGAGTAGCATTCTACCTTATAGATACATCACACTTTATGCATTCATCAATTGATGGCCATTTGCATTACTTCCACTTTTAGGCTATTTGGAATAATGTAGTTGTGAACATTCATGTAGAAATCTTCATGAAAACGTAAGATTTCATTTCTCTTAGAGTGATATCGAGAGGAAAATTGCTGAGTAATATGGTAAGTTAATATTTAAATTTTTAAGAGACTACCAAAATGGCTGCACTATTTTACATTTTGACAAGACGTTTCCAGTTTTTCCACGTCATCTTCAACACAGATGTCTTTTTATTTTAACCATTATTGTCCATGTGAAGCAGTATCTCATTGTGATTTTAATACTCACTTTTTTCTAAAGACTAATATAACTTTAAGTACTTTTTCATAGGTGTATTGGCTATTTGTTTCTCTTTGATAAGATGTTGATTAACATCTTTTGCCCACTGTAGTACTCATTTCACTGAGTGAGAACACTGGAGGTGGACAGGTACAGGCTGAAGGCTAAGTCCCTTCATCTCTATCCTCATTACGCACATGGTGCAGAGGGAGAGCCTTGTTCCTTTTTGTTTTTCCTTCATGCTTTTCTCTTTCTTCATAACATGATAAGCAGATCTTTCTTTAATGTCTATTGGCAGCTTGCTCAGAATAAATACATATAATATGTGCAGAATGATGTTCCATGTAAGCAGACATAAAATTATTTTTCCTCACTACCTCCCTGTCTCAACCCTTTAACTTTCTCTTAAAAAAGAAGACATATCAATAGAAGATATTAAAGTCATAAAGTCATCTCTAGGGGTTTCTCTGCCCCATGAACCCAAGGAAGCCAGAGCAGAGTAAGCCCTGAGCAGCTTCCATGGCTTCTATTTCATTTTACTGGACACATCTGTTGAGGCTGAATATGAAAAGGACATTGTATTACCCTGGGTAATACTTCTGTAATCAAAGCTTTTCAATATCACATCAGTCTACCAGCCTATCCTCTTGATGCCCATACTTGTATTTGGCAATGATTATTCAGTAAGGGATATCAAATACACAATTCCATGAATATATACAGTTTGTTCGTCAATTTAAAACTTTGTTTGACGTATAGAGCATTTAAGATACAATGAATCTCAAATCACAGCGATGCTCAAATTCTGCCATAATATTAGGTTCTAGGCAGCCCATGCCCCTGAAGGTTGGGCATTGTTTTTTTCCTGGGGTTAGGTCTGCCCAGCTTCTAGGCTAAAATGTTCAGTCAGCTGTCCTGTTTGAGGACCTGGTATAGACCCCCTGCTCTGTTCTGACCCTGTCTTCATGCTAGACTCTCAGAGTCCAAGCTCACTTGTCTTGAAGCAATTGATTATTCCCAGCATTTGCCTTTACAGCCCCTATCAGTCCTCTGACTGACAGGGTTCACAAAGGTGAACAAAATACAAGATCCCTAAACTCACAGAGCTTATAGGATAGACTGGAGACAGAAGTAATAGAATATTCATAATACTAAATGTACATTTGTTACCGTTATGAGTGTGTTAAAGGAGAGAAGCACAGCATTAAGGGATTTCACATAGGCTGGGGGGGTCAGGGAAGACTCACAATCGATCTGGATGCAGGTTTAGCTTCAAACATGTCAGCTGGGTGCGTGTTAGTGTCTCACACTAACATAAAAAGCCTGCTGCTACCAGCTCTTGTCTTCCTCTGGTAGCTGACAATGCAAATCATGCAGAAAGGAAGGAAGGACACATGACCTTGGGCACAACTGCAACCGACTCTTAGCCAGCAGCTCATCTTTTTCTTCTTGAATGCAGCTGCTGTGTGTGTGTGTGTGTGTGTGTGTGTGTGTGTGTGTGTGTGTCAGGGATGGTGGCGGTGGGGGCGGTGTTATTATAAGTATTGCTGCTGGGGAATGTATTGTCCACACGAATGTTTTCTTTAATAGGCATATTTCCTGCTTTTTCAGCACATAATGATGGATGTGGACCATAGTATCTTGAGAACATTTCCTGGGAGAATTTAGTAGTTGCATGAATTGAATGTGGAAGCATAATGAAGCAGGCTTTGTTAGAACTTCATGCTCTTATGTATACTTTACATTTTTCATAATGGGAGGGTGGAAAATGAAACCCATTTCAGTGGAAATCTGATACTTATGGTAGCACAATTCCAAACTAATAGTAAAGTAAAACTAAAATTGTTTCCTCTGTTTTAAAGTTTGTTCTACAGATAAATGTGACTGCCAGTTTATAAATAGCTAATTTAACAAATAAATTATCTTCGCTGAAAGACTTGCATTCTTTTTTTATCCTTTTTATTCTTTTAAATTTATCCTATTTTTCCACCAGAAGCAAATATAATGTAAATGTCAATGACTTCAGTGCATGCCTTTGCGTAGTCAGTTCTTAACCCCCTGCAAGTGTCCCTGATGTATTTTTTATATGAACATCTCCTCTTCTTCTGGAAGAGGAGTAATTCTATTACTAGAAATAGGGTAATTCTACTGTAATTATAACAGAGTTTTTGTTCTGTTCTCAGGCCATGATAAATATTATGTGTTAATTAGCCCATTTTTCCTCCACTTTCCTCAAATATAATATACCATAATATTTTTCATATATGAAACATTCAGCATGACACTAATAAAGAAGCCAACTGAAAATAATCACATTTCAGGAAATCAACCTAGTATCCGGCAAAAAGAAACAAAGATTCACCATTTAAAACAAAGAGTCCCATAAATATTAATAAACAAAATTGACCTGAGATAAAACCATTGACTCCTCTTCAGAGATATGAAAATCTGAACTTGCAAAAATAATTCAACAAGGTTTTCAGAGTCATGGTTATTCACAGAATCAAAGACTGCAGGGTTCCTTCAAAGATTGAGTTATCACAGTGCATTTTAAATAGAATTCAGTTTTCAAAATCTAAATCACCCCCAACTTTGCAGGAATGTAGCTATTACTCTCATATAAAGCAAAACCCAAATGATATTAAAATCTATAGCCTAGTAGGGTAGCTTCCACACTAGAGGAAGTCCCATAAATTTTAAGCATTATTTTTAATCATGGGCTATTTGAGTGCGAAGTTAATGTCTAGCACCAGCAATGTTCCCTCTAATAATCTCTCTGGCAGCCAGCCTTTTAGAGCTGTGGTTCTTCTTCTAATGTCCCCAGACAAAGAGAGTATTCATGAAGAGAGCAACTACATTTAAGAAAGATAATAGTGCAATAAAAGGATTTGTTTCTTATCTGGCATCCCCTTTATTCCTCCAGGAGTTTGCTGTTTAAAGTTACTTGAGTTTCATTCCTTTTTGTTCTTTGTTTGTCATTTGTTTGTCTCAGACATTTGCTTGTCATTTGTTTGTCTCTATCTTTTTCTGAAAATGATGAAAGCTATTGCTCATCAGAGGTTGTGTCATTAAAATAGGGTTGTTATACCCGAGGAAAGACTTCTTGATGCCGTTATCCCAGGGAGATGTGGAGAAATAAGTCAAGCTGAGTGAGGCACTATTGCCACCTAACCTGCTGCAGCTTTCAAAGTGTGAAACTATCCTATTTATCTGACAGTTCATATTTAAACTTAATTTATTTGAATGCATGCCCAATTCTGTAGAAGTAAAGTCATTAATGTGGTAATATGTCAATTTTAATCTGTTAAAAAAGTTAGAAATAGTCCGGGCCTGGTGGCTCATGCAAGTAATCCCAGCACTTTGGGAGGCCGAGGCGGGTGGATCACAAGGTTAGGAGATCCAGACCATGCTGGCCAACATGGTAAAACCCCGTTTCTACTAAAATACAAAAAAAGTTAGCCGGGCGTGGTGACACATGCCTGTAGTCCCAGCTACTCCGGAGGCTGAAGCAGGGGAATTGCTTGGGCCCGGCAGGCGGAGGTTGCAGTGAGCCGAGATGGTGCCACTGCACTCCAGCCTGACAGTGGGGTGAGACTCCATCTCAAAAAAAAAAAAAAAGTTAGAAATATTACAGCATCGTATTCAAGTATTTTTATTAGGAAATATGTGTATAGATAGATGTTACAGTAACTCATCTACACAAAAATGTCTATGGATGTTATTTTTAGGTGGAGGAACTGTGCATGATTTTATGTTCATTTTCAAGTTGATCTTTATGTTCAGATTTTCTCCCCAAAAGTTTATACTCAATATTCAATAAAACAAAAGAAGAAAAATATTATTTAGAAGCTTGTCTCCTTATGATGTTATTTTTTCCTGAGTTGGTAGTTTCTGAGATTAATGATCACTATTGTGAATTTATATATTAAAGTTAGGGTTTTAGAATTTTCCTGTCTTACCACTGAGAGCAAATTAGCTGAGTTAATCAGGTTTTGAATTAAAATGTGATAGGATGGAGAATTTGTAAACGCTCTCAAGAACAACTTACCCAGACAAGGACATGTACCCATCTACAGACTGGCCAAATTGAGAGAAAACAGACAGTCTCATCTTTTGAAAGGAGATGCAGCAGGACTTTTTCCTTCATTCCTGTTGGTTCATAGCAAAGTCTTGTACTCATCGCAGAAATTGTACTTCTTTCTGCCTTTCCTCATTCAAATGTGGCCCAGACATATGGAGTTAATGTGAGATCCTAAACAATTGTCTCCCTGCAGAAAAGTCTCCTATCCTGGGAGGAGACAGTTTGGCTTCAAGGCACTGAAGTAAATGAGGAACTATTTTCCACTGGCCAGTCTAGGAGCCTGAGGGTGAGTCATTATTTAGATCAAACCTTACTGAGAGTCATTACCTAGATCAAATCACATAGGGTTCCTAAGACTATTAAAATGTCATTATTAAACATATAGAAGAACATCAACTGAAATCACTTTGTAAAGGCAAAAACCGGGACCTTAATGCCCCCTCATTTTCTTACCCCAATCTCCTTTTCTTGCTGCTATATTTTAAATCTTCTATTTTTTTTCAGCTTTATGTAGGTGCAGTTGACAAATAAAAATTTTATATATTCAAGGAGTACAATGGGGTGATTTGGGATACTTATACATTATAAAATGATCATCACAATCAAATTAGTTAATACATCCATTACCGCAATTACCATGTTATGTATGTGTGTAGTGGTAAGAACACTTAAAATCCATTCTCTTGACAAATTTCAAGTAAACAAAACAGTTTTATTAACTACAATCACCATGCTATAAGCTCCCTGCATCATAACTCATCTTATTATTAAAAGTTTATAATCTTTGACCTACACCTCCCTATTCCTCCTTCCTTCTAGTTCCTAGTAACCATCATTCTACTCTCTGCTTCTATGACTTTTTTAGATTCCACATGTACAGTTTTTGCCTCTTCTGCTTTCAGCTCGTACTGTGCATAGCCCTGTCTTACACTTAACCTTTACTTTGGTCAGTCCTTCTATTTGAGGTGTTCTCTCTTCCACTTTTGCCTATCAAAATCCTTCCCCAGTTCACATGTTCCCTTTTCAGGGAGCTTCACTCAGACGGAGGCTTTGCTTCATCACCTCATAGCATCTCGGCAATTTGAAGGTGACTGTCCTGCCTTCCATAGATTCACACCCTTAGGAGCCCAGACCTGTGAGACAGCAACAGGCATATGGTGGGTTCTTCATACAAATTAATTGCAAGAAAAAAACCAATAATGAAATCTTGTACTTCATGGTCTGTATGTTTCATAAGACTTAGACCGCGTATTTATCATTTTGTTCCAGGGACGTTCATTTTTCTCTTCTGTTGGATGGTAAGGAACATGAAGCCAGGAACTGTGTCAAGGATGTCCTGGTACTCTTCCCCTTCTTCCCATGAGAACCGAACACAGTGTCTTTCACTGAATAGGTACTCAGTAAAAATTATTTAACTCAGACAGTGCATAAATGAATAAATGAATTCCTATACTACGTGGTTCAACCACCCATATGGTTAAAATCCCAAATACCCTTGTATAGTTTGAGAGTCTTTCTCTTCATATTGAACCAGCAGATCTGTAACAGTGTACATGAACTGCAATATTGCCTGACTTCACACAGATTTCCGAGTGTAAACATCACTATTCCTTTATATCTGTCTTCCAAATCATACGCAACTTCTTTTGTGAATAATCCTAACACAGAGCCTACAGGGAGGGAATTCTGAGAAACATAGTTTCATTTTAGCTTAATTGCCACAATGCAAAACTCCTGACAAGACCATATTGTGGTGTTTGGTTATCATGGAGGAGATGTATTATAGGTACAGTCTTTGTTTTGTCTTGTTTTACTGATGTAAATTTTGATAATTAGACTACAGGTGAATCTCAAAAACAGTAACCAATTTGTTAAATGCATTAGTAACCAGTATACAGACAAAGCAAAAAACCCTCTCTTACCTTATTTCATTTGGGGCCAGAAGAAAATTTCACTGTCATGGCCAGTATTTAAATATTAGACATTTTACTATAAAAAAGTAGTAGAAAATTTCAAAGGAAATGTTATCTGATACAGAAACTCTACCATCAATCACTGAATGAATTTACAGATCCCTCCCCTGTTTCAATGGTCTCATTTCACTTGATGATACTTAGACTTGCAGATAGATCTTACTGCACTCTGAACTATGATTTGAGACATCACAACCAGGTCAGCTTGGGAGAGTCTTCCCACATCTCACCTGGTAAACCCAGAAGGAGTGCTCAACTATTTGGCAGAGCCAGGATTTCTGAGACCAACATGGACATGAACATCTGAAATTTGGGAACATCTAAAAATGTGTTTGTGGTTTTTGTCTCCTTTATTCTCTTTACTTCTCCCTTTCTTTTTTAATCCTTATTCCTTATCTAGTTATCATTTTTCTCTATTGTCTCACCTACTTTTCTGTTTTTCTTCATTCTCCCACCACTCTTAATCTCCCAGCCAATCTAAGCTTGTATACTACAAATTCTGTTATTTAGACCTCCTTTTATTTGTATTTTTTTGTTTGTTTGCTTGTTTTTGAGACAGGGTCTCCCCCTGTCACCCAGTCTGGAGTGCAGTGGGGCAATCTCAGCTCACTCTCATTGCCTCATTGCAGATTCAAATTCCCAGGCTCAAGTGATCCTCCCATCTCAACCTCCTGAGTAGCTGGGACTATAGGTACACGCCACCATGTCCAGCTAATTTTGTTCATTTTGTGTTATTTGTTACCCAGACTGGTCTGAAACTCCTGGGTTCAAGGGATCTTCCTGCCTTGACCTCCCACAAATGCTGAGATTACAAGCATGAGCTATACCATGCCTGGCCTATTATTCCTATCTAAATATCCCTCCATCCTTGACTCTATTTCTTATATTCTCCCCATCCTTTGACGCTCCACTCAGTGTTCACTTCCCCAGGAATCTTCCTCTAAGTTCTCTAGTGGGCACTTCCTCTAAGTTCTGTGGAAGGATCTCTCCCTCTGCAGAAGTCCTAACCTCTGAGAATCAGTACCTACCTTTTGCCACTCAGTACCCACTGTCTTGAGTTGTTTTACAAATGTCGCTGCACAGTATTGTCCGTAAACCACATATCCAAGGAATTCCATTAGCTCAATAACAGCATGCTGGCGCATCAAAAATTATTAATGAAAATGCATGCTCTTTTCAAGGCCCCGTTAATGTCCCTCTTCCATTTACTTCTTGCACTTCCCCTATTTTTTCTGTCATCACCTGATTTTCATTTACTTTTTCATGACCCTTCAGTTTCCTGTAGTATGAGGCTGTGAGATCTGCTCAGGCTGGAGAATAATTTGTTTTATACTAGGAGCTGGACCATGTATAAGGACACAACTGTGATATGGTAAAGTATATTCTGTAATATGCTTGTAATTGCAGAGCATCTGGCCAGAGTGAATTACTGTCATTTAAACATTCATAAACAAATGGCATAATTTGTACAACCATACATGTACTGACTAGATTTTAGAACTTTCCAAGATGTTTCATTGGAAGGGCTAAAGGAAGATTGTTATTTATTGCTGGGAATTTAGGAGATACATATCTCATGAGGAACTAACTCTTGATACATATCTTTGTCAAAACTCTTGTCCTATCAGACAAAACCATCTATTGTCTGATAGGAAAGAACTCTGTGGACTTGGGCAGTAGAGCCACAATATGGAAGTCACCCAATAACCTGAGATGCCACCTGGAGATGAGTGTTTTACATCAACGACAAACAAAGAAAAATCTACCCAAGCAGGAACACCTGCCTCAGACTATTGAATTAGAGAGAAATTTATCGTCATAACACACTGACTTTTTCTACTATCAGAGAGATCAGTGACACACAAGGCTGGCCACAGGCTGATAGTAGTGGCTTGGGTGGATTTTGCCCACTTTGTATTGCCATACTCCATTCTTCTGATATCAGCACCCTAATATTCCTAGGAAACTATTCCTGCCTTGAGATCCTGTGGTTTCAGTGGGTTGAACCCATCTCTCTTCAGATTCAGAAGTGTGCATGTGACCCAGAACTCACAATTACCATATCAAACCCTCCTCCTCCACAGTGATAAATGGACACATGACTGAAATTTGGTCAATTAAAATTGTTATTAGGCCTTTTGTACATGTTGCAAAGAAAGAAACATTACATTTACAGAGGGCTTACGTTTATAAGAAAGTCATCGTAGAGGTTCTAGGCTTCTCTGTGGAGAATGCCTGTCAGAGAAAACAGAATTAAGATACAGAGAAAGCTTTTTGGCGATATCTTGTGCAAATTTGAATCCAGCCATACCTGAACAAGGTACTCATGGTGTTAGTGGTGGAAGTTATTCACTTTACCTGTGGTGAATCTGTATAGGTCTGCAGCTACCTCAGTTCTTGCCTCCTCAGAAAAAAGAATTCTACTGAGGGGCATAAGGTAGAAAAAGAGACTGGGCCAGGTGTGGTGGCTTACATCTGTAATCCCAGCACTTTGGGAGTCCAAGGCGGGTGGATCACAAGGTCAAAAGATTGAGACCATCCTGGCCAACATGGTGAAATGCTGTCTCTACTAAAAATACAAAAATTAGCTGGGAGTGGTTGTGGCGCACCTGTAGTCCCAGCTACTCGGGAGGCTGAGGCAGGAGAACCCGGGAGGCAGAGTGAGCCAAGATTGTGCCCGTGCCCTCCAGCCAGGCAACAGAATGAGGCTCCATCTAAAAAAAAAAAAAAAAAAACCACTTAGGCATGTGTCAGAGCAGAGCAGGAGTGGACATTTATTAGAAAGCTTTAGAGAAGGAATGAAAGAAAGGAAAGAACACTTGGAAGAGGCCCAAGCAGGCATCTTGGAAATTAAGTGCCCCATTTGACCTTGAACCTCGGATTTTATATGTGACTGACTTCCACTGTTTTGTACTTTTCCCTTGATTCTTCCTTTAGGGTGAGCCACCCACATGTGCGGTGGCCTACTAGTGCCTGGGAGGTGAGCCTGCCGAGTGTGTTTACTGGAGTTGCATGCGTGCTCACCTGAGGCATTCTTCCCTTTTCCGGTGGAATGCTCCTGGAAAGTTATACTCCACTATTTTGCCTCTTAATGCACAAGCTTGAGGCCACTCACCCAATTCCTGATAGCTGCCAATTACCTATTTCATGTGTGTTTATCTATTGGGGAACTGCTTTATGTTGGCGCTAGCTGCAACTAATTCTTATTTTAGAGAGGCAGTGTGACAACCACCTGCCCATCACCTGACATTCCTAGTACCCACTACACCCTAGGGGGAGCCCCGCTCAAGCCTGACTAGTTACCTGATGTAACAAACAGCTTTCAGTTATGTGAGCACATAAATCTCCCTTTTCCAGTTAGTATATCAGTTTCTGATTGCCGCTGTAACAAATTACCAAGAACTTAGTGGCTCAAAACAACACCAATTTACTTTTTTTTAATTTTTTATTTTATTTTATTTTATTTATTTATTTATTTTGAGACAGAATCTTGGTTATTCACCCAGGCTGGAGTGCAGTGGCATGGTCTCAGCTCATTGCAACCTTCGCCTCCCAGGTTCAAGCGATTCTACTGCCTCAGCCTCCTGAGTAGCTGGGACTACAGGTGCCTACCACTGCGCCCGGTTAATTTTTGTATTTTTAGTAGAGATGGGGTTTCTCCATGTTGGCTAGGCTGGTCTCGAACTCCTGACCTCAAGTAATTCGCCCACTTTGGCCTCCCAAAATGCTGACATTACAGGCATGAGCCACTGCGCCCAGCCCCAGTTTACTTTCTATAGCTCTGGCGATCAGAAGTCTGATTTCAAGCTGAAGTCAAGCTGTTGGCAGAGTTGGTTCCTTGTGGGGGCTCTTGAAAAAATCTGTTTCTTTGTGAAGGGAATCAAACTATTTTCCCCAAATATATTTCTTTCACATATTTTAAAATGGCTATTGCAGTACCAGCAAAATGAGGTGGCCCTGCGAAGCTGCCTTTGGTAGAGGAAAATTTGCGTCTATAGAGAATTTTCATTAATACATCCATGCCTCATTTTTTAGGCATTTCCTGAATCTAGGAGAGTTGAACTGTGAGTCTGACACCTTTAAAGATCTGAAATCAATATTTAGCATTTATTCTGTCTGAGGGCTGCTACTTGTGAGGCTTCACCTACATAATAAGACCCTCTCTGCTAGCCAAGCCTCTTCTTTTCTCCTTCCCATAACTTGTCTTGCCACTAAAACTGATTTACCAGTGTAACCTGTTTTCAGCCATGCTCTGAGCCAACATCCTTTCTGTACTACTTTAAGATGGTATATAAGATTCTGTGCCTCATTGGGAGGTTGGGTCATCATTCTCAAGACTCCTGTGTATACATATTAAATAAATGTACATGTCTTTCCTTCTATTAATCAATCTGCCTCAAGTCAGTGATTTTTCAGTGAACCTTTATTGGGGAAGGGTCTTGGTCCCCTACATTTGCTTTTCTCTGCTTCTGGAGATTGCCCACATTTATTTCATCATGGCCCCTTCTTAAAGCCATCAGTGTAACGTTTTTTCTTGTTCTGTCTCTGGCCTTTCTGTCTCCTTATAAAGACCTTAAGATTGCTTTGGGCCTCTTGGTTAATCCAGAATAATCTCCTCATGTCATGATCCTTCAATTAATCATATTTGCAACATACCTTTTACCACATAAGATAACAGGTTTGTAGGAATTAAGACATGGGCATCTTTGGTAGGGCTCACAGCATTATTCAGCCTACCACACAAATCCTATCAGTGTGATTTGGATTTCTATCACTTGAACCCTAAAGAGTTGTTCTGAACCCTTTATCCTCTGGTCCTTAAATCTTACAGAACATGTGTTTGTAGGCTGTACTCATGGCCCCAGCTGCAAGAAGAAAGACCAGAATGCAAATGTGAGAGGAAGTAAGCAGGCCATTATACAGGGAAACATAAAACACAGAGATTGACAAAGGATACCTAGTAACCATTTGATGCAGGATTTTTCTCAGCCACTTTGCCAGTCGGAGACCTCTGGCCAGCGACGCCCCTGTCCTGTCCTTGCTTGGCCCCAGCTTTGCTGCAGGACTTCCCCTCCCCATTTGTCCCGCTGGGCTGTGCTTGGCTTGCACTCCAGCGGAGATCCTGTGGTCACCAGGGACTTTTATGGGCTCAGAATAGGGAGTGCATGCTGATTGGTTTGGGAATATGCAAAAACAAAAGCACCACTCAAAGGTGGGCACAACAGTGTAAAAAAACAATTAGGGAAGGTTAGGTATATGCAAAATAGGTGAAGGGTAGGGACCAATCAGAGGAAACCATGCCAAACAGGAAGAGAGTTTCTCAATCCAGTCTGTAGATTTATCTGAGACTTGTAGCCTAGCTTTTCAGCTTTAAACTGTCTTTGGTTTGAAGGTGGGGTTTCACTAGGGACCTGCTCCTGTCTGCCTAGGATTTGTCTGCCTTCTGCCACTATCACATTTTTGAAAGATAAGCCATATACTGTATTCTTCAGTGGGGATCCACCTGCTTTCTCTTAGAATACTTCTTTCCTTTCAAAATGATGTGAATCTCATTATTTTTCTGGAGTCAGGAAGTTCTGAAGACTTCAGGCAAGTGATAAGACACCTTCAATTCACTCTATGCAGGGCAGGGGCTTCTAGGCCACTCCATTGAGCAAACTTCTAGTTCAAGCTAAATATCAAAGGAGAAAGCAACACAGATTGCAAGAAGGTCTTGATCTTGCTCCAAGAACTCACTTTATATGAACCCCTCACAGCAAGAAGCTTCTGTAGCTGCTCTTCCAAGGGCCAAGAGGCCATGACCGATTAAAACAGATCTAGGGCTTCCTGCCAAGGGAAACTACAGGGGCTGGCCTAGCCCTTGTTCAGTGAGGACTGTGTCACTAATATAATCTCTTCTTTGAGTCTTGTTAACACTTGCATCACTACAATGGGGTTTTACATCTCAGGCTGTATGTCTTCTCTAGCCCTTGGATTAGCCCTTGTAAAAAAATTTAATTTGTTTAAACAGGAGTACTTAAAAGCCTCCCAAAGAATTGAAAGCATTTGACAAGTTAAACCCTAACAATGTGTTTATTTTTCTAATATAATTTCAAAAAATAATATGTATTAACTACTAAGAGTAACCAATTCTAGAATATATTAAAATGATTTGTAGAGTACAGTTTAAAGCAAATTTTCCATTATCTTTATAGCATCACTGTAAAAAGAGTATTTTATATCCTTTTTAATAGAATTAAAAAACTGAGGGTCAGAAAATATAATTTATTTGCGTAACATCCCATTGTTTGAAGTGGCATCCCTGTGACTTTAATTCAAGCCTAATCTATACTATTGCATTATACCACAGCTGCTGTTAAAAAAACAATAATTAGGATTTTAGTGCATTAGAGCTCATAAGTCTATTCCATATACATCATCTAATTTTATAATGCCCCAAATAGTTAACTATTTGCCTGAAGGAACATGGCAGGTTAGTGGCTTAGCTGCAGCTGGAAGCTGCTCTCAGGGACATTCTATCATGTCTATTTCCATGGCATCATAACATGCCAGTAATAAGCACAGGGTCATTTAATATGTGCTTCTCTTTTCTCAATGGCAGTGAGACATTCTAGTCTAATTATTCAAATGGACATATTGTTAACTAAGAAGGTAAATTCAGGCCCCTTGGAGGCCATAAGAATAACTCAAGGGAAGGTGATAGCAGTGGGAAGCCCTGGTTGCCCTAAAGCCAGGTCTTAAGGAGCAGTATTTGGGCAGTTGGCCCCTGCCCTCAGGATCTCTGTGGGATAACCTTGATGACTCACTGGAAAAGTGATCTGTGGCACAGACTTTGGCATCAAATAAATCTGTGTTAGGTTGGACTGGCTTGGCTTATTACAGACTTGGTGGCCTTGGACATTTGTTTTCTGATCTATAACGTGGGATGCAACTAAAGCCTACTTCATGAAGAAGCTGTGCCAGCTAACTGAAATGATGCATATAAAGTACTTCACACTTCCTAGCACAAATGGAGAGGGAGACTAGAGAGAGATGTCTTCACTTGGAGGTATTGATAGGGTTGAGGCTAGATGGGAAAGAAAGGGCAATGGGATTGAATGTTGGATTTGTGTTCTGCTTTGTTCTCAAAATTGATTCTCAGCTGTTATCAAATTTGTCTTGTTTTCCTTACTCTGTCATTTACATAGCCGTAGACAACTTATAAGGTACTTGAAAAGGGAATTAGCTCTTTGAATTCTCACAACCAGTCTATGAGAGAGATCCTGAGGAGTGAGTCAGATCCTGACATGGGGAGAGGAACTTGCTGATAGTTACACTTTGAACATCTGGCAGGGCAGAGGCCAGAAATTATCTCTTTGTTATCTTCAGTTGGACAGCCTCCTCTTGGCTCACCAAGACAAACACAGCAGAGCCATGAAGCTGAATGTTAGAATGTCATCAAAAAAATCATCTATTAGCCTCCCACCCAAAGTAAGACTTCACTGTGCCAACGTCTCCGCTGGGCAGCTCCTTGAGACCCTAGGCTGACCCTTCTTTCACTGGGCAATTCTCCTTTACACTGTGCTCAAACCTGCCTCCAGTCCCCAGTTTCACCATTCACTCAGGGTGCAAGCTTTGTGTTTTCCTGTATTTTTCAAAGCACAAGTAGTCTGCTCTATCAAAAAGGACCAACTCATTGTTCCTTAAATATATTGGCCTATTGTAAATACTCTTGTTTAATTAATCTCCAGGGGGTCTAAAATATACTTTCCCTCATTCTATTTCTGCTTAAACTGTAACTCCTAAAATATGTCTCTATGTATAAACTTCTAAATTAAACTAATTTGCTCATCCTTCACTAATTTTCATAGTCCCTTCTCCTTTGAAGGTATTTATTTTCTGAGTATTTGGCAATTAATCACACACACAGATTTGTGACACCATTCACGTGCATTCATGCCTCACTTATATTGGGTTCTTTTTGAGGGCAAAAGAGTGCCATGTTTACTTTATTTTATCTTCATCTTGCAAACAAGTATTTGGCACATCGTAAAAAGTTCAAATAATTTTTATATGATTTGATTGGATTAAAATCTAATATTACAGAAATGTTAAGTCTGGAATTAGGGTTCCACATTCTTCACATTAATAGTGTCTTTTTGTTGAGTCCCTACTATACAACATATGCTTTGCTGAGTGATCTTCATGCATTATATGATCTAACACTTGGAATGATTCAATACCAGAAATATATTCACCATCATTTGACATATGACTAAACTGAGACATAAATGGGTTAAGTAACTTGCCAAGACGTAAACAGTTGGTAAAATGATGGAGTTCAGCTTTTAGGCCAGGACATCTGATGGCAGAATTCATACTTTTTAACTTACTACTATATTCTGTCTAAAGATTTGGTTGATTCTGTGATTCCCTTGCACACAGCGGGAACACAGTAAGAGTGGTTTCTTGATAATGTCGGCAGCTGCTAATAATGTTGACTGATGAGATGCCAATTAGGAAAGCTGTTCTTACCTCAAGTTCCAGGAAACTGAACTGTCTCTAAATGCAGGATTTCTAATACAGTTTGGATTCTCTTCCACCTACAGTAAAAGAAGGGGAAATTCCATAAGAAGCCTCTAGTAATTAGAAGTCAGATTTTAACTACAGTGTTGTTGTTATGTTTAAAACTCATCGTTTTGGTTTTACTGCCACCTGCAAGATCTGAAAGCCTTTTCCATTGTTGCACACTTGCCTCTTGCAACATGCAAATACCTAAGGGACCTCAGTGAAAATTCATTTTTCTAGAAATTCCTTTCTCATCATAATTGGCCAGCTGCTATATTTTCCCCACAATGTGCCTAAAACATACATTTTTTTTATCTCTAATAGAAACATTACTTGTCCTTTTCTTGTAAGCAATGGGTGAGAACGTCTAACCTTGAAGACAGAGAAATGGGATAGAATATTTCTATTTAGGGTAAAATATCCTTTTAGAATTCATGGTAATTTTTTGTCCTCTGAACGAATGTTTCAAGCTACTTCTGGGTTCTGCGTCTGCGTGTAGATCAGAAGTTTTGTTTTTGCATGATCTGTATTTTTTTCATAATTTGAATTTTCATTGTTAATAACTTGAAAGTCTCCGTATCATCTTGGTATATTTGTAACCATCCAATGGCTTTACCTTGCCTGCTGCCTAGATAGAACTGATATCTCAAGACAGGAGAATTGCAATGGAGAAAGAGTAATTCAGAGATGGCTGTGTGGGAGACAGGAGTTTTATGATCACTCAAGTATCCCCAAAACCTTGGAGATCAGAGTTTTTAAGAATAGTTTGGTGGGTGGGGGCTTGGGAAGTGGGGAGTGCTGATTGGTCGGGTTGGAGATGAAATCATAGAGGGTCGAAGTGAGTTCTTCTTGCTGTCTTTTGTCCGTGGGCGGGATCACAGAAATGGTTGAGCCAGATTACTGTTCTGGGAGGTGTCAGCTGGTGCATCAGGTGCAGGGTCTGCAAAATGTCTCAAGCATTGATCGTAGGTTTTACAATAGTGATGTTATCTCTAGGAGCATTTTGGAGAGGTTTAGACTCTTGCAGCCGGGGCTGCATGGTCCCTAAACTGTAATTTCTAATCTTGTAGCTAATTTGTTAGTCCTGCAAAGGCAGGCTGGTCCCCAGGCAGGAAGGGGGTCTTTTCAGGAAAGGGCAATTATTAATTTTGTTTCAGAGTCAAACTATAAACTAAATTCCTTTCCAAGATTACTTCAGCCTATGCCCAGGAATGAACAAGGGCAGTTTAAAGTTAGAAGCAAGATGGAGTCGGTTAGGTCTGATGTCTTTCTTTGTGGTAATTTTTGCAAAGGAAGTTTCATATTTAGAATACATGTGCTGTTTATAAGGAAAAGAGATAGATTTCACTTCTTTGACACTTTTATATTTGGGTAGTTAACAGTCTTTCCTTCTAGAAATTAATTAGGCTTTGACTGGATCCCGAATAAAAGGTCATTGTAACCTACCTGTCATAATGGATATGACAGCAAAAAAGTTAACTTAGTATAGGTCACATAGCAGTGGCAAGCTAGGAATGGTCAAAGTAGCAGTCCTACCCTTTATCTAGAAATGCCCATCTTTTATACTTCCTTTTATAGAATAAAGGCAAGTCTAGGACAACTGGTGTCATATCTCACAATCTTCAAACTGCGTGGTCTTCTCCAGAGTTCTCCAACTTTTATGACCTCAGACTCACTGGGACAGATTTTTAGGTTAGAGATACATGAACTCCAGGATACAGATATCACAAATGTTGAATAAGACATGGGAATTCATGGTTGTACGAGAAATACAAGCTGTGAAAGGAAAATAAATCTCAGGACCCGGGAATCACTAGGCCAAATGAAAAAGTCAAGTTGGGAGTTGCGTCAGAGAAACCTGCCTGACATTTTATTCTTAAATAAGATAGCTACAAATATAAAAAGCTATATACCTCCTTCACAATTTGCCCACAAGGCAATTCCTTGTGAACAAAGGACAGACAGAACTTAGGCATCCCTCTGCTCACCTGAGACAAATGACCATCTAATTGCTTCCTCTGCCCTATTGTTTCACTAAACCAGACTAAGGCATAAGTGACTATTCTTCTACCTTCCTCTCACATGTAAATTCTGTGTCTGGTGAAAAGCTAATCAGAGACTAAAAAGAAAGCAACCATTTGTCTCTTATCTACCTATGACCTGGAAGCCGCTTTCCCTGCCTTGAGTTGTCATGCCTTTTCTGGATTGGACCAATGTACATCTTTTTTTTTTTTTTTTTTGAGAATCTCACTCTGTCACCCAAGCTGGAGTGCAGTGGCACAATCTCGGCTCACTGCAACCTCCACCTCCCGGGTTCATGCCACTTTCCTGCCTCAGCCTCCCCAGTAGCTGGCTGGGACTACAGGCACCCGCCACCACGCCTGGCTAATTTTTTGTCTTTTTAGTGGAGACTGGGTTTCTCCATGTTAGCCAGGATGGTTCGATCTCCTGACCTTGTGATCCACCCACCTTGGCCTCCCAAAGTGCTGGGATTACAGGCATGAGCCACAGCGCCCAGCCAGACCAATGTACATGTTACACATATTCATTGATGTCTCATGTCTGCCTAAAATGTATAAAACCAAGCTGTGCCCCAACCACCTTGGGTGCCAGTTGTCAGGACCTCCTGAGGCTGTGTCATGGGTGCATCCTTAACCTTGACAAAATAAACTTTCCAAATGGACTGGGATCCACCTCAGATACTTTTGGGTTCACACGGTGAATCTGAAGATTTACCAGACTTGGATCCCACTGATTTTAACCACATTCTGATCAGTTTGACTGAATTCAGCCCACCTGAAGAAGGCTCTGAGTGAATAAATATCACTAACTGGGAGATGGGATAGGAGGCCTCAGGTTTACTTTCAGTTTAAACAGTAACTTATTGTGAGTATTGGACAAGTCATGTAACCATGCTGTTTCTTCATCATAAAAGGGTGAAAGTTGGATTAGATCATCTTAGTGACCTCTAGGATCTAGAATTAATATTCTGTGATAGGTAAAAATAGTTTGAAATAGAAATATATGGGTAGCTTGGCCAATTTTATACCCCCTCTCTGCTGCCTTCCTCTTTGCAGTCCAGAAAGCAAGGCCACAGCCACCCACAATCTGCTTCTATTTTTGAGGGGTGCCTCAGCCAAGGAAAGCCACACAATGAAGAGAAGCAAAGATAGTTTTTAGGAGGTTTTCTGTCTACATTCAAGTCACAAGTGACAAGACATATTTTCAGAGGAAGGAGGAAATGCACTGGGTTTGTAGCAAGAAAAGAGAAAGATAAACTCTTGATAAGCCGAGAGAATCTGTTGTAGAATCTTGAAGACACATTTACCCTCGATCAATCCCTCTGATAAACTTTAGGAGGGTTCTTTGCCCTATTTTTCATCTGTAATCCTTTGTGAACTTTGTAAGATAACTACAGTTGTATGCTAAAAGTCAAAAACAATTTAGATGGGGGGAGAGGAGATAAAACAAATTTTTTTTAAAAAGTTGGCCATAAGTATATATATTTCTCCAGGCAAATATTTAATAAGAATTAACTAAGGATATTGGTGGGTTATTTTCTTAAGTGTTTCTCCAAATCCACTCCATGGATCATAAATATAATTCTCTCTAAATGCTCCTAGAAATTTCTTTGTATTTTGGTATGCAAATTTAGAGAATATTATCACCCTACATGCAGCTCCATCTTGTGCATTAGAATATTAAAGGTATTTGTAAGTCCAGCAGTTAAAACATAATAAATGCTTATTAAACTTAATTATCAAAATGTCCTGCCTCCCTCCCCAAAAATGCATGTGTCAATTACCTGCCTGGCTAGTGTTCTGTGGAAAACAGATTGCCAGTTAGAATTGTTTGAGTTATACACAGAGCAACTGCAAAGCTCTGAAGGTTGCCGTTAACCTTGCAGTCATCACAAATATGTGTGGCAGTTAGACCATTTTTTGTTTGTTTGTTGAAAGATGCCACTAAGGAATGCCATCACTTGAGGGAGTGATGCACATTTTTTTCTAAGTCACAGTAATTCACCTTGCATGGTAGTGACAGAGTAAGGAAAATAATATTTCAAATAGAGCACAGTCAATGCTCCTGGCAGAGGTGTAGGAAGGAGGATACCTCTTATCTTCATGACAGGTTTTCTCTTTAAGATGCTAAACTGAATTGCCTTCTTCCAGGATTTTTAATAGACAGATAGCTGATGTTTCAGGGGAAATTAAAGTCAATTGGTTTTGGATATACCATAACTTCAGCTGGACATGCTTTTATTTTTTCTTCTTATGAATTTAATAAAAAACTATCAGCAAACAAATGGCTATCATTTGCAATTGAAGCAGTGAGAATTTCAAACATCTGATTTTCTATTGCTGTGTACATTGGGATTCATGGAATGAATTAGCCTTAGGAGTCTGGTTACCTACTGGATTTGCACATTGCAGTTGCTCGAGCAATGGAGGAGTAGACAAAATTTCTAAGTTCTAATGTTGACTCTGTGATCCATATGACTTTTGCTATGTAAGTATTATACTATATACCACAGTTTCCTCATGTGGAAAATGGACTCTATCATGGCCACTATGTAGAGACCAAATGTATTAAATGACATAAACATATGAAATAACTTTGTAGACCCAAACACTCTAGTACCTAAATGGCTACTTAGGTAACTGTGCTGATTTTTAAGCTCTTGTCTCCTAGCTTCAAATCCATCCTTATGTTTGTTATTCTATGTTGCTAGAAGCTAGATGTCCACTACATTTCTGGTTTGCTAGATGCTCTTTGTTAAATTCTACCAATAGGTCACATTATTAGGCAGCCAGAAAGCTGGAGAAAGGAAGATATTTCCTCTGTTTGCCTCCTGTTAGCATTTCATTTATTGTTCTTTTGGGCTTCCTATCCTATAAGGAAGACCCTAGCAAAGGTCACGTTTGCAGCAGCAGTTTATTCTAGTACTACTTGTTGATTCCACGTTAAGGTTTTTACAATTGCAGAACCATCCTCCTCATGTACCTCAGAGAGTCTAGTACCAGTCTAACAGCACCCTTTCTTCAGAATTCTGGGTCCCAAACAAATGGGGCTTCTCTTAGATTAGTGTTACCAACATTCGCCAAGCAATAACCTCTTATTTTCACAGGTTTGATTTTTCTTTCCTGTGAACTCCAAGTTTCCGAGTTTCTAATCTCTTCTCATTGTTTCTCACCTCCATTGTTGATAGCTGCTTTCTGTGGTATCTCAGATCTTTATAATTTCATGAAACTTGAATGGGTTTTCAATACCTAAATAACACTTCTGTATAAATGGCATTATTTTTCCTCTCTTGAGTCCTTACAAATTTATGATCCAGGATTTTTTTTCCCTACCACATATTTGCTCCTGGTTTGCATAATGAAATACATAGGCTTAGTCTTTACTTCTATAAACAATTATGGCATAGTCTTCTATGGAAAACAGGCATGGTCTTATTTCTATAAAAAATTACAAGTTCTTTATTATTCATTCATTTATTCAACAATTTACAGTTAAATATCTTATTCTCTTGGTTTAGCTTAATGGTCCCACTTCTGCTAGAGACATGAACTGAATAAATAGTTTTCTTTGCTTTTAAAACTACTGAGAATTTAAGTGCAATTGCTATATAGGACAACCATCTTTTGAGTTCATAGTTGAGAAATAATTGGGAGTAGTGGGGATTGTGCAAACTGGAAAGTACACTCTGAAGGGATAGCCCTATTTTCAGGTACAGCTCACTGTTAACAGAGACAAATGTAGACTCAGAATTTCTGAATTTTTCTTTCTTTCTCTTTTTAAACAAAGGACAAGAAATAGAGATTTTTATTTGAATCTTCTGATTTTAAAATATTAGCCACTTTCTAAAAATAAAATAATATGCAGGATACCTTTGTGCAAGACATACAAAGCTCACCTATAAACCAGATTTGATCCCCTGAGCGCCAAATGGCAACTTCTATTTTATAGAATCCAACACCTATGACTGACAGCCTGATTTGAATGCATATTCTCACGCTATATGATAATCATGTTAGCAGCAAAAGAGGGAGGACAAGTATCTTCTAATCAAGAAGAAAGATTCTGTTATTAATAGAAGCAATTGAACATATAATCATGATTTCAAAAAGATCTATTGCTGAACAAGTGCGCTCTGTTTCTGGAACCATTTAGGCAAAGTATAACATTGCAAAAGTCACTGTTAGGAATTGATACAGAATTAGAAAGATACCATTATAAAATGCTATTTTACAATACTTGAAAATAATTAATATAATCCAAATATAGACCTTGAAATAGTAACATCACATTTAAGACAAATGAGTTGTGCAGCACTTGCATGTAATAAATCACTGTTACTGCTTGAAAAAATGTGGTTAACATTGATGGAGGCAAACACAGAATGGCGTTTTTAGTAGCAAGTTTTCAGAACTCTTTTTAGGGGAATGAACAGAGTTAATATAAACTGAGAGATATTTTTGCTTATGGTGGCAGATGGAGAAGGTAGTATTTATATTGTGAAGATTTTGTTTTTGAAGTGTAATTGAGTTTACAAATCAATCATGTAATCAACAAGTCAATCATTTTAAGTTCCTATTTCTAGTAAATGCTTGAGAAATATCTAATACACTCTGTTTTTCCTTTCCTCTGCTTGTTTTCAAGTGATTCCATTTGCCTGGATGTATTCCCCCTCCTACTGCTTGTCCAATTGCCAGTTTTAAAATTGTTACTTATGGCACAGTTTTTTTTATTATGGTAAAAAATATAATGCAAAATCTTTCCACTTAAATATTTAAGCGTACAGTACAGTATGGTTAACAATATGCACATTGTTGTACAGCATATCTCTAAATCATTTTCATCTTGCATGACTGAAAATGTGTACACATTGAACATCAACCATGCAATTACCTCTCCCTAGTCCCTGGCAACCACCATTCTATTTTTAGCTTTGATGAGTTTGACTATTCAGGATAGCTCATAAAAGTGGAGTCTTACAGTGTTCATTTTTCTGTCACTGGTTTATCTTGCTTAGCATGATATCCTCAAGATTCATTCATGATGTAGCATGTGACAGATTTCCTTCTTTTATAAGGCTGAATAATATTCCCTTGTGTGTGTGTTTTATCTGTAGAAACATATATAACATATAACATATAAAACACAAATGACATATATAACATCTGTATATGTTATATGTGGATAACATATACATAACATATATTTCAGGCAAATGGGATCATTAATCATTTTTATATATATATATATATATATATATATATATATATATATATATATATAAACATTTTTTATTCCATTCATCCATCAGCATATATTTAGGTTTTTACTGCCTAAAACAATCTGTTTTTACTGTTTTTATGGTAAATTATAAATGATGCTGCAATAAAAACATAAGTGCAAGTATCTCTTGGAGATCCTTATTTGAAATGTTTTCAATAAATATCCAGAAATGGGGTTACTAAATCGTAAGGTGGTTCTATTTTTAATTTTTGAGGAGCCTCCATACTGTTTTACATAGCACCTACTCCATTTTACATTGCCACCAACAGTGCACTGGGTTCCAATTTTCCACATCCTCACAAATATTTGTTATTTTCTTTCTTTTTTCTTTTATTTGCTTTTCTCTTTATATATGCATATATTTACACTCTCATATACATATATAAATATGTACAAATTCTATATAATTCTCTATATATAATATTCTCCATATAATTCTACATATACACATTATATTCTATTTATAAATATACGTGTGTATGTATATGTTTATAAATACTATATATATAGTATTTGCTAGTATTTTCTTAACAATTTTGACATATATTCATGAGAAATATTAAACTGTAGCCTTCTTTTCATGCAGTATCTTTATCTGACTTTGGTATCAGGGTAATACTGGCTTCATATAATGAATTTGGAAGTATACCATCTAATTCAATTATTGCAAGAATTTGAAAAGGCTTGGCATTCATTCTTTTAAGAATATTTGATAGAATTCTTCAGTGAAGACAGGCCTTGTGCTTTTCTTTGTTGGAAGGTTTTTGACTACTGATTGAATCTCTTTACTAGCTATAAGTATTTTCAGACATTCTCTTTCCTTGTGATTCCATTTTGTTATATTGCATGTTTCTATGTATATTATATATATTATTTATATGTATATTATATATATTATTTACATATTATATATATTATATTATATATATTATAATATATATAATATACTATATAATATACATATATGTTAATAATATATAATATATGTTAATAATATATATAATATACATAGAAATATATAAATATATATAAATATATATAATATAAATATATATTTGAAATATATATTTCAAATATATATATAATATATAAATATTAATATAATATAATATATTATATTATATATAATAATATATTATATATATTATAACATAATATAATATATAATATAATATATATTATATTATGTTATTATATATAATATATCTTATTACATATATAATATATTATATTATATATAATATATTATATAATATATTATATAATATAATATATTATATATTATATATATTATATTATATATATTATATATAATAATATATATTATATATAAAATATATAAATACATATATTTTATATATATGTAATATATATATTCTCACCTGAGCCTCTGGAGTAGATGATGGTACAGGCATTCACCAACATGCCTGGCTAGTTTAAAAAAGCAAAACAAGACCAAAAAAAAAAAATATATATATATATATAGAGAGAGAGAGAGAGAGAGACAGGGTCTCACCATATTGTGCAGGCTGATATCAACCCCCAGGGTCAAGTGATACTCCTGTCTCAGCCTCCCAAATCACTGGAATTTCAGGCACGAACCACCATGCCTGGCATCGTTGTTTTCCTTGTAGTCTATGCTTAACGAATTCCAAAGCTAAAAACTTATTCATGTCTTCTTCTGAACTACACACAGATGACACTACCTGACTGTCAGAAATATTCAAAAAGATCACAGAGTAATCTTCAATAGAAAATAATTTTAGCAGAATATATTTTCTATTCCAACATATATTCAATTTATCTAGTGCTTCCTATCTCATCAAGTGGCATTATTCTCTCTTCCAATGATAAAAGCCTTAAACTCACACATTCTTCCATCCCCTGATCACCCAAGTTAATCAGTTACTAACTCAAATTCCTCTTCTCAGTTTTCTAAACGTTACCAATTTCTTCATTTTCTCAGTGATAATTGCCTTACTTGTTCTTCCTAATCCCACTGTGGAAGATATATTCCACCTGCTATCTAAACTACTGCAATAAGTTTTGAACTGGTCTTGCTGCTTCAAGTTGCTCCCAGGTAATACATTGTATATTTACATTACAGTTAGTTTTTTTTTCTTTAGCACAAATTTGATCCACTACCTTGCTTAAAATTCAGTGGCATAAATTTGAAATTTTTGTCATTGTTTAAAGGATATTTATTATCTGGGTTTTGTTTGACTCTACAGTTTTATCTCAGTTTTACTCATGTGCGTTTCACTCCTATAAATATATAGAATCATCTTCATTTAATTGAACTTGCCATAATCTTGAACCTCATGTTAAATATTACTAATTTGGGAATCCATTCTTGACCTCTTTAACTTTTTTCCACTCTGTACTAAATATTATCTTTTATGCATTTCTAGCTTTCAGTTCACTGCATTGTAATAATTTATTTGCTTCCTGATTACACCAATTAGACCAGAGTTATCAAAGAGGTTATAAGTTTCTCATGAGCTCTTCGTAGTTGGTAGATACTGCATGAACCTCTGTGTTGAGATGAGTCTAAGATTTTCTTTCCTAGGTCCTTTGGGGAAAATATGCCATGAAAAGCCTGTAATCTCTGCAAAGGAAAAGAGAGAAAAGGAGTGGTTGAATAACTAACTGTTTTTGTAGTCATTGACTATATTTTTGAAGCAGGTGCTAGGATAAAGCCCTATCATATATCAAATACTGCATTTGATTCATTGTATGTTTAATTAAAACTTCAAAACTCTATTATGCAGTGTATATTATGCCAATTTTTAAGGAGAATAATTAAATTGCTCATTTTATTCCTTGTCTAGGGACACAGAGTAAATGTAAACAGAATAAACCCATGTCTAGTCTACTTTGGAATCCATATTCCTTTTAGGAGATAAAAGAAAACAAACACGTAATGATGAATGTTCTCTTAATTAAATGGACTGGTGAGAGTATTTTAGAAATATACAGTCTGAACTAGATAGTCTAAGAATAGACAAGATGTAAAAGAAGACATTGTTCCTTCACTCAGGAAGCCATTTTGGAATGTGACATAACATAAAATAACTGGACAAAAAATAAGTGTAGACTATGGTCTATATTCATAATTGTTTTGGGAAAGCCAATTAGAGAAAGAAGAAAAGGAGCTTTGAAATTGGTATCTTTTTAAAATTTTCACCCACTTTTATAATAGCTATCTCTTAGTCCTCGTTCTCTGCCAAAGGCAAAGTGATGTTTATCTAACATCTCTTCCTAGGGTAGGGATTGGAGAAATTATTACCCTTGGGGGTCCAGTTCGTTAATGTGCTTTGTGAATTCAGCTCTCTCTTGTGCCCCCAAATGTAAGATTTTATTGACTGTCCTGCTTGCGCTTGTTGTTAGGTTGGGGATAAGGCTTCCCTGCAGCTTTCTGCAGCTTGAACAAAAGCAAAAGAACCCTGGCTTCATCATTTCTTCAGTTATAAATAACAGACCTTATATTATGCTAATACAGGTGCGGAGGCTGGGAACTCTCTAATGCAGAGTTAAGTCCTTGTCACTATAACAAATGACTTTCTTTTCCTTTTCTTAAAAAAAAAAAAGACCTCAGGTACAGTAATTTTTTCCTATTTCTAGTGACTCTAATAAGAGGGACAATTACCTTGCAAGCAGAATCTCAACTTTGACAGTGTTAGTTTCATCTTTCACTTACTTTCAAAGATTTGTTATCTGCTGTTATTATAACCGTTTCCCAATTATTATTATTACTTTATGTCTAACTCTATTTTTATTAAGCATCTGCTTTATGCAAGCATTGTACCACAAGCTAGGCCTCCTTTATTCCCTATAAAAGTTCTGTATAATGTCATTAGGTCTTTCAGTTTGTTCTAATGTGGTCAACTTCCCATAAGTTTTACTACCATTTGTATGTAAAACTCTATTTTTTTTTCTTAGAATGTATGGGTGAGAACTGACTATATTACTCATAATATTATCTAAACAATACACACAATAATGTGGATTTTATTTCCCTGAAACAAACTCATGTCCGCCTCCCATTTAATTCTGCCTGGCTTCCTAACATAACAATCCAATCCTGTACCAGGGAGCCATCTCCACATAAACTTGTCCCCCAACATTCTGACATGGCTCATGATTTTAGTTCCGCCTTCCTACTTTGACAGATTTGTGCTCCACCTTCAAATTATTCAAAACAATTATGAATTGTTAATTTTTCGGTTCATTTTACCTCCTAGTCAAAGGAAATATCATCATTCTTACTGTAGGTCTGATATCAACTCTCCCCCTTGACTGTGTTTTGAATCTCCTCTCAGCTATCTGGCTTCCATCTTCTGTGGGCTAACCTCATTTCAAATACAGTGGCATCCTCTTTTAATGGCCCCCTTTTGTCAATGACAACGTTATGTGTGGAACTCTGGCTTTTGAGCAAGACTTAGATACTTACTAACTAGGCACTATGCTGAGCAGTGTACATAGATTATTGCATTTAATCTTCATGATAGCCTATGCCATTGTTAATAAAATCTTAATATGACAGAGAGGGAGATGGTAGTGAACTAACTGATCTGAGACTGTACGGGTAGCGTGTGATAAAACCAGGATTCGGATGCAGGAATGTTGATGCTGAACACTGTGCTCTCTGTTCTTGGGCTTTACCAAATCATGTACTAATACATGTAATTATATTCAAGTTGGAATCTAATTAGAGAAAGTTATGTCTTGCTCTTAATTTTTTTATTAACACAAGTTTCAATATTCCAGTGTTGGTCTAAGCATCCTGAGAAGTGGGACAGATCATATGTTCCCTACGTATTGCCCCCTGAATCTAACACCAAACAGGTACACCATAGGTGCTCATGAAATTCTATTAAATAGGTGTGAACAAAAATGAACATTTGGGGAATTAGAGAAGATGCAGACCAGCCAGATCATCATACAATGACACAAATATCAGGGCCAAGGAGACATGTGAGTGCGGATTCTAAGTGCTGGCGCTAAGCATTAGATCATCATGGGTCTCTAATGATTTATGTGTTAAGTTGCCTGGTTATAAGGGGAGGACACTCACAGATATTCCAACAGCCATCTAGGATGAATAACACATGCTCTATATATTAAGTTATGACAATGCAAATCCTAGAAATTTACATGCACACAAAGGTCAAACTTCACATTTTCAGAATAGTTTCACTGAGCAGGGAAATAGAAAATAATTATTTCGAATGGGGTACATTTTTCCCCTTTTAACTAGCAAACAAATTACCAATTGTTACATATTTTTAAATAACTAGACACGACCTTAGAGTTTCAAACACCTGATTTTTCTCTGACCCTCCCCTTGTCATCTAATTATTAAAATAATTGTATACTTAATTTCCTAATAAGCAATGTTATAAATTTTACATACTTCTGAAAAGTGGTACCAACAATATGTTTTTCATAAAACAGACTGCTATGGTGTGGTTAGAGAAAAAGTAAATTTTGCCGTCTTGAAATAGATGTGAAACCAAAACCAAGGTTTATAAATGGCTCCAAGAGAAAGGAACCATGTATTCTTTGATAGCATAATTATTGTCAAAAAATTTGGCTTTTCCATAAAAATCACTTAATACATTAAACAGATGTTGCTTTATCACCAAATATCAAATTAATAATTTAGAAATTGTTGTTTTAAAGGACATTTTAATTTATGAAATGACATAACTAGACAGGTTTCCCATAGTGAATGAAACTGTAAATATTTTAGACACGCAGTGGGGCAACAGAGTGAAGAAGGAGACAGCATAACTAAGGTGACTTTTAATGGGTTTTATTAATATTTAAATATCATGGTTTATGTAGATATTTTGGTAATGACTATAGGTCAGGAGCTGGCTGCCACTGAGAAGATAATTTGTTGCTCACATTTCCCGAGGGGAGGAGGCATTCCATGTTGCCTTGTCACTGGGGAAGAGGACAGGGAGGGGACACAGGAAAGCACTGGGTTCTGCCAGGTGTCAGAGTGAATAAGAGAGCGGGGCATAGTGTATTAGAGTCTTTATTATGGTTTGTACAGGAAGAAACAATGAGGCAGGGTATGCATGTTTAAGACTGGCTAGTTTGAATAATTTTAGTGAGCTTGGAGGTACAGGAACTGTCCCTTGCCCAGTAGTCAAGTATCTGGCCCTGGGGTGATTACAGCAGGTGGATAGTGGCTCAGAGGATGAGACCCTGAGAATGGAGGAGGTTGAGGGTGTTTGCTCTGAATTGGTAGGATTGCATCTGAAAATTTTGCTTACCCGGAGAGTTGTTTACTATACTAGGAATTGGATAACCCTGAAAGGGCCATTTCCTCCAGATGGCAACAGAGCCTCAGATGTGAAAGCATTAGAACATAGAAAATAAAAGACACAGTTAATACAGTGGCACTTATTAACTCTTGGAATCCAGAGAGTCAAAAACACACTGGAAAGGTTTAGGAGTACTGCTATGGGATCTTTGGGGTGTCGTCTTTATGGCAGGAAATCTGTGGCCGGTGGCACCTTTGCCTGAGTTTTGCTTCTGGGCCTGCTGGACTCGTTCCACTCACTGGGCCTGACAGACCGTGCTCAGCTCATGCTACTGGCCTGGATCCCACGCCTCCAAGGGAGACTGCAAGTCAGGAGTGGAGCAGCAAGGGTTGTATGAACGAGCATGGGGTCCAGCCACTGCTCAATAAGACACACCAGCTGCTGCCTTGGGGCGGGCAGCTGCACACGTCGGCATGGGAACTGGTTCTCTGCAAGGCTGCAGATGGGCAAGGCGCACTGCAAGCAGCTTCCCTAGCTGGCACCAGGGAATGCGGCGGTGCCTGGAAGCTTGGAGATGCCAGGAACTTCAGGGTCCCAAAGAGGGAGTCACAGCCCTGGCTCTCTGGCAACTCCCAGGTCTGGGCTCCCCGAAGGGCCGCAGCTCTTCTCTCTTTCTCTTTGCCGGCAACGTGGGGAGCAACGGGCATGTTTCAGCTCTGTTTGTGTTAAGCTCTTTTAGCCTCCTCATTCGGCGGGTCCAGAGTTCTGTATACCTCTTGCCGCCATCCATGGCGTCCAGGCTGCTGCCGGCTGCCCGCCCCCAAGAGCACAGGGAGGCCTGGGTCCCCAACTAAGGTGGCTGCAGCTGCGCCTGGGAGGACGGAGCTGCACCTTCTCGCAGCCTGGGCAAGGGCTCCAGGTCCTTGCTGGGCCCGCCCGATGTCTAGGCCAGGGGTGACGTCTCTGCGAGCTTCCTCCATGGCCTCAGAGCTCAGGGGCTGCCCAGGCTCCCACTTGCCCAGATTGTGGCCCTGACTGGGGGGCACCTCCAGGAGCAGATCGCAGGCCTCTGGGACTGTCAGGCTCCACGGCTGGACCCTGCGGAGTCAGCCCCAGGTTACCCCCACGCAGAGGCGCAGGAACTGGAAGCCTTTGGCAGAGTGGGTGCAGTGGCTGCGCCGCTGACTAGGTCCCCGAAGTGGGCGCCTGTCCCACTTCCTGCCCAGGGCCCCGTAATCACGGCCCCTGCTCCACATCCCGGGTATGTTCTCAGGCTCTGTGTACAAACTGCACCGCCCCAGCCTAGCTCCTCCTGGGGCCTGTCTCTGCCTGACTGCACTGCTCCCCTGTCGGTGGACAACCCGCCACCTTCATCATGGCAGCCCCCAGGGAGGCGGGCTGCAGGGGGACTGTCTTTCTCCTCCCCACACCCTCCCGGAAGGCAGCAGGGGCATGATAGCAGCGGCCGCTCCAGATGGTCTGCGGCTGCCATCAGTACATTGCAATTTTTTTAAGGAAGAGAGAATTTTCCTTCCAGCAACAGTCACATACACTTTATGATAGGTTATTAACAACCTTGTTGATGTATGATTGACACATAAAACATGGCATATCTTTAAATGCACAAGTTAATAATTTTGGCATAGATTTACACTTGTGAAACCATCATTACGATTATCCACACATATATCACTCCCAAAAGTTTCCTCATGCCCATTTGACATTGCTCAGTCTTGCCCTCACCGCCCCCCTCCCTATTTTCTAGGAAACCACTAATACGCTTTCTGTCACAATGGATTAATTTACATTTTATGGAGGTTTATATAAATAACATCATACAACAGTGTCCTTTTTGGTAAGGCTTCTTTCATTCAGCATAGTTATTTTGAGATTCGTCCATGTTATTGCATGTATCTATGGTTGATTCTATTTCGGTGCTTAGTAGAATTTGATATTTAGGGCGTTTAGGTCATTATCATTTTGAGACAACTACAAATAATGCTGCTGCGAAGTTTTATATACAAGCAATTGTATGCTTTCATTTCTCTCATGTAAATCATCTGGGCTTAGATAGCTGGGTAATATGGTAGGTGTCTGTGTAATGTTTTAAGAAATATGAAACTGGTTTTCTAATAGTTTGCACCATTTTACATTCCTGCCAATAGTCTATGAGGATTCTGGTTTCACCATGTTTTAATCGATACTTGGTATCTCCCTTCCCCTTCCCCTTCCCCTTCCCCTTCCCGTCCCCTCCCTTCCCTTCACTTCTTCCCTTCCCTTCCCTTCCCTTCCCTTCCCTTCAACTTCTTTCCTTCCTTTCTCTCTCCCCTTGACTTTGACATTTTAATAGGTGAGTAGTAGTATTACATCGTGATTTTAAACTACATT
Organism: Homo sapiens; assembly: GCF_000001405.40. Classification (NCBI taxonomy): domain Eukaryota; kingdom Metazoa; phylum Chordata; class Mammalia; order Primates; family Hominidae; genus Homo; species Homo sapiens. The sequence goes on along the minus strand of NC_000010.11, from coordinate 108,565,383 downwards.
TCCCTAATGACTAAAGGTGTTAAACATGTATTTATGCATCTCTTTGCCGTCAATATATATTTGGTGTAGTATTAGCTCAATTTTTTGCCCATTTTTATTTAATTATTTATTATTATTGAGTTTTGATAATTCTTTCTTTATTCTGGATACAAGTTATTTATCATAGATGTGATTTGAAATTATTTCATATAGTGTGTGGATACTTTTTCATGCTTTTAACAATATCACTTACAGAGGAGAAGCTCTATATTTTGATGAAACCCAATTTTTAATTTTTTTCCTTTATGGATTATATTTTAGGGTAATATCTAAGAAATTTTTTTCTGGTACACGATCACAGAAATTTTCTCCTATATTTTCCTGAAACAGTGTTTTAGTTTTAGGGTTTGTATTTAAGGCTATAATCTATTTTGAATTATTTTTTGCAAATGTTATTAGGCATGAACTTAAATTAATTTTTTGCATAAAGATATCTATTTTGTCCAGCATCATGTGGAAGAGACTATCATTTCTCCATTTAATTTCCTTTTCACTATTAGTGAAAATAAGTGTATGTGTCTATTTCTAAATTTTCTCTTCTTTCGCTTTGATTTACTTATTCATCTTTATTTCAGTTCTACATTTTCTAGAATATTTCAGTTTTAAAACAAATTTTGAAGTCAAGTAAAGTAAGTCCTCTAACTTTGCATTTCATTTTCCAAAGTCATTTCAACTCTTCTATAATTTTAGACTCATCTCATCAATTTGTAGAAGAAAAACTGTAGGAATTTTTATTGGAATAGTATTGAGTTTATCAGTCAACTTGAGGCTAACAGACATTGCAACAATATCAAGCCTTCTGATCCACTGGTATGTACACATTTTTGTTTATTTAGATTTTCTTTAATTCTTCTCAACAATGTTTCATACGTTTCAATGTACAATTCCTGCATAAGTTTGTCATATTTACCACTAAATATTTTATATTATGATGCCGTTGAAAAGGGTATTCTCATTTTTATTGTTAATTGATAGTATATTGAAATAAAATTTGTTTTTGTATGTGTATCTTGCTTCTGCAAGCTCCGCCTCTCGGGTTCAAGTGATTCCCCTGCTTCAGCCCCCCAAGCAGCTGGGACTACAGGCGTGGAGCACCACGCCTGGCTAATGTTTTGTATTTTAGTAGAGACAGGGTTTCACCATGTTGGCCAGGATGGTCTCGATCTCCTGACCTCGTGATCCACCCACCTCGGCCTTCCAAAGTGCTGGGATTACAGGCATGAGTCACTGCACCCAGCCACGTATTAGTTTTATAGTTATTCTTTTATTCTTATAGCTTTCAGGTGATTTTTCTATGTAGATTATCAACTCATATACAATGAGTTATTATTTTCACCATTTTTTCCAATGTAGACATCTTACAATAATTCTTTTTCTTGCTTTTATTTATTTACTTATTTTCTTCTAGCTAGAACTTAGAGATCAGAGGTGTGGTATTATTAAATGGTAGTCTAAGCACTGTAAGGACTGGGATAGATCATATATTCCCTGCATCTTGTATCCAGGATCTAGCTCAAAGCAATGACCATAGCTGTTCTCTGGGAGATCATTAACGGATTTAGAGTACAGCCTTCTCTACCATGATCAGATTTATGATGGGAAAGATAATTCTTGCTGCCCTGTGAAGAATAATTAGAGATGTGCAAGAGTATAAGTTAGAGTCCAGCTAGAAGAATAGCCCAGGCAAGGGTTGAGACTGGTTTTGAGTGGTGATTGAACAAGGTAGAAGTAAATTCAAGCTGGGCAGGTTGCAGAACCTGTCAGTGTCTGGCACATGGATGAACCTCAAGAAAACTTGATTTGAGTGATGGGAAAAGAGGGAAAGAGGAGGAGTTCCAGCTAAATCTCGAGTTTTAATGCAGTACTAATAACAGTCCAGATCATTTGAACTTTCTCCTAAACTTTGTGTGCTTCTATTTAAAATGTCTTATAGGCACAAAAAACAAATCCAGTGTGAGGGTTATTTCTATTCTATAAAACTTGGAGCTTTCCTTTGACCAAGTAAAAATCTTGGTCACCTCTTTCTATTTTACTTTCTAGAATTTTATTTTACATGTTCTGAGTATAATAATCACTAGTAAGTGATGAATGTATTCTTATTTTCACAACTAGGGTCTACATAGCATCAACTTAAAAATTATCAAAATTCTGAGACAGTTGAGAAATGCATTGTTTTATTTGATGTATACTCTAATTTATTCTTAAATAACTAGGGATGGGGAAGAGAATTGAGTTGGGCTAATGAGCTTTAATTTACTTTAGACTTTGATCTCCTTAGCACGGATGAGACAGAATTGATAGCCAATATGGAAATATTATATTGATTAGGCTCTCTGGTTGGGGTTTTGGTTTCCTGTAGAGTGCTAATGTGCCTGTATCGTGTGTGTGTGTGTGTTTGTGTGTGTGTGTGTGTGTGTGTGTGTGTATTTGCATTCAGTTTAACATGAATGAATCAGCTGGTGGCCTTGTATCTAGTCTTATTGGCCAAAAGCTAAATGAAACATCAGAGACATTATAAAAATTAGTACTCTGCTTCTGGAGTCTTGCTAGCTGAGCTTGGATTGTGTTGAAAATTCTTGTGAGAATTTTCCTCTTTGATACTTCCAAAAGCAGCAAATATGTATACTATTTCCTTAACATAAAATACCCCTGTCTTTCTATCATCTGATCCTTCCTCTAGGGATGAGAAACTGTCCTTTGCATTGGATGATTATAAAAGTACCATCTAGGTTTAGATTGACAATAATCTTGTCACAAATAACATAAGTGCTAAAATAGAGAATAGTGGTCGTAACTATGTTTGAAATATTTTAGAATGAGAATGATCACAAAATAGATGGGAGTGACTTTAATTTATTAGGATATTTCAGTGTTGGGTACTGGGCTAAATGATTTGTGCCATCTCATGTATCCTAATGATCACACTTTGACATACATAATAAATATTATTCTTCTAATTTAATAGATAACACAATTATTGGAGAGCAAAGGGAACTAGCCTACAGTAGCAGGCACATAGTGAAACTGAAAATAAAACACAAATATATGAGAATCTGAAATTTCAAGCTCTTTATACTGAAGCACACTACACTGAAACCTCAATTAACCAGAATGTTTAGGGACTGGCATCACAAAAAAAGGCTTTGGACTTAAAGTTAGACAATCAGGATATATTAGATGTTTTTGCAAGTTAGGATCTCCAAATGGCATATTTTGAGCAGAGTTAAGAGGCTAACATTTTTATTAAGGAGTATTAGCTATGCAGAGAAAATGTGGGAAGGGGCGGTTTTGGCAAGGGAAGGTTCAGACCATCATGACAGCCTAACCAAGAGTCACCCAACCTAACAGGATACTGTAGAGTGAAGGTTATTTGTTAGAGGAATTCTATATTGGGTGAAATTAGCTATAACCTTATTTGGTCATTGGCTGGAGCTCAATAATTCCTTAGTCATTGGCTGGGGACCAGCCAAATAAAGCCTACCCTTAGCTGTCACTTTCTCAGTAACTGGCAGAGGTTACCTCGTAAATAGCATGACCTCTGCTAAAAAAAGTAGGATGAATCCTAAGGAAGTTAATAGCTGAAGGCTGCAGCTACTAGATTCCAGAGAGTGGCCTGGGGCACAAGATACTCAACCAGAGCAGACAGTGTCAGCCTCTGTCATGGAAAGGTAATGTGACAACATGCAATTTGTTACTGAATGTCATGCCACATTTAAATGAAATTGAATGTTAGGTGAGCAGCTGTAAAAAGTAATAGAATGGACAATGGACAGGACATCAAGATGCCTAAGTCTATCTTTAATTCTTCTTTTCTTTCTTTTGTAACCCTAAGTTAATCCTTTTCTTCTTTTGGCCTCGCTGATGTCATAAATAACTTTTTGGTCTAACATTTTAAAAAGTGTTTGGTTTATAATTGACAAACTAAAATGTGACTTAGTAGTTATCTTGGTAGAGGGAATGTTTGGAAGAAGACTGAAGAAGGCTTCCAGGATTTTGTAATGTTTTGCTTTTTGATCCAGATGCTGATCAAATGATTGTATTCATTTTGATGGAAAATTCAGGTTGTTTACTTACTATTTGTGTACTTTTCTACATTTATCATATACTTAACTTTCTAACAAAATATTCACAGTAAAACAAAATCTAGTATCCACCTCAAATTCTTGTTGAAAAAAAGACCAGATAAAAGTATATATTTTGATATCTATCTATCTATCTATCTATCTATCTATCTACCCACCCACCCACCAATCCACCTGCCTACCTACCTACCTCTCTATCTTGCCTCCTAAATCCTGATCCTGACTCACATTTGTAGGGACTACCAGTTTCTAAAGGAAATATAAGGTGAAAAGTAAATTAGGACAAAAAAAAATACCAGTGGTAATCTCAGTGTCAAATCAGAATGGGCTCTTTTTGGTAGTAAATCCTTATTTAAATGATCACTTAACATAGGCTTCCCTTTGAAATATGGACTGAATACTTCACAGTCCAGCTTGTTTTATTAAACTGTGCTCTGAGGCATTAGATATTTAATACATTTCAGTTATGGGGCATTCACTGAAGCCTATAGTTATCCAGACCTTAAAATCTCAGTAGCCATATTATTGCCCTGTGGTGCTATTAATCCACAGCACAATGAAACAGTATATTAAGCTTGTCAAAATACAAGGAGACCAGAGCATGTGAATCATCTGGCAATCTGTCCTATTAAAATAGATCACATTTAGATAAATGCAGTCCTTTATTTGCCATTAAGCCAAACTTTCAATTATAGTAGAAGCTGTGTTTAAAATGAAAATGCTCTAAAAAATTGAGGATTAGGAAAAAGGAATTCATAGACTTTGGACAGAAAACGACTCCAGTGGCTTCACATGATGAAATCACAGCAGAGGCAGAGGAATTGATTCAAATAATGGTATACCTGAGTCGTGACTCTTGAGCAAACACAAAAGTGAATTGGGAGATTTGAGAAACAGCCTCTTGAGCAAGGTTGACAGCAAAAAGTATCCTCACATAAATGTCAGTGCCTAAAGGCCAAGAGTTAAGTGTTGGGAAACCATAGTTTTAAAAATGAAGATTCATAAAAGTATAAATTGTAGAACCAGTTTGGATAGCTGTCTGGAAAACCTTAATAAAATTGAAGATACGCGCAGGCTATGACCCAGCATTTCCCCTCCTAGACATGACCTACAGCAACCGGCTCATGTATGCCCTCAGAGACATGTATACAAATGTTCATTACAGCACAGCTGTAATACAAAAACTGGAAATAAATTCCTATCAACACAAGAAAGAAAAAAATATTGTATATTTATAAAAATGCATGCTACAAGTAGTGGAAATGAAGATATTAGGATACCATGCCTCAACATGAATTTATCATACAAACATACTTATGGTTTAAAAGCAAGTTTCAGAGACTGTGAATAAAATACTATTTTTACAGTTTAAATATACACAATGGTAAAATTATATGTTGTGTAAGAATTTGTACATGAGTAGGAAAGATATAAACAGGTGCTTGGGAACTGGGGATGATAAATATCAGAGGCACAGCAGTTACCACTGAGCGGGAGAGAGGCAAATGTAAACAGAGTGAGGTGCACAGTATCCAATATGTGAGTCTGGTAGCAGGTTCAGTGTTTTATTATATTAGTCATTCTGCCTTTTTGTATTGCAGATATTTTTAAGAAAGTTAAAAAACTTGTGAATATCAATTTTGGCTTTACCCACTTATAGATCTATACATATGTTCATTAATTTAGTGAATATTTGTGCTGCTTCTACTTTGAATGAGGACCACAGCTAGAGTCTTAAAAAGAAATAAAAAATTTATAAGCCATCATCCTTTTCTTTAAAAAGCTTACATTTCAGTTGAGAGAATTAAACCTGCAGAGAAGTTTGAGCATTTACTAATATCCAAAGTATTCAATATTTTGTTGAAAAGAGAGTTTATTTTTTAGCGCAGTTGTAGGTTCACAGCAAAATTGAGTGGATGGCTGGGCACAGCAGCTGATACCTGTAATCCTAGTAACTTGCGAGGCTGAGGCAGGAGGATTGCCTGAGCCTAGGAGTTTCAGACTAGCCTGGGCAACTGAGTGAGACCCTGTCTCTACACAAAATTAAAAAAAAAATTATCCTGCTGTGGTGGTGTGCACCTGTAGTCCCAGCTACTCTGGAGGCTGAGGTGGGAGTATCACTTGAGCCCTGGAAGTTGAAGCTGCAGTGAGCCGAGATTATGTCATTGCACTCCAGCCTGGGCAATAGAGTGAGAACCTGTTTCAAAAATAGACGAGTAGAAAGTACAGAGAGTCCCCACATACCTGCTGTTCCTACATATGTCTTCTTCTACATTATCAACATTCTGCACCAGAGTTGTATATTTGTTATAATCAATGAAACTTCTGTGACACCTAATTATCATGGTCATAGTTTATATTAGGGTTCACTTTTGACGCTGTTACATTCTATGAGTTTTGACAAATGTATAACAACATGTATCTATCCACCATTAGAGTGTCATACACAGTAATTTCACTGCCCTAAAAATCCTGTATGCTTTGTCTGTTCTTCTCTCCCTTAACCATAACAATCACTGAATTTTTTTCCTGTTTCCATAGTTTTGCCTTTTCTAGAATGTCATAGTTGGAATGAAACAGTAGGAAGCCTTTTCAGATTGACTTAATAATATGTATTTAAGGTTCTTCGATATCTTCTCGTGGCTTGATAGCTAGTATCTTTTGAGTGCTGAATAATATTCTATTACCTGGATGTACCACAGTTTATTTATTCATTCACCTACAAAAGGACATCTTAGTGTCCTCCAAATATTGGAAAATTATGGATAAAGCTATTATAAACGTCCATGTTCAGGTTTTTGTGTGGACATATTGTTTTTCAACTTGAGTAAATACCAAAAGCCATCATTGCTAAATTATATGGTAAATCTCTGTTTAGTTTTTGTGTTTTTTTAATTTTTATTTATTTGTTTTATTTGACAAATAACATATTTATCACATACGACATGACATTATTAAGTATGTATACATTATGGACCACTAAATCTAGCTAATTAACATATGCATTATCTCACATATTTATCATTTTATTATGGTAGAAGAAATAAGTTTGAGAGATCTATTGTAATACATGGTGGCTATAGTTTATTAATAATGTATTGTATTCTTCAAAATTGCCAAGACTACATTTAGTTCTGTGAGAAACTGCCAAACTATTTTCCAAAGTGGCTAAACCATTTTGCATTCCTGTGAGCAATAAATGAGAGTTCCTTTTGCTCCAAAATGCTCATCAGCATTTAGTGGTGGCATTATGTTGGATTTTGGCTGTTTTAATAGGTATTTAGTAGTATCTCATTGTTGTTTTAGTTTGCAAAATCATATGACATGGATCTTTTTTCATATGCTTAATTTCCATTTTTACATCTTTGGTGAGGTGTCTGTTTAGTCTGGTTATATCTTTTACCTTTGTTTTTCATCAGGTGTAACCATTTGGGACTGATGCTTTCTGTTTGGGAAGTTTATTAATCTTTGATTTAATCTCTTTAACAGACTTATTAAGACTGTCTGCTTCTTGTATGAGTTTTGGCAGACTGTGTCTTTCAAGGAATTAATCTATTTAATGTAGGCTATCAAAGTTGTGAGCATTGAGCGGTTCATTGTATTCCTTTATTATATTTTAATATCCATGGGATCTACAGTGATGTCTCTTCTTTCCTTTCTGATATTGGTAATTTATATCTTTTTTTTCTCATTTAGCCTAGCTAGAGGCTTATCAATTTTATTGATCTTTCGAAAGAATCAGCTTTAGATTTTGCTGATTTGCCCTATTGATTTCCAGTTTTTATTTTCATTTATTGCTGTTCTGTTATTCATTACTTTTTTCTCTGCTTACTCTGGATTTAATTCTTATTTTTCTAATTTCCTAAGGTGAAAATTTAGAGTATTGATTTTCGATCTTTCCTCTATTCTGTTTTTTACTGCTTCACACAAATTCTAATCAGTTATATTTTTATTTAGCTCAAAATATTTTTAAAGCTTCTCTTCCTTGGCTTATGTGTTATTTGTAAGTGTGTTGTTTGATCTCCGAGTATTTGGGGATTTTCCAGCTATCTTTGTTATTAATTTTTAGATTAATTTTATTGTGGTCTGAAAGCAAACATTGTATAATTACTGTATTTTAAAATTTGCTAATATGTATTTTACAACCCAGAACGTGATCTACCTTGTAGAATGTTCCATGTGAGCTTGAGAAGAATATGGAATTTGTTGTTTCGGGGTAATATACAGATGTCGATTACATCCAGTTGATTGAGGGTACTACTAAGGTATACTGTAATCTTACTAATTTTCTGCTTGCTGGATCCATGTCTAATATAGAGGTTTGATGTCTCCAAGTATAATAGTACATTATCGGTCTCTTCCTGCAGTTCTATCAGTTTTTGCCTGATGTATTTTGATGCTTTGCTGTTAGACAAATACTCACTGAGGACTGTTATGTCTTCTTGGAGAATTAACCCATTTATCACTGGGTAATGCCCCTCTTTATTTCTGATAACTTTCCTTATTCTGAAGTTTGCTCTTTCCAAAATTAATATAACTGCTCCACTTTCCTTTTGATTAGTGTTAGCATGTTATATTTTTCTCCCTCCCTTTCCTTTTAATCTATATGTGTCTTCATATTTTAAGTTGGTTTTGTGTAGACAAGTGTATTGATCTGTTCTCAGGCTGCTTTGAAGAAATACCCGACAGTGGGTAATTTATAAAGAAAAGAGGTTTAATTGACTCACAATTCTTCATGACTGGGGGAGCCTCAGAAAAACTTACATTCATGGCAGAAGGTACATTCTTCACAGGGCAGCAGGAAAGCGAATCAGTGCAAGCAGGGGAAATGCTAGATGCTTTTAAAACCATCGGATCTCATGAGACTTACTCATTATCACAGGAACAGGATGGGGGAAACTGACCCAATGATTCAGTTTCCTCCATCTGGTACTGCCGTTGACATGTGGGGATTATAATTCAAGGTTAGAATTGGGTAAGGACACAGAGTCAAACCATATCATTCTGCCCCTGGCTCCTCTCAAATCTCATGTCCTCACAATTGAAAACACAATCATGCCCTTCCAATAGTCCCACAAAGTTTAACTCATTCCAGAATTAACCCAAAAGTTCAAGTCCAAAGTCTCATCTGAGACAAGGCAAGTCCTTTCTGCCTAAAAGCCTGTAAAATAAAAAGCGAGTTATTTCCAAGATACAATGGGGGCACAGGCATTGGGTAAATACACCCGTTTCAGATGGGAGAAATTGGCCAAAACAAAGGGGTTACAGGCCCCATGCAAGTCTGAAATACAATAGGGCAGTTGTTAAACGTTAAAGTTCCAAAATGATCTCCTTTGACCTCTTACATCCAGGACATGCTGATGTAAGAGGTGGGCTCCCATGACCTTGGGTAGGTTTGCCCCTGTGACTTTACAGTGTACAGCCCCCTCCCATATCTTCCTGTCCTCTTCCAAGCCCTCTAAACTGTTCCAACCTCTGCCTTTTACCCCATTCCAGCTTTCACAGGCTGGTATTGAGTGCCTGTGGCTCTTCCAGGTGCATGGTGTAAGCTGTTGGTGAATCTACCATTCTGGGGTCTGGAGGATGGTGGCCCTCTTCTCACAGCTCAACTAGGCAGTGCCCCAGTGGAGCCTCTGTGGGGGCTCTGACTCCATGTTTCCCTTCTGCAGCGCCCTAGCAGAGGTTCTCCATGAGAGCTCCACCTCTGCAGCAAATTTCTGCCTGGACATCCAGGAGTTTTCATACATTCTCTGAATCTATGTGGAGGTTCCCCAACCTTAATTCTTGACTTATGTTAACCCACAGACCCAACGCCACGTGTAAGCTGCCAAGGCTTGGGGCTTGCACCCTCTGAAGCAATGGCCCCAGGTGTACCTTGGCTCCTTTTAGCCACAGCTGGAGCTGAAGCAGCTGAGAAGCGGTGCACCATGTCCTGAGGCTGCATAGAGTAGGTGGGCCCTGGGCCCATCCCACAAAACATTTTTCCCTAATAGGCCTCCAGGCCTGTGATGGAGGGGCTGCTGTGAAGGCCTCTGACATGTCCTGGAGACATTTCCCCCATTTTCTTGGTGACTAACATTTGACACCTTGTTACTTACACAAATTTCTGCAGCTGGCTTGAATTTCTTCACAGAAAATGGGTTTTTCTTTTCTATTGCATCATTAGGCTGCACATTTTCTTAACTTTTATGCTCTGCTTCCCCTTGAATGTTTTGCAGCTTAGAAATTTCTTCTGCCAGATACTCTAAATCATGTCAATCAAGTTAAAATTCCACAGATCTCTAGGGCAGGGGAAAAATACTGCCACCATCTTTGTTAAAGCATAGCAAGAGTCACCTTTTCTCCAGTTCCCAAGAAGTTCCTCATCTCCATCTGAGACCACCTCAGCCTGGACTTCATTGTTCATATCACTATTAGCATTTTGGTCAAAAGCATCCAACAAGTTTCTGTGAATTTCCAAGCTTTCCCACATATTCCTGTCTTCTTCTGAGCCATCTAAACTGTTCCAACCTCTGCCTTTTACCCAATTCCAAAGTTGCTCCCACATTTCCCGGTATCTCTACAGCAGTGCCCCACTACCTTGATACCAATTTACTGTATTAGTCCATTCTCATGCTGCTATGAAGAAATACTCAAGACTGGGTAATTTATAAAGAAAAGAGGTTTAAATGAAACACAGTTCTGCATGGCTGGGGAGGTCTCAGGAAACTTACAGTCATGGTGGAAGGCACCTCTTCACAGGGCAGCAGGAGAGAGAATGAGTGCAAGCAGGGGAGATGCTAGATGTTTATAAAACCATCACACCTCCTGAGTTTCACTCATTACCACAAGAAGAGCATGGAGGAAACCATCCCATGATTTAATTACCTTCTACAGGGCTTCTTCTTTGACACATGAGGCTAGTGGGAATTTACAATTCAAGATGAGAATTGGGTGGGGACACAGAGCCAAACCATATCAGCAAAGGTATAGTTGATGTTTGTTTTGTAGATCCAATCTGACAGTCTGTGTCTTTTAATTGATATACTTAAACCATTTAAATGGTTACTGATATAGTTGCATTAATATCTACTATATATGTTACTGATTTCTATTCATTGCCCTTGATTTTTGTTTCTACTTTTATATTTCACTCTTTTCCTGCCCTTTGTAATTTTAGTTGAGAATTTTATGATTACATTTTCTCTCCTTTCTTAACATATCAATGATAATATTATTATTTTTTTTTATGTTTCAGTTTTTGTCCTAGAATCTGCAATATACTTTTACAACTAAGCCAGGTCTGCTTTCAAATGGCACTATACCACTTCATGGGTAATGCCAAGTACCTTGTAATAACAAAATATTTCTAATTATTCCTTCCTGCTTTTGGTTTAATTGACGTTGTTTATTTCACTTTATACATAAGTGTGTGTGTATGAACACACCTTTTTTTTTTTTTAGTTATGATTGAATTTTATTTAGTTGAAAGTGCTGAAATGAAACATAATTATAAGCTTAAAGCTGCATTTGTTAGGGTGTCTGTGACTTTTTTTCTTTTTAAAATGTTTTTAAAAACATTTTGTGGCTACGTTGTAGTTATATATATTTATGGGGCACATGAGATATTTTGATACAGGCATGCAATGTGAAGTAATCACATCATGAAGAATTGGGTGTCCATCCCCTCAAGCATTTATTCTTTGAGTTACAAACAATCCAATTACATTATTTAAAAACTATACAGTTATTATTGACTATATTCACACTATTGTACTATAAAATAGTAGGTTTTATTCATTGTTTCTATTTTTTTTTACAAAATAACCTTCCCCACCTCCCCTTTCCAACCCTCCACTACCCTTCCCTTCCCAGCCTCTGGTAATAACAAACAGTTATTATCTATTACATCAGTTAAGAATAAGAAATAAAAGTTTTTATTTTATCTTCATTTATTACTTCTCTAATGCTCTTCCTTTAAAATGTAGATCTGAATTTATGACCTATATCATTTTCCTTCACTCTGAAATCTTATTTTAACATTTCTTACAAGACAAATCTACTGACAAGTAAGTTCTCTCAATTTTTGTTTGTCTGAAAAAAGACTTTATTTGTTCTTCATTTTCAAAGGATAATTTTCAGGAATACACAATTCTAGGTGAGTTTTTTTTTAACACTTCAAATATTTTACTTTATTCTCTTTTTGCTTTCATAGTTTCTGAGGACAAATCATCTGATGTAATTATTATCTTTACTTCTCTCTCTATAAGACATTTTCCCATTTCTTTCAAGTTTATCTTTTAGTTTCTCCATTTTTAATATTGATACGCATAGATGTAGATTTTTTGGCATTTGTTTTCTGCTTCCTGTTCCCTGGCCTTCCTGGATCTGTGGTTAACATTAATTTAATGGCATTAATGTGTCTGACATTAATTTAGTAAAATTCTCAGTCATTATTGCTTCAAATATTTCTTCTGTCTTTTTCTATCTTCTACTTCTCATATTCCCATAATGTGTATCTTATACATTTTATGGTGGTTTCACATTTCTTGAATTTTTTTTTCCATTTTTTTATTCTTTTTTTCTCTTTGCGTTTTAGTTTTGGAGGTTTATTTTGACATACCCTCAGATTCAGAGATAATTTACTCAGTTGTGTCTGGTATATTAATGACCCATTAAGACAATCTTAATTTATTTTTTGTTCTTTTTGAGCTCCTGCATTTTTTATCTATTCTTTCTCATAATTTCCACCTCTTCATTTACATTATCCTTGTGTTCTCATATGTTTTCTACTTTGTTTATGAGAGCCCAGAGCATAGTAATTATAGTTTGTAAATGCTTTATTTCTTGTCTGATAATGCTAACATTCTTCTCATATCTTACTCAGATCCTGGATGCTTGCTTAGTTTCTTGAAACTGTACTTTTTCTCTTTTAGTATTACTTGCAATATTTTTTCTTGTTAACTGGGCATGATGTAGTGTGCAAGAGGAACTGTATTAAATAGGCCTTTATTAATATGGCAGTAAGATATGGGAGAAGGTGGAATGTTCTATAATCCTATGATTGGGTCTCAGTCTTTTAGTGAGTAAGCCTGTGATTCTTGGACTGTGAACTTCACAAGCACATCTGAGTAACCCCCAACTCCACTTCCTTTAGGTGAGATAGCTAGCTGGGGCTGGAGCTGGGTATTTCTCTTCCTCCAGCTCAGTTGTGCCCTGATAAAACCAATATAGGCTAGGCTCCAGTAAAATAATTTATTTTGAGGACATACTTTATTAAGAAAAATGGAATGCTCTGGAGTATTCCAAAATAGTTATTTTTCTTCTCCTTCTGGAAGCATGAGAGGATTTTTCTCAATCTTCCCTGTGGGAACATGGTAGAGATGTCAAAGGTAAAACTCATAAACGTGTGAGGGTTCTTCTGGAGTTTTTAGCTCTCAGACACGTTCACACTGAGCCTCCAGAAAATTTTCAGTTACAGTTTGGATTTTCCTACCCCATCACTGGTGTCTGTGGCAGTTTCTGCTCATGGGTTTCTGCTCTGTTAAGTTGTGATTCTCCGTATCCAGCCTGTCTCCAATTTTTGAGGCAACAGTTTGCCCTGTTTTATCACCACTGTGACAATTATAAGAAGAGATGTTAATTTTTCAGCTTTTTTGGCTTTTACTTATTGTTAAAATAAATGATGACTTCAAGCTTCTTATATAGCAAACTGGAAACTAGTATTACCAATAATTATTTAATAATGGAATTGACTATGTCTACAGTAAATCTCTTTTAGGCAACAACGTACACATCACCTATCTCCTGGAAACTTGACTAAAAATAGAAAAAATGTAGGCAGTAAAGTAAAACCAACACTGCAGGCACACATCTGTTTATTAGATACTTTGCTTTTCTTTCCAGGACAAGGCAAAATGTGTTAAGTTGGCAAGTGCTCCCACTTGCCTAGATTATTTCAAACATTTTATACCATGGTTCAAGTTGTGTAGCAAGGGCGATTTTTGTTCGGTGTGTGTCTACCTATTCATTTTATATTGTTCTATTGATGCTATTTTTCAGAAAAATAAAATGTAGAGATATTTTAATTCCAATAAAAATATATTATTTTAATATAAATTAAAGCATAGAGATATTTCAAGTCCCCAGTGGCCAATTTCAAGCCCGCTTGTGAAATGTGGGACCAGTTACTTGATTTTTAGCTTGGTGTTCCTATGTTATTGTCTGCTACTTGAATCTAACTTATAAAAGGCTATGTATCATCTCTACCTCTATCATATTAGTTTATATACTAGTTCAATAATATGATCATGGAGAAAAGCAGAGAAGAGTATCCTAGGGTATAAATTTATAAACTTCAATTCAAAATTTCTAAGTTCCAATTGCAACTTTACCATATATTTAATACCCCTTGAGAATTATTCTTTAAGAGTTAATAATATATTTGACCTTAAAAGAGACCTAGGAGAACATCTACTCTGAGGTTTCCCAAAATGACCCAATTATCATTTAAATATAGCTAATATGATTATATCTCAGGAGTTTTATTAATTGCTGTTACCCAGAAATAAGTGATTTCATGAATAAGTGTGTATAGGATACACTGGGTTAATTAGAATGAATCAGACTTCTCTTTTGCAGGCTTCTCAGAGCCTTTAGAATGCTAATATGATGGCTCCATTTGAAAGCAGATGCATTTTGGGCATTTCTTGAATTTTGGTCGATAGATTTCTTTGGTCATGTTGATTTTCACAAACAATACGTTATATTTTGAAAGGACAGGACTAAAAGAAACATAATTTTACTAAAGAAAAAAACTAAGGCAGTGATTTATTTAGGCCATACCTCTGGTCAATGGATAATACCAGAAACTGAGCAAGAGAAGAGGATGGGGAAGGTCACTGAAAAGAATTTTACCCAAAAAGGTGGGAGTAATACATTACAATATTTTGTAGCCTGCATAATGATAATAACAGAAATGTACCTAATAGTAAAGCAAAATGGAAAGTGTTCAGGTATTGTTTATGGCAGGAATGATGTGACTCTTGCATTAAATTCGTATTTGACTTTCGGAATACAAAACACTAGACGAGAGCTTTACTTACACCATTATTCCAATAAATATAAATGTTTTAATAATACATGCGTGTATTAAATTGTGTTTCAGAGATCTCATGTTATTAAAGGAGAACAGATTGCTTTATACAAACTTGTCATATTTCATATGAGGTAATTAATGGGAGACCTATCTTGGTTAAACTGTAATGTCTCACAATTTGTTTGTGCCATATCTGAGCCAGGAATTTGGTTCTCTTTATTCCTACAGCACAGAGCTTCCTATCCTACATGATTGTCTATTGTAATGCCAAATTACAAGCAGTAAGTATAATATTGTATTTTTATTTAAATGTTCATTTATTTTTGTAGGACAGGGAATAATTGAAAACAAACACATACACGAAAATACAATTTAAACAAAAAGACTTGCTCTGATTCCACTATTGCAGGCTGTGTCTATTACATGTTCTAAGTCCTTTAAATTTAGCTAGTCTAATGCAACTCTATAGTCACAAGGCAATATTGAACAAAAACCATACTTTTGTTCACCAAACATAAACTGTGAATGTGCCCAACTGTGTGCTGGAAAACAAGATGAATCCTGAGGACAAATAAATATCTTCTCTGTCTGCCAGGACAACACTCATGATGAAATCAGCATAAGGTCTAATGTTGATTGGGAGCTACAACTTAAAGAAAGATCATTAGAAGACCTGGGTTAGAACCTGATCTACTATATACTATGTGATTAATTTTGTAAATAATTTTGTAAAATTTAAGTACAAATTTGTAAAATCCTAGAAGGTCTTGGGCTATTTCTCAAATTATAACCAAATCAAACAAAGGGAATAATTAGGTGAACAATGGAGAATAGAATTGCCTCACTAAAATTTGTCCCATTTTTGGTGAAAAGATCTTAGTCATAAGAAAAAATTAAATAAAATGATGCAATTAGAGAATTGTTTTCTCAAATAGTTCAGAAACAATAAAAAGATTGTAAGGTTATCTGGAGCTGGGATGCATGCTTCACTTTCTATTATAGCTTCCCAAGAACTGAATGCTTATTAAGTCTTGATTTTCCGTTAAACATCTATTACATATTAAACTTCAGAGAGAGATAAACCACTGTAGAGGACAGGGAGCAATGTTAAGAGTCTTGGTTGGCAGCAACATGTCAGAAAACGACAGTTCACATTAAGGGGAATGAAAGTTTGAAGAAATTTTTAAAGTCACTTACATCACTGGATATCTTTACAAAGTTAGTTGCTATGTGCAGAAGAAAGATGCTTGAAACCAAGAATTCACAGAAAGTGGAAAAATCTAAATATGTTCACTCAGTCCTCAAATTCAGGGTTTAGGTTTTGGCCCAGAGCCTATTTCAATGTCTTATTTTAATTGACAGTTTTACTGGATCTGCAAAGCAATAAGATTCCAGAAGGTATAATTCATTGAAAGAAATCACGATCTATAATGATATATGATTTATCCATTCACATTACTGAGCTATTTAGAGTAAATTATCTATGAGATAATGTCATTAGTTTAACAGTGGCTGCAGTTGGTTTTGTCAGTATAATTTTAAGCCGTATAAAATTTTTAGAAACATATTTAAATATATATGTGTGTATATATATATAATTATATAATAATATATATAATTATATATTATTATATATAATTATATATATTATTATATATATTATATTATATATAATTATATATATTATATAATTATATATTATACAATATAATATATATTATATATATAATATATAATATTATATATGTAAAATATATTATATATTATATATAATATATATAATTATGTTATTTATATAAAAATAATAATATATGTATTATTTTTTTAGATGGAGTCTCACTGTGTTGCCCAGGCTGGAGTGCTGTGGCATGATCTCAGCTCACTGCCATCTCTGCCTCTTGAGTTCAAGCGATTCTCCTGCCTCAGCTTCCCAAGTAGCTGGGATTACAGGCGCACGCCACCACGCCCCGCTAGTTTTTGTATTTTCAGTAGAGACGGGGTTTCACCATGTTGGCCAGACTGGTCTGTAACTCCAGACTTCAGGTGATCTGCCCACCTTGGCCTCCCAAAGTGCTGGGATTACAGGCCTGAGCCACCATGCCCAGCCAATTTCCATATATTTTTTATACTGGGATTTCAGAGAGTAATTTCCTCTTCATGTGTAACCAGTTATGTGAATTAAAACAGATTCAGCCTTCTTTTACGGTTGTGAAAAACTGTAATTCTTCCTCTCAAGTTCCCCCTTGGAAGGAGGGATATTTCAGGCTCAACATTGTCCAGTCTGACCATCGTTAGAGAGAAAGGCCTTAAAATGTATTTTCTAAAAGCTTTTCTATAACTAATCAACTTAAGTGTCAGTTGGGTGTCTGAGATCTGTAAGACTTTGAGATTATTGCTCCAAATTCCATAGGACACTAATCTCTTTCTTCTTAATACTGTTTTTACTAAGATTCAAGCATAAGGGGCTTATATCCAAGGGGATTTTTCCTAAGAAAATGTAAATATATAAATATATGTACAGAAATTATTAAGAGTAGAAACATTTGAGGAATAGTGTGTCTAATAGCATATACTCGGTGTTTTCCCCATGAGTAAATGAAAAATGTTCAACATATATGAAAAGAATAAAGTGAAAAGTAAGATCTTCAAAGAGGATTATTCGCTGCTGGAAAGTAAGTAAAAAGCATCACAGAAGAGGCCAGACTCTCTGGCTCATACCTGTAATCTCAACAATTTGGGGGGCCAAGGTAAGAGGATCACTTGAGCCTAGGAGTATGAGACCAGCCTGGGCAATATGGCAAGATCTTCAAGACCTTGGCTCTACATAAAAAAAAAAAAAAAAAAAAAAAAGCACGCTGAGCATGCTCCTTGCTCCTCTGGTCCTAGGGAGACTGAGGTGGAAGGATTGCTTGAGCCCAGGAAGTAGGGGCTGCAGCTGTGATTGCATCACTGCCCTTCAGCCTGGGAGACAGTGCAAGGCCTTGTCTCAAAAAAAAAAAAAAAAAAAAAAAAAAAAAAATCAAGGAAGAGGACCCTTTTGCTTCAAATAAGCAAAAAGAAAAGAATAAAGTGAATTTGTTTTCCTATATGGTAATTGTGAATTTTTCTATTCCATAAGGTAATAGGGTCATAAATGCTGCTAGCTGATGAGGCTGGGCCACTGCAACACTTAGGTGACATATCCATTAGTTGCAGGTACTGCTAGAACCAGTGTTACTAGTACTGCCACCATCTGCCAGTAACTGAGAACCAACACTCTTCCCAGTACTGCACCAAGAGGAACCTAATGCATATTTCATAAGCTTTCTAGGTAGATAGATGTCCATGTTCCATGGAGTGGTCCACCATTTGCTAGCTCTATGTCCTTGTGATATTCCTTTATTTTCTCTACTTCTCACTTTTTCATGTGTAAAATGAGTCTCCTGGTGCTATTCATCTTATAGGTTGTTTTCAGTACAGTTGGTCTCTGACATACCATGTTTTGACTTACAATTTTTCAACTTTACAGTGGATTTATCAGGACATAAGTCCATCATAAGTCAAAGAGCATCTCTATTATGTAAAGTGTGTATCACAATGCCTAGAACACAATAAGCTCTTGGTGAAGAGTTTTCTATTATTATTCTTTTTAGTGTTTTCGTTAATATTGTTGTTAGTTTCTCTTTCTTACCTATGAAAACTACATGAGAGATACAGGACTTTGGTGACTTGAAAAGCTAAATCACTAAATAAGTGTCATCATAAAGAATGATATCCAGAGAAAGGATTATGAGAAGATGGTAGAGTAGGAAGCACCAGGAATCCATCTACTCACCTACATAAAAATTACAGTGGAAGAATCTGTTTGATGTAAATATTTAGAACTATTAAAGGCTTTCAACTTCCAGAAGATTTTAGTTGTATATTGTGATTAATTTTGTTCAATTGCAGCTCTCAGTGCAGTAGCAACTACCTGTCTATCTGTAGCCACCGCCTCCCCAGCCTCCCACTCCCTACTCCTCACAGTCATAGAGGAGGGCATCCATTGTCTGTTGCACCTGCCCCCATTTGTTGATTGTTGCAAGCCCCTCCCCTCTGGCTGAAGTGACTTCCTGGAGGTTTACAGGGCCAGTGATTTTCATTTTCACTTCATGTTCTCTTTTTTCCTTTATGAGAGTCAGACATTGTTAAAGATTAAGATATTAAAAAGCAACCACATATGTGCAGAAATTAGAAAGCCACCACAATTGCTCAAGGAAAGGTGCAGGCTCAGCAAAGACCTAAACAGCCTCAAATTTATACCTCAAGTTCATCATCAGCACAGAGAAAACCAGCAGCACAATTAAATTTTTAAAAAAGCAAACATCAAAAAAAAAAAAAAACATCCAAGTGAAAAAGAATAAAATTGGACCCGTAATTAACACCATATATAAAAATTAACTCAAAATTAATGTAAGACCTAAATATAAGATCAGAAGTGATAAAAGTCTTAGAAGAAAGTGAAGCACAGGGCACATCTTTATGTTGAGAATTCCTAAAACCCAAGAACAAAAACAAAATAAAATTTATAAATGAGGAAGATACTTGAGTAGACATTTCTCCAAAGAAGATATACAAAGGATCAAGTATTAGGGACATTAGGCACATGATTAGGGAACATCCCTAATCATTAGGGAAGTAGAAATCAAAACTACAATGGGATACCCTCTCGCACCCATTAGAACGGCTGCTATCCGAAACAAAAACAGATAAAAAGTGTTGGTGAGGAGGTGAACAAATTACAATACTTGTGCATCGTTGGTAGGAATATAAAATGGTACAACCACCGTGGAAGGCAGTATGATAGTTCCTCAAAAAATTAAAAATAGAATTAACATAAAATCCAGGAGTTCCAGTTGAAGGTATATACTCAAAAGAATTTGAAGAGATATTTTGAAGAGATATTTGTAGAATTATATTCACAGTAACATTAGCTAATACGTAGAATCAAACCAAGTGTCCATTGACAGATGGATGAATAAGTAAAATATGGTACATCCAATGGAATATTATTTAGCTTTAAAGGAAGGAAATTCTGGCATGTTTACAAGATGGATGAACCTTAAGGACATTATTCTATGTGAAATGAGCTGGCACTAAAGGACAAATGCTGTATGATTCCACTTGTGTGAGGTATTTAGAGTAATCAAATTCATAGAGACTGTGGGTAGCAAGCCACCCAGGTGCCGAGGCAAGAGACCGAAGGCACAAGCTGTTCCAGTATAATAAAATATATAGAATCAGAATAGTTATACTAGAAATAGATTATAGATATGATTATGAATATTATTAATAATTAGTTTGTAGCATTACTCTTTACTCCAATATTATAGTAATATTTCTTCTACAATTATAACCTAGGAAAAACCAGGCCATGCAGAGATAGGAGGTGAAGGGACACGGTGAGAAGTGACCAGAAGATGAGTGTGAGCCCTCTGTTATGCCCGGGCAGGGCCACTAGAGGGCTCCCTGGTCTAGCGGTAACACCAGTGCCCGAGAAGGCACCTGCTACTTAGCGGACCTTGGTCTAGGGATAGCACCAGTGCCTGGGAAGGCACCCGTTACTTAGCAGACTGGGAAAGGGAGTCTCCCTTTCCCCGGGGGAGTTACAGAAGAATCTGCTCCATCACTTCTTGTGGAAGGCCTGACATCGGTCAGGCCCACCCACAGCCATCCGGAGGCCTAAACGTGTCTCTGTGATGCTGTGCTTCAGCGGTCACGCTCCTGGTCCACTTTCATGTTCTGCCCTGTACACCTGGCTCTGCCTTCTAGATAGTAGTAGCAGAATTAGTGAAAGTATTAAAGTATTTGATCTTTCCGAGAAATACATAAAAGAAATAATGATGTAAGCTGTCCCCTCTCTCCACCTTGGCTACCAAATAGGGAAGGGACCCCTGTCTGGTAGACACGTGACTCGCATGACCTTACCCATCATTGGAGATAACTCACATTCCTTACCCTCTTGCCTTGTATACAATAAATAACAGCGCGGCCAGGCATTCGGGGCCACTACCGGCCTCCGTGCCTTGGTGGTAGTGGTCCCCCGGGCCCAGCTGTCTTTTCTTCTATCTCTTTGTCTTGTGTCTTTATTTCTATGATCTCTCGTCTCCATACACGAAGAGAAAAACCCACAGGTCCTGTAGGACTGGACCCTACAGAGACAGAAAGTAGAATGGTAGCTTTCCAGGGCTATGGGAATGGGGAAATCGGGAGTTATTGTTCAATGAATATAGAATTTCAGTTTTCCAGTTGAAAAGAGCTCTGGAGATGAATTGTGGTGATATTTGCACAACAATATGAAGGGACTTAGTATGACTAAACTGTACACTAAAAGATGGTTAAGATAGAAAATTGTAGTTTATATGTGTTTTGCCACAATTTTTAAAAAATGAAAAGAAAAAAGAATCAGATCCAATTTTGACTTTTGGACTGTGCTATTTGTACTTCTATGGTAAAGTGAATGGTACTCCTGACTTAGCAGATTTCAGACATGTTTAGAGAAGATTTTTACTCATCTTTGTATCACATGCAGTTAATAATGAATAAATAATATTCATTCAACAGAAAGTTATTAAACACTTTCTAATGTACTTGACACTGTGCTGAGTAAGACATATCTTCTGAGATATTTGCAACATTTTCTGTTCTTTAGATTTATTTTATAATTTTTATTGAATTGGTTGTAATGATGCCCATTTATTTTGTTATATTTTTTAACTCAAGAAAGTGTTGTTTTACTTTATTTTAGTTTACACTTTTGGTTGTTGCTTTTGATTCATTTAGTTTTTGTTGTTGTTGTTGTTCCAGGACAGCATGTGTGTTGTCTCTGCCATACACTTTCCATCTTTGTATTCATTATTCTAATCAGTTTTTTAATCTTCCTATATTGAGGAAACTGAAATTGTATCATTTGTTCCTAATCTTCTGCAGCATCAATGCTGCTCTTCAGTGCCTCCAATGCTAATTTATCCATTTCCTACTAGTCTTTTGTTACTTGTGTACTTTACCCACACACACATCTTTCCTTTTATCTTGTTATACCTTTTCTTCTTTTGGATTTCAATTTTTTTAAGCCATGTGTACTCATAATTCCTAAAATTCGTATTAGATCATATTATTTTAGTAACCTTTCCAATAATGTTCTTTTTCCTGATCTACATGATTCCCCATTAGCCTTAATTTCTTTGTGTTTTCTCTTTCCTCTGCTTCATACAAGTGAGAGCTATCTGGGCTTGATTTCTGTAAAGAGGCTGATGATGTTTTTTGGCCCCTTTTATGTCTATTTCTGTGAAAATCAAATTCCTTAAGAGCTCTACAACTTAAGGGAAGATTCATGTGCTCAGGCAACTCTTTTGATTCCCACTTTATAGGTGATGAAACTAAGTCACTAAGAAACTTTCCCAAGGTTACACAACTGGTAAGCAGTAGCAGTGAAGTCAGCAGTGAAACCCAGGCAATCTGTCTTCAGAGTCCATGACATAAACCACTGTGTCAAATACTTCCTGGTGCCTTTTCTTTTAACTTTTGTCAATGTATACTATAATCAGAGAAGAACACATACATCTTAAGTTTACAGCTTGATAAATATTTACAAACACAGCACACCTATACAGTCAGCTTCCAGAATATTACCAATTCCCAGTCTCTACCATGCCCGTGAGATTTACCATTGTTCTACTTCTTTAATAGAAAAAAAATAGTTTCACCTGTTTTTGTACTTTTATACAAGTAGAAATAACAGTATTTATTGTGCCTGGTTTCTTTCTTAAACATTACGTTAAGTATATCCATTCAATAATTCCTTTGCTATAAAGTAATGGCATTGTAGGAATATCCTGGGTATGTATTAATATATTCATTGTAATGCCGATGGACATATGGGTAGTTTCTATTTGTTTTTGTTTTTTGGAGGGAAGGGGCTATAAAAATATTGCATTTTAGTTAACATTTCAGATGTGCATATGTCGAAGGGTGGACTTTCTGAGTCTTAGGATAGTCCATTGCTCAGCTCTGTTAAATCATCCTGAATAATGTTCCAATGTGGCAGTGCCAGTTTAACTCAGCTACGGTGTGTATAAAGCCTTTGGTTTATTCACACTCTCAGCTGGTATTTTATAATCAGTAGCTGGTGTTTATCTTTTCAAGTAAACCAGGTTTAATATGTGTTTCCATTATATCTAAAGAACTTAACATCTTTTCACATATTTATTAACTATCTTGGGATTCTCTTTCTTTTTTTCTTCTTTTCTTGAGACAGGGTCTTGCTCTGTCACCCAGGTTGGAGAGCAGTGGTGTGATCATAGCTCACTGTAGCCTTGACCTCCAGGGCTCAAATGATCCTCCCACCTCAGCCTCCTGAGTAGCTGGAGCTACAGGCATGCACCACCAAACTTGGCTAATTTGTTTATTTTTTTTTTGTAAAGACGGGGTCTCGCTATGTTGCCCAGGCTTCTCTTGAACTCCTGGACTCCAGCAATCCTTTCACCTCAGCGTCCCAAAGTGCTGGGGTTACAGGCATGAGCCACTGGCCCTGGCCACATTTTGTTATCTGTTTCTTGTGAAGAGCCAAGACTTGTCCATTTTTCACTTGGGTTCTGTGACCTTTTCTTATTGACTTGTAGATGTTCTTAATGTTTTCCGAATACAGTGCCTTTGTCATTGCAGTTTTTGCCATTGAAAGTCATACAAAAATGTAATTACTTTTGCACCAACTTAATATTTTTGTCACTATGTTCTGCTAGCCTATAGTTTCCCTTTTCACTCTTATTAGTGTCTTGTGAGGACAATATATTCTTTTCATTTTAGTAAATTTTTATTCTTCAGTTTTTCTTGTTACAGATTTTATGTACTGTTAAGTATCTTTATGTATATCAAAATGATATCCTCCATTATTTTTCTATAAATGTTTTTACTGCCTTTCCATTCATTTTTAAATTTGACCGTCTTTGAAACTGATTTTGTGTATGAAGTGAAATAGGGATCTAGATATATTTTATATCAAATATATACCTAATGGAGATCTTTTCCTCATTATACTACAGTTCATCTTCTCCATGACTCTCAGTGGAGTTACAGGTGTAGCTGCTTTCTAGATTCTGTGTCATTGGTTGTTACCTATCCTTGGGCCAACATTATGACATATTTACCACAGATTTGAAGTACTATTGCTATTTGATCCTGTACATTCTTCAGCTTTCTTCTTTTGCTGCTTCAACCTTGCCTTTGGTAATCTTGGATTATTAAATTTATATTTGAATTTTAGAATTAACTTGTTAATTTCTACAGTGACTAATGCATGCACACACACACACAAACTACTGATATGTACTGAATTTACAGATTAATTCAGGGAGAAATTGTATCTGTACAAATGGAATCATTTAAGCCATAAACATTTTGTAGCCCTCCATTTCATGTGTTTCCTTTGTGTTTTTCAGGTTCTTTCAATGATATTTTTAGTTTTTTTTGTTATAACGTAGAACTGTTACATACCTTATGAGATATATATATATATATATATATATACACATATATATAATTACATATTTCTAGATGTTTGATGATTTTTAATGCTTTTGGAAATCACAGCATTTGCAATTTCTTTGATGCTATTATAAAGAGTGCCATTTATAACTCTATTTTCTAGTTGTGTATATAGAGTCAGGTGTGAAATATTTAGTTAACCATGTATTCAGTGACTTTGACAAATAGACCAATTAATATTAATACTTTGCCTGCAGATTACTTTAGGTTTCCTAGATAAGGAACTTTCTACCATAGTGTGATAATTGTAATTTCAAATTGTAATTTCATTTCATTTTTTTCCTACTTAGTAGAGAATTATTATTTTCTTGTTTTATTTCACTTGTTGGCACCTCTAGTACAATATTTTTAAAAAGAAAGTTGAAATAGATAGTAGAGATTTTTTTCTGTTTCCTACTCTCAAGGGAGTTCAATATTCCAATATTGTGAGTGATCACAGGTACATGTAAAGTGGTGGAACCTGGACCTGGTTGTATGTGTCTAAGGATGGGAGTCTATTGTTTTATTCTGTCTTCTTTCCTACCACTTAGCTTCTGCTTGGTCTCCATCTCATTTTTGGCCAATCATTCTCTGGCTGTGCCATGAACATTTTCAGCATTGGTAGTCAAGCAATTCTTTTTCTCTGCAATGAAGTCACCAAGCTGGCTTCTATGGAAGGACTCCGAGGGTATTCCTTTCAAGAGGATGGATACCCAGTATGAAGGTCTCCAGGTCAAATTGAAAATTTGTTCCTAGAAAAAGTGATGCCCAAGACACAACATATACTCTTTCTAAGGTCTGGCAGCCCTCCCAGGGTCCACCAGAGTAATACCCTTATACCCAAACACACTTTCTCACCCAGGGCCACCCAGCCCTATGTCCTCCACTGCTTCGAGTTTCCTGGGGCCTTCTCTTCAGATGGTGTGAAATTTATGTTGTGAGAGTTTCCCAGCTTCCTGGCTTTCAGGATATCTTCTGATTTATTTTATTATTTGAGCAAGAATGGCATCTTCAGCCTTAATTATTTCCCTAGACTCTGGCTTCTGAAGGAATTTCTATCTTCAACTCCCATATATTTTTTTTTTCTGAGTCCTTGAAATAGTCTGTCCTAGAATCATCTGATCTACTGTACAACATCTTCAGGTCTAGTTTTTGCCTTATTCAAGCCAACAGTTCCTCTCCTTAGTAGAATTAACGTAAAATGTGAAAATGAAAAGGAAAATACTTTGTAACATGTATATGACTTATGTTCTGAGAAGAGGAAAAATAGCTAGCAATTTTTAAAATTCCACTTCTTCATAGTTTCTCATTGTTTAGCTCAGAATACAAAGCAGCAAGATCTCTTAATAGTGTGGTAATTAATACTCAATGTGTGATGTCTCATTTTATTCAATTTATACTTAGTATGCCCTGCCAAAATGCAATAAAAAGAAAATTAAAATAGCCAAGAAAGCATAAATTATTAAAGCTTTTTTTCCCCCTGAAGAGTAATTTTAAATAATATTCAGCAAGTACAATGTCATCCAGGGCATTTGGAAATTATACATTTTATTATTAACAAATATTTTGGCTAAGGCTCATTACATGAGCAGAAGTAAAACAAGTTATATGTATCTTTCTTTGAGTGTAAGTAGATAAGTGCGTAAGGATGGGTGCTGGGTGCCCTTCATCTGTCGATCTCATCAATCTCATCATGTAAGAAATCTTAGTTGATGACAGTTTCTGGGAGAATATCTGAGAATCATTGTGGTGCTGGTAGAGACAAGGCACCACACCTGCCCTCACACTCAAGCAGCCTTTGTTCAGAGTGGGCCTGCAGGTAGCATTCAAGGAGGAGAACCAGTGGTCTCAGGCCTCCACTTCATTCAATATCCTAGGAGGAAATAATAATTAAAAAGTGAATTAATCTTCTGTTCCCAAAAATGTGCTCTTCTGGGTATCCTTGTCGATACCATGGCCTCAGTATTGATGGCTTTTAGATATATTATGTGTGCACAACCTCAGTTTCCTATGGAGAGGGAAGCAACACAGTATAGAATTCACTAGCATGAAAACAGGAACAGTAGGGAGCATAGGCAGAGAACAATGGGAATCCATATGCTTTTTAAGATTTTTAAAGAATTGGGGGATATCTCTCTTTATCTGAAGTGCTGAAGAAAAAGAGGTACTGGCCTCTGCAGAGATCAGATGGTAAGAAAGGGAAAAAGGACAGCTGATGTTTTCATACAGTGGGAATTTGCAGAGCACATAAGGGACAGGGAGAAATTGTGATCTCATCCTATCCAAGTCTGGGAGATTCTAAACTGAAACTGGATTTTGACTTCTGTACATCCATCTTATGCCTGCAATTTGGACTGGCACAGAAGCGGGGAGTAGTTGGCATGAAATAAATAAGATTAGCCCAGTGATTTTTATTTCTTTAGTTTCAGAAAATAAACCGACTTCTTTACTGTGTAAGAAAGAGCTCCTTGACCATTAGCTTTGTATTCCACAACTCCCTATACTTTAATACTTAAAGACCATCACAGCCAAGATTTTCCTGACATGTCATTTTCATCTAAATAAGTCTTTGGGAACTGCTTTTTTTTTTTTTTTTCATTGTTTGTTTTTCTCTTATCCCTCTCCCTACTATCTATCTATCTATAGACTTGAAGTGAAAAAAACCTAAATATATGATCCTTTTCTCATGAAACCTATAAGATAGTCTTGTATACTTAAAATAGACAGTTTAAGACCCCAAACTAAAGTCCTGATAAACCATTCTTGTTCAGATTAATTTGTAGATTCTGGATATTAGCTGTTTGTCAGACGGGTAGATTGCAAAAATTTTCTCCCATTCTGTAGGTTGCTGGTTCACTCTGATGGTAGGTTGTTTTGCTATGCAGAAGCTCTTTAGTTTAATTAGATCCCATTTGTTTATTTTGGCTTTTGTTGCCATTGCTTTTGGTGTTCTAGTCACGAAGTCCTTGCCCATGCCTATGTCCTGAATGGTATTGCCTAGGTTTTCTTCTAGGGTTTTTATGGTTTTAGGTCTAACATTAAAGTCTTTAATCCATCTTGAATTAATTTTTGCATAAGGTTTAAGGAAGGGATCCAGTTTCAGCTTTCTACATATGGCTGGCCAGTTTTCCCAGCACCATGTATTAAATAGGGAATCCTTTCCCCATTGCTTGTTTTTGTCAGGTTTGTCAAATATCAGATGATTGTAGATGTTTGGTGTTATTTCTGAGGCCTCTGTTCTGTTCCATTGGTCCTATATCTCTGTTTTGGTACCAGTACCATGCTGTTTTGGTTACTGTAGCTTTGTTATATAGTTTGAAGTGAGGAAGCGTGATGCCTTCAGCTTTGTTCTTTTTGCTTAGCAGTGTCTTGGCAATGTGGGCTCTTTTTTGGTTATATATGAACTTTAAAGTAGTTTTTTCCAATTCTGTGAAGAATGTCATTGGTAGCTTCATGGGGATGGCATTGAATCTATAAATTACCTTGGGTAGTATGACCATTTTCACAATATTGATTATTCCTATCTATAAACATGGAATATTCTTCCATTGGTTTGTATCCTCTTTTATTTCATCGAGCAGTGGTTTGTAGTTCTCCTTGAAGCGGTCCTTCACATCCTTGTAAGTTGGAGTCCTAGGTATTGTATTCTCTTTGTAGCAATTGTGAATGGGAGTTCACTCATGATTTGTCTGTTCTCTGTCTGTTATTGGTGTATAAGAATGCTAGTGATTTTTGCACATTGAATTTGTATCCTAAGACTTTGCTCAAGTTGCTTATCAGCTTAAGGAGATTTGGGGCTGAGACGATGGGGTTTTCTAAATATACAATCATGTCATCTGCAAACAGGGACAATTTGACTTCCTCTTTTCCTAATTGAATACCCTTTATTTCTTTCTCTTGCCTGATTGCCCTGGCCAGAACTTCCAACACTGTGTTGAATAGGAGTGGTGAGAGAGGGCATCCCTGTCTTGTGCCAGTTTTCAAAGGGAATGCTTCCACTTTTTGCCCATTCAGTATAATACTGGCTGTGGGTTTGTCATACATAGCTCTTATTATTTTGAGATACGTTCCATCCATACCTAGTTTATTGAGAGTTTTTAGCATGAAGGGCTGTTGAATTTTGTCAAAGGCCTTTTCTGCATCTATTGAGATAATCATGTGGTTTTTGTCTTTGGTTCTGTTTATATGCTGGATTACGTTTACTGATTTGCATATGTTGAACCGGCCTTGCAATCCAGGGATGAAGCCAACCTGATCTTGTTGGATAAGCTTTTTGATGTACTGCTCTATTCGGTTTGCCAGTATTTTATTGAGGATTTTTGCCTTGATGTTCATCAGGGATATTGGCCTAAAATTCTCTTTTTTTGTTTTGTCTCTGCCAAGCTTTGGTATCAGGATGATATTGTCCTCATAAAATGAGTTAGGGAGGATTACCTCTTTTCTTTTGATTGAAATAGTTTCAGAAGGAATGATACCACCGCCTCTTTGTAATTTTGGTAGAATTCTGCTTTGAATTCATCTGGTCCTGGACTTTTTTTGGTGGGTAAGCTATTAATTATTGCCTCAATTTCAGAGTCTGTTACTGGTCTATTGAGAGATTCAACTTCTTCCTGGTTTAGTCTTGGGAGGGTGTATGTGTCCAGGAATTTATCGATTTCTTCAGGATTTTCTAGTTTATTTGCGTAGAGGTGTTTCTAGTATTCTCTGATGGTAGTTTGAATTTCTATGGGAATGGTGGTGATATTCCCTTTATCATTTTTTATTGCATCTATTTGATTCTTCTCTCTTTTCTTCTTCATTGGTCTTGCTAGCAGTCTATCAATTTTGTTGATCTTTTGAAAAAACCCGCTCCTGGATTCATTGATTTTTTGAAGGGCTTTTTGTGGCTCTATTTCCTTCAGTTCTGCTCTGATATTAGTTATTTCTTGCCTTCTGCTAGCTTTGGAATGTGTTGCTCTTGCTTCTCTAGTTCTTTGAATTGTGATGTTAGGGTGTCAATTTTAGATCTTTCCTGCTTTCTCTTGTGGGCATTTAGTGCTATAAATTTCCTTCTACACACTGCTTTAAATGTGTCCTGGAGATTCTGGTACATTGTGTCTTTGTTCTCACTGGTTTCAAAGAACATCTGTATTTCTGCCTTCATTTGATTATTTACCCAGTAGTCATTCAGGAGCAAGTTGTTCAGTTTCCATATAGTTGAGCAGTTTTGAGTGAGTTTCTTAATCCTGAGTTCTTATTTGATTGCACTGTGGTCTGAGAGACAGTCTGCTGTGATTTCTGTTCTTTTACATTTGCTGAGGAGTGCTTTACTTCCAACTATGTGGTCAGTTTTGGAATAAGTACAATGTGGTGCTGAGAAGAATGTATATTCTGTTGATTAGGGCTGGAGAGTTCTGTAGATGTCTGTTAGGTCGGCGTGGTGCAGAGTTGAGTTCAAGTCCTGGATATTCTTGTTAACTTTCTCTCTCGTTGATCTGTCTAATATTGACAGTGAGGTGTTAAAGTCTCCCACTATTATTGTGTGGGAGTCTAAGTCTCTTTGTAGGTCTCTCAGGACTTTATGAGTCTGTGTGCTCCTGTATTGGGTGCATATGTATTTAGGATAGTTTGCTCTTTTTGTTGAATTGATCCCTTTACCATTATGTAATGGCCTTCTTTGTCTCTTTTGATCTTTGTTGGTTTAAAGTCTGTTTTAGCAGAGGCTTGGATTGCAACCCCTGCTTTTTTTTTTTTTTTTTTTTTTGCTTTCCATTTTCTTGGTAGATCTTCCTCCATCCCTTTATTATGAGCCTATGTGTGTCTTTGCACATGAGATGGGGCTCCTGAATACAGCACAAGGATGGGTCTTGACTTTTTATCCAATTTGCCAGCCTCTGTCTTTTAATAGGGGCATTTAGCCCATTTACATTTAAGTTTAATATGGTTATGTTTGAATTTGATCCTGTCATTATGATGTTAGCTGGTTATTTTGCCCATTAGTTGATGCATTTCTTCCCAGCATCAATGGTCTTTACAATTTGGCATGTTTTTGCAGTGGCTGGTACCGGTTGTTCCTTTCCATGTTTAGTGTTTCCTTCCCATGTCTAGTGCTTCCTTCCCATGTTTAGTGCTTCCTTCAGGAGCTCTTGTAGGTCAGGCCTGGTGGCGACAAAATCTCTCAGCATTTGCTTGTCTGTAAAGGATTTTATTTCTCCTTCACTTATGAAGCTTAGTTTGGCTGGATATGAAATTCTGGGTTGAAAATTCTTTTCTTTAAGAATGTTGAATATTGGCCCCCACTCTCTTCTGGCTTGTAGGGTTTCTGCCAAGAGATCTGCTGTTAGTCTGATGGGCTTCCCTTTGTGGGTAACCTGACCTTTCTCTCTGGTTGCCCTTAACATTTTTTCCTTCATTTCAACCTTGGTGAATCTGACAATTATGTGTCTTGGGGTTGCTTTTCTAGAGGAGTATCTTTGTGTTGTTCTCCATATTTCCTGAATTTGAATGTTGGCCAGCCTCGCTATGTTGGGGAAGTTCTGGATAATATCCTGAAGAGTATTTTCCAGCTTGGTTCTATTCTCCCTGTCACTTTCAGGTATACCAATGAAACGTAGATTTGATATTTTCACATAGTCCCATATTTCTTGGAGGCTTTGTTCTTTTCATTTTACTTTTTTTTCCTCTAAACTTCTCTTCTCACCTCATTTCATTAATTTGATCTTCAATCACTGATACCTTTTCTTCCAGATGATTGAATCGGCTACTGAAACTTGTGCATGCATCACATAGTTCTCGTGCCATGGTTTTCAGCTCCATCAGGTCATTTAATGTCTTCTCTACACTGTTTATTCTAGTTAGCCATTCGTCTAATCTTTTTTCAAGGCAGGCATGCCTCATTGAGCTGCGGTGGGCTCCACCCAGTTCAACCTTCCAGGCCGCTTTGTTTACCTACTGAAGCCTTTTTAGCTTCCTTTGGATGGGTTCAAACATCCTCCTTTAGCTTGAAGAAGTTTGTTATTACCAACTTTTTGAAGCCTACTTCTGTCAACTCATCAAAGTCATTCTCCATCCTGATTTGTTCTGTTGCTGGCAAGGAGCTGTGAACGTTTGGAGGAGAAAGGGCGCTCTGGTTTTTAGAATTTTCAGCTTTTCTGCTCTGGTTTCTCCCATCTTTGTGGTTTTACCTACCTTTGGTTTTTGATGATGGTGACAGATGGGGTTTTGGTGTGCATGTCCTTTTTGTTGATGTTGATGCTATTCCTTTCTGTTTGTTAGTTTTCCTTCTAACAGTCAGGTCTCTCAGCTGCAGGCCTGTTGGAGTTTGCTGGAGGTCCACTCCAGACCCTGTTTTCCTGGGTATGACCAGCAGAGGCTGCAGAACAGCAAATATTGCAGCATAGCAAATATTGCTGCCTGACCCTTCCTCTGGAAGCTTCGTCTTAGAGGGGCACCCGGCCATATGAGGTGTCAGATGGCCCCTACTGGGAGGTGTCTCCAAGTTAGGCTACATGGAGGTCAGGGACCCACTTGAGGAGGCGGTCTGTCCATTCTTAGAGCTCAAACACCGTGCTGGGAGAACCACTGTTCTCTTCAAAGCTTTCAGACAGGGGCATTTAAGTCTGCAGAAGTTTCTTCTGCCTTTTGTTCTGCTATGCCCTGCCCCCAGAGGTGGAGTCTACAGAGGCAGGTGGGCCTCATTGAGCTGCGGTGGCCTACACCCAGTTCGAGCTTACAGGCCACTTTGTTTCCCTACTGAAGCCTCAGCAATGGCAGATGCCCCTCCCCCAGCCAGGCTTGCGGCCTCACAGTTCGATCTGGGACTAGCAGCGAGCAAGGCTCCGTGGGTGTGGGACCCACTGAGTCAGGCACTGGATATAATCTCCTGGTGTGCCATTTGCTAAGACCCTTGGAAAAGTGCAATGTTTATGTGGCATGTCCCAATTTTCCTGATACAGTCTGTCATGGCTTCCCTTTGCTAGGAAAGGGAAAACCCCCCAACCCCATACGCTTCCCGGGTGAGGTGATGTCCTGCTCTGCTTCAGCTTGCCCTCCAAGGGCTGCACGCACTTTCCAACCAGTTCCAATGAAATGAACCAGGTACCTCAGTTAGAAATGCAGAAATCACCCGTCTTCTGCATCGATCCTGCTAGGAGCTGCAGACCAGAGCTGTTCCTATTTGACCATCTTGGAACAGACCTCCATTGCATCTTAAAGAGTGCAGAGGGAGTCAGACTGACAGCTTGTCATTCTTCAGAATCTGAAGCTCTAAGAAAATATTTACAATGATGCTCATTGTAGCATTTCTTGTAATAGAAAAGAATAGGAAATACTGAAATTAGAAAATATAAGAAAATAGCTAAATAAATCATTATGTGAAATATTCTATAATGTGGATATATCATCATTACATAATGGTGTGAAAAGATTTCTAAAACTTAATATTGAATGAAAACAGAAAATTGTAGAATATAAGCAATTTGAAATAATTAAGTAAACCCTAAAGTAATACTGAATATGCAAATACATGCATGCATTTATATGTATAGAAATGAATGTGGAAGGGGGAATATCAAAATGATAACAATGAGAACCTCTGGAAAGTATCTAGGATTGCAGATGGTGAAAGACATACTTAAGGGAGAATTTAGTTATGTGTGATATATTTAAAAATGAATAGTATTCTGTATTTTAACTCTAGAATTAACCAATGTAAAATCTCATCTATTTATTAGTGCTTAATTTTCTTTTTGTTAAATGTTGTATGCTCCTTCCAAAACCAAGATTTCAAATAATGATGAAAAATATCAAAATGAAATTGCAACTTAAAATAAACTAATGTTTATATTAAGTGAGCACGAATCCACATAACTCTCTAAGTATTTAAGTGTGCATATAGGTAGATCCACATTTATTAAAAATTCTAAGAATGAGATCACATTTTATTAAAAATGTAATAAAATGTTTTAAATATAAATTTACTTAACTTATAAGGAGAACAAACTGTAGTGATGGCTGAAATTCAAATAAATGTTATCTTGTCATAAGATGTACCATTTCCTAAAATACTCTTTTAAGGGCAGCTTTTCACACTAGCTGCTAAAATCCCTTTTCTCTATTTCCTGATTTTTCATAGTTATGTTAATATTTTTACACTGACAAGGTTTTTGACATTTTGTTATATAACCATAACTTTTTTTTTTTTTTTTAAGTTCTGGGATACATGTGCTGAACATGCAAGTTTGTAACATAGGTGGATATGTGCCATGGTGGTTTGCTGCACCTATCAACCTGACATCTAGGTATTAAGCTCTGCATGCATTAGGTATTTGTCCTAATGCTCTCCCTCCCCTTTCCCCCACCCCATGACAGTCCCTCGTATGTGATGTTCCATTCCCTGTGTCCACATGTTCTCGTTGTTCAGCTCCCGCTTATGAGTGAGAACATGCGGTGTTTGGTTTTCTGTTCCTATGTTAGTTTGCTGAGCATGATGGTTTTCAACTTCATCCATGTCCCTGCAAAGGACATGAACTCATTCTTTTTTATGGCTGCATAGTATTCCTTGGTGTATATGTGCCACATTCTCTTTATCCAGTCTATCACTAATGGGCATTTGGGTTGGTTCCTAGTCTTTTCTATTGTGAATAGTGCCTCAATAAAGACATGGGTGGATGAGTCTTTGTAGTAGAATGAGTTATAATCCTTTGGGTATATACCCAGTAATGGGATTGCTGGGTCAAATGGTATTTCTGGTTCTAGATCCTTGGGGAATCACCACACTGTCTTCCACAATGGTTGAACTCATTTACACTCCCACCAACCGTGTAAAAGTGTCCCTATTTCTCTGCATCCTTGCCAGCATCTCTTGTTTCCACACTCTAATGATTGCCATGCTAGCTGGAGTGAGATGGTATCTCATTATGGTTTGGATTTTCATTTCTCTAATGACCAAAGATGATAAGCTGTTTTTCATATGTTTGTTGGCCACATAAATGTTTTCTTTTGAGAAGTGTCTGTTCATATCATTTGCCTGCTTTGTGATGAAGTTGTTTGTTTCTTTCTCATAAATTTGTTTAAGTTCCTTGTAGATTCTGGATTTTAGCCCTTTGTCAGATGGATAGATTGCAAAAATTTTCTCCCATTCTGTAGGTTGCCTGTTCGCTCTGTTGATAGTTTCTTTTGGTGAGCAAGCTCATAATTTTAATTGGATCCCATTTATCAATTTTGGCTTTTGTTGCAATTGCTTTTGGTGTTTTATTCATGAGGTCTTTGCCCATGCCTATGTCCCAAATGGTATTGCCTAGGTTTTCTTCTAGGGTTTTTATGGTTTTAGGTTTTATGTTTAAGTCTTTAATCCATCTTGAGTTAATTTTTGTATAAGGTGTCAGGAAGGTGTCCAGTTTCTGTTTTCTCCACATGGCTAGCCAGTTTTCCCAGCACCATTTATGAAATAGGGAATCTTTCCCCATTGCTTGTTTTGTCAGGTTTGTCAAAGATCAGATAGTTGTAGATGTGTGGTGTTATTTCTGAGGCCTCTGTTCTGTTCCATTGGTCTATATCTCTGTTTTGGTACCAGTACCACGCAGTTTTGGTTACTGTAGCCTTATAGTATTGTTTGAAGTCAGGTAGCATGATGCCTTCAGCTGTGTTCTTTTTGCTTAGGATTCTTGTGGCTATACGGGCTCCTTTTTAGTTCTGTATGAAATTTAAAGCAGTTTCTTTCTAGTTCTGTGAAGAAAGTCAAGGGTAGCTTGATGGAAATAGCATTGAATCTGTTAATCACTTTTGGCAGTGTGGCCATTTTCACAATATTGATTCTTCCTGTCCATGAGCATTTGTTTTTCCATTTGTTTGTGTCCTCTCTTATTCTTGAGCAGTGGTTTGTAGTTCTTGAAGAGGTCCTTCACATCCCTTGTAAGTTGTATTCCTTGGTATTTTATTTTCTTTGTAGCAATTGTGAATGGGAGTTCACTCATGATTTGGCTGTCTATTATTGGTGTATAGGAATGTTTGTGATTTTTGCATATTGATTTTTTATCCTGAGACTTTGCCGAAGTTTTTTGTCAGCTTATGGAGTTTTTGGGCTGAGATGATGGGGTTTTCTGAATATACAATCATGTCATCTGCAAACATAGACAATTTGACTTCCTCTGTTCCTATTTGAATACCCTTTATTTCTTTCTCTTGCCTGATTGCTCTGGCCAGAACTTCCAATACTATGTTGAATAGAAGTGGTGAGAGAGGGCATCCTTGTCTTGTGCTGTTTTTTCAAGGGAATGCTTCCAGCTTTTGCCCATTTAGTATGATATTGGCTATGGGTTTGTCATAAATAGCTCTTATTATTTTGAGATAATTTTATAGTAATACTGACTCTAAATTCGCATGGATTAACTTCTTACTACCACTTTCCATTTAAAAAAAAATCACAGTTTCTTCATTCCTAAATTCTTTCTTTGATTGACAAACTTTAGATACTAATCATTTATCTTTTGACTTTAAATTTTGATGCAGGAAAGTCTGAAACCAGTCTAATTTAAAACATATAATTTTTCTGCTTTCCTGGGAGAATTGTTTTCTTATTCTTGTAGTTCTGTAGCTTAACTGGTATATGAGTTAGAATTTAGTATTTTATGTCTTTTTTTATGGTATACTGTATGTCCCTTTAAATATTCAGGTTTTAAAAATTAATTTTAGAAATATATTTTTATATTTTTAAACAAATTATTTATTGAACTTTTTTTTCCACAAACAACAAATTTTCTTACATGAATTTTTTTATTTGCTTCCTAATTTTATAATCTCTGTTTCTCTCTATATCCTAGTATTTGAGTTTTTTCAAGATAACTATTTTGTTCCATGTTTTTCTAATTAATTTATTACTTCTGCCTTGGTACTGAATTTTCAAACTTAGGTCTATCTGGACTATTCCCCTTCATTTAGTTCTGACATCATTTCCTCTTGTCTTTAAGTTCATCTTGAAGTTTTTTGTTTGCCGTTACATAGTTGTAAATGTTGAGAAAATATAATTAAGTCTTTCCCCCACCCAGAAAACCTCTTTGAAAAGGTAGAAGAGAAAGAAACCAATTTTATTATTAAATGAGCATTGAATCAGAACTTAATTGCATCACAAGCAATGTGCTAGAAGTTGTAGACTGAAAGAAATCTACATTTTTATACTGCCAAGCAGATACAATGCATTACATGTATGTTCTCAAGATAAACAATAACTAGTCCTCAAGTAATCAAACTGAACAGCACCATTTGTCACACGTAGTTCACCTGGTGAGCACCTGTATTTGCTGTTTCGCTTTATCCAGAGGAAAAATAAACTTATAATATCTTTATGACAAGAAGCATTTTTGCAACTTAGGACAAGGCATCTGTGAAGGTTGCTACCTTCCTACAATCACTGGGAGATAAAAGTGCTATCTTGATAATTACATTTCAAAGAGATAGCCCCCGTGTTTTTGGAAAGAAATGCTTAAGTCTTAAACCTGGCAAGAGACTTATTTAGGGTTTAAAAAGACTTACTTGCTTTTCAAAGAGACAGAAAACAACTTAAGAGTTTTCTGAAGTAAATGCCTTAAGAAATGAAGGAAGGAAAACTTTCTTCCTTTATATTCAGGAGAGAAATTAAACCTCTTACTTTAATTTATATTTCCCCTTCCATAAACCCTTGTGAGTAATATCCTCCTTCTTAAGCTGTATTTTCTTCTACATCTGAATCTTTGACTTTCTTATTATTGATGAAAAAAGCCAAACTCTGTAAAATATTTGAGGATGTTTCATCTGAGCCGGATATTAGTGACCATGCCCATCACATAGCCTCAGGAGGTCCTGAGAACATGTGCCCAAGGTGATTGGGTTACAATGTGGTTTTATACATTTTAGGGAGACAGAAGTTACAAAGACACATATTAATACATGTAAAGTAAACATTGATTTGGCCCCGAAAGGCAAGATATCTCAAAATAGGTTTCCAGGTGATAGGTGGATTCAAACATTTTATTATGGGCAATTGGTTGAAAAAGGTTAGCTTTGCCTAAAGAGTTGAAGTCAGCAGAAAGAAATGCTTGAGTTAAGATAAAGAGGGTTGTAGTGACCGATTCTTGTTATGTAGGTGATGACTCTAAGTAGCAGACTCCAGAGAGAATAGATGCACGTGTCTCTTATCAGATCTTAAAAGGTGTCAGACTTTCTGGAAAAGACCTTGCGGGGTCCATAGGGTCTTAGCTCCCTAAAGGTCCACTAAAAATCACTGACATGAGGCAGATTGATTAATAGGAGAATAGGCATACAAATTTATTTAACATGTGTACATGTGAGCCATGTGAGCCTTCAGAATAAAGACCCAACTTCCCAATGAGTTTCAGAAACTTATATACTATCCTGAGGCCAGTAAATTATGCAGACTCAGAGCATGACCAGAAATAGATAAATCAGGTTTAGTGGCAAGAGAGGTTAAAAGAGAAAGTAAGAAGCTTAGCTAGCAAAGATGGCCTTGCTGTGTAGATGAACATTCCTTCAAAACGTTCCTTCAGAGAGAGTAGATGGTAAATGTTTATTTTCAGATTTTTAAAGGTGTCCGACTCTCAGTCTTTTCTGGATCAGGGAAAGGCATAGAAAGGGGAAGGGGTTGCATTAATGGAGATTCTCTACAAGTGCAAATTTTCTCCGCTTAAGACAGTTTTGCAAAGCCACTTCTGCCTGTTGGCGAAATGGTAGTAATCTCAAAATATGTCAAAGAAATATATTTTGGGATAAATTAATTTCCTTAACCTAGTAAGGGAAGGAGATCATCAACAGAATGCAAATTTCCCCCACAAAAGATGGCATTGAGGGGCCATTCCAAAATATGTCAAAGATATATACTTTGGCATAAAGATTTTAATTTCTTAAACCCAGTAAGGGAAGGAGATAATCTACAGAATGCAAATGTTACCCACAAGAGATGGCTTTGCAGGGCAATTCCAAACATTATCAAAGAAGTATATTTTGGGGTAAAAGGCTTTGATTTCCTTCAGGGCCTGCTATCTGTCATTTGACTGTATAACACACTCAGGTTGGAGGTTAGTATCTGATTGTTATGAAGAGTCTATTTTGTCAGTCTTATGACATCTATTTTAACGTTAATGTTGGTCAGTTACGTCTAAATTCCAAAGGGAGGAGGGTATAGTGAGGCACTTCTTATCACCCCTTCTAGTCATGGCCCGAACTAATTTTTCAGGTTTCTTTGGCATCTTCTTGGTCAAGAGAGGAGGTTCATACAATTGATTGCGGGGCTTAGAATTTTATTTTTGGTTTAATTATAGTTTCCTTCCCCATTCATTTACTTAGTTGTTGTTGTTGTTGTGTGTGTGTGTGTGCGTGTGTGTGTGTGTGTGTGTGTGTGTGTGTGTGTGTTGTTTTCCTAAGATTGGATGCAGGCAATTTTGGGCTTCTTATCATTTTCCCAGAATATTTTATATTCCCAGTATATTTTACAATTTACCATTTGTATGATATTAGGTCAGTCACAGAAGCCTCTCTGAACCTTGGATACTTCATTCATAAAATCAAGATTTTAGCTCCTTTTAGAGTCCTTTATTATGTTTTACTAAAACTCATATTTACTCATTTACTCAATTTATTCAATACATTTTAAAGATTTCAAAGAAAAGAAAGACACCAACTACTGGTATGGTTGAGGTGCAGAAAGACTGTGTTAGAAAGACTTTGAATGTTAAATTCTCAGCCTGCGGTTTTTCCCTATCAGCCCCATCTGACTTTTCTCTTGACCTTAGATTCTAGGCCTCATTACTTTCACTAACTTACTAACTATAAACTGACCACCATTGGTTTGTATTGTCTCAAATTTCTCTTCTGTTAAAAGGAAAATTGTGTCTTTTCTCCTCTTAAATCTAACCACTCCGTTGTGTGTTGCACTCTGATCCAGCCCCCTGTTAAGAGACCTTGGTTCCTTGTTCATGCTTCACTCTTTCCTAAATGTTCAAATACTCTTTAAAAATTAAAACTAATTAAAAAAAAACCCTCCATGGGTCTCCTATTTCTCTCCAGCCCCTGACATGTTTCTCATATCCCTTCATAGAGAAAATATTTAAAAGAGTGACACACTGTTGTGGTCCCCATTAAATCAGTTTCCATTAATTTTTTTATCCTATCTCCATTCTGTGGTCAGAAATCACTTCCCTATTGTTAAGTTCCAATTGGATTTTCTTAATTCTATTTTCCTCAAGCTCTGGGTAGCACTAAACATTGTTGAATACTGTGAAACAAAAAGTATTTGAGACAGGTCTCAATCAATTTAGAAGTTTATTTTACCATGGTTGAGGATGGGCCCAGGAAAAAGAGACACAAGTCACAGTAGGATCTGTGGCCTCCACTTTTTGTAAAGAGAGCTTTGAAGTCTTCAGTATTTCAGCATTTAGAGAGGAAAAAAGCAGGTAGGAAAGAAAAGAGGGAGGAAAAAAGGAAGAGGGAGGGTACATAGTGAGGTAAGTGGTCACATGCTTGTGAGGTTTGATTAGCACACACAGAATCCACATGATGCGTGTGAAAGGAGAGGGTAGTGGAAGAGTATTTGTCTTGTGCTCAGTAAGTCTCCATTTTACATAAGATAAAGTAAAAATAGAGTCAGGTAGAGGAAGAAGTCAAGTCTCTAAATATCTCCCAATCCTCTCTCCATCTCTACTGTAGTATATAACTTGCAAGTCTTTCCTTCAGAACTCAGTCAACCATGCAAGTCTTTCCTTCAGAACTCAGTCAACATTACTTTTGATTTCAGAAGTTTTACCTGGTGCTAGCTTCTCCCCAGCAGTTGCTCTCAGCTGACAGATACTGTCTCATCCAATTTCAAGCGCCTCCCCAGGCACAGCCGATATCGTGTGACTGGTCAATGTATGGTACAAAGGCTAAACATTCTTGTTTTAACTTGAAACATCTCTAACAGGCCATTTTCAGCCCTGTAGAATGCATTGAAACCTCTGATTTAGCAGCATCATAGTTCAACATCTCCCTCTGCCCAAGATGACTTCCCTTACCCAAGCCCTGCAGTAAACCACGTGTGTCTCTTTATCAGAATTTGTTTCCTTGTGGAACCAACCTATCACTATTTGCATTTATACCACTGTGATCTCTTACTTTTCTGTGTGATTTCACTCTGGCTCTTCAAGTACCTTCTTTACACTGCCCCTTAAATGACTCTACTAAAATACCACTGGATCGTATCAAGATTTTGCGAAAGACCATGAGATAGATTCCCAACACAGTTAGTTTATATTTTAGTGTCCCATACATTATATTATAAATAATGAGAGTTAAAACATTATGCTTATCTAATAAATTTCTACATCCCAAGTGCCTGACACACAGTAGATTCTTAGCATTTTTAATAAAAGTAAATGGTTAACTACTCTTACTTAAACTTCTTAGTAAATAACAGCAAGAAAAGCTAGTACACTAAAGAACTGAATTTTAATTTCTACTCTGAGTCCAATTAGTTGTATGACCTTAGGCAACTCAGAATGAATTTTGCAACCAATAGAATTGGGAAGCATATCAACAAGATAAGTTCCAAGGAACTAACATATCTGACATTGCATAGTGGTCTACCAACTTATGATCAACCTCTGTCAGAGCTTATAGATGAACAAACAAGACAAACAAGGGATAAATTTGAAACTGATTAAGAAATATAACTCATACAAGTAAAATTAATATAAGCAGTACCTTGAAAATAGAAACCTATAGTATTAATGTTTTAAAAAATGAGAAGATGCTTTTCCATTTCTGTCCCTATAGATCCTTGTGTATTTATATATCAGAAATACACATGTCAATTACCCAGTAATTTTGGAATAAATTAATGTTTTCCTAATAAAGCAAAGAAAAGCTAACCACTGTTTAATGCAGGTCATCTTATAAATACTGAGATATACTTTGTTGTTTTTGTGTAGAGGGTCACAATGTTCAACCCATATATGTTGTGTGAAATTATTTTCTTGCCAAGTAAGTCACTCAAAGTATAAGCGTGAATGTATCTGAGTAAACACATGTCAATTTTATGCTGAAAGAGTGCCAACTGGCCTTACTTACATGTAATTTTGTAAAACAATAAAGTCCTACCAGAACAATATTTGAGCGCCATCTGTTATGCAATAAATTTTGAATGGCCAACTAAATCTTTTGCCATTTGAAAAAAATATCCCAGTAAAAAGAAGAAGAGAATTTCAGTCTACACTTAACAAGGAAAATCAACCTTCTACGATCCAGACAATTTTACTTTCCTAATTTAGTAGTCTTTAACACAATAAACAATCTTAGATAATATTTCATTTTTATGCTTAGCAATACATTTTATTGACACCAGAAATAGCAATGGAATTCCAGGGGGTGACATACTACCTCTGGGTATCTTGCCTCAAAGGAACAAAATATATTAACAATACTGTGATGAATGGCTTAAGAATTGTTAATGATTAATAAATTAAAATAAATATTCACTACCATGCTATGACAGATGCGTTAGTCTCCCTACACAGTAAATAACTAAATGTTGATTCCTGCTGTGAAAAATAAATACAACAGCAGCAGCCAGAGGTGTTTCTCTTTATCATGTAATGTGATATTCCTTTAGGAGGTGAGTGCCACTGGGAAAATTGTGCTGGAGAAAAAATGACTTTCAGTGTCTCTCCATTTTACCTTGGTGGCCTGTAAGAGATGTTTCAAATTAAAACAAGGATGTTTAGCTTTTGTATCATACATTCACCAGTCATAAAATATGGGTTATGCCTGGGGAGGAGCTTGAAATTGGATGAGGCAGCCCTGTCAGCTTCGAACAACTGCTGGGGAAAAGCTCATATGGAAGCAAGTACCAGGAAAAACTTCTGCAAGCAAAAGGAATGGTGACTAAGTTCTGAAGGAGGGACTCCCATGGTATGCCAAGGTATGCATTACAGTACAGATGGAGAGAGGTTAGGGAGATATTTAGAGAGTTAACTTCTTCCTCTATTTGACTCTATGTTTACTTTATCTTATGGGATGCAGAGAGGTTAGGGAGAGCCTCTGCCTTAATTCAAAATATAAATAAGATAGGTGGAGAATTTAGTAGCATTGTATAGATGTTAATCTCTCTCAGCCTTTGTAATTATGATCTGGTTATATAAGATGATAACTATTTAGGGAAGCTGGTTGAAGGGTTATACAGGTGTTGTTTGTTTAAAAATAAATGAAAATGCATTCTGCAGAATTCAGCTCTGCTATCACAAAGCAGGAAAAAGAAAAACTGGTTTGGAGCTGACAGGGAAAAATTAATACCTGGCCTAGTTACTCTAAGGAGCTGTTGCTCTGTCCCTGGATCCCAGCCTGTTCATCTAGAACATATTGCTCCATTAGAGGTGAGAGTCACGACTTCGAAACGGATTGCTGGCTCTTCTCAAGGCCTCCCACTGTGACTTTAGCAAGTGTAACTGCTTTTTAGAAAGGTTGTCACCTCTGCGAAGGTCAGGCTCCTATTTCTCTGAGACTTGAACATTGCCATTACTGCCCAGAGAATGGGAAGAGAGAGGATTTACTGCTTGAAAGTCTTCTTAATAAATCATTAGCTCAGCAGAGACACGTTTCCTGAATTTATGGAGGAAGTGATAAATCACTAGAAAATACATCCTTCCTATTAAAGTGAGTCCTTGGCCTCTTTCCCAGCCCCTCCTGGTAAACAGAATGGTCTAGGCCAAGGACACCTGGCCTGTGGATGCTCGACAGGCCCCGAAAAACTGGCGTTCAAGAAAGCAGGTTAGTGTGTGTGTGTGTGAGAGAGAGAGAGAGAGGGAGGGAGGGTGAAGAGAGAGAAAGAGATGTGAGGGCAGAAGAGGTTCACCTTTCAGGGATAGGGCTGAGAGAGAAGCTCTAAACTGTTCATTTAGATAATGAGGATGCAAATGTGAGTTAATGAGTCCTGCGCTTGTGGCCAGGTATTCATCTAGAAGGTTAGGATATTTGAATTTGATGGATATCCAGGGGTCTGTGGAACACATAAGGAGCATTTGGCTATTGTAGGGGAGGAAAGCAGACAGAGGAGGGTCATGGCCAACACCCCTAAAATAAAGACAAGCTAACAAAATAAAAGCATAGCAAATTCATTTGAATCATAGCTTTACATGCCACAAGAGCCTCCAGATTGAAGACCTCAAAGACAGCAGAGA
Source organism: Homo sapiens (assembly GCF_000001405.40). Lineage (NCBI taxonomy): Eukaryota > Metazoa > Chordata > Mammalia > Primates > Hominidae > Homo > Homo sapiens. The sequence goes on along the minus strand of NC_000010.11, from coordinate 108,521,470 downwards.
AGTGATCTGATTTGATGCTTACGTTTGTTGAAGCAGGGACAGCCATGCAGTCAGTGGAAATAGACTGAGTGGGGAAGCCCCGCAAGGCCTGTCTGTTCATATCCTTCTTGGCTTCTCCGTGTGGCATTTCTCTCTTCCTGGGTTTGTGGCTAGACCCTTCTGGGATGAGGTTTTTAAATTTGTTAATGGCTAGCTGTTACACAAAATAGCTGTGGAAGGTTTGAGTAATGTTGTTAAGCTTTGTGGCTGGCTTTGGGGAAAAGAGGCTCTGGCTTCCATGATCCACCTTGAGAAAGAGGAATTTCAGTTTCTGTGGGTTTCCTTGGAGGAGAATAAGGAGAGAGAGAGACAGGAGGGCAGAAGAAGGTCAAAGAGAAACTGTTTCTGAGGCCTTCATTTTGTGGTATTGTTTTCTGAGCCCCAACACTATCCAACCTCTATTTCTCTCATAGAATAAGGAAAAAGAGCAGTAAAGAGACTGAAGGAAAAGAAAGAAACTCAGAAAAATAGAAAAGACAGGATGGATATAAAGGAAAGTAAAAGAATGATTCCTTTTTAAAAAAAAGGCTAAGATACAAAAAGTTGAAATCTGGAATCAGACTGTTTCTGTAATAACCAGTTGTCCAGCACCTTGTCTAAAATCTGATGTCATTTTTATTTTTAAAGTGCTCAGGAGCTCTCAGAAATGCATTTATTCTGTCTCTTCTAATTTATAAAAATGAAAAATCCCAGACATCATGACAGCGTGGCATACATTTCCTGACACATTGACCTGAGCTCCCTCTGATTGTTCTGACCTGATGGCAGCAGATTTGGGGGTCTCAGTTTGCCTGGCCCACAGGTCTTAAAAGTTGGCTCCTTGACCACCAAATAAAAGACAGTCTAATACGAGCAACTGGAAATACTCTCCCTTAATTCTCTCCAAAGATGTTGTTTTACAGTCTTTCTCAAAACTGTGTTATAGAATGCCTCCTTTTCTTCCCTGTTTGTAGATTCATTAGGGAGTCTCAAGCTCCTACAACTTGGTTGTCTTTCAGAGAAAGCTTTCTTCATACCTACCCATGACACTTATTCCTAACTCCAAGTTTCTGTGATTCTCATGGTGTTCTCATAATTCTGAAGGTCTTCCTCCTTTTGGTCACTATTAACCCATGATGGTTAGCTCTAACTAAGAACATTTTAAACAGGCTGTCATTCCTGTGCATTAACTACACTTACATAAGCACATAAAAAGGCATTTTGAATGCTGCAAATTGACTTGTTAGATAACTCTGCAGATCTCTTCTTTTTGCTTTGGCTTAACCTACATTCCTACCTCATCTTTTTTCCTTATCCATTTGGGATCCTGCCTTCTGCTTTGTCTTCTCCTGGGTGGTTGTTATTTTTCCAGCATGTTTCTTTTCCCAGTCAACCATTACTGCCCAGCTCATTCTAAATGTTTCCTCAAGCACAAGAGGTTTGTATAAACACCCACAGTTTCCTTCTAAATTCCTCCATAAGAAGCTCCCTCTAATCGATCAGGTCTCCTCACATTTTATGATATCTTTCCTCATGAAAGACACTGGTGGATCTGCTAGCATTTTTTTTTTTATTATTTCTTATCTTAGTTGCTGTAGGTCTCCTGTCTCATTCACCATCTATATTAGTGTGTTCCCACACTGTTATAAAGAAAAGCCCAAGACTGGGTAATTTAGAAAGGAAAGAAGTTTAATTGACTCACAATTCTCCATGGTTTGGGAGGCCTCAAGAAACTTACAATCATGTTGGAAGGCAAAGGGGAAGCAAGGCATCATGAGGGAGAAGTGCCAAGCAAAGGGGGCAGAACCCCTTATAAAACCATCAGATTTCATGAGAACTAGCTCACTATCATGAGAACAGCATGGGGGAAACTGCCACCATGTTTCAATTAACTCCACATGGTCTTCCCTTGACATGTGGGGATTATGGGGATTACAATTGAAGATGAGACTGGGGTGGGGACAGAAAGCCTGATCATATTATTCTGCTGTCCCTGGGCCCTCCCAAATCTCATGTTCTTGTTACATTTCCAAACCAATCATACTTTCCCAACAGTCCCCAAAAGTCTTAATTCATTCCAGCATTAACCCAAAAGTTCAAGTCCAAAGTCTCATCTTAGACAAGGCAAATCCCTCTGCCTATGAGTCAGTAAAATCAAAAGTAAGTTAGTTACTTCCTAGACACAATGGGAGTACAGCTGTTAGATAAATACACCTGTTCCAAATGGGAGAAATTGGACAAAACTAAGGGGCCACAAATCAAAAATTCAGCAGGGTAATCAAATCTTAAAGCTCTGAAATGATCTCCTTTGACTTCATGTCTCACATCTAGGTCACACTGATGCAAGTGGTAGGTTCCCTCTGTCTTGGGCAACTCTCCCCCTGTGACTTTGCAGGGTACAGCCCCCATTCTGGCTACATTCATGGCTGGCATTGAGTGTCTTCAGCTTTTCCAGGTGCATGGTGCAAGCTGTGGTTGGATCTACTATTCTGGGGTCTGGAGGATGGTGGCCCTCTTCTCACAGCTCTGCTAGGCAATGCCCCAGTAGGGACTCTGTGTTGGGGCTCCTACCCCACTTTTCCCTTCCACACAGCCCTAGCAGAGGCTCTCTATGAGGGCTCTGCCCCTGCAGCAAACTTCTGCCTGGACATCCAAATTGCCTCCATCATTCAATTACCTCCACTTGGTCTCTCCCCATGGGAAAGGATGGCAGTCTCCTCAGTGCTGTTCTCATGATACTGAGTGAGTTCTCATGAGATCTGATGGTTTATACTTCACTTAGCACTTCTCTCTCGTGTCGCCTTGTGAAGAAGGTGCCTTGCATCCCCTTCACCTTCCCCCTGAGGCCTCCCCAGCCATGCTGAAATGTGGATTAATTAAACCTCTCTTTCCTTTATAGATTACCCAGTCTCAGGGGGTTCTTTATAGCAGTGTGGAAACAGACTAATACATCCTCAAAACCCTCTTTATTCTCTCTTTGGTCTGAGCCTTCCAACTTTCTCCTTCAAGTCCCCATTCTCTATTATCAATGTAAACAAACTATGCATAGCTTATGGTATTAAGATAGTATCTTTTATTTCCTTAAAATGGAATTATGTTAAGATATTCAATATGCTCGTTCAGCTATGTACATTTCCAACGATAGAAAGCCAGAGTTTATGTCTACTTCTCAACAAGTAGCAATGTCTTTTATGGCACCGGTTGCTCACTTTTGCTGCCATTAGAATTACTGGGGAGTTTACCAAAAAACACTGATTCTCAGACCACAGCATATATAATTTGGCTATATTGTATATGACTGAGTTCCACATTCAACTCAGGTTTCCTAGGGATATTTCTCAAATGTGTAGAAAACTAGAGTAACAACAGAGAGCTGAATTTTCACTTCATGGAAGAAACATAGCAGACTTCAGAGATGTTAAGGTAACTGTAATTTGCAAGGTAGAATACTTTAGAGAAGTATGTAAAATTTGCTTTGGGCTGGCACATTAATTATTGGCTAAATCTTAGATTTCGTGTGGGCAGGATGAGATTGCACAAGTTCTAGCAGAACATACACGAGGGTTTGAGAGCTGAAAATAGATGTTAGATTTGGAGATACCTGGAGATAGCTGGAGTTTTTATTTAAAGTTGAGATCTCAGTGAGACATCCTCCTGAGAATAACGTTCATAACCTAATAGTAAAGGCTATTCCTTAGTAGAAAGAAGAATACTAAAATAGACGTTCCCTGGCAAAGTCAAAACCTAATCTTTAGCAGTATTAAAAGGATCTGCTAATAATTTAAGTGCTTTTAAGAAAAGTACATGGATAATACATAGGTACACCTGTGTGTTGCATAGAAGAAATGATATCTTTAATATATAAATTCTAATACAATTTTCAGAAGCAGGAATTAATAGGAATGGTAAAATGTAATCTATATGGAAAAAGTCAATAGTTACCAATAGACATATGAGCCAGACATGTGAATTAGCATATGTGGATTTTAAAATAACTACTATAAATATGTTGAAGAAATTAAGGAACTTTAATCTGATAAATTTAAATTTAAAATCAATCAAATGAGGGTTTTAAAATTAAAGTTATAAAAGTTAAAATATTGAATCCATTGGATATGTTTGAAAGCAGATTGTACACAGAAAAATTTGAGAACAGTGAAAGCTAAAATGGATCAATAAAAATGATACAAAGAGAGATAGAAAAATGAACAGAGCATCATAGAATATTGAGACAATACCAAACATTCTACCATACATGTAACTGAAGTCACAAAAGAAGAAAGAGAAAATGAGGCAAAGTATCATTGATGAAAGACATTAACCCATAGATTTGGGAATCTTAGAAAGCCACAAACAGAATAAATAAAAACAGAGCCACACTGAGTTCCTCGCAGAAGAACTGTTGAAAACCAAAGTAATGGAAAAATAGATATTTCATAATGCCATGAAATGTCTATTTCTCCATGAAAACAAAAAATAAAAAATGCATACCTATCTGACAACATAGTTTCAAAATAAATAAAGAAAAATTGACATACACAACTTAAAAGACGAAGAAAATACCTAGCAAGTATATTTTGAACTTTCAATATTCCTTTCAAGGAACATAGATCAATGGAACAGAATAGAGTCTAGAAATAGAAAACTTGTAGAAACAAAAAATAAGAAAATGTAGGTGATGTTAGGTTTGACAATAAATTTTAAGATACAACATCAAAAGCACAATACATGAAAAAAATTGATGAATTAGACTTAATTTAAATAAGCTCTGCTGAATGCATTGTTAAAAAATCAAAAGACAATACACAGTCTGAAATAAATATTTTCAAAATAGACATCTAATAGAGGACTTGTATTCAAAATAAATAAAAATGCTTAAAACTTACTAATAAGTAAATAAACATTCCAATTATACAGGTTGGCTTTGGCACTGGATTCTTAGTTGTGACATAAAAAGCATAGCATCAAAAGAACAAGTAAATACATTCAACCTCATCAAAATTAGCAAGATGTGTGCCTGAAAGGACAGTATCAACACAACCAAAGACATCCTACAGACTAGAAGGAAATATTTCCAAATCATACATATGACAAGGGATTAATATCCAGACTATATATAGAACTCCTACAACTCTGCAACAAAAAACAACCCAGTTCAAAAATAAGCAAATAATTTTGATAGACATTTCTCCAAAGAAAATATACAAATAACTAACAAGAATATGAACGATGCTCAATATTACTAGGAAAATATAAATCAGAGCCCCATGAGATGCCATTCACTTTCACTAGAATGTCATCAAAAAACAAAAACAAAACATAACAACAACAAAATAAGAAATAACAAATGTTGTTCAGGATATGGAGAAATTAGATCCTCCATACATGAGTAATGAAAATGTCAAATGGTGTAGCTTCTGTGCTGAGGAATTTGGCAGTTCGTCAAAAAATTACATAGACTTGCCATTTGGCTTAGCAATTCTACTCCACAGAATCTATCCAATGAATTAAAACAGGTATTTAAACAAAATCTTGTACATGAATGGTCACAGCAGCATTACTTACATTAGCCAAAAGGTAGAAACAACACAAATGTCTACAAACTAATGAATGAATCGACAATATGTGGTATATTAATAAAACAAGTATTATTCAGACATAAAATGTAATTAAGTGTTGATATACTCTACGATGTTGATGAACCTAAAATATTATGGTAAGTGAAAGAAGCCAGAAACAAAAGAGTACATACTGCATGATTCCACTGATATGAGATATACAAAACAGGTAAATCCTTATCACAGAAAGCAGACCAGTGGTTGCTAGGAAGTGGGGAGAGGAGAAAGAGAGGAGATTCCTGTTGAGATAATGAGAGTGTTTCAGAACGAGATAAAAGTGATGGTTGCACAGAATTGTGAATGTACTAAATGCCACTAAATTATACATTTTGAAGGAGTTAATTATGTGAATTTTTATCTCAATTTTAAAAATACCAAAAAGTGGGTAAAGGATCTGAAGAATCATTTCACCACAAAAGACAGAAAATGGCAAATAACTATATGAAGAGATGCTCAACATTGTTTATCATTAGGAAATTTAAAATTAGAACAGCTGTGAGATATCAATACACATTTATTAACATGCCAAATACAAAAAAGATACTACCAATTACTGGCAAGGATGTACAGCAGCAGTTCTGTTTCTTTGCTATAGGAGTTCAAAATTATACAACTACTTTAGAGGACAGCTCTACAATTCTCTACAAAGCTATATGATTCAGCAATCACACTTCTAGGTATTAAGCCAACTGATTTGAAAATTTATGTCCTTACAAAAACCTGTATACAATGTTAATAGCACCTTATTTACAATTACCAGAAAATGGAAGCAAAAAAGGTGTTCTGTAATAAGTGAGTGAACAAGCTGTGGTACATCTATACAATGGGATTTTATTCACTAATAAAAAGAAATGAGCTATTAAGCTGCAGAAGTACCTGGATAAATCTTTAATATATACAATTAAGTAAACAAAGCTAGTCTCAGAAAGCTACATAGTATGTAATTCCAATTATATGATATTCTGAAAAAAAAGCAAATAACAAAAAGACTAAAAAGAAATCAGTGATTGCCACATGTCTAAGCATAGTGTAGGGAGGAGGCAGGCTAAGTGAAGGACAAGATTTTTTCTATGGTGGTGAAATTATTCTATATGACAGTGTAATTTTGGATAATTAACACTACATGTTTGTCAAAGCCCACAGAACTTTATTGCACAAAGAGTGCTGCATCACTTATTAGGTCAGAAAATCCCAGGATGAATGGAAAATTGTGATAAAACATGATATCAAAATATATGAAACAACCTTACTGAAGGGGATGAGGGAAAATGGTAATGACCTAGGTAACCCTAGTTATGAGTGAAATCCTTAAGACTAGCTAAAGCCAAAAGGAACCATCTGTAAACATTGCACTCTAGTTGATAACCCCTTTAGAGGGGATATTGGTTAACTGTTCTGATAGGGCTATTCATGTGTGCTGAAATCGAACAATTAAGTAAATGAATGGTGGATTGTGAGAGCAGCTTTCTTATTGTGATGTCAGAGTTTACAGATAATGAAGGAGAGGCAATGAGAATGACCCACGTGGTCATGGATTACAGTTAGAGACCTCCATATAAATTCATGTTTACTTTAATACAGGTACAAGTAATTACACATAGACATATTTATAGATATATGTATACATTAGAATCATCATCCCATATGTCACTAATCATTTAGCTTCTAGTTGATAAACCCTTTAGAGGGGATACTGGTTAACTATTCTGATAGGGCTATTCATGTATGCTGAAATTGAACAATTAGGCCCATGGATGGTGGATTGTGGCAGCAGCTTTCTTATTGTGAAGTCAGAGTTTACAGATAATCAAGGAGAAGCAATGAGAATGAGCCATGTGGTCATGGATTAGAGTTAGAGACCTCCATATGAATTTATGTCTATCTTAATAGAGATACAAATAATTACACATAGACATATTTACAGATACGTGTATGAATTAGAACCATCATCCCGTATGTCACCAATCATTTAGCTTCCAGGATACCCCTAAGTATGTGTTTAAATTTTGTATCCTCCTTCAGAGTGTTGTAATTAGAAAGTGTATTTGTTAAATTCTTCAGGGAGAGGATGTTGAGACAAAGTTAACAGTGTAATAGGTTTGTTGGGGGTCCATGCCTGATTAAGATAAAAGTGGAGAAAGTAGGATGGAGCAAGGGGAACTTCAGACAATTATGCAGCTCTGAGGCTTCAACCAAGCTAATGGGGAACTCCAGGACAAAGATATGCCAATGGGGAACTCCAGGACAAAGACATGCCAATGGAGGAGTCCCACATGAGCAGAAATGGCAAAGCCCTAGTAAGTTCTTCCTGTGCAGTCACTGGCGGGAGGCTACCTGAAAGTCCATGACCTTGACTCAAAAGCTCAGGTAGTTCCCACAGGTTCTAACACCTAGAGGCTCTTAGCTCCAATAGTGCTCCTTGGAACTGAATGGCAAAACCTTTCTTTAAGAAAGATCTGAGCAGCAAGAGGTGAGCAGAAAGTTAGTCAGCCAGCATTTATTTAGACTGGGTCTGTGTGTGCAGTGGAAAAATTGAACATCATGAGATACAGATCACATTGATAGAACAATACAAAAGGGGATCATAAGGTAATTCATGCTCAACAGATTGAATTAATTTTTGAAGGCAGTAAAGAAATTGAATAGCTAGTTTTTTTTATTATTACAGATCTTCCAAACATGTAGGGAAAATAGAAAACACAAGCACCCAATATATCCTAATTTATTTTAAAAGAAATACATGAACTTGTGGAAAAAAATAAGTGCATGCAGGTTGTGAGAACAACTGTGGATACAGGTTGTTTTTTCAACCAAGTGTTACCATAGTGTAAATTATTATTTGATAATTTGGTATTATTTGATAAATGAGCGCCTCAGATAAAGGTAAATGAGGGGTAATGTGTGAGGATGGGTTGGAATGGGGGTTAAGTGACAGACTCATAATTTCAGGAATCAATAACTGGCATGCAACAGGCAGCCCTTTTGAATCCACGGTCACACATTTTGTTAAGTTGAAACATTTTTGAAGTATTCCGCTTCCAGCATTAATAACCACAGCATCTCACTGAGCACTCAGGAAGCCGCTTGCTCTTGCCTCATCTCTCCATTTAATACTGATGGTTTTCACCTTCAGTTTACTATCTTGGTGCTCTTAATGGCTTTACACAATTTGTTAGCTCCTTTTATCAACTATTTATTTTAAACAAAAATCAACCAACCAACCAACCAACCAATGAACCAAACAACAACAAAAACAACAAAAAACAACTCCTGTTTTAGATTGTTCTGACTGCTAAGTTACAACAAGGCCAGTAATTTAAAACATTTTGCTTTACTTCCTGTTTAAAACACCCAGTAACCTTGGCTGGAAAATCACCTGTTTGTTCTTCAACTGACTTTCAGAATTTCTACATCTTCTAATTTTTCTACCTAATTGTTTCCCCTGAGAGTAGGGTCCAGTAGTTTTACCATGATTTATGGAATTGTATAGATATTATTTTTACAGCTTCTCTAAAGAATTTTAACGTGTGCTTCTAATAATCTCTCATATTTGAATAGGCAAAATCATTCTAAGAAGTTGAGGATTCTGCCCTCTGATTTTCTCTTTGTGTTTTTTCCAAACACATTAGAAAGAATTGTGAGCCCAGGATTAAAGACAGAAAGCAAGGGAACACTTTCATTGGTATAGTTTCATATTCCCTGCTGCTGCTATGAGATAAGCTTTTATATGTGAATAGGGAAGGGGGGCTCCGAGTTTGGTGAAGCCAAAATATTTTTCTTTTTCTTTTTGTTTCTTTCTTTTTTTTTTTTTATTTGAGACAGGGTCTTGCTCTCTGGCCCAGGCTGGAATGCAGTGGCATGATCTCAGCTCGCTGCAGCCTCTGTCTTCGAGGCTCAACGGATCCTTTCACCTCAGCCTCCCAAGTTGCTGGGACTACAGGTGCATGCCATCACGCTCAGCTAATGTTTTAATTTTTATGTGGTAACAAGGTCTCACTATAGAGCCCAGGCTGTTCTCAAACTCCTGGGCTCAAGCAATCCTCTCACCTTGGCCTCCCAAGTGCCGGGTTTACAGGCATGAGCCACCTTGCCCAAACAGACTGTGCAATTTAAGCACAATTTTATAAATGCAAATAGAAATTTAGAGACCAAAGTTTACATTTCATTAGTTCCCAGTGAAATAATTTCATCCATTGTAGCTATCCACTGCTACCAAACCTCAAGATCTTGTGAGGACAATTGACAGAGTGGTTAAACTCCAAGAGAGAAAAGACCATAGGCACTTGGGGATGAAGTGGAGAGAGAAGACATCCTGCGGGAGGTGAGACATGTTTCAAGTCACCCAGACTACCTGGACCCAGTCTGACTCTCCCTTTTTCAGACCATTTCCTCCTGAACTCATTGGGTCTTGAACTAGGCTGTTAAATTTAGGTCATTGTGCTGTCATCTACTGCTGAAATTTAAGTTTGACTCAGAATATTTACAAAAGTTGGGAAGCTTCTGTTTCTAATTCTTCTTCCTTGTGTATTCACCTGTCTACTCTAGTTTGTAGGAGAAACTCTTCACCAAATTAATTTTAAGACAATGATAATAGTTACCATCATGCCTATATGTTTCCTAAGCTCCTGTGTTTTCCTCTCAGGGCATTATTATAATTCCTTTACTTTCATTCCTCCCAATGTTTATACACCTATGAGTGCCTCAGGACCAGACCTCTTTCACTCAAAAGCAGTCATATTGTTCATTGTAATGAAACAGGGACACTCACAATCATGGTATTCTCTATTCATCAGTTCCATTTATTTATGACTGAATAATATAGCTTCTGAATGATTGATGATTTCTGCCTACCTGTGCAATATCAAGAAATGTCTTCATTCCTGCAATTCAGATTTAAGCTTGAATCTAAATATCGCAGTTAAAAACAAGTTATATAAAGGAAAAATGTTATTTGAGAATCTCTTAAATTGTTATGGTTTGTTACTCCTAAGTATTCATGTAAGCAGTGTCTAACAGTATATTGGCTACAGGGAACAAAATGTTATCAGAGACACACATCACTGCTCTGTGAGTTTTACACTTTGAATAGCTGTATATACATTTCCAAATATTTATGTATGTGAGTGTGTATGTATGAAATGTGTTGTACACACAACACAAACACACAGAATCCAGGGAAAGCTGAGGAAGAAAATGGTCTGAACACTCTAGAAAATAGTAACTATTGCAATATTAGTTAGGGATGTGCTATGTGCATGAATTGGGATGTATTTCTAAACAGATGGTATCACAAAATTTGGAATTTATTTTTTATTTTTTTTATTATACTTTAAGTTCTAGGGTACATGTGCACAATGTGCAGGTTTGTTACATATGTATACATGTGCCATATTGGTGTGCTGCACCCATTAACTCGTCATTTACATTAGCTATATCTCCTAATGCTATCCCTCCCCCCTGCCCACACCCCACGACAGGCCCCCTGTGTGATGTTCCCCTTCCTGTGTCCAAGTGTCCTCATTGTTCAATTCCCACCTGTGAGTGAGAACATGCAGTGTTTGGTTTTTTATCCTTGCCATAGTTTGCTGAGAATGATGGTCTCCAGCTGCATCCATGTCTCTAAAAGGACATGAACTCATCCTTTTTTATGGCTGTATAGTATTCCATGGTGTATATGTGCCACATTTTGTTAATCCAGTCTATCATTGATGGACATTTGGGTTGGTTCCAAGTCTTTGCTATTGTGAAGAGTGCCATGATAAACATACGTGTGCATGTGTCTTTATAGCAGCATGATTTATAATCCTTTGGGTATATACCCAGTAATGGGATGGCTGGGTCAAATGGTATTTCTAGTTCTAGATCCTAGAGGAATCACCACACTGACTTCCACAATGGTTGAACTAGTTTACAGTCTCACAAACAGTGTAAAGGTGTTCCTATTTCTCCACATCCTCCCCAGCACCTGCTGTTTCCTGACTTTTTAATGATTGCCATTCTAATGGGTGTGAGATGGTATCTCATTGTAGTTTTTATTTGCATTTCTGTGATGGCCAGTGATGATGAACATTTTTTCCTGTGTCTGTTGGCTGCATAATGTTTTCTTTAGAGAAGTGTCTGTTCATATCCTTTGCCCACTTTTTGATGGGGTTGTTTTTTTCTTGTCAATTTGTTTGAGTTATTTGTAGATTCTGGATATTAGCCCTTTATCAGATGAGTAGATTGCAAAAATTTCCTCCCATTCTGTAGGTTGCCTGTTCACTCTGATGGTAGTTTATTTTGCTGTGCAGAAGCTCTTTAGTTTAATTAGATCCCATTTGTCAATTTTGGCTTTTGTTGCCATTGCTTTTGGTGTTTTAGACATGAAGTCCTTGCCCATGCCTATGTCCTGAATGGTAATGCCTAGGTTTTCTTCTAGGGGTTTTATGGTTTTAGGTCTAACGTTTTAACTCTTCAATCCATCTTGAATTGATTTTTGTATAAGGTGTAAGGAAGGGATCCAGTTTCAGCTTTCTACATATGGCTAGCCAGTTTTCCCAGCACCATTGATTAAATAGGGAATCCTTTCCCCATTGCTTGTTTTTCTCAGGTTTGTCAAAGATCAGATGGTTTTAGATGTGTGGTATTATTTCTGAGGGCTCTGTTCTGTTCCATTGGTGTATATCTCTGTTTTGGTAGCAGTACCATGCTGTTTTGGTTACTGTAGCCTTGTAATATAGTTTGAAGTCAGGTAGCGTGATGCTTCCAGCTTTGTTCTTTTGGCTTAGGATTGACTTGGCAATGTGGGCTCTTTTTTGGTTCCATATGAACTTTAAAGTAGTTTTTTCCAATTCTGTGAAGAAAGTCATTGGTAGCTTGATGGGGATAGCATTGAATGTACAAATTACCTTGGGCAGTATGGCCATTTTCACAATATTGATTCTTCCTATCCATGAGCATGGAATGTTCTTCCATTTGTTTGTGTCCTCTTTTATTTTGTTGAGCAGTGGTTTGTAGTTCTCCTTGAAGAGATCCTTCACGTTCCTTGTAAGTTGGATTCCTAGGTATTTTATTCTCTTTGAAGCAATTGTGAATGGGAGTTCACTCATGATTTGGCTCTCTGTTTGTCTGTTATTGGTGTATAAGAATGCTTGTGATTTTTGCACATTGATTTTGTATCCTGAGACTTTGCTGAAGTTGCTTATCAGCATAAGGAGATTTTGGGCTGAGATCATGGGGTTTTCTAAATATACAATCATGTCATCTGCAAACGGACAATTTGACTTCCTCTTTTCCTAATTGAATACCCTTTATTTCTTTCTCTTGCCTAATTGCCCTGGCCAGAACTTCCAACACTGTGTTGAATAGGAGTGGTGAGACAGGGCATCCCCGTCTTGTGCCAGTTTTCAAAGGGAATGCTTCCAGTTTTTGCCCATTCAGTATGATATTGGCTGTGGGTTTGTCATAAATAGCTCTTATTATTTTGAGATACATCCCATCAACACCGAATTTATTGAGAGTTTTTAGCATGAAGGGCTGTTGAATTTTGTCAAAGGCCTTTTCTGCATCTATTGAGATAATCGTGGTTTTTGTCTTTGGTTCTGTTTATATGCTGGATTACATTTATTGATTTGTGTATGTTGAACCAGGCTTGCATTCGAGGGATGAAGCCCACTTGATCATGGTGGATAAGCTTTTTGATGTGCTGCTGGATTCGGTTTGCCAGTATTTTATTGAGGATTTTTGCATCAATGTTCATCAGGTATATTTGTCTAGAATTCTCTTTTTTTATTGTATCTCTGCCAGGCTTTGGTATCAGGATGATGCTGGACTCATAAAATGAGTTAGGGAGGATTCCCTCTGTTTCTATTGATTGGAATAGTTTCAGAAGGAATGGTATAAGCTCCTGCTTGTACTTCTGGTAGAATTCGGCTGTGAATCCATCTGGTCCTGGCCTTTTTTTAGTTGGTAGGCTATTAATTATTGCCTCAATTTCAGAGCCTGTTATTGGTCTATTCAGGGATTCAACTTCTTCCTGCTTTAGGCTTGGGAGGGTGTTAGTGTCAAGGAATTTATCCGTTTCTCCTACATTTTCTAGGTTATTTGCATAGAGGTGTTTATAGTATTCTCCGATGCTAGTTTGTATTTCTGTGGGATCAGTGCTGTTATCCCCTTTACATTTTTTATCGCATCTATTTGATTCTTCTCGCTTTTCTTTTTTATTGGTCTTGCTAGCGCTCTATCAATTTTGTTGATCTTTTCAAAAAACCAGGTCTTGGATTCATTGATTTTTTGAAGGGTTTTTTGTATCTCTGTCTCCTTCAGTTCTGCTCAGACCTTAGTTATTTCTTGCCTTCTGCTAGCTTTGGAATGTGTTTGCTCTTGCTTCTCTAGTACTTTGAATTGTGATGTTAGGGTGTCAATTTTAGATCTTTCCTGCTTTCTCTTGTGGGCATTTAGTGCTATAAATTTCCCTCTACACACTGCTTTAAATGTTTCCCAGAGATTCTGGTATGTTGTGTCTTTGTTCTCATTGGTTTCAAAGAACATATTTATTTCTGCCTTCGTTTTGTTATGTTCCCAGTAGTCATTCAGAGGCAGGTTGTTCAGTTTCCAAGTATTTGAGTGGTTTTGAGTGAGTTTCTTAATTCTGAGTTCTAATTTGTTTGCACTGTGGTCTGAGAGACAGTTTGTTATAATTTCTGTTCTTCTACATTTGCTGAAGAGTGCTTTACTTCCAACTATGTGGTCAATTTTGGAATAAGTGTGATGTGGTGCTGAGAAGAATGCATATTCTGTTGATTTGGGGTGCAGAGTTCTGTAGATGTCTATTAGGTCCGCTTGGTGCAGAGCTGAGTTCAATTCCTGGATATCCTTGTTAACTTTCTGTCTCATTGATATGTCTAATGTTGACAGTGGGGTGTTAAAGTCTCCTATTGTGTGGGAGTCTAAGTCTCTTTGTAGGTCTCTAAGGACTTGCTTTATGAATCTGGATGCTCCTGTATTGGGTGCATATATATTTAGGAGAGCTAGCTCTTCTTGTTGAATTGATCCCTTTACCATTATGTAATGGCCTTTTTTGTCTCTTGATATTTGTTGGTTTAAAGTCTGTTTTATCAGAGACTAGGATTGCAACCCCTGCCTTATTTTGTTTTCCATTTGCTTGGTAGATCTTCCTCCATCCCTTTATTTTGAGCCTATTTGTGTCTCTGCACATGAGATGGGTCTCCTGAATACAGCACCTGATGGGTCTTGACTCTTTATCCAGTTTGCCAGTCTGTGTCTTTTTGTTGGAGCATTTAGCCCATTTACATTTAAGTTTAATATTGTTATGTTTGAATTTGATCCTTTCATTATGATGTTAGCTGGTTATTTTGCTCATTAGTTGATGCAGTTTCTTCCTAGCATTGATGGTCTTTACAATTTGGCATGTTTTTGCAGTGGCTGGTACCGGTTGTTCCTTTCCATGTTTAGTGCTTCCTTCAGGAGCTCTTGTAGGGTAGGCCTGGTGGTGACAAAATCTCTCAGCATTTGCTTGTCTGTAAAGGATTTTATTTCTCCTTCACTTATGAAGCTTAGTTTGGTTGGATATGAAACTCTGGGTTGAAAATTCTTTTCTTTAAGAATGTTGGATATTGGCCCCCACTCTCTTCTGGCTTGTAGAGTTTCTGCTGAGAGATCCTCTGTTTGTCTGATGGGCTTCCCTTTGGGGGTAACCCAACTTTTGTCTCTGGCTGCCCTTAACATTTTTTCCTTCATTTCAACTTTGGTGAATCTGACAATTATGTGTCTTGGAGTTGCTCTTCTCGAGGAGTATCTTTGTGGCATTCTCTGTATTTCCTGAATTTGAATGATGGCCTGCCTTGCTAGGTTGGGGAAGTTCTCCTGGATAATATCCTGCAGAGTATTTTCCAACTTGGTTCCATTCTCCCCATCATTTTCAGGTACACCAATCAGACGTAGATTTCGTCTTTTCATGTAGTCCCACATTTCTTGGAGGCTTTGTCCATTTCTTTTTACTCTTTTTTCTCTGATCTTCTCTTCTTGCTTCATTTCATTAATTTGATCTTCAATCACTGATACCCTTTCTTCCAGTTGATCGAATCAGCTACTGAAGCTTGTGCATGCATCACGTAGTACTCGTGCCATGGTTTTCAGCTCCATCAGGTCATTTAAGGACTTCTCTACACTGTTTATTCTAGTAAGCCATTCGTCTAATCTTTTTTCAAAGTTTTTAGCTTCTTTGTGATGGGTTCAAACTTCCTCCTTTACCTCAGAGAAGTTTGATCATCTGAAGCCTTCTCTCAACTTGTCAAAGTTGTTCTCTGTCCAGCTTTGTTCTGTTGCTGGGGAGGAGCTGCATTCCTTTGGAGGGGGAGGGGCGCTCTGATTTTTAGAATTTTTAGCTTTTCTGCTCTGTTTTTTCCCCGTCTTTGTGGTTTTATCTACCTTTGGTCTTTGATGATGGTGACGTACAGATGGGGTTTTGGTGTGGATGTCCTTTCTGTTTGTTAGTTTTCCTTCTAACAGGACCCTCAGCTGCAGGTCTGTTGGAGTTTGCTGGAGGTCCACTCCAGACCCTGTTTGCCTGGGTATCAGCAGCGGAGGCTACAGAACAGTGAATATTGCTGAACAGCAAATGTTGCTGCCTGATTGTTCCTCTGTAAGCTTCATCTCAGAGGGGTACCCTGCCGTGTGAGATGTCAGTCTGCCCCTACTGGGGGGTGTCTCTCAGTTAGGGTACTCAGGGGTGAGGGACCCACTTGAGGAGGCAGTCTGTCCATTCTCAGATCTTAAACTCTGTGTTGGAAGAACCTCTACTCTCTTCAAAGCTGTCAGACAGGGACATTTAAGTCTGCAGAGGTTTCTGCTGCCTTTTGTTCAGCTATGCTCTCCTCCCAGAGGTGGAGTCTACAGATGCAGGCAGGCCTCCTTGAGCTGCGATGGGCTCCACCCAGTTCAAGCTTCCAGACCGCTTTGTTTACCTACTCAAGCCTCAGCAATGGTGGGCTCCCCTCCCCCAGCCTCACTGCTGCCTTGCAGTTCAATCTCAGACTGCTGTGCTAGCAATGAGCGAGGCTCCATGGGCGTAGGACCCTCTAAGCCAGGTGCGGGATATAATCTCCTGGTGTGCCATTTGCTAAGACCATTGGAAAAGTGCAATATTAGGGTGGGAGTGACCCAATTTTCCCAGTGCCATCTGTCACAACTTCCCTTGGCTAGGAAAGGGAATTTCCTAACCCCTTGCACTTCCTGGGTCTGGCGATGCCTTGCCCTGCTTCGGCTCATGCTCAGTGGGCTGCACCCACTGTCCTGCACCCACTCTCCAACAAGCACCAGTGAGATGAACCCAGTACCTGAGCTGGAAATGCAGAAATCACCGGTCTTCTGCGTCGCTCATGCTGGGAGCTATAGACTGGAGCTGTTCCTATTCAGCCATCTTAGAACCACCAAAATTTGGAATTTATTAGAAGGCACTTGTAAGACCCTTAGAACATTTTTATTGATTAAAGAAGTGCAAAAATTAGTTTTCAATTGAATTTTTTTTTAAAAATTTACGTTACGGAGGTAAGTGGTAATAGACCAAATGTTTAGTAAAGCTACATAGAGATCTCTGAATTTGAGTAGTTTCCATTTAGTCATTCCCAGTGCCTCACATGTTGATATGATGTGCCTGTTTTAAGCAACATACGAGTCATTTATTCAACAAAAATATGTAGCATAAGCACTGCATACCACTCACTGCTCTGAGTTCCAGAGATACAGCAGTGCACAAAAGAGACAATCTTCCTGTTCTTTTAGAGTTTACACTTTAGTTGGGAAGACATATTTACTTGTGTGAATATGTGTTTAATTAAAACTGCCATGAAGAGAAAGTTTGAGGATGAGAAAGGAGAACTAACTTAGTCTAGGAATGGAGGTGGACAGGAAGTGTTTCCTGGAAAATAAAAAAAAATATATATATATATACTAGGATCTAGCAAGTGAGTAGGAGTTAATTAGCAAAATTAGGGAGAGCAGGGTAGTAAAATTTAAGGAAATTAAAGAATATGAAGTCCCTTGAACCATGAAGACCACATATTGTATGTATGTGGACACATATGAGAACATGAATGATGGCCCATGTGGACAGAATGCAGGTAGGACAAGCCCAAAGGAGGCTGGAGAGATGAACAAGAGCCAGATCAGGTGGGCTGTGGTTTATCATGTTAAGGATTCTGTATTTTATCTCAAGAGCACTGTAAGCCCTTGAAGTGTGTTAAACAGAGCTAGAATTTGTTCGTGGGTCTAGTAACTGTAGATAGTTTGAGAATTATGAAATGTGACTACTTTTAGGTGGCATGAAGGAAGTAATACGTTAACGTTTCTCTTCTTTTCAGTTCGTTTCCCAAAGAACCTTAGAATTGCATCTGTTGCTGTTATTTAACTTGCAACATCCATCTGGAATCTTTGCTGTTGACTACCCTGACATGTAGAATGGGGAAACATTTTGTTCTCTTTCTTCTTTGGAGATTTGCAGAGTCCTCTTTTGAGCTGCCTGTCTGCCCACTTGTTGTGAGGTTGAGAAATCATTGCTCTGAGGATTCAGGGTTTGGAAACTAATAGCCTTAAAGCTGTGATCTCGGGAATTAGGGGTAGGGGATGAATAGGTTTCTTTCTGCAGCAAAGTAACAACTCTGTACCATGTGGAGGAGAGTCAGACCACTTTCTCCAGCCACCTCCCCAATTGCCCCACTTCTGGGATCTTGTTCAAACTTTGTTTATACAGTTTAAAAGGATAGCAATGGGATTTTTTTATATGGATCAATTTTAAGTAAGCTGGCTGAGAATTTACGAACGTGATAGCAATTACCAAAATCAATGTCTAAAGACACATTTCAGCTGAGAGAGCCCTGAATAAGGGAGAAAATCTGCTATCGCTTCTGGATCATTGCTGCCTCCTCAGATCTATTCTTATTCATATTCACGGTCATATTTTCTTCAATATTCCTTTTGTTTTACTTTTTAAAACATACCCTGGCACTTCCTACTTCTAAACTTTCCTACTGGCGATAAACAGTTCCACCTCCAAATCAATATTTTTCTTTTTTAAATTTAGTTTTAATTTATTTATGGAAATAAATTGAGAAAAGGAGAGTTTGTATCAAGAAATTGAATCCAGCTATAATATAACAAGAAAGATTGCCTAACATATAACTCCCTCATCTTAGTGAATGGTTTCCCACCTGGAATTATAAGAGACCAATCACCTGATTTATTTAAAATCAGCTGGAAAAAATAATTCCATGATGGGCTACCAAAAAGTCCCCAGCTCCAGCTAAACTGGAATAAAGAAAATAATCACTATAAAAACTTTAAACAGAAAATCCAAGTTTCTCTAGACTGAATATTTTTAACTTCAGCTGAAATCAGTTGTATTAGTCAGCAAGTTTCACTTATGTTCTTTGACAAAATTAATCAGGAACTAGAACAAAAGAAAAGTAGGTGATATTTAGGAAGCTTTCCTTCAAATACCTACTTTGATCCCATAGGTAAAATTCTGACTTTGGTGTGGCAGGATCTGTGGTACTTTTTTATTTTTATTTTTATTTTTTTTGAGACAGGGTCTTTTACTCTGGCACCCAGGCTGGAGTGCATTGGCATGATCATGGCTTCCTGCAGCCTTGACCTCCCAGGCTCAAGCCGTTCTCCCATTTCAGCCTCCAAGTAGATGGGGCTAAAGGTGTGCACCACCATGCCCAGCAAATTCTGTTATTTTTATTTTTTTAGAGACAGCTTCTCACTATGTTACCCAGGCTGGTCTCAAATTCCTGGGTCCAAGCAACCCTCCCACCTTGGCTACCCAAACTGCTTGGATTACTGACGTGAGCCACCACTCCTGGGCAATCTGTGGTCTTATTCTTGGTCTGCTCCTTATACTGTGAACAAAAGGAAAATTCCCTGAAAACAGAACAGTAGGTCTTACTAAAATTTCGTGGTAAAATTGCTTGTTTATTCATCATATCTTGAAATGTCTAAATATCATCTTTGTTGACCAAAAGCAAAGCTTCCACCTCCATACAGATTTTTTTCCCATTCTAAGTTTATGGCAATTTTACTAAGATTGGTTTTCTTGTTTGCTTTTGTTTTTGTTTATATATCCTCCTTGAAAATTATTACAAAAGTGTTGCCTAACTTAAAAAAGTGTGAATAGGAGCATTGCTACATTGGGGCTTTCTTTGTTGACATCATCAAAACCATAAACCTCTCCAAAATTTCAACAGCAACAACAACAAAACTGTTATTTTATAAACTATCTCTACTATGTACCTAGTGTTTGTAGTTTATGAAGCACTTCTACAAATATTTCATTCTTTGACCTTCAATTTGTATATTAATACTAACCACATTTTGCTGATGAAGAAACCATGGCTCAGAAACACAACTAAATTGGCTTCTTGTTTCACACCTAGGAAATGGCAGACAGTAATACAAACCTAGATCTATTGATTTCAGAGACTCTTTTCATTCTACTATTCTTTTCTTTTCAAGCCTTTTTGGGGACCTCAACCTCTAGTAACAGTCAGATGATTCATTTTATCTGCTAAATACTTACTCCCTTGATTACCTGCATTCTGTTCTGCCTCTATATATGCCAGTCTAAATTACAAAAACAGATAACACACAGTGTTGCTTATCTACTCTCTTGCAGTTTCTCATTCACGAACAAATTCGCATGCAAATTCTCTAAGACTGTAATGATTTCAATTTGAAGGAATTATCCTTTTACCTGATCACACTAGAATAATATCTGTCCATTCTGCCTACTTACTTTGCAGGACTCTCTGATCTTAACATTTATCAGCTTCATGTTCCTCTCCTTCCCCAGACCACAGTACACTAGGACATGCACTGCTCTGAGAAGGTATAACATGAGGGTAAAAATGACCCATAGTTTATTAGGTGTAAGAAGAGCAAAACGACCTAAAAGCCAAAGAATTATCAAAGTCCTCAAAATCCTGACAACACAGATAATAAGAAGTAATAGATACAAATGAGTGAGATAAGAATCAATGCTTTGAATTATGTGAGCACAGTGTGGGAGGAAAAACAGGTGTTTTCAGGAAGATCTTAATTCCTTCTCTCGGTAGCCTTTTAGTGCTCAGATTCTTAGTGTTCACCATGCATGCTGCTCTGACAGACCCAATTCTGTCTTTGTCATCTCCAAAGTCTTCCTTTGTCAGTAGGATCTGGTTCCTCATTTACTCGGTGGTATCTCTTCAGGCAGATACTGGCTGTATTTCCTGAGTTGCAGGTATCTGTTAAGCAAGTTTAGCTCAGAATAATAAAAAAAAAAATTCTAAAAACTGCTTCTTCCTTTATTGTTCGTACTGTGTTCTTCCAGATTTTAATAAAAAGGACTGCCTTTTTATTACAATACAAACAAAAAACTTCTGTCTCCAGCCATAACCAACAAATGTAAACCCCAAATATGATCAGAAGGCAGGATGGGGCAAGCCAGCAGGTAACTCCTTTAGGTATTCCAGAAAGCATTAATATAAAGACTATCTAGGATTCGTTTAGTCACTCTGTTATAAGAGTAATCTAAATACAGGTATAAGAGTAATATTAAATACAGTTAACATCTTAGTAATAACAGCACATACTGTTATTATTTATTGTTTATTTTTCCCTATAACTAGCACTGTAATAAGTACGTTAGCACATTTGCTCAGTTGCTCAATCTCACATCAACCCTATCAAGCAAGTGCTGATACCTTCATCTTTTCAGATGCTAAATCCAATCCTTGAGTTAGGCATCTTTCTGAAAATCACTCTCTTAAACTTAAGTCTTATTTTCAAGCCCTGTCTCTGGCTGCCAGCAAGTGTGAGTGCCCAGATGGCTTTCATAGTTCGTGCTGTATTGTGAGCCATATGTATCTCACTCCCATTTGCACTGCCATGATGAGCAAGGTCGAGGAGTAAAATGAGTAGTTGGAGCTCACAGTCAAGATGAGATGTGGCAAATACAAATTCAGGTAAATTGCTCAGTGGAGACATCAGCCCATAAGGGTGGGTAGAGAGAAAGAGTCTGACTATAAAGTTAGTGGTGTGGAATTTGGCCTGACTAGGCAGAACCAAAGTTAGAGCAAGGATAAGGGGTAGCACCGGAAGTAATCCAGAAAGTCAATCAACACCATCTTATTGTATTCTTATTTTGGGAGCATAATGCTAGAGCTTTAAGACACAACACAAATGGAAACACAAGAGTGGTGTTTTCCCAGTGCAAAGAGTGGGTCAACAATGAAACCCACAAGGAAATGATAGCTGGTGTAGATATATTCAAGTAAGTACATGAATTTAGGAAAAATAAATAAAAACTTAGAAAGCATAAATAGAGCATCAAACTCATGACATCCTGAATAACACACCTCTAAGTTATGAATCAGGGATATTTTTAAGCAATTTAACAAAGAATATTGAGGTGGTGTTATAGCTTGGAAGTTTGCCCCCTCCAAATCTCAGGTTTAAATTTCATCCCCAGTGTCGGATGTGAGGTCTAATGAGAGGGCCTAATGGGAGGTTTGTGTCATGGAAGTGGATTCCTCATGCATAAGTTAATACCCTCTCTTATGGAGGTAGGAGAGTTAGCAAGTTCTCATTTTATTAGTTCCTGTGAGAGCTGGTTGTTATAAAGGCCCAGTGAACTCCTCACTTGCTTTCTCTCCTGCCATGTGATCTCTGCACACACTGGCTCTCCTTCACTTTCCTCTGTGAGTAGAAGCAGCCTGAGGCCCTCATCAGAAGCTGAGCAGATGCTAGCACCATGCTTCCTGCACAGCCTGCAGAACTGTGAGCCAAGTAAACCTCTTTTCTTTATAAATTACCCAGCCTTAGGTATGCTTTTATGGCAACACTAAATAGACTGCAACAGGTGGTAAATGAATGTGCTAACAGTTATGAAAGCAGTCTTAGAACACTGTGTTATGTTTAGAAAACACTTGATTATACAATATGATTGAGAGTTCCTTATTATGATGCACTCATCTGGGTGCTAGATATAAACAAAAGGGGAAGAAAAGGTTAAATGTCCACTTATTTTTGTCAAGAAATTTATATTTTTAAAATTCACATAATTCCCATTTTTTCTTCATTGAAAAAATATTTTAATGTATTTCATATTGTTATTTCATATTATCATCATATATGTCACCTTTGGACACATAATAATTTAACTTTCTAATCTAATATTAAAACACCCACACTGACTTCCACAATGGTTGAACTAGACCAACAGTGTAAAAGTGTTGCTATTTCTCCACATCCTCTCCAGCACCTGTTGTTTCCTGACTTTTTAACGATTGCCGTTCTAACTGGTGTGAGATGGTATCTCATTGTGGATTTGATTTTCATTTCTCTGTTGGCCAGTGATGGTGAGCATTTTTTCATGTGCTTTTTGGCTGCATAAATGTCTTCTTTTGAGAAGTGTCTGTTCATGTCCTTTGCCCACCTTTTGATGGGGTTGTTTGTTTTTTTCTTGTACATTTGTTTGAGTTCATTGTAGATTCTGGATATTAGCCCTTTGTCAGATGAGTAGGTTGCGAAAATTTTCTCCCATTTTGTAGGTTGCCTGTTCACTCTGATGGTAATTTATTTTGCTGTGCAGAAGCTCTTTAGTTTAATTAGATCCCATTTGTCAATTTTGGCTTTTGTTGCCATTGCTTTTGGCGTTTTAGACATGAAGTCCTTGCCCATGCCTATGTCCTGAATGGTAATGCCTAGGTTTTCTTCTAGGGTTTTTATGGTTTTAGGTCTAATGTTTAAGTCTTTAATCCATCTTGAATTGATTTTTGTATAAGGTGTAAGGAAGGGATCCAGTTTCAGCTTTCTACATATGGCTAGCCAGTTTTCCCAGCACCATTTATTAAATAAGGAATCCTTTCCCCATTGCTTGTTTTTCTCAGGTTTGTCAAAGATCAGATAGTTGTAGATATGCGGTGTTATTTCTGAGGGCTCTGTTCTGTTCCATTGATCTATATCTCTGTTTTGGTACCAGTACCATGCTGTTTTGGTTACTGTAGCCTTGTAGTATAGTTTGAAGTCAGGTAGTGTGATGCCTCCAGCTTTGTTCTTTTGACTTAGGATTGACTTGACGAAGCGGGCTCTTTTTTGGTTCCATATGAACTTTAAAGTAGTTTTTTCCAATTCTGTGAAGAAAGTCATTGGTACACTGTGACACTGTTGGTGGGACTGTAAACTAGTTCAACCATTGTGGAAGTCAGTGTGGCGATTCCTCAGGGATCTAGAACTAGAAATACCATTTGACCCAGCCATCCCATTACTGGGTATATACCCAAAGGACTATAAATCATACCGCTATAAAGACACATGCACACGTATGTTTATTGTGGCATTATTCACAATAGCAAAGACTTGGAACCAACCCAAATGTCCAACAATGATAGACTGGATTAAGAAAATGTGGCACATATACACGATGGAATACTATGCAGCCATAAAAAATGATGAGTTCATGTCCTTTGTAGGGACATGGATGAAACTGGAAATCATCATTCTCAGTAAACTATCACAGGAACAAAAAACCAAACACCACATATTCTCACTCATAGGTGGGAATTGAACAATGAGAACACATGGACACAGGAAGGGGAACATCACACTCTGGGGACTGTTGTGGGGTGGGGGGAGGGGGGAGGGATGGCAATGGGAGGTATGCCTAATGCTAGATGATGAGTTAGTGGGTGCAGCATGCCAGCATGTCACATGTATACATATGTAACTAACCTGCACATTGTGTGCATGTACCCTAAAATTTAAAGTATAATAATAAGAAATAAATACATAAATAAATAAAATAAAATAAAATAAAATAAAAAAACCACCCATTTGCATAGACTTGACACTTGTGCCTCTCCCAGTGCCCTGGCTGCTAATTTTACAGGCATTTATTTGTTAATTTTTCTTTCAAGTGGCAAGTCTCTGAGTCTGTGCTTACCAGGCCTGAGACCACAGCCACTTGGACATTTTGTCTCATAAACAGTAACTGTGGTTCTTGAGAAGAGTCATCCCATAATCCTCTCTGTTACAACATCTTTATTCTCTAATTCTATGCCTAGAACAAGGAATAGATAGTCATCACTGCAGTCAGATTACCAAGGCTGACAGAGTACCAAGACTGAGAGAGGTCTATTCTTTTTAATCTTTCAATTTTATTTAGAAGGTGGTTTTTTCCTTTTTTAAAAAAACTCCTTTCCTTTCCTTTCCTTTCCTTTCCTTTCCTTTCCTTTCCTTTCCTTTCCTTTCCTTTCCTTCCTTTCTTTCTCTCTCTCTCTCTCTCTTTCTTTCTTTCTCTCTTTTTTCTTTTTCAAATGGTTGTGTGCAACATTCCTCAGGGTCAGTCTTTGATTTGTGCTAACTTGGAGTTGGGAGGAGAGCCTACTGTCTTCCACAAACAAATTGGCAAAGTGATAAATACTTGTAACTTTGAGTCATTGCCTTCATTTTTTTGTTTTACATTTTTTTCATTAGTCAACTCAGTGAATCTAAATCACCTCTGCCATGACTTCACCTTCAGTTATTCTGATTCTCACAGTTTAAGCATTTACTGTATATTTTGTTCCATGCATTTTTATGGGATGGAAAAGCTCTGCATTGAGGTTCCCTCTGGTACAGTTTTATTTCCCCTTTATACATTCTTTGGTGAAGAGGTCAAAGCACAGTAAGGAGAAAAGATTAAAGGATCACATGGTTGTGCGAATCTGTGAAGTTCCTCGTCACCCTCTTACTCTGAGAGTAAGTACAGAGAGTTCGTCAACTCTGCTGAGCTACCTGTCAGAGCTGGTAAAGATGTTGGCGAAGTTAAATGTGTGTTAAAATAAATCTGAAGCCTCTTTCTAAAGCCAAAAAATATTCATTACTCGTGGTGCAGAACTTTGCTAGTGTTCCTTCTTCCTGAAAAATGCAAGCAGGTCTCTCTATCTTATTTTAAGGCTAAACATTTTTTTTTTTCATTCTGCTTCATTTTGCTGTGACATGCTATTATGCTTGGGCATGGGGTTGATGTCTTAATGTATTTGATCATGAAGCTGAGAATGACATTTGCTTCATAAAAACACATTGGTTGATATTACAAATGTATCCTTATTGAAGAGAAAATGAGGATGATGTGAATTCACAGACAATTCTGTGAGAGAAGACAATTCATCAGGCATAACTTGTAGCAAAGTATTTTTCATCATCTAATGTCAAGTATAAAGACTGTAACTTCTTGAGAGCAAGTCAAATGTGACACCAATTTGTTTTCCGGGCTCAAGCTCAACTCTGGCTATTTGATTTCTTGAACCATTTATCCGTAAGAGTCTGTGGGAGATCTTACCGTTCCCATGCCCCCAAAATGGTGGAATATGCACCATTTTGCATATTCCATATTCCATATTCCACCATTTTGCATATGTATACCAAGAAGAAGGAGTCAAAATTTGTTCACCTTAAAACAGTAGATATACAGTATTTTTATATTCAACTTTTAATGTGGTAAAATGGTAGCATAACTTTTTTTTTTTTCCCAAATGATCATCCTTCTCTGAGTAGGCTTTTGGCCCATGGGCTTTGAATAGTTAGGGTTAACCTTATTCACAGGATAGGTCTTGTATAGCAAATGGTTCATCATGCTGTGTACACACTGGAATCACCTGGAAAGTTTAAGGTGCTATAAAAGGAAGAGGGGGAGCTTGCACTGTATTTATTTCAGCTTTAGTTATCATTTCTTTCAATTTCTGTGAGTTTCACTTCTCTTCTTAATTTTTTAAGGTGGAAAACTGTGTTATCTAAATCTTTTTTTAATATAGGCATTTACCACTATAACTTTCCCCCAAGCAGTGATGTTGCAGCATTTCATAAATTTTATTATGTAGTGTCTTAATTTTCATTTATCTTGAACTATTTTTCTAATTTCTCTTTGATTTCTTCTTTGAGTTATTAGTTATTTAGAAATGTGTTGTTTAATTTTCACATATTTGTGACTATTCCAAATTTTCTCGTTATTGATTTTTAACCTCATTGTAACATGGTCAGAGAATAAATACATATAATTTCTATTTTTTTAAATTTATTGAGGTTCTTTTATGGCCTATCATATTGTGTATTCTGGATCATGTTTCATGTGCCATTGAGATGAATATTTATTCTACTGCTATTGGGTAAATTTTTCTATGACTGTTAGGTCTCATTGGTCTTGTTGTTCAAGTCATCTAGGTCCTTGTTTATCTTTTGCCTAGTAATTTTGATTATTATTGAAAGCAGATGTTGAAGTCTCCAACTATTATTGCTAAATTTTGTATTTCTCATAATCTCTTTAATTCAGGCAGTTTCTGCATAATGCATTTAAGGGCTCTTTTGTTAGGTTTTTATTTGCTTATAATTTCTATATCTTATGGATGTAGTGACTTTTTAATCATTATAAAATGTCTGCTTTGTCTCTGGAATCATTTTTTTTCTTACACAGTAGTTTGTTATTAACATATATACTTCATTCAGTTCTCTTACAAACTGAAGTAACTATCCTAATAGGTTGCCATTTTTATTTTATGTTTTAAATTTTATTTTCCACCCATTGACTTCAAATCCTTTTTTGTTTGTTTGTTTTTCAAACAAACAACTTCAAATGTTTGTTTTTTAAGACAGGGTCTCTCTCTGTCACCCAGGCTGGAGTGCAGTGACACGATCTCAGCTCACTGCAGCCTCCATGTCCCTAGCTGAAGTGATCCTCCCACCTCAGCTGCCCAAGTAGCTGGGACTACAGGCACACACCACCACTCCTGGCTAATTTTTGTATTTTTTTGTAGAAATGGGGTTTTGCCACCTTTCTCAGGCTGGTCTCAAACTCCTGAGCTCAAGCGATCTGCCTGCCTCAGCCTCCCAAAGTGCTGGGATTACAGGTGTGAGCTATCGTGGCTGTCCGGCTTTTTGTTTCTTAACCTAAGGTGTGTTTCCTTTATATAGCATATTGGTGGAACTTAAAAAAATCAAATCTGTCAATCTCTAACTTTTGATTGATTTTTAATACATTAAAAAGTAATATTATTTGTGTGGTTGGAATTATTTTTGCCTTATTCTTTTGACTTTCTCATAGTTTTCTTCTTCATTCCTCTTTTTTTTTTTACTTATAACAAATATGTATTTTCTAATGTACCATTTTAATTCCCTTGCCTTTTTCTTTACTATAATTTTCCATTTATTGTGTTTATATTAGAAATTTCAAATAAATTCATACCTAAAACAATTTAAATTGAAATACTAAAATTAATTTCAATTGCATACAAATAATTTTCTTCAGTATAGCTTTATTCCCTCCTTTTTTTTGGTACTATTCCTGTCATACAAATTACATCTTCATAAATTAGAAATCCATCTGCACATAATTATATCTTTTCTGTATTCAACTGTCTTTTAAATCAGAAGAAACAAACAAAAATACATCATAACATTTATTATATTTACCAATACACTTACCTTTACTAATAGTGTTTATTTTTCATGTGGATTTGAGTTACTGTCTACTGTTCCTTCAATTCAGCTTAAAAGATGCTTTTAGAATTTCTTATAGACCATATCTGTTGGTGACATATGACTCAGTTTATGTTTATCTGGTGCATTAGTCTGTTCTCACACTGCTATAAAGAAATGCATGAGACTGGGTTATTTATAAAGAAAAGAGGTTTAATTGACTCACAGTTCTGCATGGCTGAGGAGGCCTCAGGAAACTTACAATCATGGTGGAAGGTGAAGCAGGCACATCTTAACATGGCAGCAGGTGAGAGAGAGAATGAGAGAGAGAGAGGAATAGAGTAGTAACTTCCAAACACTTATAAAACTATCAGATCTCATGAGAACTCACTCACTATCATGAGAACAGCATGGGGAAAACCGCCCTCATGATCCAATCACCTCCCTCCCTCAACACATGGGGATTACAAGTCCCTCCCTCCACACATGGAAATTACAATTCAAGATAAGAGTTGGGCGAGGACACAGGTCTAAACCATTATCATCTGGGAATTTATTAATTTTGCCATTATTTTTTAAAGATAGTTATATTAGATATAAAACTTTTGGTTTACAATAATTTTATTTTATTAATAGCACTTTAAACATGTCATCCCACTGCCTTCTGGCCCTAATGATTTCTAATATTGCAGCTTGTTAATTTCATTGAGGACCTAGTATGTAATAAGTCGGTTTGTTCTTTCTGCTTTCAAAATTCTCTCTTTGTCTTTCTTCTGAGCAATTTGATGATGATGTCTCTCGTGTAACCACCTTTGAGTTTATTCTGTTTAAAGAGTGTTGAGCTTCTCAGATGTGCAAAATATTGTTTTCCTTCAACTTTGGAAAGTTGTCAGCAATTATTTCCTGATTTATTTTCTTTTTTCCTCTCTTCTCTCCTTTTAATATGTCTATTATACAAGTGTTGCGATGTTTGATGGTGTCCTGAGTTTCTCTTAATTTTTCTTCGTTCTTCTGTTTTTTCCTTTCTATTTAACAGAATGGATAATCTCAATTGACCTGTCTTCACATTTGTTATTTTTTTTCTTCAGCCAGCTCAAATTTTCTGTAATTTTTAAAAATCTTAGTTATTGTACTTTTAAACTCCAGAATCTATTTCGTTCTTTTTTTTTAAATCATTTCTCTCTTTTATCAATTTTCTCTGTTTGGTAAAACATCATTCTCATGTTTACCTTTAGTTTTTAGACATTTCTTTCTTCAGTTCTTTGGAGAGCAGATTTAAAGTTTTGTCCAATAACTCCAACATATGAGGTTCCTCAGGGATAGTTTCTATTTATTTGTTTTCATTCACATATATGGGACATATTTTTCTGTTTCTTTATGTGTCTTAAAATATTTTGTTAAAAATGAGACAGGTATTTTTCTTGAAAAAAGATTACTCAGATTGTTGAAAGCCTTTGGTTAATTTTCAGAGCCCTGGAAAAATTGTTTTTATAATTTTTCTAGTACTGTAATAGCCTTTAAGGAGGAGTAAAATTTTGGTTGTTTTTGTTCTAGTAGATCATGGGCCAGTAATATGTCACATTTCCTCTGTTGTTATATTTTGTATTCAAAAAATTGTTTTATTGATATATGAACATTTTTGGCCATCAAAGAAGATTCTATTCATATAATTTGAAGTATTAGACTAACATATTGCTCTATCAATATAAACTAATGTTATATTGGATGAAAGTTTATTTGGGGAGTCTGCTTCAATGTGTTTAATTTGGCATGTAACGCCAAAAACATATGAATAACCAGTTTCAAGGACAAAGGTATACATATTTTTGTTAAGATTAATTACTTGTCTGTTGTGGAATTTATCTCTTAAAGGCAGTGTGTTGGTGAGGTGGTATTCTGGCATTAGTACCTTATTTTCTGTAAAACATAGGTGTCACATGTAATGCTCAACAGATACTTGGCCTTGAGATGCCATGAGATAGTCCTTTAACCTGGAGTTTTTCCCTTTATTTAAAAAAGCAATGCTTGGGTGAACTCAATTATCTGAGGCTGCATCTCACATCTTTTTTTTTTTCCTAGAGGTCAGGTAGTTATTCTGATTTAAAGCATTCTGTGATTTTTATGTTGGCCAATGGCTTCAAACTGAGATGACTTTTTCCTTGGCCTCTAGAAGTAATCCAGGCCACTTTTAAATTTGAGAGAATGGAATGCAAAAAAGAAATGCTGGCTAATTATTTCCAGGAATGCAAGAGCTAGTGTACTATTGGTGCTGCTTTTAATCCTAGAACTTGATAAGATCATTATAATGTTTGTCATAAAATACCATTTAATCTTCAGCTCTAAAGAACTTTTTTAAAATAGAAAACGTTGTTCAAGTTTCAAAAGCCAGTCTAGTAATTATATAACCATAATTACTATGACAAAGATAATTGAAATAATGAGTAAAAGTTCTATCCACACTTTTTTTTCCCAACAGCTTATTACTATAGCAAACATGTAGACTAACTGGTATGCATATTGAGATATAATTCGAGTATATTACTAAAAAGGAAAACAACATGTGGAAAATAATGTTTGTTAAACGTTTTAGAATAATTCTTATTCTTGGGGTAATGAATTGGAGGCAGAGTGGCCAGGAAGAAAATAATTTTATCAGTGAATGATGATTATCGCATTCAGAATTATTAATCTGTATAATTCCAGAGTATCCTTAATTTAACTTATCAAATAATAATATTTAGACTAGATTATTATGGAAGATAGGAGGAAAAAATATGTGTCTTTTTGAGGGAAAAATGGGTATGAGTTACACCCAACCAACTGCTCCTCTCTTAAATGTGAGCTCAGAATAAATTGTCTTTGATATTCTTAATTCCAAATCACATTTCTTAGGGGATAAAATGCCATTTCAATAGCAAATTGCAACATCTATGATCTTGGAATTAATATCACAAGAGTAATTGAATGCAACTAAAACAAAAGTTCATCAATTTAACATGGGTTTCAACTATTGTACTGAACATTTAAGCTTAATAAACTTTCTGACTTCATAGAAGCTGTGATAGACTGCCCTCTAAAATCTGGTTTTGTTTGGCAGTTTATCTCTCTGCTCTCATCCCCAAGGAAAGGAAAACCAGCTAACTTGCTCTAATAATATGCAACAAAGCCAAGGCTATAATAATGAAGGAAGGTGAATTTACAGTCAAAACATTATCATTGTTGAGCCCAGATTGGTTTAGTATAAATTTATGAGTGAGTAACATTTGAACAATAATTAACTCATCAGCTCAGACCTTTAATCATGTTTATGAGGCTGGCTGGGGGAACAATCTCTTGTTCAAAGTTGTTGGTGTTATTTTTGATGCTTTGATAATTTTAAAGATTGGGTTGAGAACCATGAATATTATTGATTTTCCATACAGAAATGGAACAACCTGTTTGAAAGTGGGGGCTAAAAAAACCTTGTTTTGGAACTATAGTTGAATATAAAGAACGTGAATTTTGCTTAGGTTGTGGATTTATTTAGGATGGTTTGAATTGTTAGGGACTGAGGAGATTTGAGTTGCTGCAGTTGAGCTCTCACAGGTCATCTTTCTGCATCATGGGTAGGAAAATAGATTAGCCTCTGTCCCCTTCCAGACGGACAGACCTAACACAGTGACCAGTTGCTTATTACTGTAAAAATCTTGCCACTGATGCAATGAGAGACAACATTTGTAGCTTCAGTGATATCACACAAGGAAACTGGGGCTCAATTTCTCTTCCTAGTTTCTCATTCTTTTCACTAGTTTGCCTGTGTAGAGAAAGCAATAGAGTCTTCCAACATTTGCCCTTCCAAACTAGGCCCATTGAACATTTCCAAAATGAAAAGTCTGCTTCAGTACTGATTTCTTTTTTTGTTTCCAAATTTATTTATTTATTAATTTGATGGGTAAAATTGTATTAATTATGTACAGCATAATATTTTGAAGTATGTATATATATATATATATATATATATATATATATATATATATAGTGGAATATTTAAATCTAGATAATTAACAAATACATTACCTCACAGTTGCCATATTTGTGTGGTGAAAACATTTAACATCCACTGTCTTAGCACTTTTCAAGAATACAATATATCATTGTTAACTATAGTCACATGCTATACAGTAGATTTCTTGAACTTTTTTCTTCTCTCTAATTGTAATTATTTATACTTTGAAATACATCTCTCCAGTTTCATCCATGTCCCTACAAAGGACATAAACTCATCATTTTTTATGGCTGCATAGTATTCCATGGTGTATATGTGCCACATTTTCTTAATCCAGTCTATCGTTGTTGGACATTTGGGTTGGTTCCAAGTCTTTGCTAGTGTGAATAGTGCTGCAATAAACATATGTGTGCATGTGTCTTTATAGCAGCATGATTTATAATTCTCAGCAAACTATCGCAAGGACAAAAAACCAAACACCGCATGTTCTCACTCATAGGTGGGAATTGAACAATGAGAACACATGGACACAGGAAGGGGAACATCACACTCCCGGGACTGTTGTGGGGTAGGGGGAGGGGGGAGGGATAACATTAGGAGATACACCTAATGTTAAATGACGAGTTAATGGGTGCAGGACACCAACATGACACATGTATACATATGTAACAAACCTGCACATTGCGCACATGTACCCTAAAACTTAAAGTGTAATAATAATAAAATTAAAAAAAAAAAAAAAGAAATACATCTCTCCAAACCTCTCTCTCCCCTATACAACCAAGCCTCTGGTAACCATCATTCTGCTTTCTATGAAATTACCTTCTTTAGAGTCATGTATGAGTGAGATCATTTGCTATTTGTCTGTATGTGCCTGGCTTATTTCATTGTATGTAAGTATGTGTATAATATGTACGCATACACATACCCCACCACAGGTTTTTTTTTTATCCATTCATCAGTTGACAGTCACTTAAGTTGATTCTGTATCTTGGCTATTATGAATAGTGCTGCAATGAACATGAGAGTACAGATATCTCTTTAACTACTGATTTCATTTCATTTGAATAGATAGAAAGTAGTAAGATTGCTGGATCAATTGATAGTTTTATTTTCAATTTTTTGAGGAATGCTCATAGTGTTTTTCATAGTGGCTTTACTAATTATATTCCCACCGTGTGCAGGTGCTCCTTTTTCTTCACATCCTCACCAATAGTCATTATCTTTTATCTTTTTGATAATAGCCATTTTAACAGGAGTGAGGTGGTAAATCACTGTGGCTTTGATTTACCTTTCTCTGATGATTAGTCATGTGTTAATCAACCATTTTCTCCACCACCACCACCAACACTACTTATGACTTAAGGGCACAGTGCAGGAGTGTATCCCCATACTCCTACATCTATCTATAACTCTAACCCAGTTAAAACTAGGCCATCTCTGGGCCTGGAATTCTAAGCTTCCTAATTAGAGAATTTTAAGGCAGGAAAGGTCAAAACATTTTTCTCCTGCTTTTATACTGTCAGCCTTCAATTGTCCTGATGACTTGACCTCTAGTATTCCTGTCTCAATAGTTGGGCCAAATTAAAATTAAGGACATTTCAATAAATAAATAAATAAATAAATAAATAAAATCTTTAAAAGGGGGCATGGCAGTGGTACCAAAAAGAGGAATGAGGGGTAACATAGTCTTTTATTTAAAAACCATAAGATCTATTTTTCTTCTTTCACTGTTCCTTGTTTGCAATACAGGCTGAAATCTGCTGCCTTATTTACTACTGGTGAAAATGAGAATATAAAATGGCACATTCTGTTCCTCTTAAGTGGCTTCACATCCTGCCCTTGCATCGTCTGATGATTATTAGCTGATACAGTTTTTAGCAACGATGTCTCAGCCATGACAGACGTGTTACAGGGCTCATGTTTTCTCCATCTAGATGTTTCTCAATTTAGAATCTGTCATGTACATTGAGTGCAAGGGGATTGATGGTATTGAAATAGGCAAAGAATAGTTGGCATGCTCTAAATTTTGATTAGAGGTAAGTATTAAGACTCTGGAATTAATTGTGAAGATACATTTCATTCAACTTTCAACTTAGAGGGCAGGACTAGTCCTACAGGCACAAAACTGGAACTTACTTTTTTTTTTTTTTTTTTTTTTTTTTTTGAGACAGAATTTTGCTCTTAGTGCCCAGGCTGGAGTGCAGTGGTGCAATCTCGGCTCACTGCAACCTCCACCCCTGGGTTCAAGTGATTCGCCTCCTTAGCCTCCCAAGTAGCTGGGAACACAGGCATGTGCCACCACGGGCCTGGCTGATTTTGTATTTTTAGTAGTCACAGGGTTTCACCATGTTGGTCAGGCTTGTCTCAAACTCCTGACCTCAGGTGATCCACCTGCCTTGGCCTCCCAAAGTGCTGGGATTACAGACATGAGCCACCGTGCATGACTGGGCCTTACATTCTGAGAAGGAAATTATAAAGTTTGGAAAACTTTATAATTGCAGGCAAGCTGCATTCAAATAAGTTAGAAGACAGTTGATAGAAAGGGCTTCAGAGGGAGAATGGAATAATTTGGGAAGGGGCAGGCAGAAGCATGTAGTGAAGTAACACAAGTAGTTTGTTTTGTTAGTGGAACTTCTTAAAATATAAATTAACTGTTCTTAGGCCCCAGGAATGGAGTACTTTATAAAGACAGTAATCTTTAAAACTATGGTTAACTAAGAGATTTGTTATATAAACCTAAAACTAAAGGCTTTGCATAAAATGCAGCCTCTAAAGAGTAAGTATTATACTCTTATTTTACATATGAAAACAACAAAATTTATACCATATATGCATAAATTCTGGCATATATGTTTAAAAACTCAGTTTCATTATTTTTGCAGTCATTTGAGATTTGCAGAATGTCTTAAGAGCATTGACAAAACATCATGCTTGCTATTACAAATGAATATATTATAAAACTGCAAGTAAGTATTTAATAAAAGTGTTTACATGGTACATGATGAGAGAACCACCTAGTACCTGAGGCCATTACTAGACTTGCCTTTGGGGGAAAAAAAAAGTTGCTTGGGATTTCAAGACCAACTTCAATTCCATGTTCCTAAGTGTGTGCTTCTTAGCACAAGTCTGTCTCCTTCTCAGAGTAACGAGACTCTTTTTGTCTCTGGTCTTCATCGTAAAAGATAATTGCCTAGGTATGCAGTCATCAGGTTATCCAAAGTCAAGATGAAGGAAATAATCTTAAGAGCTGTGAGACCAAAACATCAGGTAACCTATA
Organism: Homo sapiens; assembly: GCF_000001405.40. Taxonomy (NCBI): domain Eukaryota; kingdom Metazoa; phylum Chordata; class Mammalia; order Primates; family Hominidae; genus Homo; species Homo sapiens. Next base: position 108,486,084 of record NC_000010.11, on the reverse strand, counting down.
AAGGAAAACCTATCAGATTAACAGCAGATTTCTCAGCAGGAACCCTACAAGCTAGAAGGGACTGGGGTTCTATTTTTAGCCTCCTTAAACAAAACAATTATAAGCCAAGAATTTTGTGTCCAGTGATACTAAGCTTCATAAATGAAGGAAAGATACAGTCTTTTCCAGACAAACAAATGTTCAGAGAATTCACCACTATCAAACCAGCACTACGGGAACTGCTAAAGGAGCTCTAACTCTTGAAATAAACCCTCAAAATACACAAAGCAGAATCTCTTCAAGCATAAATCTCACAGGACCTATGTAACAATGACACAATGAAAAACAAAACAAAACAAAAACAAGGTATTCTCGCAACCAACAGCATGATGAATAGAATAGTACCTCACATCTTAATACTAACATGGAATGTAAATGGCCTAAATGCTCCACTTAAAAGATACAGAGTGGCAGAATGGATAAGGATTCACCAACCATGTTTCTGGTGTCTTCAGGAGACACATCTAACACATAAAGACTAACAGAAACTTAAGATAAAGGTGTGACAAAAGATATTCCATGCAAATGTACATGAAAAGCAAGCCCTAGTAGCTATTCTTATATCAGACAAAACAAACTTCAAAGCAACAGCAGTTAAAAAAAAAGACAAAGAGGGACATTATGTAATGATAAAAGGCCTTGTCCAACAGGAAAATATAACAATTCTAAATATATATGCACCTAACACTGGAGCCCCCTTATTTATAAAACAATTACTACTAGACCTAAGAAATGAGATAGATGGCAACACAATAATGGTGGGGGACTTCAATACTGCACTGACAGCACTAGACAGGTCATCAAGACAGAAAGTCAACAAAGATATTGACTTAAACTGTACCCTAGAACAAATGAACCTAACAGATATTTACAGAACATTCTACCTAACAACTGCAAAATATACATTCTATTCATCAGTACATGGAACATTCTCCAAGAGAGACCATATGATAGGCCACAAAACAAGTCTCAATAAATTTAAGAATATTGAATTATATCAAGTATTCTTTCAGACCACAGTGGAATAAATTAGAAAAAAACTATTATAAAATTCATATGGAACCAAAAAACCCTGCATAGCCGAAGCAGGACTAAGCAAAAATAACAAATCTGGAGGCATCACATTATCTGACTTCAAACTGTACTATAAGGCCACAGTCACCAAAAGAGCATCGTACTGATATAAAAATAGGCACATAGATCAATGGAACAGAATAGAGATCCTAGAAATAAAGACAAATACTTATAGCCAACTGATCTTAGACAAAGCAAACAAAAGCATAAAGTGGGGAAAGGACACCCTATTCCACAAATGGTGCTGGAATAATTGACAAGCCACATGTAAAAGAATGAAGCTGGATCTTCATCTTTCACCTTACACAAAAATCAATTCAAGATGGACAGGTCTTAAATCTAAGACCTGAAACCATAAAGATTCTAGAAAATATCAGAAAAAACCCTTCTAGTCATTGGCTTAGGCAAAGACTTCATGAGCAAGAACCTAAAAGCAAATGCAAAGACTTCATGAGCAAGAACGTAAAAGCAAATGCAACAACAAAAAAAAGATAAATAGATGAGACTTAATTAAACTAAAAAGCTTCTGCACAGCAAAAGAAATAATCAGTAGAATTAACAGACAACCCATAGAGTGGGAGAAAATCTTCAAAATCTATACATCTGACAAAGGACTAATATCCAGAATCTGCAAAGATCTCAAACAAATCAGCTAGAAAAGCAAACAAACAAACAAACAAACAAAAAACAATCCCATCAAAAAGTGGGCTAAGGACATGAATAGACAATTATCAAAAGAAGATACACAAATGACCAATAAGCATATGAAAAAATGCTCAACATCACTAATTATCAGGGAAATACAAATCAAAACCGCAATGCAATAGAACCTCACTCCAGCAAGAATGGCCATAATCAAAAAAACAAAAAAATAATAAATGTTGATGGGGATGGGTTGAAAAGGGAACATTTTTACCTTCTGGTGGGAAACTAGCACAACTAGCACAACCACTACGGAAAATGGTGTGGTGATTCTTTAAAGAACTAAAAGTAGATCTACTCTTTGACCCATCAATCCCACTACCAGGTATCTACCCAAAGGAAAAGAAGTCATTATACAAAAAAAGATATTTGCACACCCATGGTTATAACAGCACAATTTGCAGTTGCAAAAATATAGAACTAGCCCAAATGCCCATCAATCAACAAGTAGATAGAATGTAATATATATATATATATAAAACATTATTTTATATATATAAATACACACACACACACCCCATGGAATGCTACTCAGCCAAAAAAGGAACAAAATAATGGCATTCACAGCAACCTGGATGGAATTGGAGACTATTATTCTAAATGAAGTAACACAGGAATGGACAACCAAACAATATATGTTCTCACTCTTATGTGGGAGCTAAGCTATGAGGACTCAAAGGCATACGAATGATATATTGGACTTTGGGGACTCAGGGGAAAGGATGGGGTGGAAGAAAAGACTACATATTGGGTACAGTGTACACTGCTTGGGTGATGAGTTCACCAAAATCTCAGAAATTACTATTAAAACTTATTCATGAAACCAAACACCATCTCTTCCCCAAAAAACCTATTGAAATAAAAAAAAATTTCAATTAAAAAAATGAAAAAATGAAATAAAATGCTTAAAATAGAGCATGCTTGCCAGTGAATTTAACAAACATTTGGGCTACGATTACAATGTTTTAGACACTATCTAATTATTTTTATAAATATTAACTGTTTTAATCTCATACCAGAAACAAAAAGCTTTGTCACAAAGAATTGAAGAGCTATGAAACATGAAAATGGAGAGAATATGTGTATATTGTTGGGCTGGGCATGGTGGCTCATGCCTGTAATCCCAGCATTTTGAGAGGCTGAGGCAGGTAGATCACTTGAGGCCAGGAGTTCGAGACCAGCCTAGCCAACATGGTGAAACACTTCTCTACTAATATCCAAAAAATTAGCTGGATGTGGTGATGCATGCCTGTAATCCCAGCTTCCTGGGAGGCTGAGGGAGGAGAATCGCTTGAACCTGGGAGGCAGAGGTGGCAGCGAGCCGAGATCGCACCACTGTACTCCAGCCTGGGTGACAGAATAAGAGTCCGTCTCAAAAAAATAAACAAACAAAGAAAAGAAAAGAAAAGAAAATATGTGTATAATATGTGTATATTGGTTTGGGGCTTGCAAGGAACAATTATCTAGATGGGCTATAGTCAGATAAGTTTAAAAGGTCTGGATCAATCTGTATTATTCAATAGTAGCCTATCACTCACTGTCCATGATAAGTTTGATGGTACTGAAACCAGGGATCCAGAGATTACTACAGCAGAGGTGAGCTCCAAGAAGAAAAGAGAGGGAGTGAGGGTAAATAGCATCTATGTCTGCATTAGTCTTCCAAATCCTGGCTCAAGTCCTTCTCAAGGCCCAGCTCTGTGACCTGTTTAAGATTCCAGAGAAATCTTTTTGTTCTTCTATTACATTTTCCTCACTTGATTAAGATATTTTAAATGATATATGTCACTTTCAACCAAAAAGTATCTAACAAAACACCCATGCTAGATAAACTTAGTGGCTGCATGGTGCAGACGATTAACCATGAAATACAAATTCAGGGAGAGCTAAAATAAGGAAATCTATGCATCGCATTGCAGAGAAGTGGCTCAAATTGGGCCTTAGGTCTGAGGAATATTCACATTGCCAGAGAACAAATGAAGGCACTCCAGGTAGCGAGTTCAGTGTAGTCAGAGGCAAAGATGCCAAGCAGCTAGTCTGGTTTTCACAGAGGGTTTATGCTATGGATTGAATGCTTGTGTCCCTCAAAAATTTGTACATTGATGTTCTAATTCCCAACGCAATAGAATTTGGAAGTGGGGCCTTTGGGGGATGATTAGCTCATGAAGATTTGAACCATCATGAATGGGATTATTGCCCTTCTAAAAGGAGACACCAAAGAGATTATCTCTCTCTAGATTATCTCTTCTTGCTGAAGATGCAGCAAGACTATGACTGTCTGCAAAGCAGAAAGAAGACCCTCCCAGAACCTGACCCTGCTGGCACCTCGATTTTGGATCTCCAGCCACCAGAACTGTGAGAAATAAATGTTTCTTATTTAGGCCACCTAATCTATGGTATTTTGTTATAGCAGCCCACACTGACAAAGAAAGTTTAAGGTATAAATGCTGCTACTCAAGTATATAGAAACTGAGAAGCCTTCATATCATTATAGATCATGATTATTGCAAGTTGCCATTTTTGTCTGAAAAGGTCAGGGTTGTGGCAGTGATACCCTTAACTTCCTATTATCAATTAGATGCTGTATCCGTCCATTCTCATGATGATGTAAGGAAATACCCAAGACTCCAAGACTGGGAAATTTATAAAGAAAAGAGGCTTAATTGGCTTACAGTTCCACATGGCTGGGGAGGCCACAGGAAACTTACAATCATGGCAAAACATACCTCTTCACAGGGGGCAGGAGAGAGAATGAAAGCCCAGTGAAGGGGAAAGCCCCTTATAAAACCATTCAGATATCATGAGAACTAACTAACTACCATGAGAACAGGATGGAGGAAACCCACCCTCGTGATTCAATTATTTCCACCTGGTCCTCCCATGACACATGGGGATTGTAGGAACTACAATTCAAGATGAGATTTGGGTGGAAACACAGCCAAACCATAAAATTCCACCCCTGACCTCTCCAAAATCTCATGTCCTCACATTTCAAAACACAATCATCCCTTCCCAACATTCCCCCAAAGACTTAACCCATTCCAGAATTAACCCAAAAGTCCAAGTCAAAAATCTCATCAGAAACAAGGCAAGTCCCTTCTGCCTATGAGCCTGTAAAATCAAAAGCAATTTAGTTACTTCCTAGATACAGTGGGGATACTGGCATTGGGTAAATACAGCCATTCCACATGGGAGAAATTGGCCAAAACAAAGGGGTTACAGGCCCCATACAATTCCAAAATCCAGCAGGGCAGTCAAATTTTAAAGCTCCAAAATGTTTTCATTTGACTCCATGTCCCACATCCAGGTCATGCTGATGAAAGAAGTGGGCTACCATGGCCTTGGGAAGCTCCACAGCTGTGGCTTTGCATAATACAGCACCCCCTCCTGGCTGCTTTCAGGGGCTGGCTTTGAGTGTCTGCGGCTATTGCAGGTACACAGTGCAAGCTGTTGGTGGATCTACCATTCTGGGTTCTGGAGGGTGGTGGCCCACTTCTCACAACTCCACTGGGCAGTGCCCCAGCAGAGACTCTCTGTGGGGACTCCAACCCCACATTACCCTTCTGCACTGCCTTAGCAGAGGTTCCTCCATGAGGGCCCTGTCCCTGCAGCAAACTTCTGCCTGGACATCTAGGCCTTTCCATACATTCTCTGAAATCTAGGTGGAGGTTCCCAAACTTCAATTTTTGACTTCTCTGTACCTGCAGGCTCAAGACCATGTGGAAGCTGCCAAGTCTGGGGCTTGCACCCTCTGAAGCCACGTCCCGAGCTGTACCTTGGCTCCTTTTAGCTATGGTTGGAGCCGCTGGGATGTAGAGCACCAAGCCCGAGGCTGCACACAACAAAGGGGCCCTTGACCCCACCTAGGAAACCATTTTTCTCTTCTAGGCCACTGGGCCTGTGATGGGAGAGGCTGCTGAAAAGGTCTCTGACTCCCTAGAGACATTTTCCCCATTGTCTTGGCAGTTAGCATTTGGCTCCTCATTACTTATCAGCAAGAAGAACTGCCGAGCAATAGGGGGAAAGCCCCTTATGAAACCATCAGGTCTCGTGAGAACTTACTCACTATCATGAGAATGGTAGCATGAGGGTAACCACCCTTGTGATTCAATTACTTTCCCCTCAGTCTTTCCCAAGACATGTGGGGATTATGGGAACTACAACTCAAGATGAGATTTGGGTGCAGACACAGCCAACCTATCAATGCCCATGCACTTAATCTGACACTGTCCAGAAAATATTGTAACAATATTGTATTGAGTATGGTACTTAACCTCTCTGAGCTGATGTGTTTTCGTCTATAAACTAAAGAAAATAAAGCATAGTACATTAATTTAATGTGAAAGTTAAATGAAATTTAAAGTCCCTAGTACAGTGTCTCAGAACCTTGAAGCGAAAGTGTTTTTTGTCCCCACATGGGCATTGTGCATTTACTTTGCTTCCCATCAGGAGACAGGCATCACTGGTCATTGTCATAGAAAAAGTGAAAGTATCTTGCAATAATAGTTATTGTTACTATTAATTGAACAACCTTAAAAAAACTCATGAGCATTATACTTAGGGTTTTATATGGATTATATTATTTAACATGCAGCCATCCTGAGAGAAAGGAAATCCAACACGTTTGTCCTTGTGGAGATGTTCCATGTGGTTATTCTGAGGTCCGGATTATGACCAGCTTGTTTAGAATCTGGACTAGTGGGTGCTTCTGTACTGTAAAATGGCATTAAGTTCTGTCATGGTAATATTTGCTGTTCCTCAAATCAAAGAGTGTTTGATGCATTTAATGAAATTTGCAGCAAGTTCAGAAAACCGTGTGTTTCTTCTCTTGAGAGATAGTGAATATGTATGTGGTGAGGCCATCAGAGAGTATTGACTGAGGATTTCATTACTTGATAACATGAAAAGAAAGAGTGCATGAATTTATCAAAAGGCAATATAGACCAGGAGACTTGGTTTAATGAATAGATGAGCTGAGTGATCCCCCAACCAGCCTCCACCTCACAAGTTACTTGATATCTCTGACCTTGTGTTTCTTCACTGTAATAGATAATGCATTTTCTTATATGTATAATACAGGAAAGTTGTTTAAGATTTCTGATACCTAAACCTGGCTGTATAAATTCAATAAAGTGAGGTTGAAGTTTCAGCAAAATAATTGAATTAGAATCTCTGGAATATGATGACTGTTCTTAGATATCCAGGTTTCAGAACTACTGAGAAAGACGGTTTTAAGGGTCAGTTTAGGACTAAGATTTTTAGTTCGAGATATTAGACAGCAGACGGGGAAGAAGCCAGCATATATTTAAGAGCCCAAAAGACAATACAAATAATGCAGTCCAAATAGAGATCATGACATCCTGATTCTTTTGGGAAACTATGAGGCTGATGCCAATGTGGTGAAATGTGTGATGAGTCTGGATAGAAGAGAGAATTCTTAATCATCTAAGGCTGGTCCTGCTGAGAGATTTTTAAAAAATCTTTCATTCAGTAAATATTTATTGAATATCTAATACATGTGAGTCCCTGCTGGGGTTTTTAGTGTGTCAGAAAAAATAATTCATTATAATCCTACAAAAACCTACAAAAATTTACAATCTCTTTGGGAGAAATTAGCTATGGACATAGAGAGGTGTTTTGCAGGGAGACTCTAATTTATTTCCACAGGCATCAGGAAATATTTCATGAAATAAGTTGCTATGGACTGAATGTTTGCTTTCCCCTAAAATGTATATGTTGAAGCACTAATTCCCAATTTGATGGTTTTTTGATATGGTGCCATTGGGAGGTAATTAGGATTAGGGTAGGGACCTCATAATGGGATTAATGCCCTTATAAGAACAGACCATAAGGAGCTTGCTGTCTTTCTCTTACTCCTCATGTGGCACAAGGAGAAGAGGTCATGTGAGCCCACAGTGAGACAGCAGGTGCCTTCCAGGTGAAAAAAGAGTCCTTAGAATCAACCTATCTTGCCAGCAGCTAGATTTTGTATTCCCAGTCTCCAGAACTGTGAGAAATATCTTTCTGTTGTCTAATCCCCCTCATCTATGGAATTTTGTAATGGCAGTTGGAGCAGACTAATAGGTATGTGGTGCTGGAATTGAACATTAGGAAGTGGTTGGGAACCACATACCCATGAGAAACTCAAAATTGGGGTGGGCATGTTGTCACAATAATGCTGTTATGAAACTTCTACTTGATTGTAATGTAGGGTCTATAAGGACAGAAATTTCATGTCTGTCTTGTTTATTATTACAGTGTCAGCATCAGAACAAGGGTCGACACATAATTGACCCTCACTATTCATTTTATTACAAAAAGGAAATAAATGCATGGGAAATGACATTTTGTTTAATTTGGTCTCCTGTTACATTTAAAAGCAGAACAAAGGGAGTCGGGGCTAGGAAGTTTGTCTTCTGCCAAATTAAATCAATATGACTTTTGTAGAGGAGTAAGTAGTCAAATATATGAAATAGGATGGAGTAATAAAATAAAACTGCAAGTTGACTTACATTTTAGAAAACAAAAAACAAAAAAAACAAGAAAGCAAGTCTTCTCCATTCTTCTTGTTTTGACATTTTTTGTAAGAAATGGAGTGGCCATAATATGCATTGAAGTTTCCTAAGCCCCATATCTGTAAACAAACCAGGCGACATTTATACAACACTTTGATATTTAAGCCCCACACTGCAGAATCCTTCTGAGAAAAGATACTATGTGCTTGTAAATGTAACACTAGTAAGTAAGTCTTCTCTTGTCATTAAATCAATAAACAAATTACAGCCGTTTCCAATAACAGTGTGTCTCAGAATGTATATTCTAATAGTATTTTTATTATTTTGATGATAATGATGATGGTGGTGGTAGTGGTGATTTTGATGGTTAATTTTATGTGTCAACTTGGCTGGGCTATAGGGTGGTCAGGTATTTGGTCAAACATTATTCTGGATATTTTTGTGAGGCTGTATTGAAGTGAAATTAACATTAAATTCATGGGCAGAGTAATCATATTGCCCACCTTTAATGTGGGTGAGCCTCATACAATCAGTCAAAAGGCCTGAATAGAACAAAAGGCTTACCCTCCTCTGAGTAATGTGAATTCTTCCTGTCTCATTGGCTTTAGACTGGAACATAGGCTTTGGGTTCAAATGGAAACATTTGCTTTCTTAGGGTATTATATTTGATAGTAGTATATTAACTTGGAAAATGTTCTCCGTCTTTTAAAATGTACCCAAATTTAATCAGGTGACCTCCCAATCTGAAAGAAAATACTTATATAATTAGATGGTTACTTAGAGGATCTTCTAATTTATTATGTTTGTTGCTGATAACAATGATGCCTTCCTTAAACTTTTTGGGTCAGATTCATGAGTAATCATTACTAGATCAGGAATGCAGCTGGATTATTATGAGCTGGAACAAAACAATGACAATTTAAAACTTCTTCAAGTTTTCACTTCAATTCCCTCATGAAAAGGAAGATAATCAAGTATTTATTGAGTACCTATTGTGTGCCAACACTAGAGTATGCGTATTTATGTCACTTATTTTGTTTTCAAAACTTTCTGGAGGTATAATTATATATCTTTTTTATTCCTATAATTCAATCTGTCTGCACAAAGCATGTGTTGCTTAATGTAATGAAACGAATCATTCTTTGTGTAGTGAATGCTATTCCAATTCAATTCAACAAGAATAATAGGAGAAACAGAGAAGTAAACACTTAGGAGATTTCAAGATTATTATAAAGTATGCATTTCCTTTTGGATCCTTATAATTTGAAGGCAATCAGGCTTCTAGACATAAAACAACCAAAGACGATTCAAACAACCTTGATTTAGGTTGTAGGTATCACCATATTGAATCAGAGTCATTAGTTTCAGACTCCCGCACACTGATAGATAAAGAAATTGGATACAGCAGAGCAACAAAAGTTGACATAGATATAAAGATTATTACAGACACAGAAAGAGGTCAAGAAAATGCATTCATTCTCTTGCAATGATATGGTAGACTTCTTGGAAGATGTACACTTAAAGTTGTCATTAAAAGAAGGACAGTAATTAAAGAGAAAAACAAGAGTATGACATTGCAGAATGTAGGAAGAGCATAACAAAGTTATAGAGACATTTTGATGTTGGCCACCAACAAATAATAAGTTAACATTTTTATATGTAGGGTGAACTAAGGATTAAGGATAACAGCAAGTGAGAGTTTGGGGACCAAGGAATAGGAAAAAAGCATCAAAAACTGAATAATATGTAGAGCATGTTGAATAACTTTTTTATGAAATAAGTTAAGTATTAGTATAGAGTCGAGTCTAGTCTACCAACATATTGCCTTAAATGAAATAGGCTATATTTCATCCACAATAATTGGAGGCTTAGCAGGTCAGCAATAGTAGGATGATTCTGACATCCTCAATTTGTTGGTTCCTAATGTGGAACCAATGTGGTTGTTCCAGGAGTGAGGGTTAATTTTTTGTGTCAACCTAACTGATCTAAGCGATGTCCAGATATCTGGTAAAACTTTACTTCTGGGTGTGTCTATAAAGGTGTTTATAGAAAAGATTAGCATTTGTGTTGGTACACTGAGTAAAGAAGATCACCCTCACCGATGTAGGTGGGAATCATTCAATATTGAGGGCTCAGATAAAACAGAAAGGTGAAGAAAGGGAAAATTGGTTCTCTCTGCTTGAGCTGGGACATCCATCTTCTCCTGCCCTTGGATATTGGTGCTCCTGGTTCTTGGTCCTTTGGATTCAAGCCAGGACTTACACTATTGGGTCTCTTGGTTCTCTGACCTTCAGGCATGGAATGGAATTGTAGATCTGTATGAACAAGGACTGTTGCAGAAGTTTAAATGGAATAGGTGGGACTTGAGCGAAAACATGAAAACCCGGCAGATCTGCATAGGGGGAATAACATGTTCAGGCCCTTAGGTGAAGAGCAGTGTGCTTTTCTTTTAATGCAGCAGGGAAATGGTATCCATAGACATTTGGCCCAGTTATAATACACTCTGACTTAGTATTTGCAAAAGTCATTTCCTTTTGAGTTGCAGGTGACAAGTGAATGTCCATAAATAGAGGTTCTTCAAGTGCATTGGATTCTTTTTTAGTGGTAGGGAAAAGGGAACAAAGAAAACAATTGAACTGAATTTTAACTAAGGTGTTATTCCAACTATGATACATGCATTTACATAGCCTGTGGAGAGTGTAAAGTAATATAAATCTTTGAGTAAATTATGAGAAAACAAAATTTGTTATTTTTCTCCAAGAGTTACACAAACTCTGACTATCCTTTTTGTACCAAACATCCCATTTTAACAATGTTCCCATGTTTTGGATTTTAACTGTGGCAGTTAACTGGCCTTGTCTGTCTAGATTACCGGACTTTGATATGCTTTGTCTTCGATGTGCTCTCCTATCTCCACATTGAGAAGCTGCTTCGTGGTTCAGCCCTGTATTTTTAGGATACTCCAAAAATGTTATGACACAGTGAAGGCCACATGTCAACATTATCCTCAGCTGCTTAGAGTAGCTGTGGTCAAAAATACTGTACTGACCATTTGGGCAAAATGAGGAATCATTTCAAGGAGAGAGTCTGCTATAATCTCTCCTAAGGTGGCTGTCTTCAAATGAATGTAACCTGGTATTTTGATCCCTGCAGATTTTTAATTATTAAGCTGAAAATAACAATTAGATCATAACTGCCACATACCAGATGCACTTCATAAAATGTGTGAGAAATGAGTACTGACACTCCTGCCTGGAAGAGCAGGCTTCCTGTAGGTCATCAAACTCAAAGAGCCCTATCTTGTCACTAACAGTCCAAGGTCACTTCATGTGAGCAAAGAAAGTTTCTGTCTTATGGGAATTCATCATTAGCCCCACAGCTATATGCTCTCTACACAGAACTTGTCAATTTTTGAGAACATATTTGATTGCCACTCTGAAAGGATCAATGGAAACTATTAATATTGAGATGTTAATCAACAACTGTACATTTAAAATAAGAGTTGAGAATTTATTATGCACAGAGATTGGAGTTAAGTGGCAAAGCACATTGCATGGATAATCTCGAATCTCATGGGCAACTTTACAAAATCCTCTTGTAAACATAAAGAATCGGAGACACAGAGAAGTTAAGAACACATAGTAAGTAGAGAGCTGGGAAGGAAACCAAGGAGGTTTTGATTCCAAAGCCCAGTCTTAATCTCCATGTTTTTCTTGTCATATGTCAACGATAGTATGAGGAGCCAGGGACCAGAGAAAACATGTCCTTTCCTCACACAGCTTCATTTCTAAGAATAATGTGGTTTTTATCACACAGCCCCAAATACATATGTATGGCGGTCTTCACTTAAACACAGTTATTGATTCTGCTCTCCTATGGGGAACAACTGAAATTGGTTGTTACAGACTGAGAGATGCAGGGAAGAGGGCTTTGAAACCGCCTGGATTTTATCTCACTCTCGGCTTCCTCCTAGACTAGTGTTCACTTTAACTTTGGTGTCAGGGGATAAGGAAGACTTTATATTCCAGTATGTCTGGTAGTTTCTCTTTGGAACACAGAATAAAGGGCAAATCTTTATCATGACTTTCAGGGCCATCAGTCATGTGGCCTTCTCTAATCTTCCCAACTGAATCCTCAACATGCCCCTTCCCATATCACCTACTGCAGTTGCATCTCCTTTACCATAAGGCTAATAGACCACAATGACTTTTTAAAGTATTAAGTGTGGTTGGGAACTAGAGAGCCTATTAGGGAGTAAAGAACAAACATGTTTGTTGAATGTGATTATTTGAGTCCAACTCTTTCACAATTTGCTTATCTATTTAAAATACTGAATAGTGGTATTATTTAATACAAAAACTAATTTGTGCCATGAGCTGAGAACTTTTGTGTTTTTTATGACATTTGGAGACCTTGGGACCAAGAAAGACTCAGGCTTTTCTAGTGTCATGAGGCAGATTTAGTCTTGGTCCTATATAGGAGATAGAATTGGCTAAAGAAAACACTTTCATTTTGCTGCAGTAAAGTATTATTAAGATGTATACTAACCCATATGCATGCAATCATCATACAATTTTAAGCCATAAAATATTTACAATGCCATGTCTAAGATAGATGACACATAGTATATTACTCCACATTTTAGTGAAGTATAGATACAGAGACTCAAATTGATGCTTTCAAGTGATCATGTCCGTATAAACAAACCTTTTCTTAATAATAGTTCTTTATTGGGAGGTTTTCCTTTTTTCTTCTGGAAAGTGTTTTCTACACACCTTTTAGACAGCAGAGATAATTCTTGACTGTGACACTTTCTGGCAGCTATTCAAACATATTCTGTCTTTTTGGCTGTATCTTTTTCTCTACATTCCTGCTGTTCTTTACAGAATATGGCTATCTCATAAAAGGATATTTTTAATAAGAACCTATTTGCTAAATGAATAAAATATTATTTAAGATGCATTTCCAAAAGTTCTGAGCAAGTCTCCTACTGTTTTGATATATCAGTGAAAGCACTGCTACATCAATAAATTCTTAGTTACTGAGACATAACAAGTACTTAGTGGTAGGCATTGCTGAAACTGGAACATGTCAGGAGCCCTTCTCTTGTATATTACTGAAACTGTGTTTACTTACTTTTATGTTTTATTCATTTTATCTTTAAATAACATTGTCTCTGTTACATCTTTTTTTATTATTCCATAATTTTTTTCTTTTTGTTTCTCTTTCTATAATCTCCATATTTATCAAATTGTTTTTAGAGATTTTGTAGACAATTGTTTACTGAAAATAAATTCATGACAATGATTTACGAAACTTTCTAATTGTAATCCAGGTACAGTGCTAGGCACTAGATAGAGATAAAATAATGAAGGGCCAAAAAAGAAAAAAAAGATGTTTCTGCTACCATGCAGTTCACTATAATGTGGAAGTGACAACACTTAATGTAATTATCGAGCTATACCAATGGGCAAACATTGAACATGTTGATATAAAGAAAAGGTCAGCAAACTTAAAAAAAAATACCAGATAGTAAATATTTTAGGCTTTGTAGATGACATGGTTTGGCTGTGTTCCCACCCAAATATCATCTAGAACTGTAGTTCCCATTATTCCCATGTGTTGTGGGAAGGACCTGGAGGGAGGTAATTGAATCATGGTGGTGGTTACCCCATGCTGCTCTTCTCAAGATAGTGAGTTCTCACAAGATTTGATGGTTTTATAAGGGGATATTCCCCCTTTTGCTTAGCACTTCTTCTTGCTGCTGCCATGTCAAGAAGGACACGTTTGCTTCCCCCGGCCTTCCCAGACATGCCGAACTGTGAGTCGATTAAACCTCTTTCCTTTATAAATTACCCAGTCTCAGGTATGTCTTTATTAGCAGCATGAGAACAAGCTAATACAGTAAATTGGTACTGGGTAAGGGGGTGCTGCTGTAAAGATACCTGAAAATGTGGAAGCAACTTTGGAACTGGATAACAGGCAGAGGTTAGGACAGTTTGCAGGGGTCAGAAGAAGATAGGAAAATGTGAGAACATTTGGAACTTCTTATAGACTTAGAGAACTCAGAAGACCAGAAGATGTAGAAAAGTTTGGAACTTCCTAGATACTTGTTGAATGGTTTTGACCAAAATGCTGATAGTGCAATAAGGTCCAGGCTGAGGTGGTCTCAGATGGAGATGGGGAACTTCTTGGAAATTGGCGTAAAGGTTACTGTTGCTATTCAAAGAGATTGGCAGCATTTTGGCCCTGCCCTAGAGATCTGTGGAATGTTGAATTTAAGATAAATTATTTAGGGTATCTGGGGGAAGAAATTTCTAAGCAGTGAAGCATTCAAGAGGCAGCAAAACAAAAGTCTGGAAAATTTCCAGCCTTACTATGCAATAGAAAAGAAAATCCCATTTTCTGGAGAGAAATTCAAATTAGCTGCACAAGTCTGCATAAGCAGCAAGGAGCCAAATGTTAATCACTAAGACAATGGGAAAAATGTCTCCTGGGCAAGTCAGAGTCCTTTAAAAAGCAGGGCCTCCCATCACAGGCCAAGAGGCCTAGGAGGGAAAAATGGTTTTGCAGGCCCAGGCCCAGGGGCCCCCTTGCCTTGGAACTTGGTGCCCTGTGTCCCAGCCACTCCAGCTGTGGCTAAAAGCAGCCAACATACAGCTCAGGCCATTGCTTCAGAGGGTGCAAGCCCGAAGCTTTGGCAGCTTCCACGTGGTGTTAAGCCTGTGAGTACACAGAAGTCAAGAATTGTCATTTGGGAACCTCCGCCTAGGTTTCAGAAGATGTATGGAAATGGCTGGATGTCAAGGCAGAAGTTTGCTGCAGGGGTGGGGCACTCATGGAGAAATTCTGCTAGGGCAGTGCAGAAAGGAAATGTGAAGTCAAGGGTCCCACACAGAGTCCCCATTTGGGTATTGCCTAGTGGAGCTTTGAGAAGAGGGCCACCGTTCTCCAGACCCCAGAATGGGAGATCCACTGACAGCTTGCACAATGTGCCTGGAAAAGCCACAGACACTCAATGCCAGTCTATGAAAGCAGCAGTAGGGGGGCTATACCCTGCAAAGCCACAGAGGTGGAGCTGCCCAAGGCCATGGGAACCCACCTTTGGCATTAGCATGACCTGGATGTGAGACATAGAGTCAAAGGAGATCATTTTGGAGCTTTACGGTTTGACTACACTGCTAGATTTCAGACTTGCATGGGGCCTGTAGCCAGTTTGTTTTGGCCAATTTCTCCCACGTGGAACAGCTATATTTACCCAATGTCTATATTTCCATTGTATCTAGGAAGTAACTAACTTGCTTTTGATTTTACAGTCTCACAGGCAGAATGGACTTGCCTTGTCTCAGATGAGACATAGGACTGTGGACTTTTGAGTTAATGCTGAAATGAGTTAAGACTTTGGGGGTACTTATGGGAAGGCATGATTAGTTTTCAAATACAAGGACATGAGATTTAGGAGGGCGATATGGTTTGACTGTGTCCCTACCCAAATCTCATCTAGAATTGTACTTCCCGTAATCCTCACATGTTGTGAGAGGAATCAGATGGGCTGTAATTGAATCATGAGGGTGGTTACCCCATGCTACTGTTCTCATGATAGTGAGTCGGCTCTCACAAGATCTGATGGTTTTATAAGAGGCTTTTCCCCCTTTTGCTTGCCACTTCCCCTTGCTGCCACCATATGAAGAAGGACATTTCTGGTTCCCCTTCTGCTATGTTTGTAAGTTTCCTGAGACTCCCCCAGGCATGCTGAACTGTGAGTCAATAAAACCTCTTTCCTTCATAAGTACCCATTTTTCTGTATGTCTTTATTAGCAGTGTGAGAATGGACTAGTAGACCATTCAGTTATCATCACAACCACTTAACTCTGCCATTGTAGCACAAAAGTAACCATAGGTGATGCATTAATGAATGAACACAGTTGTGTTACAATAAACTGTGTTTATTTACAAAAACAAGTAATAGGACATACTGGTCCAGTGTTGTAGTTTGCTGACCCCCTGATATAAGGGAAAAAGACAGCATGGTCCATGGTAAGAAGGGTGAAATAGTGAACAGAGGACAATTTTAAGTTCTCATTTACTGATCATTTACTCTGTGCCAATCACTGCAAAACTGACACATTTATTCTCAAAGAAAAGTCCATTGCAAATCAGCTCTAAGCAGATATTGTGCAGCCAATGTCATGTATTGGCTCTCAGGCCTCAAAGATATTACCTTTACTATGCAAATAACAGAGATCAAATGATGGAGAAAATAATTTCTGTGGGTTTCCACATATTTGAGTTTGTTGTGTATCCTGGTGGTTAGTAGAGTGTGAATCTCAGAAGATGATGCCCTGGTGGCCAGTTCCATTGCCACTTAGGCTTACCAGTTTCAAACTCTGTATAGTTACCAAGTATAATTCTGATCTCAGGCAACCATAACAGCGTAATTCTCACTCCTACAAATGCCTGAGCATGCAACTTATTGATTCTAGGTCTATAACATTATTTTTGCAAACTAATAAAATTCTGTTTCCTTCCTCTGTAGAATTTTTAATGGCATCAATATGTAGCTAGAGCACTGAACTCATAGTTTGTGTTGTGGGATCCTATGATATAGAGGTTGCTTTATGTATAACAGTCTTATCTGCTTGTATATTAATCATTGTCGTATGGATTACAAGACTAATGTTTTGCCTAATAATTTATTTATAGGCACTTTCCAATTACCCAAAAATGTTAATAAGTTTCTGAGCCTATTTCTTTTTTTTATGTATACTCAATTAAACTGAAGTAGTCTAATTGTTTCTCAGATATATCATGCTATTAAATACAATTATAACTCATTTTCTTTCTGTCATTATCTTTTAGAAATGAAAGCAACCCAGGTTTTGATGTTTATCTTTCTAACAATACCTATATCATTGTGCTTTTTATGATTTCTCAAACGACTTTTTTTCTCCCTTTCCTATTAGCTCTTCAAATATTTTGTTTAAAATATTGGAACATGTCACATTTTGATGTGTATGGGAACCACACATACCAGTAGATTGTTGGTACTATAACAGCAGAAATTATTCTTGCTCATTCATACCCTAATTCTTTGAAATATTTAGCATGGTAGGTAACAAATGTTCAATTTGTTGTGTTTAACTTTAACTGAAGTTAAGAGATCCCTGAAAATCTAAAACCTGGAGCGAAGTCCTCTCACATTGAGTTGGCAATGTGAGAAAATACCATGGTTGAAGTTATTTCCATTATCTGATCTGGGTCTCTGCTACTAAGCCAGTGATAAACATAAATCCAAATGGATCAACTGAAAGGAGAGGCTTTATAGCTAAAATTGTGAAATGTATAAAAATGCTAAAGATATTAACACATGAATTTGAATTTACAATATATGTAGTCTATATTTTACGCAGTTTATTTCCTTTACAAAAGTTTATGTTAAGGATGTAGTATATGTATGTGTGTGTGTGTATATATATATACATATATATCCTTGACATTATGTATGTATGTGTGTGTATACAAACACACATATATATATATACATATAAAATCTATAACTTTTGGAAATGAATGGAGCCTATTATACTAAAGGAAAAAGGAATTGCACTTAAACCCTGTAATCTAGTTGGTAAGGTTACTTCACATGGGGTTACAAGTTAACAATTTGGTACAGCTATTCATGGAGACCAGCATTAAACAGATGAGTAAATGAGTGATAAATGATGGTTTGCAGGTTTCTCACTGTTGGGGTTTGAATTACCAATAAGTAAGAAAGCAGACTAGAAAAGTACATATGGTTATGGATTACAATTGGAGACATCCTAATAAACACACATGTGGCATAATATAAATACAGGTACATATAAAATGATTTACAGGTATCTGTATACATTGGTTAGTATACACAAATATAAACGCTTGTTTTTTTGTGAGTTTTGTTTGTTTGCATTTTATTTTCTTATAAGAATGCAGGTAATTCCTTCTTCCCGCCTATCTTTCAGAGCACCTGTAACATTTACTAATTTGGAAAAAAAAGTGCAGAACCTATTTAACACTGTGATGAGTTATATAATGTGTGAAAGTAATGTTTTATTTTCAAGCTGTTCATAAAGTGGTTTTACCTTTTATAACTTCCTTGTAAATTGATTAAAGATCTTAGTCAAATATTTATAAAATTGGAGAACTTAAGCCCTCTTCTTAAGCCACTGTAGTTTGGAATTTAAGCAGAGCTACAATGATTGGTTTCAGGCCCCTTCCAGAATTTGTTGATGCGTGGCAATATTTTAAAGGACAGTATCATCATTCCCTGGGTAGGGTGTGAAAAGAACCAGCATCTTTGCTCTTCCTCTAGTTTTCTCTCGTTTCTTTACAAAAACAATCTAAAATAGAAGATACCTTCTCAAATGGTATCAAGAGGTGTAGCATTTTGAGAGCTAATAAGTCACTGTTCTAATGGTGAGACATGTTTTTGCTAGTCATGAAACCATCAAGGAAGCGGAAAACCTAAAAATGAGAAGGAAGAAAACTGAGGGTAATATTTACCTGAATGAATACAGAAGCATTAAAGGAAGAGAGACTATGCTGTATTCTAAAACAATGTCTCCTCAAAATGGAAAATGTTCAACTGAGAATATGGATATTTTTCCTTTAGCATAAACTAGCATAGCATTCTTAGTTTGAAGATTTGATCAAATAAATTGCTATTCCAATTCAAAATAGCTGCAATACATGTAACTATTATAAGTTAAGAGAAGTAGTGTAAAATAATCATGTATCAGACTGGTTTTGAACCCGATTTCACCACTAACCAGCTGTAACCTCATCGATCATAGAGAGTGATAATTGTTGCCTCAGATCATCTTTTGAGCATGTTGTGTGTACATAGGCCCAAAGGATCCAACATTATTTTTGAGGGCTACCTTTCTAGGGTTTCCCACAGGCCAGAACACGGAGCCTGAGTGAAAAGCCAGGTAGAGGTGTCCAGTCATTGGGAATCAGATGGCAAAGAAAAGCCCCTTCCCAACTCCGACATATCCACCCTCCAGGAGCCCGGGTCGACCGCCCCCGCGGGCAGGGTGCGCGGACTAGGCAGGGAGACCCGCGGCTGCGGGGGCGCAGAGTGGTCAGCGGGGATAGGCGGAGGCAGCGCCTGCGAGGCCTAGGGGGGGGTCGCCGGCGGCGCCTCCAGCGCCCGGAGACCTGGCATCGGCCGCCCTCCTTCCCGCGTGCCCGCCAGCGCCCGTGCCTGCTCAGCCAGTGACTTCAGTTCGGCTCCACCCCCGCGCGGCTGCGGCTCGCTCCTTCCAGACTCGCGCTCGGCACAAACCCAGCCCCAGCGAGCGGCCGCCAGCTGCCCGGCGCCACCTCCACCCGCCCCCACCGCGGCCCAACTTGGAGGGAATTGGGGTCCTGAGCGCCTGCCCCCCACAGCCGCCAGCGCAGAGCCACGCGCTGCCACCTTCGGTCTGGGACCCCTCTCTGCTGTTCTCCGCCCCCGCGGTGGGAAAAGTGGGCGCCGGCGGCTGCTTCCCAGCCCTGCTGAACCGAAAGTTCTGGGTTTCAGCGGGAGATGGGGGCGCGCCACCGCGACCAGGTGCAGGAGAGGAGGCCACTTCGCACAGAATCAGCAACTGTCCAATGGTCTGGCCCGCACAGCAGGAGTTGTGAGGTTCCCACGTGGCTGGGTACAAGGGGAACGTTCCAAAGCCCGTTGGTTGGTCTGTTGGAATGTGGGGGCGGGTGGGGCTTCTGGACTGGGAAGTGCTGCGCACCTTCCCTCATCTGCTGAGCGATCTGGCTTCACTGCTTCATGCTACACACCCGACAGCTGAATAGTTTTCTCCAAATCTCTTATTTCCCGACTCCTTGGCCACCATGTGTGAAGCTGAAGATCAGACCAAAAGGGGAAGGGGTTAAAATATAATATCTGGGGTTCGACCATTAAAAAGTTTAAATTTACAGGTAATCTGCAATACATGCCCTTAGTGTATTCCTTGTGGAGTTTTTTGTTTTTATTTATTTATTTATTTATTTATTTATTTATTTATTTAGTTAGTTAGTTAGTTAGTTAGTTTAGAACTTGTCTGTGTATTTCCGGACGGGGCACTCCAGCACTCCAGCATCTTCTAAAAGACCCAGTGTAGGGAGGGGTGTGTGTGTGTGTGTGTGTGTGTGTGCACTGTGAGCAGTCCTAGGTAGGTCAGATATCCCAGTACAACTACACCCTCCATCCATGCCCCCATCACGCCCCTATTGCAAGAAGAAAAATAAAACTCTTAGCCTTTCCTTTACGGAGGGAGGGAAGAAATTACTACATTACAGGAGGCTGGCACTGGAGTTTGAGGCTGGGATTCTGCTGGGAACAAAGCAGATAGTTAAAAGTGAACGTTGATAATTTGGGCTCTTTCCCAGGAAAGTTTTAGGGTTTCTAGAAAATTCTATATGTTCGGAATTTGAGGGAGTTTTTTTTGTTGTTGTTGTTTAAGCTAAACTTAGAAATTAACTTGCCCTCAAAATAAGGCAGCAGCTTGGATGGCAGTAGCTCAAGACTCAAGACCATTTATTTTCAAATGTGAAAAGGTCTCCAGATTGTCATAAAGCAGGCAAGAGACCATAAAAAGTAAGGATGGATAAAAATAAAATGAAATAAAAATTGGAAACTCAGTTAAGAAACTGAGAATTTTATTGTTTGTCAGATGCGATGGTTATCCAGCTTAGTAGTTTTCACGATGTTTGTATATGACATTTAATTTCCAGAAACTTTCCAGGAGAGGTACACATTATCATGTTGTACTTGTTTCTAGATCTTTAATAATAACAGTCATGGACATTCAAAATTAATAGTTTGCATTTTATGAATATTCTTGGTACGCAGATATAGATTTCATTATGCCAAACCATGATAAGGCATTTAGTACTGAAGTTTATTTCATAAGAATGTGCCCAGGATTCCCCCTAATATTCAGCCTTCATTACATGGGCTGTGATTTTATAGCAGTTAACTCTGGAGTAATCAAATAAATGAAGTAAAAATTATTTTCCTTTGGATACTGAAGGTTTTGCCCTCACTTCCTACCTTACCTAGTTGAGTTTTCATGTTGTAGCCACTATAATTAATCCTCCAATTTGAATTTAAATATTATTGAACTGATTGAATAACTTTCTGCTTTGACTAACTCAAAGTTTCTGACTTTAAAGGAGGATTTTCGAAAGAAGCATGTAGTTGTCTGACTATGAAGCAAATAACTTATGAATGATATTATTTATGCTGTAAAATATGAATTGTGCATTCAATCTCTTTCATCTAGTTTATTTCTTGGAAGAGTGAGAAGAGTATATATTTGGCTAACAAGTAACACCAATTAAGAACTGTTTCAAATAACTTCTACCCTCCTTGCCTATCCATGGTTGCTTATAAGTATAATGGAGCTTATTGGGGTTACAACTTAGAGACTGGCTGGCACAGAATTCTAGAATAATGCAGTAAATATAGAGGTGGTGATTGCTAAGAATTTGAGTATCCTAACATATTTTACTCTACATTGTACCCAACATAGACACACACAGACAGGTTACTTTTTCAGTATTTACATATACATTAAGGGTGGAGAAAAATAGTTATTGCCCAAGTCTTCAAAAGCAAAGATATTCAATTTCCCCAGCCCTCGTTTTCTGGTCTGGTTTCATAGGAAATTACATATCATACGTACATTGCGTGTGTGTGTATTTTATTTTATTGAGTGAATGTGTATAAAACTTTTTTGATGAAGGTTAACAGATGTTTCTCATTGGCAATGATTTATGAGAAATGGTTATCAAAAGGAGCCATCTCCAATTTTTTTCTTTGAATCCTCTTAATGTTATTATATTTTTAGTGCTATCTATATGAAAAAGCACATCTCTTGGATCATTTTCCATGAAGCTCATTTTTTTGAGTTGACATCCATCAGCTCAATGTTCCTGTTAAACTAGAGGTTCAACCTGGGCCAGCTTTAAGAATTTGTTTTAATCTTTTAAAA
This sequence comes from Homo sapiens, assembly GCF_000001405.40. Taxonomy (NCBI): domain Eukaryota; kingdom Metazoa; phylum Chordata; class Mammalia; order Primates; family Hominidae; genus Homo; species Homo sapiens. Next base: position 108,463,739 of record NC_000010.11, on the reverse strand, counting down.
CAAATAGCTGAAAAAATGAAATTATCTCATTTCAGCTATTTTATGTAGTAGGCATTATAATTCTCATTATATGGAAGAGAGAGCTGATGTTTAGAAAACCTGTGATGTGGCAAGGAAGTTGACTTGGTCTGTTCAGGTTGCTGGAACAACATACTATCAACTGAGTAGCTTATAAACAACAGAACTTTATTTCTGCTAGTTCTGGATGTGGGAAAGTCTGAGATCAAGGCACTGGCAGACTTTGTCTCTGGCGAGGGCCCATTTCCTGGTTAGTAGGCAGCTATCTTTCCCCTTTGTCCTCACATGGTAAAAAGGGGTATAACAGCTCTCTGGGGCTTCTTTTTTAAAAGCACCAATCCCACCGTGAGTGCTCTGACGTCAGGGCCTCATCATCTCCCAAAGCCTTCCAGGTCCCCAGTACGATCACCTTGGTGACTAGGTTTCAACCTATGAATCTGAGAGGGACACAAACATTCAGACCAGAGGAGGTGAAGAACAGAGCAGTGGGCAGGACTGTACTACACACCTGTTAGAACAGCCAAAATCCCAAACACTGGCAACTTCCAAATGCTAACAAAGGTGTGGTACATCCAAAACTGATGGGAATGCAAAATGGTAGTTATTTTGTAAGACAGATTGGAAGTTTCTTACGAACTAAAGATACTCTTACTGTAAGATCCAGCAATCATACCAATGAAACATTTATGTAAATGAGCTGAAAACATACGTGCACATAAAACCTTATTTTATTTTCTTGAGATGGAGTTTCGCTCTTATTGCCCAGGCTGGAGTGCAATGGCACAATCTTAGCTCACTGCAACCTCTGCCTCCCAGGTTCAAGCGATTCTCCTGCCTCAGCCTTCTGAGTAGCTGGGATTACAGGCATGCGCCACCACACCTGGCTAGTTTTCATATTTTTAGTAGAGATGGGGTTTCTCCATGTTGGTCAGGCAGGTCTTGAACTCCCAACCTCAGGTGATCCACCCACCTCAGCCTCCCAAAGTGCTGTGATTACAGGCATAAGCCACTGCACCCGGACCTTTTACATAATCTTTTAGGAATTCTAATCATAATTTGAGAAATTTGGAAGCAACCAAAGTATCCTTCAATAAGTATATTTATAAACTATGGTATCATTGTATCTACATAATCCATATAATGTAATATTATCCAGTGATTTTTTAAATGAGCTATCTAACCATAAAATATATGGAAGGGTCTTGAATGCTAAGTGAAAGACGCCAGTCTGCAAAGGCTATATACTGCATAGTGTCAACTATACCACATTCTGGAAAAGGCAAAACAGTAAAAAGATAAGTAGTTGTCAGGGGTTAGGTGGAAGGAAGGGATGAATATACAGAACACAGAGGATTTTAGGGCAGTGAAAGTATTCTGTATGGTTGTATAATGGTGGATACATGTCATTATTCATTTCTCAAAACCCACAGAATATTCAGTAGCAGGAATTGAAAGCAATATTTTTTGTCATCATCATGTGTAAATGTAGATTCATGGACTGTAACAAATGTCCCATGGCGGTATGGATGTTGACAGTGGGGGAGGCTGCCTGTGTCAGGGCAAAGGGCACAGGGAACTCTCTGTCCTTTCAGCTCAATGCTGCTGTGGACCTAACACTGCTCTAAAAATTATAGTCTATTAATAATAAAAATAACATTAGGTATAAACGATAAAAAAATAAACTCCAGTTGATCTTTCACCAAAGCCTAGGGAATATCTTGCCTTTCAGACTTTGATGCAGGATATAGGAAAATGACTATTAAAGAACTTGTATTTTAAATAATTTAGTTGGGTAAATTCCAGTGGATGGTGTTTGGTAATTTCATCTCTCTGTAGAAAAGAAAGACTTTAAACATGTGCCCGTCATGTCACTTTCTTGCCTAAGGTAGTGATTAGTGGTCCTCTCACCTACTCATCTCTTTATTTTTAGTGCTAGAATCTGTAACTGGCAATTCCTTGAGCCCAAGATAACCCATGATGATCATTCAGGTTATTCAGCAGACCATTTAATGGATTTGTGGTTCTTCTGGGTTAGAGTACTTCTCTGAGTTAATAAGGAAATACGATTCTGTTGAGAGGTCAGATATGAACACTTGATTTGATGTTTGAAAAGATCTTTTTACCACTTTTTAAAAGTAAGAAGATAGGGGCCAGGCGTGGTGGCTCATACCTGTAATCACAGCATTTTGGGAGGCCGAGGTGGGCGGATCATGAGATCAGAAGTTCAAGACCAGCCTGGCCAACATGGTAAAACCCCATCTCTACCAAAAAAAAAAAAAAAAAAAAATTAAAAAAAATAACTGGACATGGTGGCATGTGCTTGTAATCTCAGCTACTTGGGAGGCTAGGCAGGAGAATCATTTCAACCTGGGAGGCAGAGGTTGTAGTGAGCCAGGATCGTGCCATTGCACTCCAGCATGGGTGACAGGGTGATTCTCCATCTCAAAACAAAACAAAACAAAACAAAACAAAACAAAACAAAAAAACAATATATATATATGAAACTTGGTTTTTTGTTTTTGTATTTTTCAGCAAGACTATTTTTTTTTCTTTTCTAATTAAATAAAATTAGTGTTCTGGCAGTATTCATCAATGAAAAGGAATGTGTCAAGGAAAGCAAGACACTGTAGTGGAAAATTCATAATATTTGGTAGGAGACAGACCTAGTTTTGAATCTTAGAATCCCTGTTTATTAACAATGTAGTGGTCAGAAAGTCTCTTTGATTTCCTTATTTGAAATATGTTGATTGTGCCTGCCTGGCTTGCCAACCATGTGAGATATATGTCTAAAGCATTTACGCTTGGTGGGTACTTAATAATTGGTACTGTCTTTATTAAAGGAAAGTGTTTTCTGCTGGAATACAGGACGTTCTAGTTCTCTAGTTCTTAGGTTCTAGTTCTCATTCTCTATGTAAATTTAATTAGCCAAGTAATCATAACGCATTCATATTTCTTGATATCAATTTTATTCTCTATAATATCAAGATAAGCTAGAACTTCAGATCTGAAGTGCCATCCAGGTATGAATCAGTGTATCAGATTTTTAAGTTGCAGCTGTTGAGCACCAAGGACATCTAAGTGAAGTGCGCTGGATATCCTGGAGAAACAGAGATGATGCATAGATCTGTACCGTCAGTGTCGCTGAAATAACATATCACATTCACATGTAACGTTGCCCTTAGGTAGTTGAGGAAGTGTCTTCCCCACTGTTAATATGCATATTATGCAAAGAAATTCCTGAAATTTAAAATTTGGGGTGGGTTTTATTTAAATCAAAGTAAAAAAGATATTTTTCACACTGAAAAACAACCCATGAATATGTCTTTGCATAATATATTTGTATGAAGCATTATATAGAAAATATGTATTGACTTGATATAAGCATCTTCTGTCAAGCTAATACAGATAAAAAACAAAAACAATAAATGCTTGCCATAAGGACAGGTATCTGAGTCTGTATTGTTTATCAATATATTTCTGGGATCTAAAGAGTATCTGGCATAGTTTAAGGGATCAATAAATGATATATGTAGATAAATACATACATAGATACATAGACATGTAGAAACAGATATATCTGCAATGTAGTAAAATCACATGTGTTTTCTTCCAGAGTTGCCTGCAAAAGGAGCTTCTGGGCCTTTGTTTAAGAACTACCTTGTTTAGAAGAGAGGACTGTAGGGATAATTGTATTAATCTCACTTCACTCTTTGTGTATTATGTAGAAGTCAAGCTTCCCCAAAAGTCCATCATTAACTTCTTCATATTTAAGTATATGTGTGACTGATTCATTCCTTTATAGTAGAATTTGATTATCTAGGCTGTGATCTTTATTATCCACCGTTATTTAATATGTTTCTGTTTTTTAAAAAGGGGAACAGGAATGATTTTATTATCTTTTTGGTCAAGCAGCCCAAATCAAAGTACACAGTAGAGTGTGTGCATTATGTCAAGTTGGTTGGTGGCCCATTTTATTGTGTTATTGGTTTCCCGAATACTGTTCTCTCTAGTCAGCAAAGTTTACAAATGCAAATAAAAGACAGTGGTTATGCAAATTAAATCGATTACCTTTCAATATTTTAATCTTCATAGACTTATACAGTTTATAGGACATGTATACAGATTAATACAAAATTTATCAAAAAGAACTTATTTTATTATTAGAGTAATTTGAGTGAAATAAAAATGATTGCTTGAAGCTGCTCAGGGAGAAATATTGAATCTCTGAGTGAAGCATTACAGGCAGCTTGAAGGGTCTCCTCTTGGTCTAGTGGGCCAGGGAATTTGAGGTCACTTAGAATCGTTGAGCCTCTTCAGCAAATTACTGATGAAACAAACAAACAAAAACCATGGGTTCAGTGATATACATTGTTATCTCATAAACAACTCCCTTTGGTTACCATCTCAAAGGAGTAGAACATTTCTAATTATCAAATTACTAACTCCATTTCCCTCTACACTGGATAAACTAAAGTATCTATTTATGCTACCCTATTATCAGCAAGTATAATTTTATGACACAGTATATAAATTTCAGACTTAGGAATCAAACAGCCTAGTTTAATATTCTGGCTCAGGCTCTTACTAACAGTGTCATCCTGGACAAATTTTTTAGTATAGTTGACTCTTGAACAACACAGGTTTGAACTGTGTGAGTACACTTATATTCAGATACTTTTAAAAAAAGATATTAGAACTTTTTTGAGATTTGCAATGACTTGAAAAAGCTTACAGATGAACCATGTAGACTAGAAATACTGAAAAAATTAAGAAAAAGTTAGACATGTCCTGATTATATAAAATATACGTAGATACTAGTCTGTTTTTGTCATTTACCACCATAAAATATACACAAATCTATTGTAGAAAGTCAAAACTTATCAAAACTTCTTCATGCAAACACAGACCATGCATGATGCTATTCTCAGTGGGGAGAAATGTAAACAAACATAAAGATAAAGTATTAAATTATAACTACATAAAATTAACCGTAGTACGTACTATACTACTGCAATAATTCTGTAGCCACCTTCTGTTGCTGTTGCAGTGAGTTCAAGTGTTGGTACTATCCGCTTAAAATGCCCTGTGATGCTCTTCATCTCCACCTGAGCAGTTTCTCTTTCCAGCAAATTGTATTCTCGCATATTTTTCATCCTGTTTAGCGCAGCACTATAAACCTTGACTAACACCATAGGACCCATACAAAGTGCCACTAGTGTTGTTGGAAAAGCTCCCAAGAAACTGATGAAAGTCATAACATTACAAAAAAAAAAAGTTGAATTGCTTGATGTGTACCATAGATTGCAGTCTGCAGCTGTGGTTTCCTGCCATTTCAGATAGGTGATTCATATCATAAACAGAATACATGAACTTACATTATCAATAAATACAATATAGCACTGTAAATACATTTTATCTTTTCTATGAATTTCTTAATAACATTTTTTCTCTGGCTTTATTGTAAAAGTATAATATATATAATATTATAACATACAAAATATGTGCTAGTTGACTGTTATTGGTAAGGCTTCCATTCAACAGTAGACTATTTATAGTTACATTTTCAGAGAGTCAAGTGTTTTTTTTTTTATTATTATACTTTAAGTTTTAGGGTACATGTGCACAATGTGCAGGTTAGTTACATATGGATACATGTGCCATGCTGGTGTGCTGCACCCACTAACTCTTCATCTAGCATTAGGTATATCTCCCAATGCTATCCCTCCCCCCTCCCCCCACCCCACAACAGTCCCCAGAGTGTGATGTTCCCCTTCCTGTGTCCATGTGTTCTCATTGTTCAATTCCCACCTATGAGTGAGAATATGCGGTGTTTGGTTTTTTGTTCTTGCGGTAGTTTACTGAGAATGATGATTTCCAATTTCATCCATGTCCCTACAAAGGACATGAACTCATCATTTTTTATGGCTGCATAGTATTCCATGGTGTACATGTACCACATTTTCTTAATCCAGTCTATCATTGTTGGACATTTGGGTTGGTTCCAAGTCTTTGCTATTGTGAATAATGCCGCAATAAACATATGTGTGCATGTGTCTTTACAGCAGCATGATTTATAGTCCTTTGGGTATATACCCAGTAATGGGATGGCTGGGTCAAATGGTATTTCTAGTTCTAGATCCCTGAGGAATCGCCACACTGACTTCCACAATGGTTGAACTAGTTTACAGTCCCACCAACAGTGTAAAAGTGTTCCTATTTCTCCACATCCTCTCCAGCACTTGTTGTTTCCTAACAGAGTCAAAAGTTGTATGTGTATTTTCAACTATACAGGCAATTGGTTTCCCTAACCCCAACATTGTTCGAAGGTCAACTGTATTTCTAAGTCTCAGTTCTCTGGGGTCTAAAATGTGATGAATAATAGTGTCTGTCTCTAGGGTGGTTGTGAAGATAAAATGAGACATTCAAATAAAACATTTAGCACAAAACCTAAGATATAGTATGTGGTCAATAAAAGTTAACTATTTTGTTAATAACCCACTTTAAAATCTGTCATTGATAATCGAGGTACAATAGATGCTTAGTAACATGAGCTTTTTCCTGGTAAGCAGTAAATACATAGATACATGAACTCTGGGGAAGCTCGATCTATGATAGATGCTTGAAACCTTCAGGATTGTCATTGACAATGAAGCTCCAGAAGAATACTTTCCATGAGAGTCTATACACAGTGTGCCCTTAACCTTCTTATCCTTCTACTGAAACCCAACACTGCTGCTGTGGATAGTAGTGTCTGGCTGAACAAGCAGTCAATTTGCTGAATTCAGTTGATGGCAATTTCTTTAATTCACTGCTAAAAACTCCCTTGGGAAGCAAAAAATCTATTTCACTGTATAATTGTCACATGTGCTTTGTAAAACACATATAACAGTTTCTCTGAATTTATTTAATTAAATGATTTTAAATGTTCTTAACATAATGGCAAGAACCAAACTTTCCTGAATTTCATCATGTGTAAAGTGAAGGCATATTGGGGTTTACCTAGCACAGTGACTTCTAAACTTAGAGGCTGCAGTTGTCCTGAAGTCAAGGGAACTGATAACAGGAACCCAAACATACTTGTAATAATCCAAATACTCAATGAATATTTATCATCTAATCTTGGTTGATTGTATCTTCCATTTTTCACGCTTTTGGATGGAGTTGGTGATCTGCGCAGTGTTGCTCTCAGACTTATTGACATTGTTGCTTTCAAGTAAAGTAGAAGGAAGATAAAAAGGTTTTAGGTCAAAACAAAACAAACAAACAAAACCTTTTTATTTACATTTCCTAAACAATCTACCTGCCCATAATTCTCAGCAACTTACTTATCATATCCGACCTTATTTGGTACAGCAAATTTTGGGTAATACAAATATAAGCAAGGGATCAGGAGTTGGGGAAACAACTGGGGAGGAAGAAAATAATACTTGACTTTTACTCTGGATCTACTTTGATAATCACAGAAATAGAGATCTCAGACTCCAGAAGTCATATGTGTTTGTGTGCGTGCATGAGCATGCATGCAATTTTAGCTGGACTACACCTTCTCACGTGACTGGATTCTTTCCCAATCTGTGGATCCTCTGCAGACCATTTATCAATAGAGGCTACAGAGAAATCCATTCAATAGAACTTTCTGCAATGATGGAAATATCCTCTACTCTGCCAGCACAATAGCTTCTAGCCACCATGGCTATTAATCATTTGAAATCTGACTAGTGCAACAGAGTAATTGCAGTTTTAGTTTTATTTAATTTTAATTATTTTGAATTTAATTATTAATAGCTATATGTAGTCAGTGGCTAGCATATTGGGCAGTGCAGTTATATAATACCTCCTCTTGGTTGCCTTTGCCTGACAGCCATATACAAAATTCAGTGGTCTTTGCAAGCACCGTGATGAGCTATTCAAAAGCCTGATGCACGGATCTCTTCCTAAGGGAAAAGTGAAAGGGCCAGCTATGCCATGAGTGAAGCCATCCTCAAATTCAGTGTCTCCTCTGTGGTCACTTCTATACTCCCCATCCTCCTGTCCTCCTATGGTAGCTGATAATGCTTCCATAAGCTTTTCAGTTAGTGCAGTATCTGGCCTTGTCTTTGAAACCCCAGAAAAGAGTGTCTAGTTAGTACAATTCCCAGAAAGATTAGAGCAGCCATTTTACCTGAATAAGTCCATTGAGCTAAATTCTTATTGAGAGGTGAGAGAACCTGAGAATTCAGAACCAATGACCTTTAGAAATCATGAACCTCAGTGTTTTCCAAGTGTGGTACGTGTGATGCCATGGTGTGTGAAGTGATTTTGGGTGGGAGCATAATGCACTTTGATGTACTATTTCATTTTAATTTCATTAGTTAAACTTATTTTAATGTGTACCCTTGAGTTAATATTTGCATGATGTATCTCTTTCTATTTCTTTAATCTTTTGTGATACTACTCAAACCACTCAGTGACATTGTCTTGGACATACAAGGGGAAATTGGAGCACATTCGAAAGTGCTTTTTAATGTTTGAGAAAATGTATTCTTACATGAAAGTATCTGTGACTCATTTTCTTTTTAGCAGAATAAAATCATTCTGTTATTCTATCACTCTATCTCTCAAAGTGAGAAACTAATGTACATCTTTTTTGTCTTGTAGCCTAGAAACATAATTAGATACATCTGATGGAGTCAGGGCTGAAGGAATGAACTCTAGCTTTGGCTAGAGCCTGAGACTGCCAGAAACATGTGGAACTGATTTGCAGTCCTGGTTCTTTGTTCCCAGTCCCCAAGATAATTTAGCTTGCCTCTTTTTTTAAAAAGTAGTTTCAACATTTTGTTTTGGTCATTGATTTTATCTAGGCATATATTGATAGAGACATAAAGAAATATATGTTAGCAGTCTTTCCCTTGAGCTCACCATCTGGTTGGGGAGATAAGTTGGCTGGTTCTTTGAACAGTAGAAAAGTAAGAATAGCTGAATTAATTAAGTTTAACTATGTTTCTTAGGTCAGTCTCTGAGGCTCTGTCCCTACATGAGACGGACCTCATCAACTCAGTTGCCCAGTACAAGAAAGTGAACCAAGGCTGCAGTACGACTCCACTATGCTTTTGAAATACCACCCATGGTTTTCTGTTCCCACAAATCACTGTTTAACATGAACACTTATTTCCCACTGAGCAGTTATTTTGGGTTAAGTAAAGTGGGCTTACGGGGGCCATTTTAATGGCTTCTACTTCAGCCTATCAACCCTCAGTTTGTTCCTCATTCCTGTGACTGTCCTGCGCTCTTATGAAGAGAGTGATTCATTTATTCGAGTTTGGTTAAATAAATGAGAGAACAAGCATAGATGACCTGTTGAATTGCATAATTTTTTCCCACATCTTGCTTTTTCACAGTCATCTTTCATGATAAGTTATTGTAGAAGAATTTAGGTTTGGAAATGGGTCTTGATATGAAAGCCAGTGAGAGAGAAAGAGCAAAAAGGTAAGAAAAGAGAACTTGGAAAGTACAGTTTTATCATTGAGTGGGTGGATGGACTTCTATTACTGATAGTAATTGCCTCAACTAAAAATATTAAAGTCATTTAGGTTATTTCATGAACATTTGTTCAAATCTAAATTATATCAAAATATAAAAAAATACCCCTTGCAGGGAACATGGGTGTAGGTGTTGTACATGACAGCAAAACAGTGTCTTCAGGCTCCCTGCCAGTAAGTCCCTCTGCTTCACAAAACCAGGAGTTGGCTTTCACCTCTAGTCTTCTTTGTCCAAAACAGTTTTGTTTTACCATGACTTGCAGCTACAAGTGCCTAGAGGATAGCTTGAGGGACAGTATCTTCCAAGAAACAAATTACCCATTAAAAGCAAAGAGTCTATATGTCAGAGACTGGCCAAGTTCATTTCTACCACTCTGTGCCACCCTCTGCAGTTTACGCTCAGTTTCATTTTTTTAAATTTTGTCTCTTTTAAAAGAGGGTCTTATTTTGACTTAAAAACAGTTTTGGAACCCTTTTTGGAAAGAGTTGGTATATTTCAGGTGACCTGATTTTGCATTTTTGGTATACTTCCTCTTCCCCCCACAGCCTACAGAAGGCGAGGTGGAGGCAAAACCTCAGAGCTCACTTTGCTTTCTTAAGGAGAGCACTACTCTTGTAAAACCAGTTTGTAGGAAACAGTAAAATTATATGAAGGTCAGTAAAGTAGCTCATTAGTGTGGAGTCAGGCTTATCAGTTTATGAGGTCTATGTAATTAATTATTAAAGGATAAGACATTTGTAGAAATTACAAAAGCTTTCTGTTAAGGTCAAGGTGGTTGAGATTCAAGTTTAAACAGGTTTTAGTCTTTATCTTGATTCTAGAGCTTTCTATTCTGTGATGGGGATGAGGTTAAGGACTGTTTGCTGGATAGCATTTACACTAGATTATAAAAACTCCTGTAATCTTTCAAAACCAGTTTCCCAACTAAAGACTCTACTTTTTGAGGTAACTTCACACACACTCTCTTAACTGGCATACCATGTTTCTAATATGTCCTAGATTGAACAGGAGAATCTGGAACCAGGAGTGAGCAGAGCTGGCCCCAGGCCTTGGTGGCTGTGTACTAGTTCTGTGACCTGCAATCAGTCACTTAACTTCTGTGAGCTCCTCTCTTTCCGTCTGTAAAAAAGGAATATGTACTACCCACTTCCTGAGTAGATGTTGAAGATGTTGTAAAAGGTAAGAGCCCCTGGCACAAGGAAATCCTGGACCACACTAAGTGCATGGTGCTTTGAGGTTGAATCTCTATGAATTGTTTTTAATCCAAAAAGTGCTTTAAGACAGTGTCTTTAATAAGAAGTTTTTATGATGGCCAGTGGGGAAAATCTGTGGTTCTTAGCTCATCCCTGACCCATGTGTATGAATCAGCACTTTGGAAGAACATGAGTTTTGTGTCTGGGATTTATTTTTATGCTATGGAAAGAGCATCGGACAAGACTTAGGAGATTAGGGTTTTATCCTGACTATGTCGCATATTTGCAGGTTGATTTCGAGCAAATCAGATAACTCTCCTTCTGAGCACTAATGCCTTGTTTGGCGAATAACCAAATAACCTTCAGTGTGGTGTGGTTGTACTGAAATTGCTTGAGTTTGAAACCTAGCACTGCTTCGTGTGATATAATCTTAGACAAATACATAGCTAAATGTGCTTTGGTATCCTTCTTTGCAAAGTGCGCATAATAATCATACCTACTTCATAGAGTTGTTGTCAGGAAGACATGCAGTGATAAAAGCAAAATATTTAGCAGAGTGTCTGTCATAAAGGGTACTCATAACGTCTTAGTTGGTGTGATTTCATGTTCCTTAAATTAGTTTACCCAAGGCAAAATCTTCCATATGTTCTAATCTACTATTGGCTCATATCCAAGACATCTCTCTCTTCACTAAGTCCCTGTATCAGTCCATTTATTTTCATCATGCTATAAAGAACTGCCTGAGACTGGGTAATTTATAAAGGAAAGAGATTTAACTGATTCACAATTCAGCATGGCTAGGGAAGCCTCCAGAAATTTACAATCATGGAAGACAGAAAGGAGTAAGCAATGCACCTTCACATGGTGGCAGGAAGGAGAAGTGCTGAGCGAAGTGGGAAGAGCCCCATATAAAACCATCAGATCATGTGAGAACTCACTATCACGAGAACAGCATGGGGGAAACCACCTCCATGATTCAATTACCTCTACCTGGTCTCTCCTTTGACACATGGGCACTACAGGGATAATGGGGATTATAATTCAAGATGAGATTTGGGTGGGGATACAAAGGCTAAGCATATCAGACCCCTTTTAAAATATTTACAGTAATCTGTCCCATGGTGTTTTATTTTGTTTTGTTTTATTTTGTTTTGTTTTATTTGTTCACGATTATTTGTGTGGCAGGGCAAAATGCTTTAAAACATTTTTATAAATACTCTGTATGAAGGGGACAAACTGCCAAAAAGAAAAAATGAAGGAAGAGTAAAGGAGGAAGAAAGATGTGGAGGAGCAGAAGGGGAAGGAGAATCTGGAGGAGGAGAAAAACAAGAAAAAAATCTTTTCCCTGATAAGTACTATGGCCCTGTGAATTTTTTGGCAGAAATACTGTACATGTGTCCTCTTGGTCCACATAGCTTGGATGCAACACACTTCTCTCCAACTAGAACCTAAGATAGGTAGTTTCTTTTGCACCAGGCTCATTTTCCAATTCATGGAATGAACACTTTAACCATTTGGCGTGGAAGAGCAAGTCGTTTCCCTCACTGTGTCAGCTTCCAGCCTACCTCAGACAGAGCCAAACTAAGAAAAGGTACTGCATGAAGTGTTTGAACTGAGAGGAGCTTCCAGGGACCAAGGCCTTAAGATTATGATGTGACCTCAGCAGTGTCTTCTTCCTGATAAATTATGATGTTGGGTGAAATGTGAGGCCATGATCCCAGAAAGAAAAATCAGATATAGCATCCAAGGGCCCAGGGGAAGTTGCCACCAGCCCTCCCTGTCTGTTCTTCAGCACTGGGCCAGTGCTGCTTTCCGTAGTCTTTTTTGGGATTTATTTTATGGACATCCAGGCTTTAGGCATGTAGCCTTTTTGCTTGGAGACCAGAGAATGAAGCATTGGGCTGGAAGTTGACCAGGCCTAGGCTGGCCCTGGTTTTGCCACTAATCATCCATATGACTTAGAGTAGGTCATTTAATATCTGTGAGCCTCAGTTTCTTCACATGAATGATGAAAATAGTCATAATGTTGTTATGAGTGTGTATTAAATCACAGCTTTGTTGCTTTGGGATATTAGCTCTGAGAAAGTATCAGTAGAGTTAGAGTTTACCTAATGCAGCCATGACTGAGGCATGGATCCTCCTACTCATTACCATCAGGACCAGGGAGCCTCTAGCATCTCACTCTCACTGAACACCATCATGGCTAGGGATCATGCTTCCTCAGTAGGTAGCTGATCTTACATTTGGGGAGCTGTGGTTAGTATGAAGGTAGAATGTATGCTTGATTTTTGAAGAAACAAAAATTATTCTGGAGGTTTGACCCCAGAACAGCTCTCAGGAACCAATAACCAAGGTTGATATAATAGAGAGTCTACTGGCATGTGTGAGCACAGACACCCTGAGCTGAGGCACGCCTGTGTTTGAACTGTGGTTTCTCTTCAGTACAGGTAGATATTTTTCTTGTTGGTCCTTGTTCAGTAACCTTCTGTACATGTTCTTCATGTTTTCCTGGTAACCCCAGATCAGTATCTGTGGCTAATGTAACCAACTGTGTTAACCACATCCCTCATGTGTCCCGTGTAAATGGTGAGCCATCTTCTGTTGGTTTCCATTTACTCCTGTCCTCTGTGCTAATGCTGAGTACTGAGTGGTGTCCATCTCTGGTAAATGAGTTTTTGGTGATTCTGGTAAAAAGCCATATAATCTGCTTCTCCTTTCTCACTTAGTACATTTTGAAGTTAAGAAAATACTAGTGTTTGAATTTCCAACTTTGTTTCCAATGGAGAATACAATAATAGAGCTGTATTCTCTCATGAAGTGAGGTTAAAGGAAAGACAGGAGGGAGCAGGGTTGTGTTGGGTAATGGAGGTATCCTAAATTCTCCACAATATTCTCATCTTTAATTAACAGGTTCGAGTCAACCAATTAAAAGCAATAGATCACATGAAGATGAGTATATCTTCTGTTTGTTGGGACATAATCCAGAGAGGATCTTTCTCCCCAGATATTATGGGATGGCCACATTTTACAGCTGAGAGTGGTAAGTGATCAGGTGAAGCAGAGTAAGTACCTGTGGACAGCTCCATTGAAGTACATGTAGCAAAAATAGCCATGTGTGACTTTGTACAAAATGTCAGGTGGTCATTTAAGGCTTCTTGGCACTGTATATGAGGGAGTGTTTTAATCTTGCTGTGTTGCATGAAGCATTTGGGAATTGAGAAGCAGAGTCTTGCACTGTATGTATGCCGGTTCTCCCACAGAAAAGAGAGGTGGCATCAGTACTTTCTTATCAGCTAGGATAATCACACAGGGGAAGTCAAAACCTTCCAAAAGCAAGGGACAGTAGCCAAGGCTTAACTTGGTATAACAGAGATTATTCTTGTATGTGTGCAAATGCCCAGAGTGCCAGGTGAGGGGGCCGAGGGACCTGGAGCAGGTTTGTAGGATCACACGGATGATCAAGGTTAGATCAGAGCCATAGCCTTGACCTGAGGAGACACAAGCTGTCTCCTAACAGACAGGCAGGAGTCCTGCAGACACTAATTTCAAATGACAGTGACACAGGTGGTCAAAATTCCTAGAAAAAATTTTTTTACAAAGGCCAGGTGTGGTGGCTCATGCCTGTAATCCCAGCACTTTGGGAGGCCGAGGCAGGTAGATCACCAGATGTCTGCAGTTTAAGACCAGCCTGGCCAACTTGGTGAAACCCCATCTCTACCAAAAAAAAAAAAAAAATACAAAAATTAGCTGGGTGTGGTGCATGTGCCTGTAATCCCAGTTACTGGGGAGGCCAGAGGCAGAAAAGTTGCTTGAACCCAGGAGGCGGAGGTTGAAGTGAGCCAAGATCGCACTATTGCACTCCAGCCTGGGTGACAGAGTGAGACCCTGTCTCCAAAATAAATAAATAAATAAATAAACAAATAAATAAATAAAATAAAAATAAAAATAAATTGGCATGAACCAAGAAAATAGTTACTTCCAGAAAAAATGAAGCTAAAAAACCCAGACCTCTTTATATGAGGAAGCCACTTGCTTTATCCAAAAATATTTGTGTACTCCTCAAGGTAGGGATTTTTCTCAGTTGGGGACTGATTGAGCATTTTGAGTGGTAATAAACAAAAATACCGGTGAAGGATGAAGAGTAATGGAGAACACTGCCATTGGCTCTTTCCTCTAGCTGGTTCTCCCAGCTGGAAACTCTTCCAGCTTATAGAGCAAGGTCAGGTGTTTCTCTGGGATCTTAGCTCCTTGATGCCGGTGATTTCAGCATCAGGATGTTGTTCATAGTGTGTCACCTGCAGCGACTTTTTGAAAACAAAGCTGTGAGGGTGAATGCTGTGAACTCCCTCTGTGTCATCTGCAGTCTCATTGTCCTGATATCACCTGTCTTACAGAAATGTACTCAGGAAGGAAACGGGCTACCAGGAGGCTACTGGTGCCTCAGTGGAGAGACAAACCTATCTCCAAACATGACTGACACTTCTGCATTTTAGAAATATGGTCTGGGTCAGCACTCGTGAAAAAGGAAAAAAGCAATAAATAAAATAAAACATGCTCTGGCAAAAGGCAGAAACATGGCAGGCAATCTCCAGACCCTTCCATCATCCCTCCTCTTCCTCTTTTCCATCTACCTTTCTTGGTGTTGCTTGTTTTCCTAATCTAAGAAGAACCTCCAAACTTCCATAAATTTTGTTTGGCAACAACTATGATTTTCTTTTTATTATTATTTTAATTGTTGAGAATAATACCAACATAATGTTGCTGCTGCAGAGGATTATGCCTTAGAAAGCTGAAAACTCCTGGCTGGGACGCTCCTCCTGCCAGAAGCCAAGGTTCTCCTGCCTGTGATGGCAAAACAACCTTTTACCTGATCAGATTCCAGCTCTGACTAGTACTGTGTGTATATATACATATATATATCTCCTTCTTGACATTTTTCTGTTCATGGATAAACATTACACATGTATGTGTGTGTGTGTGTATATATATATATATTTAAATTATCTATATAGCAAATGATTACACAAACTTGATCATATTACACATTTTTATGCAGCTTGAACTTTCACTTGATGTTACTTCTTAGCCATGTTTCCCTATCCATGCATGTAGGCGTACCTCATCCCATTTAATGGCTATAAACAATTTCATGAGATAAACCTATTAATTTAACTCAATTAAACCTTAAAATCTATCTTTAATTTAGATTACATTAAAACATGAATAAACCAAAACATAACTTTGGTTATTCACCTAAGTAAAATTGTCTCTGTTTGCATCTTGCTCTAGTTGGAGGCCCAGAAAGTGAAATAAAATAATCTATTGAAGTCCAAAAATCAGGAACCATGGAATAAACTGATTTTGAAATAGTATGCTAGTTGTACTAGGAAGTACTATGTTCAATATGTTTTCCTTCAACCACTATATTTTAGGAATGTCCAAAAATTCTAGAAGCACAAGGAATAAAATATATTTATGTCCTGCCGATTGAGTATATTCATCATTCAGAACCATGATAGACAGCAAAATCGCAGCAACATTATCCTATATCAATAATATGCGTTTAATCTAAGTTTAAAAATAACTTATCTGAGATAATTTTTCTTTCTTTGCTCCTTCCAAGAATTCAGTTCCAACTTGATTTGCGAGTGGAATGAAGGTTCCGAGATAGTTTTAAGTTAAAATTTTTAACCAGGACACAGAAGAACAGGAATAATTCTTCAGACCTGCAGTATATGTTTCGCCAGAGATCAATTGTTGGATGTCTTTGGTTCAGAGTTGCTTGTACATCCAACATGTTCCATAAGAATGGGCTTAAATAAATGCACTCTCTTGAATAATTGGACATACAGCAATTATATAATTCATCTCTTATCCTCCTCCCTTTACCCCAGCAAGTCTAGAGTCCTGGGACTTGACAGTTATGTTCTCTATGATATCCCCAAGGTTTCCATTTCTTAGGAAGTAGAAACCACAAATTGAAGCTGATTTGTAGTTTAAACAGACTATAAGTCAAGTGTGACTGTAACTCCTCTGTTTGCTAACCAGGGTATTAAGCCTGTCTCTTCCCAAGGCAGTCTCAGAGTAAGTTTGATTTAATTGGCAAAACCCAAGAAACAAAAATGTCCAGGTGCCTGGTGCCTGGAGCTTTTTGCTGGAGCCTATTTTGCCTTGGCATTTAAATTCAAGAGAAATAAACTAGGCAAAAATGGCACCATAAAGATTGCAAATACCAGACAAAAATGTAAATTTACAAGAGCACGGGGGAAGACTGGGTCATAAAAATGTGGGTCAAAATAAATGGTCTTTCTCACTTTTAAATGAATGGAACAACTTTTGGATAGAAAAAGCAGGCACTAGATAAAAATTAGACAGTAACCCCCAACGGGTGGGTCTTATTTATTTGATTTGCTGTCTTTACCCTCATGAAGTTTTATGTCTAATGAAATGAGTTTCCACAAAGGGTTCAGATATGGGGATACTTTCCTTCGACATACCAATTACTGATTTCTGGGAAGTTCTTTCTCCTTCTAATGAAACCTTCTAGTCATGAAACATGGGCCAGTGAGAGCATTCCCACAATCCCTTCCCAATCAATGCTTCTCCAGCTAGATAGACAGGGTGTTTTTTGCTTTGTTTTGTCCTTGATGAGAAATTGTCAGTAACTTATCAACATTTTAAAATACGGGCTTGCATGATAATATAATCCCTGACCTGAATTTGGCCCACAGGCTCCAGGTTATGGCACCTTAGATTGCAACCTTCTTGAGAAGGTGCCTAATTACCTCCCATCCCCCAAGGTCTACTACACATGACGCTGGGGGCATGTTTACCAAATGAGTTATTAGCAAATAGCAGCCACAGTAAAAACTGAAAGAGTCAGGGTGACCACGAAGATTCAGTCATTCCCATCATGATACCTTTGAAAAGATGCGTTGACCATACTATGTATTGTCTCACAGCAGAGGAATTTTTCAAGGCAGAATATTCTGTGTTCTGACTGCAATGTTGTTGTCCAAACAAAAGTGTGTTATGGAGTTGGAAGGGATCATGTGTGTCATCTAGCCAACCTCCTCATGGAACAGATGAGAAGATTGAGGTCAGGAGTAAAGATGTAGCCCAGTGTCATTCTGATTCCTGGTCTCCTGGCTGTGTATGCAGGACACTTTCCAACAGAAGGTAATGCTTACCCAATCCTGAAATTCCCCGATGCCTGTCACATAAGTAGGCACATTCTTTAATTCTAATCCTCCTTTTAGAAGGCCACCTCCATCTAATTATCATTCTGAATCATTCCTCTTGAGTCTAGTTCAAGTCTCACACGTGTGTTTAAAGATTTTTCTTTGTTTATTTGTTTCTGATTGTTCCAGTTGGAACACCCTCCTCTACATTTCTGTAGCACTTACTTTCCTTTTGAGTCTTAACCAACCATTCCTTTTCATTATTATGAAATTTTTTAAAGTCTCCCCAGAGATAATAGAAACTCTTATATAATACAAGAAATTTCACAGGGTCTGCCGTATAGGAGATATTTAATAAATAATCATTTATTGATAAGACTGGTAGGAAAACACCAAGGATGTTTATAAAATAGGGGTTAAAGATGCAGAAATGCCAGTGTTCGTTGTTGAGCTATGTTCATTGCTGAACTGCCTTCATGTTGAGCCAGTTGAGAGGGCACTTTTGTTTACCATAAGAGTCACAAAGGTGAAAGCCTCCGTATCTGGACTTCCTTTCACAGTTGCAGGTGAGGTTTGACAAAATGAAAAATAGTCTCCAGAGGCCTCTAATGCTAAACTAGCTTAGTATTTAATTCAGCATCCCATAAAGGATGCTGGATCAGCCAGGAGGAATTTTAACACTGCAATTATAGTAATTCACTGTATTTTTACATTTTATGCTTCTTCAGGGTCTGCAAACTCCCTAGAGGAAAATTTGGATTTTGCTAAAATTCTCAGTCTCATAATGTCCTTAAAAGAGTTGAGTAAAATAGGTTTAATCCTGAGTACTGGTTCTTTTACTAGAAGTTTATAAGGAATGCAAGAGCAATGGTATGGTTGTCTCTTAGTTACAACTTGATTTGGAAGAAGAGCAGCATCCCCAATCTTAAATTTCTGACTTGGCTACAAATAATCTTTAACTGTTTTAATTTTTATGTTTATTTATTTTTTATTTTTTATTTTTTTGACACCGAGTCTTGCTCTGTCATCCAGGCTGAAGTACAGTGGCTCAGTCTTGGCTGACTGCAATCTCTACCTCCTGGGTTCAAGCAATTCTCTTGTCTCAGCCTCCTGATTAGCTGGGATTACAGGCAACCACTACCATGCCCCGATAATTTTTGTATTTTTATTAGAGTCCGAGTTTCACCATGTTGACCAGGCTGGTCTTGAACTCCTAACCTGAGGTGATCCGCCTGCCTTGACCTCCCAAAGTGCTGGGATTACAGGCATGAGCCACCACACCCAGCCACAAATTTTTTAACATCTGCAAAGGACTAAACTCTTCTAAATCAGGGGGAAGTGGAAAAAAGTTTTTTGTGAAGGGCTTCAAAGTAAATAGTTTTGGTATTGAGGCCCACCCAAAGTGAGAACTTCTATGATGAGAACTTTGAATATGGCAGCTAAAAAGCCAATCATGGTATCTCATCCTCACCCATTTGAACTTTGTCTGTCCCCTAAGTCCTACTCTCATATTCATGCATGCCTTTGTCTCTGCCTGTTCTTCTTACTCAGCTTCTCTGACCAGAGTTTGGGGATGCAGGAAACATTCCATAGCCTTCCACATGGAGTAAGTTCTCCTAGCCATGTGGAGCCATGTGAAGATCCCTTGATTCAGGAGGTTATGATGCTTTGTGTGCAACTGGTACAGAGTAGAATCTGAATGTTGTCTTGTTGCAATCATGAAAAGTAGGGACAATAAAGGCAGTGCTTTTAAGAGAGTCTGGTGGATATATGGAGCTTGATGGTAGCTATATATGAATGTTTAGGGTGGAAGTGGGGAGTAGAAAATGGAGATTCCCTTTTGAGATAATTTCTCAATATTAACCAGCGGTAACACAATAGCTGGAGAACACCAAGGTAAAGCCCTTGGTCTCTGGAACCCACTGCCTAGATCTTCCAATCTTCTATCTGCCACTACTCACTGTGTGACCATTGGTAAATACTTAACTTATTTTTTGTTTCAGTTTCCATATGGGTAAGTGGGGTAATAATAGTGTATACCTATGAGACAACACATGTAAAGTGCTCAGAAAAATATGTGACATAAAGTTTCCACTAAATAAATGTCAGCTGCAAGTGTTATGTTTCCCGAAGCACCTTAATGATCACCTTGCCTCCATGTTGCAATCCTGAGGTTGGTAGACTGGGGATTGCCATGGCCATTCTACAGGTGAGACACTGACAGGTCCAAAAGTTAGTTGGTTGGAGTGTCTGGATTGGGATTTAACTGTCCAGGTTCTGATTAGAATTTTCTCTCCATATCATTTTTTTCCTTTTCCAGGGAGTGAGAGAAGCCTGTGGCATGTTTGCATGCAGTGGTGAAGGGCACATGCCTCTGGCCAAGAGAGAGATTTTTCAAGGAAAGGTGTTCAGGGAGATCATTAGAAAACTTGCAAGATCAGACCCTCAAGTTTCAACAGCTGGCAGTGTCATTTGTTAAGAAATAAAAGAACATTACTAGGGAGTCCAGCAGGGGAATTTTCCAACTAACCTCCACATTGCTGGGTACAGCATGTTTCTGTAGACGTCATTTATGCATCCAGCAATTACCAATGGTTTTCTTTAGAGAAGGCCAAGGGAGAAAAATCTAAGAACGCAAACTGACTTGCAATCTATCAATTCCTGAATTCCTGGGGAAGACCCTCCCTTGCTTCCCCACCATTGATACTAAAGGCAGGCATGTGGATTCCACTTAGTTGCTGGAGTGGTAGGGACTCGGGGATCAGTGTGTCCAGGCCAGGGTCTATGTACAAGGGAAGTAAATTAAGGAAGTTTGATTTTGCCACCTCAGAAAGAGGTTCTCTGCTGAGTGGGGAGGAAACAGAAAGTTGTATCATGCAAGGTTGCTCCTTTCACAGAATTCTAGGGTCTCCCTGGTTGGGTCCCAGCACTCTGTTGCATTGACATATCCTTTACCACTTGGCTCAGGCTGCCCCAAACTGTCCTGTAATTCTATTTTGTTATGAGAACAGCTTACCTTTAGTGTCTCTGATCTTTTCATTATTATTATTATTATTATTTATTTATTTATTTTTATTATACTTTAAGTTTTAGGGGACATGTGCACAACATGCAGGTTTGTTACATATGTATACATATGCCATGTTGGTGTGCTGAACCCATTAAATCATCATTTAACATTAGTTATATCTCCTAATGCTATCCCTCCCCCCTGCCCCCACACCACAACAGGCCCCAGAGTGTGATGTTCCCCTTCCTGTGTCCATGTGTTCTCATTGTTCAATTCCCACCTATGAGTGAGAACTTGCGGTGTTTTGTTTTTTGTCCTTGCGATAGTTTGCTGAGAATGATAGTTTCCAGTTTCGTCCATGTCCCTACAAAGGACATGAACTCATCATTTTTTATGGCTGCATAGTATTCAATCATGTATATGTGCCACATTTTCTTAATCCAGTCTATCATTGTCGGACATTTGGGTTGGTTCCAAGTCTTTGCTATTGTGAATAGTGCCAAATAAACATACGTGTGCATGTGTCTTTATAGCAGCATGTTTTGTAATCCTTTGGTTATATACCCAGTAATGGGATGGCTGGGTCAAATGGTATTTCTAGTTCTAGATCCCTGAGGAATCGCCACACTGACTTCCACAATGGTTGAACTAGTTTACAGTCCCACCAACAGTGTAAAAGTGTTCCTATTTCTTCACATCCTCTCCAGCACCTGTTGTTTCCTGACTTTTTAATGATCGCCATTCTAACTGGTGTGAGATGGTATCTCATTGTGGTTTTGATTTGCATTTCTCTGATGGCCAGTGATGATGAGCATTTTTTCATGTGTCTTTTGGCTGCATAAATGTCTTCTTTTGAGAAGTGTCTGTTCATATCCTTTGCCCACTTTTTGATGGGGTTGTTTGTTCTTTTCTTGTAAATTTGTTTGAGTTCATTGTAGATTCCGGATATTAGCCCTTTGTCAGATGAGTAGATTGCAAAAATTTTCTCCCATTCTGTAGGTTGCCTGTTCACTCTGATGGTAGTTTCTTTTGCTGTGCAGAAGCTCTTCAGTTTAATTAGATCCCATTTGTCAATTTTGGCTTTTGTTGCCATTGCTTTTGGTGTTTTAGACATGAAGTCCTTGCCCATGCCTATGTCATGAATGGTATGGCCTAGGTTTTCTTCTAGGGATTTTATCTTTTCATCAGATTAGAAGATCCTCACAATTTCAATCCCAGGCTTGTCACCATAATAGGAAATACACACACCAGCAGTTCTTCAGGAACTCTGTCTTCCTAGAACTTAGTGACTCTCCCTGATTTTTCCAAGTTATGTCTCTTGTATGACAAAGCCTGACATAAATTATTCTCTGTGCTGAGAATTAATCTTCAATTTCAAACATGCTACAAATATCCCACTAGAGGTTTTTTTTTTTCTTTTAATGAAAGCTCCATGCTGCTGTGTCAAGAGGATAATGTGCATGCTGACCCCTGCACTGGCCTGCAAGTTATTTGCCCTCTCCACATATTGTTTTGAACACTACAGCCTCAGATAGTCAGATTGATTAGTTCAGTTAAAGCTCAACTCAAATTATGTTTGAAGTCCTGCATTCAGTCCCCAAGTGGATCAAAAATTTGCTTTGTTCCATGGTCATGGCCATTATCTGTAAGCCTGCCCCATATCTACGGGTGTCTGAGGCTTCTTTTTCCACTCCTCAGTTCCTCAAATCTGAAAACTGAGCTCTTTGATTTCCACCTCCAGGAGCAATCACACATCAGGCTTCAGGACTAAACCCTTCCCTGGTTGAGAGGATTTAGAGGGCTCTAGGTGATTACTGTATTGATACCAAGTACCCTTTCTGCTATCTCTCTTTCCCCTTTGTGTACCACTTCTAGGAACATCTTTGCCTTAATTTTTCAAGCCTGAGAATTGAGCTTCTGTTTTATCTCCAGCTTTTGTTTTGTGCTTGGTCTCCCAGTGGAGAGACAATGGCTTTGGAGTCACAGAAACCTTATTCAAATCCTGAGCCTACCACTAATCAATCAGTTCTGTCACTTTGGGGACTATAATGGTTAATTTTATGTGTCAGCTTGACTTAGTTAAGAGGTGCCCAGATAGCTGGTAAGATATTATTTCTGGACGTGTCTATGAGGATGTTTTTGGAAGAGGTTAGCATTTGGAGAGGAAGACTGAGTAAAGAAGATTGCCCTCACCAACACAAATAGGCATCATTCAATTTGTTGAGGACCTAAATAGAATAAAAAGGTGGAGGAAGGGTGAAGTTGCTCTCTTCTTGAGCTGGGACATCTTTTGCCCTCAGATGTCAGTGTCCCTGGTTTTAGACCTTTCCACTCACTGAGACTTACATGATTGGCTCCCTGGTTCTCGGAGTGTAGGGTTTTAACTGAATTGTTCTAGGGATGTTTCTCAGCCTCCAGCTTGCAGATCATAAGACTTCTCAGCTTCTATAATTCTATAATTGTGTGAGGCAATCCCTCACAATAAATCTCTATTATTCTGTTATCCTCTACTGTATTCTATTCTCTATTCTATTCTATTCTATCCTATTCTACTCTACTATATTCTATTCTGTTCTATTGTTTCTGTTTCTCTGGAGAAACTGATTAATACAGGCAGGTTCTTTGGCTTCTCTCAACCTCATTTGTTTTATCTGTTAAAAGTAGTTTAAATGGTTTAAAATACTGTCTTGTAGTATTATGAAAAGTAAATTCAATAGATTATAAAGCGTGCCTTGTAAAAATTAGATGTTTACTGAATATCAGTTTTCTCCCTCTTACCTTTGCCCTACCTGAAGTTCTACCCCTGGAGCCAGCCACATTTGCATATTTTGATGCCAGTTGTCTGCTTGAATTTCCATATTATTCTCACCCTAAGCTGGCACAAGTTCATATTCATTTCACATGGTGAAAGAGACTCTTTTTGCTGTACTCTGTGGAGGTGACACTACCTGGACCATTATGTCTCACCTTACTTTCCACCTCACTGCTCTGCTGCTGTGTTTCTGTGCTGCTCACTCCTCCAGCAGGTATGTTTAGTACCATATCTCGGATCCCATCAGTCTGTTTTCTGGCATGGCCCATTCTTCTCTTTTTGCAAGATATGTGAGAAATAATTTCCTAGTCTGTAGCACTGATCACTATGGAACAAGCTGAAGGAGAGTGTGCATGAATCAGCATTATCCAGTACCATCCCTGGAAAGCTGTTTCTAAGGCATCTGGTGTGGAAAGTGGGTCACTTGCATTGTTCCATGTATGGAAGCCAGGGGGAGAGCCCTCATCAGAAACCAAATCAGCTGGAACCTTGATCTTCTAGCTCCAAAGCTCTGAGAAAATAAATGTCTTTTGTTTCAGCCACCCAGTCTGTGGTATTTTGTTGTGGCAGCCTGATCAGACTAACAAAGTTCTGTATACATTGTGTCATATTTAAGTTGTACAAGGAGACCTACCCATTTAAAGGAGTGCAGTTGCTTCTTTTCCCAAGCTATTCATTAAAAAAAAAGCCTAAAGTTGACCTTATTTAAAATGCAAAATTTTGCAATGGTGTCTTTTCTTAAAGGGGGCTTTATTGCATATGTCACTGAACTCCCCTGGGGAAGTTTCTCTGAATACACGAGGTCCTCTATTTGAGTATATCTTGATGAAACATCCCATAATGGATTCCATTTCTTCATTAGACAGTCATCTCTTAAACTCAGCATCCTGGGAAATGTTTCAATTTTTTCTTCCCCTGAAGGTTCTGTCTCACTATGGCTTCCACAGCCAGGTGCTATGTATAAGCTGCTAAAGACCAAAGCAAAACCTAGCACAAAAATTAGTTTTGCAGCAACAAAAACTATTTTTGCTTCCAGCCTGAACCAATTATATCTACTTCAGGGAATTTATTTAGGATAATTATCTGTCTATCTAGTACATGCATCTTCCTGCTTCTTGATGACCTCAAGCTATCCTGCTCATTCCATAATTCAACTGACACACCAAGCCTGAACTCATAGACTCAAGCTTTAATTCACACTGTTTTACTCTTTTCCCTCATTCTCTGTCTCTTTTATTTTCTCCTAGCGAGTCACATGTCCATTCCCAGGACAGACTTTCAGGTTGTTCCTTATGGACATTTGAGGACTTTCTCTGGCATGTTGTGTAGGTAAACATAAATAATTTATTACTGTTATGAGGTGGACACATCTAGAGAGGATATTTATCCCCCAAAACTCTTCATTCACACTCTCCCAATCAAGAAGTATCAATTATTTGGTTGTCTGGACTTCCATAGGCATCAGTAAGAGTCTGCAGCCTCTTCTCCTTTCAAAACTCAGCCATCAAAGGAAGTTCAGAATCTCAAGTTTTGTCAAGCAAATCACAGAGCCCAGAACCTTACAGGTGCTCTAGCTCAATGGGCTCCAGATCCACCTGTTGTAAAATCCAGGTAAATTTCAAGAAAGCATATAATTTGGGAAATAAATTTCTTAAGTCAGGTCCCTAAAATATGAAACACTGAAATCAGACATCCAGCTGTTAGAGATGGATTTCATAAAAAGAAAAATGTACATGGGGAAATACATGATTCAGAATAGGAATAGTTATTAAATGGAGTAAATTTAGACCCATGAAAAACTGAACTCTTTTTTTCTGATTTTTATCATTTTACTGAAAACTTGGTCATTGTCTTGGCACAGGGCCTTCAGTCCTGTGGGAACTTATTATCTGGTTCAAAATCCCATTTGGTGCTGCAAGGGGAAGCAGATTATTCAAGGGCTCTCAGTAAGTCCTGGCCAAGCAGGGAATACCCATATTGCTAGAAACCCAGTCCAAGGAAATTTTGTCTGCTTAGGCTCTACATAGCTAGTTAACCACCACCCTGGAGGTATTCAGTGGAAAGGATTCAGCTTCTTTGGGTGGTGCTTGTTTAGGGTTCCAGGCATGAGGTACACACAGTACATATTTTCTGAAAATATTTCATGTATATTGCTATCATTCAGTCCTCACCACTGATGAAAAGTTATCTCCTATCTGTATGTCATACAGTCATTATAGCATCATGTTATTACTTCACTAAAAAAAAGAGTTACCCTTTGATCACCTGAGGTTAGGAGTTTGAGACCAGCCTGGCCAACATGGTGAAACGCTGTCTCTACTAATAATACAAAAATTAGTCAAGCGTGGTGGTGCATGCCTGTAATCCCAGCTACTCGGGAGGCTGAGGCAGGAGAATCGCTTGAACCCGGGAGGCAGAGGTTGCAGTTAGCCGAGATCGCGCCATTGCACTCAATCCTGGGCGATAAGAGTGAAACTCCATCTCCAAAAATAAAAAAATAAAAAAGATGTACCCTTTTTCCTTCAAATAGAAACACCTATCTCACTTGAACTCTTAAGGCCATTTACCAATAATCCCTCCTATTTTATTTATCATCTCTCTCATTATTATTTTTAACTCATCTTTATAATATTCACCCCTTCTTCCTACAATTATCCTCAGCATTCTTCTGCCATATAAGAGCAATTTCTGACTCCCTGTTATTTAGTTAAAATTTATGTATTAAGTGCCTCTAGATTTCAGGCTTTGTAGGAGGTGTTAGGGATACAACAATGAAGAAATGCACATGGTCTCTGCCATCACCGAGTTCACAGTTAAGCCAGACCTAGCACCCTCATAAAATTTTCAGTATCGTTCCTCTGGTGTCCAGAAATTATTTTTTAAGTAACATGATCTGCTCTCATTTTCTGCTTTTCTTCATCTCTTCTTACCTCTTTAGTCCACTGCTATCTGCCTTCCACCTCAGGGTTCTACTAGGACTACTTTTTCGGTCAACAGTTCCCTCTTAGTAGGGAGATTAAACATCTCCTTCATACCTGTTGTCTTCACATGTTATTAAGAGTACTTGCTTTCATCTCAAAAGTATCCTAGCATGGATAGTAACTTATAGGATCACCTATGTCTGAGTTACCAATGAAGGAGGCCCTCACTCACTCTTCAATCTCAGTAACTCTTCTGTCATATTTGTCTCAGTGGAAAATTTTAGTATAGAAAACAAGTTTTAATGTTGTAGCAATACATTTTTAAACCCTGACTCCTTCACTTATTCACTATGTGACCTTTGAAATTTTGCTTTCTACTCCATATATTTTTTCTTCTTCTGTATAATAGGAAACAAGTGTTTTCCTTACAGGATAAATAAAGAAGTTCAAAACAAAAAGTTTCTGGTGTAATTAATATGGTGCCTAGCACAATGAACAGGAAACCATTCCTCAGCATCTTATGCTTCTTGAAGACCCTTGTCCCTTGGCTCTGAAGACTTCCCTGTCTTCTGTCACTGTGATACATCTTTGTGTCCTTTTCTATCACCTGCCACTTTCACGCTTTATGCTTATCTCCTTGTCCTTGGTTGTCTTGCCTGTGACAATTTGCTCCAGATTCATTAGCATGCACGCACACACTCATACACACACACACACACACACACACGCACTCACGCGCGAGATTTAGGAGCATTGCCAGAACAGCACATGCAAGCACAGATGGATATGGTGCCCCAGGAGCTGGTAAGAACTGAAGGGCTATGAGTAGGAAGTGCCCAGTCATGCACCAAAGTGGAAGAAGGCTGTGCAGATGAGGAGGGGCTCAGAGACAAGGAGACTCAGAAGTTGGCAAAGGAGAGAGGAAAGGCTGCCTGCCCTTTGTGTGAGAGGACTGAGGCAGGTGGCAGCTATATCTTCTGCTGTATCTACTATCTACTTTCTGCCTGTGAGATAAGGCTCCACACGGGGGATATTCAGGGTAGCAGTGAAAAAAATAAGAACTTCTTCAGAGTGTAGCCTAGAATTTGGAGAAGAGTAATCTTTCATGGGTAAGAGGGAGAACATGGATTTTGGAATCTGGGTGTGGGTTCAACTCTTCTTCCACTTGTGTAGTATAGGGCAAGATCTAACCTTTCTGGGCTTCAGTTTTCTCATATGTGCTTAAGAATAAAGACTTTGGAGAGAGTTTGATTTAGGTTTATATTCTGGCTCTCTTAATTGATAGCTTTGTAATCTCTGGAGAGGGCTGAACTCTCAGAGCTTCCATTCTTCAACTGTAAAATGGGGATAATAGTGCCTCATTGGATTATCATAAGCTTGAATAAAACTGTGAGTAAATTCTTGGCATATATCAGTATATCTTAGATTTCATTAATATTGTTGTTGCTGTTGTTGTTATTATTATTTTATCATATACTTAAATTCAGTCTCCTCATCTATAAAAAGGGATCAGTAACCACTTCTTAGGGATGTTGAGTGAATTTATTGAACTACCATTTGTAAATGCTGATAATGGTCACTAATTAAATGACAAATTTAAAGAAGCTTAAAGTAAGAAATGGGAATTGATTAAAAATTATTGTCACAAATTATATAATATTTGTATTTCTCCTCCTCCCCCCTTCCTCCCTTTTTCCTCTTCCTCCTCCATCTTCTTCTTTCTATTTGAATGTCTTTCTCTTCCTTTTCCACCTATCCTCCTGCAATATAAACTCCACACAGCCAAGGACTATGAATATCTTTCTGTCACTCTGCCCCTGCACTTGGAACAGTTTCTGCTGGGATATGATAGATGCTCGACACCCATCAGTTGAATTAACAAAACGTGAAGAGAAGAGAGGCAGGAAGAAATGCTCAGTGAAAATTATGGGACAGGGAGTTGTAGATTTTGTGGCTGGTAAATAGCTGCAGGGGAATGAATATTGCCAAGTATTTGGAGAGGCACTGAAATAAAGGGTCCTCTGTATACTTCCTGAGTCACAGTCCAGCAATCTGTCACTAAGTCACTGGTTGGTACAGAGGTTCCACCTACTGGTGGGCTCCAGGGCCAAGGAACTAATCACATTGGATGGAAGCTGACTTTGGTAATTATGAGTCATGGTAAAATAAGTGACATTAGATTTGAACCTAGAAAAGGTTGTGAGTGTCTAATGCAGGGTTAATTTGAAGGTTAATGCATGGAATACTGTAACGATCTAATATCTTATACTTATTTTGTTCATTACCATAACACATGGCACTGAGGTCTGTCTGGGAACCTAATTGACCATTTGACATGAGTGATGGCAAATTCAGGTTTCCCTGTTTTGTGAATAGAGTGCTTAGTTGCCTGCTTTCATACTGAAGTGGCTCATGGAAGAAACCCAAGCCATGAAAACCATGGGATAATTAGTAGAATAAAACCATTCTTTGGTCTGGAGAACACAACTGGATGTAGTTAAATTAAGTTTAATGATTCACTTTTCAGCATATTAACTTCAGAAGACTTCACATTGCATCCAACTGTAGGCCCCAGTCTTTAAAATTGCTGATTGTGCTTTAAAAATAAAACAAAAAATAATAAAATTAGGCCACAGAATACATTTTGCTCATTTTTTAATAGAACTATATGGAAATGCAAATTTTATTGAGGCTTTTGGCCCTTGGAAGAGTCTTGTCCCTGGAAATGAGGATTTATTGAAAAAGGCATACCCAATCGGTGAAAAAGCAACTGGGATGTCTTTCCACTTTTCTTTCTCCCCTACTGTGCACAGCCCTGGCTGCCTATAGCTACATCTCCTGTGCATCAATCCCTGACTTTAAATTCAAACCTTAGATCCTTTTTTTTTTTAAAAAAAGAGGAAATAGTTGTATAAAATGTCTATATTTTCTAGAAAATAATTAGTTGATGATATAGTTTGGCTGTGTCCCCACCCAAATCTCATCTTGAATTGTAGCTCCCATAATTCCCACATCTTTTGGGAGAGATTTGAACTCCCCCAAAGGGAGTTTCAATTAGGAGATATTCAGGTAGGAAATAATTGAATCACAGGGACAGTTTCCCCCATACTGTTCTAGTAATAGTGAATAAGTCTTGTGAGTTCTGATGGTTTTTGAAGGGGAAACTCCTTTCACTTGGTTCTCATTCTCTCTTGTCTTCTGCCATGTAAGACGTGCCTTTTGCCTTCCACTATGATTGTGAGGCCTCCCAGCTACATGGAACTGTGAGTCCATTAAACCTCTTTTTCTTTGTAAATAACCCAGCCTTGGGTATGTCTTTATCACAGCATGAAAGACTAATACAGTTGAAGTTGTTTTGTTTTTCACCAAACTCTGATCGTGCCTAGTTCTTTTTAACTTTATTTATCCAGAAGACAGATATCTGTCCGATGATGTTCAAGGAACTAAGAAGATGGGAGGGACATAACAGATATGGTTCCTGTTTTCATGGAGCTGATTGAGGATGTTTCTGGGCATTTCTGCACCCCTCCACCCTCACATTTTAATTCTAATTTTTTTCTTTTTTTTTTCTTCTACAATGTCTTCTGGCTTTTCTCAACTCTTCCTTCCTCTCTCTAGCATCTTAATGAGAAGTGAATGGGGCCCTATAAATAAAACATCTGTGTCTGTGGAAAAATATCCTGATATATCTACTTGCACAGCTGTTAAAAGGCCTAACTCCCTGCAAAGGAGCCAACATGGGCCATTCTCACAAGAACCAGAAATGTTATCATGGGGCTAGATAGGAGGGAAGATTAAAGAAGAGAAGTACAAGAAATACAAACTGTACCCTGCATATGGTAGCTTCTCAATACATGTTCAGTGAAATGAAGCTGGTTCAGAAGGCAAGAGAAGATTCACAGTTGGTTGCCCCACAGAAGGTGTCTGGGGTATATGAGAGATTTGGAATTAATGCCACAAAGCCAATGTTCTGCCTCACACCATGCCTTAGTTCTATCAGAGATGGGCTAAATGGCTATGATACTAACGTTGGTGATCATTTATCATGTGTGATGGTTAATATTAAGTGTCAACTTGATTGGATTGAAAGATGCAATATTGATCCTGGGTGTGTCTGTGAGGATGTTGCCAAGGGAGATTAACATTTGAGTCAGTGGGCTGGGGAACGCAGACCCATCCTTAATTGGGTGGACACCATCTAATCAGCCACCAGTGAATATAAAGCAGGCAGAAAAATGTGAAGTGATGAGATGGGCCTCCAGCCTACATCATTCTCTGGTGCTGGATGCTTCCTGCCCTAGAAACCCAGACTTCAGTTTTGGGACTTGGACTGGCTCTTCTTGCTCCTCAGCTGGCAGACAGTCTATTGTGGGACCTTGTGATCCTATAAGTTAATACTTAGTAAACTCATATATGTATATATGTGTGTGTGTGTGTGTGTGTGTGTGTGTGTGTGTGTGTGTGTGTGTGTGTGTGTGTGTATCCTATCCTATTAATTTTGTCCCTCTAAGAG
This sequence comes from Homo sapiens, assembly GCF_000001405.40. Classification (NCBI taxonomy): domain Eukaryota; kingdom Metazoa; phylum Chordata; class Mammalia; order Primates; family Hominidae; genus Homo; species Homo sapiens. The sequence continues at coordinate 108,432,572 of NC_000010.11, read as the reverse complement.
AACCCTGACTAATATAGATTTTGGTACCAGGAGTGGAGTCCAGAACAGGAGAAGGCTCTGCAACTGATTGAGACTGCCTGCTCTGTGCAAACTGCTCTGCCACTTGGGCCATATGACCCAGAAGATCCAGTGGTGCTTGAGGTGTCAGTGGCAGACAAGGATGCTGTTTAGAGCCATTGGCAGGCTCCCATAGGTGAATCACAGTGGAGGCTTCTAGGAATTTGAAGCAAGCCCCTGCCATCTTCTGCAGATAACTACTCTCCTTTTGAGAGACAGCTCTTGGCCTGTTACTGGGCTTTGGTGGAAACTGAATGTTTGACTATGGGTCACCAAGTCACCATGTGAACTGAACTGCCTATCATGAACTGAGTGCTTTCTGAGCCATGTAGCCATAAAGTGGGTCATGCACAACAGCATTCCATCATCGAGTGGAAGTGGAATATATGTGACTGGGCTCGAGCAGGTCCTGAAGGCACAAGTAAGTTACATGAGAAAGTGGTTCAAATGCCCATGGTCTCCACTCTTTCCACCCTGCCTTCTCTTCTCCAGCCTGCACTGATGGCCTCATGGGGAGTTCCCTATGATCAGTTGGCTAGGGCCTGGTTCACAGATGGTTCTGCACGATATGCAGGCACCACATGGAAGTGGACAGCTGCAGCATTATAGCCCCTTTCTAGGACATCCCCGAAGGACAGAGGTGAAGGGAAATCTTCCCAGTGGGCAGAACTTCGAGCACTGTACCTGGTTGTGCACTTGGCATGGAAGGAGAAATGGCCAGATGTGTGATTATATACTGACTCATGGGCTGTAGCCAGTGGTTTGGCTGGATGGTCAGGGACTTGGAAGAAGCATGATTGGAAAATTGGAGACAAAGAAATTTGGAGAAGAGGTATGTGGATGGACCTCCCTGACTGGTCAAAAAATGTGAAGATATTTGTATCCCATGTGAGTGCTCACCAACAGGCGACCTCAGCAGAGGAGGATTTTAATAATCAAGTGGATATGATGACCCCTTCTGTGGGCACTACTTAGCCTTTTTCCCCAGCCACCCCAATTTGCCGCAGCAGAGACCGACACTGAGCCCTCGATATGACAGCATTCCTCGGGGTGATCAGCAGGTACCTGGTGGCAAGTTGATTATATTGGACTTCTTCTATCATGGAAAGGGCAGAGGTTTGTCCTCACTGGAATAGACACTTACTCTGGATATGGGTTTTCCTATCCTGCATGCAATGCTTCTGCCGAGACTACCATCCATGGACTCATGGAATGCCTTATCCACCATCATGGTCTTCCACACGTGATTGCCTCTGACCAAGGCACTCACTTTACAGCTAAAGAAGTGTGGCAGTGGTCTCATGCTCATGGAATTCACTGGTCTTACCACATTCCCCATTATCCTGAAGCAGCTGGATTGATAGAACTGTAGAATGGCCTTTTGAAATCTTGATAATTACAATGCCAACTAGGTGACAATACTTTGCAGGGCTGGGGCAAAGTTTTCCAGAAGGCTGTGTATGCTCTGAATCAACATTCAATATATGGTACTGTTTCTCCCATAGCCAGGATTCATGGGTCCAGGAATCAAGGGGTGGAAATGGAAGTGGCACCAGTCACCATCACCCCTAGTGATCCACTAGCAAAATTTTGGCTTTCTGTTCCCACGACATTACATTCTGCTAGCCTAGAGGTCTTAGTTTCAGAGGGAGGAATGCTGCCACCAGGAGGCACAACAATGATTCCATTAAACTGAAAGTTAAAATTACCACCTGGACACTTGGGGCTCCTCCTACCTTTAAGTCAACAGTCTAAGAAGGAAGTTACAGTGTTGGCTGGGGTGATTGACCAGGACTATAAAGATAAAAACAGTCTGCTACTCCACAACTGAGGCAAGGAAGTGTATGCATGGAATACCGGAGATCCATTAGGGTGTCTCTTGGTATTACCATGCCCTGTGATTAAGGTCAATGAGAAACTACAACAGCCCAATGCAGGCAGAACTACAAAAGACCCAGACCCCTCAGGAATGAAGGTTTGGGTCACTCCACCAGGAAAAAAATCCACAACCTGCTGAAGTGCTTGTTGAAGGCAAAGGGAATACAGAATGGATAGTAGACGGAGGTAGTCATCAATACCAGCTGTGACCACATGACCAGCTACAGAAATGAGGGCTGTAATTGTCACAAGTATTGCCTCCTTCTTTTGTTAAAAACATGTTTGTGCATGTATACACTTGTACTAAGAAAATATCTTCATTGTATTTCCTTTTCGTTTATCATGTGACATAAGATTTATTGACTTCATATCAGCATTTAAGTATTGTTAACTGTATGTAATAGTATTTGGGTTTGGGATTGGTGCATTTCCAATTGTACCAAGGATAGTTGTATTATGTTACATGGTCAGAATTCTGACCTTATTATTGTCTTTATTTTATTTGAAGATTATGTATGATCTCTGGAGATGTGTGTGGGTTCAAGTTGACAAGGGGTGGCCTTGTGATGGTTAATACTGAATGTCAACTTCCTTGGATTAAAGGATGCAATATTGATCCTGGATGTGTCTGTGAGGGTGTTGCCAAAAGAGATTAACATTTGAGTCAGTAGGCTGGGGAAAGCAGACCCACCCTTAATCAGGTGGGCACAATCTAATCAGCTGCCAGCAAATATAAAGCAGGCAGAAAAACGTGAAGCAAGGAGGTAGGCCTAGCTTTCCAGCCTACGTAGGTTCTCCCATGCTGGATGCTTCCTACCCTTGAACATCAGGCTCCAAGTTCTTCAGTTTTGGGACTCAGACTGGCTCTTCTTGCTCCTCAGCTGGCAGACAGCCTATTGTGGGACCTTGTGATCATGTAAGTTAATACTTAATAAACTCCCTTTTATGTATATATGTATATCCTATTGCTTATGTCCCTTTAAGAGAACCCTGACTAACACATCATGATTCAGTTAAAACTCTCAGTATGGGGGCTCAACAGGTCTGGGTTAAAGCCCAAGTTTCTCACCAACTCACTGACAGACGTGGGCAAATCAAGGAGCCTCTCTCTCCATGTCATGTCCCTTCTTAAAGGGAAATCATAAAAAAGTGGGTTCATGACAGGGGAACGTGGTAAGAAAGATGAGGCACAGGTGTGGAAATACTTTAGAGAAAATACTAAAATCTCTGCACAGCATCTAAGAGAAGACACCTTCTACTTAGGCTTGTAGTATTAACAACAAAAAATTTGGTATTGAATAGGAAAACTATCCTTCCAGACTGTGTACTTTTTCCTAACTCTTGAATTCGAAACCACATTTATTTTTCTCCTCCCACACTGTCCCATCTTTGTCTTCAACTTCCTCCCCCTCTCTGGTGCCCTGGTTTTATTTCTGGATGTGTGATTGACCCTTCCTTAAAACTGCTGTGGGAGATGCTTCGAATCCTTCTTATGGGAAGAACATGTTGCTTGGTCACTAGAAACGCTGTTACTGACAGTCTAGAGCTGCCACCTCCTTCATAGTCTGCCTCAGCTGTAGTGAGTGAGCTGCATACTTTTCCACAATGGCCCATACTGACTGATCTTGCTGGGGATAGCAAAGACCTCTGCGGGGAAACTCAAATAGGCCATGTGCCTTTAGAGTTCTCTTTGGGGTGAAAGGGTGTTTGTGAAGCCTGAATCACCATTCAGATGTTCTTTCTGCTTTAACCAGCTTTCAAAACCTCCCTTTCACAGGTGTTGATCCCTAAAAAATATTATTCAAGCCCAATTCCATCTTAGCACCTGCTTTTAGTGTTGTCAACCTGAAATACCACCATCTCTATTAACTTTCACTTGCTGGTAATAGGATTGTCATTATATACTTTGTGTACTTATCTGCCCCCTCCTCAGGGTACAGACTTGCTTGCCTAAAAGGTCATTTTGCAGGCTTTGATTTTTGTCTGCTAGAATGAACGAATGAACCCTCGCTAAAACCAGAAAAAGTGATCATCATTTACTGCCTGTTTCAGAATTACATGATAAAATAACAGTTGCCAGGGAATTTTGTAAAGGATCACATAATCCCTGTGGTCAGTGTTGGCATCAGGTCAGAGTTTATTATGCTCCAAAGATCAAGAATGGATCCTGCAAGGGCGATGAAGGGAACAAAGTCAAAGAAGAATCCAACAAGCATTTTTTGAAAGTTATTTTTAACATAACTGAAATCTGTTCATGAGGAGGCATGTGGTTCAGATGGTGGTGCTGATGTGGGGAAAGGTGTCAGTTTCATTCCCTGGCACCTTTCATTGGGGTTCCAGACTTCCTAAGAGGAAGAGAGGGTGATTGCAGGACTAGGATATTTGGAGATCAGTAACAGCTGTTGTTGACTGACCATAGTCCTTGGAAACCATTTGCCTTCTCAGCCTCATTTTCTTCATCTGTGTGAATGAGGGAGCGGTTAAGGCCAGTGAGACTGCTTTAGATAACTCTCCTACATCTAGTTCTTCTGACTCTAAAACTGAGTTTTTATTGTGTATTGAATTGTACTATAATGAGCCCTCTACGATTATTCATATGAGGGGGAGGGAGGGAGGGAAGGAGGAGTGGGAAAGGGAGAGGAAGAAAATGTTGTGTTCAATCTTTATTCCCGTGATAATATATATGTGTGTGTAGAGATATATAGACACACACATATAAAATAAGCCGACATTACAATAGAAAAATCTGTTGTCCTGTCTTTCAAACATAGGAGAGAAGAGTAGATCGTATTAGTTGTCAATTGATGAGTATGAAGGGAATGGTGCCTCAGACAAATATCAGACACAGGGAAAGACACAATGGGCCAGATTCACACTTAATTGAACAAGATCCCTCCCCCACCCCCTTCCTGTCCTCCTTCTCCTCTCCCTTTTCTGCCCCCTCTCCTTTTCACTCCTCCTTCTCATCCCCCTCCTCCAGTTTGTAACTTCAGAGGACTGGCTTCTGCCACAGGTGGAAGGCTTTATGGTTCCAAAGGCTTATGTAACTAGCCCAATCTTCTCCCTGATTTTAATATACTTCAACCTTGGCAGAAAACATCTTGGCTAGCTCATTCCCCCTTCTTAACATATGTCAGCTGTTTATTATAAAAACCATAGCAGTTCTTATCAGGATCTCCCAGGGAAACCCAAAGAGACCTGGAATCAGAATACCAGAGAAGCTCCAGCAATAGTTTATAGTTTGGAGAACATTTTTTTTTTTTTTTTTTGGCACTCAGCCAGCCAGCCCTCCCCGGTCGAAAGAGCAGGGAGTTCTGCCTTTGAATGCCAGTGTCCCGTAGTTCACATTAACCATACTACACAGAACCCTGTGGCATGGTCCGTTTCTAATGTAAACATGTTCCTGGCCACTAGGACAGATCATCAGCCGGGCCAGGGAGAGTGTGGCCAGCCCTGTTCAATAAAACAGTTCTGTCTAACTTTGCTCTATTCAGTGTACAACTATTAATAGCAAGTGATATAGAAAATTTGGGGAAGCAGAAAGGGCTGAATACAACCAGAGATCAGTCTGAAGCTCAGGCCACTCTAGGCTGTACCTGGCACTGCAGCAAACCTAGAAGACCAGAGCAGTGCCATGCCTCAGCCCTGCCCTGAACACGAGCATGCCAGGGCAGAGTGGTGGGGTCCACTTCAGTAGAGGGCATCCCTGGTTGAGGTTCATTCTCCTGATCTAAAGTTTTCTTCTGCCTCAGGGAAGTCTGACCTTGTCTGCACAGGACACAGGGATCTCCATCTTCTATAGGCTCCAGGTCCCCTTTGTGTTTGATCAATGCAGGCAGGGGAGTAGGGACAGAGGACTAAAGGGTCCCAGCAATGAAGTTATAGGAAAGATCTAGATTTCAGCTGTGAGAACATGCACGAAGCCAGGTGGAACTGGCCAAGTCTTAAATTTTCAATGGAGCCACTTTGTCCTTATTCAATGCAAGTGTTTCTGGATGGAGGTGACTCTACTTTGGGTGGATTCAGTGACCCAGGCTTCTTCCTTCCTGAGTCCCTGCCATCTTCAGCTTGTGGACACAGTGGTTGCCCTCGGACAGTCTCCAATCACCAAGTTATCTTCAGTAGTGTGTTGAATACTTTTCTATATAAAAATAGTATATAATTGAAGTTGGCTAGAGAACACATATTCCTTGCAGTCCCACACTATTTGATATATATTTGATGAAATATATTTGTGTATTTAGTAAAACCATGGTCATCATTAAGCTTGGCTTATGATTGGATCCAAAGCTTTAAAAATTCAGAGCTTCAAGAGATTTTAGAAAACATCTAGTCACCATAGAAATATGGTTTGAATATTGAGGCCCAAGGAAGGTATTTAGCTTGTGCATGGTCACCAATTAGTTTTTGCTGAGCCTGGATATACTTTCATGTCGGCTTTTCTTTTTAATTTCCCTTTTATGGTATCTCAGTTACTGATGGTTGACTGAATAAAGTCTTGCATATTTCTGGGCTCCTTTCTTTTGTTGTCTTCCTATCCTCCTTTTCTTTCTTTTTATTCTTTTTAAAATTTACTTTATTTCTTCAAAATCTCAGAAGTGTTCAAAAAGGCTCTGGGTCCCCCCAGCAGCAACGTTGAATCTCCCTGCCCTTCTAGCCCAAGCAGTGCCCAGATGTGCTAGCACACAATTACCTCTCCTTGAGCTTCAATATGTGCACACTGGTACCTTATCACATTTTCCCTTTTGGACCACTTCTTTGGATCAGTCTTTTCTCACTTCCTCCTTTCACACTTATGAAAGCCAATCTCTTCATTCAGAATCTAGGAACTCACACAGTCTAAGAAAAGCATTTGTGGAGGGCTCATTCTGTCCCAGGCACTGTACTGAATGTTTTTCCTTTTTTAACATGCATTTTCTTACTTAACTAAATTACTCAAGAAAACATCATGAGGAGGCCGGTACTTTGTATCCTTATTTTTATAGATGGGAAGTGAAGAATCAGAGAGAAGAAGCAATTTTCTGCAATTTTACTATTAATATACAAATGAGCTAGAGTTTGAATTTCAGTTTGTCAGACTCAGACATTCCCCTTGCCCCTCAAGTTCCAGGCTTTCATGCCTGATTCTGTTATACTCACACTCTGGGAGATGAGGCTTGGCTGTCCTATCTCTTTTCCAAGCTAAAATTGAGGTGCTTGTACATGGTGTGCTCATGCACATACTTTCATTTATGTCTTAAAAGAGGCATAATCATCTCATCTCAAAGAATGCAGCTTTTGGCCAGGAAAGAATATTTCCTTGGAACACTTTATGTCTCTCAAACAAATACATTAAGACCTGCTCCTGAGACCTCTCAGGTGAGTCATGGTCTCCATTTCTTTTTTTGATGAGGACCCAGCCTGAAGTTTATAAGCATAATCTTTTCAGGAGGCAGGCGCAGTGGCTTATATTAATTCCTTCCTCACTCGTACACCTTGGAAGGTGAGGAACGGGAAAGCATTAAGGGGAGTGTCGTTACAGTCCAAGAAGGGGGTCTGTAAAATTGGCATCTTCTTAGTCAACATTACTGCTCCCTCATATGTCCTGACTCCTCCATCTTAGCAAGTTATGAGGTTTGTTCTTGGCAGCACACCAATAAGATGTTCATGGTCATGGTTTTAGTTTATGAATTGTCATGGAGACGTAGGCAGGGTGATACTGACTTTATTACTAAAAACTTGCTGAATATTAAAAAAAATTACATAGCTTTTCCTAACATATAAGAATAAACTCAAAGGCAGATAAGAGCAGGAAGAAATGGACTATTTATGTAATGTGAATTTGGAAGCCAGAGAGACATGAGTGTGAATCATGCCTCTGGTATGTACTGAATCTGAGGATGGTTTAAATTGCCATTTTCTCTGAGCCTCAGTTTTCTCATGTATAATATGTTGACAATACTGTTCTCATAATGTTTTAGGAAAGATAAACTGGATAGGATTATGTGTCCAGGATAGTACTAGTACCTAATCAGTGCTCATAAATGTTAATTAACATTAACACCAATCTTTGTATGTGTCTACTCTTGTATAGTTTACCAGCCATAATGACATTATATCATTTTATCTTCACCATAGAGAGACATGTGGTTCTATCTGAAATACAAGACTTGTTTCAATTCTTAATACTGTCTTTTTTTCTGATAACATCAGGGAGAGAATCTCACAGCGCCGTGAGACTCAAGGATAAGTCTGAACACCATAGTTGAGGCAGGCTCACTGACCTTATACAATAGAGCAAAATGTCACAGGGAAAAGTGATCCTTCCTAATTTTCCCAGCTCATCTCTGTCCCTTGATCAAGATCCATGAAGAAGAGGACCTCAGCACAAACCATTTAGCCTATAGCAATTGCTTTTTTTTTAAGAAATTATTTATTTTTTTAATTGACAAAATTATATGCATTTATTACGTATTATGTTTTGAAATAGGTATACATGGTGGGATGGCTAACTCAAGCTAATTCACATATGTATTACCTTACATACATAGTATTTTTTACACTTTAATCTCAATGATTTTTGAGAATACAATACATTGTTATTAAATATGGTCACCATGCTACACAATAAATCTCTTCACTTATTTCTCATATCTAACTGAAATTATGTAGTCTTTGACCAACATCTCCCCAGTACTTTCCCATCCTAGCCCCTGGTAACCACCATTCTACTCTCTGCTTCTATGAGTTTCACTTTTTTTAGATTCCACATATGTGAGATCATGCAGTATTTGTATTTCTTTGCCCGGCTTATTAAACTAATGTCCTCTAGGTTCATTCATGTTATTACAAATGGCAGGATTTCCTCATGTTTTAAACCTGAATAGCATCCCTTTGTGCATACATGCCACATTTATCTTTATCTGTTTATCCACTGACGGACACTTAGGTGGATTTCATACCTTGTCTATTGTGAATGATGCTGCAATGAACATGGAAGTTTATATATCTCTTTGACATACTGATTTCATTTCTTTTGGATATATATCTGATAGTGAGATTCCTGGGTTATATGGTAATTCTATTTTTAATTTTTGAGAAACCTTCATACCGTTATCTATAGTGGCTCAACTAGCTTACATACCCATCGACATTGTATCAAGGTTCTCTTTTTTCCACATCCTCGCCAGCACTTGTTATCTTTCATCTTTTTGATAATAGCCATTTTAACAGGAATGCAGTGATAACTTATTGTGATTTTTATTTACGTTTTCCTGATAATGTGCTGTTGAATTTTTTTTCATATACTTGGCCATTTGTATGTCGTCTTTTGAGTAATGTTTTCAGTTTTGTTGCCCAATGGGTTACTTATTTTCTAGCTATTGAGTTAAATTCATTATATATTTTAACCCTTTATCAGATGTATGGTTCTCAATTATTTTCTCTTCCATTCTATAGGTTGCTCTTCATTCTGTTAATTTTTTTTTTTTTTTTTGCTGTGCCAAAGCTGTTTAGTTTGATATAATTCCATTTGTCTATTTTCATTTTGTTTGCCTGTGTTTTGGGGTTATATAAGAAAAATCAATGCCAAAATCAATGTCATGGAATTTTTTTCCTATGTTTCTTCTATTAGCATTACAATTTCAAATCTTACATTTAAGTCTATCCCATTTTGAGTTGATTTTTGTATAAAGTGAGACAGGCTGGTCTAGTTTAGTTCTTCTGCATGTGGATATCTAGTCTTCCCAGCACCATTTATTGAAAAGACTATCCTTTCCCCATTGTTCCTTCACGGCACCTTTTATCAAAAATCACCTGACCGTAAATGTGTGGATTTATTTCTGGGCTATTTTGTTCCACTGGTCTACATTTCTGATTTTATGACATGAAAAGTGCTTAATACACATCAAGGGTCTGAATTTGCTGTGCTGAGTAGGGAACTGGGTCTCCTGAATTTTCTGGTGCATTAATAAAGGGCAGTAGTTTTCTGTTTGCCAACATGCCATTCTGGTTAATTGTCTTCTTGTAATGTACATGCACGTGCATATGCATATGTGTATATACATGTATGTCTGTGAATCTGGAAAGCTTAGGTACTAACTTTAGGACTATTTTTTTTGTCCCCACAACAGGGAGTAGATTAGGCAACACCATTGTGTAATTTCAAGGCACTTGGTCACTGAATTTTCACCCAGAAAATATTTATGAAAGACTTTTTTTTCTGCTACACGCTGGGCTTAGGCCAGGAGAGTCACTTTGCCTTTCTGAAGACAGAAATCATAACATATAGACAAACTAAAAAAGTAGACAAGGACAAAAGATAGAGTTTACATTACATAAAAGTGTTTTTTTTTCTCCTTAATAAAATAACATTAGTTTTATTAAAGGAAGAAATACATCCAGGAAAAACGAAATCATTACCCACTTAAAAGCAATCTTCCATAATTTTATATTGGTAAATCAAGCTAGGGTTACACTGATAACAATAAATAAATTTGACCTTTAACATAGTGCCAGGAAATATTCATATAAATTTATTTATTTGTATAATTTTAAAAAAAATTCCATAGGAAAGACTATTTTGAAGAATGGATAAAAGTAGAAACACATGACATTTTATATTAAGTGACTATGGTTAAAATATTATTCTGTAGTCATGCCAAATCTTAAGACCTTGAAAATTCTAATGCTGGTTTTCCTGCCTATTCATAGCATGTAATAGTACTGATATTAATGGAAAATTTCGATATAATGTGTACAAATAGCTGAGCATAAAAGTGTTTTGAAAGTATAGAGTCCTTGATATTCAAAAGAGAGAGACAGAGAGATTCTCCATCGTATCTCCAAAATTATACCTAAAAAGTTAGTTCCAATGGCAAAGCAAGGCTTATAAAGAAGCTGGCCTTTGTGATTCACTGTTATTTGGGGTAGGGGAAATGAGGAAAGGAAAATAGATTGAAATAATCTTATAAAGGAGATTAGGTAACAAGAAATGTAGAAAGGGGAAAAAAGTGTCAACTTTAACAGCCTTTTATTGCAATCTTGGTGTCAGATGAGGCTGTGATCTTATCTGAGGCTCCAATTGGAAAATATTTGCTTCCACATTCTCACAATTCTTAGGCGCTTTTAATTATTGCAGGCTGTTATGCTGAGAGCCTCATTTTTTTTTTTTTTAGACTTTTGGCCAGAAGCCAACCTCATCTGCTTGTGACAAAGCCTCCCTAGCATGGCCGCCTACTTCCTCAAAGCCAGCCAGTGAGAACACCTGATACTATGATGGACAGTTAATCCTTTATAATGCATGTAAGAATACATACCTATGTATTCCCTGTCATGTTTGTCACATTCTATTAGGTAGAATCAAGTTAACAGGTCTTGACTACACTTAAGAGAATTACACAGGTGTGTGAATTACTGAGATGTAAGGATCATGGAGGCCACCTTACAATCTATCCTTCACAACTTCTCAATTATTGAGCATTGGGTTCTTCTCTTGATTAAACAAGAAGGCAATGAATTAGGAGTTATGCTTTATCATATCTTCTCTCAACATGGTAGAGCCCACAGAGATGAGCAAACCTCTATACACTTTTGAGAAGCTTGTAGTCTCAGTTCAGTAGAAAACTTAAGATATAAATAATTAACTCTAAAGTGAGGCACATAAGACAAGAATCAAGAAAGAATAATGGTGTTGAAATTTGAGATGGATTTATTCTGAAGTGTTGAAGAGTTTTTAGTCAGGCTTATAGGATGAGTGGGGTTTAGCACAGTTGTTAAACTGGACCAAAGAGATTTCAATATAGCCTTGGGAAGATAGGTTTGACTCCAAATATTGTCACTAAAAAAGTTGGAGAATCTTATTTTTCTAAAGGTTAATTAATAGATACATGGTTGGCTAAGACACATTTATGAAGTTAAAATGAAGTGATGCCAGAGAGTTACAGCAGAATTAAGAGCTTTGCAAGGAATTTCCTGCCAGGCCAGTGTCCGCTGAGATAGCTAAATCATGTAGCAGTAACAGTACAAAATCCCTTATGAAATTTCTGAGCAATTTTCTTAACTCTGTATTCTAGCTGTTTATAGTCCTCAGATACAGAAGTTGGCAACCCCAAAAAGTGAACATAAATGAAAATGGCCTCCACCTCATGTTAGTCTCAGAGTAGTGGCTTTGCCACCTTCATCAAGAAAGGAAAGAAATTGGGCTTTATCTTAATGAAGTATCACCTACCATCTGGGTGTCTTTCAGAAAATAGTGGTTGGTACTAAGAAGCTGGGATTTGTCAGGAAGAAATTCAAGAATGCTGTATTCCTGAAGTATTTTGCCCCACGACATGCAGTGTTTTTCTCCATGAGAGAAAGGTTTCAATTATCAATATGGTAGCACTGTTGAAAACTTTTATATTACTTTTTAATTTTAAACAATTTCAAAGTTATGGAAGATTTGCAAGAGTAATTTTTTCAAATCCATATACTTCGCACCTAGATTTAGCAATTCTTGACATTTACTATCTTTCCTTTTATAATTATTTAAATGCACTAATCCCCCGGCGACACCCCTTATCCATAGTTTTGCTTTTGCTTTCTGCCTTTTGTTATCCATGGTCAACTGTAGGCCAAAAATATTAAATGAAAAAATCCAGAAATAAGCAATCCATAAGTTTTAAATTGTATACTGTTCTGAGTAGCATGATGCAGTCCCTCTGTGTCCCACCCATGATGTGAATCATGCCTTTGTCCAGCGTATCCACGTTGTATATGGCACCTGCCTGTTACTCACTTAGTAGCCCTTTCAGTTATCAGATCAAAAAAGCATGGTATGTGTAGGGTTTGGTACAATCCCTGGTTTCAAGCATCCACTGGGGGGCTTGGAAGGTATTTCTTACTGATAAAAGGGACTACTCTATGCCATACATAAGTATACAAATGTAGGTGTAATATTTTCAAGCCATGTAAGAATAAGTTACCAAAATGATGCTTCATTACCCTGAATGCTTTGTGTGCATTTCTTACATCAAAGGACATTATCCTAGCAAACCTTCAAAACCAACAAATTGCTATTAATACAATACAACCATCTAATCCACAAATTCTATTCAAAATTTGGCAAATTTTACCAATATTCTTATTTTTAGAAATGATGCAGTCCAGGATAATGTATTTAACAGAGGTGTCATATCTCTTTTAGTATATTTGGGATAGTTTCTCAGGTTTTTTTTTTTTGTCTTTCATGATTTTATTTTAAGATTACAAGCATTTTGTCATTTATTTCTTCACATTTAGTCTTGGTGTTTTAATAATTGGATCCAGGTTATATATTTTTGTCCAAAATAATCATAGAAATAAGACTGTGCTCTTGTTGAAACCTACCTGGCACCACTCCAGATGGATTTCTCCCATTGTTAGTGCTGCTAACACTGGTGCCGTTTGGATCAGGTGTGTCTACCAGATTTCTCCTCTATACAGTTCTTACATTTTCCTTTTGAAATTAACACATATCTTGTGGGAATATACTTTGAAACTAGCTAAATATCTTTTTTCTCATTAAATTTTCCCATCAGTTTTGGCTTCAGTCATTACTGTGAAAGCTATCAAATGGATATTTTTCTAATACCATAATTCCTCCTATATTTATTGTTTGGCATTCTAATATGAAGTACAGTTTTTTTTTTTTTTTTTTTTTTTACTTATTTTTGAGACAGGGTCTCCCTCTGTCACCCAGGCTGCAGTGCAGTGGCACAATCTCAGCTCACTGCAACCTCCGCCCCCACAGGCTCAATTGATCCTCGTACCTCAGCTTCCCAAGTAGCTGGGACTACAGGTGGGTGCCACTACAGCTGGCTAATTTTTTGTATTTTTGGTGGACACTGAGTCTTACCATGTTGCCCAGGCTGGTCTCAAACTCCTGGGCTCAAGCGATCTGCCCATCTTGCCTCCCAAAGTGATAGCATCACAGGAGTGAGCCACTGTGCCTGGCCTATTTAGTCATGTATTTTTTACATCAATATGAACTCATAGATTTTCATGTTATTTAATGGTTTGTAATCTGTTTATATTATTATTTACTCTTAAACTCAAATTATCCAAATTGACCAGTGGAAGCCTCTTTTAAGCTAACGTTGATGGCTTTTTGATACTTTACTATTATTCTGTGAATACTTCTTGCTGATTGATACAATAAAATATTCCAGTTATATATAATACTTTTTATTGTCCCAGTGTTAAATCCTTTTCTCCAAGGAGCTCTGGTTCATTTTAATGAATAATAATATCTAGAAATAATTAGAGGGCTAGATATACCTTTTGCCACTGGTCTTCCAATGAATAGAGCTAGAAATACTCTGTGTGCATATCACATACACAAATTTTCTATATTAATTTTTATATCTACCTGTATTAGTGAAAATTATGAGTTTGCATCAATAATGTCAATTCAATCCCCAAAATTTATGGTTCATTCTAGGCTCCCTATGTTTTATTTGTAACTCCCTCCTCTGACACTGAGAATTCTGGCTTCCATTATCCCAATAACTGATTTTCTTATTTGCACATTATCCTTGTGTATTAGTGATTCACTGACCAACTCCTCACCAGAGAAGCCATCTCACTTACATGGGTTCTTGCTGCACACTGAATGCCTAAGGGCACAATGTGTCAAACACCTGCCTCACTTAGCCCCCAATCTTGGTGGACCACAACCTCACTCAGCCACTTCCCTTGATGGGATCCAAGTCTTGCCATACTGTTTTCCTTAACTACATTTTTTACTCAGTTCCAAATTATATAAGGCTACAACCACACTCAGCCTTCTTCCTCCCTTATCCTGGACCTCTTCAACTGCCTCCAGCAAATATTCAGTAAGATCCAGGGAAAAGGAGGAGGAAGGAGGAAGCCTGTGGTAAAAACTTTGACTTACATGTTTAATTAGGCTTTGAATCTAGTATTACAGCATCCTCATTCCTATAACAGTGTTTGAAATTAGCAATGGAGTCATTGATTAGCCTTCTCTTATATTAGGATATTACATCCTTATACAATTTTTAGTTGAAAGGATTATTCCTAACTTCTATCAAATGTCTGTCTCCTCCTCAAATAAACGTATTAGTTATTCAACTCTGAGAGGGGTAGGCTGTGGTAACAGGGTGTGATTTCACTATCCAGAGTGTTACCAACAACTTGAGTGAGTTTTTTTAAAAGGTCACAGTGGTAAAGTGATTAAGGGCATGAATGCTACCCTTGGACTGTTTAGGTTAAAATCCCAACCTCCCCTCTTACTAGGACAGAAAGTTAAATGGATATGAATAGCCATTGGTGCCAGTCAGTCAAATGTGTGTTCAAATCCCAAACCTATCATCACTTAATAACTGCATGTTTTAAAATAAGCCTCTGAACATCCCTGAGCCAAAGGATGGGGAAAGTTGTGTGCAACAACTGGATGTTAAAGGGGAGCAATTCCAGTGAGGAGAAAGAAATAAAATGAGGATTCCAATGACAGACGCTTACCTGCTATATTTGATGGACAGTAGTAAGTTGGTAGGCTGGTGTGAATCCTTTGGGAGAGGGGCCATTTGGGAAGGACTCTGGTCACTTCTGCAGTAGAGTCAACTTCTAACCTTCTCAGTGTTCCCCATCTTTGTGTGTTCTCACCAGCTGACATGCAGAGCCCAATGATAGGTGCCCCTTATCAGGTAAAGGAGGCAAGAAAAGCATTTTGACAAATCACTTAGAATTGAAGTATTCATTAAATGATTTAGGTGAAAATGCCCAAACATAGGTACTAAGCTGTAAAACTCAGTTATATCAGCCTTCTTGTTCAAAGAAACTAAAATAACATGCTGCTAGATTCTGAGATGGAGGTGGTCTTCACTGGGCTTGAGTTTACTATTTGTGGAGAAGATTTCCAGGCATGGTAAAGGAGTTTGGTATGTTAGTGTACATAAAACTCTTTCTATTACAATAATATCCAAAAGATTATCTCCCTTGCAGTCACTGACATTTGAAGAAATTTCTGTGGGAGTTGTATTGAAAACCCATGAGGATTTGACATTTCCGTATTGGTCATTTATTAGCCCACTGTTTTGCTGATGGATCTGCCTTGACTTTAATCTTTATCTTCCTAAGCCAGCAAATGACAGAAGGGGAAACTCGACTTTAAAAGTAACATTAGAGACACTTTAACACACGATAAACATTTAAAACATTTTGCTACATGAAATAAACTGGTCACAAAAGGATGTACTGTAGGATTTCTCTTACATATCGTATTTAGAATAGTCAAATTCAGAGACAGAAAGTAGAATGATGGTTGCTACAGGCTGGGAGCAGGTGGGAAAAGGAAAATTTTGTTTAATCATACAGCTTCAGCTTTGCAAGATGAAAAGAGTTTTGGAGATAGGTAGTGGTAATGGTTGCACAACAGTGTGAATGTACTTCATGCCAATGCACTGTATGCATAAAAATGGTTTATATGATAAGTTTTAAGTTATGTGTCTTTTATGACAATTAAAAAATTAAGTGAGTTATATATTTTTAAAGATGGCATCAGAATATTTATAAAATAACACATTTCTTGTTTCTTAATATGCCAGATCCTGGGAGTTAAGTTCAATATTATTGATCCCTTGGACAGCATGGTGCCTATCAAGAGTTTTTAGACTTCTGTTTGGCTATTGTTTCATGACAGCGCTTTGTGGAAGTTGGTCAAGAAAAAAGAGATACAGGAAGTTATAGAAGGCACAAAAGAGTATAATTTTAGTCTCTTTAAGGAGAGAGTATCTTCTCTGTTTCTTCTCTTTCTCTTGCAAATTGTTTGCAGAACGAGGACTTGTGTAGCATTCCTGCTTAAAGTCAACTCAGTGAAATCCACAATTGAAACACACATGACTTGTATTGCTATCTCTTAATTTTCATAATCTTTTGAGATCTCACCAAATGTCATTTTTTTCCATGTGACAATTCAAGATGGAACTCAACTTGATTTTCAGTTTTGCCTCTGCTTAAACTCATCTGTTTCTGTCTGAGCCCCCTTAGGTGGATAAATGTAAGACTGCGTACTCCTTGCTGCCTAATTTATACTTTGTTTAGTCTGAAGAAAGAAAAGTGTAAAGAAAACACAGCATAAATGAGCAGCACTATTAACAGTGAGCTGAGACAACCTTGGTACCATTAGAAGATCTTTTCTTAGAGAATATTAAGTGCCCAATCAGAAACTTGCCTGTTTTCCTTAGAGGGGAAAGACATACATGACTCACCAACCTCTCCACATTAGTAGTTATAATATAAAACATTTTTGACATTACGCCTATTTTTAGCTATAATATTTATCACTCTTTAATATACTAGTGTGTATTGAAAATCCTCAAATTTATCTGACAACAAGAACTATTTCTTCTGGACTACCATGCTGGACAAATCCTTTGTTGAACCCCTTTGGAGAAAAAGCTGGTTTCCAATGCTTTCTTTTCATGCTGTCATTATCACAGTGGTAAATAAGGAGGGGACGGTCTCCTTACATATTGAGAGAGTCATTGTAGAAGGACTTTACCCAATTCTAAAATTTTCTGCATGCATCATTTTCAGAATCGCGCTTGTCTAAATGGAAGAACAAAGTGACCCATATTATACTCCATCCCTTTGCAGCAGGAATTCTTGCTCTGTACTACTTTTTTTTCTTGCTAATGCAAAACAATTTTGGGGGAGTGAGGAGGTGTGAAGAAAGGGAAAAGAAAGATGCTGATTCTGTTAGCCTTTGCCAATATATACACTTCCCCAGCTTCCTTGCAGCAAGAGACAGCGAATGATCCTGTAGTGGCTAATGCAGCAGAGGGGAAAATCAGTTACAGATGCAGGTTTCAGTAAAGTTTGGGCTTCTTTTTTTTTTTTTCTATTTTTTTTTAATTATTATACTTTAAGTTTTAGGGTACATGTGCACATTGTGCAGGTTAGTTACATACGTATACATGTGCCATGCTGGTGTGCTGCACCCACTAACTAACTCATTATCTAGCATTAGGTATATCTCCCAATGCTATCCCTCCCCCTCCCCCCACCCCACAACAGTCCCCAGAGTGTGATGTTCCCCTTCCTGTGTCCATGTGATCTCATTGTTCAATTCCCACCTATGAGTGAGAATATGCGGTGTTTGGTTTTTTGTTCTTGCGGCTTCTTAATAGGGAAGGGGATATCTTTTCCTGAGCATCACTTTGACCTTCAGGCCACAATCATTTCCATTGGTACATAAATAATAATAACAATATTAAACAATTATCAGCAATACTTTGTTTTATTATATTTCTATTTCAGAGGATTTTTTTTTCCCTTTTTGAACATGTTTGGAACCGGAATGAAGAAGATACATTCCTGATAATGAAAATCTGATACTCTGAGATTGTCAAACCAGAAGGGCAAAGGGAATTTATGCTTAGGATGACGTGGTTGAGCTGTTGTATTAAACTCGGAACCACTTTCATCCAGACTTCTATTTATGTAAACTATGAAAGCTCTCGTGCTTTAAGTGACAGTTTGTCAGGTTTTCTGTTACTGGTTGCTGAAAACATTCTAATGGATAGAGATTTAAATTTCTTTGTTCTTGGTATGTGTTATGTTACCTTATTTTCTTTCTCCAATACCTGCTTTTTAGATTAAAAAACATATTAAACACCTGCCTCTTAATTTTATGGACAGTGTCTCAGCATGTGAATAACATTTTACTTATAATTTAAAAGCTATTAATTTGCTTTGCTTTGAATTATGATTCATTTTTTTAAAATTTACTCAAGATGTAAAACGAGGAAACTTAAGGAAATTTCCTTTCATTCTCAAAGCATCTGGGTGTATGAGCAAAGCAAAAGATTTTTAAAACCTGAAGATACAGATATAGGGGTGTGTGCGTGTGTGTGTGTGTGTGTGTGTGTGTGTGTGTATCAGGACGAATATTTGCTACTTACTTTTCAAAAGTGATTACTACTAGGTCAAGATAGTAGCTTGCTGAGAGCATATCAAGCAGGATTTAAGTCACAAGAGTGAGGCTTTTCCAGACTTTGAAGAACACATAATTATCCTCTTGCCTGCTCTTCTGTGTTTCCAAACATGTGGCAGTTGAGCTGGCAAGAATGCTCCCAGGAGTTGAATTGCAGGTATTCAAGGGCTAAGGAAATTATAAGGAATCCAAGTCCTCACAGAGTCATGCGCAGTTATGGATTTCAGGGATAATCAAGATATGCTGTGGGATAAGTGCATGCTACTTAAGATACTTTCTTATTTACATAGACTATGCACAGCAGCTGATGTTCTCTTTCCTGACATCTGGTAAAATCACCTTGCACTCAGGTTCTCAAACCGCAGCCATTCCTTTGTAGCCCCTTTCACTCTGGACCATCACTGGATCTTGGGGAGATCATGTCTGCTGCCTTGGTGTCTGAAAGGAGAACAAGCAATGGTTCATGGAAGAATGACATCTATGTACCTGCTTGTCTTAGTATATCCATTTACCACATTCTACCTAGCTTTTTGAAAAAAAGGCATATCAATTAAATTGATAAAATGTTTTCTCAAAACAATTGAGGCTTTTCTTAATGTTACTTTGTCCTTAACAACAGATGTAATTTACTCAGTTTCATTGAAGTGTGTGTGTGTGTGTGTGTGTGTGAGATTTTTATAATTAAGAAAAATTATAATGTCAATTAAATGGACACAGACTTTACTGTGGCAGATGCTTTATGCAGTAAATAATGTTGATAAAAATGATAGTGAAAATGAGAAGAAGAAAGTTTCCCTGATCTTGTGGTAGATTTCTACCAGAACCAATAAAGTCATTAGTTCACTGAATTATCCAATTGCTTATCCATTAATTTTTTTTTCCTCTTGCCCTCAGACTGTCTCTCTCTCCATTATTTTTCAGGACTTTTCAAAATACCCATCATTTTCTAAGCCCTATGCTAGTTGCCCTAAGGAATGTCAGGTTTGTATTTAAAAAGGAGGAAAAAGGTAGAATCTGACATCAGAAGCTTGAATTTTAACTCAGGAGAGGAAGGACACTTGAAAATATTTTTTTTTAATAAGAGTATATATGAATCTGTTTGTGCTTCTATAACAGATTACAGAAGTTCTCCATTATCACAGTTTTGCTTTCTGTGGTTTCAGTTACCCTTGGTCAACCACGGTCTGAAAATAGGTGAGTACAGTACAATAAGATGGTTTACAAGAGAGGGAAAGAGAACAAGTACCTTCACATAACTTTTATCACAGTGTATTGTTATAATTGACCTATTTTATTATTGTTGCTAATCTCTTACTATGCTTAATTCATAAAGTAAACTTCATCATACGTATTATGTATATGAAAAAATATGCTATTAATATACAAACGGTTCAGTGCTACTGTGGTTTCAAGCATGCACTGGGGGTCTCGGAATATATCCCCCAGGGGGGAGAAGAAACTACAGTACCCGAGACTGAGTAATTTATAATGAACATAAATGTATTGGCTCATGGTTCTGGAGGCTGAGAATACCAAGATCAAGGCACTGGCATCTGGTGAAGGCTTTCTTATTGCATCATCATGTAACATAAGGCAGAGGGACAAAGAAGCAAACTAGGGCCTGTGTCATCCTTTTACAATGACATTAATTCATTATTGAGGACAAAGCCCTCATGACCAGACACCTCCTATTAGGTCCCATTTCCCAACACTATTGCATTGAGGATTAAGTTTCAACATGAGTTTTGCAGGAGACAAAACCATTAAAACCATATCAGGATATAACACAGAACATTAGAGAAATAGGAAAACATTACCTAGATTGCTAAATGTAAACTCAGCTACTATTATGATTTTATTGCAACCTTGTATTAATGCAAAGAGTTTTGCTTAGTTATAACCATAGTTTAATATATTTCTGTGTCTCTAGTGGGCACATGACATTGTTTTTGTCTAATCTGGGTCTAAACATTCCTGAATGAATTACGTCTTCCTGTGCCTAACTTACGAATTCATAAATTATAATTCAGAAATTAAGCACAGTAAGACTCCTTCCCTTATAAGGAGAAGCCCTTATAAGAGAGTCTCTTGTATTACATGCCAGGTCCCTCTTTTTCTTTATCTTGAGGGTGCTTATCCATGCACTACTAGATACATAAACCTCAAATCTGAATTTGAAGCTGGTAATGTGAACGGACAGGGTCTGCCCAGTATCCACCCTGGTGAGAGTAGCAGTGGTGATAGCAATGGCTGTAGTGGGGTTTCCAAAGCTGCAGTTACATAATAATCTCAGGGCAGCACCAGGCTTTGTGGTCAGTGTCATCGGCAGTGCAAGCTGTGGTGTCTTTCTCAGAGGCTCACCAATGGTATTTTCCAGTACTGTGGTGTGCTATGAAATACTTTTTTGTTTTTGGCTATGTTAACTCAAATCCTACTTTTGCAGCCCTCCTTGTGTTTCTCCTTGTAATTCTTTC
The DNA here is from genome assembly GCF_000001405.40 of Homo sapiens. NCBI lineage: Eukaryota > Metazoa > Chordata > Mammalia > Primates > Hominidae > Homo > Homo sapiens. Next base: position 108,411,209 of record NC_000010.11, on the reverse strand, counting down.
AATTGCTCAATGTTGTTATTTTATGAGTTTCTTGTTAAAATTATCCATTGTTGACTTCTGGCTCTTGCAACCAAAAACTCAGGCTGTTAAAGCATTCTGCTCTTTGAAAAAAGAGAAGATATCGTAACCAAATGTTAGGCTGCTAAGTAGTATTTAAACATATTTTAAAATACCTGAAAGTTTGAATGGATTTAGCTTAATAGATTAAATAAATGTCTTACTGTCAAAAACAGTAGGTCCTTTATAAATAACCCTAATGTGAATATTGCTGTGTATTTGTGTTTTCCTACTTTTGATTTCCCTTGGATGATCACCAGAGATGTGTTTACAGAGTCAAAGGGTCTAGAGACATTTTTTTATATTTCATATGCTGTCAGTTTTCATGAATGGTAGCTTTTAATTTTACTACTACTAGGGCTCATTACATTATTTACACAAAATATTACATTCAATATACATTTCCTGATACTCTCTCTATATAGAGAGATAGATGTTATGATATATATAGATATGTATATGTATATTGAATAATTTTCCGTGTAAATAATAAAGTACACACACACACACACAGAGATGTAGAGAGATTTTAAAGCACCTAACTATTCTAGTTTATACTCTGAATATGAGGAAGAATGACATGTCTACACATTTGCTAACTGGTTGAGAATTTCACTAGTTTTCTGTTCATGAAGTAGGAAATTTTATTACAAATATCGAAGGAAGAAATGAGTTGCTGAGTCATGTGGCATTTTCAACATCCTGGTTTCTTTAAACTTGGGCTGCACAACAGATTAAAGGGGATGTAGTAGGAAGGGGGTTAAAAAAGAGGAAGCTGAAGCACTATTCAGAATAGCAAAGATATAGAATCAACCCAAATGCCCATCAGTGATAGACTGGATAAAGAAAATGTGGTGTGTATATATATATACATACCATGGGGTACTCTGCAGTCATATAAAGGAAGGAGATCATGTCCTTTGGGAGGACATGGATGGAACTGGAAGCCATTATCCTCAGCAAAGTAACACAGGAACAGAAAACCAAACACCACATGTTCTCACTTATAAGTGTGAGCTGAACAATGAGAACACATGGACACAGGGAGGGAAAAAACAAACACTGGGGCCTATTGTAGGGGTGGAGGGAGGAAGAGCATCAGGAAAGATAACTAAAGCAGCTGGTCTTAATACCTAGGTAATGTGTTGATAGGTGCAGCAAACAACCATGCCACACGTACTATGTACCAAACCTGCGTACCCTGCACATGTATCCCAGAACTTAAAAAAAAATAAAAGGAGAAGCTGAAATAAAGAGGCTTTGAGTCAATTTCAATCTGCAGAATCCAAAAATCTTAGTTGGAGACAGGCTATGCAGAGACATAGAATGTCTGAAGTGCTAAATTCAGAATGGAAGAATCTTCAAGGTGACTCCTCCTTCTACATGTTGCCTCATGTCCTAATTTTCTCTCCTGTTCCTATTTCAGTGCTTCCTAGGGCATGTCATCTTGATAACAATTCTGCAATGGTCACTTTCTGATTAGCTTTTTTAAGCTCAGCCAAGTTATAACTGGGCATTTGCTTTCCTTCATCCCTAGGGCCTGAAGATCTTGCATTGTTGCTTCAAAAAGCAGAATTCCTATCAGTAAGTTGCCTTTTGAAAACAGGTAGCAGTAAGTGGAGATAAGCATAGGGGTGTGGTGTGTAAGAGATAACTAAAAGTATTGGTCAGATTAAAAGGCTGCTGGGTCTCCTTGATAGCTGGGCCAATGTCCCAGTTTCCCTTACTTACATGCAAGTAGAACACAATTTAAAGGCACACATGGTGTGTGAAACATAAAAGTGTGTGATTGTTTTGTTTGGCATTTCTAAATATGAAATGCTTTGTTTGATTTGCTTTTTTTTTTTTTTTTTTTCAAACTTTCTTGAATAGATTAGCATAAATCAGAGCACAAGGGCACCTGGCCTGTCTTCCTGTTCCCACAGGGCTCTATCACTCTGCTGAGAAGCCAAAGCAGGGAAGAGTGACAGAAAACATTGTAGAAGATTCATGGTAAATTGTGCGTCTGCATGTGTTAAGCCTTTTCTCCACATTATCAATGGTGGAGTAGGGAGACAAAGGAAGGGTCCTTTTTGGTTCTTACAGAAAAATCGTTTTTATGTTTATTGAAAAAATGGTAGATACACTAAAAGCCAAGACATCACCACTATGCAATATGTGCATATAACATAATTGCACTTTTGCCCGTTAATTTTTTTTTTTTTTTTTTTTTTTGAGACGGAGTCTCGCTCTGTGGCCCAGGCGGGAGTGCAGTGGCTCAATCTCGGCTCACTGCAAGCTCCGCCTCCCGGGTTCACGCCATTCTCCTGCCTCAGCCTCCCGAGTAGCTGGGACTACAGGCGCCCGCCACCACGCCCGGCTAATTTTTTTGTATTTTTAGTAGAGACGGGGTTTCACCGTGTTAGCCAGGATGGTCTCGATCTCCTGACCTCGTGATCCGCCCGCCTCGGCCTCCCAAAGTGCTGGGATTACAAGCGTGAGCCACCGCGCCCGGCCGCCCGTTAATTTTATACAAAGAAAAAATTTGGTTGATCAGAATTTTTGGGGACTACAATGGCTAAAGAATACCTAAATCAACAAATCTGTCTTTCAAACTTTAAATAGATGTGCTTAAGTAATTCAAAAGGAATATAAAACAGCTTGTGGAATAAGCTTCAGAGGAGGAGTATGTGGATCTCATGCTGGTTGTGTCCCTGAGTTGTGACTTAGATACATGACTTCGTATTTCTGGGCACCGGTTTACTCAACTATCAAATGAAAGGTATAGACTGTCAATCTCCAGTGCTGTTGTCCACTCAAAAATTTTGTGAGGTGGCCATCTTTCATGTCTTAAAAATCACTATGACGGGCTCTGGGACATGTGCCTGTAGCTCCAGCTACTCAGGGGGCTGAGGCAGGAGGCTCTTTTGGGCCCAGAAGTCCAAGTCCAGCCTGGGAAACATAGCAAGACCTATCTGTAAATAATAATAATGAAGATGTCACTAAGCAATGCACTCCCTTGTTTTCCCCATTAAGTAACTATTTAAACTTGTGGAATCAGAATACATTTGTGTTGGTTCTAAGAGATTAGTTTATGGAATTCAAAAGATAGTGTCCTTAAGATTTCTAGTCATACCTTGTCTATGCTTCCTCACATTTATCAATTGGTTTGTTACCAGCTGATGATCATAATCAACTCTTTTGTGGCTACATAATTAAACTCTATACTGTACAGTCATATGGGCTCTAGAATCATATGACATGAGTTGGAATCCTGGCTTTTGCTTACTTCCTTGTTAAGAGAAGCTCAATACTTATTTAACTTCTTGGATATTGGTTTTCTCAACTATGAAACTGGAAAAATATTTCTACCTACTTAATGAGGTAGTCAAGAAAATAAGATAATCATATGAAACATTGTACATAGTACATAGTGAATATTAACCCATAGCAATAAATGTAACTTCCATTTTATCCATCCATATTGGTTGTTAATTTTACCTAACAAATGGCTAGTGTCTAAAATTAATATAGTTAATCCAGCTTTTTTTAAAAAAAAATGCTAGCATCATATATTTTTCTCTATCCATTTACTTTTAACCACCTGAGGTTTTACATTTTTTTTTCCTTTCAAAAAATCCAATCTGACAAGCTCTGCCTTATAATTAGTATGTTTTGACTATTCAGATTTAAACTAATATATTACTGGATTAAAATTCACCATCTGCTGTTTTCTACATGCTTGTATTTTTTTCTCTCTCTCTTCATCCCTCTTTTCCTGCCTTAACTTTAAAAAGCCAAATCAATTTTTAATTCAGATTTTTTAGTTTTCTATCCTTTTCCATTCCAGAATCCTGTCCAGGATGCCATATTACATTTTGTTTTCATGTGTGAGAGTTTCTAAAACTTTTCTTGTTTCTGGTGATTTTGATAATTTTAAAGAGTACTGTTCAGGTATTTTGTAGAATGTTCCTCAATTTGGATTTGTATATTTCTCTCATGCTTAGACTATAGTTACGTGTTTCAAGAAAACATATTTCAGAGATAAAGTACCATACTAATCACATGATGCAAAAGGTGCACACTGTTAACCTGACTTATCACTGTTAATGTTAACCTTGATCACCTTACTGAGGTAGTGTTTAGCAGGTTTCTGTATTGTAAAGTTACTCCTCCCCCACTCACTCCAGTTTTCATACTGTGCTTTGGAAATAAGTCAGTATGCACAGCCCACAATTAAGGAGCAGGGAATTATACCCCACTTCCTTGAACATATTTTTAGAATTTCTATTATTTTAGAAATCTTTGAACATCTTTGAACATCTATTATTTAGAATTCTTGTGCATGGGAGAGTTGTGTCTTCCCCTTCAGTTTTTAAAAATAATTTATTCTGTTAGTATGGAATTGGCTTTCAGTTCCTGATGAATATTCCATTCTATGGATGTACCACTGTTTGTTTCTTTATTCATTAACCTATTGAAGGACATTCTGGTGGATGCTAGCTTATGGCAATTATGAATAAAGATGCCATAAACATTCACGTGCAGATTTTGTGTGGACGTAAAGTTTAAGGTTATGTAAATACCTAAAAGCATAATTGCTGGATTGCATGCTGAGACTATGTTTAGTTTTGTAAGAAACTTCCAATCTGTCTTTCAAAGTGGCAGTACTGTTTCATATTCTCACCAGTAATGTAATAGAATTTACGTTGTTCTGTATCCTTATGAACTTTTTTTTTGTTTCTTCTTTATATTGTCATTCTACTGGGTGTGCATTTAAAAAAAATTCAATTTTATTTTTATATTGGCTTATTTATTCTTCTCTTAGTTTTTCATTTTGATAATAATGTACATTTAAAAATGATCTAAGCTCACCTTCATGTAATAATATATTTCTTCATATGAAGTGAAGATGTCCTACAGCAGTATGTTCCCAATTCCATCTTCCCGTGTCAGAGACATTGCTGTCATTTATTTCATTTTATATATACTTTAATCACTTCATGTAAACTGTATTTGAACACTTCACATAAACTTTAATGGTGTTATTGTTGTGGCTTTAAACATTTATCTTTTAGATCAATTAGAATATAAAACACGAAAGATTATATTTTCATCCATTGATTTCTGAATGATCTTCAAGTTTTTGATAGTTACCATTTTTCTACTAACTGAAAAACTTTTTTAAAAAAAATTCTTGCAGGACCACTAGTGATTAATTTTCTCAGTTTTTGTTTGTTAGGGAAAGTCTACATTTTTTTCTTCACTGTTGAAGGCACATTTTACTAGATCTAGAGTTTTGGCTTAGCATTATGTTTTCACTTTAGTTTTTTTTTTTTTTTTTTTTTTTCCTCTTGGCACATCAAATGTTTAACTCTGCTGGCTTTTCATTTGCATGTTACCTGCTGGAAACTCAGCTATAATTGTTGTTCATCTTTCTCTGTAGTTAAAGTGCTCCTTTATCACCATGGCTACCTTTAAGATTTTTCTGGTTATCTTTTGATTTCTATAATTGGTATATAAAATGCCCAGGTATTTTGTTGTTGTTTTGCTTTGTTTTACTTTGTTTTATCTTGTATTCATCTTGCTGAGCATTCTCTGGCTTTCTTGAATTCATGATTTATTGTCTGTCACTAAGTTTAGAAAATGTTCATCCATTATTACTTCAAGTATTTCTTTTGTTCCATCTTTCTTTTTGCTTCTCTCAATTATATGCATGTTATGCTGTTTTATAATGTTCCAAAGTTTTTGGATATTCTGCTCTTTTTTGTTATTTTTTTCTCTATTTGCCTTTAAGTTTGGATAATTTCTATTGACATATATTTAGACTTACTGATTCATTCCTAAGTTGTGTTGAGTCTACTGATGATCCATGTAAGGTAGACATCATTTCTGTTACAGTGTTTTAGACTTCAAGTATTTATTTGTGTTTTTTTCTGATATTGGCCATCTCTCTGCTCATGTTATACATCTGGTCATGCATATTATATATCTTTTCCATTAGTGCCTTTAAAATATTAAACATTTATTTTAAATATCTGACTGATAATTTTAGTTTGTGTTATATCTGTCCTTAATTCTGATTATTGATCCTTTACTTGAGGCTATTTTTTTCTTGTCTTTTTGTTTGGCTTGTAATTTTGTTGTAGTTGAAAGTCAGGAATGTTTTACAGCACAATATATAGAGGCAAATTAGCATTCATCAGTGTGAGAACTTACATTTACAGAGCTAAGTATTAGGCTGTGTATGATATTTGTTGCAGCCATGGGGACCAAAATCTTAAAATGACTCTATTGACTTGTCTTCTCTTTCTTCTTGGCTTTGGGTCTTCTCTTTGTGCTTCTTCTCAGGAATATTGTTTCTCTTGAAGTTTTCCCAGTTACAATCCACTATTGTTTTAACTGGAGTCTTATTAGCATGGATTTAGAGGATGGAGGAAGTAGTGAGGGTTTTCTTTTGATTAATTTCCAGTATTTGGAGTGCACCTTAGATCATGTATCAGAGGCATGGCTTTTACATTGTTTCTGTCCCTTCTCCAGGGGGGTCGGGAAAAAAAAAAGCTTTTCCTCTCTATGCTCCATAATCCTTTCCCATTTATGGTAAGTATTCTCCAGTGTCCCCAGTCTGTGTCCTTCAAGCCTTCTCTCCTACAGATTACAACTTCTATTTTATATGTAAATCAGAGAGGTTAGAGTAGGGCTAGAACAAAGCAGAGCAAAGTTTCTTCCCTTTAGTCAGATGGGATTTCATTGCTGCCATCTAGAAATTTTCTTCCTGAGATTAAGTGTTCCAGAGAATGAAAGCTCTGCACAGATTGCGCAATGGTTACTCTTCCCCTCTTTTTCTTCTGCTATGGTCAAGTGAGGGGCTGTCTTCAGATTTTCTCAATTATCCCTGTGTGAGAGTAGTAGAGTCCTTGGAAGAAAAGCCTGCAGAAATGTAGGTACCCTCCAATGACTGCAACTGCCAGTAGCTTGTTCTCCCAGTAGCCCACACTTGGCCACCAGCAATTCATTGGTATTTCTAGTTTTATGCTCTTACAGCATCTAGTGAACACTGCTCCAGCTAAGTAAATCTCAGGTCCTGTGTTTCACTGTGCCTCTCCCAGATTTGGGGGTAGTAGTTTGTACTGAAACCTCACTTACCTGGTGGGACAAATAAAAGTGTTTGCTTTCACATGTTTCTAACTTTCCTAATTGAAAGGATGGAATGCTTACTCTGAGTTATTTACATATCTGAGCTGACCCCAAAGCCCCTCTCCAAGCTTTTCAATACCTCCTTTTGTAGTATACTAAAGTAGGTATGACATTTAGAATTTCTTTAAATACAGGTTATCTTGGGGTCCAGATTTCTGTCAACTGATGAAGCAAAGTATAAAAGCCCTTTAATGAGCCTACATTTATTCATTAGATTACTTCAACCCTGATCCAGGATTTTAACAATACAGAATACTCTTCAACATATATTATATTTTCTTTTCTTTTCTTTTCTTTTTTTTGAGATGTAGTTCACTTTTGTTGTCCGGGCTGGAGTGCCATGGCACAATCTCGGCTCACTGCAGCCTCCTGGGTTCAAGCGATTCTCCTGCCTTAGCCTTCCGAGTAGCTGGGATTACAGGTGCCCACTACCACGCCCAGCGAATTTTTGTATTTTTAGTATAGACGGGGTTTCTCCATGTTGGTCAGGTTGCTCTCGAACTCCAACATCAAGTGATCCACCCTCCTCGGCCTTTGTATATAATTTTTTAAAATAATGCAGTGCATTTGATGTGCATTGCCCTTTGCCAGGGGTCACACTTTGTTTCTTACCCTCATGGTCTACTGAGACTTGAGTCTTATAATAGGTTTTAAGGCAATAAGAAGTAATAAGAAGTAGCATGTATATATAATGGAAAGAACCATCAGATCCTTGTAATAAATCTACTTCATAGGAGGCCTTTACAGGCTTTTCAGGCAATGGACAGGCTGTGCTACTCAGAGAAAGAAAGACTGTTCCTAATGTCAAGGTAGGCTAAACAGAATTTACAAGTCAAATTCTCCTGCTTTATTCATATCTTCCCATGTACTCACAACCTGAATTCAGTGTCTCACTTCTCTCCAATTAATGCCTAAATATTGACTAAAGGACCCTGACAATTAGAAATTTTAATTTGTGTTGTATAATAATTTAGCCATATTTGTTATTAGACTTTGAACTTTGTTTTCAGAAATCTCAATCCTGCAGCTAAGTGTAATAAGGTTTTATTTTAGTTCAATCATAGAAGCTTCTGAGTCTCTTAAGCAGTCTTTGAACTGGGAATTTAAAGCCCTGAGCTCATAATTTTATTTAAAGGTCTCCATTGAATTCAAAAGCAATAAACCAACTACATTTTATTCCTTATTTCCACGAAAATATTCTATGGCAGCAAACATTTCTGTAGTTATTTGATCACAAGTGTCAACAAGTGATCATTTAAGTGGCTACTTGGCCACTGCATGTTATAGGCTAATGGTGTTTCATTTTCCACTGGAAACAGATTAAATTAGAGCCTTTAAACTAATCATATCAGATAACCATTCCCAGATAACCATAATAAATTCTGAGAATTCATCCTTAAATTCTTTTCTTCTGGAAATACTTCCAGTACTAAATTCTGTATCAGTCAGGCTTCAACCAGAAAGAGAATTGCTGGGAATGATGTAATATAATGTATTCATTATAATAGTTTGATCACATGCAATTATGGGATCTAGTCAGACAGCCTTGGTTTTTCTGTTCCTTCTACCTTTGATTATGAACCTTAAGACACAAGAGAAGTGGTCAAGATTGATGGCTATTTTTGAAGTTGTGGTGAACAGGTAAAATGGGATCATTTAAGAAAAGAGCTGGAACTTGCACTTCTCTCTCTCTCTCGGAAACCTGTGTTGGCCTCTTGTCGTCTTCAAGCTTCCAACCTCGCTGCTGCAGATGACTTCCAAAAGGAGCTGGAGATCTGTCTTCTCACAGAACCATCCAATCATCTGGCCTAGGATTTACAAAAGAATAGAAATAGATTCCATTCAGCTAGAACAATTGGCAGGTCTGCTACCCATGGCAACAAGATGAACCAAAAAATCTGAACAATTGTGCATAATCTGTATCAGATCCTGACCCACATTGACTTTTTTAGAGTACACGTGACTATTGCTTTACTCTTATTTTCCAGTCTTGCCCACAATCTTATTTTCTTGTGATAAGATGAACCAGGAACATATAGGGACCAGGATTCTTGGAAATATGGTTTAATTGAGTCAGTTTGACAAAGCCACCACACCATTCCAATCACTCAAAAAAAACGTATTTAGGAATCCTAAAATGGTGTTAGCTACTGCATGGAAATAGCTGAAAAATACCAATATTAAGTTTTTATTTGTTTTATTTTTATTTTCTTCCCTACTGAGTTAAATATCAGCAAGTGATGCAGATAAACACAGTCTTATATTCCCTATCTGTCTACTCTTGGTGATTTCCCAAGAAGAATTTGTTCCAAGAAATGTGCCCTTGCTGACACATTTGGAGACATAGGAAGCTTTTCCATTGGTTCTTTGGGTTCTTATTCATTGGGAAAAAGTCCTTTGAGCTTCCCATTCAGATCCACCTTGTGATTGAACAGTAATATGTTCATTCATTCAACTAATATTTATTGAGCACCTACTATGTCAGGTGTACTGAGAAATGTTTTTAAATGTAGTGTTTTTTTGCCTAATAAAAATGGGTCACTGTCTGAATCTTCAGACCTCTGAACATTCTTTAAGGGTGTCAGCAGGAATTTGGGAGTGAGGAAGTGTCACAGGGACACACAGACAACCTAACCCAGAAAGGATCCCTGCTAACAAGATTATCAGGGGACCTGCTCCAGAAATATGCCCATCCAATGAGGTAGGCAAGGGTCAAATTGTGGAGGAGTCAGAACCTATTTTCACAAAGCTGTAAGCTGTGTATACGATTGTATCCTTGCCTCCCACATTTTAAGTATCTGAGATTTCTTTCTCCCCTTCATTTAGATTCTAACTTTCTCTCCAAGGTTACAATTGAATTTCATTTCTACTTCCTCCTCTCTTTTCTCCCCTGTAAAGAATGCTCCAAAACATGCATTTAAATTTTTATAAAGTACTTGCTTTATTATACCCATATATTCTTTTTCTGTCTGTCAAACACAAGCAATGGATGTGAAAATTTTATATGGACATTAAACCAGGGATATAGCTTATTAATTACACAGCCCGTAAATGAAAAGGAGATACGTGTTAGTTGAAGTGAAGGAAGGTGGGCTGGGAGGGGACATTCTTTGTTGTTTTCAGAGGGTTAATCTGGAGGCTGCTGATTTAGAAGTTACTCTCAGGGATCATCTTCTTCTTGAGCAGGAAAGCAGAGGTTCAGCCCATTGCTACACTAAATAAATTAATTAAATCATCCTCACTACTGAATTGTGATAAAAATAAAGTCACACACAAGTGAAGCAAGTTGCATATTTCCAGTGAAAACAGCAAAGGCCTAGTTATCTAGCAGATACAGTGGTTCTCAATTCCAGATGCACATTAGAATAATCTAGGAAGCTTTTTAAGAGATACTGATGTCTGAGACCCTACCTTGTAACAGCTTCTAGTATTTCCGAATATTTGACTGTAGAGGACATCGCGGATGTAGTATTTTCTAAAAGTCCCAGGTGATTTTTTCTTTTTTTCCCCAGAAGTTCAAAAGCCACTTGTTTGTGCTTTCCAAAGGGCTTGATAGAAGTACAGGTGGTTTGAGAGCACTGCTAGACCAAATTGAAGCTTCTCAATCCTGTTTTTGGTCAAATAAATACCAGGCACCTGCATATAGCTGGCTGGGGAGTGCAAGGGTGCCTTGACTCTGAGGACAAGGACTCAGCACAGAAACGAAACTGCAGTGGTGAAGCTGCCTGGGTAAAGGACACAACTGGCTGTTGGGAACATGTGCAAGTTTGGCTGGAATGACAAATGCTAAGTAGGTAGACAGACTGTTGGTCATTTGGACTCATTATGGAATCCCCCATGATACCATCCTCAGTATTTGGCTATGGGGAGGACTGTGCATTTATAAGTGATTATAAAGTCTCTTGTCAATCAATAATCCGTCAGGATTTATTGAGAATTTTCAGGCTTTTGTTTCCACAATAGATGCAGTGGCAGATACAAAAAGAGTGTTTCTAGGCACAAAGGAATTCTGGTTTAATTGGGAAAACAAATTATGTTTACAAATTGTTACATTATTAGAAATAATTTGAGTTTGAGGGCAGAAAGTAAAATCCTGCCTAATAGATACAACTTATTTTACCTACATAATACTTTTAAAAAATGTTTGCGCTCTCTGGCAATATTTAAAAATCAGAAGGTTTCACATGAAAAATCTATATTCCTAACAGGAAAAACAAAAATATCAGCAGCTCTGTCCAAGCTGGGACCATATGCACTCATAGCAATGTCTGACGTTTTGAGCGGAAGTAAATTGTGTCTATTTCAACACAGACTCCAACCCCTGCCCCACCCATTGTATTAAATCAGGCACACTTTATCTACTTAGATTTCCTGTATGGTTGCTGCAGGCATCTGCGTTTACAACTCTTGTGTTAAGCAAAAATTGTCATTAATTCATTGAGAAGCAATTTAGAATTCCAGGGAGGGTGTAGCCAGGCAGGGATGGAGCCACCAGGAAAACTTCATGAAGAAAGTGGTGCTCAGGCTGTCCCAGAGTCAGGAATTACATAAGGTTAGGGAAGGATAGAGGGAACTCAAGTACAGAGACTGAGGAGAGAAGCAAGAGGTAAATGTGAAATAAATTCTGCTTGTGTTAAAGTCCTGAAACAAGAAAATGAGGGCAAAATCTTTATAACAGTGTTGGGAGAAGACTGTATGCAAAATTTACTTAAAAGTCCTACAAATAAAGAGCAAAACCACACATAAGCTAGTAGAAAAATAGGCCAAAATTATTAACATGTTATTCACAGAGGAGGAAACACAAATGGCTAACAACTATAAGATAATATTTGGAAATAAATGCAAAAAGAAAAATGCATACCTATTGTAATACACACATATAAATATTTAAGACTTGTAATTCAAGGGATTGACAAGGAGATGGGAAAAAATAGAGGATTTTATATCCTGCTTAAAGTTGTGTAAGTGGTACAGCACTCTTTGAGGATAGTTAGATAGTATTTGATATGGTTGAATATTTGTAAACGTACTTTGGACCCAGCAATTGTTTGGAATCTAAGAAATGTTTAGAATTTCTTAGAGGTTTCCTTAATATAAATACAAGGAAAGATATATAGTATGTTCAATGTAACATTGTGTGTAAGACCAAAATACCAAACCAAAACCAAACTAAAATAGAACTAAATGAAATGTTCTTTAGTAGGAAAAATAGTTAAATAAATGATACATACTCACATAATGGAAGCTCTATGCCAATGGTAATGGAGTAATTAAAGCTACCTATCACTTAACTAAATCCCCAAACCAGATGTTTGAAGAAAAAAAAAGTTGCAATATTGCATATACAATATGAAAATATTTATAACAATTGTGAGAAACACAAATTGAACAAACATAATCTGTGAGGGTAGTAAAAATGTGGCCTGTTGGATTAGCGAAAGTTTGTATAGGTGGTGATAAGGGTGTCCTGAACTGGCCCAGGGAAACACAAATCCTGTACAACCAGGGAATGTAGGTCTTGGTGCTTTCGTTATCTAATCAGCCATTCCCATTGTGTTCTCTGAAGCTATTACCTGTAGGGGGCTGGTACAGGGGATAACATTGTAGATTCATATGAAAGATGCTGGTTGGAAAAATATCTGGAAGAAGATGGGAGACTCTTACAGGAAAACCAGCTATGAGAGGTGGAGAAAAGGAAAAAGTAGACATGTTGCACTTATCATTCTTTTGTTGTTGTTATGATTAGGAAAACTGAGAATCTCTCCTCTAATTCACTCAATCAGCAAGCATCAGCTTCTGCCTGGGTATCTGCTGTTGCCTCCTAATTGCTCAGCTCAGCTCTTCCAGTCCTCGACTACTCTATTCCTCCTGCACACCAACTGAGTCAGTCTCCTAAAAGCGCAGCTCTGACAATTACCCCCAGGTCTTTATTATCTTCTGCATAAACCTAGGACTCTGTGGCATTCACTCTCAGACTCCAGATTTTTTCTATTCTCACTTCCCAACTCATTATCTTAACAGATATTTAATGAGAACTCTCTTTTTGCAAGTGCCTTGGTGGGCACCAGCAATCAGAGGTATCCAAGATTAACAAGACACCTGTTGCTATAGACCTTGCAGGCCAGTGAGGGAGAGACACAGCTGAACGCTGGACCAGCAATTTAGATCATTGAACCTGGCATGAGTGCTACAAATTCAACAAAGCCAATATGTGATGTTGAGCTACTGGGAACATTAGATAGGTGAATCAGGGAAGGCTCCTTGGAGGAAGTAGCATTTGCGCTGGAATCAGAGGGATGGGAAAGTATCGGTCATAGAAACATCAGTGGGAGAATGGTATCGTTCATAGAAACATCAGTGGGAGAATGGTTCGGTCTTTACTTCCATGCTGTGGTCAAATTGATCCTTTCCCTGTGAGCCAAGAACCATGGCAAAAACATTTATATACACATATGTATATGTGTGTATGTGTTTATACATATATGTATATGTGTGTATATGTGTATAGAGAGTTTATGTCAAACATACATACATACATACATATATATATGTTTGTGTATGCATGTGTATGTGGTGTATCTCCATGGTTCCTGGTCTATAATTGCTGTTGCCCTTGTTATATATTGGAGTGTTTTAGGTCTCAGAAGCAAGGCTCAGAAAACAGAATCCCTCTATTTGACCTCCTGCTTTTTTTTTCTTTCTTTCTTTTCTGCAAGACAAGGCTTAGAAACTAAACATATAAGGTCCTGCCCCATCTCCTGGAAGAAGGAATGCTACACAGAGAGGCTAAGAAGACTCTGGACAGGTAGTGCTGGTTTTCTCCACTCAGTCTTTGAGAATTAGATCATACCCTTTTTGTCTGATCTTATTTCTACATGGTTGTTAACCATGCCTATCCAATGAACTCTTTCTTAAAGGCCCCAGAGGACAGGGTTTGTAGAACTTCTGATAGCTGAACATGGGGAGGTTTCTGGAAGGTGATATGCCCAGGTAGGGGATGGAAGCTCTGCCCTCCTTCTCTCATGCCTTGCCCTAGGATGTAACTCATTTTACCCATTTTCTCCTCTCCTCTCATCTTCTCTTCTTTTTGTAAATTATTTTCCTCTTTCAGACTGCTTTTCCTGACAAAGCTGAAACTATTACTGGGCATAGTTCTGTACTTGTACCTTCAGGCCTTATGAACCTAAGAGAAAACTTTCCCTACCACCTCAAGTGAGAAAAACACCGGGGAAGGACACAGTCCTATATGAAATTATTTGTCAGGCATTGAGGAGAAACCGATTCATGTCAGCCCCATAAACGATTATTTGCCCGGCACTTGGGAGACACCTACATTCCAAGGGAAGGAAAATGGGGCCTTTCTGAGCCAACAAAACTGAGAGTTTCCTTAGCCTTTTATAAACACTCATATCAGAAAACTCCACCTCCTGGTAGAGACATTGTAAAGGTCCATGGCATAACTGCTAAGCCCTGCTCTGCCCCCCAGGGCTAAAGAAGCATCTCAGAGGCTTGGCAAAGTTGTACACACAGTACATCTCAAATCATCTCATTTCTGTAAAGCCATAACATCGGCCAAATTCCATATTACATTTTTGCAAACCCATTTATTTTACACAGACTAGGTGTTTCCATCATATTTCTGTGGCAGATTGATCACAGAGGGCAAACAGGAATGGGTCTGAAGGCCGCTCTAGAGAACTCTGTTTCCAGCATGCCGTGTCACACCTCTATCTGTTAACTTATGGACAATTTCTGTTGCTGCTATCTTCAGCCTCTCAGCCTAGTTTTTATCAGCCTAAGTGTCATTTATTTTATAACTCAAAAGCATGGCCTTCCCTGAGGGGAATGCAGCCCAAGCCCTCCTTCTTATTTTGGGGAGCAAATGATTAACCCTACCCTCCTGCCTTATCCATCCATGCCTCACGTGCAAAAATTACTGGTGGCCTCCATGCAGCCTCAGCATACAGTTTGTTTATAATTATAATAACATGCATCATTTGTACACTTTTTATATTTTTCACTTATTAATGTATGCCTTAAAAATATCTTCTCTCCCCTTCCTACTTTCCTCTTTGAAGGAGCAGTTATTGATTCCTATGTCAGATCTTGAATTTTCTTTTACAGTGCAGAATCTGGAGCTAGAGAAAAATTTAAAAAGCCACAAGGATGTGAATTGCTGAGCCTGAGATAGAAGAGGTAGGGAAAAAAAACATAAGAACCTGCTTGTCTTCTGTTGAGTTAAAACGAACTATTTTTTAAAATAGTGTGAAATAAAGGAAATGAGAGACATATTAAGGATATGCTACAGTGAATGTAGAGACAAGTGTAAGAGGGATTTAGAAAGACATATTTAATATGTTTTTCTGAGTAGTTTTAATGAGAACTCACTTTGATATTTATAAGGAGATAACAAACTTGATGTAAATTAACTTACAATCATTTTGGGTTGTCATACTAAAGTTTCTTAAAATGTGACTTGATGTCAGAACTAGAGCAAAAATCTGCTTAGTTTAAAGTAATTTGTTTAATTGTTTGGAATTTCTCTTGGCATTCTTATTTCTCTCCCCAAATACAGTGTATGTTTCTGAAAAGCAAAGGTTCAGTGTTTCCCATAGTAACTATTCTCTGCCTTAGATATATTATTCACTTAGTAATCCTTTGTTATAATAAGATATTGCATTTTGAATTTTTTCATTACTGTTATTATTTTTATATCACTATTATTGACTAATTCATAATGAACGCTAATTATGTGTCAAGGCCTGTGCTAACATTCAGAAATGCCTCACCTCATTTAATCATCACAGTCTAGGCTCATGAAGGGATTATTGCAATAATTCATGTTAGAGATGACCAGTTTATGAGCTAGTCCATTTGAAACAGGAATACAAAAACAGGGCAGATAAAAAAACATACCTGGAGAGCAAAATCAACAGAACTTGAGTGCATATTACACGTGGACACAGCAGAGAAATAAAGTTGAAGATGACTTAGAAGAAAAGGAAGCCTTGAGAGTTTATGTCAAGTTACCAAGAGAGGTTGAGGATTCTTCTTCAAGGCTCACCTGCTCACCTTAAGTAAGCTGCTGCTGTCTCAACGTAAGATCAGTAAAAGGCTTCTTGAGGGTCTATCGAGTTTTTAAATGACTGATGCTTCTATATAAAGAAGGTGACAAGAACTTCATGGAACTTCTACCACATGCCATACCTTCCACAATATGAACTATCTCATTTAATCTGCAAAAAGCCCATTTTTCACAAAAGGCAATGGAGGCTCCACATTGCTGGCCAGAGTGGTATTTTCTGTAGCTGTAAATGTATTTTCTGTAGCCAAAATAAAATAAATGTCCAGTTATATAAGAATAACTGTATAAATGACAATATATCCATCTAATGGACCATTACACAGCCATTAAAAATGGCAGCCTTGAAAGCAATTTTATGCCATATGAAAATGTTCATGATATAATGTTATAATGATTGAAAAAAATTAGAGTGCCCAATAATACGCATGAGATTTCAGTTTTACAAGAAATATTCACTCTCAGCAGGAAGAATGAAACTGAGCTCAAGTAAGGTGCTCCTGTCCTAGACTGTGCATTCATGCATCATGTGTTCCAAACAAGTAAAACTTACAGTAGTATCTGCCCTTTTGATATTGCCCACTGAGACCTGCCATGCTCATGTGAATCTTCTTTTTCTAGCTGATATTTCTGAAGTCAGAATTTTGTCAGCTCCCAAATCATCTGCCATACTCCTCCTGCCCCTGTGCTTTGCCCTGTCTGGATTTGTTCTTGTTTTTGTCCTTGCCTCATTGTAAACTAGTAGCCTGGCATACATCTATGTATTCAATGGTTTTTACTTTCATTTCTCATATGTCTATAGAAGGTCTATACTGGTGTTATCCCATGGGGATATGGAAGCCATAAATACACTGTACATATGTAATGTGAAATTTTTCAGAATTCACACTAAGATATGTGGATACTTTTTACAACAAAAACAGAAACAAGTAAATTTAATTTTAATGATATATTTCAAACTATATATCCAAAATATTGTCATTTCAACATATAATATTAAAATTATTTGAGACATTTAACATCTTTGTATTTGTAATAAGTTTCAGGTTTTAGTTTGCATTTTACACTTAGAGCACATCTCCATTTGGACTAGCCACATTTTAAACGCCCAAGAGGCAGATGTGGCTGATGGCTGCTGTATAGGACAGCACAAATCTATATCACACACTGTTGCTTTTCACATTTGGTTTTCAAACTTCTCAGCTTTGTATAGTTAAAATTTAGATAAAAGGGTAATCAGCACTCAATCCAAAAGTGAATTGTGAGAAAATTGTTTTCCTTAATGGGAAATTCAGCTACGGAGCCTTGCTAATGGATTAATTGGCAAGGTGTAATATATTTGGCAATAGAGCAGTTTTTCCATTTGTTTAAATAAAGATGGAAATTAAAATTACTGATGTCTTTGAGTTTCAGCAGGCTGAAACTACAGGAACCTTCACTTCTCTGAATCAGGAAAGGCATCAGAACTAAGATTTAGTCAAGAAGAAATGGCAACCACCTAAGCCAATGGAAAGGAGCCAGCAGGGCGAGCTCCCCTTCTCTAGCAATCTCTGCCAATCATTTAGTCATCTGTTTGCACAGTTCTGCAAAATGATTCAATGGATTTAACTTTGACTCCCAGTGATTGTGCAGGCTAGACTCTTTTTTCTTTTTCCCTCTTTGAATTGCTTTTGGGTATGGGAACTGTCAATTTAGTCACAGCAATATAATTACATATAATTATTCTCCTCTATCATGAGTCACCAGTGGAGTTGGTAGGCAACTGGAAATGGAAAGAGGTCAACTAATTTGCTACTGAATATTTTCCTCTGGGCCAGAACTACTTGCTCATGATCCCTACTGTAATCAAATGTGATATACATTCCAAAATTATCACATATTCAACATATTGATCTTTATTCTTCAGTGAACTTTACATCTTTCAGCATCCTTTCTTATACATTATGTAATTTTCTGTCATTTTCAACTTTGGGAGTTGCAATCGGCAATTGTTATCCCATTTTTCAGATGAGAAAAGTGGAGCTTAGAGGGTTTTAAATGATTTATCCTGCTTTTGTCTCTCACTTTGCCAAACTAAGCTTCGCACCACTGCTAGCGTGAGCCACATTATACAAAATTTGACTAAAACATGCCCTGATTAAAATGCTCCCTGCTGATTATGGCCATAATACAAACTCCTTGATGTGACCCATGAGTCCCTTTGAGATCTGGCCCCTTGTCCCTCTCTTCAGCCTAATTTCTCATCTCTGCACACTTGGAATGGTCCCCATACTGGTCTATAACCATAGCTTTTTTACCATAAGTGGGTGTACACTGCTGATGCCCTTTAGGTTTCTGCATTTCGTTGTATGGGCATGACATTTAAAAACATAAAACACAGGCTTATTACAGCATATTGACTTCATTAGTCAGAAGTCATGCATTAGTCAGAAGAAATGCAGAAAATGCATTTCTTACTCAATGTCTCACACATACTCTTCTCCTTTCTTTCCTGCTCTTCACCTCCAGAATCATCTGACTTTCTCCTGAACCTTTCTCAGTTTCTGAGTATGAAATAACCAAATTCAATCACTTGTCATCTTGACCAGTTTTGGACCAATATTTGTATGTAAAACAAAAACATTATTTTAAGTAATTATAGTTGCTTCCAACTATTATTATAATAATTACAATGTTGCTGAGTAGCATGGCACATACCTGTAGTCCCAGTTACTCAGGAGTTTGAGGTGGGAGGATAGCTTGAGCCCAAGAGTTCAAGTTCCAGTCCAGCCTGGGCAGCATAGGGAGACCCTGTCTCTAAAAAAGAATTTTAAAATGATAATGTTCACAATTGTGCTGAGAGTTAGGCACAATTCATGTGTACTGGACCCTGTAAGTCTAGGGTAAGACTCAAGATTGTGGGTCCTGGGGGTCACATTGTTTATATTTGAATGTGTCTCTCCATTTTATATGCTTATTGCATCTTCACAA
The DNA here is from genome assembly GCF_000001405.40 of Homo sapiens. NCBI lineage: Eukaryota > Metazoa > Chordata > Mammalia > Primates > Hominidae > Homo > Homo sapiens. Next base: position 108,391,924 of record NC_000010.11, on the reverse strand, counting down.
CCCCATGAGCATGTGTTATTTTTTAACAGATGTGATTACTGAGGCTTTGAAATGTTAAGTAACTGGCCAAAAATGTACAGCCAGCAAGGAGAAATGGAAGGATTTATCCCAGATCCTCCTGATTGCAAAGTCCAGGTCCTTTGCTGAAGAGATGACAGTGCTTAGACACCTGCTGGTTCAGATTCCTTTATCCTTGTCACTGTCAACTCTTTTGATGCCTCTTTCTAGCTAAAAGTAAAATGTTGCTGGCTAGAACAATTCATATAGTACTTAGCTAAAAATTATAAGGGATTTTGCAAAGAACATTTTATATGCTGCTAAAGGTCAAGTTTAAATATTTACTCAGTGTCTGAAAGATGATACAGATACTTCTTTATAAATTTAGCTGTCACATACCTAGGGTTTCTAATTTTCAAAATCAAATATTGATTTATTTTGAGTTTTCTAACAATGGTAGTGTCTTAATAGAATTTTCTAATAATTTTAGACTTCATTGAGATTATATCATTGCTGCTGGTTTAAATATTTGTTTTTATATCTCCAGAAACACACAGCATTTCTACACTTCACAGGCAGACGTAATGCTTTAAATGTCCTTCCTTCTTGCTGTTACACGTTAGTTATATTCTGATATTGATGTTCCTTATAAAATAAAACTTTGCCTCTCTAACAAGAGAGTTGTTTTGAGAATTTATATAGTAGGGTGACATTAATCATACCTCAAGGAGAACTTGGCTATGCTTCCATCTCAAACGTGTACAAGAGTCAATTTGTTTAAAAATTATTGAGCACTGTACTCTGCTATTGCTAATTATGTGCTAATTAATGTTCTTTTACTTGCTCATTTATTTTGAATCTTCCTTCATGTCGAGGACGTGAAAGTGAGTATATTTTATTAATGGCTTTTATCCGTTTTTTAAAACAGATTTTAGAACAAAGTTTCATACATTATAGCAGGCCAACATCTACTTTTGATAAAGACACAACATTCCAGGGGATATTATAGAACTAACAGTAATGACTAATTTCATTGAAATCTTCACGACACAATGCATTAGGAATTTCTTAGGTGATATAAATCAATTCTTTATTATTATTTTAGAGACTGGGTCTCACTTTGTCACCCAGGTCTGGAATTCCTAGGATCAAGGGATCATCCTGCCTCAGCCTCCTTAGTAGCTGGGACTACAGGTGCATGTCACCATGCCAGGCTGATTTTTTAATTTTTTGAGGAGACAGGCTCTCGCTATCTTATCCAGGCTGGTCTCAAACTCCCGGACTTAAGAAATCCTTTTGCCTCAGCCTCCCAGTGTGCTGGAATTACACGTGTGAGCCACGGCACTCAGCCTAAATATTTTCTTTAAAGATTGTTTTTGACATTGAGGTTCTGAGAAATGACAAGGAAAGTTTAAAGGACTAAAAATGCTTAGGTAAATTTTGTAAAAACTATTATGTCAGCATATAACTATATGTTAATTTTATTTTGTTTTATCTTAAAACAATGTCATTTATTGGAATAAGAGTCCATTTTCCTTGATGAGAGGACTTAGATTTAGTATTTACATATGTTGAATTGGAGGACGAACTTTATGCAGAGAAGACAATATGTATAAAGGTCCAAAAATTCAAAGGCACATAGCAAGTTGGAAGAAGTAAGGAAGGTCTTTGCTGAGGCTCCAGATGCAAGCAGGGCAGGCGCATGCAGGATCTCTAGGAAAAAGCTAAGGCTTTGGTTCTTTACCCATTGTGTGTTGGAAAAATCACTCTCACTACAGTGGAAGAATACATTTAAAAGGGTAAGAGAGAAAAAAAATTAGCGAAGGCAGATAATGATAACTCAAACTAGGGTATCAGAAAAACTAAGGTATTGTAAGTATCAGTGGAGCATAGATAGTTTTGAGAAAGATTTTACAAACACCCTGAGAAGGTTTATTTATTGGTTGGATGAGTAAGACCAACATTGTGGGAGAGGGAGGAGTTGAGGATGATTGTCAGTTGTTACATTTTCAAAACTGAGTCAAAGGTAGATTTTTTTTTCTTCCCCTGTTTTCTAGCAGAGAGCTCTGGAAAAAAAAAATTAAAAATCAAAAGAACTGTCATAGATTAGGTTGACCAAGAAATCATCTCTGTGGCTGAGATTTGCTTCAGGAAGTTTTCTGGGAAGTCTTCCAAGAAACCACATTTGTAAAGTGAGGAAAAGGAAAGAGAAGGTGAACAGTGTCGTAGTTGTAACAGAGGCCTTGGCCAATCCCACTGGGGAGTCTGAGGCTGGAAAGACTTTTCAAAAATGTCCCATATTGAAGCAAAGGAAGCATATTGGCCTATCATTGATAGGAAATTCCCCTGGAGAAGAGTCTATCTTCATATGAGTCAGTTCCCATCAGTCACCAGCAATTTTTTGGGGAGGGAGGCAACTGCGACCTTTCAGTAGGTGACGTTCCTGGCAGCTAAGACAATGAAAGAATTAATCCTGCAGGGGGTGTAGGCAACATACAACAGCATCTACTAAGTTCTACCCTTGGCACTATCAGATTAATCAGAAACAGTGTCTCTGACATTTTGATGGGACGTTTCCTGGAGAAATTTCAAGAGATATATTATTAAGACCAACTGTAGCCTCTGTGGCTAGAACTGGTTTGAGGGCTGCAGCTGATACTCTAAATCCTTCCCAATGTTCTACTATTGGACATTTAGATTTCTGTTACTTTGTTAACACCTCCACTGGGCTAAATGGCTTAGCTGGTTGTGTGAATCCAAATCCTCCCACTGAGGTTTCAGAGCCCAGATCACCATGAGCTTCTCAGGTCATAGGCACTTGTCAATGTACCATAAAAATTGGATAGGACAGTATGAGAACTGCTGCATGGATACTCTCAGTGATCTTTCCTGTCCTCCTTATGTGACATATATCTAAACACTTCTTCCCTGTCCCCATTGTGTAACAGCAACACTGCATCCTTCTCATGCTTGGGGTTAATTGTCCTTCCAAAACAGATGACTCCTTTGTCTTCTGTTCTCTCAGCACAAGGGATTGGAAAATAGCCAAACCTTAAAGTGTGCTGTGTCTTCTGATAGATGCTTCCCTCTCTTTAAACTGTAATACGTCTTTTTCTGTTCTCCAGCTGGAAGAGATAAGAGCCTCATTTTATACTGCCACAAAGGCCCTCTGACTTTCAAACTTGATCTTAAATTGTCCTTAGACAATCAATAACTTGGTTTTATAAAACATAGCGATGCTGCTTCCAAAACATTACTTAGGTCATTAAAAAGCATCAGAGCCAAGCAGTTTACACAAAGCTACCTGGGAATTATATATTTGCCAAAACTGCATATAGGTGAAACTGGAAATTTATGAAAAAATGTTTTGCTCATCTTGATGGCATAAAACATGATTTATATTTTACAGTTGAGATATTTGGCAAAGTGCTTTCATTGTTCCAACCCATTAATGACAGGAAGTAGATCCCACAGAATAAAATTGCAAATATATTTTTAGCAGAAGGAAAAAACACATTGAAGATTGACCAAGGCTTGAAATTAGGATGACATGGAGTTTTTTCATATGACCTGAGAAACTCATAATATACCTGTCTTCTCTCAAGGAAGGGTTACACGCAGCAGGTTTAATTATGGAGGCTGTATGTCTGATGCCATCTTTTGATAAACTTCAACTCAGAGGGTTTTTTGTTTGTTTGTTTGTTTTTTGCTTGAAACTATGATAAACCTCTTTTCTGGAAATCTCCCTTTCCCCCTCTCTCTCGCGGTTGATTAAAAATGATTATCATCAATTACATAATTATTTGTATTATTTCCTCTTCCCCTCTGCCTCCCTTTCTCTCTCTCTCTCTCTCTCTCTGTCTCTCTCTCTCTTTCTCTTTCTCTTTGTCCCTCTCTGTCATAAACACTCAGACACATTTAAGGTAGACATGACCTAAGTATTAGTAAATATAAGACCAGACCCTTATATTTCAGATTTGTACACTTTACATGGCTTTTACTTGTCATTGTGTAAACTGAAACTAAGATCTTGCGCTTTGTGTTTTTAAAGCCAGGCTGTGTAGCATGATCCACTTTTTGCCAAACCTTCATCTCTAAAAGACTAATGATCCATTTTTATGTAAATGTTGATCCCTTAAAATGAAAATCAGGAGCCTCCAGTTCGTGGTGACCTCTGCATCCCTTGTAATCTTATATCTCTACCAGTGCCTCTGTCATTCATTTCCCAACTTACTCTAAACTGTGGGATCTTGGCCCAGGCGTTTGAGTTCCCTGAATACCAGATTTCTCAACTATGAAAATAAAGAGGTCAAACCTTCCTACATGTACTGCTGTTGAATACTAATGAGAAAATGAAGTCTCTTTTTCTGTGTTTGGGCTTATTTCTTCCATGACTCTCGCTTTCTGGGATAAATGGACAGACATTTTTAATCTTAGAGAGTATTCTTTCCGTCTAGAGTCAGTTTAAGGCAGTGGGGAGGAAGCTGAAGAGAGCTAACGGAAAGAACAGGGACAGGCCAACAAGCGAGCCCAGGTACGGAAAAATGAATCTAAGAACATTAACTACAGTAGTTCTCAAAAAGTGGCTCCCAGGCACCAGATTTACCTTAAGTGATATCTATACCTTGAGATTCCTCAGTTTCACCCAAGATTCATTAAATCAAAACCAATGAAGTTCTATTTACAAGCGTCTCCTTGCTTCTGAAGCTCAGAAAATATTAATAATCGCTAGCCTACTTTGTGCCTACTGTTGTGGGAGTTTTAAAGGGGTTAGAGATAAGAAAACAATTCTGTCTCTAGCTTTAATACATTTTTAATTTGGAAGGAGTCATTGATATTCTTGTTGATCCCCACACCCTTGACTCCCCCATCTGGAGCTGCACTGGGGTGTCATGAACAGAACCAGCCACACTTCTTTTCCAGTCTGTGCCAGTGCTACACAGGCTCCTTAAACCGCTTCAAACAGATTGGGTGTATCTTATAAAGCATCAGAAAAGCAATCACAACCTTGTGTACTCTAAAAGTAGCCTCAGACTAAAGGCTCTTTGTGTGTTCTAAAAGGAGCTTCAGATCATTCAGATCCAGGGGCATCGGGAAATTCGAAAATAAGAAGCTATCCCTGCAAAAAAGCCCCTGGGATATCACCAGCTCCGCAAAACAGGTGTAAAATGAAAACTTTCTCATTGTGGATAATATAATCTAATTAGTTCCAAGCCAATAGCAAGACCGAAGTACCTTATTAATAATTCCCACTTTCATATGTTCTCTAATATCTACAAGATGTGTGTTTCTTTTTCACTCCAGGAGTTTATGCTGACCAGCACTGCGTTACTGATTTTTATTTTTCCATTGAATAAGAATCATGTTATAAAGAAGCCTATGAATGTGCTCTAAACCCTTTTAAGCCAGGCACAAAGCCATTTTTTCAGAACAAAAAAGGGATAGAAAGCATCTCCTTTCTTGATGACTATAATCTTAAACAGAGCAGCTAGGGATCTAGAGCAGTGGCCCCCAACCCTTTTGGCACCACAGGAACCAGTTTCGTGGATAAAAACCCCAGATCACCAGGCATTAGTTAGATTCTCATAAGAAGCGCATACCCCAGATCCCTCACATGCACAGTTCACAAGAGTTTGCACTCCTATGAGAATCTCATGCCACCACTGATCTGAGAGGAGCTCAGGTGGTAATTCCCACTCACCTGCTGCTCACCTCTTGCTGTGCAGCCAGGTTTTAACAGGCCGGGGACCAGGACTGGTTTGTGGCTCAGGGGTTGGGAACCCATGATCTAGAGGACTCCTAAATCGCTCATCTGGGCTAGTTTCACTTTCAAACTGTATACACTTCCACAGATAATATTTCCAACACAAGTATACACACACACAAACACACATGGGTCTATGCCCTTACCTGTGTAAAAGCTGACAAATTATAGTAGAGAATCAAATGTTGTTACTGAACTGATTCCTGTTTCTACAAAATAATAAACTTTACTTTTATTCCTTATCAGCCTATTCTCTTTATTCTTACCAGAAAAAAAATGTCAAACATTTAAACTTTTTTTTTTTTTTTTTTTTTTTTTGAGACAGAGTCTAGTTCTTTTGCCAAGATGGAGTGCAGTGGTGCGATCTCAGCTCACTGCAACCTCCACCTCCCGAGTTCAAGGATTCTCCTGCCTCAGCCTTCCAAGTAGCTGGGATTAGAGGGATGAGCCACCACGCCCGGCTAATTTTGCATTGTTAGTGGAGACAGGGTTTCCCCATGTTGGCCAGGATGGTCTTGATGTCCTGACCTTGTGATCTGCCCACCTCGGCCTCCCAAAGTGCTGGGATTACTGGCGTGAGCCACCACCCCTGGCCTAAACAATCTCTCCTTTTTTTTTTTTTTTGTTTCACATTCACATTTGCTTCTTCCTCAGTGTTTGTCTTTGTGCCTGTTTCTTGCTGTACTTCTGTTCTTCTCTGTCAGCTTCTCAATCTCTTTGTTTCTGGGAAATAATCTGTTTGTCCTCTGTCTCTGAAAGAAATTTGTTAGAAAATTTAATAACCTCTCTCCTTATTCACCTCCACGAACATTTATCTCACCAAAGAATATTATGTGGTTTGTTTATGAAAGATATTTGTGCTATTTTTAGACTTATTTCATATTCTATATCAAATTTAGCCTCTTTGGTCTAGACCTATTTTTTAAATAATCACTAGTATAGTTTTTATAAAAGTCATACATATATAATGAATATCTGTGTTCATGTGTGTCTGTGTGTGCATGTATGTATTTGTGTGTGAGCCCACTAAAAAAAGCAAAGGTTTTCCACACAGCTTCTTCCCACATGCAGTCTCACCCTTAGATGCAAGCACTATTAATCATTTCTGATTCTTGTACCTTGGTGATTAATTCATAATTCTGTAAAATATGCTTCTGTCTCCATACATTGATTTATCTACTCAGGAGCTGTCTTTATTTTCCATATTTCCCTCCCTGTTAGCTCTCTGTTTTTCTGTCTTGATATTGAATCTAAAGTCAGAAACTTAATGAAAAGGAAATTAAGATCCCCAGTGTCTCCCACTCCAGTGCCCTGGTCACCTTTTAGATTAATGTCCACCAGAAGATAACATTGCTTCAAAACCAAAGGTCATCAAGTGGTCTCAGGGATGGGGGCCAATGGAAAGGTAGAGTTCCATGGGTCACTTCTTATTAAGTTATTTTCTTGCAGTATAAGACAGGGAAGAGCACTCAGAATCCCCTGCATGACCAGCAGTCTCAGCCAAAATTAAATGATCTTTGAGATGCTATGAAAATTGGTTTGACAATAACATGTCTTTCCTTTTTCCTACCCTCTGCCTGCATCAACACACATAATCAGATTTGGAATTTTACAACTGTCAGAATAAATGAGGTGTAGCATAAATCCCATTGTTTCATCCTACTACACGTGGGTTTGGTTTTCTAACCCATTTATTCAAAAATATAGCATTGTTACCTTGCCTCCTTAGAGCAGTGGATAAGGCTTTACAATAAATCAATGTCCAAATTTCTCTGGAATCAGCCTGTGGTTAGTTGGAAACTCTAGGAATAAAGAGAGATTTGGTATAAGAAACAGTGAAAGGACTGTTTAAGTTGCACAGAAAAAGACTCTGGAGAGAAGGTAACAGAAGAATGCATGCTAGCATTCCATGCCTAGCATGGAAAAGCCAGGAAAATGCCCTGTCAACAGAAGAGATCTAATAGGAAGGAAAATACTACTAATTTGAATGTAAACAAAATCTTTCATTAAGCATGAAATTTAACCTGTAAGTCTCCTACCCAGAGGATTAGTTAACAAAGATAACTTCATCAGATATTAATAAGAATAATGAAAATAGAAGGAGACCAAGGAGAAAGAGGAGGAGGAAGACAGCAACAATGACATCTTAAAGAAGAAGAACTGAGTAGTAAATTAGAGTAAAATTTTCCTGTTTATAAAGTACCATAATGACATTGTATTTCTTACCCTCAAATTTTTGGAAACTGTCAGTAGACAACAATTGCAGACTTCAAAATAGAAGGCACATGAAGTAATACGGTTGGCCATCCCTGTGAATGATTTCCACATTCATGGATTCAATCAACCTTAGATTTAAAATATTCAGAAAAAAATAAAAGTAATACAACAATAAAAAACGCAAAAACAGTATAGCAATTATATACATAACACTTGCATTATATTAGGTATTATAAGTAATCTAGAATTGATTTAAGGTATATAGGAGAATGTGTATAGGTTATATGCAAATACTATGCCATTTTGTATATGGAACTTGAGCACGTCCGATTTTGTTATTTATGGGGATTCCTAGAGTCAATTCCCCACTGATACCAAGGAACGACTATACTATCTTTTTTTGGCGGGGGTGGGGGGGGCGGTGGTCATGAGGGCATATTAAGCTTTCCAAAATACTTTGTTCAATAATTTAAGTCTTGATGTAACTACATGATATATTTGGGTAGGAGGTTTATATGAGAAAAAAGATACCCACAGAATGGAAATGACTTGTACCGAGCCTAAACTTGATTTTCTTTAAGTCTAAGCCTTCTTTACTAGATGTCAAGATTCAAAATATGTAGCTACAATAAACAAGTTTCCTTCAAGCTTGTTAATGTACACCGTCTCATTGAAAATGTCTAGCATGAAGGTTCAGCTGCTACTTTGGCCCAACTGACATTTTTTGGAAATGTAATTTGGCTTAGTAATAAATCATAAGTCATGAAATCAGTCAGAGCTGGATCAATCTACCCTAACACACATGAATTATATTAGTAAAATTATTTTAACCTCTCCGGGCTTAATTTCTTCTAATGTAATGTAGTGAAATAGGAAAGCCTAGCTGTGAACAGCATGGATTTTTTTGTCTGCCCTCTTTAATATTTCTCCAGATGATTTGGACATGGCCAACAATAAATTAACTTAGGTTAACCATAGAAACCAGAATCGACCAATCAGAAAAATTCTTCCACCAAACTACCTATGGTATTAAAAAATGGACATGTGACTCCAGGCAAGTTAATTTTCTTTTTAGACACTTCTATGCTAGAGAAAGAAGGAGTACATATATCTTATAGCTGTAGATGTCTATTATCCCTGCCACATACAAGAGTCATATTTTTGAAAGAGAATGAGGACAGATCAAAAAGGAGACAGAGAGAGAGAGCGCGCATAAGAGTGAGACAAGTGTTCTGAGTATAATAGCTTGAATATTGCCTTCCCAGTATCTTGATCTCTCATTATTTGCTAACTGCTCTCTCTCTCTCTGCTTTTTCTCTATTAAGCTACATTGACTTGGAATTTCCTTATTGAAATTGGAAGAGTCCTGACTAATATAATAACTCATGAAATCTCAGGGTTACAATGACAATTACACAAATCAATACATGTAAAGTTTTAATACATTGCCCTGCACACAGTAGTCAAGCAGTAAATGTTTGCTTTGATGAAGGTGATAATGATGATGAACATGATGATGACACCTTCTCTTTCTTTTATTATTCTTAGAGGTTTTACTGTTGAACATCATGGAAACAGTTTATGCTCACTGAATTCTGGCTAAATCTTGTGCTTCCTTTCTCTGGAAGACACAGAGAATTAAAGAATTAGGACTGGGAGAGACTGTTGAATGACATGAATTAAGAATTGTTTTATAGTCCTTTGGGTATATACCCAGTAATGGGATGGCTGGGTCAAATGGTATTTCTAGTTCTAGATCCCTGAGGAATCGCCACACTGACTTCCACAATGGTTGAACTAGTTTACAGTCCCACCAACAGTGTAAAAGTGTTCCTATTTCTCCACATCCTCTCCAGCACCTGTTGTTTCCTGACTTTTTAATGATCGCCATTCTAACTGGTGTGAGATGGTATCTCATTGTGGTTTTGATTTGCATTTCTCTGATGGCCAGTGATGGCGAGCATTTTTTCATGTGTCTTTTGGCTGCATAAATGTCTTCTTTTGAGAAGTGTCTGTTCATGTCCTTTGCCCACTTTTTGATGGGGTTGTTTGTTTTTTTCTTGTAAATTTGTTTGAGTTCATTGTAGATTCTGGATATTAGCCCTTTGTCAGATGAGTAGGTTGTGAAAATTTTCTCCCATTCTGTAGGTTGCCTGTTCACTCTGATGGTAGTTTCTTTTGCTGTGCAGAAGCTCTTTAGTTTAATTAGATCCCATTTGTCAATTTTGGCTTTTGTTGCCATTGCTTTTGGTGTTTTAGACATGAGGTCCTTGCCCATGCCTATGTCCTGAATGGTAATGCCTAGGTTGTCTTGTAGGGTTTTTATGGTTTTAGGTCTAACGTTTATGTCTTTAATCCATCTTGAATTAATTTTTGTATAAGGTGTAAGGAAGGGATCCAGTTTCAGCTTTCTACATATGGCTAGCCAGTTTTCCCAGCACCATTTATTAAATAGGGAATCCTTTTCCCATTGCTTGTATATACCCAGCCATCCCATTACTGGGTATATACCCAAAGGACTATAAGTCATGCTGCTATAAAGACACATGCACACGTATGATTATTGTGGCATTATTCACAATAGCAAAGACTTGGAACCAACCCAAATGTCCAACAATGATAGACTGGATGAAGAAAATGTGGCACATATACACCATGGAATACTATGCAGCCATAAAAAATGATGGGTTCATGTCCTTTGTAGGGACATGGATGAAATTGGAAATCATCATTCTCAGTAAACTATCGCAAGAACAAAAAACCAAACACTGCATATTCTCACTCATAGGTGGGAATTGAACAATGAGAACACATGGACACAGGAAGGGGAACATCACACTCTGGGGACTGTTGTGGGGTGGGGGGAGGGGGGAGGGATAGCATTGGGAGATATACCTAACGCTAGATGACGAGTTAGTGGGTGCAGCACACCAGCATGGCACATGTATACATATGTAACTAACCAGCACATTGTGCACATGTACCCTAAAATTTAAAGTATAATAATAATAAAGAAAGAAAGAAAGAAAGAATTGTTTTCTGTTGTCAGAGCTAACCACCCTCCACTTTATACCACTTTTATTTTCATTCATTCTTATCATTATTAACTCAGATTGAAACCTCAACTCAGGCTCAGACTTGAAAAAGTAGTTCAGTTTCTGCTCAATGTGTTCCTATTTGAGAAACAAATGCATTTGTTAACTTGTGGACGCTGTGATTGTGTGGTGCTGATTGCAACTAACTGGCTGTCACTTAGGTGACTTTAAAGCCCTGGACCATGCTGTTCACTCTCAAGTATGCTTTATGACTGTCTTGAGAAAGGAGACTCCAAAGGTAGTTCAGAGTGGAGGATATTTGGCAATTATTTTTTAAGTCATACGGTTAATTACTGTACATCTTACAATAATGTAGGGATTAGAAAATCTGTATTAGAAGAGTCTGAAGCAATTTTGAAGAAATCCGTAATAATTTTTGTAGGCTTACTGCTCATGATTACTAATTGTCATCATTGTCTTCATCTTTGTCCACATTACCAATGGTAATATTGTAGTTGATTCCTGAACCCTAGATTTGGAGCATATAGGTGCATTTTCATTACATACATATCCAGGAACTTATTCTAAACAATTTTTAGATCATGATTTTAAGCAAAGTAGAAATCCTACTAAAATCAAAGAAAAAAATCAGCTTTGTGAATTGAATAATGGACAAATTCTTAACTGTGCATTTTCATTACATATCCAGAAACTTATTCTAAGCAATTTTTAGATCATGACTTTAAGCAAAGTAGAAATCCTACTGAAATTAAGGGAAAAAATCAGCTTTGTGAATGAAATAATGGACAAATTTTTAACTGTTATTTCTTCATTGTGGACTTTAGGTATAGTTTGGACCACGGATTTAGTGGTTGTTCTGGAGAATACATTAAAAAAAATCAAAATGAAACTTTGAAACAGAAGTTAAATTTAAACGTTTCCATATCTCAAAGAGTGTCAAGAGAAAAATAAAATGGGATTAGGAACAAAATTATTGCTTTAATGTAGGTGCACATTACCCAAACTTTTTGACTTGTAAATATCTTTAATATTCATGGAAAACTGTGTTATGCAGGCATCAACATCCATTTCTTGTCTTTTTGGGCTGACAGTTATGTGTTCCTTAGTATCCTTTCCACTGGATATGACCATGGGACTAAGTTCCGGTCAATGGCAAGTGGACAAAGTGATGCAGGCCACTTCCATGACTTTGCTCCCACCTTGCTCTTTCTGTTGGACAAGTGTAGAGAATGCGGCAGAGGATCATAAAGGAGGGTACAGCCTGATAAAGGAAGACATCTTAGTCTCTGGGCTCTGGAAAGGCATATAACAATGAGAAACGTGGTCACGGGGGCTTATGGGTTATAAATGCATTTTTATTAAGTTAAAACAGAATGATTTAGGGATATGTTTACTATAGTAGATGAGGTTATTTATTCCAAATAATACAACAGTAATATGTAAGCCCTAAACCCCTTAAAATTACATGTTTTGCATTTTGAATATTAGCTGAAAAAATGTTTTATTGAGTTCATCATTAAAAATATACCACAAATCACATTTAAAATACAATACATAATATTTGTTACGTTGAAGAACAGGTTTTGTCTTATTGTCATTTAACAGATAATGCCTGCTTTTTAGTTAATCTTGATTAAGTATATGATAATTTGCTAATACATGTATGTAAATGATATTTTATTTCATTTTGTGTCTGATTGAAGGAGTCTGTGTGAAGCTGTCTGGGCTTGAATTACTGACTAGCTGCATAAAGTTAGATGACATACATAACCTTTTTAGGGCTCAATATATCCACCCATAAAATAGGAATAATGATACTTCATAATGTGTATATTTATTCATGAAATGAGACCTTATAGTACATACCTCATGGGTTGTGTAGAATTATTAGTTGATACATATAAAATGTTTAGTCATCATTTATTGTATCCCAAAAGCCATATTACACACCTTGAAATCTATATTCTATGGGACAAGCTGATCATTTTCAAGTCAGTAATGAAATAAAGCTTGTAGAAACTTAGAGTTAGATGGAGGTTTTAGAGAACAACTCTGCCTTCCAGAATTCCACCCCTCAACTCAGCAGCCAGATCAGTATTTGTAAATTGTAAATCTGATTATTTTACCCTCCCCTCAACAACACCCACCCCCCTTATTGCCATGCTGAATATTTCAGTGACTTCCTGCCACTTCTGCAATAAAATTCTCAACTTGGATTGCAAAGCCTGGTATGGTCTCGCCTCTGCTAATGACTTCATGCTCACTTTCTCCACATTCTAGGCTCTCTGTCTTCTAAATATTTTTCTTTCTCTTTGATCCCTGAAGTGCACTAGGTTTTTTCAAATCTTGACTTAATTATGACTTCCTCAGGAAAGACTTCCTTGACTTCTCAGACTAGGTCAGATCCTCTGGCTATCCACATCCATGGCGGTGGACAATCCTTCTTCATAGTGCCTATCACAGTTCGTAATTGCACATCTATTCATAGACTCTGATGAACTGCTCAGATCCTCCTTTAGGATTAAAATTACTCCCTGACATCCCTCAAATATCAGCCATATTTGTGTATACTTTGACTGAAGAGAACCACTTTGCTAACTGGTTCAGCCTGCACCTAATAACTGGGATAGAAAGTCCAGACTACATGGCCCAACTCAGAAAAACTCTGAAGGCAGTCTCAGACCAGACTTCTTCATAAGGATGACTGAGGTCTTGTTGATACTAAACAAACTTTGCTGATAATTGATATGGTTTGGCTGTGTCCCCACCCAAAATCTGATCTTGAATTGTAATCCCCATAACCCACCCTGTCAAGGCAGAGATGAGGTGAAAGTAATTGAATCATGGGAGCAGTTTCCCACATGCTGTTCTCATGGTAATGAGTGAGTTCTCACGAGATCTGATGTTTTTATAAGTGTTTGTAGTTCCTCCTGCATTCATTCTCCCTCCTGCCACCTTGTGAGGCAGGTGTCTTGCTTCCCCTTGCCTTCCACCATGATTGTAAGTTTCCTGAGGCCTCCCCAGCCATGCAGAACTGTGAGTCAATTAAACCTCTTTCCTTTATAAATGACCCAGTCTCGGGCAGTTCTTTATGCCAGTGTGAGATTGGGCTAATACAATAACACAGTCCAACTTCTTGTTCAGTCTGCTTCCTATCCTTCATTCCTTCCTACAAGTAGTGGTCACAAGACAAACCTGCAAACTAACCTCCATCTCAGAGCCTGCTTTTTTAGGAACCCAAAATATAACAATCTTCTCGGGTATGTTGATTGATGTTCATCTCCCCCACTGTCACCTCCACAAGGGTAAGGGTCATATGTGGGGTTTTTTAACCTTTATATCTTCAATATTAAGCCCAGATTTTGACATATCGTAAATATGTAATCCCTAAACAACATTGCATGAACATGAATTAATGCCATCTACCATCTTCATTTTACAATTAAGATGTAGAAAATTGACATTCCCAAGGAGATGCAGCTGACCAGCCTTTTTCTTTCCCCCTTTCCCCTACTAGCCTGTTGTTTATTTTGTTCTTCTCAGGGACCCAAGAGCTTATATGCCCCTATCACTAGAAAAGAGCAAAATGCTTATTCCTTGTAAAAGGTGGTTTTTCTCTTAGGGGGAAGAAATCACTAAGTTCAAGGTAATCTCTGGTGAATGGCTGGAACTCTGGAAGTATCAATGTTAATTACACATTCCCCCTGATCTATGGATCATTCCCAGACAGCCCAAGTCCAAAAACCCATCACCCTGACCTTGCTAAAATGAACTCAGCTGACACTATCATCATTCAATATTCCCTATTCACCATCATAGGTAAGTAACAGGAAAATCCTCTAATGAACTACAGGACTGTCAGGGATCATTCACTCTCCATATAACTTAGGTTACTTTCTAAACTGTGAAGTCTTTCATAAGAGGTGCATTATTCTGGCTGGACACAGGGGCTCACGCCTGTAATCCCAGCACTTTGGGAGGCTGAGATGGGTGGATCACCTGAGGTCAGGTGTTCCAGACCAGCCTGACCAACGTGGAGAAACCCCGTCTCTACTAAAAATACAGAATTAGTTGGGTGTGGTGGCGGATGCCTGTAATCGCAGCTACTCGGGAGGCTGAGGCAGGAGAATCACTTGAATCTGGGAGGCAGAGGTTGCGGTGAGCCGAGATTGCACCATTGCACTCCAGCTTGGGCATCAAGAGTGAAATTCCGTCTCAAAAAACAAAAAAATGGTGCATGATTCTGTTTCTGAATTTGAAGAGTGACACAGTTGATTTGTTCTTTTTTGTTAGTCCTCTCTTCTCCCCTGTTCAATGCAGAAGTGATATTGATAGTAGAGTTTGCTTCTTTTAAGCTCAAAGTCCAGAATTAGGCACCAAAACAAATAAATATTCTCCCTTTATCTTAAAGGGATGTGTTCCAAGACCTCAGTGGATGTCTTAAACCATAGATAGTACCAAATCCCATATATGCTATGTTTTTGCCTATACATAAATACATAAATAGTTATTATAAAATTTAACTTATAAATTAGGCACAGTAAAAGATTAATAACTAATAAAATCGAACTATTATAACAATATACTATAATGAAAGTCATATGAATACAGTCTCTCTTTCAAAATCTCTCATTGTACTGTACTCACCCTTCTTATGCTGATGAGGTCACATGATAAAATGCCTATGCTTGGATTTATCATATGCCCTGCAGAGTTGCTACCGAGGACAGATTTGCTCTTACTGCGTATCTTAGCATCCTCGGTACATGACTATTTTTCTTTTCTTATTAAGTCAAAAACTTTCACCTTTTCACTTAGAAGAAGCACTTTGTGCCTTCTTTTTAGCATATCTGAATTGCCACCATCACTAGTCTTGTGCTTTGAGGACATGTTAAGTAAAATAAGGGCTACTAGAATACAAGCATTGCAATACCATTTGGTAGCCAAAATGACTTCTAAGTGACTAATGAGCAAGTAGGATGGACAGTGTGGGAAGGCTGGACAAAAGGAATGATACATGTTTCTGACAGGATTGAGCAGGATCATACAAGATTTCATCACATTATTCAGAATGACACACACTTTAACACTCATATATTGTTTATTTCTGGAATTTTCCATTTAATATTTTCAGACCACACTTGATCATGGGTAAATGAAACCACAGAAAGCAAAACTTAGGATAAGGGAGGATTACTGTATTTCTGCAGAAAAATGCTGTAGTTTGGTTCAAACTTGAGGTGTATGCTGTATTTGCCTGTGTGTGTGTGCGTTTCACATGCGTGTATGTGGTTAACGTGTATATGTGTGTCCTGTAGTTCTTTAAAATGTGTGAGCTTAAAGTCCCTGGCTGAATTTCAAATGAAAGTTAATGCCCATCTACCACCACTATCACATTAAAAACAAACGGTTTTTGGAAGAGCATAAGCTCTGAAATTTGAACTGTCTGTTTTGAATATTGCCCTCACCACTTATTAGCAGTTGGTCCTTGGGTAACATATTCAATATCTCTGAGTGTCGGCTCACAGCCTCCACAGCTGAAGAAAGCATAATTATAGTATGATATCCACAGCACAGTTATGAACTTTAAATGTGCTAATAAATGCAGTAAGTTCTCAATGTCAAATATTCTGAATCTCATGTCATGGTTGGCCTCAAGTACTCTTAGTAATTCACTTACATTTTTCTTGCAGCCTTATCAGTACATTGTGAGTTCAACAAGAGTAGGAAACACTGTGTCTCATTAATCCTTTAAATCTCTAGAAACAAGTACAACCAGCCTCCTAATATATAATTGCTTAATCTTTGAATTTATAAGTTTGAAAGTTCATGATAGTTTCTGTCTTTATGAAAGGCCATTAGCACATCACAATAGTATTTGTTGAACTTGACAAAGTGATAAAATATGTATGTGATTACTCTTGCATCTCTATGGCTAAATGATACTCTGAGAGTTTTCATGAAGGTGGATAAATAAACATAGCAGTAAATAAAAGGTGAGTTTTACAAATGCATCTACTGATTTGCTGATCACCGGTTTATTCATTTATGGGCATGAGATGAACAGCAGTTTCATGTGGTGAATATAATAGAACCATCAGATTTTAAAATATAATTGTTTAAGTCTATGATAAATTAGTATTAAAAGAAGAATAGGCAACAGATGCTAATTAGAAGCTACTGGGAGGGTTTTATAACATACTCTTTCCTTTTGATGTGGCTATCTATTGTTATATTTTAAAAGCACTCCAAAACTGAAATAGCAAATTATTATCATCCCTGACACTCCTGTGTACAAACTCAGTGGTTCTCCTTGGGGTATATCTAGAAGTTGAGCTACTCTGTTCCATGATGTATCCCCCTCTCCGTCTCTGTATGTCTCTGTCTTTCTCTCTCTCCATGTTGTCTCGTTCTAAAAGGGTTCTTCACATAACTGCAACTTCTCACAGTGCATTGATCCCAGAACATTTACACTTATAATATGGCAGATGCTTTCCCATAGCCCAAAACAGAAACTGCTAAGCAAGGCAAGGGGTAAGCTCAAAATTTGTACATAATAATCTCCACCATTTTAAAATTTAATTTCATTTACTTAGTCAAAGCAGCCAGAGACCTACACATATTTAGTTAAATACAGAAAGAAACACTTCTTACTCATGGACTGAAAAGATCACATTGTAGAAAAGCATATTTTTGAAGCTATCTTTGGGAATTATGAGTTGACACAGTCTATTCTCGGGCTAAACTAATTCATATTCCTTTTACATGTAAAATATACTCACCCGTATAAAGACACTCAAAGACTTATCCCACTAGGGTATAAGCTCCATGTCTAAAATCTCATTATCAAAATTTGGGAAAATATGTCTATGAGGCTCTTTGAATATATGCCCTCAGGTATAGCATATTGAGTACAGTTTCTCTCACTCTGAAAACCTATGAGCTAAAGAGGCTTGTTACCTGCCCTGTCATCATTTTTCAAGTCTTAAAAACCTGTCAACTACAAATTCAATATTTAATGAAAATATTTTTAAGAATAAGTGGAAATAAAGACATTGTGAGATGGCAGTAAAGTAATGGATTTTGTCACTGCAGAAATAGTCTAAAAGAATGGCTAAAGAAACCCCAAAAAATAATGGGAATGAAGGCTTGAAAATTTAGAAGGAAAAAAGGTGAAAAATCGGTGTAAATATAATAGAATATTCATTCCCTAGTGATTTTCTTAAGTCATATTTTATGGCTGAAGAGAATGTTGTAATATCATTTGATGAGGTATTTGATGTATGTGAATGAAATACCTATGACAATTACATTTTAAAAGTTGGGACAGTCAAGGCAATTAAATGAAAGAGGGGTTATCCCTTCATGCTAAAAACTGTCAATAAACTAGGTATTGATGGAACGTATCTCAAAATAATAAGAGCTATTTATGACACACTCACAGCCAATATCATACTGAAGGGCAAAAACTGGCAGCATTCGCTTTAAAAACTGGCACAAGACAAGGATGCCGTCTCTCACCACACTTATTCAATATAGTATTGGAAGTTCTGGCCAGGGCAATCAGGCAAGAAAGAAATAAAGGGTATTCAAATAGGAAGGGAGGAAGTCGAATTGTCTGTTTGCAGATTACATGATTGTATATTTAGAAAACCCCATCTTCTCAGCCCAACATCTCTTTAACCTGATAAGCAGCTTCAGCACAGTCTCAGGATACAAAAATCAATGTGCAAAAATCACAAGCATCCCTATAAACCAATAATGGACAAACAGCCAAATCATGAGTGAACTCCTATTCACAATTTCTACAAAGAGAATAAAATACCTAGGAATACAACTTAAAAGGGAGTGAAGGACCTCTTCAAGGAGTACTACAAACCACTGCTCAAGGAAATAAGAGAGGACACAAATGGAATAACATTCCATGCTCATGGATAGGAAGAATCAATATCCTGAAAATAAGTAATTTATAGACTCAATGCTATCTACAACAAGCTACCATTGACTATCTTAACAGAATTAGAAAAAAAACTACTTGAAATTTCATATGGAACCAAAAAAAAAAAGCTGGCATTGCCAAGGCAATCTTAAGCAAAAAGAACAAAGCTGTAGGCATCACACTACCTGACTTCAAACTATACTACAAGGCTACAGTAACCAAAACAGCATGGTACTGGTACCAAAACAGATATATAGACCAATGAAACAGAAGAGAGGCCTCAGAAATTACACTGCACATGTATAACCATCTGATCTTCGACGAACCTGACAAAAACAAGCAATGGGGAAAGGATTCCTTATTTAATAAATGGTGTTGGGAAAGCTGATTAGCCATATGCAGAAAGCTGAAACTGAACCCCTTCCTTATACCTTATACAAAAATTAACTCAAGATGGATTAAAGACTGAAACATAAAACCTGAATTGTTAAAAACCCTAGGAGAAAACCTAGGCAATACCATTCGGGACATAGGCTGGGGCAAAGAATTCAAGACTAAAACACCAAAAGCAATGGCAACAAAAGCCAAAATTGACAAATGTGATCTAATTAAACTAAAGAGCTTCTGCACAGCAAAGGAAACTATCATCAGTGTGAATAGGCAACCTACAGAATGGGAGAAAATTTCTGCAATCTATCCATCTGACAAAGAGCTAATATCCAGAATCTACAAAGAACTTAAATTTACAAGAAAAAAACAACCCCATCAAAAAGTGGGCAAAGGATATGAACAGACACTTCTCAAAAGAAGACGTTTATTCAGCCAACAAACATATGAAAAAAAGCTCATTATCACTGGTCATTAGAGAAATGCAAATCAAAACCACAATGAGATACCATCTCACACCAGTTAGAATGCTGATCATTAAAAAGTCAGGAAACAACAGATGCTGGAGAGGATGTGGAGAAATAGAAACGCTTTTACACTGTTGGTGTGAGTGTAAATTAGTTCAACCATTGTGGAAGACAGTGCGGTGATTCCTCAAGTATCTAGAACTAGAAATACCATTTGACCCAGCAATCTCATTACTGGGTAGATAACCAAAGGATTATAAATCAGACTACTACAAAGACATATCTGCGTGTATGTTTATTGTGGCACTATTCACAATAGCAAAGACTTGGAACCAACTCCAATGCCCATCAATGATAGACTGGATAAAGAAAATGAGGCACATATACACCATGGAATACTATGCAGCCATAAAAAAGGATGAGTTCATGTCCTTTGCAGGGACATATGTGAAGCTGGAAGCCATCATTCTCAGCCAACTAACACTAGAACATAAAATCAAACACCCTATGTTCTCACTTATAAGTGGGAGTTGAACAATGAGAATACATGGACCCAGGGAGGGGAATATCATACCCCAGGGCCTGTAGGGGGGTGGGGGGTTAGGGACGGCATAGCATTAGAAGAAATACCTAATGTAGATGATGGGTTGATGGGTGCAGCAAACCACCATGGAACATGTATACCTATGTAACAAACCTGCACATTCTGCACATGTACCCCAGAACTTAAAGTATAATAAAAAAAAAAGAGGGGTTACAACACTTCAATGGTAACAGTAGACTGTGGACAGTGTCATAACTGGATCAACCATTAAGGAATCTATACAAATTTGTATTCTTGAAATACCATCAATAAATTAAAATGAAGATCTAAAAATCAAAATAAGTAACCAAAGAGAGAGAAAGAAAGAAACAGAGGCAAAGGAATGAGAAACAGAGCAAACAACTATAAAACAATAAAATGGAAGACTTAACAACTTAACCCTAATGTATCTGTCTTCGTCTTTTTTAAGATTTCAGCTTTCATTTAGATAGAAGAATACATGTATAGGTTTGTTATATGGGTAGATTGCAGCCAGGCAGTGAGCACAGTGCCCAATAAGTAGTTTTTCAACCCATTCCCTCCTCCTTCCCCACTCTATTGGTCCACATTGTCTATTGTTCCCATGATTATGTCCATGTGTGCTGGATATTTAGCTCCCACTTATAAATGAGAATATGTGGTGTTTTCTTTTCTGTTCTTGCATTTGTTCACTAGGATTATAGCCTCCAGCTCCATCCATGTTGCTGTAAAGGACATGATTTCATTCTTTATTACGGCTGTGCAATATTCCATGGTATAATTATACCACATTTTCTTTATCCAGTCAACCACTGATGGACGAGATTGAATCCATGTTCTTGCTGTTATGAATAGTATGGCAATAAACATATGAGTACATGTGTCTTTTTGGTATAATGATCTGTTTTCCCTTGGGTAATAGTAATGGGATTGCTGGGTCAAAGGGTAGCTCTGTATTAAGTTCTTTGAGAAATCTCCAAACTGCTGTCCAGAGTGGTTGAACTAATTTTCATTACCACCAATAGTGTATAAGCATTCCCTTTCCTCTACAGCCTTACCAGCATCTGTTTTTTTTTAATTTGTCTTTATAATAATAGCCCTTCTGACTGGTGTGAGATGGTATCTCGTTGTTTTGATTTTCATTTATCTGATGATTAGTGACGATCACTTTTTCATATGTTTGTTGGCTGTGTGTATGTCTTCTTTAAGTTCCTTACAGAGTCGGATTTTAGACCTTTGTTGGATGCCTAGTTTATGAATATTTTCTCCCATTCTGGAAGGTTGTCTGTTTACACTGTTTATAGTTTCTTCTATGCAGAAGCCTTTACTTTTATTAAGTCCCACATGTCAATTTATGTTTTTGTTGCAATTGCTTTTGGGGACTTGCAAAAATTCTTTGCAAAGGCTGGTGTTGAGAAGAATATTTTCTAGATTTTCTTCTAGGATTTTCACAATTTGAGGTCTTATATTTAAATATTTAATCCATCTTGAGTTAATTTTTGTATATGGTAGAAATAAGGGTTAAGTTTTATTCTGCTGGTTGTGGCTAGCCAGTTATCTCAACACCATGTAGGGAACAGGGAGTCCTTTGCCCATCGCCTACTTTTCCTGACCTTGTTGAAGATCAGATGGTTAATAGCGTATGGCTTTATTTCTGAGTTTTCTATTCTGTTAGATTTGTCTATGTGTCTATTTTTGTACCAGGACAATGCTGTTTTGGTTATTGTAGCCTATAATACAGTTTGAAGTTAGGTAGTATGCCTCTGGCTTTGTTCATTTTGATCAGGATTACTTTGTCTATTCAGGCTATTTCTTGGTTTCATATGAATTTTTAAATAGTTTTTTCTAATTCTGTGAAGAATGACATTGGTAGTTTGATAGGAATAGCATTGAATCTGTAAATTGCTTTGGGCTGTATGGCCATTTTAAGGATATTGATTCTTTCAATCTGTGAGCATGGAATATTTTTCCTTTTATTTGTGTGGTCTCTGATTTATTTCAGTAGTGTTTTATAGTTCTTCTTGTAGAGATTTTTTTTTTACCTCGTTGTTAGCTGTATTCCTAGGTATTTCATTTTTTTATGTGGCTATTGTAAATAGGATTGTGTTATTGATTTGACTCTCAGCCTGGAAATTATTGGTGTATAGAAATGCTACTGATTTTTGTAAATTTATTTTGTATCCTGAAATCTTAAAACATCATGTATCACTTCTAGTAGCCTTTTGGTGGTGTTTTCAGGGATTTTTAGGTACAGAAACATACTGTCAGCATAGAGAGAGAATTTTACTTCTTTTCCTATTTGGATGCCTTTTATTTCTTTCTCTTGCCCAGTTGTTCTGTCTAGGACTTCCCTGTCTTTAAATGAACATAGTATAAATACATCAATTAAAAGACAGAAATTATAGAATAAATTAAAAAGTATGATCCAACTATATACTGCTTATGGGAAAACTATTACAAAAATAATGACCTAAGTTGACAGTAAAAGAAAGGAAAAAAAAATAAACCATGCAAACCTTAATTAAAAAATACAGTGTAGCTATATTGATATCACATATAGTGCACTTCAGAGAAAAAGAAATTACTAGACAGTGAGAACATAGCAATCCTAAATGTGTATGCACTGAAGGGCAATGGATAAGAATGTTAAAACATCTTACTTACCTTTTTTTCATTTAGGAGACAAGGATCTTAAAAAGGAAAACTCCAAAAATCATGGAAAGGCAATTTTCCTTTCCTGTGAAAGCCTGTATGAAATGCCCTTTTGCCAGAAATAGACCCAGAGCAAAGAAATGATACAAAAGTTACCTACTCTGAGATTCTTTCTGCTTTCTCACATACAACTGTATATGATCTGAGAGTCTGCAGAGCTCTCTTGAGGAAAAAGGCCCAGTGAAAATGTGAACTTGGTATTTTTACTTTTAAAAATTAGGATATCAACCCTGAAGTGGCTGTTCTCCATACCCAATGTTTCTGTAAACCTTCACATATGCAGGTATGGACCATAGTCATGAGTCTGCTAGCAGGTCAGCACTTGATTCTCTACTAAAGAACCTAAAAAGCAACCCTGAATATCTAGGGGTTCATTAGGCCCTGATGAGCCTAGAATCTTTAGAGATAGGATCCTGTATCTGCATTTTTAATATTTGTCTCCAAGTGATTCTAAGGCACAGTAAGTCTTTGAAACTACTTCTCTTCATCAGTGCTCCTCAAGCATACCAAGGCATCAAAATCCCTTGGTATGCTAGTTAAAATATAGATTTACTAGCTTCCACTCCCACAGTTTGTGATTTGATAGGTCTAGTGTGGGACCTAACATTTTCCTAACAAATGTTCATGTGATGCTGGTTTTGCTTGCTCGAGGAACACATTTTGAAAGTTATATCTCTAGAGCAGGAGTCGGGATTTCTTTTTCTCTCTTTGTAAAAGGCCAGATATTAGGTAATTGAGACTTTATAGGTCATATTGTCTCTGTTTCAACTATTCATTTCTGCTGTTGTAATGCAAAAGCAGCCATGGACAATATACAAATGAATGGGTTTTTGTACTAATAAAACTTTTTTTTTTTTTTTTTTTTTTTTTTAGACAAAGTCTCGCTCTGTCACCCAGGCTATAGTGCAGTGGCATGATCTTGGTTCACTTGCAACCTCTGCCTCCCGGGTTCAAGCAATTCTCCTGCCTCAGTCTCCTGAATAGCTGGGATTACAGGCGCCTGCCACCATGCCCAGCTAGTTTTTGTATTTTTAGTAGAAATGGGGTTTCACCATGTTGATCAGGGTGGTCTTGAATGCCTGACCTCAGGTGATCCATCTCCCTTGGCCTCCCAAAGTGCTGGGATTATAGACATGAGCCACCGCACCCCGCCTGTTTCTTTGTTTGTTTAATAAAGACGGAGTCTCTGTCACTCAGGCTGGAGTGCAGTGGTGCAAATGCAGCCTTGAACTCCTGGGCTCAAGGAATCCTCTTGCATCAGTCTCCTTAGTAGTTGGGATTACAGGCACACACCACCAAGCCCAGCTAATTTTTGTATTTTTAGTAGAGATGGGATTTCACCATGTTCGCCAGGGTGGTCTCGAACGCCTGACCTCAGGTGATCCACCCCCGTTGGCCTCCCAAAGTGCTGCGATTATAGGCATGAGCCACTGTGCCTGGCCAAACCTTTCTTTATAACAGCAGATGTTGGGCTGATTCGGCACATGTTTGTCCAATTTCTATTCTAAAGAACAGTGCAAGAAATGGAGTTACTAAATCAAAAGGCTGTATATTTAAAATTGAAATAAATATGAGTAGATTGACCTCTTCTGGATTTCCAAATTAATACTTCAGCAGTAGGTATGAAAAAACCTTAATTATAAATATACTATTCTGCTGGGAGGTGCTGATAATGGGAGAGGCTCAGCCTTGTGGGGACAGGGTTATATGGAAAATCTCTGTACCTTCCTTTCAACTTTGCTGTGAACTTAAAACTGCTCTAAACACTAACTCTTAAAGCAAAACAAAATTTAAAACCTTAATTACCGTCATTCTCACCAACACTTGGACTTTTTAGACTTGAATTTCTGCCGATCTGATGTCTTTCAGTTTTTATGGAACACCACCTCTGGAAATTCAAAAGATCTAGACCCTTTGCAGTATGGGCCTAGACAAGCAGATCCTTAATATTGTAATGAGGATGTGGAGAAGGGTATGCCTTAATATTAGAGAGCAGGAAAATGTACCTAACTGTCAGTGTCCAAATCACCAATGACGCGGTAGACAAGCACTAATGGATCCAGCATGCAAAGACTGCATCTAAAGAAGGGATTCTCAATATTAGCATTATTGACATCTTGGTTCTAATAATCCTTTCTTATGGGGATGCAGAGAGGTATCCTATCCATTGCAGGACATTTAACAGCATCCCTGGCCTCTACCTATTAGATGCCAATGGCAACTCCCACCAAGTTGCAACAAACAAAAATTTTTCAGATATTGCCAAAATGGCCGCCAGTTGAGATCTATTGATCTGGAATCACAATAACTGTTTTTCATTTCCATCAGTGGCTGCAATGACTTTGACCTTTTCCAGGATAAGATATGTCAACTCCTGACTTGTCAAGTGAGTTAACCTTTATTAAAGGCCTAACTTGTGCCCTCACAGAAGTGGAGTATGGGATGAAAAGAAAAGGAAGCAGAAGTAATATCTCATTTTCAAGGAGTTTATGGCTCCTAAAATCAGAAGCTAATGCATTTTGATTTAAGTTAGAGCAAAAATACTTTATTAGACTTTTTTTCAAATTTTAAATTATTTGTCAACATTATTGGGATGGCATTATTCAGGTAATCATATTTTAAGATACCTTTCAAAAATATAAAACCTAGCAATGCTGGACTTTCATTCCTTCACTGAGCGGTTAGAGCTATGTGGCAGCTCTGTCCATGGATCAAGTGTTCTTTAGATTTCTGTAGTTCCCACCACTCCCATTTGTTTATCCTCAGATTTTTGAGATGGCAACACTTTGGTTTTGATTGTTGGGTCTGTTTGGTCTAAATGACTACAGACGGGCAGGTTAATCAAAGAAAGAAACTGACATGGACTCCTATTTATAAGTAGAATTGTCAGGTCAGAACTTTGCCCTTCTATAAGTGTTGCTTCTTTTGCATTAAGCCAGTGCTGACTAATAAAAACAAAACAAAATCCTTGAGCACCAATAAAATGAGGGTGGGAAAGAAAAAAAAGAATAAAATAATTTAAAAATGCCATAAAATGGGTAAATATTACCCATAAAATGGGTAAATAAAATAATTTAAAAATGCCATTTAAAATGCCATAAAAAGAATAAATAATTTAAAAATGCCATAAAATTGCTGATTTATTTGTGAATTTGTCTCCTTTACTTAATCTTAAATTTCTCCTAATTTAGTGTCTGCTGTTGAAATGATAATGATGACAAGATCCTTGGAGCAAAAGGCTGAATTATTCCCTCCAAGTCAGGGAGCAGGCAATTATTAAAAATTAAAATGAGTTTTCCACTTGCAATTGGAGATTACCTCTTTGAAAGAATGCCCGTGAATTGACAAAACATGCACTATAAGTCACATTTTTTCTCTCTCCGAGTAAATAAAAGTGCCTCATGTTTTAGGGGAGAATATAAATGTGTTTCCAGCATTATACCTCATTAACTGATCTCTGTTCCTTATGTTGAAGTAAGGACTGCTTGTTATACATCATAGGATGTATACATCACAGCATCCTATATGTCATAGGGATGGATGATATTTGCATATATTAGAGATCACAAATAAAGGCTTAGAAGCACATGAACCTGAGTGTGTCCCTGCTGACTTATGAGTACTGAGAGACTGTTGAAATCTGTCAGTCACTTGGTGTTTGCTAACTTCAAGATGCTGGTTAATCTTTTATTATCTGAGCTTCCTCTGGCTACTGTATCAAATTTTCCGAGATGGACCCTGGTCACCTGGAATATTTTTGGAGAAGACAAATCATCTCGTTAACTGACATTTCTGTAGGGGAATGGCACAGACAAGTTGACTTAGAATTGCAGTACTGTCAAATAAAACATTCTATAATAATGGAAATGCAATATAATGTGTACAGTTTAATGTTCTAGCCACTAGTCACAAATAACAATTCATCTCTTGAAATACAGCAAGTGTGAGTAAATTTCTAATTTTATTAATTTTAAATTATTTGGATTTAAATTTAAAGAACCACATGGGACTACTGGTTCTCCTATTGGACAATGCAGATATGGAGACTTTTGTCACATTCACAGCTGAGGTTTGGTTGTCAAAGAAGTGTGAAATGAGTGACAATGATTTATAAGGAATTTAGTATAAGGAATGCTAGTCATAGTTTTTAGAGAAACAGAACCATTATAATATGTATATATATATAGAGAGAGAGACAGAGTCATTGCAAATAATTGGCTCACACAATTGTGGAGGTGTGATAAGCTCAAAATCTGCAGTGTAGACTGGCAGTGTGGAGATCTAGAAAGTTGCATTTCAAGTCCAAAGGTAGTCTGCTGGCAGGATTCCTACTGTGTAGGGGAGGTCAATCTTTCTCTTATTAAGGCCTTCATCTGATTAGATTATTACGGAGGATAATTATTATGGAGGGTAATCTGCTTCATTCAAGGACACTATATTTAATGCTCATCTCATCGCAAAAACACCTTCACAGTAACATCTGGATAATGTTTGACCAAATATCTGGGCTTCGTGGATTAGCCAAGTTGATACATAAAATAGCCATTACAGTTATTCTGATAGAAAAAAAAAACTATTCATCTGTAGGGAAGGGAGGAGGAAAATATTGAAGGCATAGAGACAATTTCAAAAGGAACAAACATCTAAAAAGCTGTGTACTGTTGTGGAAGAGACATTGATTCTTTCATTTTGATCTCTTTTTCCTGGTTACCAGTTTAATTCGTAAGTATTACAACGAATATTATTCCAAAAATATAACTTAGAAAAATAAATGTGTGCAAGATTGCGCTGTTGTTGACTATGTTAAGGCTCGGTGCTACATTTTTTTCAATGGCTTTCTCTATATAGCCCTGTGTTTCAGTGGGCAAAAGAGGAAATCGTGTGAGCTTTGAAAGGCAAAAGTAAAACAAGTTGTTATTCTTTGATGGTCATCACAGTTAGATATATGACAAGCAGACGAAGAGCCACTTGGAAAGTACAAGCCCCTCCTTCTTTTTCTCCTCTCCCTATCTTCCTTTTCCCCCCAGCTGCTGTTCCTGCTGAAGAGCAATGACACCTATCATATCAGCAGATGGATAGCTGTAGATTAGCAGAGGCGTGGGGCACACAGAGGCATTAGCTCTGTGCCATCTCCGTGAGTCCCACTACCATTCCATTTCTCTTCCTAGATGTGCCTGGCTTCCAAGATTTCCCTATAACTTTCAACTTATCCACTTACCATAGTGTTTCAGCTAGACTAGGTAGTGATTCTTTTCCTTATCAACCTAACCCCCCTTTCGGCCTTCACTTCTTCAACTCTTCCTATATGTACATAATATCTAATGCCTAATATACATTTCTTATTCACACAATAGTCAAAGTGGCTGTACTTTTATGATTATACCCTGACTTATACAAAGTGAACTTATTATTTACTCAGTTATTCCCATTCATGAACTTATTATTTACTCAGTTATTCCTATTCCTATTCAGGTAGTGAAGCTGTGTGTCCCCATGCTATATTTGTGTAGTTGCTTTTTTGAACCTCAGTGAATGATTTTGCAATTATTTTGACTAGGTCTTTCCTGATAGATTAAGGACATCATTTCCTCATTTTGAAATAATTTCAGTTGCTGCTTCAAGTGATCTTTATCAGTTTAGCCATGCCGCCATGTATGAGCAGATAAGCAGCTTTAGGAAGTAACCACATGGAGCAGCAAGGGACAAAGGGGGCAATTTGCTTGTCATCTTCTGACAAAATCAAACACTATGATAAATGAGATAGAGGGTAGATGGTAATGTTAGGTAAGACATTTTTCTGTGCATGCTCCTTTCCAAAAATCACTGCATATTTCCCAGTAAAAGGTAAAGTTGTAGCTTGCTTTGACCAAGACATGGTGGCAGATGTGATATTATATGAATTCTAAAAGCTGGGCCTCAAGAGACCTTGCACCCCTTGCTGTCTTGAGACTGTCATATGAAGGAGCCCTGACCAGCCTCCTTGAGGATGACAGACCACATGGAAAGATTGGGTCAATTTGTATTATGGTTTTTTTTAACTTTCCTTTTTCCCTACTTCCCAATTACCAATATGCTCATTTCCCTTTGGAAGATTTTTTTGGGTATTGTAGAGCCAGATTTCCCATTTTCAAGATTTTTTAGAAATGTTAAATTATTACCAACAAACCATGAAGAATTTTCTGGTTTCTCTTTGCTACCTCACAGAGATCAGTACTGATTCTCCCACCCAGTTGGTTCTGCAGTGTTCAGTGAGTCTAAAAGGCTGACTGATAGCAGCAGTCTTTACTCCATTGCAGAAGATCATGTTACTCTAAGAATTAAACTACAGATCCCAGCTCACCAGCAAACATCTGCTCTTCAAAGATAGCACGATCAGACACTCAGCTCAACTCCTCTCCCTACTCTGTAATCATCTGTGAAGAACCTTTCTTTCGCTTCTTTTTTTGTTTGTTTTTTAATTCTGAAGTGGTATGCTAAAAACACAGTGCAAAAAGTGTAGTTTTTTTGGAAAACAACAAGTAATTTGATGCTTTCTCTTTGCTGAAATGGGCTTTTCCTTTGCTGAAATGGACTTTCCTGATGAATTCACCTGGGTAAGGCCTCGTGTGTACCAGTACATTACATTTGGGAAGAAATATGTATTAATATTCTGAGCAAATAGCTTGAGAAGGAATGTGTTTATCTGCATTTTACCAAAAGCTAATGGAATAGGTGTCCTAGCCTAAATAATTCATTTGGAGGACTGTTTAAGATAATGTGGATTGGGTTGAATCTTGTATGAGCTTTTACAGTTCCTCTTAGAGATGTGATTAATTTAAATACATCTCTACCCTTTGCCCTCTTCAATAAGGAGCTCCATGAATTATTGATCAAATGCATAAATTTGCTGAGGAGACTCAGTGACTCAAAGTTACAAAGGTATGAAGCAACCAAGTCAGAGTTGTATAATGAGTTGAGTACCAGTTTGCATCACCAGCTAGCTGCGTGACCTTCAATAACTCATGCAACCACTCTAGGCCTCAATTTTCTCATTGGTAAATACAGTGCTTTTCCTGTACCCCATCACCTGCCAACCATACCCTGTTCCCACTTCCATGTTGTTGTAATGCTTAAATAAGACATTCATGAAAACTTATAGCAAACTAAAATATGTAAAACACATGTCCTATTATCCATTACATTTTCCTCTCTTTTGTATAGCAGAATCAGATGAAGAAAATGGAACCTATTTTATGACTTTAAAGCAGTTTAAGTAAAAGTTAAGTTTTTTATGGATGGCAAAACCAGTTTTAGAGGCAAAGTATCTCATTCCAACTGACTTGCTGTAAATCATTGCCTTCTGAACACTCTTTCTTTCAAAGTAATAACCTTTCAGAGTTCGGGTCAAATACTGGTTATATATGCTTTAGTGCAGTGAATCTCCACATTGATTACCCATTGTAGTTACCTGTGGTCTTTGAAAACATTATTAATGCCCTAGTCTTCGTCTCAGTCAGAGTCCCTGAAGACAGGATCCAGTACTTGTATTACTGAAATATCCCTGGGAATATTTCAAATAGATAAATCAGCATTGATATGAACCAAATAGATGAAATCTTTAGATAAGAGTCTTAAAACATTTTTTCATCTACAAGCGGACCATGGAGAAATGTTTTGTATAGTCAGCCTATGAATGCCATTGATTTAGATATTCTTTTTAGAAGAAAGTTTACACTGAATCATCCCATTTGATTAAGTAGTTTAAGAAAGCTTTGAATATGTTTTGAGGACAATGTTTGAGTGACATTTCTAAAAGGACCAATGAAGAAGATCTGTTTGAGATACAGGGTTAATGGGCAGGTTAGGTGGGAAAGAGATCAGGCTATAGTTACAAGTTTGGGTGTAGAAGCAGTTTAGAAGCTTAGGGAAGACTGTGACACTGGAAAAGATGTGGAGAACTGAGGGGCATTTACTGCAGGGTATAGGTAAAAAGAACTGTGGCTGGA
Source organism: Homo sapiens (assembly GCF_000001405.40). Taxonomy (NCBI): domain Eukaryota; kingdom Metazoa; phylum Chordata; class Mammalia; order Primates; family Hominidae; genus Homo; species Homo sapiens. The sequence continues at coordinate 108,360,838 of NC_000010.11, read as the reverse complement.
AGGAACAGGAGTCTAAGGCCCAGCACTGGGTCCTGCATTTAAGTTCAACCAAACTGGAAGAAGACTAGAAAATATGGTGCACAGATTTGGGGAGGAGTATAAGAAGAAAAACTAGAGATATTAAAGTCTTTTTTTCCCTCAATCCCAGATATGTCTCGCATGTGGTGCAGGTCTGACCCTACAGATGGATAAATCATTGATTCCAGTTGTGGTATCTAAACAGAACTAAAGGAAGAAAATGAGATAGAGGGGCTGGTGTTCCATCTGAATGGAGCATGCTGCGTTCATTGTGTAATCTTCTTTGTTACTAACCACACTGAAGTGGGCAGCAGACAGGTGACTTGCCATGACTCTTTCATGTGGCTGTGATTGTGTATTAAAAGGTACTTTTGTCAGAGAAGTGTTATTCTTGATCTTATCTCTGGCATCTCCACAATGTCAACCTTTTATGCTCTCTTTCTCATCTTTATGGCCTCTGAATGACGACATGTTAATAACCACAGGCCTCAGCTGTAGTCTCCCTAAATCATTCAAGTACTCCTCACCTTTTGTTAAACATTTCATGATTCAGTCCTGGACTGGTTTGTGATTCACTTCCCATAAGAAATGGGCAACTGGATCAAGGATTGAATATATTTTGGTTTTATCCTGAATACTTATTAATTACTGTGTGTCACAAGTGCACACCGGGTTTGCAGATCCAGGAGGTTGTATAGAGTCACCTAGTTTTAAGAGGTCAAAGAAAGAAGCTGTCCAGAAATCAGGAAAACAAAACTATGTTTTAGGGTAGCTTCAAATCAGATGGTATTGATTATTTTTCAACTTCTATAGTATTTCTATTTTATTATAAGACTGTTGGCCGGGCACAGTGTTTCACACCTGTAATCCCAGCACTCTGGGGGGCCGAGGTGGGTGGATCACCTGAGGTCGGGAGTTCTCCATGATCAACATGGAGAAACCTCGTCTCTACTAAAAATACAAAATTAGCCAAGTGTGGTGGTGGATGCCTGCAATCCCAGCTACTCAGGAGGCTGAGGCAGGAGAATTACTTGAATCTGGGAGGCGGAGGTTGCGGTGAGCCGAGATTGTGTCGTTGCACTCCAGCCTGGGCAACAGAGCAAAACTCTGTCTCAAAAAAAAAAAAAAAAAAAAAAAATAGATTGTAAGGGTGAGGGTGAAAGGAGGAAAGCAGACAGCAGATACATTTATGGCCTGAATTATATGGTCATCATTGTATGAAATAATAATACAATAATAACAATTCATGACAATAACTAGTATTTATTCACTACTTCTTTGTGTTTGTATCATCACATCATTTAATTCTTACTAAAAGTCTATGAGAATTTTACAATAGGAACCACACTTTCCAGTTGAGGAAACTGAGGCCTTGAAAAGTTGATTGATGTCCCCAGATTAGACAGGAGTATTAGTAGTCTAACTTTAAAATTGTGTGTTTTATGAAGCTCTGCTATCTCCCTACCGAAACAAAATAGTGCAGGTAGCTAGAACGTGCCTGGAATCATTAAGAGACAGATACTGAATTTAAGATTTTTGTTTTACCTTTATTTTCCCAAACAAATGAACAATAAAGTTAAACTTATCAATATTTCATTTTCTTTTATCAATAAAACTGTGCCCTCTAGGGTCAGCTGGTGGTAAAATTACATCTTTTTACCAATAATTTCAGTATCCTGAAAACATGAGTAATTTGCTGAGGTAACTGAATGAGTCACCAGCCAACAACGCAGTCCCACTCAGTCCATTAGATTGAACTACTTCCCATGATGAATGAACTAAAGGTCCGGGTTTGTGACTCAATAACATAAGAGAGGAAGGTTTGCCTGTTTCAGAAATGGATTCTCATGACTACACCATGCCTGGCAGTGAGCAATTGCAATTTCCTCCAGGTGAATATCTTTCCGCCCACTTTTAATGAGTGGGTTTGTTAATATCACTGTGCCTCCAACATGCTATGTATTATAATGCCAGTTGTTTCTCTCTGCTCTTGTTCCAAATGGCTTCCATAATTACTTTTGCAGATACTGTAAGATAACTTCAGGATATAAGTCAACAATAAAACTCAGAAGCTAATGAAAATGGACTTTTTCAGGAGATTATTCAGTGTGTGAAAACAAATACATTCTTTGTGTCAGCTTCAGGTACTATGAGTTATGAATCCAACACTTCTTAGTATTAGGAAATGTGCTCTCAATTACTTGTGGTTGGGAATTGTTCCTATTGCTTCTTGGGTGATGGGAACTATGAAAATAATTTTCATAGATCAGGATCACATTTCTCAGAGGAAATTAAAACAAAAAGATTGTATACTGGTAAATTTTGCATTTTATGTGAATTTAGAGATTTTAAAGAATTTTCACAATGAACCTGGGAGGAAACCAAGCAAAAACTATCATCTCCATATTTCTGGTGAGGAAACAGGTTCAAATGGGTCATATGTCTGCTGATGGTCATACAGCAATCCAGTGAAGAAATCAGCCAGTTCATCTTAATATAGTATTTTATTTCATAACCCAGTAACACATTGGGCATGCTACATCCCAAGCGCTAAATGAGATGCATGAATGAGACATTGCAATTCCTGCCTGAAGCCATATTCAAAGTTAAGATGATTAGAAAAGCAGAATTTTTCTTTTGTGAATTACTTTAGGACCAAATGATAAAACATAGCATCCTTTATATACAAGAGAAAACAGAAAGCAACTTTTCACAAACATAGTCCCAATTCTGTATAATTTGGGATGGTTCTTGAAAGTCATAAACTCAAACATCCAACCCATTGTACCAACCACTCTGGTCCAGATACAAGGAAAGTTTATTAAAACCAAAGTCAGGCCAGGCGCGGTGGATCATGCCTGTAATCCCAGCACTTTGGGAGGCCGAGGTGGGCGGATCATGAGGTCAGCAGATCGAGACCATCCTGGCTAACATGGTGAAACCCTGTCTCTACTAAAAATACAAAAAATTAGCCGGGCGTGGTGGGGGAAGCCTGTAGTCCTAGCTACTCGGGAGGCTGAGGCAGGAGAATGGCGTGAACCAAGGAGGCGGAGCTTGCAATGAGCCAAGATCGCGCCACTGCACTCCAGCCTGGGCAACAGAGTGAGACTCCGTCTCAAAAACAAACAAACAAAAAACAAAGTCAGTGGAAATAACATTTACTTTGCCTGCAGATCTGAATGATGGGCGGGGTTCAGACTTCTGTTCCACTAAACTTCAGATAGAGTATCTCAAAGATTGGGGTCTGTATTCACTTAATGAGTAAGTGCTCACTCACATGTCTGGTGCCTGGGCAGGGAAGACTTGAACTGCTAGGGACTAGAACAGCTGAGACTTTCCTTATGTCTCTACCTCCGTCTATCTCCATGCAGTTCCTGAATGTTATTTCCAGCGTGACATCTTCAAGGTAGTCAGACTCATCACAAGACTGCAAAGGTATGTGTGTGTCTGAATATGCATGCATGCACACACACACGCACGCACACACACACACACAAAGATATTCCGTCATTTTTAAACTTTGACTTGGAAATGGCATAGATTAACATCTGCCTTAGTTTATAGACTCATTCAGATTCACGGGGAAAGAATTTAGACTTCAGCTGTCAGTATGGAAATGCCAATATCTCCATAAGATGGTCAATATGTTAGGATACATGAATACAATCTGCCATACTCTTCTATGCTCATCCTACTTCAGATTGAATATTTCTGTAGTTAAGTTGAGCTATTCTATTTCTGTGTAATTCTTGGTTAAAGACACTTTCTTATCGGGGAATCTAAAATTAGTCTCCTTCCTTACAATTAGCTTAGGCTTGTCTTCTGTTGTACGTGGGAGAGTTCTGCTTATGGTAAATAAGGAAGATTGGCTTTAGTAATTGTAGTGTTCAACCTGTACGAAGATGTCTACATGGAAATTTTTACTATATGACTCTGAAACATATTTTCTTTAAATATTTTCACTAAACACACCCTGACTTTCCAATGCACCATCATATCGAGATAATGCCTGGCTGTCTCAATATGTTGGTCATGTCCATGTGTTTGTATCCTTAGAATTTTAACAATAAACCTGGGAGGAAAGCCAGGCAAGAACTATCATCTCCATATTTCTGGTGAGGAAACAGGTTCAGATGGGTTATATCCTTAAAACAAGTTCAAATCTGTTTATATCCTTAAAATTCTCCAAAATGTGCCAATCATTAATTCCTCACAACATGCCTTCTTTCAGGGTGATAATAGTAGGAAAGGTCACATAGGTGAGACGATAGAGATTTCTTCAGGACATTATTAAGCAGCAGATCATCAGAGCTTCTTGTTTTGGCATGCTTAGTTAGCAAGATTATTTATGTAGTGTTGGGAGGTAAATTTGCACAGTGAAGTAAATTGATGAGTGAAGGTGATGAGAACTGGGCTCTAAATCCTAAAATCGCATTTATATAAATAATGTTGTTCTAAATGGGAATTTATTGTACTAAGAGAAAAGTTATCAAGATTAGTTAGTATAAATAAATAAAATGGAATAATCAAAATTTTACTGAATAACAGATAATATAAGGAGACAGAGACCGCAGTTGTTGAGTTCCTGAAAATACAAGACTGGGATGAGCCGAGATTTCAGTTGGAGTCCAGCAACACACATCTGCTCTCCTGATTCGTGTTAAATGGTACATGTTCCTATGTTGTCATTTTTAGGCATATCCCACTTCTGATGATAATTACAAGAGATATAGCTCAAAGACTACCCAAACACACCTTGAGAAATTGTCAGGAGGAAAAATTAGGTAGGGATTCATGCAGCAAGGAGAAGGATGAGATCACCAGGGAGTAATTGTGTTTTGAGAGTTTGTGGGTTAGAGACCTCGATGGGGTAGATCTCTTTCGCCTTCACGGAATTTAGTTGGTCTTATTGGAGATAGACCAACTAAATATCTTAAAGGATTTGGGCATCTACTGTACATTAAATAATTCTGTTTGATGTCATTGCTATATACCAAAATATCAGAAAGGGAGGATCTTTTGAAATATTTGGTATATATGGCTAGAGGAATAGACCAAGATTGGTAATTTATTTGATCTTGACCCAGACGTGAAAACATCTTAGTTTAGGTTTGTTAACTAAGATGAAGTAATCATTGTTAAGTCCAATGTACAGTGGCTATATTATGCACAAATAATTTTGTTCCCTAAACTGCTCTCCTGACAATGGGCTATAAAAGTATTATTCGTTATTTTTCTGATTATATCTATACAAATACACTGCAGAAATTTGGAAAATGAAGAAAATAGTAAAGAAAAAAAGAAAATTTTAAAATGCACATATTTTGTGTGTGCAGGTATGTTCGCTTGATTTGGATATAACTATTTCTTAAAATATTGGAGCCATACTACCTCTAAATTTTTAAAAACCTCTTCCTCACTATCAAATATTAACTAATCTCAAATATTTTATAATCTTGCTTTTTAATGGGGCATATTATTTGGCCCTGTATATTTAATTTAGTCAATGACCTGTTTTAGGAATTTAGACTGTTTTTCATTTTTCACCATGATCATGGCTTATAAACATTTATGTCTATTTATGAACACTTTTTAAAGATAATTTCCAAAGTTAGAAATATTGAACTAAAGGTATGGACATGTTTAGTCATTTGAAAGAATTGGCAAGTACATATTCTTTTGCCCAATGTCAACCATGCCATGTGTGTGTTTTCTAAAATAATAAAATTTGAAAATTTTACAGGCCAAAAGTGATATTTGGCATTGGTTTTCTTTGATTCACATGCACGCGCGCGCGCGCGCACACACACACACACACACACACACACACTTGATTTCTATAGCGATTTTTCTTTTAAGTCCTATTCATGTTTTTCATTTAGATTTTATCATTTTCTTTATTGTTGGCAATATTTTAGTTGGCAAATCATAATTGTAGACATTAATGAAATACTTATGTGATATTTTTATATATTTGTAGAATATGGAATGATTAAGTTAAGCCGATCAACATATTCATCACCTCACTTAATATTGTTTTGTGGTGAGAGATTTGAAATTTTATTAGCTATTTTGAAATATCCAATCCATCCTGTTGTGCAATAGATCTCAAAAATTTCTTTCTTCTGTCTAACTAAAATTTTGTGCCCCTTAACCAATAACTGCCTATCTCCACTCTCCCTCCACCACAGCCCTGGTAACCACCAGTCCACTCTTTATTTCTTCGAGTTTGACTTTTACTAATAGTCAAACTTTGACTTTTTAAAAAATTCTACATAAAAGTGAGATCATGTGGCATTTGGCTTTCTGTGCCTGGCTCAATTCACTTAGCATAATGTTCTCCAAATTGCTTGCCCATGCCCCTTTTGAACTGTAATATGTTTTGACATTAATTTAGCACCTCATGACTTTTCTTTAATCAGCAGTTTTGTTGGTGCTTAAAGCCGTGCATCAGAGTCTTGAAATCTGGCTTGAGCCAATGGATTTGACACTAGCTAGTTACAAAATTTAGGGGAAAGTTCTCCATCTCTGGGCTTTGATTTCCCCATTTAAAAAATGGTTATAAGACTTAATCCAATATATTTTATTGAAGTTTCATTATATGAACTGAGATTATAACCCAGCTCCTCTGATGCCTCTTTGACTGTGGAAGATGAATTTATATTTTGATATCCTCATTGTGTTACTTACCGGTCACTTTCAAATTACTGTTTCAGCCCCTCTCTATTTTTATACCCCAAAGTCTGGAGCTGAAAAAGACCTTAAACAGCGTTCTTAACTTTCTCACTTTACCAGCATGCAAACTGAGACAAAGATGTAGAGAATGAATGAAATTTTACCTAGGACTAGAATCAAGGTGACCTGATTTTATTTATTTTTACGGTGGCTTTCCTTAAGGAATGGTGTCTATGCTTTGACTCAATAAAATTATTACACAGGTGAAAGGAGGTGTGCACACATCCAACCACTATAGTTTCTAATATCAGAAAAACCAAAATTGAACCACATTTCCTTAAAAAATTTGCAAATAAATTTGAGAATATAAATACAATGAAATATTATCCATCACTTAAAATTATAATATAAAACTATATTTGCTAAGTTGAATAATGACTTATTTTAAAAATTTATAAAAATCACATATATAGTACTGTCCTCTGTTAAAATTATATGTACGCATGTATATGGAGATCGAGACCAGAGGAATATGTGAAATAATGTTCGAGGTGTGAGAGTATGCATTTATTTTGGTGAGTATGGTATTTGTAAGTTGTTTTTAAACTTATTTTGAAGTTTTTAAATATTTCAATTATCATTTACCTTTTTTACAAAAACAAAATAATACTATGTAAAACAAGATGGCTATTCTGATTTGGTATGCTTTCTTTAACTGTCCAAACTGGTTTTTGTTAAGTACTGCAGCTGACCTCTTTTCATTTTTTTATTTCTCACTCCATATGCAGTCTCTGACAATCCTGGCCAGAAGACTTTTTCTTTTCCCCATTCATTTGTTTTATATCTTCCTAGATGAATATAACCCTAGAGTTGCTTATATTTCATTGCAGTTAATAAACATAGGTTTGGGGAGTCAATTTCTTAAAGTTGAAACATACCATTATACAGCCAGGAACACCACTCAATAATCGCCTCTCCCATAGGAAATCTTTTATCTTCATACCCTTGACTGAGAATGTTCTCTGATTTTATGGCAATGTTATCTGTTTAAATCTATGAACAACTTGGGAGTAATCATGCTTCTCAAGAAACAAAAATAATTGTCAAGCTATTCAGCAAGTGACATTAAGGTCTTAGAATGTTAATTTTAAACACATTTCCTTCGTGTATTTTTATAAATAGAATGTCAAATTTGGAAGAACACTTCATTTTTCAAAGGTAATGTGAAGGAGTGAGTCATTGAAATCTTTAGTTTACGAATGACAGGGTATGAGAATGAAAACAACCTTTCATTAAGAGATGCTGTATAGGTAAAACCCTGGACTTAAGAATGATGATTTGTTTTTGTTCCTAGCTGGGGCTTAGGAAATTTATTTATATTTATGATTATCTTAGGGATTCAGCACTGATATGCAAGTGTAAAATAACAGAAACTCACAGCTATTAAGCTCTTGATACGTGTCAGACTGTGTTACATCATTTGCCTGCATTTGTCATTTGATTTTTACAATAATCTTGTATAATTCAAATTATAATTATCTCCATTTTGCAGGTGTATTTTTTAAAATTTAGAGAAGTTTAGGTAATTTCTCCAGATTATAAAGGTAGCAGGTTGTGGATGTTACGCTTTGACTCACATCTGCCTGATTACATGCAAATTTAATCACTGGGCTATTATTTAATATGTACAAATAGCAGTTTTAGAACCCACTGGATTTTTAAAAATTACTGTTGTTGCTTTTTTTTGTTCATTTCTTTAGGAGAGCTAGTGAATATCTACTTGTCCTTGAATTAATTCAAGCTGATAATGAATAATGTGTGCTTTCTGCTCTATATTTAGCCATTGACACATTCTGATCAACTCTTGGATAACAATTTATCTTCCATTTAATGGAAAATTGATCCCTGCACTTCTTTTTGATTTAGCAGTGGAAACTCATGGACTCATTGCTGCCTCATGATGACATTTCCCTTGATCCACATTGGGCAATGTCTACCTCAGCAAATCCCCAATATTGGCAGCCAATTAAAAATTAACATGACTAGGGAATGAAGATCATTATCCTAGTGGGACACTGAAACTGAACATGTGAGATTTAATCAGACGAACTTTTTTCTGCTGAAGAGTGTAGAGCTGGCAAGATCTTGCAAGCTCACTGTGGGCTCCATGCCTCATTCAGGACTGGTGCTGCCACTGGCGAAACATATATGGAATTAGTAGTCCGGTGTGTCCATTCATTCTCTCTGCACATCCCAGCCTCTCTTATCTTTGCTACTGGTTCCCCATTTTTGTTGCAACTTTTTTCCTTTAGGTCCTCAAAGTCACAGTGCTTTCCATAATAAGCATTGATTATTCGATGCCAGGGATTCTGCTAGATGTTTTACCTTTTATAAAATCCTGGAAACAACCCTTTAGGACTCAGAGAGATTAAATGACTTCCAATGGTCACAAGTGCAAAAGGTACCGAAGTGTTTTTGTTCGTTTGTTTGTTTTTTGTTTTTTGTTTGAGATTGAGTTTTGCTCTTATTGCTCAAGCTGGAGTGCAATGGCGTGATCTCGGCTCACTGCAACTTCTGCCTCCCTGGGTTCAAGTGATTCTCCTGCCTCAGCCTCCTGAGTATCTGGGATTATAGGCATGTGCCACCATGCCCATCTAATTTTGTTTTTTTAGTAGAGACAGGATTCATCCATGTTGGTCAGGGTGGTCTTGAACTCCCGACCTCAGGTGATCCACCTGCCTCAGCCTCCCAAAGTGTTGGGAGTACAGACGTGAGCCACTGCGCCCAGCCCAAAGTCAGTTCTTAAGATTGCCTGGCAAGACACGGAGGTTCACGCCTGTAGTCCCAGCACTTTGGGAGGTTGAGGCGGGCAGATCACTTGAGCCCAGGAGTTTGAGACCAGCCTGGGCAACATGGAGAAACCCTGTCTCTTCAAAAAAAAAAAAAAAAAATGCAAAAATTAGCTCAAAGTGGTGTCATGCACCTGTTGACCCAACTACTGGAGAGGCTGAGGTGGGAGGATCGTTTGAGCCTGGAATGCCAAGATTGTAGTGAGTCAAGATCGCACCACAGCATGCCAAGCCAGACAACAGAGCAAGACCTCGTCTCAAAAAAAAAAAAAAAAAAATTGTTGTTTGAAAAGCCATCATTTTGTCTTCATGCAATGTTCTCTGTTACTAAGCCCTTCACAATTAAAACACACTCTCAGGTAATATTCTGGCTCCAGGTATTTTTCTAAAGTGCAAATTTCAATAAATGATATAATATTACTCCTTTCATAGAGGTCTGTTTATACTTTAGGGGTTCTATACTGGTAAATGGAAATTTGTATCCTCTGGATATTCTGTGCAACAGTAGGCCATTGAGAAAGTACATTTGAATAAGCAGAACTCTCTTGTTCTTTTGAAGTGGATTCAAGTGGGAAAATACTTTATTTGACCTATGTGTAAGTACAACATTGCATTTTATCATGACGGTCAGACTTACCTTTGGGTATATAAGGATCTTCCTTCTCATGGTAACAGAAGATTTAGTGTCCCCAAGGATCCTCCAAATTGATAAGTTGACCATGTATGCTTTTCTTCCATCTAAGCTCTTGCTTGAAAATTCCACTCTCAGAATAGATCTGGAAGGGAGGAGGTTTATTTTACATATACATGCACTTTATGTGATGTATGTATTTATGTATGTGTGTATACATGTATTCATGCAGTACACATGTATATATAAAGTCAGTGTTATTTTTCATGCCCTGTAAGTTGGGGAGTGATAGTATCACATGCTAATTAGAAGCTGAGAAAGAGATGGAAGCTCATACCCCAGGAAGCTTTATGCCAGCTATGCTTTTTCATCCTATTATATTGTTATTTAGAAAGACATCTTGGTCTGCATTTCTCTGATGGCCAGTGATGATGAGCATTTTTTCATGTGTTTTTTGGCTGCATAAATGTCTTCTTTTGAGAAGTGTCTGTTCATGTCCTTCACCCACTTTTTGATGGGGTTGTTTGTTTTTTTCTTGTAAATTTGTTTGAGTTCATTAGATACCATCTCACACCAGTTAGAATGGCAATCATTAAAAAGTCAGGAAACAACAGGTGCTGGAGAGGAAGTGGAGAAATAGGAACACTTTTATACTGTTGGTGGGACTGTAAACTAGTTCAACCATTGTGGAAGTCAGTGTGGCGATTCCTCAGGGATCTAGAGCTAGAAATACCATTTGACCCAGCCATCCCATTACTGGGTATATACCCAAAGGACTATAAATCATGCTGCTATAAAGACACATGCACATGTATGTTTATTGCGGCATTATTCACAATAGCAAAGATTTGGAACCAACCCAAATGTCCAACAATGATAGACTGGATGAAGAAAATGTGGCACATATACACCATGGAATACTATGCAGCCGTAAAAAATGATGAGTTCATGTCCTTTGTAGGGACATGGATGAAATTGGAAAACATCATTCTCAGTAAACTATCGCAAGAACAAAAAACCAAACACTGCACATTCTCACTCATAGGTGGGAATTGAACAATGAGAACACATGGACACAGGAAGGGGAACATCACACTCTGGGGACTGTTGTGGGGTGGGGGGAGGGGGGAGGGATAGCATTGGGAGATATACCTAATGCTAGAGGACGAGTTAGTGGGTGCAGTGCACCAGCATGGCACATGTATACATATGTAACTAACCTGCACAATGTGCACATGTACCCTAAAACTTAAAGTATAATAAAAAATTAAAAAACAAGAAAAAAAAAAAGACATCTTGGTCTGTTTGTTGAAATACTCCATACATTTAGAAAGATCATTTAGACACCATCTTAATTGACATTTCCAAGAAAGTCAGAGACATTCCATAATTTTTCATATGAGTTCGTTTGTTAAAACTACAGGAGATCAGCCGAGCACAGTGGCTCATGCCTGTAATCCCAGCACTTTGGGAGGCCGAGGCGGGCGGATCACGAGGTCAGGAGATCCAGACCATCCTGGCTAACACGGTGAAACCCCATCTCTACCAAAAATACAAAAAATTAGCTGGTCGTGGTGGCGGGCGCCTGTAGTCCCAGCTACTCAGGAGGCTGAGGTAGGAGAATGGCGTGAACACGGGAGGCGGAGCTTGCAGTGAGCTGAGATCCTGCCACTGCACTCCAGCCTGGGCGACAGAGAGAGACTCCGTCTCAAAACAAACAAACAAACAAACAAAAAACTACAGGAGATCAATCTAGGTTGGTCCTTGAATAAGAAAATAAAAAAGCTTTATTTGCAAAAGAGATCACCTAATCTAATGATGAAGATGTTCAGCATATGATCATGCAGCTGTTATTAAGCAGTTTTACAAATAAACCATCGCCTTTCCTAAGTTACTTTGTCTTTTTATGTAGGGATATCAAAAATCTCTGAGGCCAAGAAGAGGACCGTTCAGGCCTTAGATTATAGTTGAAGGAATTATAGATTTACAGTGTTAGGGGATATCTTTGTGGAAATCTCATTATTTTTTCAAACATTTTTATAAAAATGCACGAATGAGGAGAGCTAGTCTAAGGAAAGACTTATTCGGTATTTCTAATTTTCTAATATAATTATTTTGCCTGAAAAATAATTGAAAACCATGTCATTATTGTTTAAACAAGACTAGAGGCAGTGTAGGATCCAGGTAGCTTTCTATCAAGATGCCAGCTCCATTTTAATTTGAGATTTGTTTTCCTAAGATATACCCGTCTCCATGTGGCTGAGTCATTCTAAGGATGCCTTCCTTGTGGTTGTAAAGTGCCTGCCATTAGATTTATGTATGTTCTTCTCACTTACAACTGGAGAACAGTAGAAATTTGCTTTGAATAAGTATCAACAACAAATTCTCAATTTTAACATTATTAGAAAATTATATGGCCAGAGCAATTCAATGATCTAATTGACTTGTACCTGCTTTAAAATCTCTTAAACTATCATTCTGGCAATTTGGATGAAATTATCCTCATTTCCTTTTAGTATCATCCAGTGGTAAATGTAAGAGATATAAGAAAAGTGAGGGAATAAAAACTGGTTAGGCAACAAAGCACTGTCCATTAATTTTTTTTCCTCCTAATTGTTCATTAGTTGTATATTAGCTCTCTTTTCTTTTTAATGTATTTATTGTGATAAAATACACGTAACATAAAACTAGCCATTTTAACCATATTTAATTGGATAATTCAATGGCTTTAAGTACATTAATGGTGTTGTACAACCATTGTTACTATTCATCTCCAAAGCTTTTCATCATCTCAAGCAGAAACTCTTTACCCATTAAGCAATAACTCACCATTTCCCCCTTCCTCTGGAAGACCCTCTTGCCTCTAGTAACCTCTATTTTACCTTCTTTCTCTTTGAATTTGAATGCTTTAGGTACTTAATATAAGTGGAACCACATGATATGTTCATCTGTGTCTGACTTATTTCACTTAGCATACTGTTTTCAAGGTTCAATCATGTTGTAGAATTTATCAAAATTTTATTCCTTTTAAGATTGACTAATATTCCGTTGTATCCGTGTGTCATATTTTGCTTACCATGCTTCTGCTGATGATCACTTGGGTTATTTCTACCTGTTAGCGATTGTGAATAATGTGAAGAACACTGGGACACAGGTGTACAAGTATCTGTCAATTCCTTTTCGTATGCACCTAGAAATGAAATTGCTGGATCATATGGAAGTCCCATGTTTAACTTTTTGAGGAACCACCAAAGTGTTTTCCACAGTGGCTGCAACATTTCACATTTCCTCTTGTGGTGCACAAAGCTTCTAATTTCTTTACAGCCTCACAAACACTTCATATTTTCTGGTTTTGGTGTGTGATTTTTTAAATAATAGCCATCCTAATGCGTATAAAGTGCCATCTTATTGTGGTTATAATTTGCATTTTTCTAATGGCACTAGTGTTGAACATCTTTTTATAGGGTTGTTGACCTCTCCTTCCTTCTTATTTTTCTTTCATATTCTTTCGTTTCTTCTTCTTTCCCTTTTCCTTGTTTTCCCCTTTTTACTTTCACCTTTCTACCCTCTTTCTTCTCTCATCCTTCTTCCTTCCTCCCTCCTCTTTCCCTCTCCCCTCACTTCCTCTCTCCCTCCCTCCCTTTCTCTCTTCCTTTCTTCCTTGCAGGATATAATATGTGGATTAACTCTATCCAAGGCTTTGTTCCTTCTCCATCCAATCAAAACACTTGCTAGCCCTGAATTACATGTCTAGTAGGTAATAATCAGCATTCATACCATATCTGTTTGACTCTGACTTTAATATCTTAAAAATGTGTTACACTGACTTCAACAACAAAAACCTTTGAGATTTATTCACACGCATTTAATAAATGGCTACTACGTTTAAGGCATTATTGTAAGTTCAGAGATACTTCCTTGAACAAAATAGATAATCCTTACCTTCTTGGGACTCACTTTGTAGTAATATAAAGATATGGAGTTTTGTGGATTTATTGCTGTACATAAATACAGCATTTCTCTGTGGACCTCAGTTTTGTCTAATACAGAAGTAGAACTTTTTCTCTAAGTTATCCTGTAGCTCCAGCACTCTATGGCCATGATAATTATTTTTAGTGCCTTTTTTTTTCTTTAGTTCTTAATCGCAACCCAGTCTACATTTTGGTGAGTTTTAGTTCCTTTTATTTCACAGCCTTCACTAGATTTTATTTTACACTCTTTTATTTTTCCCTGGTTGTTACTGGTCACGAATAAAAGTAAAAAATAAAAATAAAAAATAAATGTATTAAAAAGGCAAATTTGAGAGGTGGCCAAGCTGCCGCTATGAAAGGACTTGGCTTGGTGGCAACATCGTTCTGCCAGCTCCACTCCACCCACCCTCCTACCTGTGCCAGGCTGCAGATGGCCTGTGGCCTGCCACCTTGCTTGAGGGCTTCCTGCCATTCTCACAGATGGGCCCAGATCATGAGGTCAAGACATTGTGTGTCAGAATCAAATGAACTCATTAGAAATTATTGTGGACAGCTGTTCATGGGTTGCCATAAAATAAATTGATCCACCCATCTAGGTCTCAGAAGATGTCATGGATCAATATGGTTGAGTTTTTAAGCAACACATTAATTTAGGTATTTCAAATACATAGTTTTTTTCCCCAGTAAAAAAGAATTTGAAAGATACTGGAATGGGGATTAGAGCATTATGAGTGTGAATTTGCCTCAGATACCTTTGCTAAAAATGATGGTTATTAGATAATTCAAGACCCTCTCAATTTCAACCATTAATATTCAACAAATAATTAATTTATCCATTCAACAATATTCACTGACACGTGCATATTGAGGAGACATAAGTTATTCACAAAATAAACTCCCTTGCCTTTAAAGTGTTCACATGACTTACATAAACATAAGACTTGACTGCTTTTCTCCATTTTTGATAAAACTTGGGTATGGTAGGTAATACCAAGAAATCTAAATTTTCAAAAATACACATATTACTAAAGTAATAATGGAGGCACATGAATGAAGGCTTTCTTTTGAGTGGCTAACAATATATGAAATACGTAAAAGTCCCTAGTTTAAGAGAGAAAGAGCATAAAGCTCACATCTGTAGGTGAATTGGAGGGAGAGGGGAAGGTAATTATGTCTTTGAGTTTTGTGAACCTGGTACACACTGGAAAGCTCAGACCATTTTATAAGTAGAGGAGAGAACTTTAATGATTGTTTTCACTTAGCAGAGAAGGAAAGGCTTGAGTTATCTGCAAAGATATGTTTTAATTTCCTATCAAATAGGACACAACCACCCAGCACTCAACTTTCCTTTCATTTTGAACAAACCAGTCTGTCATTTTCAGGGATCTAGTGCATTGCTGGGCTATAAATAAGTAGCTGACATTGGAAAGATACATCCGTGACTTGCCAGGAAAAGTACAAAAATGTTAAAATGTGTCTAAAACTCTTCACACTTCCTAAGAGATGAAGCAACACATAACCAGGCAAATGGTCTCAGTTTTCCAAGAATAGTCTCAATATACATGTATTGAGTAGATGTTCTGTCCAGCAGTTTACTCTCTAAAACTTTCAGGTAGAATTATACATTTTATGTTCACCATACATATAACCAACACATATTCCTTGCATTCTCCCTACAAATTTAAATGCCAAACCAAATGTGATATTGCAGTATATTCCAGGAAGAGATTTGGCCAACAAGAGAGGAAACCTTGTAACAGAAACTGTTTATATGTCTATCCTCTGTAGTTAAATTCTCCTGATAGCTTTGATATTGCCGTATAATCTGAAGATAACTAATGTAATATTTTCCTGATTGCTTTAGAGAAAGAGATTAGTGGAGGGGGGGGGTACACAAAAATAAAATAACAATAAAGTTCAACTCTTTTTTTAAATGGATTCACATTTTTGGCATAGAAAGATATGATATGTAATTAATTGGCCATGTGTAAACATTACGTGGTCATGAACAACAAATTGCTGAAAACAGCAGAATGGAATATTCTCTTTCAGGCTGGTAAGAATGGCTGCTGCTAGTAGGGCTCTGGCAATAATTCCAACAGGAACTGGAAAGACACTTTCTTAAAAACACAGCATGGTAATTGAGAAGGAACTTAGACATAATGTATGTTTGAGTTTAAATGCTGTTTTTACATTAAATAGCTGAGTAACCTTAGGCCTCATACTAATAATTTTAAGCTTCAATTTCAGAATCCCTGTAAAGTAGGTAGTAATTGCACTCTTACAGAGTTGTCTGAGGATCAAATGACATAATGCATATAGATATACACACAAATATAGGTATAGGTATATAGTAAAATAGTGGCTGATACCTAGTCAGAGTTCATATATTTTGTAATTAGTGTCACTCTTCTGATCGGGATTGAAGCTCTGTCACCTCACTTTCTTTCTGTTTATTTTTCCCTTTACTTTAGTTTTAGCCAGCTTCTGACTGTCCATGGAGAAATTTATTCTTCCTTTGCTGTGTGTAGCTTCAAAGCATTTACATACCTCTTTGAAAAGGCCCATGCTTATAATATATACAGGTCAGCCTCTCAGCTTTCTTGTCCCTTTTGTGTTTCCATTCAACAGTGCTGGAGCAGTTTTCTTGTGCAGTGTTTTCAAGTTTTACTGTTATGCGTGGATTCATTTCCCCAAATTATTATTCAGTGTTTTCCTTGGGCACTCAAGCAGGAGAGGCCTCTACATTTCAGAGGCCCTTTGTTCTGTCTATTGTTTTGCTTTACATCCTGAAGTATACTTCAGGCCTGTCTTTATCCTCCCTCACTTGGATTTCATACCAGCCTACACCTGTGATTGCTGCCCGTAACCACAGCCACCCCAAACAGTTTGGGGAAGATTTTGTTTCTTGATTTTGGAGTTCGTGTGCACTGAATTCGGAAACCAGAAGCTCCCTCTCCTCGAGTAAGGGAGCTAAATGACAATGTCTTTGCAAAGACAACAAAGGAAAAATGAAGAACGAACGAACTCTCTTAGCATCTTAAAAAATACATAAATAAAAATAGGCAGGGCGCGGGTGCTCATGCCTGTCATCCCAGCACTTTGGGAGGCTGAGGAGGATGGATTACTTGAATTCAGGAGTTCAAGGCCAGCCTGGGCAACATGGTGACACTCCGTCTCTACTAAAAAATGCAAAAAAAAAAAAAAAATTAGCTGGGCATGGCATCGTGCACCTGTAGTCCCAGCTACCCGGGAGGCTGAGGCAGGAGAATTGCTTGAACCTGGGAGGTGAAGGTTGCAGTGAACCAAGATCTTATCACTCCACTCCAGCCTGGGCGACAGAGTGAGACTCTATCTCAAAAAAACCTAAAAGGTAGAGAAATATTATTTAATTGCTCTGGAATTCAAGACAGTGCAGTTCATTCTTGAATCTGAGGGAAATAGGAAAGAGAATCAGCAAATTCTGTGTGGAGTTGTAAGCCCTGTACAAACTGTGGATTAATTCTCCCTCCTCTGTTTACAGAGATGCTTGAGTGAAAGTATTACCTTACAAGTATTATATAAGTATATAAGATAATATGTACCTTTTACATCTTATATATATGTATTATCATAAGGCACTTATGAGACTGTTTGAAATATAAATGCTCAATAAATTTTAGTTATGATCAGTAATATTATGGATTGTTTCTTGTTCCAGTCACTGTCTAACTCCACTGTATATTATAAGCATTATCTTATTTAATCTTTTCAATAAAGTGGTGGGTGATAGCACCACCCCCAAATCACATTTAGTCAACTAAAGATTCAAAGAAGTTAAGCAACATGCTCAAGGCTATACAACTTGTAAAGAGAAGAACTGAATTTAATCTCAGCTTTGTCCAATGTTAAAGACTTATTTTTTCACCACAAGCACGCAACATCCAATATAAAATACATACTTATTATACTTATAGTAGCTCCAAAACTGTTTGTTTCAAAAAAGAAACATTGATGTACACAGATAACTTGAATGGCATAGACAGAATAGGAGTAGCTGTGAGCATTTGATCTATTTAAATAGAAAACTTTTCAAATGCTGTATGTATACTTCCTGAAAACTAAACTCATGCAACTTCAACTCATGCAACTTCAACTCATGAAAACTAAACTTCATGCAAACTGCCTGAAAACTAAACTCTCTCGTGTTTGACTGGGGAAGATTCCTATATTCAGTTCTTATCTAAAGTTCTTCCTTAGAGGACAACAGAAAAATGAGTGATCCCAAGATATAATATTGTATAGATTTTTTTTAGACAGATGACTACCTCTAAACCACTTATAACTTATTATTTTATCTGAAGATCAAATGGAATGTGTCACAAATATTTTAAGTGATATAAACATTGTAGTGCATTGCATACACCTGCACTACTCTCTCAAAATGAAATCTTCCCAAAGTGTTCATAAGTGTTATTTTTTGTATATTTTCTTTATATTTTCTTCATTTACTAAAATATATTTTAGGTATCTATTATACGAAAGGCACTATTTGTTGAATTTGGGGATACAGCAACAATAAAAGATACACATAAAAACATTTTCTGTTGTCTTTTACCTTACATTCTAGTAAGGAAAAATAGGCAATAAATGATAGCATAGTAAGCAAGCAAAAATGTGTTGTATTATGGAATAAAGGTGGGTTTATTTAAGGTAACGTTTGAGAAAGACTTTAAGTAGGTAAAGAATTAAAGCATGGAAATATCTGCAGGAAAGAAGTCTAAGCAAAGCAAATAGCTTGGAACAGTGAAGAGGCCAGTGCAGCTGCCTGAGTGACCAAGGGGTAAAATTGTGTGAGCTGAGGCCAGAAAGATTGGATTAGGCCAGGTCATGTAAGGACGTTGACTTTATATAATGAGAAAAGGGGAGTTCTTGGAGGGTTTTGAGCTGAGAAGCAGCATAATGTTAACTTACATTTTATGTAATCGCTCTGACTGGTGTGCAGCACATGGACTTAGAATAATGGCCTCCAGCTCCATCCAAGTTGCTGAAAAGACATTATTTTGTTCTTTTTAATGACCAAGTAGTATTCCATGGTGTATATATACCACATTTTATTTATCCACTCATTTGTCAGTGGGCACCTAAGTTGGTTCCGTGTCTTTGCAATTGTGAATTGGGCTGCAATAAACATACATGTGCAGGTGTGTTTTTGATATAATGACTTTTTTTTTCCTCTGGATAAATAATAGTGGGATTTCTGGATCAAATTGTAGATCTACTTTTAGTTCTTTAAGAAATATCCATACTGTTTTCCATAGAGGTTGTACTAATTTACATTCCCACCAGCAGTGTATAAGCATTCCCTTTTTACCACATCCATGCCACTATCTGTTGTTTTTTGACTTTTTAATAATGGCCATTATTGCAGGAGTAAGGTGGTATCTCATTGAGGTTTTAATTTGTGTTTCCCTGATGATTAGTGATATTGAACATTATTGACCATGTATATATCTTCTGCTTTCAAGAAATGTCTGTTCATGTTATTTGCTCACTTTTTGATGGAGTTATTTCTTTTATTCTTGCTCATTTGTTTGAGTTCCTTGCATTAGTGCATTGTCAGATGCATACTTGGTAAATATTTTCTCCCATTCTGTGGTTTGCCTGTTTACCTTGATGACTGTTTCTTTTGTTGTACAGAAGATTTTTAGCTTAATTAGGTCTCATTTATTTTTGTTTTTGTTGCATTTGCTTTGGGGGTCTTAGTCATGAATTCTTTGTCTAGGTCAATGCCAAAAGAGGTTTTCCTAAGTTATCTTCGAGAATTTTTATGGTTTTGGTCTTAAAGCCTTTGATACATCTACAGTTGATTTTTTACATGGTGAGAGATAGAGATCCAATTTCATTCTGCCATATGTGATTAGCCAGTTTTCCCAGCACCATTTATTAAACAGGGTGTCCTTTGCCTAATAAAATTTATTTTTATTAATATATAATACAGATACATATTGTGGTGGGAAAATTGAAAATGTACAATTTCTCTAGTATTTGTAATTAGCTTAGTGGTTTATTAACCTTATCAAAGAAAACTTAACATATGTTTATCCAAATGTCACACAGCTCTTATTTTTAATCTTAGCTTACCTCCTTTCTTCATCTTTTCCTTGACTTTATTTAAGTCTACTTTTTTCACTAATATGTGGTAAAATTTATTTAAAACTTTTGCTGTGGCCAAGCATGGTAGCTCATGGCTGTAATTCCAGCACTTTGTGAGGCTGATGCAGGTAGATCATGAGGTCAGGAGATCGAGACCATCCTGGCCAACATGGTGAAGCCCCATCTCTACTAAAAATACAAAAAATAGTTGCATGTGGTGGCATGTGCCTGTAATCCCAGCTACTTGGGAGGCTGAGGCAGGAGAATCGCTTGAATCAGGGAGTTGGAGGTTGCAGTGAGCTGAGATCGCACCACTGCACTCCAGCCTGGCCACAGAGCAAAGACTTCATCTCAAAAAACGAACAAAAAACATAACAAAAACAAAAAACAAACAAACAAAAAAAACAAACAAACCTTTGCTCAACCTTCTCTGCCTTCTCAAGCCCCAGTTCTAATTGAACTTCTGTTTTTCTACTGCTCCTTAGAGTAGGTCTTAATACTAGGACAGGTATTTTAGCTCAAAGTTATGGAAAGGAAATTCCATATGTTGCTTCATTAGCATTATAGAAAATACACACAGATTGGATAGTCTTCCTAACATTTGTATGACTGGTTGAATATTTTTCCAATAATACGTTTTTTTTCCTTTATTAATAAGGTCTGATATTTCTCCCTATCCTGAAGAAGTTTGTCGTAAGAAGAAAATGTTATATATATGAAAGTGATTATTGCAATTGTATTAAATCATTCTCCATATTTTTATAAACTTTCTCTAATCTTTTAATTTAAGAATTAGAATAATGCTACTATTCATAAACTATTCCAACCCCATCTTGCCTGTAGTTCTCTAACAATTTGCATGTGTATGTGTGAACTCCTGCTGACTTTGTTGAGGACATTGCATGTGGGTGGAGGAGGGAGAGAATGAAAAGATTTGCACTGCTATGGAAATAACTTTGAAAATGTGTTTTGACAGAAAGGGCTTTATAATATTTTATCTTAAGTGTGGAGATTTACTAAAAATCATCTGAGTCTCTTGTGAAGTTTTGGCTACAAAAGTATTACAAAATAAGCTGAATATAATTATTCATTATGTAAGGATATTGAACATACACAAAGCTGAAATAGTCTTTGATTTAAAGGACAAAATCACTTTGATATAATATGCTTGTCAACTAGGAACAAACTTATCAGTGTTGGTTATATAAAAAAAATAACTATTTCATTCAAAGCTAAACTTTGTCAGTAGGATGTCCAAAATGCAGGTCACAGATTATAATGAAATTTCATTGCTAGCAAGACTTAGTTAATAGATCATTGATCTGTTTAATGGTTGGTGGAAAACTAATTTTTGCATCAGCTCTACTATTGGATGTTTGTCCATTTTGGAGTACAATCCAATAAAAATATCTTATTTAATATAACATTCTTACATTTTTAGCATACAGATTGACTAGTCCTAATTATTCACTCAGTCACTTGCTGTGTTGGTATCACTGCCATTGTAAACTTTCCCTTTTAAAGGCTTCATATTCTTTGCCTTATATTGCCTCCATATTCAAGACTGATCACTTATATCCACTGTGAAATAGTCTAAATTTGCAAGCATAAATATAGAGTGGTATATTATGCTCAACTAAGCTTCCAATTATGTAACTTTTTTCAAATTTGATAAGAAACGTACAATGAAATGGCCTTAGCGAATTCACCTGCTTTATAGAAATTCTAATATATGAATAAACATAAAATGAACTTTTTTGATAATAAGTAAGCAGTACATCTCCTATATTTTAATGAAGAAGATAGTGAGTTTTTAATACAGACATCTAATTCCCAATTACATGTGGTGTCACTGTGTAGGGTGTGTGTGTGTGTGTGTGTGTATGTGTGTGTTACGTATGTTTGTGTAAGTCACTTAACCTCCCTTTCCATATCTGTAAAATAAGGTCAATATTAGTACTCTTCTTCAAAGGGTTGAGTTAATACTTCAAAAATCTACAACAGTGTTGGGCATGTTATTCATTATTATATGATTTAACTGTGGTTAATCTGTAATTGATCATGTGTAGTCTACCCCATCTGAATTGCTGTTCAGGCACCCCTCCCCTTTCCTTTGGTAACACTTCCTTAAATTTCCTTCAGAGCCAATTCTCTGTTACACATGCCTCTCCTAGTTCTGAGGTGCCTTTCCTTCTCTGGCCAAGGGTTGAGTGAGTGATCATCTTGGGCAAGTTAGAACTCCTCTCCCAGGAGTTTAAACATGGAGCAATTATACCAGGGCAGATTTTGAAAGGCAAATTAAAGGTAATTTATACCAGGAGTAGTGTTCTTAAGAGAATGGTGTTTACTTCTTGCCACTAAGAGTCTCATACTTGCCCTATTACTGCATTGCCCTTTGAAGGGACTGTTTGTTTAGTCTCTCCTTTGGTTTTCTAAACTATTTTCCCTGTCTCCACACAAATTCCTCTTTATCTTTAGCCAAAGTTGTCTTCTATTCTTGCAATCAAAGAACAACTGGGTCATACTGTTCATAATATTTCCTACTTTGCAGTTCCTAATTATCCCTCTATTTATATTCTGCCCATCCTTCAAACTCATTTATGCACTTTTTCCTTTCAAGAAATTCCTGAGAACCACAGGACTCCATGACGTTTTTCACTCCGAAGATAATTACCTTTTTTTGGTCTGTACCACTTTGTACATATTTGTCATTTTTTTACTGCTGCATAACAAACAACTATGAATCTTTTTGCCTTAAAGGAATAACCATCGATTTGGCCCTCAACCCTGTAGATTGGAAAACTGGTCTGGAATTATCTGTGAGGTTGGAGACATTCTTGACTCAATCATGCCTTTTGGTCAGATGTCAGTTCAGCTGGACGAGGGTCCATTGTGTTGGTAGTAGTGGAGGTCTATAGCTGGGATGGTTTATCTCTTCTGTGTAGTCACTTCATCATGTAACAGGGTAGTATGGCCTTATTCACTCAGTAGAAGGCTCCAAAAGCAGCAACACAGTACCATGGGTACTACTCAAGTCCTTTCTGAGCCTCTGCTTACTAACACATCATTGGCTAGACCAAGTCATATGACCAAGCCCAGAATTAGTGCTTAATGGGAAATCAACTCCATGCCTTGATAGGAGGAGCTATGGGTATTATAGTCATTGCTATAATCTACTAGATACTCAGACTCTTTGAACTGGAATCTAAGAAGGGTGCTTCAAGATTCATTTCTTATAAGAGGTGCTGGAGAGGTGGCTACTTAGCTTTTCTTTTGAACACTTCCAGTGACTACAGGTGTAGTACTTCAAGAAGCAGCTTATTCCCATTTAGAGCAACTCTAGTAATTTTTCTGAAGTTTTCATTTTTCTTTTTTCTAATTCCTAATTGTGGTCTGAGTTCCTGAAGGATTACAATGAGCTTACTACTTTTTCCCAGAGAACAATTATTCAGAAATTTATAAAGAGCTATTATGTCTGTTCTGAACCTTCCCTTCCATGAGCTAAATATGTTTTATTCCATTGCCTATTCCATGTAGGAGATAATTTCCTTGTCAGCCTTCTCACAGTCTCTGAATACATTCCAATTAATTTATCTTTCCAATTCACTTATAAAATGACAGAAGAAGGAACATTATCCAAGATATGAAATTATATTCCATTAGAACTACTGCTTAACATTTAGGAACTATTTTAATTTCATAGTTTCATAAAATCATTGTGTAGGCTATTGTTGAGAGTAAAGTAAAAGAGCCAGTTGTAAAAATGAGATTAGGTAAGGAATTTCTAGTAACCTATTTTAAACAGACGCGAATTTCAATCTTCTCACCACTGTAAATAGAAATCTGTGGGTACCTGACATCTCATTTCCTGGACCAAATGGTCTCGATAGGTGGCTTTATAGAAATAAAAGGGAGGTATTTTATTAAAATAATTTATGAATTATATAAATTAAGAGGAGATAATTTATTTTCCCCAAAGGATGTGCCACAACTTTCTCTAGAGTTCATTGAAAATATAGTGTATTCAGAAAATCAATTTATGTGTAAATTTCAAGAATATGCCATGAATTTATTATGTGAAATGAAGTATTCCAGTAATCACTAATGTGATTTGAGATTGGAACTTCAGGTATGATGAATTCGTTAATCAACTACTTAAAGAACCAACTTCTGAATTCAACAAAATATAACTGAGTATAATAAATTGTTAAGGATTATATCAAGCAGAATGTGAAGACAAGGGTAGTGATGCAGGGGGAACTGTAGTGTGAGCCTGTGTTGTGATTTCTTCAGGGATTTAGATATGCTTGAACATAGCTAAAGAAATTGTGGGGTGGCAATGTGAACTTGGATTATTTTCTAAGGCAGGTAATAAAACAGGTATATAATACAGATTTTTCAAGGAAAAAAGCAAACTTTATTGATCATTAAAACACAATTAAAAATTGGTTACAACATGCTTATTACTTGATTATATGTGTTACCAAGCCTAGTTTTAGCCATTAAATATAATGATTCTAAAATTTATTATTTTCTCTTCCCAATGATGCTTAAAATTTATCTTATTTTACCTTATAAATTAACAGGATTTTCAATGGCTCCTGTCATGGATAACAAACAAAGTTTGTCCTTGAGCAGGAGCCTTTACACAAATCATATGAGGATTCAGATATTTATATTTAGTCTTGACCATTAGAGGCCTAAAGATGGACCTTCTCCAGAAAAAAATGAATACTTTAGATGTTGAAGGAAAAAAATAGTATCTATATGACTTAGTTATTCATTATGAGAGAAGTAGAGGATACAGTGTACTCCACGTCCTTATCACTTCTTGCTTAAACAACAATCAGAGGCTCCTAGTGTTCTCTCTGCTCACATTCATATTTCCTTTAAATCTATCCCACATGGTCAAGCGTGTGACCTAGTATAAGAAAAGTTGACCCTCTCACTCCACACATAACATGTTTGTGTGATGAACATGGTGCCTCCTTATAACACACACCAATTTAACAAAATAAAGTCTATTTTTCAATCTGTTTTATAAACCAGAATTCTGTGTAACTTTAACCTGTCAAAATCAACTAAAAATAATGATAGAGTGCAGTTTGTTTACATAATAAGCAAGATTGCTATGACTTGAGTTCCTTCCTCCCCAGTCCTGACCTGTGTTTTTCTCCAGCTCAATTACCTGTTACGTTGTTGTTAGATTCTGTGTCTTTGATCATTATGGCCTTATGTACTGGGCACGTTCTTTCTACTCTTCTTTGTCAGGCTAGCTCTGTTTACTATACTCTTAAGGTTCAGATTAGGAGACATCTCTAGGGAACTTTTGCTTACTCTCAGGTATTAGAGACACCTCCCCATTATCTCCTGAGCCTGTTTCTATGACCAAACTTCCTCAATATATCTTATATACCCTTAAAAGGAAATTCCCTGAAATGTACAGTTTCCAGTGCAAATATAAATAAGTACATTTTATACTGGGAGATTAACAGATGAAAGAAATTGACATTCTAACATGTTGACTTGTTTGTCTCTCCATCTTAAGGGCAAGAACAAAATTGTATTCTTCTTTATATCTTTAATTCCTGACAAAGTGCCTGATATGTGCATGATGGCACCGTAGTAGTATTGAATGCATAAAGAATATAATTATTATGTAATAAGCTTCAATTTGTTTGTGGATATTCACACTGTTCACTGTAGGCCAAACATACTGAGGACAACTTTCTCTAGTATGACTTAAATTCACTATTCCAAAGGCAGCATTTTGATTTGGTCCAAGTAGATGTCACTAGATGGCTAGAAATATTTTTCCTAAAAGGAAAGTCTCTCCTTTAAGTATAAGCACCAACTACCTTCTCTATGACTAAGTGGGATGGGCTCACAGACAGCTTCTATAATACTTAAGATACCAACATAATTCATAACTTCAATGAAATTCTTCTTCCTTAATAATGAAAATATAAGTAGAATTTATTTTAGATAAATGATCACATATTTTAAAATATAAAAAAAAGTAAATTTGCAGGTAAGTATGTATGCAACCAAATATATCACAAAAAAAGAGAGGAATGGAAAACAGAACGAACATTGTCAAATATTTAGAATGTTGAGTGTTATACTGTCACAAAATAATAGCCATGTACTTGGGATAAACAACCAAAACTTTCTGGAAAACTCGTACAGATGGAAACACATACAGATGGAAATAGAGGTGATAAAAGAAAAATCATAGAGGTCTGTTGTGGAATTCTTCCATACCTATTAATTCACACTTTCAACCTATTCCCTTCACAGTGTATTTTCAGAAACTGCTTTTAAATGCAATTCAGTTTAATTTGTCACAGACAGAAGATCAAAACCAATGCTAGGAAGGTCTACTCTGCTTTTGTTTACTTGAGAAAATTTTAACGATAATATTTTCTCACTCTCTTAAGAGTAAGTGCTGTTACATTTTGGACATTTCATATGTGCCTGACATTGTGCTAAAGTCATTCAATGTATTAGTGCATATTATTTTTACACAAACCTCTAAGTGCTTTTATTATTCCCATTAAAGAGCGTAAATGGGATTCTTACTCCAAAGTCGGGTTTTTAGGAGTGAACTTTACAGTTTGTAAAAAGCTGTGATGCTATGATTATGAGGCCCATTCTAGTTTATGTCATATGCTACACTTGCATCCCAAGGACACTGTGCTCAACCTCATGCCTATCCTCTGCAGCATGTAGAATTTGAGCAGGAATGTATGCAAAGTTCACATACCCTCATACCTGCATAGATCTTCCAAGCACTGACATTCTGCTATTTAGACAAGAGAGCACATGAAGCTTCTCTGTAAGTGGCCATCTTCTGCAATTCTGCTTTGTGATACGTCAAACGTTAATGATATTTCTATTTGGTTTCTACCAACTTAAAAAATGTCCAGATGGGAACACCGTCTAAACAGTGATGGTCTGCTGTTTAGATACCACCAGCTTTTAATACCTGCTTATTTTCCTCTTATTCTTTATTTCCTTCTAACTGCTCAAAATGTTCACCTTTAGGTCAGAAATTGATCCTTACATAATTGTGCATTTTGTTCCCCACTTACTAGTTTGTTGTTTAAACTCTATTTAAACTCTGTTTTCTAAGCATTAATTCTTCATATTTAAAACCAAATTTTAAAATTAAAATAAATAAAATTGGGAGGCAGGGCAGAAAGAATCACAGTTTTTCTTCCCAAGCACCAGACTCCTAAAAATTAAAAACAAACAACAACAACCATTAAGAAACAGTTACAAATTTACCAAAGTATCCCTAACAAACTAAAAGTTGACATCCGACTCCTGGTTCTTTGTGTTTTATCCTACCTTGATGGTAGTGCACATATTAAGCCTTCACATATGCTTAAGTAGGAGAGGAGGTGGAGGGAAAACGATAAGGTGAAAACAGTTGAAAACAAGAAAGCATACAAAAAGAATTAAATACCTTGGAATACAGCTAACAAGGGAAGTGAAGGACCTCTTCAAGGAGAACTACAAACCACTGCTCAAGGAAATCAGAGAGGACACAAATAAATGTAAAAACATTCCATGCTTATGGACAGGAGGAATTAAAATCTCGAAAATGGCCATACTGCCCAAAGTAATTTGTAGATTCAATGCTATTCCCATTAAACTACCATTAATATTCTTCATAGAATTAAACGATTTTAAAATTTGTATGGGGCCGGGTGTGGTGGCTCATGCCTATAAGTGTAACACTTTGCGGGGCTGTGGTAGGCAGATCACTTGAGATCAGGAGTTTGAGACCAGCCTGAACAACATGGTAAAACCCCATCTCTACTAAAAATACACACACAAAAATAGCCAGGCGTGATGGCACACACCTGTAATGGGAAGATCACTTGAACCCGGGAGGTGGAGCCTGCAGTGAGCCGAGATCACAACACTGTATTCCAGCATGGGTAACAGAGAGAGACTCCATCTCAAAAAAATAAATAAATAAATAAAAATAAGATAAAATTCGTATGGAACCAAAAAACAGCTCATATAGCCAAGACAATCCTAAACAAAAAGAACAAAGCTGGAGGCATCATGCTACCAGACTTTATACTACAAGGCACAATAACCAAAACAGCACGGAATTGGTCCAAATAGAGACACATACACCAATGGAATAGAATAGTGAACTCTAAGACCACACATCTACAACCATCTGATCTTCAACAAACCTGACAAAAACAAGCAATGGGGAAAGGATTCCCTATTTAGTAAATGGTGCTGGAAGAACTGGATAGCCATATGCAGAAAATTGAAACTGGACCCCTTCTTCACACCTTATACAAAAATTAACTTGATATGGATTAAAGATTTAAATGTAAAACCCAAAACTATAAAAACCCTAGAAGAAAATCTAGCCAATACCATTCAGGACATAGGTATGGGCAAAGATTTCCTGACAAAATCACCAAAAGCAACTGCAACAAAAGCAAAAATTGACAAATGGGATCCAATTAAACTAAAGAGATTCTGCACAGCAAAAGAAATTATCACAGTGAACAGCAACCTACAGAGTGAGCTAAAATGTTTGCAATCTATCCATCTGACAAAGTTCTAATATCAAAAATCTACAAGGAACTTAAACAAATTACAAGAAAAAAACATTAAAATGTGGGCAAAGGACTTGAACAGACACTTCTCAAAAGAAGACATTTATGTGGCCAACAAACGTATGGCAAAAACCTCAGCATCACTGATCATTAGAGAAATATAAACCAAAACCACCATGAGATATCATCTCATGCCAGTCAGAATGGTGATTATTAAAAAGTCAAGAAACAACAGATGCTGGTGAGGTTGGGGAGAAATAGGAACACTTTTATGCTGTTGATGGGAATGTAAATTAGTCCATTGTGGAAGATGGTGTGGCAATTCTTTAAAGACCTAGAACGAGAAATACCATTTGACCGAGTGATCCCATTAGTGGGTATATACCCAAAGGAATATAAATCATTCTATTACAAAGATACATGCACATGTATGTTCACTGTGGTACTATTCGCAATAGCAAAGACATGAAATCAACCCAAATGCCCACCAATGATAGACTGGATAAAGAAAATGTGATAGTTATACACCATGAAATACTATGCCGCTATAAAAAAGAATGAGATCATGTCTTTTGCAGTGACATGTATGGAGCTGGAAGCAATTTTCAGCAAACTAACCCAGGAACAGAAAAACAAACACCACATGTTCTCACATAAGTAGGAGCTAAACAGTGAGAATACATGGACAAAGGGAGGGGAACAACACTGGGTTCTGCTGGCAGGAGGGATGTGGGGAGAGAGAGCTTTAGAAAAAAATAGCTAATGCATGTAGGGCTCAATACCTAGGTGATAGGTTGATAGGTGCAGCAAACCACCATGGCACACATTTACCTATGTAACAAACCTGCACATCCTGCACAGGTACCCCAAAACTTAAGATAGAAATAAAAATAAAACTTAGAAAACAGGAAAGCATAATTTAATATGTAGTAATTATATCCCCACATATGAGGTTCCTCATATAGTCTTCTCAACAAAGAAACTATAGAGTATATATTATTATCTGATATTATCCTAAAGAAAACTAAAACTTAGAATACCTGAGTTTTTAATTCAAAGTTCCTCAACTTTTGAGAGCAGAGCCAGGATGTGCTGCAGTTTCTCAAATTTCATCACTTTGGCTCTAACTATTTACATTACACTGTTCTACTGGTTTTATTTAAGCAGCCTTTGAATTCCATCTAGAAATTAAAACCTATTTGCTTTTTGATAATAAAAACTGAGGTCCCTTTCCAAATTCATTGCTCAAAGTGCAACATTTAAATCATTGTAGTTCACTCTATTTGAACATTTATTCTGTGCCAGATATTGTTCCAAACACTTAATGGGTATTAACTCTTTTAATGCTCACAACAAATACAAGTAGGTGTCTTCTTGTTGTTGTATTTCTATTTTATAGCTCAGAAAATTGAATCAGAGAGAGATTTGAACTTGCCTTAGGTCACATAGCCATATAATGTTAAAGACAGGATTCAAGTCTATGCTATTGGGTGACAGTGCCTATTCATGGTCTGTGATTCTGCCTCCTTTGCATGTCTAACACTCTGGTATCTAGAATTTAGGGTACGTTGTCTGGCAAGCCTTTCCTGATTTATTCAGTTAGTCTTGCTGGTGGATTTTACTGTTATTGGAGTAAGTTCTCATGTCAGACGAATAGCATCTTAGGTCTTGAAGAGACTGGGAACTTTAATATCATCAAGGTGCTAAATTCTACTTCTAGATGTAACAAAATATTCCAAATGACACTGCACAGGCTCACAGCATTAAAGCATCCGTCTGTAAAATATGGGCCACCATCCATCTGAAGCCAATGAAGGATTTTCACTTGGATGCTTCCTGTCCTGGACACAGATTGCTTTATGGTATGGTTGTAGTGCCTGCCCAGTAGGAAGATAAGAATAATGACTTACTATTTTTCTTATTAAACACACACACACTCACACACAAGCATATACACATATACACACAAAAAAGCACTCCTCTTTTGTCTTCCTTGACCATACTATCATTATTCTGTCTCCTTCCTTTGATGTGTTGAGACAATTGTCTGTATTCACTGTCCTCCAATTTTTACCTACTTCTGTTTTCTCTTCAGCATTCTCCAATCATTGCCAATCTCTGAAATCACTTTTCTGATGGATATTTATGGCCACCACTTTACTGAATCTAACAATTAATTCTTAGACCATCTACACTGGCCTATGAATAGTTTGAGTATACATCCTATACTTTTCCTGGGACAATCATATCTCTGTCTATTGTCCTGTTTTAATTATTTATAGCTGCTGCTTTCATTCTGCAATGCATCCAGATTTGGATAATATATTATAAGGTCATTTTAACTCTTAGTACCATATGACCCAATCACTCCATGAAATACTTTTTATACTTGCTCCCCTGTTACCACATGCCTTGTTTCTTCTCCTGGACTTTTTGACTTCTCCTTCTTGGTCTTTGCTAATTGTTCTTCACATTACTCACTCCATGTATTCAAACACCCTAGGACTCAGGAGTTGGAATACCTGAGTCCTAGGTTTCTGTATAACCTTTCCCCCTAGATAGTCATAGTCAATTTTGTGACTTTATGTATGATGATGATAACTCCCAAATTTCCACGTTTGTTTTTTTTTTTTTTTTTTTGAGATGGAGTCTCACTCTGTTGCCCAAGCTGGAGTGCAGTGGTGCAATTTTGGCTCACTGCAGCCTTTGCCTCCCAGGTTCAAGCAATTCTCCTGCCTCAGCCTCCCAAGTAGCTGGGACTACAGGCACATGCCACCACACCCAGCTAATTTTTGTATTTTTAGTAGAGACCCAAATTTCCATCTTTATTCTAACCCTGCTTTTTAATAATTATATTCTTATGCCTAATGTTTAACTCAACATATCCAGCTAATCTGAAATGTAGTATGTCAAAAGAAAATGCTATCACCAACCCACAGCTAATCCTTGCAAACATGACCTCTGCAAATCTGTTTAGTTAATGACAATTTCAGTAGTCAGGGTTCTCCAGAGGGACAGAACCAATAGGATATATGTATATATAAAAGGGAGTTGATTAGGGAGAATTGGCTCACAGAATTACAAGGCAAGGCAGGATAAGCCATCTGCAAGCTTGGGAAAGAGAGAAGCCAGTAGTGGCTCAGTGCAAATTTGAAAGCCTCAAAACTGGAAGCCAACAGTGACCATGGCTGAAGGCCCGAGAGCCCTTGGGAAGCTGCTGATACAAGTCCCAGATTCCAGGTCCCAAAGAACCTGTAGTCTGAGATCCGAGGGCAGGAGGAGCAGAAGTAAGTGTTCAGCACAGGAAGAGCAAAGAGAGCCAGAAGATTAGGCAAGTAAACATCCCACCTTCGTCCACCTTGCCTTTTTCTACCCATGCTGACAGTGATTGGATGGTGCCCACCCACAATGAGGGTACATCTTCCTTTCCTAGTCCACTGACTCAAATGTCAGTCTTTTCTGGCAACATTATCACAAACACACACAGAAGCAATACTTTACCAGCTATCTAGGCATCCCTCAATCCAATCAAGTTGACACTAAATATTAACCATCACACAGGCTATAAATCTTTCAAACTGTAATGCTCTTTTTTTTCCCCATAATATACAATATAAAATCCTCTGTCACACAAAAAAACAGAAAAAAATGTTCTCATTGTTTGCTGTGAAATGCCTAACAGTATCTTATGTGGGCCCATTTTCTCATCTGTTTAACATATGTAGTATGATCTCAAGGGACTGGTGTTCAGTCATGAAAAATCATGAATATTTTGTATTTTAAATATTAAAATATAGTCATGTACTGCATAATGAAATATAGGTCAAGGACAGATCGCATATATGATGGTGGTCCCATAAGATAATAACAGAACAGCACAATTTCTATTGCCTAGTGACATAGGCATTGTAATGTCATAGTGCAGTTATTTTGTTTTCTGTAAATAAATTTATTGTAGCCTAACTGTACAGTGTTTATAAAGTCTACAGTAATGTACAGTAATATACAGTAATATCCTAGTCCTTCACATTCACTTACCACTTACTCACCACTCACTCACCGCTCACTCACTCACCACTCACTCGCTCATTGACTCACCCAGACCAATTTTCAGTTCTGCAAGCTACATCATAGTAAGTTCCCTACACGGTTTACCTTTTTATTTTTTATCTTTTATACCATATTTTTGCTATACCATTTCTGTGTTTAGATATGTTTGGGGACAAACATGATTGCATTACAATTGTATACAATATTCAGTATAGTAACATGCTGTACCGATTTATAGGCTAGAGCAAGAGGCTAAGCCATGAATCTAGATGTGTGGTAGGGTATGCCATGTAAGTTGTGTGAGTGGACTCTATGATGTTCACACAATGACAAAATAGCCTAACAACGCATTTCTCAGAAAGTATCTTGTCTTTAAGTGCCACACGACTCCAAAGCCACATTCTTTAAAAATAGCCAAATCCGCGAGATCAACCCCAGACTGCTGTGAGGGCCAAAGCCTAACAGCCCCCAGGATGTGACTCCAGTACAATGAGCTGACATCCATTTTTAATGATCAATATTTAGGTCACTCTGACTGTAAAATAATTTGACCCTCACTTCTGCTTACCCTTTAGTGGAATCGGAAGAATGAAGTGCCTTAAGCAGCCATGAATAAATCACCAACGCTAAATCCATTATATAAACTTTAGAAGTGCTTTTTAACTAACTTTTAACCAGATACATTTGTCACTTTATTATCTGAATGATTTGTTTTCTTTGGCCATGCTTTGCTATAATTTTTTTAATAGCTGAATTCTTAGGTGACTCAGTAGCATCTTCTACATCACAACTTCAACAAGCTATTTTCATCTATATGCAAATTCTTTCCTACTGCTTTTATGCAAACTCTGCCCCTCTTAGATATGAAATATCAACAAATAACTTCGAACCTGATTTGTTTTCTTCTCCTTTCTCTTCCTCTTCTTTCTTTCTTTTCTTTTTGTGACTGTTTCCTGGGAACAAAGATGATTAAGAAAAAAAACTGATGAATATGTTGCTGTATTATACAAGGTTCTATTGGTTTCTGGGAGCAGGAGCAGAGAGGACTAAGAACTACCTCAATCCAGGCCTTCACAATGAAGGAGAGAAGGAGGGCAAATATGAAGTAGAACTGAGCTAGGATTTATCATCATACCTATTACAAAGCCTCAAACAAGAACCTTTGGGACAAGTCTTCATTGACTCATTCATTTGCTATAAATCTGTTAAATATTTGTAACCATTGGCTATCAATTCATTTACTCTTTTCTCGTTTAGCTAAAACTTTTATACTTTATGTTCATGTACTCATATATATACCCCAGTAAGTATATGCAGGAGAAAATAAAGATACCGTTTGAGAGGAGATATTTATTGCCTTTATTATCTATTAAAAAACCCGCTAAAGTTAGGTAAGATACCTGATATTTTGGAATAATGTACATAGAAATGTGTGTAATTAATTCGATATGCAGTGATTACTTTATTCGACAGACAGTTATTGGTGCCCTCTCGATGCTAAATTTGGGGATAGGTTTGGGATGCAGTGATAAAACTGTTCCTGTTACCAGTGGAAGGTATCAGAGTTACCAGCAGCATATCCATACAGGTCTGCAGCAACTTCAATTTTTGCCTCCTCAGAAGAAAGGATTCAACTGAGGGGCATAAGGCAGAAGAAGAGACCAAGGTGAGTTTCAGAACAGGAGTGGAAGTTTATTTTAAAAGGCTTTAGAACAGGAAAGAAAGGAAAATTCACTTGGAAGAGACCCAAGTGAGCACCTGAATGTCAAGTGTGGTGTTTAACCATGATTCTAGGATTTTATAGGCTTCTATCTTGCACCCTTTTC
The DNA here is from genome assembly GCF_000001405.40 of Homo sapiens. Lineage (NCBI taxonomy): Eukaryota > Metazoa > Chordata > Mammalia > Primates > Hominidae > Homo > Homo sapiens. Next base: position 108,326,089 of record NC_000010.11, on the reverse strand, counting down.
CTATGATTTTTCTAGTAGTGTGGGCTGCCTGCATGCACAATGCCCTGCTCACCCTTAGGAAGTGAGCATGCGCAGTGTGTTTAGGACGTTGTACACACGCCCGAGGCTTTCTTCCCTTTTCTGGTGGAGCGTCCCTGGAATATCATACTTTGCCATTTTGTCTCTTAACACATATGTCCAGGAAGTTGCTTCTCCCTGGCATCTGCACTCAATTAACACTTTAATTTTAACAGCTGTGGAACATCAGGAGATTTTCTTTCCCTGGCACCCTGGCACTTCTGCGGAATTATCATTTTTAGAGAGGCAGTGTGATAATTGTTGATCCATCACCTGACATTTCCAGTGGGTGGGGGAGAAGAGCCCTCTCCTACCCTGCTCATGCCTATCTAACTACCTGTAACATTCCTACCCTCGAGGAGTTTGGAGACAAATGAGATTCTATTTGCATTTTATTGTTGAACTCAATGGCCTCTATAACTCCTCCATTTTCTTGCTACACATTACCCCTCCCTTAATATGAAAATTTGTCTCAGTTGTTTCTGGATATTTATTAGTAACATCCATTAAACATGACTTCCGGGATTTCCAAGCATTCTCTTCATTGAACTATGACACTAGTTAAAATAGGATTTAACTTTATCAAAAGAATTTACACTCAAATTTCCGAAAATCATTACAAAACAGGAATGCATGCCCATGATGGAAATAATTGAAAATGCTTATAATGCATATGCAGATTCCTTCTGCCTTTGTCCTCATCTTTCTTCTTTGTACTTTATTCTTTTTAACTCATATGTCTACTGCATTGCCCTGGTGGATGGCAATCTCACCTTGCACAGAGGATGGGTAAAAGACTGTTGAGAGAAAGCAGAAATTAACAGCAGAGAAAACAGTCGTAAAACTCCTCTTGGTCATAGCTCGCATTTAAAAAATCTTAGTGGAAGCCATGATATCTTCCTGTTGTGTGCTCTAGAATTTTGACTTCCCCCATGGTTTAATTACCAGTGCAGTCAGTTGAGCAATTGTAATTTGATATGTGACAGTGAATCTCAGCACCAAATGATGTGACATTCAGAAGCTATGGTGGAATCTCCAAAATATACTTCTTTGGTTTTGGTAGAAGGAAAAATGTGCTTTTCCATAGTTGAGACTCAAACAGCCCATACAAGCTGCTTTCCAGTTTCCTCGGGCTGTACTTTATTTTGCCAGCTCCTCTTTGGAAAAATCCCTAATTTGCTAACTGAGTTAAAGCTCAAAAATCTTTGTGTACCTTCAACTACCATCTATGAGTCAATTCTGTTCCTTGTCTAGTCACTTAACAAACACATTTCTTTTTATTCTTCAATGGAAAATGAGTAGGTAGGCAGAAAATAAGCTAAATATAAGATTGGGTGGAGAGAAGGGACACTGAGATCATTGTGCCTCCTTAGATATCTACTTCAAAGCAGTCTCACCAAAACCCTTTAGGCTTTACCATAGATAATAATGCACCATTGAACAATAGGCAATTGCTGGATCAGGTGACTTATGGTAACAGGTCCTTTTCCTCCCCACCTTACTTAAAAACAAATCTCATTATAATGGAAATGGACTGGTTGAATGAGCTCCAATTGCAACTAGCCTCCAAAAATCATTTTATAGCTGCTTTGAATCTGGCCATTTTAAAGCAAATCCTCCAGATAAATTTCTCAATCCATCTCCATAAAATAACTAGTGATTATTAAAGGGATAATTATTTCTAATAACTCCTCATCATATAGAATTATAAAATTATACCTCTCTTGGATATTTAAATTATATTGGGCATGTCTTCATAATTATAAATATACCCCTGCCATTTTCTTCATTTTGAGGAAAATCTCTCCAGATAGCACTTATTTATTTCTTATCATCAAATATTCAAAGACTGTGTCTAGGAAACATTAAAACAAGTCTAATAGGGTGGAAATATATTTTATTTTCAATTTAATGATAACATTAATAGCATCAATGAAGGAAGAAATGAAATAGAAAGAAAGTCATCCTTAATGAAATTCTAATACCTTGAGTTTCCTGTAAATTTTTTCTGAAGAATGAATGAAAGCAGAGTTCATGCAGCAAAGATCCCTGACTGTACTTTGCTGACACTTTAGTAACTAACATCTGCTCCTGCTAAGCATTTTCTCCTTTTGCTCCCACTTTATTTCCATTCTTCTGTTCATCCTCCTCTTCCTTTATTTTATCTTGTAACTAACTCATGCTTCATCTCCTTTCTATATACAATATCATTTTTTTCCACAGAATCAGATACAGGAGATAGATAGATAGATAGATAGATAGATAGACAGACAGACAGACAGACAGACAGACAGATATCCAATAGTCCAGGGCATTGAGACTTTCCTTGTGGAGAGGGTTAGATCACTTTCCTGTGGGTCATAATGTCAAATCTCAAGTGAGGCAGGAGATTAGGGTCTGGAGGCAGAGAACTTAAGCCAATTAACACAAACTTCCTAAAGCTAAAGCAGAAGGAAAACCCCCATCTCCCCACTCCAAGTAACAAAGGATCAAAGGCTACTCTCCCTACAACCCTCCTCCTTCCACTATGTCTCAGGTGGAAAGGGAGAGTGCCTTCAATTGGCCATGGTCCAAGCAGGGACCATCCCTTTATCTGCATAGGGTGCCAATTCCCCTCAGGGTTTAATTAGTCACAGACAAATCCTTCATCCAGATAAGGAGTAGGGGATAAGAGCCTCACAAGGCGTACTTAAAGCCCAGAAAACTTTGCAGTGCGGCCCTTGAGCCCCTTGCTCGGGCCCACTCCCACCCTGTAGAGTGCTCTCTCATTTTCATAAATCTCTGCTTTCGCTGCTTCATTGCTGCATTTCATTCCTCTGCCTTTGTGCGTTCTGTTCAATCCTTTATTCAAAATGCCAAGGACCCGGAGAACTCCTAGTCAAGACCCTCCACTGGTAACACAAGGACCTAGAGATTTGTATTCAAAGTAATAAATTCTCTACGTCCTTGAGGCACTAGACTCAGCTTCAGTTTTCTTAGATTAATTTCATCTCTCAAAGTTGGCAGCAACCAAAACAGCCCTAGTACAAAGTACAGTGATGCCAAGTCTTCCTATGTTTGGGGGAGGCAATAAGGGTTAGTATTCTACCGCACAGTTAGGACAGATTGGCATGAGGCACCATCTATTGTGTGAGAGAAACATCAGCATCAAGGAAAAATGTAACAGTCTAACAATGGCTTTTATTAAAAATGTAGTTCTCATATCTTTAACCCTTATCTCACATGGATGATCTTTTACACTATGGAATGTTGTGGTTAATGAGCTTTTTTAACTGAAAAATGCTAAATTAGAAAAACATTCTACCTTCTATTAAAAAATCATCAAAGACCAAGTTCCTGCCTTGGTAATTAAACTCTAATACAAAATATTCATTATGGTACATTTCCGTCATTACCTGTGCCTGTGAGTCTGTGAATGTCTGTTGATACTCAGGAGGTGGTTCATTATAGTAATCTTATATTAAAATAACATCTTCTATCGAAGGAATCACTAAGCATGGTAAAAACTCTAGCCCATCACTATTCATGAATCTTTAGAGCTCTGCGTGAGATGAAACTGGAGATGAATTACTATGAGTTTCAACTCATTAAGGATTTGTTTTAATAATCATTTACTGTACGAATAAAAGAAACAATGACATAATTATTATTGAGATAAGCCACATGTGTCTCTGCAAGATATCATTATCCCCACTACTTGAAAACGTTATGCTCTGAATGGAATAACATGATGATGGAACAATGTAACAAGAATAGCACAAAGTCACAATTAATTGGCATACTTATGTATTCAAGTGCCTTATTTTGTTTTGTTGACAGTTGCTTTGTAAATTATCCATCAATTGTTTAATGTGCACGTGTTGTGTCCAGTTCTACCACCATGTTGTGAGATCTTTGAAGTAAATTTTCAGGCTCTCCGTGTTTGAAAATCTCCAAGAGTGTCTGGAACCTAATACAAGTACAAATCTAGTTTCTACACTAACTGAAAGATAAATGTGAAGTTAGAATAAAGGTGAAAAAATGGATTGACATAAAGTATGCAAGAATAATAGAAGATGATGCTCATGAAGAGGTTGGAGTGATAGGAATAAAAATCAGTAAAAATGAGGCAATCTGGTGATTAATTGGTTTACCTGCTAACAGATCATTGTGTCCTATGTGTAAGTTTAGAATAGCATATCCTACTATTTCTTAGCCCTGAGCACATAATGCATTTCCCAGATTTGAATCCATACCTTTTTTCCATTGTTTTACTAAATTCCAGGTATGAAGGTCCATGGCACTGGTATTAAGCATAATAAATAATGCAGAGTTGATAAATTAACAGCTATTTCTTGGTACCAAAAGAGTGTATTTGTTATTACATCCAAGCACTTGTACTGACCATCTAAAAAAACAAACAAAAGAGCAGTATTCCATTGTTTCCTACTCTGAATGAGATGTATATAGAAGTAAAAAGCAAAGTCATTAAGGGGAAAATTGAAAGTTGCATTTTTAAATTTGGGACTTTATTTTTCAAGTTTATGAATGTGTTATGACATTTTACATGCAAAAAGGAAATGATTAAGCATCTAAACTTGGACCTGGTAACCTGGGAATGTATTTATATTTGGCAGACACTAAGATGAGAAAAAAAATTGTGTGCGTACACACACACACACACACACACACACACACAAACACAACCACATTCTCAGATCCTCTGAGATTTTGTTTTATCTTGTTTCTTTGAAGGGTAGAGCTAAATTTCCCTGATAACATAAAAGCTGTTGAGGAATGAGAATATTCTGCATTGTGATTCTTTCTAATTTCCTGAATTGCTCCTAAAGCAGACCATTAGTACAGGGAAATTGGAGAACATGAAATGCACCATTAGTTTCTAATAACGTATGTAGATCCAGTGTTAAGACACACAGGGAGGATGGGAACCTTTGCAATTGGTCTCACTTTTGGGTCCACTGGGCTTCATAGCTGTGAAGCACTGAAACTGATCAACTGAGTTTCAGTCCCAGGGTCTCACCAGAAGCTAGACGTGATGGGGAAGTTTGTGTTAAATGGAAAGAAAGTAAGAATAATTTGAGATATTTGATCTGTGCCTTGAATGATAGTAGAAATCTACCAGCTGAGGAAGAGAAGTGTGTGGAAAGCCAAAAGGAAGGGCCCAAATAAGCACAGCTTCATTGGTAAACTGCAAGGTGTCTGCAGTGCCTGACAACCTGTTACTGACTCATGGGCCAGAGTGAAAGCACTGAGGTCCAGAAGGACACAGGTAAGCAGTGAACTAGGCTAGGGCCAAGGCAGATGCTCACAATCCAAAATTAGCAGTGCACCTCTAGTGAATAAGGCCCTTCAACCTACATAATGCAGTCCTACCATGTCAATCATTATCCTTGCTTAGAATCCCCTAGGTTTTCAACGGCTTCACTCCTGCGACCATTAGGGGCATCTTAGAAATCACTTAGTTAGAATAGATTGTAAGTAAATTGTGTTCCCTGACTTTGTTCTTCCTTTACAAAATTATTTTGGCTATTCTACATACTTTGCCTTTCCATATAAAATTTAGAAATGGCTTTTTGATACCTACGAAAATCCTGCAGTAATTTTTTTTTATCATGATTGCATTATCAGAGTCAGGAGAATTAATATCTTAATAATATTGATTTTTATAGCCCATAAGCACAGAATATGGGTTTGTTTATCTAGGCCATATTTGATTTTTAAAATCAGTGTTTTTTTCAGCATATAAATCTTACACATATTTGCTTAGATATACATGCATTTCATATTATTTAGGTATTCCATGAATTTCTGTAATATTATAAGTGATTCTTTTTAACTTTTAGTGTCCAATTGTTATTGCTAGTATAAAGAAATACAACAGATTTGTTTCCATTGACTTGTGCCTTTTGACCTTGCTAAACTGACTTTCTAGGTCTGATAACTATTGCCACACTCAGAGCTCTTGAGTGATTCTGGTTAACCAGCTTCCTCATGGACTTTTCCCCTTCCGTCCAATTCACATCAAAGATGAATCTTAGCCACCGTCCGATGTTTAAGCAGTTTATCCTGTCAGTGCTCCTACAAGATGGATACTAGGAGTAGACCTGTGGCATGAGCCAAGTACAGTCAGGGGTCGGATGACCTCCTGACCAGGAGGGTTTCAGTCAGAAGACTCTTCTTAGAGTTTGAAAGATTCTTCCACCTTTCTTATACCTGTATTTAGGCCAGATCAGTTACCAGGTGTTTCTCTCATAAAAAGAAGTTAATCTTTTCTTGTAAAGGTAAGCTTTGTTTTAAGGCTCATAAAAGTTTCATTCATGTTGAGGAAGCCTTGTCTCTAGGATAACCAAGGTTTTTAGGTCCCATTATTATAGAGGCCCTGTAATTCCCAGGCCAGGTTGCATGATGTTGCTAAGTGACACATAGTGTAGGCCCAGTGAGATATCTAAACAGGCTTTATGGCGATCATTAATCTTACAGCCACAATATGTTTCTTACTGCACTCTACAGAATTTTTGCTAGATCCTTTGGGATTTTCTACACCATCACGTTATTCTGAAGACAATTATATTTCTTTCTTACCAATTTTTATGTATATTTCTTGCATTATTGAGATGATAAGTCCTGCTGAATCATATCGAATAGCAAAATGTGAACATATTTTCTTTCTTCCTGAAGTTGGGGAAAAACATTAAGTGTTTAACAATTAAATATATTAATTAAATATGTTAAACACTTAATGTTTTTCCCCAACTTCAAGAACAAATATTCATTACTATTCAGCAGGAATGTTAATTAAATATGATAGCTGTAGATATTGTGTAGAAGTCTTTTATTAATCAGAGGTGATGTCCTGCTATCTTAGTTTGCTGAGGCTTTTCACCATGACTATGGATGTTAACTCTTTTCAAATGTTTTATATCATCTTTTTAGATGGTTGATTTTTCTTTTTTATTATGTTGCTATGGAGAATCACATTGATCTTTATTAGATGTTAAATCAACCTTGAATTTTCAGGATAAATATGACTAGGTCATAATATTTTTTTTAATGTATTGCTAGATAAAATTTGCTACTATTTTGTTGAGGGTTTGTGTTCCTATATTTATGAGGGAGATTGGTGTGTGATTTTCTTTTCTTGTAATGTTTTTGTCTGGTTTGGTATTAAGTAGAACTTGGCCCCATCAAATAAATTAGAATATTTTCTCTCTTTCATTCTTTGGAAGAGTTCTAATAGGGTTGGTATTTTCAAGAGAAGCCATTTAGCTCTGGGGTTTTCTTTGTTGGGAGGCTTTTAACTACAAATTTCATTTATTTAATATCTTTCTTTCTCTCCCTCAGATATAAATATGGTGCATACTATTAAATATTTCAATTGTTTTTAGAAGAAACATTAGTAGTTTGTGGCTTTCAAATAATTTGCCACTTTACATAATTTGTCACGCTACAGATACCCATGTGTTTGTAATATTCCCTTATTGTCCTTTTAGTATGTGTAAAGTTTGTTGCGATAGCTTCTTTTTCATTTTTTGTATTGGTGATTTTTACATTTAATTGGTTTTTAATCAATAAGTATTGGTTATATTTACATTTTGCAGTTTGTCCCATGTATTCTTATTTCCTTTCTCTTCCAGTTTTTTGTTGTATTGACTATAGTGTTTGTTTTTCAAAAATTATTTAATTTTACCTCCACAATTTGTTTTCTTATTCATATCATGTGCATACTTACACACTCATCTACATATGTATACACACAACACACACAAACTTTTAGTACTGACTCTAGGGTGTACAAAAGTACACCACAGTTTTAACTTGTCAAAGTCTGCAGCCAAATATATTATACATTTTTCTTGGTAATGTAAGCTATACACATCTACAGACTACTTCTCTTTATGTTTTCCATACTTTGTGATATCATCCAGTCTATCACAGATACATTAGACATTTACAACACATGTTATTACCATAATCTTTTAAGAAGTTGATAATAAACTGAGAAAAATATTTTATATTTATCTGTGCATTTAGTATTCCAGTGTTATTTGTGTAGATTCAAATTACACCTGTTATTATTTCTCTTCTGTGTCAAGAACTTAATTTAACATTTCTTGTAGTGCAGACTTGCTGGCAACAAATTCTTCCAGCTATTTTTTTTCTTTACAAATGTTACTGTTTCTTTATTTTTAAAAGACATTTCCACCTGGTATAAAATGTTCAGTTGACATATTTTATTTTGTTTTGTTATTCCATCAGCATATTAACAAATATCTTCTTGGTTTAAATCATTTTGGAAGAAATTCTATCTTTCTTACGTTTAGTCATCTGCAGATAATTCTTCATTTTTAATCTAGCTGTCTGAAGAGTTTCTTATTTTTATTAATTTTTGTCAATTAGATTACAAGTTTTCTTGGCATGTTTTTCTTTATTTTTATTTTGTTCGTGGTTCATTTTATCCTTTAAATTGGTACTAGTGACTAGTGATTAGCTAATCACAGTGACTAGCAAACTCTTTGTGTAATGGACAAAATAGTATCTATTTTGGGTTTTGTAGCCACATCGTGTCTCTGTACACATAAAAAAGTGTACATTTTCTTCCCAACAAAAGTGTAAAGTTAATTTATAGCTAAAAAGCCATACACAGTAGGCTTCACACTGAATTTGGCCTGCAGTTAGCACTGTGCCAATCCTGCTTTATCATGTTCATCACAAAATAACCATTGTTTCTATGAGTGTTTTTACTGTATTCCCCAATTTTCTGGTTCCTCTATTTCATGTATATTATGACACATGCTGTTGTCTCAAGATTTACCGATGCTTGGATCACTTCCTTATATTTTTAATCTGTAATTAATTTTACACTTTCTACTGGTGTATTGTGAATTTCTTAAAAAAAAAAATTTCCTTACTTGCCCTTGGTGTCTGGGGAAAACTTAGATAAAACAAAACAGGAAGAATCAGTTTCCTCTATATAGTTCATCTTCTGTTATCTCTCAATTAATATATATAATATATATAAATATATACTAATATAAATATGTTTATTATATATTATAATATGTTATATATTATACATAATATACAAGTATATAATAATACTATATAAATATATTTCTTATACATAAAATATATATATTTTAAAAATATATAATATAGAAATATTTATATATAAAATATATGAAAATATATACTTATGTGATATATTATAGAATATATTCTTATATGTTCATAGTATATAGTTAAATATTATATAAATACATATAATTATATATTATTTATAATATATAATAATTATATACATTTATTATATATAAGATATAAAACATAAACATAAAATATATTTATTATATATCATAATATATCATTATCTATAATGGATATGTAATATAATATAATAAATAAAAGATACATATATATATATAATATAAAAATAAATAAAACCCAGGAGTCAGAGTTTGCAGTGAGCTGAGACCATGCCACTGTACTCCAGCCTGGGTGACAGAGCAAGACTCCATCTCAGAAAATACGTATATATAAAATATATTTATAATATATATAATACATTATATTATAATTATGATAAAATATATAATTACGTAATATATTATAAAATATATAATTACATAATATATTATAAAATATATAATTACATAATATATTATAAAATATATAATTACATAATATATTATAAAATATATAATTACATAATATATTATAAAATATATAATTACATAATATATTATAATATAATTACATAGTATATTATAATATAATTACATAATATATTATAATATAATATATAATTACATAATACATTATAATATATTAAATATATTATAAATTATATTACAGTAATATATTATATATTAAAATATATTAAATATAATATATAGGAATAGGAACAGCTCCGGTCTACAGCTCCTAGCGTGAGCGACGCAGAAGCCAGGTGATTTCTGCATTTCCATCTGAGGTACCGGGTTCATCTCACTAGGGAGTGCCAGACAGTGGGCGCAGGCCAGTGTGTGCGCCCACCGTGCGCGAGCCGAAGCAGGGCGAGGCATTGCCTCACCTGGGAAGCGCAAGGGGTCAGGGAGTTCCCTTTCCGAGTCAAAGAAAGGGGTGACGGACGCACCTGGAAAATCGGGTCACTCTCACCCAAATATTGCGCTTTTCAGACCGGCTTAAAAAACGGCGCACCACGAGACTATATCCCACACCTGGCTCAGAGGGTCCTACGCCCACGGAAATCTCACTGATTGCTAGCACAGCAGTCTGAGATCAAACTGCAAGGCGGCAACGAGGCTGGGGGAGGGGCGCCCGCCATTGCCCAGGCTTGCTTAGGTAAACAAAGCAGCCCGGAAGCTCGAACTGGGTGGAGCCCACCACAGCTCAAGGAGGCCTGCCTGCCTCTGTAGGCTCCACCTCTGGGGGCAGGGCACAGACAAACAAAAAGACAGCAGTAACCTCTGCAGACTTAAGTGTCCCTGTCTGACAGCTTTGAAGAGAGCAGTGGTTCTCCCAGCACGCAGCTGGAGATCTGAGAACGGGCAGACTGCCTCCTCAAGTGGGTCCCTGACCCCTGACCCCCGAGCAGCCTAACTAGGAGGCACCCCCCAGCAGGGGCACACTGACACCTCACAGGGCAGGGTACTCCAACAGACCTGCAGCTGAGGGTCCTGTCTGTTAGAAGGAAAACTAACAACCAGAAAGGACATCTACACCGAAAACCCATCTGTACATCACCATCATCAAAGACCAAAAGTAGATAAAACCACAAAGATGGGGAAAAAACAGAACAGAAAAACTGGAAACTCTAAAACGCAGAGTGCCTCTCCTCCTCCAAAGGAACGCAGTTCCTCATCAGCAACGGAACAAAGCTGGATGGAGAATGATTTTGACGAGCTGAGAGAAGGCTTCAGACGATCAAATTACTCTGAGCTACGGGAGGACATTCAAACCAAAGGCAAAGAAGTTGAAAACTTTGAAAAAAATTTAGAAGAATGTATAACTAGAATAACCAATACAGAGAAGTGCTTAAAGGAGCTGATGGAGCTGAAAACCAAGGCTCGAGAACTACGTGAAGAATGCAGAAGCCTCAGGAGCCGATGCGATCAACTGGAAGAAAGGGTATCAGCAATGGAAGATGAAATGAATGAAATGAAGCGAGAAGGGAAGTTTAGAGAAAAAAGAATAAAAAGAAATGAGCAAAGCCTCCAAGAAATATGGGACTATGTGAAAAGACCAAATCTACGTCTGGTTGGTGTACCTGAAAGTGATGTGGAGAATGGAACCAAGTTGGAAAACACTCTGCAGGATATTATCCAGGAGAACTTCCCCAATCTAGCAAGGCAGGCCAACGTTCAGATTCAGGAAATACAGAGAACGCCACAAAGATACTCCTCGAGAAGAGCAACTCCAAGACACATAATTGTCAGATTCACCAAAGTTGAAATGAAGGAAAAAATGTTAAGGGCAGCCAGAGAGAAAGGTCTGGTTACCCTCAAAGGAAAGCCCATCAGACTAACAGCGGATCTCTTGGCAGAAACCCTACAAGCCAGAAGAGAGTGGGGGCCAATATTCAACATTCTTAAAGAAAAGAATTTTCAACCCAGAATTTCATATCCAGCCAAACTAAGCTTCATAAGTGAAGGAGAAATAAAATACTTTATAGACAAGCAAATGCTGAGAGATTTTGTCACCACCAGGCCTGCCCTAAAAGAGCTCCTGAAGGAAGCGCTAAACATGGAAAGGAACAACCGGTACCAGCCGCTGCAAAATCATGCCAAAATATAAAGACCATCGAGACTAGGAAGAAACTGCATCAACTAACGAGCAAAATCACCAGCTAACATCATAATGACAGGATCAAATTCACACATAACAATATTAACTTTAAATATAAATGGACTAAATTCTGCAATTAAAAGACACAGACTGGCAAGTTGGATAAAGAGTCAAGACCCATCAGTGTGCTGTATTCAGGAAACCCATCTCACGTGCAGAGACACACATAGGCTCAAAATAAAAGGATGGAGGAAGATCTACCAAGCCAATGGAAAACAAAAAAAGGCAGGGGTTGCAATCCTAGTCTCTGATAAAACAGACTTTAAACCAACAAAGATCAAAAGAGACAAAGAAGGCCATTACATAATGGTAAAGGGATCAATTCAACAAGAGGAGCTAACTATCCTAAATATTTATGCACCCAATACAGGAGCACCCAGATTCATAAAGCAAGTCCTGAGTGAGCTACAAAGAGACTTAGACTCCCACACATTAATAATGGGAGACTTTAACACCCCACTGTCAACATTAGACAGATCCATGAGACAGAAAGTCAACAAGGATACCCAGGAATTGAACTCAGCTCTGCACCAAGCGGACCTAATAGACATCTACAGAACTCTCCACCCCAAATCAACAGAATATACATTTTTTTCAGCACCACACCACACCTATTCCAAAATTGACCACATAGTTGGAAGTAAAGCTCTCCTCAGCAAATGTAAAAGAACAGAAATTATAACAAACTATCTCTCAGACCACAGTGCAATCAAACTAGAATTCAGGATTAAGAATCTCACTCAAAGCCGCTCAACTACATGGAAACTGAACAACCTGCTCCTGAATGACTACTGGGTACATAACGAAATGAAGGCAGAAATAAAGATGTTCTTTGAAACCAACGAGAACAAAGACACCACATACCAGAATCTCTGGGACACATTCAAAGCAGTGTGTAGAGGGAAATTTATAGCACTAAATGCCTACAAGAGAAAGCAGGAAAGATCCAAAATTGACACCCTAACATCACAATTAAAAGAACTAGAAAAGCAAGAGCAAACATATTCAAAAGCTAGCAGAAGGCAAGAAATAACTAAAATCAGAGCAGAACTGAAGGAAATAGAGACACAAAAAACCCTTCAAAAAATCAATGAATCCAGGAGCTGGTTTTTTGAAAGGATCAACAAAATTGATAGACCGCTAGCAAGACTAATAAAGAAAAAAAGAGAGAAGAATCAAATAGACGCAATAAAAAATGATAAAGGGGATATCACCACCGATCCCACAGAAATACAAACTACCATCAGAGAATACTACAAACACCTCTATGCAAATAAACTAGAAAATCTAGAAGAAATGGATACATTCCTCGACACATACACTCTCCCAAGACTAAACCAGGAAGAAGTTGAATCTCTGAATAGACCAATAACAGGCTCTGAAATTGTGGCAATAATCAATAGTTTACCAACCAGAAAGAGCCCAGGACCAGATGGATTCACAGCTGAATTCTACCAGAGGTACAAGGAGGAACTGGTACCATTCCTTCTGAAACTATTCCAATCAATAGAAAAAGAGGGAATCCTCCCTAACTCATTTTATGAGGCCAGCATCATTCTGATACCAAAGCCGGGCAGAGACACAACCAAAAAAGAGAATTTTAGACCAATATCCTTGATGAACATTGATGCAAAAATCCTCAATAAAATACTGGCAAACCGAATCCAGCAGCACATCAAAAAGCTTATCCACCATGATCAAATGGGCTTCATCCCTGGGATGCAAGGCTGGTTCAATATACGCAAATCAATAAATGTAATCCAGCATATAAACAGAGCCTAAGACAAAAACCACATGATTATCTCAATAGATGCAGAAAAAGCCTTTGACAAAATTCAACAAACCTTCATGCTAAAAACTCTCAATAAATTAGGTATTGATGGGACGTATTTCAAAATAATAAGAGCTATCTATGACAAACCCACAGCCAATATCATACTGAATGGGCAAAAACTGGAAGCATTCCCTTTGAAAACTGGCACAAGACAGGGATGCCCTCTCTCACCGCTCCTATTCAACATAGTGTTGGAAGTTCTGGCCAGGGCAATCAGGCAGGAGAAGGAAATAAAGGGTATTCAATTAGGAAAAGAGGAAGTCAAATTGTCCCTGTTTGCAGACGACATGATTGTTTATCTAGAAAACCCCATCGTCTCAGCCCAAAATCTCCTTAAGCTGATAAGCAACTTCAGCAAAGTCTCAGGATACAAAATCAATGTACAAAAATCACAAGCATTCTTATACACCAACAACAGACAAACAGAGAGCCAAATCATGAGTGAACTCCCATTCACAATTGCTTCAAAGAGAATAAAACACCTAGGAATCCAACTTACAAGGGATGTGAAGGACCTCTTCAAGGAGAACTACAAACCACTGCTCAAGGAAATAAAAGAGGACACTAACAAATGGAAGAATATTCCATGCTCATGGGTAGGAAGAATCAATATCGTGAAAATGGGCATACTGCCCAAGGTAATTTACAGATTCAATGCCATCCCCATCAAGCTACCAATGACTTTCTTCACAGAATTGGAAAAAACTACTTTAAAGTTCATATGGAACCAAAAAAGAGCCCGCATCGCCAAGTCAATCCTAAGCCAAAAGAACAAAGCTGGAGGCATCACACTACCTGACTTCAAACCATACTACAAGGCTACAGTAACCAAAACAGCATGGTACTGGTACAAAAACAGAGATATAGATCAATGGAACAGAACAGAGCCTTCAGAAATAATGCCGCATATCTACAACTATCTGATCTTTGACAAACCTGAGAAAAACAAGCAATGGGGAAAGGATTCCCTATTTAATGAATGGTGCTGGGAAAACTGGCTAGCCATATGTAGAAAGCTGAAACTGGATCCCTTCCTTACACCTTATACAAAAATCAATTCAAGATGGATTAAAGATTTAAACGTTAGACCTAAAACCATAAAAACCCTAGAAGAAAACCTAGGCATTACCATTCAGGACATAGGCGTGGGCAAGGACTTCATGTCTAAAACACCAAAAGCAATGGCAACAAAAGCCAAAATTGACAAATGGGATCTAATTAAACTAAAGAGCTTCTGCACAGCAAAAGAAACTACCATCAGAGTGAACAGGCAACCTACAACATGGGAGAAAATTTTCGCAACCTACTCATCTGACAAAGGGCTAATATCCAGAATCTACAATGAACTCAAACACATTTACAAGAAAAAAACAAACAACCCCATCAAAAAGTGGGCGAAGGACATGAACAGACACTTCTCAAAAGAAGACATTTATGCAGCCAAAAAACACATGAAGAAATGCTCATCATCACTGGCCATCAGAGAAATGCAAATCAAAACCACTATGAGATATCATCTCACACCAGTTAGAATGGCAATCATTAAAAAGTCAGGAAACAACAGGTGCTGGAGAGGATGTGGAGAAATAGGAACACTTTTACACTGTTGGTGGGACTGTAAACTAGTTCAACCATTGTGGAAGTCAGTGTGGCGATTCCTCAGGGATCTAGAACTAGAAATACCATTTGACCCAGCCATCCCATTACTGGGTATATACCCAAATGACTATAAATCATGCTGCTATAAAGACACATGCACATGTATGTTTATTGCGGCATTATTCACAATAGCAAAGACTTGGAACCAACCCAAATGTCCAACAATGATAGACTGGATTAAGAAAATGTGGCACATATACACCATGGAATACTATGCAGCCATAAAAAATGATGAGTTCATGTCCTTTGTAGGGACATGGATGAAATTGGAAACCATCATTCTCAGTAAACTATCGCAAGAACGAAAAACCAAGCACCGCATATTCTCACTCATAGGTGGGAATTGAACAATGAGATCACATGGACACAGGAAGGGGAATATCACACTCTGGGGACTGTGGTGGGGTCGGGGGAGGGGGGAGGGATAGCATCGGGAGATATACCTAATGCTAGATGACACGTTAGTGGGTGCAGCGCACCAGCATGGCACATGTATACATATGTAACTAACCTGCACAATGTGCACATGTACCCTAAAACTTAAAGTATAATTAAAAAAATAAAAATAAAAAAAATATATATAATATATAATAGTAATACATAATATATATTATAATATGTAACATGATATATAATCATATATTATAATTATATGTAATATATAATATATAATTATATATTATATATAATACATAATATATACCTATATACAATATATAAATATGATATGTAATTATATATTATAATATAGTATAGATTACTATAATATGAGATTACTATAATATATAATTATATATTATATTGTAAATATATTGCAATATAAAATTATACATCATATATCCAAATATATTTTATATTTATATACATATTTTTTGAGATGGAGTCTCACTCTGTCACCCATACTGGAGTGTAATGGCATGATCTCAGCTCACTATAACCTCTGCCTCCTAGGTTCAAGCACTTGTCCTGTCTCAGCCTCCTAAGTAGCTGGGACTACAGGCACCTGCCACCAAGCCCGGCTAATATTTTTGTATTTTTAGTAGGGACAGGGTTTCGTCATGTCAATTAATATATTTTAAAGTTGTTTATTTACTTTTCTCCACACGTAATTTTATTTTGGACTTCTTTTAAACTTTTTCCTTCTACTTTATCACGTTTATGGTTCCCCCTGCTCTCTTGAATATATGGAACATTTGTATAGTAGCTGTTTTTCTCACTGTTGTCACTTAATTTTATCATCTTTGCCATTTCTGAATCAATTTTATTGAATTATTTCCTTTTAATTATAGTGTTAAATTGTTCTAAGTCTTTTCATGCCTTTAAATTTTTATTGGATTCTGGGTATTTAAAATTTTTGCACCCTGAGTGCTGGGCTCTGTTGTATTCCATTAAATACAATTCATTTTGTTATGGTGTGTAGTTAAGCTACTTGAAATTAGTTTGGTCCTTCCAAGACTGGCTGTTAATTTTTTCTCAGGTTAGTTAAGAATGCTTTTAATTTCAGACTAACTTTTTCCCACAATTAATCCAACACTTATCTGATAATTTTTACCTAATGTTCTTGTATTATGAGTTCTTGTTCCTACGATTGGTAAACACATAAACTATTCCCAGCCCTATTTGAGTGCTGAAAAGGGTCCTGTCTGCTCTATTCTAGTGGCTGTTTCCTCTCACACAATTGCAATTTAATATGCATTTAAGGATTCAAGTGGGGACTTTCAGATCTCCACAACTGTCTTTCCAAGAAGTTCATTCCTCTACAGTAGCCTGCTCTACATATTTGAGCCGCTTTGGGATCCCTGAACTCAAATCATATTTTCTAAATGGAAAAACTCCACCTGGCTCTGTTCGGATTCCCCTTTCCTGCATTGCAGTTAGGAAACTACCTCCAAGAAGTAAACTGGGCAGCCCTATGGCTAATCTCATGTTTTATCTTAGGAATCACAATACTGTACTGTATGTGGTTCAACTTCTGAAGACCTTTGTTTTGTATATTCTAATAGATTTTCCTAGTGTTTTGGCCACAGAAGTGGAAATTCCTTCATTACAACTACATAGTAGAGAACACTCAGTTTTAGGGCCTTTCCATAATATTGTGCAAATAGTTCTAGGCTCATTAGTACTTGATGGTCTGCCAGCTTCATTTACATTGTACAACAGAATCTTCTCCAGCATGGTTATCTGGACTTCCTGCTTTAGGTCACTATTGCCACCATTCACCTCATTTATATAAGTGCCCAGGAACAGCAGATAATTATGGATGGTGCATGCCAAATTCAGAAGACCCCACTAACTTCTCAATAAATGAAATAAACATAAATTAACTATTAAAATTTACAAGACAAGGCGGGGCACGGTGGCTCACGCCTGTAATCCGAACACTTTGGGAGACCTAGGCGGGCGGATCATCTGAGCTCAGGAGTTCAAGACCAGCCTGAGCAACATAGGAAAACTCTATCTCTACTAAAAGTAAAAAATTAGCTGGGCATGGTGGCATGCACCTGTAGTCCCACGGGAGGCTGGGGCATGAGAGTCACTTAACCCGGGGGTTGGAGGTTGCAGTGAACTGAGATCGCGCCACTGCATTCCAGCCTGGGCAACTCTGAGCGAGAAACTCTAAAAAAAAAAAAAAAAAAGGACACTGCATAATTAGAAAACTGTCAAATTACCCATTCTTTATATCACTATAATCTACATGATAAAGAAAGTAATGAGAGTATTTAATGGGATTCTTAGTAGAAAGGGCAGAATTCTTCCACAATATTTTATATATAGTCATGTCAGTATAACTCTTACTATTAGCAATCACCATCTTCCTTTTTTCTTTTCTGCCTGTAAAAATAATGAAAATCAATATAATGTCCACTGAGAAAGTTCTATTCCTCAACAGAAACTCTGTTTTGATTGTTAAAGTTTAATACTTTGTCACACATTATCAAGGGACTTTCTGTGACTCAAAGCCAATGGATAAACCAGGCTTATTATATTGTTGACTTTAGTCCAAAAATGACATATTTTTGTAATTTATTATTGAGTTTATTTTGAGGTCAAATGAAGAATTTCTTAAAACAGTTTTTCTTTTGTTTTACCCAGGCACAAAATCTATAAAGTATTTTAGGCTAAGAATATTAAATAAAATGTAATAGGCTTGAGTTTTCCATAAAACAAAGCTAAGTGGGTTGAAAATTAGGAAAGCTTTACTTCATACTTTAATATCTTAGCAAATCAACTATTACTTGTTTGTAATGGTTCTGTGATATATGAGAAAACCATGACTAGAGTTGGAACAAAAAGTTAATAAGTTAGTATGTGAAGAAATTATTAAAGCCCAATGTCATAGGGAGAATTATCAGTTTTTAGATCTCAGTTTTTAGATCCTGGATCTTAAATAGAAAATAGTTTCAGAATTATCTGACACAAGAAAGCCTTTCCTCTTGCTCTTTGTGGGCTGTCATTTTAATCTACCTTTACTACTCAATGACAGATATCATCAATAATGAATACCAATTAAAGAAAACTGAATCGACAACTATTTTAGAACATTAAGGTGTCATTTTTCTCCTTTGAAATATATATCCTTGCCCCTTATATATCTAAATTTGATATACACTTTAAAACTATGCTCTATTTTCTTCTGATTATTAAAAAAATACCACAGTTAGGGCCGGGCGCAGTGGCTGACACCTGTAATCCCAGCACTTTGGGAGGCCAAGGCGGGCGGATCACGAGGTCAGGAGGTCGAGACCATCCTGGCTAACACGGTGACACCCCATCTCTATTAAAAATACAAAAAATTAGGTGGGCATGGTGGCAGGTGCCTGTAGTCTCAGCTACTTGGGAGGCTGAGGCAGAAGAATGGCCTGAACCCAGGAGGTGGAGCTTGCAGTGAGCCGAGATTGTGCCACTGCACTCCAGCCTGGGTGACAGAGCAAGACTCCATCTCAAAAAAAAAAACAACAAAAAAAAAAACAAAAACAAAAAAAACAGTTATTCTAGCTCCTAGCACATTCCCATAGAATGGGAATTCATTTTAACCAACTAAGTACTTAATTTTTTTTGCTATCCAAGTGTTTGTATTGTCAGGAATGACAATTTGTCTTTACAATAACTGAAAACTGCCATATGGTAGAGCTATTGACATAAAGTGCAAATGCAAGAACTTGATATTCAGCTGGCATACACTGGTCTGGCTCACCAGTTGTTTACTGCTATTGTTCATTCTGATTAATTGAAGACCTATTGCAATGAGTAGGAGCTTGTACCATACTGATTGTGAATATTTGCAATATAATTCCTGGATAGACACAAGATCAGTTTGGGATATGGGTTAAGTTCAAAGTGTCTGCTGAAAATTGTCATAGAGAAATTAAGAAAAGAACGTTGGAAACATGATGCTGGAGGTTTAGAGAGAAACCAGGATAGAGGACATAAGAGCTGGAGTCATTAATATATGGATGGTCCTAGAAGCAAAGGCTAAAAATAGACCATCTAGTAAGAAAATCAGATATTTTAGCCTTCTACTTTCTTCACTTCCTGGTATACAGTGCCTTTGTGTTCCCCCCTTGACCTCTAGCTCCATGGATTTATCTCTTTTTTTTTTTTTTTTTTTTTTGAGACAGTCTCGCTCTGTTGCCCAGGCTGGAGTGCAATGGCACGATCTCTGCTCACTGCAAGCTCCGCCTCCTGGGTTCACACCATTCTCCTGCCTCAGCCTCCCAAGTAGCTGGGACTACAGGCACCCGCCACCACACCTGGCTAATATTTTCTATTTTTAGTGAGACAAGGTTTAACCATATTAGCCAGGATGGTCTCGATCTCCTAACCTCCTGATCTGCCCACCTCGGCCTCCCTGATTTATCTTTTTATTTCATTTGCCCTAACATATATCCCAAGGTCTGCTATTTCAACTGTGTGTCTATGTCCTACCTAGAATCACAGACTCCTTCAACTTTTTCCATTGCTGCATTAACAATGCCTCTAGTTCCATACTCCATGCTCCTCACTTCTCTTTTATTATTTTCAGATGGTATCACTAGTTTCTTCCAATGGAATGACTCCTCCCATGTCTCACCTTTCTTATCCAGTCAGTCATCATTCATATTAAGTCTGACTGCCTGATAGCTCTCATATCTGTAATCTTTTCCCTTTTTATTCCTGCTGTCATTGATTTAGGTTTACCCTTATCACATTTCACTTGGACTATTGCAATAATTTTTTAACTTGTGTTAATGTTAAACACATATGGTATATCCTTCTCCAGTTTTTTCACTAACCCATCACAGAGTAATCTTTCTGAAATATTAAATATGTCATGTTGGTCACTTGTTTAAAATCCTTCAATAAATTCCTTTTGTCTTCATGTTCAAATATTTAGTATGTCAAACCAAGTCTTTCCATTTGAGTCTTGAATATCCATCAGTCTCATCTGCCCATCATCAATTGTCCAACAGTGTACTGTGTTCAAGACATATGAAGCTCTATTTAGTTCTCCTCTCAGTCCTCATTCAGCCCTGTGAATCTTTGTCTGCATGTTTCCATTTGTATGGAATGTTCTTTACTCCTAGACCATCCTATCACACTGGGTAATTTCTACTCATTCTTTGTGACTTACAGCTCATGATCCTATGGAAAAACTTCCTGAAAATCCCAGAGCATATCTGCATCCAAGCACTCAGTATATTTCACTGTGCATGTCCATATATTAGCCTCTCATACCTTCCAAACTCTCAATTATTCAATAGTTTGAACTGTGTCCTATGTATTCTTATATCTCTACTCACACCTTATCTAGTAGAAGTGTGTAATATGTTCTAAATATATGACCATTAAATGTTACTAAACAAATACATGAAATAAAGATTGTTGATGTATGCTTTATCTATGATAAAGCATCTATGATGTATGCTTGCTATCTGTCTATCTATCTGTCTGTCTATCTATCTATCTATTTATCTATCTATCTATCTATCTAGGATATATGCTCTATCTATCCCTCAGCTGCAAAGAATAAAACCCATTCTTATATTGCTAGGTAAATCCACAGATCTGTTTTTGTACCTACTTAAAAGTTTACATTTTTTCATCATAGTCTGCTTCTTCCTACTACCAATACATATTTTTATTTATTTCTTTTTGAATGTTGGATTTATTTTCAGTGATTACTCTTACAAATATTTCCTACTTTTCTTCACCCTCCAGTTTCACTTCTGGACCCTTTATGCTCACGAAATAACATCTCATATGCTTTCTTGGGTCAATATTATATAATATAGCGTTGCCTCTTTTGGTTGTCTTTAAATACCTATGTTTCATCTACTACCACCTTTTTATCTTGTGTGATTAGTTCTTGCCTATCTTTCACTGGCCTCTTGGACAGCTTCTTTTCATACTCATCTCTATATTTTTAATAGTTTTCCATGCCAAATGGAGAGCAACAACAAAATAAACATTAACATCAAACTATTTGTTTCTCCTCCTAAGGGACATTTCCTCTAATTGGATGCATCTGTAAGTTATTTTGGCCTTTTTTTCTTTTCTGTGCTATAGAAATTTCAAAAAAACAGCTTAAAATAGCTCACATTTCTTCTCCCTCCACCATGAAATTCTTGTGTTTGCATAGTAATTTAGTTTTTTTTTTTTCTTTTTCTTTTTTAACGGAGTTCCGCTCTGTCACCAGGCTGGAGTGCAGTGGCAGGATCTCGGCTCACTGCAAACTCCACCTCCCGGGTTCAAGCAATTCTTCTTCCTCAGCCTCTCAAGTAGCTGGGACTACAGGTGTATGCCACCACGCCCAGCTAATTTTTGTATTTTTAGTGGAGACTGGGTTTCACCTTGTTGGCCAAGCTAGTCTCGAACTCCTGACCTCAAGTGATCCACCCACCTTGGCCTCCCAAAGTGCTGGGATTACAGGCGTGAGCCACTGCATCTGGCCAGCTTCTTTAATATTAATACTCTACATATTTTCCCAAAGACCAATTCTAAAAGCCCTTTCTTGATGGCATTTTGCTGGACCTCCTGGCACCAAGCTGCACCAAACCTTTGCCTTGTTGTGCCCCTACTTCCCTGTCCATTCCTTTTGTACCTTTCACTGGCTTCTCTGTTTTTTTCCACTGACTTCTTTTCCAACTTAAGCTCCTTAAGTATTTTCCAAAATTGTTTAGCATTTCTAGGAAATGTTATCTATTCCCCAGCTCTAACATATCTATACTAATGACTTGCAGATCTACATCTGTAGCCATGGTCTCTATCCTAAGTTGCAGCCGCGCTATTTCAAGCACATATTAAGTTCCTGAAACCAGTGACTAATCAATGCTTCATATGACAAATTTGGGTTCAACTCTGACTCATTTGCTGTCTCCACGTGCTATCAGTTTTGAAGTTCTTTAGATTGTTGCCTCCACATTTTTCTTTCATTTAAAGCTTCACTTTCAGTTCCCCTGAACATGTCCTAACTCAGGGACCCAATACTACTTATCTACAGTAGTCTCTGTACTTTTAGGCTTCTCCATCCTAGAAAACCGTATTTCTCTACCGGATTATTTTCTTACTTTTAGAGCCCTCTTATTACCACTCCCTTAAAAATGTTTTGTAACAATTCATTACTTGCATTTTGATAAAAATATATTTTAAAAAGAATATTCTTGAACCTTAAATTAACAGGCTCTCCATATTGAGGCCCTAAAGTCATAATGTGCCTGTTGTACACTACTTTCTGTCACTGCAGTAGAACTGACTGCTCAAAATTCCCCAAATAGGTTTCATAAATTCTTATTAATGATATCCCTGAGCCTACAAAACTTCAACTATTCCTCTACCTATTGTTTCTTTTCCTTCTCCATGGCCAAATTAAGGGATGCCCTCTGTCTGTTTGAAACTTTCTGTGTGATTCTACTCCCAACAACTATAGTATTTTCTTATTTGTCCCTCTTCCTGACTGACTGACCTTCCTTCCTTCCTCTCTCTTTTCTTTCTTGTTACACCACAGTATTTAATTATCTTTTGTGAACTTTTTGTTTGTTTGCACCACAATCAGTTATGTATATCATATCCTACTGAAGTGCATATTCCTTAAACACAAGACCTCATTCATATATAGATAATACCTGACTAATGTCGATAGAAGAATGTCAACAAGTGAATAATGTGTTTATCACCTTTTCCAAAAATCATTCGTGTCTTCATCATTTCGATTCTATTTCCTTTAATAGGGATGAAGAAGATTATGAAAAAGTAGGCCATTTTCTGGCAAAACACCAATTTAAATGTCAAATGGTTAAAAGTTAAATGTAACCTTAACCAAACAAAAGAACTATATCCTTAAATATCTCACAGAGTTATTGATGGATTTCTTTTTGTGGATTTGAAAAACTAAATAAATAAGAAAGAGAAAAATAGCATGGTGTGATCAATTTCTAAGAATGGGTTTAGAAACTGTTCACACTTAAATGCATAAACAAATTAAAAGCAAACAGCAAACCAGAAATAATGTTTGAATAAATTAATGATAATATTAATATTTAAAGACATTTTTAAAAAAACAAAAAGTACCTACATATTAAAGCCAGAGGAAAATGTGTGATTTATAAATCATATAAGTGACACTAATGAAAACAAAAATTTAATTCTTTTGGTTTATTAAGTAAAACTAATTCAAGAATTCTTAGGTTTGGTTTTTTTTTGTTTTGTTTTTACCTTGCAAATAACAAATAATGAAAAGAATGATAAATTTCAATATTGGTTAGGGTGAAGCAAAATGGGCTATTACGCTCCTGACATGATTTTACACTGGCCCAAACTTTCTAAAATGTAATTTGGCATTTTATATAAAAAAATCCTTTAAAAAGTTATAGCACATATTTACTCATGTAGGAATCTAATCTGTGTTTAAGTGTAAGAAAAATTTGTTACACACACAGTTTTTTTACTTCAAAAAAATTAGAATTAATCTATTACATATTGAGAAATGGTTAAATACATTTCAATATGTTTAAATATTACTACACCAAAGAACAGACTATCATGCAACACTCACAATCTTCTTTTCAAATATACTAAGTGAAGAGACACACATTTATAGTGTCAAATAGAGAAATGAATATGTACATTTATATGTCACTACCATAATTATAAACCACACACATGCAAAACCACAAAATCACAAAATAAATGGAATATCATGTTGGTTTCTCTGATGTATGATTAGGAGTGACATAATCTGTACTTTTCCTTTTTTTTCTTTCTAAAATCTGGAATCATCACCATAATTACCATTTTAAATTAAACATGTGTAAAAGAATTGCATGTTTATTTAGGTGTTACTCTTAGCATGTCATCTGTCATCATTGGAGAGTAACTTCATAGTATAGGAGGGGAAACAGGAAAAGAAGGTAAAATTATTTGCTCAAGCAATTTGGTGCCTGCAAGTAAGGCGAAGGAAGTGTGTATCAAAGGTTTCTCTTCTCTTCTCCCCCATTATCACAAATTATGCTGACACTTGACTGAACCCACAGGTGCTTATTAGCATGTTAGCCTGCTGTGCATTTGCCAGTCTCAGCTGAAGTCCTACTAGACAGATAAACATTCTTAAATGAAAAATTCATTGTTTTTTCTGTTACATTCAGCCAAGTTCAATTCGTGGCACTGACATTTGCTGGCTTAGAGGTCTTAGGCAATTAACGTAATCTCTCTAAGCTTTACTTTCTGCAACTTTAAAATAGATGAAAATATCTATTTGTATCAGACAGGATATTTTTAGTTGCAGGTTACAGAAAATACAACTCAGATTAAACAAAGGACTGTATTAGTTGATAAATGTGAATGTAGGCATCAATCACAGAACTATGGCTCTGCATTTTTCCTAGCTTTACCATATTCAATGTGTCTGCATTGTCCTCAGCATGACTCTCCTAATCATTGCAAGGTGCCTTTATTCAACTAAAGGGAGAGTGCCTATAATTCCCTACAACCATCAAACAAACGCCGTGAGAGCAATCAAGGTCCACTCTCAGGGTGTGGTAAAAGTAGGGAGTCAATGCCATCGAACCATGTAGCTGGTATATCAAGAGGAAGAATTTGAATAAATTTGTGGAGGAAATCTCAATGTTCATGACAGCACTTCATGAGGTGATCATAAGATTAAAAGCAATACTGCATGTAAATCATTTAGTAACGTACATTGTTCTGAGTACATGGCTGTAAACAAGTTGTAGAGTGGGCACTGCTGTAAACAAGAAAACTACAACTTTCCTCATATAGTTCCTTTGTGCAAGATCCTGCATAAATTACCTATAACTCACCTCTTCAAATTAAATCTCCTCTCCCTACTTTTTCAATCTATTTCTTTAATTTAACTCCCTTACCCTTATATGATGTCTCTCTTATTCTTCTCCAGCAGCCACTTCTCTTGGAGATTTCTTTGCTTCTACTATGACCTTTCCTGGAATACCCTTCTATCTCCTCTCTGATATTCACATTGCTCCCATTCTTTGAGAAGTTCAGAAGTTTTCAAAAGTCCATAAAAGCAGGGAAATGTTGCCTACTCCAACCTCTTTCTGGTCGCTTTTTCTTCTCTGAACACCTAGAATAATTACAAGGTGTCTTGTGCTAAATGTGCCTCAACTTATTTTTCTCTTGTTTTTCTGTTATTGTTCTCTTAGCAATGTGTGTGTGTTGCTATTCATTGTCTCAATGAGTATTTAATTGGGGAAATTTGGTTCATCATCATGTGCTTCTTTGATCTCCAAAAGAGGAGTCTCATGTTAGCCATGAAGTGGACATTCAATAAATTCTCATTTATGTGATGACAAAAATGATCTCTAGCAATGATCAATATCTATTTATGTGCAGGCACTTCAGTAAGCACTTTACAGATGTAATACTATTTACTTAATATTACGGCACCATTATTATCCTAATTCCACAAATGATGAAACCAAGGTTTCAAGGAACAAATGTGTTTCTCAGTCACAGAGTTCTCAACTGGCAGTGGCTTCCACCTGCCCTAGTAATAACAACAGTGGACTGTCATTTAAGGCTGTTATTTTCACAATTGTTGTACTGAAAAATCCTTCATTCTTTAACGTCAGTGGGGACCCCAAAGAGCTCTTGTTTATGTGGTTTATATCTCTATCAACACTCAATCTATTATACAGTAAAACTGAGATTTTTTAAAAAACTGCTTATTAATACTTATCAATTTATAATTATGTGTCACATGATGTTGCAGGGCAAAAGAGTGAGGTTAGTGATCAACTCAGTGTATCACTGGAAGCTATATGAGTAAATAGTAGACTGTTCTCATGAATGCAGAATGTTGGGAAACTGACAAACTGCATCTGCCACCCAGAAGGAATGCTGAGGGCAGTCACGCCCCAAGTGCAGTATTGCTTGTGATTAGGCACATCTGAAGCCTGTTAGCAATAATATGAACCCATGATCAGTTAAGCAGCTGACCAATCATTACCTCCTCCTGGCTGCTCTTTCTGCCCAATAAATACAAAGGGCTGTAGAAGCTCAGGGTGGCTGCTGCCTTTGCTCACTAGAAGCAGGGAGCCCTTCTTCTTCCCCAGACCCCTTCTCTAAAACAGTTTCTTTTAAGTTTTCATTTCTGCATTTGTCCCCCTTCATTCAGTCCCATAGTAACCATGGCAAACCGTGGGAACATGACATTGCAGTTAATGATGGACTGCATATGTGATGGTGACCCCATAAGATTGTAATGGGTTGCATATACAGGGGTATCATTTTAAATATTTTATACCCTATTTATTGTAACTTTTCATGTTTAGATACACAAACACCATTGTGTAACTATTGCCTACAGCATTAAGTGCAGTGACATGATATATAAATTTATAGCCTAGGAGGAATAGGCTATACCATATAGCCTAGGTGGGTAGTATAGTAGGCTATTACATCTTTTTGTTGTTGTTGTTCTTTTGAGGGAGGTGGGGAATCTCACTCTGTCACGCAGGCTGGAGTGCAATGCCTCAATCTTGGCTCACTGCAACCGCCGCCATCCAGGTTCAAGCAATTCTTCTGCCTCAGACTCCCGAATAGCTGGGACTACAGGCACATGCCACCAAGCCTGGCTAATCTTTGTATTTTTAGTAGAGACGGGGTTTCACTGTGGTGGCCAGACTGATCTCAAAGCCTTCAGCTCAGGTTATCTGCCCACCTTGGCCTCCCAAAGGGCTGGGATTACAGGCATGAGCCACCGCGCCCAGCCTATACCATCTACTTTTGTGTAAGTACACTCTGTGATGCTCACAGAATGACAGAGTTGCCTAATGGCCACTTTAACTGTGGACAATTTTATCACCTTTGCTTAAAGACAATAGACAAAGACTAATGTTCACAGTGGGAAAGAACTTTTAGCAAATATGAGTCATAGTTTATATATTTATGTTCTTAATAATTGTATGAAATACATATGTATTTAGGTAAGTTAGTCTTGTGGAGATCCTGCAGTATAACCGTGAATTTCAAATGATCATCATTTGCTGTTGTTACAAATAACAACAAAGAATCTAGTTTAAATTTATAACACTTGAGAATTATCAATGGAAATGTAAACATAATTCATAAATGATAACACGTGGTTCTTTCTGGCTTCACATTCAACTAACTTCATCCCAAGTTATTTTTATTAAAAACATCTATAAAGTGTCAGTACCTTTTATTGAAATATATATTTTATAGTCAAAATACAAACAATTGAGTTTTCTTAGAGTCACTTTTATCTCACTTTATCTGAGCTTAACAAATTCTAAGAGAATAAACAGAAAAACATTAATAGATAAGTAGCTAGAATATTTAGGACAACCCAAACTATGCAAATACAGCATTTATAGGTTTGTACTCTAAAGAATCTAAGTGAATTGTTCCCTTAGAGGAGCAGCCTCAGGTAGAATTAAACAAGAGGAATAATAATGAACAGAGTCAGGTGAAAACTAAAGGACTGAAAATTAGAATCACCATATTTACTGAAAATGGATCCATCTTCTGTTAGCTGTAACAATAAAGAAAATATTCAAGTGGGAAAAGTACTCAGGAATGGAAATGAAGACCCTGCCTTTTGAATAAGAATAAAGAACACTGTGCTTCTTCAACTGTGGCATTTTCTCCCCTCTCTGACAAAGACAAAGGTCAAATTTTAAATTTAGAGATATAGTGATAATTGCATATTGTGGATACCTCTGTTCGAATATGCTCCGTGATTAAAAAGTAGAACATGTTAAGTTTACCTGAGTGTATGTATTGAGGGAGAAAGTGTGGTTGTGTAAGAAGAGGGATATTCTAACACTGGATGCTTTTTTAATTCTTCTAATAATTTATTATAAAAATGTAGACATGAATAAATATCTCCACTGTTATGAAAACAAACTGAGGTGTTTCAGCCTTGATGTAAGCTTAATAGAAAGATGAAAAAGATACAATATCGTATCAACCTTTTAAATCTCTCATTTTCCATATCAATAGTGAAATTACAAATTTGGTTCTAAATATACAGACTTTCCAGCAATAACATAGTTTATCTTTGTACCCCATGCTCAAAGTTGTCAAAGCTTAAGGGTCAAACCATACTAAATGTACAGGATTCACAACCATGTAAGTTAGGATATTCATTAGTTTTAATTATTATGTATCTGCAACACTGATAAGTGACTCTTATGTAAAACAAGGTGTATTTTTTTTATAAAACTAAAATTGTAGTGGAAAAGTCCTGAAGGATACCCTAGAGGAACAATAGGTTGCCAGTTTAAAGTGTCAGGTAATTTGTTTCACAACTTTTAAGTCCATTTTCTGAAGTCTAAAATTTGGTTATCTTTCCATATGCTGAGAACTTTCTACATGCCCATATCTATGTTGGGAAGTTAAGAAGACTTAGAAAAAATGTTTTTATTTATTACAACTGTGATATCAATTGCCTAGGACCTCAACAATCTCATAGAATGGAAATGTTTATGTGTAAGGTTATTGCCTGAACTGATTTAAAATTATCCTACACAATATAAAGTTGTCCCATTCAACCCTTGGTGAAGACCTTTAAAAAACAAACAAGTTGAAAAATGGGTTAAAGGGGAGAAATACAGCTTCTACCATTATAGCTATCAACTCAGAAATTCTCTCAATTACGGAATCTTGCAGAAAATTTGCTTCTTTTTCTCACAATCCTGGTGACAGCAATATTCCTTACTCCAGATTTGGCCTTTAAAATCATCATTGGATCATCATCTGTTCCCTCTACTTCTGGTAAATATACATCCTTATCACCACCCATGTTTATCGTCTCAGAGAAATGGTCAGAATTAAACATATCTAAATCATCTTTCTTTTCTTTCCAATTATGTGAGTCAACACTAAGCCAAACATGCTTTGCTCTTTTGTTAACCTTGGCCATGACTGCCCAGATTCCCCTTTTCACAAACATAGTGTTGACCCATCTGTTCTTTTATGCTTGGAAACATTTGGATCTACCCAATGAAAAAGATAATTTCATTGAAATGTTTACAATGATTAACTTTCTCCAAGAGAAATGCAACTTTGGATTTTTCAAAATGTATATTAACATCATTTCTGTGTTCAACACAAAATTCAGCAATGGCAGAGGGCCTCATGGGGCTCTATAGAAACACCGCCATCACTCATCTTTCTGGTGATACCACCACAGGTGGACTTGTCCAAGGCCTTTTCTCTGTACCACAGAACCCCAGAACCGAAGTGCTCAAGAAGCCAAATGGCAATCCCAAACAGCCCATGCCTCCAGGTCACCGCAGGGGGAAAGGCTCACAGGAGATTAAGGCCTAAGGATTGTGAATGAGGCAGAGAGAGGATTGAACGTGTGACTAGTCTTCTCTGGAAGCAGAAACTAGGAGGTTGCATCTTATACAGAGGAGACTCCAATGTTTTCTTCCTGGTAGTGGCCTCTTTCAACTTCCTTTGGACAATAACGGCCAACTGGATTGACCTGCATCCCCAGAATGCACCTCAGGGAGAGCCATTCCCCCCACGGGGAGAAACAGAAGCACAGGAAAAGGGGCTATAGGGCAGAGATCAAATGTGCATGCATGTCTGCCAGTGAGGAGTAGTGAGACCCCAAAGCTACCTTTTCTATTAAATATTTTACAGTGTGGAAGGAGAAATATCTGAGGACATTAGTTTGTCATGCACAAATATTGATATTGCTGGCTTCATCCCAAAAAGGGGCTTCCACTAATCCACAGATGCTACTCAATTTCCCACCAACCTGTAATCTAAACAAACCTATCTGCAGTGTGTTTAAGAAGTGTAGTTACCAAATCACAGTACTATCCTGGTTTTAGTTACTGAACTCTTGAGTTGTCCATATTCCTCTTCAAATGGGCACAGATTTCAGATCATTTTATGTCCTGTTTCTTTCCTGAACTTCAAGTTATTTCTGGTTCCATTTGAAATGATCTTCCTCTGAACCCAACAATTTTAAACTGTTGCCCATTTACTGATCTGGACTGAACTGATCACAGTTTGTTCTCTGTGCCTCCTGCTTCTCGACTCCATTACATTTTTCCAATCCTAGTAGATGTTCACATACAAACTGTAAGATAAAGAAAGTAGCTTCAGATAAGGGTTATCTACACTGTAGTAGGGGTTTCCTTTTAGGATTGTTCCCAAATGTGAAAAGATAATTTTCCTAAAACATCTGAAATTCAAAATGAGGGAAACCATCTACCTTTAAAGATCTTTCTGATTTTATGACATAATCCCTAGCATAGAAAAGAACTGGTGTTTGTTTGTTTTAATTTGCTTTTCCTTTGCTCTTGGAATGTTTACGTTTCTTGCACTGTTGGCTAAATGAAAGAAGTATTTTTGTTTCCTGTAGTAAAAATTCACCCCAGAATGAGATTCAGGTTGATAAGAATCCTCTGAACAGGTCACCAATCTCAAACCCTGAAGTTTGACTTCACACTTTCACAGGATTTCCAATAAAATAGACGTGTTTATCCCTAAGAAAAAGGTACTCATATTTCATAAGAACTAAGCTAGAGAACAATGTTATTAGAAAATAATAATGTTTTATAAAGCCCTTATTTGAGCAAAACCAGTAAATTTAGGTAGTATTATGTCTAGTTATGAAAGGAGTATGGATGAGATTAAAAACTTGAGGCTAATATTTTTAGTTGTTGAGTCATAAAATATGAAATTAATCTGTATAAAAAATAGACCAAATTCTCATCTCAGAATTATTTTTTCCTACAGCTGTGACTTGTGTTAGCAAATAGTACAAGAAATAAATACCTACATACAGAAGAGTTCATGTGCCACAAATCCTATGTTTACTTAAGGATACCATTAGCAGAATTAAAGGCGTCTCTATATATGGAAAAAAATGGTATTTTCTGTATTTATAAACAACAAAAGGCTTTGCTTTCCAAGAATGTATGAAGAACTTCTGATAAATAAAAAAAATGCAATAGAAAAATAGATAAGAAATTTGAATAGTCACTTTAATGATATCAAAATGGATAATAACTATATGAAATATTATCAACTTGAAATGGCTACAGTTAAAAAGTTTGTCAATACCAAATGCTAGTAAAGATGTAGACCAGCAGAAACTCATAAACTGCTCAGAAGCATTTATATTAGTACAATCAGTATTGAACATATGTATAAATTATGATCCAGCATTTCATTACTGACATATAAAAACAGAATACATACACCTTTTTAACCAGAAGACATGTACAAGAATGTTCAAAGTAGTACTATTGTATCTCCCAAATCGGAATAAAAATGAAAATGCTCATTTAAATTAGAATGCCTAAATAAGTGTCTTTATATTCACATAAGAGAATACCATATTTCAATAAAAATGAGTAAATCTCCTATATATGTAACCACTTGAGAAAATCTCACCAATATAATATTAAGCAAAAATAGCCAAAGACAAAAATAATGCAAAATGTATCATATCTTTTAAAATTCAGAAGAGGCAAAAACTATCAATTGTATTCAAAGTAAAAATTAAGTGTAACTTTGTCAAGAACAGAGTGAATGATGATTAGGACAAGACAAAAGAAAGTCTGAGAGGAGATGGATAAATAAGTGTGTTCATCATGCATTCATTCATTAAACTGTGTACTTATGATGTATACATTGTTGTATCTTTGTTACTTTTTAAGAAAAAGTGGTATTCTGTTATGGAAGAAGATAATGGATGTTATATAAGCAGCTGGCATGAATTGCTACAAAACCTCTACCCCACTGCAGAACAATATTTAGTGGATAATGAATCTCAAGTTTCTACCTCTAATACTAGGAACTTATCTTCCATTTTACTTCAAATTCTTCCACTTGATGAATGATGAAAGGGGCTTTGGGAATCCAGCAGGATAAGATCTATGGGTTGATGAGAAGTGCTCTGTGAGGTCTCTCCTGATTATTCTAATCTAAACTACGTAGCCACAGTTGCCACCAGCCTGGTTACCTCCCTTCATTTACCCTACTTTATTTTTATTCATTGCACTTATTACCTTAAATGTTGCCATTTATGTATTTACTTAGTTACTTATTTCTTGCCTGCCTTCCTGACTGGAATATAAATCTTGATAGAACATGAATTTTTTTCTCATTCACCATTCTATACCAAGCACATTGACATGTTTAATGAATGTTTATGGAATAAATGAAGAAAAGAAGGAATAAATAAATGAAGTGAGAAGGCCTGAGGGTTAGAAGATGTAAAGATAAGAGCTTGGGGATAGAAGGGAGTCATGGGGTAGAGAAAAAAAAATGTGTCAAAGTTGTCTCTTCTTTATTTCTGCTATCAGTTTTGCTAAAATAAAGCCTTCCCTGGATAGAGATGAGCAAGCAGGTTTATGGTGGGAGGAGGGAGGGGGGTGTAAAATCTATAGCAGCAGCAGCAGACAGATGAGAAACCAAAGTGGCATAGTGGGGCATGCAGGCAGAAAGAAAATCCCCGTGCCTGTCTTGGGCAGTTTTGGGGAGGGCAGGGGGTTTCAGTCATATTTAGGGATATTAAAGGTCCAGTGACCATCTATGTCAGGCTTCCACTCAGTGGAGACACTTGACTATGAATGATTGTGAAGGCAATTGAAGCATGGTAGCCCCGGTATGTGCAGCCAGAGAACAAACACATATGAAAAGATCTATGACTGGAGGAAAAAAATGATACATATAAAAAGATCTACGATGGGCGAAAAAAAATGATCTTGGGGAAGATAAGACAAGAGTCCAATAAGTTCACCAAAAGATCCTGCAATCTTATGAAAAATTGAGTATGGAGACCAGCAAGGAAGCCAGTGGTAGTCATCTCCAAGAGAGCTATTGGACAGTGCCTTGGGAAGGAGTCTCCTAGGCTACAATTCACAATTCATGGGCCCAGGTAACTAACCTCCCAGTCACTTAGCCAGAGGACACTGCAGGTGTCAAGTCACTCTTCAGTTTTCAGGAACTTACTACTCCCTCTCCTCTTTAGCTTTGGGCCATCACCTTTTCTATGAAAGTATTTTGGAAAGAGAGATATCTTTATTTTTTATTTTGAACAAAGAGGAATCTAAAAGGCAAAATGATATTTTTCATAAAAACAGCAAAAATCTTTTAGCTGAAAAAAATACTAAAAATTAAAGGCAAAACATTACCATCTCTCTCTTAGAAGTGCGTTTTGAATCATTTAATTCATGTCATACATTGAATCTAGTGATAAGACCATTTACTGTATAGATGGCTACATGCAATTTTAAGCCACAGTAACTTCTTTTCTCTCTGGAGCTGAAGGCAATCATAACTGCAAACTGTAATCTGTTCTCTCCTATATAACATGTGAAAAGCATTGGCCATGTTTATCAGGGAAATAAACTGAAGAAGAGTCGTCTGCTGTGTCTGATATGTATCTTCATATTAATATTAGGCTGATATTGTTTAATAGCGGATGTCATTGCGCTAATTCTGTACTCCAACCAATTGTTAAAGTGGCAGCAACAGCTATTCAAGGAAAACTAATATTTAATAGTTGTTTCTCCAACCCCTCCTTAGAGCTTTTTAAGACTATTTTTTAAAAGCCGATTTCCAGGCAGGGTGCTGTGGCTCATGCCTGTAATCCCACCACTTTGGGAGGTCGAGGCGGGCAGATCACGAGGTCAGGAGATCAGGACCATCCTGGCTAACACGGTGAAACCCAGTGTCCACTAAAAATACAAAAAATTGGCCGGGTGTGGTGGCAGGCACCTGTAGTCCCAGCTACTTGGGAGGCTGAGGCAGGGGAATCGCTTGAACTCAGCAGGCAGAAGTTGCAGTGAGCCAAGATCACTCCACTGCTCTCCAGCCTGGGCAATAAAATGAGACTCCATCTCAAAAAAGAAAAAAATATTATTTCCAGTTATAGATATCACGGACTATACAAGGACATAGTTTCAGAATTAGAATTTTCCCTTGCCATCATCATTATTTGTCATAAGAAAACTCTTATCTTAAAAACTCTTATCGTAAGGCATGATTAAAAAGCAGCTGATATTAATACTGTTTATTGTTAGTATCATGATACCATAATCCTCGTAATAACATCATTGGCATAGTCTATAGAAGTTATAATGGATACCAGGCCTATCAGAAATATCACACTGTGAGAAACTAGTTTAAAATGAAAGCGAAATCTTAAAAATTGAAAAGACATTTTCAGAACAATCAGACAGAAGATTAGGAAGGAAACAGAAGACTTAAACAACTCTGTAAACCAGCTTGACCTTACGGACATATATAGAACACTAGAGCCATCAAAAAACAAAACAAAACAAAACAAAACAACATAATATATACATTCTTCTCCAGCACACATGCATGGAACATTCTCCAGAGTAGACTATATTTAGGCCATAAAACAAGCCTTGGCAAAATTTAAAATGATTGAAATTATGCAAAAAATGTTTGCTGACAACCAGAAAATGAAATTAGAAATCAATATTAGAGGAAAACTTGAGGGTCTCACAAATACATGGAATTAAATATTACTCCTAAATAATTAAAGAACCAGTCACAAAGGAATTAGAAAGTACTTTGAGATAAATGAAAATGAAAACATAGTATATCCAAATTTAGAATATTCAGTGAAATTTATAGCTATAAATGTTTATATTTAAAAAATTAAAATCTAAAATGAAAAATTCTAAACTTAAATCTTAACTTTTTCAGTTACACACTAAAAAAGAAGAAAAAGCAATCTAAAGCAACCAGAAGTAAGAACACAGTAATTATAAAAGCAAAAGTAAATAAAAAATAGAAAAACAATAGAGGAAATAAAGACAAATAAGTCAGTTCTTTGAAAAGGTTAAAAAAATTGACAAATCAACCAAAAAATAGATGAATTGGACTCCATCAAAAATAAAATATTTTATCCTTCAAAATGGACATCCAAGAAAGTGAAAGACAAGCCTCAGAAGAAGAGAAAATATTGTCAAATCATGTGTCTGTTATGCATCAGGCATCAGGATTATAGTCATGCATTGTTTAATGACATTTTGGTCAATGATATAATGCCTATACAATGATGATCCCATAAGATTATAATGGAGCTGAAAAATTCTAATTGCCTCATGATATCATAGCCATCATAGCATCATAGCACAATACATTTCTCACATGATGTGGTGATGCTGGTGTAAACAAATCTGTGCTGCCAGTTATATAAAAGTATAGCACATACATATGTACAGTATATATGTACAGTGTATCATATTTGATAATGATAATAAATGACTGTTACTGATTTATGTATTCACTATATTATATTTTCTATTGTGATTTTAGAGTTCACTCATTCTACTTATAAAAAACTTAACTGTAAAATAGCTTCAGGAATATTCTTCAGGGGATATTTTAGAAGAAGGCATTGTTATTATAGAAGATGGCAGCTCCATGCATGTAATTGCCCCGAAGAGCTTCCAATGGGACAAGACATACAGTGATATTGATAATCCTGTTCCTGTGTAGGCCTTGGCTAATGCCGTGCTTGTGCCTTAGTTTTTAATAAAAACAGTTTAAAAAGTTAAATAAGAATATTAAACATAGAAAAAAGCTTAAAGAATAAGGATGAGAAAAACATTTTATGCAGCTGCAGAATGTGTTTTAAGCTAAGTGTTATTGCAAAAGATACAAAGGTTTTTTTAATATTTATAAATAAAAAGGTAACAATAAGCTAAGGTTAATTTATTATTGAAGAAAGAAAAATAGTTTTATAAACACAGTGTAGCCTAAGCACAGTGTTTATAAAGTCTACATTTTTGTACAATAATGTCCTATGTCTTCACATTTACTCAATACACACTCACTGACTTACCCAGAGCAAGCAACTTCCAGTCCTGTAAGCTCTCTTCATGGTAAATACTATAGAGAGGTATACAATTTTTCATCTTTCCTTTTTTTAACCACATTTTACTGTACCTTTTCAATGTTTAGATGATTAGATTCACAAATACTTAACCATTGTTTTACAATTGCCTACAGTACTCAGTACTGCAACATATTGTACAGGTTAGCGGCCTAGGTACAATAAGCTATAACATAAACGTTAGATGTGTAGTAGGCTATACTAAGTTGGTGGAAATACACTCTACGATGTTTTCACAGGGACTAAATTGCCTAAAGATGCATTTCAAAGAACATATTCCATTATTAAGAGTTGTATAAGTATATATAAAGAACACTTACAACTGAACAACAAAAAGATAAATAATTAGAAATTGAACAAATAATTTAAATAGACTTTTTCCAATATAAATATACTACTATCCAATAAGCAAATGTAATATTAATGTTTAGAGAAGTTCAAAACAAACCCACAATGAGATACCACTTCACATCTGCTATGATGGCTATGATAAAAAAGGTGGATAATAGGAGTTGAAAAAATGTGGGAAAATTGGAACCCTCCTGCATTGGACGTGCAAATGTAAAATGGTCCAAGCACTTTAAAAACATTTTGGCATTCCTTCAGAAAGTTAAAAATAAAATCATTATCCCATCAATTTCATTCCTATTTACATTAACAAGATAATTGAAAACTTACTCAAATACCAGTAAACAATTTCCACAGCAGCCTTATTCATAATAATGAATTTTTTTCATATAGTAAACATAAGAAAAATGTCCATCAACTGAATGGATGAAAAAATGATATATTCATATAATGGCATATTATACTGCCTGATTAAAAATGAGTGAAGCAATGTTACAAGCTACAATATGAATGACACTTTAAAACACTGCACTGATTTAAATAACCAGATACAGTGAGATTTCATTTATATGAAGTACCCAGAAGAAGCAAATCTATAGAAAAAGAAAGTAGATAGGTGTTCACTAGAAAATAGAGTAAGAGAGTATAGTGGATGTCCATTAATGGTTGGTTTCTTTTGCTGCTGATGAAAATATTCAAGTTTCACATAATGTTGATGGTTTAATAGCCATGGAAAAATTATAAAATAGCAGTGTGTATAACATGCACAATATATCTCAATGAAAATAATACATAAATAAATTCCTTTTATAAAATAAAACAATCCCTCTGCCTGTGTTCTGCATCCTGTTTCTTCTCATCTTCTTAAGAACCCCAAGCTTTCATTTATTTCCTACTTCTCTCATTTCTTCAAACATTCCCTCTTTATGCAACACAGCATTTAAACATACTGAAACCACTTTTTGCTTGGAACATCAGCAAGATGGTAGCATAAGAAGGCCTGGACCCTCCTTTCCCCTACAAACATACCTATTCAGCAAAAATTTATGAACAAATTATCTTTGTGAGAAATCTAGAAACTAGTAGAACCAGAGTTCTCTTAAATTCTGGATGAGAACAAAACTACCCAAATTGAAGGGAGTAGGGATAATTTAAACACCATATTACTATACTCCTTACCTTTGGCACAGTGCCATACAATTAGGAGGAAACCCCCCAACACTCAGCTTCTTCCTGAGGAAGGAAAGAGTAGACTGCATCCAATGACCTAACTTTTCTGGGAGCTAACCATAGGAGTGCCTTCTGTCTAGCCCATCTTGCAGCACTGATGGGATCTGAAATAACCTAGCCACTTAAGAGAGAACAGAGGCAGTGGTTTAAGCTGGCAGTCACTAGAGCTGCTCCTTTCAGCTCAATGGAAGAAAATAACCTAACTTCCAGCTTCTCCATGAGGAGGGAAAGAGATGGGCTGTGTACCTTTTACCCTACATTTCCAGGGTTACTCAGAGAACTGGCTTCAGTCTAGTCTGTCTCAGAGTGTTGATAGGACCCAACATAATCTAGCCACTTGGGGGTCAGTGAGAACAGAGTTAATAGTTGGACCTAGTACACAACTAGCCGCCACAGCCCTTCCCCACTAGTGAATCCATAGCAAAAAGGTAATATCTCAACTCCAGATACTAACTTCTCTTTGGGGAGGGAGCGATTTGGGCAGAGTATCCAAAAATTTAAATTTGAGGGGGCTTTCCTAAGGAATTTTCTTTATTCTTGCTTATCTTGGAGAACTAATGAAATGCAGCATTCTCCAGACCACAGTAGGCCACTAACAACAAAGAAAGCAAGCTGAACCACCATGAAGTTTGGAGAGGCCCCCAGAATCTCTGGCCAGGCTAATTGGTGAGGGTCTTATTTTGTAAAAGTCCACTCTTTGGAGACTTGAAAGGTGGGTGTTTTGTCTTATGTGCAGACACCAACATAGAGAGTCAAGGAAAATGAAGACACAGGGAAATGTGACCCAAACAAAGACACAGAATAAATATCTAGAAATTGACCCTCATGAAATGGAGTTATTATAGTTTATATGAAAGAGATTTCAAAATAACTGCTGAGGACAGCAAGGTTAGAAGAACAATATGTGAGTATTTACAATATCAAAAAATAGATAGTAATATTTTTAAAGTACCAAACAAAAATCATGGAGCTGAGGAAGAGGATTAATAAAATAAATAAAAGGAAAAAGAGGGAAAAAAGTGAAGAAAGCTTAAAGGACTTATAGGACACCATTAAGTGGACCAATATGCGTGTATGGAAGTAAAATAAGGAAGAAAGGGAGAAATGGCTGGAAAGTGTATTCAAAGAAATAATGGCTAAAATATTTGCAAATCTGGATAAGAAAGTGGATATCCAAATCTAGGAAACTCAAAAGATAATAAACTAAATGAATTCAAAGAAATCCACACTAAGACACATTAGAATCAGTAAAACTGATAGACAAAGAAAAAATTTTGAAAGCAGCAAGAAAAAAATCACTTGCCACTTTCGAGAACATCTCCACAAGACTATCCATGAATTTTTTTTAACAGAAACTTGCAGGCCAGGAAGAAATGTAATAATATATTGAAAGATATGAAAGAACAAAACAAATTTAAAAACACAAAATTAAAAAGAGCAACTAGCAACCAAGAATATTATACTCAGCAAAAATGTCCTTCAAAAATGAAGAGACTTTTCCAGACAAATAAAAGTTGAGGGAGATCATTATCAGACTTGCCTTACCAAGAAATGCTGAAGGAAGTTTTTCAACTTGAAATAAAACATGCTAAACCACAACAAGACTACATAAGAACATATAAAACTCATTGCTAAAGGTAAATATACAGACAAATACAAATTGAGTTGATCCTTAAACAACAAAGGTTCGAATCGTGTGGGTGCATTTATATGTGGATGTTTTTCAACCAAATGCAGATTTAAAATACACATGAAACTTCTGTATACTTTCCACATGCATAGATTCTACAGGGTCAATAGCAGGACCTGAGTATGCACAGAGTTTGGTATATATGGTGGGGGGTTGGTCCTAGAACCAATCCACTACATATAATAAGGATAACTATATTGCAATATTGTAGCTGGGACTGGTAAATCATTTTTTTTTTTTTAATTTTGAGATGGAGTCTTGCTCTGTTGCTCAGGCTGGATTGCAGTGGCACGATCTCGGCTCACTGCAACTTCCACCTCCTGGGTTCAAGCTATTCTCCTGCCTCAGCCTCCCAAGTAGCTGGGATTACAGGTGTTCTCCACCAGACCAGGCTAATTTTTGTATTTTTAGTAGAGATGGGATTTCACAATCTTGGCCAGGCTCGTCTTGAACTCCTGACCTCATGATCCACCCACCTCAGGCTCCCAAAGTGCTGGGATTACAGACGTGAGCCACTGCGCCAGGGTGGCAAATCACTTTTAATATTAGTACATGATTTTTCCCAACTCTAGGCTAACGTAAGTGATCTAAGCATGTTTCAGGTAGGCTAGGCTAAGCTATAGTGTGTTCGTGTATTAGTGTACTAATGTAGGTGTATTAGTTCGTTTTCTATGTGTATTTGTGGGTGTATTAGTTCATGTTCACACTGCTACAAATAGCTGCCCAAGATTGGGTAACCTTATGAAGAAAAGAAGGTTTAATTGACTCACGGTTCTGCATGGTTAGGGAGGCTTCAGGAAACTGACAATCATGGCAGAAGAGGAAGCAGACACATCTTACATGGCAGCAGACAAGAGAACAAGTGTGAAGAAGGAACTGTCAAACATTTATAAAACCATCAGCTCTTGTGAGAACTCATTCACTATCACGAGAACAGCTTGAGGAAAACCACCCCATAATCCAATCACCTCCCACCAGGTTCCTACCTTGACACGGGGGGATAATTTGAGATGAAATTTAGGTAGGAACACAGAGCCAAACCATATCAGTAGGTTAGATGTATTAAATGTGTTTTTGACTTAGGATATTTTCAACTTACAATGGGTTTCTTGGGATGTAACCCCACTGTAAGTTGAGGAGCATCTATATATTACAAAGCTACAGTACCTAAAAAAGTATGATGCTGGCATAAAGACAACTATATAGCTCAATGAAATATAATAGAGAGTCCAGAAACCAATCTCTCTCTATATATAGCTAACTGATTTTTGATCAGGGTGCCAAGAGTACACAATGGGAAAAGGATAGCTTCTTCAACAAATTGATTTAAGACTACTGGGTATCCACACGCAAACAAATGAAATTGGATCCCTCTTTTACACTACACACAAAAATCAACCCAAAATCTATTACAGAATTAAATGTATGTCCTGAAACTGTAAATCCCCTAGAAGAAAACATAGTGGAACATGTTTATGATATTGGTTTTAGCAACGATTTTATGGATATGACACCAAAACAGTAGGCAACAGAAGCAAAAATAGACAAGTGGGACTACATCACACTAAAAAGCTTTGCAAAACAAAGGAAATAATCAACAGAGTAAAAAGGCAATGTATGAAATGGAAAAATATGTTTGTGTACCATGTATCAGATAAAAAGTTAATTTCCAAATTATATGGAAATTCTACAACTTAATAGCAAAAACAAAACAAAGCAAAACCAAAAAAATATGAATGATGTGATTTATAAAATGGGCTAAAGTCTTAAACAGACATTTCCAAAGAGGTCATAAAAATGGGCAACAGGTATATCAAAAGATTCTCCGTGTCACTAATGATCAAGGAAATGAAAATCAAAACCACAATGGGATATCACCTCACACCTGCTGGAATGGCTACTATCAAGAAGATAAAAGATAATAATTGTTGGTGAGAATAAGGAGAAAAGGGAACCCTTGGTGGGAATGCAAATGGATATAGCTGCTATGAAAAACAGTATAGTTTCCTCAAAAATATTAAAACTAGAGCTACTATATAATTCATCAGTCCCACCTCTGGGTAATTATTTACTCAAAATAATTGAAATCAGGATGTCAAAGAGTTATTAGCACTCTAGTGTTCATTGCAGAATTATTCATAATAGTGAAGATGTGGTCACAACCTAAATGTCCATCGATGAATAAATAAAGGAAATATGGTATGTAAATACTGTGGAATAATATTTATTCTTAAACTCCTCCAATATATAATAACATGGTTAAACCTTGAGTACATTATGCTAAGTGAAATAAGCCAATCACAGAAGGACAAATACAGCATGATTCCACTTATATGAGATATCTAAATTATTCAAACTCATAGAATCAGAGTACAGTTGATTGTTGCCAGGGGCTGACTAGAGGGTGAAATGAGGAATTATTAATCAATGTATATAAAGTCTTAATTCTGCAATATGGAGAAGTTCTAGAGATCTGCTGTACAATATTGTCCCTTTAGTTAACAATATTGTTCATTTAAATACAGTATTCATAAAAAGCGTTGACCTCACGTTAGGTGTTCTTACCAAAATCAAATTATATTGTGTGGCACTGTATTATATGATGTGATATATATGCATACATATATATACACATACATATATATATATATACACACACATACATATGTACATACATATATACACAATATATATTATATATACAATAAAACAATTTTATGTAAAATAAACAAAATAACCATTACATACTTGAATCTCATATTATTCAGCTGCCACCCTCATTATACCTGACATTTCAGTAGCAGTGGCCATAGTTGACCATTCCTTTCTTCCTGAAACTTCCACTTCCTTTGGCTTCTGTCTCTCCTGATCTCTCATCCACCACACTGACTGCTGTTACTCTACCACCTTTTCTAGTTGTTTTCTATGTGATTTTTAAAAAATGGAGTTTTGTAGCATATATCCCTCAAAATGCATACATACAGAAATACATATTCATACATGCATATATGTATTTGTGTGTATACATATACACACACACACACCCTCAAGTGATATCAAGTTTAGATAACTCCTTTCAGGTATCTATTTTCAGCTTATCCCACAGCTTACTTATGATATCCAGGTTAGTATACTATATTCCACTTCCTGTTCAACATATATAATTGAATATTTAAAAAGCAACTCAATTTCAGC
This sequence comes from Homo sapiens, assembly GCF_000001405.40. Taxonomy (NCBI): domain Eukaryota; kingdom Metazoa; phylum Chordata; class Mammalia; order Primates; family Hominidae; genus Homo; species Homo sapiens. Next base: position 108,282,850 of record NC_000010.11, on the reverse strand, counting down.
AAATCCAAAACTGAGATCTTGGTCAATACTCCCATAACCTGGTTGGTGCATAGCATCACAAATGTGTAGGTCTAAATATTTATTATGTTGAACAAATGTAGAAACCATCCTTCATATCTTTGTCTCCCTTCCTCCCTGCATCTAGTTTCTTCATCAGTTTCTGGTAATTCTAAGTATCTCTTGATAGCATTGCTCAAGTAAATAACTGCAAACTGTTTTGCTGTAGCAGTTTCTAAATAAGGACATTTTAAAAGCCTGCTTAAGGCTGTAGTGGTGCCCTTACCTTTAAGCTGAGTGTAGCCTCCTAAAGTGTGTCGCATTAAAAAAAGCAATTTGTGTTATGGTTTAATAAGCTCAGTTAGCTCTAATGATGCATCTTCTTTCTTCAGAGATCAAAGATAATTTCCATAATTGTAGGTTCAAGCAAATTTTACATTTCTTTATTACTTTTTCTTTTTCTCTGTTGTTTGAGCCACACACTGTGAATTTAACACAAACCCAATTTTTCTCTACCTTCCTCATGGAAATAAATTATATTTTCTGCCACTGTTCTCTCAGTCTGCCATAGAGGAAACAAATGCAAAACAGGCCTGATACCATGCTATTATAGGGCCATTTCACATCATGTTGTTAAATCACGAAGGCGCAAGTCATTTGTCAAAAATACATTTACTTGAATCATACTTGCTTTATGTGCAAGGGGTGCTGGATTCATATCTAGCTTTCACTCAATAATTTATCAAAGTCTAATTTGTTTGAAATATAATGAAAAACAACCCTTAATAAAGTTAAACAAAAATTTCTGTAACTGAGAATAGTTCATTGGATAAAATATACAGCTCATCACAATATAGCAACACCATTATGCAGATTTTAATAGTTAAGAGGTTGGTGCAGCATTTCAAAATAGACATGATAAATTCCATTTAATAAAATTTTGTAAATTTCTCTGCATTTTAAAATGGTTGGTATTATATACTTCTTTATACTTTTCCAATTTTCTACTCACCCCATGCCTCTTTTCTGTATGTGTTAAGAAGAAAATAATAATCTCATGCGCTATAGACAGAGGTTTTGTTTTTCCTTTTGGTTTCAACTGAAATTCAGTAACTAGAAAACTATTATCTCTAGTCTATCAATATAACAATCTAGTGTACAAAGGAAAATGCAGTACTTGCTATTTACTAAACCTTAAAGACCCTCCTGGAGTTCTAGAGAAAATACTTCTCGTGCTTCGAGAAATCAAGGGTCCTTAGTCAGGTGGCAGTGAATTTAGGGCTGGTGAGCTAATATGCTTCCTTGCCCCCAGCCAAAGTTATCCCAACAAGTAGCGGGGCCATTATAACATAGTGGCTAAATATGCATGTTCTACCATTTGGCTTTTCTGCTTTGAATCATGGTTTTGTCACTGTCTTAGCTATGTAAACTTGTATAGATTACTTCTCTGTTTTTTAGTTCCCATGCAATATTGATCATAATAACATCATGAATTTGAGTTAGCAAAATAACTAAATCATAGGATCATACACCTGACTCGCAGCAGGCACTCGGTTTGGAGGGACCGAGGATAGCTCCACCAGCTTAATCCATTTGATCAAAAAGAACATTGAAGCAACCTTCACTTCTCCCATCTCCTTTTGACTGGAGTTAATGGGGCTTTTGACATCTCTCTACTCCTAACTAACTTCAGAGACATTCCTGAGCCATGGAATTTAAGTAGCACTTCTGGCTGCTGAATAATTCACAGGATTTATAATGACTTTTTAGTTATTTTATTTTATATTTTGAAACTGGGTTTTTGTAGCCCAGGCTGGAGTACAGTAGCGCAGTCTTGACTTCCTGAGCAAAAGCAATCGTCCCTATTACCCTCCCAAATAGCTGGTACCACAGGCGTGCACTGCCATGCCTGGGTTAATTTTGTTTTTTGTAGAGACAGGGTCTCCCTATGTTGCCGATGCTGGTCTTGAACTCCAGGGCTTAAACAATCCTCCCACCTTGGTCCCCCAAAGTGCTGGGATTACAGGCATAAGCCACTGTGCTTGGCCTATTATGTCTGTTGTGTGATCTGGATATAAATGTGTCTATAACATTACTGCCTTCTCAACCTCATCTTCCTGCCATGTTGTTTCTGGCCATAGGACTGGGCATTTCTCTCTTGGCTTTTTTGTACTAGACTTGAATTCCCACATTTGGTTTCTGAATCTTAGCCTACTTGGCAAGGTTCTTAGACATTCCATCCTGATTTTGTGATCAACTTCTCCCATGAAGATGAATTTTCTTTCATCATCAGCCATATGCTAGCGTCTTGTGGCAAATGAACATATTACCCAGAGGGATAGTAATTCAAACTTAGAGAAACATGTCTTTACAGGAATCATGTTGGCACTTCTGGATTTGATATCCATGAATATCAGAACATGTCTGAAACCCTTCTAAGTTTGTTACATACCTTTGGATACATGTTGTGGATGACTACCTATTTGCAAGGGTCAGCCCTTCATCCCTGTCATTTGCTATAGAAGCAAGAAAGGCTTCTTTTACTGGCTATGGCTAGAATGGTGATTTCCAAACTTGCTCATAATTTAAGCCTATCTGTAGTCATTAAATAAATAAAGGATGTCAAATTTCCCTTTGATCGTCAAGAAGGATTTTCATTTTCAGTCTGGGTGGTAAGGGTAGAATGATGGTATCAGTGAAACTCAGCTTTTAGGCATACTTCTTTTAGAGAAGATTATTATTCTCTATGCCAAAAAATCTCACCATCAATGAGAATTTCAAATGTCTTGGAGTCTTTGTTCTACATATATTAGATTCATTGTACTATACTTCTGGTAGTATGGTTCTGCTTTTGATGAATTATTTCACCATTTGTATTTCTGAAAAGTTTTGTTTTCTTTTTATCACCTGTATTGAGCTATATGACATACAATAAAATGCAGACATTTAAGAAGTGTAAGTGAATTCATTTTGATATATGTACAAACCTGAAAACCATCACTGTTGCAATATAGCAAACAAAGTCACCCTTCCCAAGTCGTCAACTGTTCCCCTTAAAATATCTTTCTCCCACTCTTACCAAACCACTCTAGACAAACTTGATCTGCTTTCTGTCACAGTAAGTTAGTTTGGATCTTTTAGACTTTTATATAAAAGAAAGCATTAAGTATAAACTCTTTTTTGTCTGACTTCTGTAACTCTGCACAATTATTTTGAGATTCATTCATGTTGTAGAATATATCAATAGTTCATTCCTTTATTGTGGAGTAGTATTGTGTTGTTTTTATTGTAAGGGTATCTAAAAACTTGTCTATTTATTCACCTCATGGTAAACATTTGGGTTGCTTCCAGCTTTTTACTATTACAATTGAAGTTTCTATAAACATTCTGTACAAGACTTTGCAAATACATTTGCTTTCATTGGGTAAATACTGAATGGCTGATGCCTGGACAAGGTACTTAAACAAATTTATAAAAAAAATTAATAACCAGGCAAAGGACAGGAACAGACACTTCTCAAAAGAAGACACATACATGTGGCCAAGAAACACACACAAAAAAGCTCAAGGCCCGACAGGGTGGCTCACGCCTGTAATCCTAGCACTTTGGGAGGCCAAGGTGGATAGATCACTTGAGGTCAGGAGTTCAAAACCAGCCTGGCCAACATGGTGAAACCCTGCTCTACTAAAAATAGAAAAAAAATAGCTGAGCATGGTGGTAGGTGCCTGTGTCTGTAATCCCAACTACTTGGGAGGCTAAGTCAGGAGAATCACTTGAACCCGGGAGGCAGAGGTTGCAGTAAGCCAAGATTGCACCACCGCACTCTAGAGTGGGAGACAGAGCGAGACTGTCTCAAAAAGAAAAGCTCAACATCACTGATTATTAGAGAAATACAAATCAAACCACAATGATACCATCTCACAGCAGTCGGAATGACTATGATTATTATTATTATTATTTCTTCAACTTTTATTTAAGTTCAGAGGTACATACGCAGGATGTGCAGGTTTCTTACATAGCTAAATGTGTGCCGTGGTAGTTTGCTGCCCAGATTATCCCATCACCTAGGTATTAAGTGCAGTATCCATTAGCTATTCTTCCTGATGCTCTCCATCCCCCAATCCCCCACCTTCCTATAGGCTCCAGTGTGTGTTGTTCCTTCCTATGTGTCCATGTGATCTCCTCATTCAGCTCCCACTAATAAGTGACAACATGTAGTGTTTGGTTTTCTGTTCCTGAGTTAGTTTGCTGAGTATATTCTTAAGATAAAGCTACACAAGGAATTTGTTTCCTATCATTTACATCATATGTCATGGACTGAGCATTTAAGTCAGAAAAGAAGTGTTTATAACTATTTTCTAAAATAAAGTCATGGAATTTTATTAATAACTAGAAATTATATGATATGAAAAGGTGGATACAATTAGGTAGGATGACTAATTCAAGGCCAGGTTACAGAGGAATGTGACTAAATTATAGAACACTCAGGATTGGTGTAGATCCTGAGAAGGCTTCTCTTCCACAGCATTTCCAAAATGTGCTAACTTGGGTCAACATACATACAGAACAAATGTCCGGTCATTCTGAATGTATGAAAGAGGAGAAGGGAAACAAGAAGGGAAAAGCATAAAATGGATATTCTCAAGAGTAGGACCTCATATGCATGCTCATAAAAGTTAGAGCAATCATTTTATATCTAAATTTTGATATAGAATATTGATCATTAATCATTAATATTAATTAAAACATTGTATTTCAAGTGACATACTTTGGTCAATCCCATATCAAACTCATACATTTTAGTTTTGAAGAATCATTTAGATATAGTCCATATCTTACAGAAGAAAAAAAAGGGTTCAGCAAAGTCAGTAATTATTTGAGATTATGCCATTAGCTAACAGAAGAGCTGAAATTACAGTCCAGACATTCTGACAAACTATTCAGTACATGGTCTGCTTTTCTATTAGTTAAATAAAATTCTGATCTTATTTGCTTTTTGTTCCTATCCCTATTCAGATCTTGTATTATCTATTTAAATTTATTTTCAAATATTATTAATACCTTATTGTGTGCTACCAGGAAGTGACCAATCATTTGAATAGAAAATGCATGGTCTCTGCTTTCATATAGCTTATGTGAGGCAGACATTGAGCTAAAAATGCTAATTATGGGGTCTTTGAGGAAAGAAGTCTAATGTACTCTGATAAATCCAGTGTTAATATTTCAGTTTTAATATTATAGATGTAGAGACCGAAATAACTCAACAGTTTTTTTAGACAGAACCTGAGATAATTTTATTTCAGCTTTCTGCCATTTTGTATCTATTTGCAGACATTATACAGGAGCATTGGTTTGTATCAGTTCTGTAAACTAAAATTAAAATTGTAACACCCGCCCCCCCACCCCCCCGCTCCCCGCATATCTGAATGGACTTTCTCAGACAGGGCATTTTTAAACTTTAACTCAAGAGACTGGTTCAGGCCATGCTGGGAAGTGGGGGTCAGATATGCCTCATTATACCCCTCCAGCATTAATATCATCACAGATCTTAAGTCTGATAAGAAACATGTTACAACCTGTTCTTTCTGAAGCCTGCTACCTACCTGAAGGATTCTTCTGCAAATAAGAACTCTGGTCTTCACAACCTCTTATCTTAACCCAGACATCCCTTTCTTTTGATCCCAGGTCTTTAGATGGACTCAACCAATTGTCAACCAGAAAATGTTTTAATCTACCTATAAGCTGGAAGCTCCCCCACGTCAAGTTGTCCTGCCTTTCTGGACCAAACCAATGCATTTCTTAAATGCATCTGATTGAAGCCTCATGCATCCCAAAACTGTATAAAACCAAGCTGCATCCCGACCACCTTGGGCACCTGTCCTCAGGATCTCCTGCGGGCTGTGTTATGGGCCATGGTCACTCATATTTTGCTCAAAATAAATCTCTCCAAATATTTTACAGAGTTTGACTCTTTGTCAACAGTTCCTAGATATTTTAAGGGAATTCGATAACATTGAATATCTTATTATATCTACAGACTCCCTTTTGAGAAAAATACATTCATGAACTGTTGTGATTTTCAGTTTTGGCTTTCACAATATCCACCCCACTTCTAGTTATAAAGGCCTGATTTTTTCAGGAAATTCTCTCCACTGTTGTGTCATTATGATTTGAATCAGTGGTATTTGCCACTTTCTGGCCACTGTTATAGTTCAGGAATAATCCTTTATCCAAGTTAGCACATTTTGGAAATGCTGTTGAAGAGAAGCCTTCTCATTCTGCTGGACTCAAAGAAGTCCTAAGGCAATAAGGCAATAAGGTGGCCACGTGGGAGACCTCATGCATGTGAAGCCAACACACAGGAAAACAGAAGTGAGAGAAACAGCGCAGGAGGTCCCTGATGATCACTACTGAGTCCATGGATCATGAGTGAAGCTGAATTCTACTCCTGAAATTATCTTATGTAGAAGTCAGTGTAGTCCCAATTTTGCTTAGCCAATTTAATATTAATTTTCTGATGCTTGTAATACAAAATATCCTCCCTAGATGCTATCTAAACTGTACAGCAGAACACCCATTATAGGAATCTCACCAGGTCGTTCTGTGAACTGCTTTTAGAAAGGAGAAAAACAAAATAAAGCTGTCCAGCTTTGCAGGATATCAACAGGTTTTCTTTGAAAGTGCTACAGGAGTGAAAATCAGCCAGACATCAACAGAAGCAGTCACAGGAAATTACCGTGAAAATAGCAGCTGTTGCAGTTCTTCAGATCAAAGGGCAGGGAAATCACAGCTCTGAGCTTCTGGGAGCTGATGAGAATCACCACAAACATTCACCAGCATGAATTATGTGCAAGAGCTTTTGCTAGTTTGATGAAAAGAGTCAGAAATATAAGACATGGCTTCAGCTCCAGGAAAAAAAAAAAATCTCTCAGCGTTTGCTTGTCTGTAAAGGATTGTATTTCTCCTTCACTTATGAAGCTTAGTTTGGCTGGATATGAAATTCTGGGTTGAAAATTCTTTTCTTTAAGAATGTTGAATATTGGCCCCCACTCTCTTCTGGCTTGTAGGGTTTCTGCTGAGAGATCCACTGTTAGTCTGATGGGCTTCCCTTTTTGGGTAACCCTACCTTTCTCTCTGGCTGCCCTTAACATTTTTTCCTTCATTTCAACCTTAGTCAATCTGATAATTACGTGTCTTGGGATTGCTCTTCTTGAGGAATATCTTTGTGGTGTTATCTGTATTTCCTGAATTTGAATGTTGGCCTGCCTTTCTAGACTGGGGAAGTTCTCCTGGATAATATCCTGCAGTGTTTTCCAACTTGGTTCCATTCTCCCCATCACTTTCAGGTACACCAATCAGACGTAGATTTGGTCTTTTCACATAGTCCCATATTTCTGGGAGGTTTTGTTTGTTTCTTTTTATTCTTTTTTCTCTAAACTTCTCTTCTCGCTTCATTTCATTCATTTGATCTTCCATCACTGATACTCTTTCTACCAGTTGATTGAATCGGCTACTGTGGCTTGTGCATTCATCACGTAGTTTTTGTGCCATGGTTTTCAGCTCCATCAGGTCCTTTAAGGACTTCTCTGCATTGGTTATTCTAGGTAGCCATTCATCTAATCTTTTTTTCAAGGTTTTTAACTTCTTTGCCAGGCTGCACAGCTTGTGGCTGCAAAAGAGATCCCTCCCTTCTGCTTGAGGAGAGGAGTGGGAAGTGTGGGGAGGACTTTGTCTTGAATTTGGGATACCATCATAGCCACAGCAGAATAGGACACTGGTCATAGTCCTGAGGCCCCCCACTCCAGGACCTAGCTCCCAGACAAAATTTCTAGACACACCCTGGGCCAGAGGGAACCTGCTGCCTTGACTACTTTGAGTTCTGACAGCATTCATCACCTGCTAACTGAAAAGCCCTTGGGCCCTGAATAACCAGCATCAATACTCAGGCACTACATTGAAGGCCTTGAGTGAGTCTCTGAGACTTGCTGGCTTCAGCTGAGACTCATCACATTACCAGCTATGGTGGCTATAGGATAAAACTTCTGCTTCAGAAAAGCAGAGGGAAAAGTAAAGAGACATTGTCTTGTACCTTAGGTACCAAAACTCCCACAGGCAGTAGAATACCAAGCAGGGTCTTGGGGTCCCCGATTCCAGGACTTGACTTTTGGACAGCATTTCTGGAACTGCTCTGGACCAGAGGGGAGCCCACTGCCCTGAAGGGTGAGTCCCAGGCCAGGCAGCATTCACCACAAGCTGACTTAAGAGACCTTGGGCCTTAAGAAGACTTTGGACCTTAAGGGAACATCACGGTTAGTCTTCCAGTACTCCTCATGGCATAGGGTGACAGCGGCTATGGGGTGAGGCTCTTCTGCCTTTGGGAAAGGGAGAGAAGAGTGTGAAGGACTGTATCTTGTGGTTTGAGAGCAAATCAGCCACAAACTAATAGAACACCAGATAGACTTCTTAGGTTTTTGACTCTAATCCCTGACTTCCAGATGTCACTTCTGGACTCACTCAGGGCCTGGGGGACCTTGCTCCCCTGAAGGAAAGGACATGGGCCCGGCTGGTTTTGCAACTGCTGATTGTAGAGTCCCAGGGCCTTGAGCTAACATAGGCAGTAGCCAGGGAGTGGTTATAAAAGGTCTTGGGTAAGACACAGCACTATCCTGACTTCAGGTCTGAACAAGCACAATTATGGCACTGGTGGTCACAGGGGGGCTTCTGTCACTCCACCTCCAGGTTTAGGTGGCTCAGTTATATACAGAGACTCTATGTATTTAGGGAGAAAGTAAGGGGAGATAATAAGAGTCTTTGCCTAGTAATCCAGAGAATTCTCCCAGATCTTGTCCAAGACCATCAAGGCAGTACCTATACAAGTCTGCAAGAGCCACAGTGTTACTGGCCTTGGGATAAACCCTAAAGCAGATACAACTTAGATTACAAGATGAAAATATTTTCAAATATCTGGAAAGCCTTCCTAAGAAAGAGAGTTACAAATAAGCCTAGGCAGTAAAGACTACAATAAATACCTAACTCTTCAATGCCCAAACACTGAAGAACATGTACTAGCATCAACATCATCCAGGAAAACGAGATCTCACCAACTTAACTAAATAAGCCAACATGGATCAATCCTGAAAAAACAGAGATATGTGACCTTTCTGTCTGATAATTCAAAATCGATGAGTTGAGGAAACTCAAAAAGTTTAAGATATCACAGAGAATAGATTCAGATTCTATCAGATAAATTCAACAAAGCGTGAGAACTTCGTGAAGCATACACAAGTATCAATAGCTGAATCGATCAAGCAGAAGAAAGGATATCAGAGATTGAAGATCAACTCAATGAAATAAAGCAAGAAGACAAGATTAGAGAAAAAAGAGTGAAAAGAAATGAGCAAAGCCTCCAAGAAATATGGGACTATGTGAAAAGACCAAATCTACATTTGACTGGTATATCTGAAACTGATGGGGAGAATGGAATCAAGTTGGAAAACACTCTTCAGGATATTATCCAGGAGAACTTCCCCAACCTAGCAAGACAGGCCAACATTCAAATTCAGGAAATACAGAGAAAACCACGAAGATGTTCCTCAAGAAGAGCAGTCCCAAGACACATAATCGTCAGATTCACCAAGGTTGAAATGAAGGAAAAAATGTTAAGGGCAGCCAGAGAGAAAGATCAGGTTACCCACAAAGGGAAGCCCATCAGACTAACAGCAGATCTCTCAGCAGAAACCTTACAAGCCAGAAGAGAGTGGGGGCCAATATTCGACATTCTTAAGGAAAAGAATTTTCAACCCAGAATTTCATATCCAGCCAAACTAAGCTTCATAAGTGAAGGAGAAATAAAATCCTTTACAGACAAGCAATGCTGAGAGATTCTGTCGCCACCAAGCCTGCCTTACAAGAGCTCCTGAAGGAAGCACTAAACATGGAAAAGAACAACCAGTACCAGCCACTGCAAAAACATACCAAACTGTAAAGATCATCAACACTATGAAGTAACTGCATCAACTAATGGACAAAATGACCAGGTAGCATCATAATGACAGGATCAAATTCACACATAACAATACTAGCCTTAACTGTAAACAGGCTAAATGCCCCCATTTAAAAGACACAGACTGGCAAATTGCATAAAGAGTCAAGACTCATCAGTGTGCTGTATTCAGGAGACCCATCTCACATACAAAGACACACATAGGCTCAAAATAAATGGATGGAGGAAGATTTACCAAGCAAATGGAAAGCAAAAAAAGCAGGAGTTACAATCCTAGTCTCTGATAAAACAGACTTTAAACCAATAATAATCAAAAGAGACAAAGAAGGGCATTATATAATGGTAAAGAGATTGATATAATTAAAAGGAATCAAAGGGAAATTCTGGAGATGAAAAATGCAATTGGCATACTGAAGAATGCATCAAAGTCCTTTAAAAGCAGAGTGGATCAAGTAGAAGAAACAATTAGTGAGATTAAAGACAGACTATTTGAAAATACACAGTCAGAGGAGACAAAAAAACAATAAAGAAAGATGAAGCACACCTACAGGATCTAGAAAATATCCTCAAATGGGCAAATCTAAGAGCTATTGACCTTACACAGCAGGTAGAGAAAGAGATAGGGGTAGAAAGTTTACTAAAAGGGAGAATAACAGAGAACTTCTCAAATCTAGAGAAAGACATCAATATCCAATTACAAGAAGGTTATAGAACACCAAGCAGATTTAAGCCAAAGAAGACTACCTGAAGGCTTTTAATAATCAAACTCCCAAAGGTCAGTGATAAAGAATGAATCCTAAAAGCAGTAAGAGAATATAAAAAAATAACATATTAATAAAATGGAGCTCCAGTATATCTGGCAGCAGGCTTTTCATTGAAAACATTGTAAGCCAGGAGAGAGTGGCATGACATATATAAAGTGCTGAAGGAAAAACAAACAAACAGAAAACTTTTACCTTAGAATAGTATATCCAGTGAATATATCCTTCAAACCAGACAAGCAAAAGCTAAGGGTTTTCATCAATACCATATTTGTCCTACAAGAAATGCTAAAGGGAGTATTTCAACCAGAAAGAAAACGATACTAATGAACAAGAAGTAATCACCTGAAGGTACAAAACTCGCTGGTAATAATAAGTACACAGAAAAACACAGAAGATCACACCACTTTAAATGTGGCATGTAAGGTACTCTCATTCTAAGTAGAAAGACTAAACATAAGCCAATCAAAAATAACTACAACTTCTAAAGACATAGTCAGTACAGTAAGATATAAATAGAAACAACAAAAAGTTAAAAAGCCAGGGGACAAAGTTAAGGCATAGAGTTTTTACTAGTTTTCTTTTTGCTTGCTTGTGTGTCTGTTTATACAAATAGTGTTAACTTGTTATCAGGTTAAAATAATAGGTTATAAGATTGTATTTGCAAGCCTCATGGTAACCTAAAACCAAAAAACAATAGATACACAAAAAATAAAAAACAAGAAACTAAGTCATATCCCCAGAGAAAATGACCTTCACTAGAAGACACCAGAAGGAAAGAAAGAAGGAAGCTAAGACCACAAAGCAACTAGAAAACAAATAAAATGGCAGGAATAAGTCCTTACTTATCAATAATAAAAACTGAATAAAAATGAACTAAACTCTTCAATCAAAATGCATGAACTGACTGAATTGATAAAAAAAAAAACAAGATCCGTTGACCTGTTGCCTACAAGATACACATTTTACCTATAAAGACACATATAAACTGAACATAAAGAGGTGGAAAAAAAAGATATCCCATGCCAATGCAAACCAAAAAAGAGCAGGAGTTGCTATACCTATATCAGACAAAATAGATTTAAAGACAAGACCTATAAGAAGAGACAAATAAGGTCACTGTATAATGATAAAGGGGTCAATTCAGCAAGAAAATATAACAAATTTAAATATATTTGCATCCAACATTGGAACACCCAGATATATAAAGGAAATATTATTAGAGCAAAAGAGAGAGATAGGTCCCAATACAATAATAGCTGGAGACTTCGACACCCCACTTTGAGTATCATGCCAATAGTCCAAACAGAAAATCAACAAACAGATACCAGACTTAAACTGCACTGTAGACCAAATGGATCTAACAAATTTACAGAGCATACAGATCCAAGAGCTGCAGAATACACATTCCTTTCCCCAGCACATGGATTATTCCCAAGTACACACCATTTATTAGGTCCCCAGACAAGTCTTAAAGGATTTTTAAAACACTGAAATAATATCAAACATCTCTGACCACAATGGAATAAAACTGTAAACCAATAACAAGAGAAATTATGGAAACTATACACATACATGGAAATTAAACAATATGCTCCTGAATGACCAGTGGGTCTATGAAGAAATTAAGAAGAAAATTGAAAAACTTCTTGAAACAAATCATAATGGAAACACAATATACTAAAACCTATGGAATACAGCAAAACCGTTACTAAGAGGAAATTTATAGCTATAAATGCCCACAGCAAAAAAGAGGAATAATTGCAAATAAACAATCTAATAATGCATCCTAAAGAACTAGAAAAGCAAGAGCAAAACAAACCCCAAATTAGAGAAATAATAAAGATCTGAGTAGAAAAACTGAAATGAAGAAATCAATACACAAGATCAATGAAACAAAAAGTTGTTTTTTTTTTAAATTAAACAAAATTAACAAACCTTTAGCGAGACTAAGAAAAAAAGAGAGAAGATCCAAATACATAAAATCAGAAATGAAAAGATATTATAACTGTTACTGCAGAAATTCGAATGATCATTAATGGCTGCTATGAGCAACTATATGCCAAAAAAATGGAAAATTTAGAAGAAAAGGGCAAATGTCTATAGAAGTACAACCTATCAAGATTGAACCAGAAAGAAATTCAAAACCTAAACGGACTAATAACAAGTAATGAGACCACAGTTGTAATAAACTCTCCCAGTAAAAAATAAAAAAAGCCAAGGACTTGATGTTTCACTGCTGAATTCTACCAAACATTTAAAGAAGGACTAATACCAATTCTACTCAATCTACCCCCAAAAAATGGAGGAGGAGGGAATAATTTCAAACTCATTCTATGAGGTTTGTATTACTCTGATACCAAAAAGCAGACAATGTATTAGCCCGATATAAAAAAAAAAATCAAAAAAAGAAAACTACAGGCCAATATCTCTGATGAATATTGATGCATAAATTCTCAACAAAATACCAAACCAAGCTCAACAATATATTAGAAAGATAACATTATGATAGAAGGGGATTTATCCCTGTGATGCCAGGATGGTTCAATATACACAAATCAATCAGTGTAATAAGTCATATAAATAGAATGAAAGATAAAAACCATATTATTTCAATTGATGCTGAAAAGGTATGATATAATATCCCTTCATGATAAAAACTCTTAAAAAACTGGAGATAGAAGGAACATAACTCAACATAATAAAGCCATATACGACAGACCAACAGCTAGCATCATATTGAACCAGAAAAAACTGAAGGCGTTTCCTGTAAGATCTGGAACAGAACAAGTATGCCCACTGTCACTACTGTTATTTAACATAATACTGGAAGTTGTAGCTAGAACAATCATAAGAGAAAGCTATAAAGAGCATCAAAATTGGAAAGGAAGAAGCCAAATTCTTGTTTGCATACGATATTATCTTATGTTTGAGAAAACCTAAAGACTCCACTACAAAACTATTAGAACTGATAAACAAATTCAGCACAATTGCAGGATACAAAATCAACATACAAAAAGCAGTAGCGTTTCTATACGCCAACAGAGAACAATGTGAAAAAGAAATAAAAAACTAATCTCAATTACAATCAGCACACATAAAATTAAAAAGCTGGAAATTAACCAAAGAAGTGAAAGTTCTCTATGATGAAAAATACAGAACACTGATGAGAGAGATTGAATATGACACCAAAAAATGGAAAAATATTCCATATTCTTGAATTAGAAGAATCAATATTGTTAAAATGTTCATACTACCAAAAAAAGTAAAGATTCAATGCAATCCCTATCAAAATACCAAAGACATTCTTCACAGAAATAAGGAAAATTCTAAAATTTATATGGAACCACAAACGACCCAGTATAGCCCGAGGTATTCTAACCAAAAAGAACAAAACTGAAAGAATCATATTACCTGACTTCAAATTATACTACATAGCTATAGTAATCAAAAAGCATGGCACTGGCATAAAAACAGACACATAGACCAATGGAACAGAATAGAGAAGCCAGAAATAAATCTATACACTTACACTGAACTCATTTTTCACAAGGTGCCAAGAGTATACACTGGGGAAAAGACAGTCTCTTCAATAAATTGTTCTGGGAAACTGTAAATCCATATGCAGAAGAATGAAACTGGACCCCTATTTCTCACCATACACAAAAATCAAACAAAATGGATTAAGGACTTAAATCTAAGACCTCAAACTATGAAACTCCTTCAAGAAAACATTGCAGAGCAGAAAATCTCCAGAACATTTGTCTGAACAAAGATTTATTGAGCAATACCCGACAAGCACCAAGCATGGGGAAGCAAAGCAAAAATAGGCAAATGGGATTACATCAAGTTAAAAAGCTTCTGCACAGCAGCAAAGAATACAATCAACAAGGTAAAGAGACAACCCACAGAATGGGAGAAAATATTTGCAAACTACCTATCTGACAAGGGATTAAAAATCGGAACATATATGGAGCTCCAACAACTCTATAGGAAAAAAATGAATAATCCGATCAAAATATGCCAAAAGATTTAATGGACATTTCTCAAAAGAAGGCAAACAAATGGCAAACAGGCATAGGAAACAGTGCTCAACATCACTTATCATCAGAGAAATGCAAATCAAAACTACAATGAGATAATCTCACCCAAGTTAAAATTGCTTATATCCGAAAGACAGGCAATAACAAATGCTAGTGAGGATGTGGAGGAAAGGAAACTCTTGGACACTGTTGGTGGGAATGTAAATTATTACAACCACTATAGAGAACAGTTTGGAGGTTCCTCAACAAATTAAAAATAGAGCTACCATAAGATCCAGCAATCCTACTGCTGGGTATATACCCAAAAGTAAGGAAATCAGTATATCTAAGAGGTAACTGCTCTCCCATGTTTATTGCAGCACTATTTACAATAGCTAGGATTTGGAAGCAACCTAAGTGTCTGCCAACAGATGAATGAATAAAGAAAATGTGGTACATATACACAATGGAGTACTATTCAGCCATAAGAAATAACAAAATCCAGTCAGATGCAACAACATGACTGGAACTGGAGATCATTACGTTTAAGTGAAATAAGCCAGGCACAGAAAGACAAACATCACACCTTCTCACTTATTTGTGGGATCTAAAATTGAAAACAATTGAACTCATGGACATGGAGAGTAGAAAGATGGTTACCATAGGCCGGGCTAAAGGTAGTTGGGTGTGATGGTGGGGGTGGGGTGAGGTGGGGATGGTTAATAGGTACAAAATATAGAAAGAATGAATAAGACCTAGCACAACAGGATGACTACAGTCAATAATAACTTGATGGTACATTTTAACATGACTCGAAGGGCTTTACTGGATTGTTTGTAACTCTTAAGGATAAATCCTTGAGTGGATTGATACCGCATTCTCCATGATATGCTTATTTCACATTGCATGCCTGTATCAAAACATCTCTTGAAACCCATTAATATATAAACCTACTATATTCCCACAAAAATGAAAAATATAAATAAAAATTTTTAAAATTGATTTAATTTCACTTATGTGAAATTATATGTCTGTCTGTATACACACAAGGAATTCAATGACAGCATTGCTTGTAATAGCCACATAATTAAAACAACAAAATCACATTATCCATTAACAAAGGGCTGGTTAAATGAATTATAATTAATCTCTTTGTTAGAATTTCAAGCATCTGCAAAATGAATGAGGAAGCTTTCCATGGACCCATGGACATAATGAAGGAGCTGTAATAGATATATCTAAATAAAAACTGGGAATAATAGACATGGCAGGCAAATTTTGTTTAGAAAAAGATGTAGTAACAATTTATATTTGTTTATATTTTTGTAAAAAACAACAAAAAAAGATGTCTAAGAAACAGATAAAAGTGGTTGGTTTTCTATGAAGAAGAGAGTAGAATCTAAGTGAACAAGGAAAAAACTGAGTCTGTTCTCCATACAGTTTTAAGATTTTTATATACATATTTTCACATATTTAAACCATGTAAATATATACTCAACCATTAAATATAGAAAGTTGCTCATGAGAAGACTATGTTAAGCAGAGACCTGAATGGTACATGTAGTGTGGCTCCAATTCACAATTCAACATAAAACTACAAAGGAATAACTGAAGAACATGTACATCTATGCATTTTGGGGCCTACTTAATATCATTAATCCTTTTATGTCTCTGGGAGAATATATCTAATTCCTGTTCTTTATTATCAGGCAAAATTCATTGTTCTCCTAAAGCATAATGTGCTCTTAGTAGGGCTTTGACAATGACAAACTGAGATATGCTTAATGATGTAGAGATGACTATCATCATGGACCACCCCTAATGTCCAGCTCTCCTGGCAGAAGGGATCAGAGAAGGCATCACTAGTCACCGACCAAAGCTCAATCTGTACATGCATGCAGTGTCATAGGTTTTCCCTTCACTGTGCTCTGGCAAAAGACACCGAATAAGTAGAGTAAACACTGATAATAAGCAGCAGCAGCAAAGATTAAGAAGTTGCCTCTTTAGTTTGCCTCTGTACACATGAACAGTATTTGAAGTCTCAGTTGCGTATCAGCAAAATAGGGCAATAACAAATAATTAATAATTTAAATTTAAAAATTTAAAATGCTTACACCTGGGTCTGATATACAGTGATGATGAGAAGAAGGAGGAAGAGGCAGCTAGGAAGGGATGGGGAGGAGAATCCACCTCTCATCTCCTGGTTGTGAATCTTCTGATACAGAACAATCTGAATCATGTTGATAATGAAAGCACCAGGTCACTCTCATAAATATGTTTAGTATATTGGCAGTAAAGGGAGTCAGAGGCACATGCATACATTCCATGAAAAAAATATTTTTCCTAGATTAGGTCTACATTAGACTATGAGATTATGGTTCCCTCACCTATTTACAGCTATATTTTCAATTTGACTGATGTTTATTATAGATATTTATATTAATGATCTTAATGGAGCATTGGTCCCTTATATCTGTGTCATTTTGTAATGGACATTGTCACTTCTCCCACCAGAATTGAAGTACATTTATCATACCCTAAAATCTGGACTCGTCTTGTTATTTGCTTTAATCAATACAGAATGTGGTGAAAGTGATTCTGTGTTCTGCAGCTTAGACCTTAAGGGACCTATCTATAGGGTTTCCTCTTGGCTTTTGAACCCCTGAGATCACCCTACTGCAAACAAGCCCTATTTATTTAATCTAGTGGAAGAAAAGAAGGAAAGCTGAGCTGCCCCAGCTAACAGCCAGCCCCAATAGCTAGATATAAATGTCAGGCTACTTGGACTCTCCAGTTCCAGTTAAGCCATCAGTTGACTTCATCCACAAAAGTTGGTTGGAAAAAAAAAAAAAAAAAAAACAACAGTCGTCTGGGTGCCATGGCTCACGCCTATAATCCCAGCACTTTGGGAGGTCGAGGCAGGTGGATTACCTGAGGTCAGGAGTTCGAGACCAGCCTGGCCAACATGGCGAAACCACGTCTCTACTAAAAATACAAAAATTAGCCTTATATAGTGGACATACTTGTAATCCCACTACCAGGGAGGCTGAGGCAGGAGAATCACTTGAACCCAGGAGGCAGAGGTTGCAGTGAGCCGAGATCCTGCCATTGCACTCCAGGCTGGGCAACAAGAGCAAAACTCCATCTCAAAAAAAAAAAAAAAAAAAGTCTACAACATTATGATAACTAAGAAATCATTTTTTGCTTAAGCCACTGTGCATCTTTTTAATGCAAAAATAACTGATATACTTTTATTTGTTCTTCTAAGATAATTATCCTTATTTACATTGGCATGTTCTTCAGATGTGACCAGGAATAAATATATGACATAAAAGCCTGGTTTTCCTAGCTGGCTAACATTTCTCAAGTTCTGTGCCAAACACTACATCAAGCATCTTAATATATTTCATGTATTCATAAAAACACAGAGTTGGATTGGCTTATTAACCTATTTTACAGATGAAGCAGGTAAGTCTCACTTCCATGGTCACCCAGAAAATTACTGTTAAACCTGGCATTCAGTCTTAGACTGTCCAATTCCAGAGTTCATGCTGCCTTACCACTAAATTTTGTATTGTCTCAATAGAAAGTCTCAGGGCTTAAGAACTCTGGTATTGCTGACTACACCAAAGGGAATGTTCTGAGCTGCTAGGCTTTTCCTGATTCTATAGACATAGACTTATGAACTGCTTTTGCCAGACCAAATGTTGATATTCCCTGATTTTCTAAGGACAGCATGTAAAGTAGGTAGTGCTGTAACATTTCCCAAAGTGAGCTCTGTGGGACATCTAGAATCAGAATCATAGATTTTTACCCATGTAAGAATCACATGGGTAATTATTTAAGTTGCATATTCCTTTGACTCAGGACACCAATTCAATAGATCTGGTTGAAAATCAGCTTTTTAAATAAGCATTTCAGTTGATTCTGATTTGTGTTTTAGGGTCAAAGTAAGAATTATAAACACATGTAAAATAACTCTCAAAAAATATGGTTTCTCTCTTTCTCGTTCTTTGTCCAGATAAATATGATGTAGATGATATCCACATAAACATAGGAAAGTATATAGATACAGATATAGTGAGAATATTACTCCGAGCAAGCTTAAATTATCAAAGCAAGCAACCATTTAACCATTCTTATTTATTCTTCAATTTGGTCATATTTTCCTTTGTAATTTTTCACCCAAAGCTTGCATGTTGAGATACGTTCATGTTTATCACTAGACTCCTGTACATCGAAATGAGAAGAGCAGGCACTCAGACGAGGAAACTGAAGCCTAACCAGGTTGAGTGACTTATCTACATGGCTCATAGTTGGTGTTATGACTCTTTGAGCCTACAGGTTCTTGCTTATGCCAAAGGACAGTGCCTTAAATTGTCTTAAATGAATACAGATATCTAAATACCTCCTGAGCAATTCTTCTATTCCCAGGCTGAAGGGTATCTAAAACATCAGGATTGAAGGATAGGACAATCTCATAGGCTCCTTGTGTTTTCAGAAAAATCTCCATGTCCTCAATACATCCTGTTGTCTGGTGTCACCAGCCCAACTTGATCCAGCCAAGCTTATAGTAGGCTTATGTACATTTCCTCAGCATTTCTTATGGGGTTAAAAGTTCTGAGGGCAGTTCTAATTTTCATAATGGGTGATAGTTTGGGGCCCTGCGTAGGTTGAGCTTAACTTCCTTCCTGTTGAGCACTCACAGCACTGAAACTTTGGGCCAAATGGTGAAGACCTCATTGCGTGAAGAAATCTTGGCACTCCATTAGCCCAATCATTGCTTTTATTCACGGAACAGAGATTCTAGAGAAAAATTGTGTCCTGAATAAAATGGTGTCTGTCGCTATTCAGTCAGAGCTAGAGCCAGTATGCAAGTCTTTGGAGGCACATGGTAGGGTGGAAAGAACATTAGGACAGGAGTCAGACCTGACTTTGAATTATTTGTCTGCTAGTTATTGGCTTTGTGGCCTTGGACAAGTCCTTAATGTCTCTGAATGTCAATTTAATTGTCTGTAAATGGGAAAATATATACAATGAGAAGTCATCTTTGAAAATAAAGGACAGCATTTTTGAAGCTACTAGCTTAACAGGTATAAGAAGACTGATGAATGGATGTTGTTCTCCCACTTCCAAAGCTTCTCTGGGTTTTTCTCATCAGATATATTCTGACAATGAAAATAGTCCTCTTATCTACCAAAATGCAATGTCTCTTTAGATAACGTAACCTTTTTAAGACAACAGTCTGTTGTGTAAAACTCTTGTTTAGAGTGGTGGCATCTTGTCTAAACACAGCCTTTAGTGCTGACTTTCTTTCTCTGCTGCCCCAAGGTCTGAGAAGGCTAGGAGCTAGAAGGGGATTCTGCAACCCTCTTGGAGATGAAGTTCATCCAGAGTTCAGCCTGGGCCACAGGGTCCTGTTTCTTTCTTCAGGATAAGTGTCCACTATACTAGAGATGATCCAGTCCCCATCAACAGAATTCAAAATGGATTGGATTCTATAGCAAAGAGGTTTAATCAATTGAGGAGAAAGATAATGACGATGAGGAGGAGGAAAAGGATGATGATGATGATGATGAAGAAAATGTTATAGTCATGACAATAGGCTTTGAGGCTGACTTTGAATGGTGGACTATTTTCAGGGCTTTGCAGAATGGAATACTTTTCTTTCAATCTCTAAAAGGAATGGCAGATATCTCGTGACTTTATTTCAAAAGATCTGTTAATTATATAATAAATGTCCTTAAAGTAAATAAATATTGCCTACCATTGACAGGCATTTAGGTTGATTCCATGTCTTTGCTATTGTGTATTATCCTTAGCAAACTAACAGACGAACAGAAAGCTAAATACTACATGTTCTCACTTATTAAGTGGGAGCTAAATGATGAGAACACATGGACACATAGAGGGTAACAACACACATTGGAGTCTATCAGAAGATGGAGGGTGGGAGGATAGAGAGGATCAAGAAAAATAACTAATGAGTACTAGGCTTAATACCTGGATGATGAAATAATCTGTACAACTAACCCCCATGACACAAGTTTACCTATGTAACAAACCCACACGAGTACCCCTGAACTTAAAAGTTAAAAATAAAATAAAAATAAATAAAAATTGTCTGATAATATCAAATATCAACCTCCATCTCTTTTGACTCTCTGGAGAAGTAGTTATTTGGTTATACCCTTAAAATTACGCATTTCATTGTTATTGGTTTCTAGTCTCAGTCAAGTAATAATAAAAGCATTTACCTGTTAGTTTTCTCACCACCACGCAAGGGGTAGGGCTGGAAGAAATTGCGAAGCAGATATCACCTTTTATCCAATCCTTAAACAAGATTTTAAAAATCAGGGAAGGGAGACAGCAGTGTAAGTAGCCAAAAAGTAGTAGGGGAAAGAGTGATTTGTTTTTCCTTCCTCTCAAGCCCTTAGGGTCGTATCATCTATAGCAGGTGCTTGGTCAGAGAGGGAGGCCTCCAAGTTATAGGCACAGGTTTGACATCCATCACAAAGGTAGGAATCCATACTAGTCACTTGTGCTGTTGTATATCCATGGAGGCATATTAAGCCTCATGGATACCAGAGTGTGGCCTTGATATTTTAAATCTTAGCATTAAGTGGGAGTGCTGCAGCATTAGTCCTTGCTTCAGCTGCTTGTCTTCAGTGATATACAAGTTTCATAAATTACATTAACTAGAAAAGGGATGAACTAGAGCTAATAATCACCTTCATAAATATTTCTGCTTATTTGAGATATGGATTATTTTAGGGAAAAAATATTGCTTTCAGCAACAATCCTCCCTTTTTTGATATATAGATGATAGATTAGATAGGTAGATAATAAATAGATAATAGATAGATAAACAGATGCATGTGTGCATGTGTGTTGTTGTAGGAAACTATAAGGCTCATCTGTAACAGGGACTGAAGAATCTTTGAGTTATCAGCATCACCTGAATGTAAATTTTATGTGACAGACAGCATAGATAGTGAATTCATCACACTACTCCCAGCTATCAGCACACCGCCTGATTTACAGTAGCTGCTCAGTAAATATTTATGTATAAAATCAATAAATAATTTTGTACTTTAATTATTTATTCTACTCTTGGGTCTTTATTTTGTGTAGGTTAGCTTTGTCCCTCCATCTCTAATGTAAACTCTGTGAGGACAAGAAAAATAGTAATCATAGCAGTTACCATTTATTAAGAGCTTACTCCTGGTAACAGGTCTTGTGGGAAGCACACATCACACACAAATAAAGTCCTTTTTCATTCTGGAAGACACAGAAATAGGCACAAAGAGGCTCTAAGTAACTAGCCATGGTCACTCAGCACGTTCCTAGCAGAGCATCCAAAGCCCACATTATTAACCACAATGGAACTGTGATACATCACATTTTGCACACAATGCTTAGCATGACGTTAAACCTTTGTGTAAATGAGGTTGGCAGGGATGGCTTAGTTACAAATCTGACAGAAGAGAGCCTGCTTTTTCTGCCATTTCCTTTTAGAGTATTTATCATGTCCTTGGAGGGTTGCCCTGGCTCTCCAGAACTGAATCCCATTCATGCCCTCCCTGCGCAAGAAATGGCCCATTACTGTGCTTCCACAGACCTCTATTTTCATGAAAACTTTTCTCTTAAAAAAAAAAGAAAAACAAAAATAAAAAAAAACCTTTTTCCTCTGACATTTATTAAATGACTTTGTTAAGCCAAATGACAGGCCAAACTCTACAGGCTGTCTCATAATTCCATTAATAAACCTAAAAGGTAATTTGAGTTATTAACTCCACTTTAAATATATAGGAATTGAGTCTCAGAAAGGTTAAGAAATTCAGCTAAGGTCATAGAAATATGACCCGTTTACTTCGTGTACTTATCTGAGCCAATGTCCAAATTACACATTGAAAACTGTGGATAGTATAACCATATTATACTATTGTAACCATAAATATATATATATATATATATATATGTATATGTGTGTATATATATGTGTGTGTATATACATATATAATATTTACTATTTTAAAAATTTGGGGGTTCTGTTGTATGTTTTCTTCTAATATTTTCTCTCATTTATCTTTATACCAAACTTTTAAAAAGGACAGAGCACTGAGGCTCAAAAATGTTCAGTGATACTTAGATTGTCCTGACAAGCCTGGTGCTAGGACTCAGTTTCTTGACTCCTTTCCAAGTACTTATTCCAAAACACAAAACATCAACCTTTCCAAGCAACACTATTGAATTTTAATAGGGCCCATTCCTCAAATCAGCAACTGAAGGCAGAAAATGCAGACCCCACAGTAAGATAATAAGGGAGATATCAGGGGACAGAAGAAGTTTTCTTCAAGGTTTCTTCAGGTAACAACTGAAGCTACCTATTCTGTTGTGGCTGAAGTTCTACCTCTTCTTCCACCCAAGTCATTCTGATAGTAGACTGGAGTCATATCAGACTAGGAGTTGCCGTACTGTGGGGCCCTAGACAGTTTAGAAATTGTAACTCTTCTCTTGTGGTGAAATAACATTTTGCTGCACTTTAGTTTCCTTTATCATGGGAATTTAAAACTTTTCTGTATAGAGAAATTGCTTGAAGATTTTTGCCAGATATTCCTGCTTCTTGGTGTTAATATATATTGATTTTACTTATATTCTCTTTATTATATTACACAAGAAGATGTTTAACCAATGGAAAAGACATACTTGCTTCTTTGTGTTATAGATTCCCGTGAGGAGCAGCTCTAACCATGTTAACTCCCTGCTTCAGCTGGTCGTCTTATCCTTAAGGGATCCATCCATCCTGCTTGCAGGGAACAGTCCAAGTTTTTGGAGCAGGTTATAAAGAAATTTGTAATAGTATCCTGTTTTACTTTTGGCAGTATCCTGATATACCTAACAAAATTTACAACTACCTTATATATTCTGCAGCATGTGACTGCTGTGTTCTCCCACTATGATAAGACAAAACATGTTGATTGTTTTAAGTTTATGAGAAGCACTGACTTGATGAAAAAGTGTGGTCATTTCATTATGTTTTTCTCTAGACCCCAAATAATGAGAGGTGCTACCCTTAAAACTAATTGTCTAAGGCCAGTGAGAATTGATAACAGTAGACAGAGGCTGGGGCGGAACTGTTTCTCCTTATAGATCTAAGGAAATGTGCAGTGACACTGACTAATGATAATCATTTAACCTTTATTATTCTATTTCGCTGTAACCACACTTTTTCCTACAGCTCCCCTCCATAATTATGCCTTTAATTCCCTAACACATACCAAAGCATTCTGCTGTAGATTCTATTTGCTGGAGAGGATGAGCTCTGGAATCCCTTTATGTCTATCTCTGGAAAAACTCATTTTCTTTGAACATACGCATGCATACACACAGAGATACACAAGCATATGCACATGCACACATACAGACCTTAACAAAAATTGCTTGTCACTCCTCTAATGGTCTCTGTGGCATTGGCTCCCAGAAGGAGGCTGTTGGGTTTTCTCAAATTTACAGTTTTCTTGCTAATGATATTTTCCATGAAGTTCAGAAAACAAGAAAAGACTCCTTTAGTAAACTCCTTAACTCCAAGAAGGATTCATTGCAACATGTCTTGTCTTAGTACTAAAAAAGTAGTGATTTCAGGGTAGTTTTATATCCTTTTTTTCACTTTTATTTCTCTATTTCTTCTTTATTTCCTTTTTAATGGTAGTATTTATTTTTAATAATAAATTATTCTACTAAGCGTAAGAGTAAGTACTACTATTATCTTCATTTTAGAGAACAGAAAACTAAGACAAGAAGATGTTATGTAATTTACCAACTGTGAGTTGGCTGGGATCAGCAAGACAGTTCATAGGCAGGGTGTCACATGTTGAAGTTGGAGTTAGCTAAAGACACTGATGGTATGAAAAACAAAGGTAGCTTCTTCCCTCACATGTTTGGCACCTCATTTGGAAGGGGTGGAACAATTGTTGACTAGTTGGCCATCTCTCTTTCTTCACGTAACATCTCCATGTGACCAGCTTGAGCTTCCTCAGAGCATGGCATTTTCGGAGTATTTGTACTTCCTACCTATAAGCTATATAGATAAACATTTTGAAACACCAAGACACCAGCTGAAAAATATCTTATGATTTAGGCTCGAAGTCACAAGATGCCTTTTCTGCAATATATTATTGGTCAAAAGCAAGTGATAAGCCTGGCCAAATTCCAGGTAAAGAGAATTACACAGTGCATTGGTATTGGGAGACATAGTTCCTCAATAGGTCCACATTGGGAGACTAGCTACTTTAAAAATATAGAGGGAAAGATGTCCTTGCTTTTAATAATTATTTTCTTTTGGTGTTAATTTAGGTCAGTATTTCTCCATAAACATTGTAAGTAAAAATAATGATATTTTCTCAATAGAGAACATAAAATACCTAAGGAAGAGCTTCAGCAAGAAATCGCATTATCATTAGTGGTGAGTGTTAGAAGCATTTAGCATTTTTGCAGTGTTTTGCATAATTTGAAGGTTCTAAGAGTTTTTTCAAACACTTATTTGGATCTTAAGGGACAGTGTGCATACTCCTATTTGCCACATGTATATGATTTTCTTATATCGGATTAGCAAAATCAGTGCTCATGAAAGTATGCAGTTTCCTGTTCCAGGGCTGTGTTTAGCCATGAAGCACTTGCCTTTCCTGCTGAGGACACAAGTACTAAAATCCTAGATATTCTGTTTAGTGCAGAAACCCTAGAATTAGTATCTTCTGTTACTAGAGAATGTCATTTTCCCTTGGATATTCTTTGGCTCATTGAGAGGGCTTCTATTTAGGAAGCTTCTTCCCTGGAAGGCCTTTGTTTCTGGCTATATTTTCTTCGGTTTTATTTTCATAGCTTCTCAATGCTTCTGAGCACACTTAATCTTTCTTCATCAAGCATCCAAGCTCTTTTGCCCAATACTTGACTGCTGGTTAATTTATCTAGAATAATGATAATAGAATCTACTTGATGTCGATGCTGATTTTGTGAGCAATATCTTCTGTATGGTCATGCCTGTAATGTCTACTTCCTGTTTGATTGATTAGAAATAATATTGATAATATTTCTTCAGTTCTTACCATACATCAAAATTTGGCTACATAAATATACTTGCACTATCTCATTTACTTCTTATACAATCCTATAAGGTTAGGGCTATTATTTTTCACATTTCACAGATGAGAAAACTGAAGCTTCAAGGACGAAAAAGCTTTGGCTAGAATCACAGACTTAGGCAGTCCTAAATTTGCTACTTGAAACCAGAAATTGATTCTAAGCCTTACTTCCAGCTACTATGCCCATTCCTATTCGACTAAAATCTCTTGAAACTCAAATCTGGGGAAATAATATAATTAGTGGGATTTTTATATTTAATGGACTTATTGAGAAACCTCTTCAAACTCAAATATTCTTAGTTAGAGAAACTCAAAGACAGAGAACTGGCTAATTTTTTATTTTGTTTTTCTTTATCTTTTTTTCCTTTCAATAATGATGACTAGAGCCTCCAGTTTTGTGACTTTTTGCTATTCAGCTAATAATGTTGGATTTTCTCTTCTTATTTGCATATGATAGGCTCAGATATTTTTTATTTTCATACAAATTTGTAATAAAGTATCAGTCACTGTATAGATTTCTCCTTAATGAATAGAGATATTTTGAGACTTGGGAAATTCTGCAAAATTTGGCACAATTTTTTTTTTCATTTTACACAAGCAAAAGTTTGTCACAGGACATTCCAAAATATTGTGGGTTACTCCTTCCTCTACCCCCTCATTGATGGCCACCATGGGGTCCTCTCATTTGGCAAAGTAATCCATTATAATATTTATAATGACCAACTGATAACTCATGATAGCATATTTTAGTGGTGTTTTGACTTAATAGTAAGGCTGTGTGGAGAAAGTAAAATGTTTACCTTAAATAAATGTATTTTAAGTCATAATATTTGTGTTAGGCAGAGTTCGCCAAAGACAAGAAATCAGTAGAAGATAAATTTAAATTGGCTCAGGCGATTTTGGAGGCTGAGAAGTATAGATGCAGGAGAGTCAGTGGTATAGTTCTAAGACTAGTCCAAAGGCCTGAGAAGCAGGAGAGCTGATGATGTAAATTGCAGTCTGAGTCTGTCTGAAATCAGGAGAAAACCAATATTCCCACTTGAAGAGAGTCAGGCAGAGGGAGAATTCTTCCTTACTCAGGCT
This sequence comes from Homo sapiens, assembly GCF_000001405.40. Lineage (NCBI taxonomy): Eukaryota > Metazoa > Chordata > Mammalia > Primates > Hominidae > Homo > Homo sapiens. The sequence continues at coordinate 108,255,843 of NC_000010.11, read as the reverse complement.
CTTATTCTATTTACCTCTTCACAGGATTGAATGAAGCCTTCCCACATGAGGGAGGGTGATCTGTTTTATGTCGTCTACAGGTTTAAATGTTAATCTCTTCCAGCAATACCCTCACAGACACACTAGAAATGTTTAATCACATACCTGGCCATCCCATAGCCCAGTCCAGTTGACACATAAAATTAACTATTACAATATTTTAAGTCAAATTATCATTTATTGTGCCTTTACTTATGCCAGCACTTAATCCTCACCTTACCTTACCAAGGATGTTGATCCCTATTTCACATGAAAAATATAACAATAAAACACAAAAACACAGCCAGGGATGGTGGCTCACACCTGAAATCCCAGCACTTTGGAAGGCTGGAGAAGGAGAGGCTTGCTTGAGCCTAGGAGTTTGAGACCAACCTGAGATACACAGGGAAACCTCATCTCAACAAAAAACATTTTTTAATTAAAAATTTAAAAAACACAAAAACACTGCAGCTCAGAGGCTAGTTAGCTTGTCCTACATGATAGAGCTGGTAAAGAGAGCAAAATGACCATCTCAGCCTAACCATCCTACTCTAAGATAGAATATCTTGTTATAGGGGACAATTGGGTGATACTAAGCTAGAAGTCCACATAAGTTTGATAGAAAGTTAACCGGGATTCCCTCAGCATTAACAAAGCAATAATGTTTCCTTCCTATTTAAGGTGGTCATTTGCCTGACTATTAAGTAGAAAGGTATTTCCTGAACCTTAACTTCTGCTGAGGAAGGAAGTCTCTGTCAGTCACTAAAAGGGTCTTCAGAATCTCAGAAAGGAAGGACGCAGAGTGCCCTATATGAAGACAGAGGGGGATCCTTTTACAGAACACCTATTTAGTACCAAGTACTGTGCTAGGAACTTTCAGTCAAGTATATTTCACAAAAACCACAATCTCTTTTATTTTTATCAGAGTTGATGTGTCAATACTGTTTGCTAGAAGGATGGAAAACAATCCCTTGTTTATACAGTTCAGTTTGCTAAAATACTGTCATTCAATGAGTTTGCATGACTTTAATTGCAAAACAGAGGGTATTAGAGGAAAGCTGTGCTGGATTCGACCACATTAGAACTCTTCAGGATCACCAGATAGAAGCTGTCAACTTTGGGAACAAACATCTCTGCCTTGTTCCTTGGATGACAGTTTTTAAACCAACTCTTAGTAATTTCTAAAGGCATGCTTTGTAGCTGTCAGAATGAGTGTCCCCTTGCCCTGGAGATGTGCAATCACATAATTCTGGGTTCCTTTATTCCCACCCCAACGGAAAAGTAAGGTGGAAAAGGAGCACTGTGTGCCTGAACAGTTGGCAATGTACCCCGAGGTTTATGTCACTTTTCTGCTTTAGAAGATGGACCCCTTAAAGAGAAACAGAAACTGCAAATGTCATCCCACTCATTTCTAATTGGAATGGTGGGGACCAAACAGCTATGAGAGCTTCCAGTATAAAATGGCACATGAGGGATAATATGTCACCTTCAGTGCCACTGTGACTCAAGAGCTTCAGGCTGCCACTGTTTAAACATGTAGTCAAATTTAATATGCCTCTCCCTGACAGATTTAATGTCCATCAGGACCTGGGGAAAGAGCACCTGACAAGCCTGAAGATGAACTGTGTTCTCAGAGAAATGAGTGAGAAAAATTCAGCAGAGGAGTATTTAACAGGATGAAACACATAAATTTAATAGCAAACTGTACTCGCTATGTACATGAAATTAGGAAAGGCTTTTTAAATGCAATTTTGAATTATGTACTCTGCAATACAGATCCATCAACTGTTGTTTGTTTGTTAGCTGATCATTTGAAAGACAAGGATGGATTATATTTCCATGTCAATCTACTTCCGATTCAGTAGTTAGGATGTTATATTGTCAGGCATCACATTAAAAAATGAGTTGTAAGAGTAAGTGCAAATCATTTCTCATAATGCCCATTGAGATATAATTGGTCCTATTAACAACACTCTGAATTGAATTGATTTTTTTCTTTAACATATCTTTAACATAGTTCCCCCTCTTATTCTGACTAAACTATGAGTTTTAGAATACTTAGTAAGAAAAATATATATTAATTTCTCTTTATTATATGTGTATTTAAGTTGCAATATTGACAGAATTAAATTTGCACATAAATCATCCAACCTAAAAATTATCTGCATTGTCTAATGTTCTCCTCACAAAAATCCTATTAGTCAGTTAATAATCTTTATTTTACAGGTAATAAAATTAATTTTCAGAATTAATAAATACACATAGGGGAGCACAGCTAAAAAGTGGTCAAAATGGAATGCAAACTCACTTGAATCTGGCTGTGAAGCCTATATATTTATGTACCATAATATACTTGTTAGTGACAAAGGAAGGTTTTTATCATCCAATTCTGATTGCATTTTCTAGCAAACCACCTCCCTGTTTCTCCAGTTGTTACAAAGGTCTAAGACTCCTTTCCTCTTTTAGATTGTAAGCTTCTTATATGCAGAAACCACATATATGAGTTTTTCATAACACTAGACTAGTTGCAACATGAGTCCAGCTCTCAAATACTAGATTGTTTCCTTCTGCTTAGCTTAAGATTCACCTCCCAAAAATTTGAAACAAAAAATAATCAGAGTTGTTTTTCTAATCAACTGGCAATGATGGGAACTGTTGTCTTTATAATGAGTTTATTATGAAACAACTGCCACTGTTAGAAGCAGAATATGTGATCATACAGCCACTGGATTTTCTGGTAATTTGCATCACTTATGGTGACCTCATAAGCAAAAAAGATCCCTGTGCACTGACATCTCAACATTCCACTTACCCCACCCTGCTTCACCCCTAGAGAAAGCCTGGCATCTGACATTTACCAATACAAAAAGCCTTGCCTATTACATTGCCTCTATTAAAAGCAGACTCTACCAGAGCTCTCTATCATTACTGGCCAGCAAAACAATGGAGTACCCTTTATTCTGTCTGATTACTCCATGCTCCTTCCCAGGAAAGTGAGCTGAACAATACACAGTTCAAACTGTTCCATATACAAAATAGAGCAAATAAGAATGATTTAGGGCCACAGCTTGAATGTTCAACTCTGGTCTGTCCCATATACTCTGCATGTAGGAAAAGACCTTTCCCCAGCACCTTATCCTTGGGGTCTCTTTCTTTGCTGCTGAGCTACAAGAAAGAAGCATCTGGAACTGCAGACACAAGAACCATGGGTAGCTCTGCTGATTAAAAACAGTTGCTTGACCTTAGGCAGTTTGCTTAGCATTCTAGCCTCAATTTCTTCAGTTGCAAATGGGATTGTTAAGGCTTGCTCTATACTATCCCACAGAGGACTGAACAGATCTTATTCTTTTATAATTGTTGTTTAATACTATATCTGATCACTGAGAGTGGCTGATACTGAAAACAAATAAACAAACAAACAAAATATTCTCCCTTAGTCCACTATGATAAATCTTGAATTTTCTAGAGGATCTTTTTAAAAAAAAATCTACAAAACAAAATAACAAATGAAACCTACTGCTTTGCTCTAGTACCTTATGACATGCCATGAAATCTGGACTTCCTCTTCCCATATGTGTGCTTTTATCTGTTGGTGGTCCAGTCAGACATTTCTCACCCTGCTCCATCTCCCCCTTTACACGTAACAATCTGAAATCAAACAGAGGCTTTCAATGAGATCATAGACACCAAATATCAAAAAAATAGCTGTTGGAACTCAGGTCCTCCAGCACAGGTTCCTCAGAACCCCATTAACCTGGGGTGTTAGAAGAAGTGTTAGAGGACTAGATCACAATGGGTGAGACTATGAGCTTCTGAATTGGACAGATCTGGCCTTAAATTCTAGCACTGACAATAAATAGCCATTTGGCCTTTGGGAAATCACTTTTCCATTCTGAGACTCAGTATCTTCAACCCTAAGTCCAAAAATCATAGAGACGGTGATACTTTCCAATTCATAGGTCATAATGAAGACTAAGTGAGACATACACTTATCCCAGGGCCTTGGGCAGAAAGACCTCCAGAATTTCAGCTATTAGCATACCATCACTGCCATTATTAGGAATAATAATGTTGATCTAACATGGTTTAAATCTTTGTTCATCCAGAATACCCAGTTAGTCCCCATGCTTTAGCTAGCCCTGTAGAATTCATGCCCTGCTTTCTCCCAGGATGCTGGGATTAAGTGGAAATTTCTGTAGGCCTTTGTGAAGGCCAAGATCTACTCTGCAGAGATCTACCTTCCTCAGTTATTCAGAATGAGAGCAGTGGATTGTTAATTGAATTAGATTAGAGCATGGATCATGAAAGCCAAGTCTGCTTGTCTGCTAACTCAGGATGCCAGTAGCTGCAGACACAGCAATGTGGCTGGCTGATCTCTGGCTCCAGAAGACACATCTTGTTTTCTCAAAAAGGAGGTCATTCATAATTGATAAGAACTGAGAACATCTCCATCATATACCACCGTAATTTAATAAAATATCTTGTTAACTAAAACCCTGGGACCTGAAATAGCTATTGATTTCATCTTCATTTGGGAGCAAGCTAATTTCCTATGGCCAGGTCTGGGAGTGGAAGTGAATCACGCTGACAAAATAAGATGTACACCTAAGCACAAATGATCCTGGGCCATCTGAAGCCGGATGCCTCAATTAGTCAGAGCAGCTGGACACTGACATTGTAAGTACAACAAACTAAGAAAACAGACTCTGTAAAACCTCCGCAAAGGGGAAACTCTGCAGCCCACAAGGCCTGTGGCTCACTGCCAAAACCCACATTCTCCCATTTTCTGATAAAATTAATGTGTATCATTGTGCATTAAAAAGGAGGGGAAGTCTACTTACCTCCTTTTGGGTCTTTGTTTGAAAAAATCTCTGACAGTTCTGAGGGGAAGCAGCAGGTTAACTGAAGTGTCATTTAGCCAAGCAACCTGGGATAAGGCTTTTATGAAGGTTCCAAGGCCCTCAATGCCATCTAAGCCATGGTAGAGAACCTTCTGAGGAATACCATAGGCAGAGTTCTCCTGGATGCTCCTGATGACTTCCATTTGGAAAGTTATTTAAATAAATTATTTTTCAGCTTCCTTGAGGAGTGTATCAGATACTAGTGATGCAGGATTTTTGCTCCTTAGCTCAGCTAGGTCTGGGTTCTTGTGTCATGACCAGGAAGAATTAGGCATGCAGACATCAAAGAGTGAATGGAGTAGAATTTACTAAGTGAAAGGAAAGCTCTCAGCAAACAGAGGGAATGCAAGGGGGCTGTTCTTCTGCCTGAAGACAGGAAAGTTCCCCAATATGGCTGAGCATGGGACTTTTTATGGGTTCAGAATAGGGAGTGTGTGGTGATTGGTTTGTGAGTATGCAAAAAATGGTCAAAGCAAAGACACCATTCAAAGGTTGGCATGACAGTGTAGAAAACCAATTAGGAAAGGGTAGGTATATGTAAAATAGGCAAAGTATGGGGATCAATCAGAGGACAGCATGCCAAACAGGAAGGTGGGTTCTCAATCTGGTCTGATGATTTACCCTGGACTGTTTTCAGCTTAAAGGTTGGGTTTCACTGGGGACCTGCCCCTATCTGCCTAGGCATTTGTCTGCCTCCTGTCTCTATCATTTTCCTCTCTGAAGAGGTACATCTAAGTGCTGTTAGCATAGGGATGAAGACTGATCTTAACTGCCCCCTGCTGACAGGGGGCGCTGTTTTGCAAAAACAGCAGTCAGATAGGCAGGCCTATCTCAGGGTCCCCAGTAAAAGGTAGCCATCGTCCAATGTTCCAGTTGCATGACCATTTGGAGTTTGATGGCCCATCCCTTTTGTTTCTTCAGAGCTACAGCTGGAGATCACCGTTGGTTCACAGGAATAAGCAGGGTTAGCCTAAAATGTAGGTAAAAATTTAAAAACAACTGATAAGATTAGAATTTAATGACAAGTGTATGATAAGTTTTGAAACATAATCTTTCTTTCTCCAGTCCTCATTTTATTTCTCAAAAACAAATAATGATAGGACTAAGTTTTCTGCAAAATAAACCTTAGTCTTACAATTGGCCTGATTATTTGCATAAAGTGCAGCAAGAATAATTATTTTTCATATAGGCTTTTAAATTGGCTTTGATGGAACTCTGTAACACAAGGAATCTCAGAGAGACCTTTTAAAGCTTAGCCCAGCCATGAGTTTGTACCCTCAAATAACTATGAGTTGGGTAAATCTCTCTCTTCTTGAGGTCCCAAGAACATGGGGCTCCTGGTCTTGTCAGAAAGTGACATTCTGTACTCATCACAGGTTAGGAACCCTGTACAGGGACTGTGTAGACAAAGTATGAGGCCAGTTTTCCTAAGGGGGTTTAATTAGCTCTGCAAGTCAAGCTTGATTACTTAAAGGGAAACATATAATTTTAGTCAAAGCCTTGATAAAACAATCAGTTTTTCCAATTGTCTCCTGTTGCAAAAGAAAATGGATTCTTACTGCACTGATGCAAAAAACTATATTTCTGTAAGTTAGGAATACTCATAGATAGTTTCCAAATTCTGGAGAAGCCAGACAGAAAGAAACAAATATGCTCCAAATTTTATTCACAGTAATATACCTTACTCAATTATTAAAGACTGTAAAAAACTCAAAATAAGTTTCCTTGACACTGATAAACAAAACAAGGATTAGCAACGTTTTAAACAAAAAGGTTAAAAAGATTACTTCAGTTTTCCGTTAGTTCAGTCCATTCTGTTAACTCTTGTTCTGCTTGATATTCATGAATATATCAACTCTTCATGAGTCTGGTAGGTTTTTCCAATGTCACAATCTCCAAGGTTATCAGAAACCTGCATTTGAGAACACCTGTAAAAGTCCTATACCTGTTTATAAACCACATTTTGAAAAGGATCAAACAAGACAATAATTGTCTGTGAATGACAAAAGGTCCAGGGTAGTTACAATAGAAAACATGATTGACAAAGAAATTTGGTTATTTCCGTGGTTTACATTAACTGAACCTAGTAACCTTAATTATGATTGATAGCATATACTCGAACATTAGAATTTTAGAACTCCTATATAATTTTGGAACATATATTAACATTACTCACTAAAATGTAACCTGAAGAAGGTCAAATATTATTGTTATTTTGGCAATCCCACATGACTAAACATGTGAAATAATTCTGGTTACCTCACTCTTAGATGCTCCAGGGGCCCTCTGCATCATCCAAAACTCAGGGGTCAGGAAAGACAATTTTTGAAGCTGAAGTTTGATTTTTGGAAGCCCATTAAATATGTTAGAGGTTCAAATCACTTGATATTATGAACTAGAATTCCAGATTACTATAAGTTATTTATTTTAGCCAAAATAATGACTCAAACATGTTTAAACAAGGCAAAAACCTTTACTCATTAAGAGGGAGGACTTAGTTTTCCAACTAGTCTATCTCTTGTTTTCTTCTTTTTTTTTTTGGTAGTATATTTGCAAGGCAAACCAAAATCTTTCCTTATCCTTTATTATTACATGAAAATCAATGGGGAGAAAGCCAAATATCACCCTTTCATTAGTCTACTACTAATGTCAACCCAATTTTTTAAAACGAAACTTTATAGATAATTCTACCCAATCTTAACCAGTTTGTCCACGAGGTGAGATTCTCATAAACTTTGTATAACCCTTTAAAAATGTTTGTTAAAGAGTAGATCAGTACCCTAATACAACCTTGTTGTGCTTTTATTCTGATGTTCAATTTATGGCAAAACCATATAATGCATTTTTGAAGTTAGTCAATATGTTCACACATACAATTTATTTTGTAAGACTAATTTTTACAAACCTTCCATAATTTATTTCAAGTTTCAGCTTTATCTTATCTAATTCAAAACAATCCTTTAACCCTCTAAACTAGGCAAAAATTTACATTCCCATGCCTTCTTATAATCTTTCACTACAAACACATTTTACTTTTCTTACACGCTTTGCATGTAAATTTATTTTCAGCAGTCTCAATTACATGTTATAATGGGAACTCTTAGCAATTTTTAACTTTAGTGTAAAACCTGCTAAGTTATTTTAATTATGTACTAGGCACAAATGAAGTCTGTCTCTTTCCAGCATATTTAAGAATGTAGTTAATTCCGTATGTCCCCAGGCCTTATCAAATTGTAAATCAGGCAAGTTGAACAGTTCTCAAAAGCCAAAGAAGCAGTCTGTATCCTTAAAACATTTCGCAAACCGAGTATTTGACCACCCCTAATTTAGAACACATATTTACATTTTGAAGACATCTGTATTTTACCAATTATCTTTAAAAATGTTTGTATTTCTCAAACATTAAAGTCACATGAACTAAAAGGTGTTATAGCTTTTATTTTTCCTTCAAAAATATTTGATCTAAATACTTATTTTTCTCTAGACCAATTAATTAGAGCTCTTCTTTATAAACATCACACACACCACACGTATAAATACACAGAAAGACAGAAGAAGATCCAATAGTTGTAAGATTTTTCATCTGTCAATCTCCTAATTGAATTATTGGCTGCAGGGTGAAGCCCTCCAAGAAACAGGGCTAGGAAAGCATGTGGTTTAATAGAGCCTAATAAGCAGATATAGCTGGAAGACAAAAACAGATTTTGAGAGAGATCTATCTGCTTTTAATTCCTGGGGTTCCATGAGGCAAAGAGAAGTTTTTGTTTTCCCCAAAATTGGTTTTGTGCACCTTCTTTGTTTTTCTCCAGGAGTCTCCCAGTCCATCAGAAGTTATCTTAGGGCCTCTCATGCATGCATTAAGAGTGGCAAGACAAAATGGAGAAAGGCAATTCAGTAGACAGAGAAAAAAATCTTTTCCACAAAAACAAGATCCAGGAAGAGAAAAACATAAAGGCCTTTTAAATATACCTATAGCTTGGATATTCACTTTAATTAAGCTGATTGCTTTTTAAGAAAATCCCTTTAAACTCCTTGTTACCTGACTTTAGTTATGTCAACTGGCCAATGTTTCCAGCTTTTGAACTTTACCAAAAGTAATGTCACAGGTGAAACCAACAAGCCTCGACTAAGGTTATGAGTTAACCATGAGTGTAGAAGATATTTTCAAAAAGGTGATAAGCAGTTTTTACAAAATCTAGATTTGTAAAGGTAGCTCAGAAGAAGGAATATTTTTAAAAAGGAAGCTAGAAGTTGTTCACGGAGAGGAAGGGAATCAGCAAATGGCAAAGGTCACACAGGTATTAACCAGAAAGCAGTCATTCCCTAAGCCAGGATTGAACCTGGGCCAACATTGTAAAAAAAGTGGATATCAAAAGAAAGTGCTGCCATGTGATTAGAGGATCAAGCTTCCAAGGACATAAAACAAGATGGAGACCTGCAGCAAAGTTTTTTAATGACCAGTTTGGCAGGCTGGCTTGAACAGTGGGCTTATGGGGTCCTAGGCCCCCATTCTATCTTAAGTACCCCTCTTCATGACATAACCATACAGAAAGACACACAATGTGCACCAGATTGGCTACAGCTGAAGACTAGCCTCAGAAATTTTTCCCATTAATCAAAACTTTACATAGGATATAAACAGTGATTTTATCATTCATTCAACAGGTGTGTTCAGTGAGAGGGAGACCAGATGTCTGACTGGTAAGAACTTTTACTCTTTTGCCAGCATGTCATGCTTCTGGGCTCCCTTCCCCCGAGTTCAATTTTAAGCCAAGCAGTTTAAGGTTTGGGGAAATTAACTTTTCTCAGTTTGGGGGATGTGTCCAAGGGTAGTGTTCCATGGTACGGGATACAATTACCCATTTGCAAATTGAGGACAGATGAGGACAAAGGAGAAATAAGGCTTTTCTTTTCCCCAAAGGAATCACAATGATTCAGGAGGCATTTGAGTGAAATACAGACTGAAAGTTATTGGTTACCCATCCAGAAAGAAGGGAACAAGGTGTTCCTAGTTTCTTTCTCTTCCCAGTCAATAACTGGGTATGTGAGGGAGAGAAAGAAGAAGTGTCCCCCTTTCTTCTGTCCTTATATCCCTGAGTCCCAGCGACCTTGGCAGGGTTCCACCCATGGGTGCCACTGTGGCTTTCACCCATGTTAACAGGGAGGCATAGGGGTGGGAATTATCCACATTCACCCACGTGCTGCCTATTCTTCCTGCTGTTGGTAACTTTTGAGTTCCCTAAACCTTACCTATGCCATGGATGCTAGCACGTTCTCTGTCCATGAGATGGGATGAGGTGGCTAATCGGCAGGAATTAGTCATGCTCACCTGCACTGTGCCTTTTGACTTCCATTGTCATCTGGCCTCTGGATCCAGTTTTCCTTGCTAGGACTTCAACCCAAAGCTTGTAATTGACTTTGGGACAAAAATGTGCCTCAGAATGGTTCATGGACTCATTAAGTCCCAGGTGGCCCTCCTGAAACAAGGGAGAGAAAAAGCAGTCCTGTGAATTGGGGTCCTGGCTTTGCAAGATGCCTTTCAAAAGGAAAAAATAACCTCTCATATAGAAAAGCTGTCTGTATTCACAGGGCTATGTGTTAACTCCTGACATGGTGGAGAAAAGGGAAAAAAAAAAGACAGCTTTAGTGCAGGGTGAGGAAGATGGCTGAAGGAACAAAAGCCTCCGGCTTTTTTCAAATGGGTTCCTCCAACATGGTGGAAAACTCATAATTGTTTGTACCCTCTTCCTGGTTCAGCCATAGGAGGAAATACTCCGTGGGCACGAGGCAGGAAGGGACAGCGAACAGGAAAAACTAGCCAGCCAGACACACTGGGTCCTTAGCCCCTGAAACCACCTTGTGGCCCGGGTGGCAGCTGCAGCTCATTCTAGCCCCGCATGGCTATTGTATGCAGTGTGTGCATGAAGCAGACATGGCCATGAGCCCCAGCTGGGAGGGGATGGGGTAGCAGCAGGGAGCTACCACTCACCCATCCATCTCGTGCTGCCTGAGGCCAGTAAGTTAGGGGTTGGGGATGCCTATAAAAACAGACAGAAATTGCATGGTTCTGAATTGCATATCTGATGCCTGGGCCAAAGGCTCATTCTATCTAGTAATATCTTGGCAGTTTGCAATAACATCCCCAATATCGTTAAAAAAAGGTAGGTGCCATAACAGCCCTGAAAGGAAGAGGGAAAATGACATAAAAGAACACTGGATTGGGGCCAGGTACAGTTGCTCACGCCTTTAATTCCAGCACCTTGGGAGGCTGAGGCGGGTGAATCACCTGAGGTCAGGAGTTCAAGACCAGCCTGGCCAACATGATGAAACCTGTCTTTACTAAAACTACAAGTTAGCTGGGCATGGTGGCATGTGCTTGTAATCCCAGCTACTTGGGAGCCTGAGGCAGGAAAATCACTTGAACCCTGGAGGCAGAGGTTGCAGTGAGCTGGGATCATGCCATTGCACTCCAGCTGGGGAAACTGTCTAACACACACACACACACACACACACACACACACACACACACAGGATTGGAACAGGGCCAACATTCCCAACCCTTGATGGTAATAGGGGGTGGGTAGCAGTCTCTACAGGTGTGCCATTCATTCTTAATTGGCTAGCAGAGACCCAGTGCTCCATGTGTTTTCAGAAAAAAGGTCTGAGGATGAGAAGCCTTGAAAACAAAAGTGAAAGAGGATTTTTAGGTCCACATTTTACTTACCATTCCTCTGATCTCCATACTAGCCACAAAAATGATGCAGGATTTTTGCTCCTTAGCTCAGCTAAGTTCAGGTTCTTGTCTCATGACCAAGAAGAATTAGGTATGTGGCCATCAAGGATTGAGTGAGTGGAGTAGCATTTATTAAGCAAAAGGAAAGCTCTCAGCAAAAAGAAGGGATGCAGGGGGGTGGTTCTCCTACCTGAAGACAGGAAAGTTCCCCAATATGGCTGAGCCTGGGGCTTTTATGGGCTCAGCATAGGGAGCGTGTACTGATTGGTTTGTGAGTATGCAAAAACAGTACAAGTGAAGACACCACTCAAAGGTGGTGACAACAGTGTAGAAACCCAATTAGGAAAGGGTAGGTATATTTAAAATAGGTAAAGGATGGGGATCAATCAGAGAAAAGTGCACCAAATGGGAAAGCATGTTCTCAATGCAGTCCAAGGATTTACCTGAGACAGTTTCCAACTTGATATTCGGGTTTCACTGGGGACCTGCCCCTATCTGCCTAGGCATTTGTCTGCCTTCTGCCTCTATCACTAATGCTGCCTTAATAAAATGTCACAAACTGGTTAGCTTAATACAGCATGCGTGTATTTTCTCACAATCCTGGAGGCTGACCATCTGAAATCAATGTGTAGGCAGGGCTGAATCATTCTGACATTGTTGAGGAAGAACAGGCCTTGCCTCTCTCCTGGTTTCTGCTGATAGCTTGCAATCCTGGGCATCCTTGGTTGGTGAATACATCAGTTAAACCTTTGCCTCCATTTGCACAGGCTGTTTGCCTTGTGTCTCTGCATTCTCTTTTGTATGTGTCTGTCAATCTGACTTTCCCTTTCCTATAAGACCATGGGTCATATTAGATTAGAGCCCACCTAATGATCTCAACTTAACTTGAGGACATCTGCAAAGACCCTATTTCCAAGTAAGGTTGCATTCTGAGGTACTGGGGGTTAAGACTTCAACATATCACTTTGCGTACACAAATCAACCCCAAACAAGGAGTCATTATGTGCTTGGTTCGCTGACCATGCTCATTAGACTTTCTTAAGACCAAATAAAGGAAAGAGATTTTTTTTCCCATAATAACATAGTTACTTTGAGAACTAGAATGTAAACAAAATCATAATTTAGGAAATAATAGTAGGCAGCAGGAGACGATAAAGTATTTCTAAAAGTTTAATTCACAGATCAACTGTAACAGAATTCTCAAAGTGAGACTTATTGATGAATAATAAAATCATAAATTTATTAGAACCACTCCAAAATTTCTTGAGTAAAGAACATTCAAAGGATATCTCTGTTTTTCCTCCAATCTATCTTCCTCCATCTTATTTAATCTTACTGGAGTAGTAACTGTTGAATTTCAACCTGGAAATTATTCTTATTTGTATTTACAGTGACATGGGATAAGCTGGCATTTTTCTCTTATTTTCCAACAGGGTGATAACTATGTTTTCCTTTGTCAATCTCCTTTTATCTGCTAAATCTCCTAAAAAAATTATTTCTCCCTCTGCAATTGCCAAGGTTAAATATTTATATATTTACTTATTTTCTAGCACAATCAAACCCACTTGCTCTTCAGATTTTCTTGTGCCTTAACTATGTTTCTATTTCTTGTCTTTCACTAAATTGTGAGCCCTTTCAAAGTAAATAACATGTGCTATCTCTTTCCTTTGTCCAGTCTAGCTGCTAGCACAAATGCCAGAAAGCATGTGTATATTGAAGTGAATTTCTTTGGGATTTTTAAAAATAATACATATAACATGTCATTGTAGAAGATTCTGGAAATTTAAAAGTCTACGAAGATTTTAAAAATTATTTCACCGTTAAACCAACTTTATTCTTGGTATTTAAAAAATTTATTTGAAATAAACATGGTTCGCTGGCAAGTTCTGCATACAATTTAATCCTTTTCATAATGTTAATGTTATATAAGCATTTCCCATACAGAATTACAAACACACTATTTTAATGGCTACTGTATTATTCACATGAATGCAATTGCCTTATTTTTTCCAATATTATTTTAGTGTAAATTATATCATGGTGAACATCTTTGTGTATAACTTTGTAAAGTTGATTCTAAAAGTTTCTCAGGGCCGGGCATGGTGGCTCATGCCTGTAATCCCAGCACTTTTGCAGGCCAAGGTGTGTGGATCACCTGAGGACAGGAGTTTTAGACCAGCCTGGGCAACATGAAAAAACACTGTCTTGACTAAAAATTCAAAAATTAGCTGGGTGTGGTGGTGGGTGCCTGTAATCTCAGCTACTCAGGAGGCTGAGGCAGGGGAATCACTTGAACCCGACAGGTGGAGGTTGCAGTGAGCTGAGATGGTGCCATTGTACTCCAGCCTGGTCAACAAGAGTGAAACTCTGTCTCAAAAAAAAAAAAAGTTTCTCAAATTGCATTTCCATAGATAGAATTACTTAGTTAAAGATTATTTTATAACTGATTATTGTTCTACTAAACATCAATAGCTTCTCAGTTTCTTGAACAGAATAAAAGAATACTTTGAATATATGCATATATAAACAATCTTTGTAATTAAAAAAACATTTGAAAATCAGAAGAATCAAAAAATTTGCATTGTGATCAAGTCTGTGGTATACAATGTTGGTCAAACTTGGCAGTATGCAAAAGCCTGGTGAGGAACTGAGTGGACACTGAAATCCAGCCTTTGTCGCATTAGCCAAGCTGGCTATCAGTAACTATATCAGCCTCAACACTTTCTTTATCTAACTAGTACAGAGATACCATCTGCTTAATAAGGCATGTGTTTATCTGGAGAGAGTGACTTTTTTCAGATTAGCACATTCCTATAGGCCTTTTGTGACCCTTACAGGATTCTTCATTGTCAGGCAGGTAGCATGGGGTGTGATCTGAGTCCTTTATTCCTCTGCAATTGTTGCTTTCTTGAAGAAGCAGACATTATCCTGTGGAGCTAAGGTATCAAAACATTGGTAAACAGCACTGTCTGTCTGGGGTGCTTGGGTGGCAAAAACCTCTGAAGATTTTTGAGTTGGCAGTCAAAGTCTTCTACAGTTTTCTGTCTGGCCTTGTCGCTCACTACAGCTTACCTATGCCTTTTCCTCCTGTCACCTCGTATTCATTTGCACATCTATGCTTATTTTTCTCACTCTGATAGAGCCCCTTCATCTGCTCCTTTCTGCCCTTATAAATCTTCCCTTTGTTTAATGGTTTAGTTCATCTCGCTTTGAAACTTTCTCTGGTCTCTCTAATTCTTGACTATCAATGACTTCCCTCCTTTAAATTCTTAACTTTTATTTTTTGAGAGTCATATGGTGAGGTTGTGATACACACAAGCTCTGGAACCATTTGGTTAAGGTTTAAACTTGGTCCATCACTTGCCTGCAGAGAAACAAGTGATGATGTTTTCTAATCTATGCCTCCATTTCCTCATCAGTGAAATAGGATAATAATAGAAGATTTTTGCTTAGGGCTCTGGTAAGGAGTAACATCTTAATATTTAATTCAGTGCAGCATCTAATAGTAAGGTTTTGTTTGTTGGTTAAATTTAATATTATGTTCCTTTTTTGCAAAGTGATTGTTTAATTTTTTGAAAGGAGAAATTACATCTTACATTTAAGATATAATTCTTAAGCAGATGATCTCTTTGTATTAATACTAGTTAGATTAAAAAACTGTCTGGACAGATACAGCTTCTGATGCTTAGCTTGGCAGGTGGAATTATATAGAGATTCTTCCACAAGACGGATGCTAAATAAGTATTCATTGGTTGAGGACATACATGCACATTAACTTTTTTTTTTTTTTGAATTTGACATTCTTCAATTTTTCTTTTTTTAATCCAGACAGTCAATATTTTTAGAGCATTCACCATACAAATAAGGTCCTTTTCCTGGACTCAGAAACCCACATAAACAGGCTAATGAATACATGTGGTGAGAATAGCACTACAAGAGACCTAAATACACATAGGAAGACGAGGATCCCAAAGGGGAAGCATTAGCCTGCGGATGGTTTACACAAAGTCAGAGCCAAGTTCACAGGTTCAGTAGCGTTTCTGACCAGAGAGTTGTCTACCTAATTCTAAGGAGAAGGTAGACAAAAAGCAAAACTGGATAACCAAAACATTTCTTTAACACTTGGCAACGGTTATCATCCCAGAAAGAGGAATGAGTCAGAAAAAAGGTGGTGCTGCTTTTAGTGCAAGAGGGGTTCAGATTTATCCAATTCACTGTAATGCTATTTTTCCTCTTGTGTTTGTACAAACAAACAATAACAATCCCATTGGATATAGTTATTATGCCCAGCAGTCACTAGCCCAATAGAAGAAAAGTACGAGGGTACATTTATGACCATTTTAGCTAAATCAACTTCTTTTATATGTAGCCCATTTAGGAAAGAGTCAGGCACTGAACAAGGTATTGTGCAATTATAGGATCATATTAAAGAAAGGCAATTTAATTGCAATTAGTGTTAAAATTATTTATTTATTGAAGTGCCAGGATATGCACTATGTCCTGTCATTCATTTACTTCCAGTCTGGTGCTGTATGTGCCCCATTAACTTGTAAAACACAAAGTTATTAATCTGCAATTCTACTTGCAGTCATGTTACTAGATTGTGTTCTGTTCCCCTCTGTTTGATATAGCATCGTTGAGCTCATTTTGGTCATTTATCTGCAGCTATTTAATTCCTCTGTGGTCATCTAAAGATGCTTTTCACTGCTAATTAAGCAGATGTAACCTGTGCTGAAAGCAGTTGGCTTTCCTTGGACATCTGGTAACAATCCAAAATTGAGTCTGAACTCTTTAGTTCTCACTAGTTGTTCACATTTGCCTTTTGTCATGGTGATTCAAGAAGCTCAACACATATCTCCATGTTCCAGACAGTCAAAGTGTTGAGGGTCTTCAAAAAGAGCATTGGTCACATGATAAAGCACACTGTAAGCACATTTTGAAAACTAAATTCTGAAGCTGAGATACCACTTAGCCATCTGTTTATCATTCTGGTGGATTGGTTAAAAGAGTGGATTTTTCAGTGTAAAACCATCCCCACTACTGGTTGAATGACTAACAGGTAGCAGAGCAGAAGAGACAACTGTTTATTGCATTCCTTTCACTGATGCAGTAGAAAATGTTAAGCTAGAACTATCATGTTTATGGCCCCAGTCAAAGTTCTCAACATCTCTGCAATGCATTTTACAGACAAATTAGATGAAGTACTGAGAGTCTATACAAAGTAATTTAGCTAGGGTTTTAACCCAGGCTTATTGGACTCCAAAGCTCTTTGGAATTTTCCACATTCCATGGATCCCTGTAGCATCACTATATGCACAGGTGATTCTTGATTTTACAGAAACACAGAAACTGATTATCCTGTCTGAGGATTAAGTGTCTTGTCTTTATCCTCCTCCTTCCTCTTAATCGTCTATTATTAACCACTTATTGATTGCTAAAGTCATCTACACACAGGGTAATCAGGAACTGAAGAAAGACATGAAAGGTAATTATAATCAAATTTCAACCACTGGTAACTCCTGGGAAGTGTGTGTGTGTGTGTTTGTGTGTGTGTGTGTGTGTGTGTGTTCATGTATGTGTGTTTGTGTTCTGAAGAATTGTTATAGATGAAAAACTGTGCCCATAGTTAAATACTAAATATGTGGATTCTGTATAGCTGTCATTGCCCAGGTTGCCCATCCCTGTCTCTCTCATTTGCACAACTTGGTCAGGACGAGACTTGTTGCAGATTTTTCAGTAGTTACTGGGTCTCACTATGATGTTTCCTCAGAACTGATGATATATGTTTTATTAAGTGCACTCCTTGGGGAAAAATTCTGCTGTGTATTTACTACATCAAGGGTAGCAGCAATGGGAATTGAGTAGTTGGCTAAGCTTCATCAAGATAGTGCTACACATGTTAGAAATAGAGCCTACTACCCTCTGTGAACATTAGAAACAAATGATTCGTTGCCTAATTCTGTGAATGTGTTGTTGAATTGTTTGTTAATGAAGAATACAGGAAAACTTGTTTTTGTCACTCCTTAATTCAACAGGCTGCTGCAGCGGTTTAAAGGGTACACTGTGATGGTAATGCTGTTGAATATGAGGCGTTAAAAGAGGAAATAAAATATCTCTTCATGTTTTAAACTCTCTTTTGCCTCACAGCACCACCATTCAAATTGGAAAGTATATGGGGGTACAACTGAGTTTATTCAAACATTTACTTAGGGCTTATATGCCAAGAAAAAGATATCAATAAAGACACATGATCTGTGCACTCTGATACCCAGGAATGAAGTCAGTTGTTCTGTAGAAATGTGTCAGTCACAGATGCTTGGAGATGGCTAGGTAACAGCGAGGCTGATACCTTTACACAACCATAGTCATTTTTGTATTTAGAACTTTATTGATGATTTATCTTCTCACCCTCATTCCAGTACTCTTCCCCTCTAGCTCTCTTTCAAAAATTAGAGAATTATACTGTATTGTATGGTTGTACATCTTCTTGTCTCTATTTTCCACTAGCTTGTGAGGAGACACTCAAGGCTGAAGCTGTGCTGTGTCTTATTTATCTCCATCTGTTGAGTGCCTAGAACAGTCTGGTACATAGTAGCAGGACATACCTACTGTATCTATAAAATAAAAGTCGTGGAGCTTAGAGTCAGAGAACAGATTGATTTATAGGCCAAAACTAATGGTGATTTGGCTTCCTTATTTGAAAATTGGCATGATCATCACCTTTTTCAAAGACATAGTATGAGAATTAGACGTAGGTAAGGAACTTTGATTATTGAAGAGTGCTATGTATGCTAGTTACATGGTTGCACAATTTATTTCTCACTAAGGAAAAATCTTCCAGGGCCAAATGTGTTTATGTATTTTCTTTTACTACTACTGCTACTACACCACACACACACACACACACACATTCACACACACACACATGCGTGCACACGCACACACACACACACACACACACTCTCACCAGGAAAGAGTGTAGAGCTTTAAAAATGGAAGACAGAGAAATGCTACAATGGTTCTCTGTTGGTTTTGTGTCTCTTTTTTTGACTTTGTTTTGTTTTACTTGCAAGAAAAATCATCAATTTCATGCAAAACTGTCACTACACCATTACCCTTTCCTTCTTGTATTATCTCTGTTGCAGTCCCTAGGAGTTCTGCAGCAGTAACCAGTTATGGTTGAGAGCCCAGAATCTAGAACCAAATTATCTTCGAGTTCTGGCTCCATCCATTCCTGGCTATGTGGCCTTAAGTAAGTTATTTAATATTGCTTTGCAGCAAGTTTTCATCCTCAACATGGATGATGTGATCATAGCACCTACCTCATAGAGTTGGTGTGGCTTAACTGCCTATAAAGCCTTTAGAACAATGACTGGCATGTAGGAAGTGCTATACATGTAGGCTATTAATGCTGTTAGCAGTAGTAGTGCCTGAGCTATTCTTCCCCTTCTGCGTGAACTTTCATAGCATTATGCTGCGGGAATGAAAATATGGATTGATATATCCATCTGAGTGTCACGTACAAAACTCTGGGGGATACAACCATGACAATTTTATCATTTATTCTTATACTAAATAAAATAATTCTATTTGCAATAATAGCGAAACCAATATTACCATTTGCAAAATACTGAATACGGGCCAGGCATTGTGCTACTTTCTAAACCATATATTAGTTTCTAAACATTAGTTTATAAACCATATGCAAATTTTCAAAGACAGTATTTCCATCTAATTTTACAGTGGAGGAAACCGGCGCTCAGATAAGTTTTGGTCAATTTTCTGTGGCTCCTGAAATTGTGTAGCTGGTATTCAAACTCAGGCGTTTCTGACTTCAGAGCTTGTGCTTTGCCTTCCACATCAAATTTCTCATTTTAGGACGAGTTTCTCAAAGCCAAGTAATATGTAAAAATCTCCACTGTCCTCAGGATGATATACTAGAGAAGTTAAAAACCCAGGTTTGAGAGATGGGCCTTGATTCAAATTCTTCTCCATTATTTCCTTATAGTTCAAGAATGGACCAACACAGAACCTCTGAAAGTTTCTATTTACTCAACTCTATATGTGCTCATGATTTTTCTTGTTCCACATTGTTATCATAAGCATAAAATAACTGAAATAAAATGTATTTCACAAATACTATCACAAAATTAAGTGAGCACTTAACTGTTTTGAATAATAGTTGTTGTTTGAGGTCTTGTTTTTTTTTACGGAAGGACAGTCTCTACTTTTGCAATTAGAAATAGGTAAACGGCTTGTAACAGAGAAAATATAGGTGACTGACATAATCAAATTAGTTGATTTTTAAATTTATGATAAAATTCTGGCAGGTAGCACATTTTCATTTAATATTATTTAACTTTGTCTGGCTATTTCAGTGGATTTCATATCTTTCGACCATCCAATCCATTCAGTCTCTTTTTTCCAGGATTATTCTTCCATCTTCTTCCTTGGGAAACAGACAAGGGAGAGACGATTGCTGCCTTGTTATTATACCAGCTTTTAGGATGGGAAAGTAAGGGTCAGAGAGACTTGCAGTTTGACCAGCACCATGTAGTTTGTTGGTGGTAGAGTCAAATCTCAAGCCCAATTTTACAGATCCCAAGCTACACTCCTGTCATGCTGTTTCCTTTGGAGCTGTTTTCCTGCCTTTATCTTAGCAGAAGGGTTTCATGCCTGTGCACAGGCCAAACGTGTTGATTCTTTTTGTTTTAAATAACAGTGATTGCTTCCATTCCTGCCTCACATAGTCAGGAAACAAGTTTACATTACATGGGGAGAAAATGATTTTGCTTTTGTCCAATGTGGAAAATAATAGTTTCTTTTATACAGTTAAGAGCCTTAAGTCCAATGAACTTAGGAACCTTGTAAATATTGCCTTAATTCTCATAATCTCTGGAAGTAAGTTATATAAAGTGTTGCATGAAAACAGTATCAAGATAACATCACAAAAATATTTATATAGATTTTTTGCCCCAGGAACATAGGAACACTGCTAACAAGGTAAGCCTGCTGGCACCCTACCTGAAAATATCCCCCTGAGAAGTTAGCTTGGGCTGGTAATAAAGGCAGATCTCAATCACTGAGGCTGGGGCAACTCCTTTTCTTCACTGCTGCCTGGAATGGAGGGATCCCCTACAGAGATACTGATGTTTAATATCTTTCCTCTTTGGGCAGTTTACTTAATTTTTTTACTTTAATTTATTTAAACAAATATCATTACATATTCCTTAAAAGAAATACAAAATGGAAAAAAATATATATATACCTAAAAGTTCACACCCTAATACTTTGACAACTTTCAATTTCTTTTGTATACAATTTTCTACTTCACACCTAGAAGCATCTAACTTTCTGTCTGGCTCTTTTTTTATGATGCACTTTTTATCCTAGATATTTACCAACTCTGTAGAGAACTAACTAGAGGCCAGACATTTTGCTTTGCTTTGTGGAAT
Source organism: Homo sapiens (assembly GCF_000001405.40). Taxonomy (NCBI): domain Eukaryota; kingdom Metazoa; phylum Chordata; class Mammalia; order Primates; family Hominidae; genus Homo; species Homo sapiens. The sequence goes on along the minus strand of NC_000010.11, from coordinate 108,234,736 downwards.
GCAGAGTGGATTTATACATGGTCTTAGTACTTGATAGACTTGCATTCCTTGGCTCAGGCATGCTTTCAGACAAAAATGTACAGTAAAGGACCACAGGTCAGGCATTTTAGGGGACCCTTCACTCGGAGATAAGGAAGTATGGGGCAACAATCATGTATGCTGAAATATATGTGGAAATGAGACCAGAAGATAGATTTGAAGATGACATTAAGGATCAATCCTGAAAGACATTTTATATGAAAGAAACAAACCATCCTATAAAATATAAAAATGATTCTATATGCTATCTGAAATTATTTAATAACAATAAAAAGCCACATTTTCACACTCTTCCATTTTGACACGTGGATTAACATTGGATTTTCCCTAGAGAGGATAGTATATTTTACTAGATATTTAAGGATATAATGATTTTGTTTGAAAGCCAAAATTGAAACTATTGACTGAGCACAGGGCAGCAAATATATTTAAATTAGGTTAGTTGATGACAATATAGAAAAAAAATATTGCTTTTGCCATTGCTAGTGGCATCAGGCAGGAGTGGTTGGTGACTGCAAAAAGAAAATGAAAGGCTGAGCATGGTTAATAAACAATTAAATGGTAGGTATCAATGCCAGAAGTCCTCTTTGACAACATTTAAAGTGATTAAAATTTCCTGTAACCAGAGAGTAGAAAAACTGGCATACCAGGTGTAGCCCTTAATCTTAAAAGTAGCAGAGCTTCAGAAAAGTTTGAAATTTCAAACTAGCTGGGTTTTCTATACCAGGTAAAGACACAGATTAGAATAAGGCAGGACCTGGAGACAGAGAATGAGAACATCAGGAATGACCATTTAATTTTTTAAATTTTCTGATTACAATGAAACCTCTGGACTAGTAAAAATGGCTCATTTCTCACAGGTAAAGGCTAGTGTCACCCTGCTACCCTACCACCTCTGCTAGACAATAATCCAGTGCCCACTCCCTTGCAAGAAAATATATCATCTTCTTATGTTTTCCAGAATCTGATCCTACTTTTTCTCCTTACTACCAGTCCAATAATAAGGATTAAGTTACAGCACAATATGGCCAGGAAGACGCTAGACCTCCTAAAGAATAAAAGATGCTGTACCTTGTAACTTCCAAACCTAGACATTTCTTTCCAATGTGAACCAGAAAAGTACTTATGGGAGTACTAGATTCTGAGAGTTTCGTCTGGAGGAGGGGAGGGAATTGGAAGACAAAATCTGGTGAGGGATAGTTAATGATTTGCTAGCACTCATAAAAGATTACATATTTAACACCCTGTAAAGGACCAGAAAGGATGGGTCTAACACATTGCTGGGTGGGTCCATTTGTTGAAAGTGATGGACCCACTTCAGAAAGTGGATTTCTGGACCCACTGCTGAAAGAATTGCAGCAGCAGATGGCAGAAGAGTGGATCAAATGATTTAGAGGAGAATATATGTTATAGTGAACATAATAAGTAAGGCCAGAATAACCACCAGATGGCTATATTCTTCAATAGGTGTTGGCGGGCATTATGTTACCAAAGCAAGGGTGAATGGGCTGGTAAGAGAGGCACCAGTATCACCAGAAGATCTCAGTATGGAACTGGCCTCACTAATAGCAATGTGATAATAGACCTCTGAAATCATAGGAATGAAGTAGTGGCATTCAAGGTTCCAAAGAAAAGGCAGGCTGAATTATCATAATGAGCACTAAGACTAAAGTTGCGGTAAGAGGAATCTGACCTGTAGAGATCATGAGGATGGTTAGCAGAGCTCTGTATCTCTAGGAGAAGGAGGATTGTCCATCAACAATAGTATTTACTATTCTATACAAATAGAACAAAGGCAAATACTTAGGAGTCTGAGGGCAACTTCCTCAATAAAAATTCATAATTCGTTAGTTTCTAGACCCAAGATAGTTTCCTGATCCTGAACCCTTCAAATGAAGGAAAGGCTAGGCCTCCAGGAAAAAGATTCCACAACAGTGTGGCATGTGTATATAGAAACGACACTCTCACAGTTGCCCTGAAGGGATGTTGTGATTTACCCTGTTATCCAGACACTAGGGAGGTAGGAATATCTAAACATAAAAAGAACTGTTGAATTCAGCCCAAGCACCACATTTGTTGCTTGTACAGTGGGGTAAGAACAATTACAGTAGAAAATCCTATGATAGTCTTTTAAGCCAATTTTCTCCTCTAGTCAAAATAGAAAGTGCCAATAAAATTGAGAGTGGAGTGGCATAAATTAGAGCCACCCTAAAAGATTTAAAAGATTAAGCAGTGGTGTTTTTCATCTTCATTTACGCCAAGAATCTGGTCCCTGTAAAACCTAGGTTTATTCCAGGAAAAAATTAGTGGACTACCACAAACTCAACCAAATAGTAGCCTCAATTCCATTTGCAGTGGTAAGGCAGTATCTTTGCTAGAGCAGATTAACATACATTCAGGATACATGTGTGCCTCAATTACTCCAGGGAATATATCCTTTTCTATCCTTATCAGAAAGGGCACAGATAAACTTTTCTCATTCATGTAAAAGTTAACAGTAGATTAATTTATATCCTTTCCAAAGGGCTATGTAACTTCCCCACCTTCGGTTGTAATATAGTCTGAAGAGATCTAGACCATCTGACCCTCCATAGAACATTTTACTTGAACATTGTACAAGTAAATTTACATTGTACAGTGTCTTGATGATATTATGTTATTACATTGTATGTGCCAAAAGTAGCAGTATATCTGAGACCTTATTATTATACATGTGCTCCAGAAGGATGGGAATAAACTCTACAAAGTTTGAGGTACATTCCATCAATGAAATATTTAGGTCAATGATTTGTGATAGGCTATGACTTTCCCTCCAAAATAAAAAACACATTATTATATCTCACATCTCTTTCAACTATGCAGGAAGCAAAACGCCTTGTAGGGCTCTCCAGGTTTTGGAGGCAGCAAGCATCACTCCTAAGAAAACTGCAACAGCTCATGTACCAGGTGACCCACAAGGCTGATGGCTTTGAGGGAAGCCCAGAGCACAGAAAGCTGTGAAGCAGGCTCAAGCTGCAGTTCAGGTAGCCCTGTCATTTGTACCACATGATCATCCAGAGCTTATGTTACTGAAAGTTTCTAGGATGGACAAGATGCCACATGGAATTTATCACGAGCTTCAAATGGAGACCCACAATAGAGTTTTCTAGAGTCCTGGAGCAAGGCTGTGCCAACCACAGCATGAATTTGTACACTCCTCTAAAAAGCATGTTACTAGGTCTTGGTAAAAATGGAGCATTGTGAGATGGTGGAAAGGAAGACCCAGTAGCAATTTATTGTGAGATGGAAATGTCACATCCGGGACAGGGCCCAATTATGCTGCACAACCAGTTCACTCACCTTCATGTCATCCATCAGTTGCACCAGGGCCTCTCCCTCAGCTCACACTCAGGGCTACATAAGACAGAGGTGATCTTTATGGCCAACTGAGAAAGGCAAACGGTGCTTCTTCAAAATTAAAATGAACTAATACATAGAAAGTGCTTAACACAGAGATAGCAGATAGTAAAATCTCAAAAAATACTAGCAATTTCTTGCTATTATTTATTGTTTTAATCACTAAGATTGGATCTCTCTGCCCATATAAATTATTTTCTTCTTACGTCTCTCCTCAATTAATTGCCATAGTTTCTTATCCTTATACTGCCAATGCAACAAGCTATAGATTGTTGTTTGTGGCTGACGGGTGGCTAAGACTGAACCAAGAAGTTTCCCAGGCCATGACATGGACCAATGCCACACATTACTCAGAGGTCTCATGCATTCCACAGCCTCTTTTATACTTTAATGACATGGTTTAGCTTTCATCAGATTTTACATTAATGGAAAAGCTTCCTTTCTTCTTTTTTTTTAAATGAGTATACTTATTAGTATTATATTTCTTTTCAAAACAATAATATCAGTTTTCCATGAAAAGATGTTATCTTTAAATTCTGATCTGATCTTCTTCTTATCTTGGAATGACTGGTTTTTAATGAGCCTTTTACTTTCCACCAAGAGCCCACAGGATTCCTGTTGTGGTTTGCTCAGCATTGATTGGCCCGCCGTGGCTTTCAGGGAACTCTTGCATTTTGTGATTGCTAATACAAAAGTAAAAAGGTTTGTTGAGAGATTTCCAGCTTTATCATTGAGTGAGAGAGCAATGTGGTTAAGAGGTTGACATTGGGAAGCACTTTGCACTTTCTATAGGAAACTTTTTCAGGCTACCCGAAGTTATGGGGCTGAGAGAAGCTTCAGATACATTCTAAGACAGCTCTAGTATTTACATTTATAAACCCATTTCTGCAACAGCTTCTTCAACTCATGAGAATATGGAGCTGTGGACTCCAGTACAATTTCTATTTGTGTATCTCCAAAGAGGTTAGATGGATATGTTGACCACATTGTCACTTTATCAGAAATTCCCCCAGGAGCTGGAAAGGCCAGGAGCCTGGGAAACTATGCACTTAAGGAAAAAAACAATTGAACACATAGAAATTGCACTTATCACAGATCATTTTTCTCTGGATAGAATAGTCCCTAGGGTGTACTAGGTGAATGGCTCCATCAGATAATTTTGCTGAATTTCTCCTAGTCAGTGAGTAAATAATTGGCCCCCTCACATATGTGCTATAGTACTATATTTACAGAAGTGGATTAACTACATTCCCACTCTGAGTTCCCACCGGGTTTTGTTTTGATTTTTACTTTTAGTAAACCCCTACTATTCTTTCTGCTTTTAGTTTTGATAGGATTTGTAGTTAATTTAAAAGTCTAAAATTATGTTTTTTGGCCAAAACATTATGTGCAATCAGAAATTACAATGAATTTGAGTTAGAAATTTATTAATTTATTCATGCAGCAAGTATTCATTGTATACTTACTGCATCTTAAGCACTGTGCAAAACACAGATAATAAAACGATGTTTAACACCATATTCTGTCTTCAAGAGCTCACCATCCAGAAATGGAAACCATTAAGCAGACATTTATAGTAGAAGCAAGAGTCCTGAGGGGAAAAATACAGAGAACATGTCTAGGAGAACCCGGGAAGGCTCTGGAAGGAAATAACTGTGGACATAAGTCAAGAATTATTAAGAATGAGAGAGCAAATGGAAGCAAAGGAAAATTCGAGCTAGAAGTGAGACCCACAGAGATTTTGACACAGTGGAGGAACATTAAGTAGTTCACATGGCAGGTTCATGGAGTTCATGGTCTGAATGGAGAGAATTGAAGTTTATCAGGTGTGCGGGGCCAGATGATAGAGACAATAGGAGGGCCCTCTATGCTTACAATCTAGAGAGCAGCAGTACCCACTCCCCACACCCATGTGGCTTGTGGAAATATGTATTATCACACAGATAACATCATCAGCTAAAAATGGCAATAAAAGTGCCCATGTTCCACCTCCCTGCCCTGTGGGGACAAATCCGGTCAGCCCATTCAAAACATCATCCTTACAAGGAGACTCCCGATGTAAATTAGGGAGTTCAGAGGTTGCTGCAGTGTCCACAACAATATGTAGGGGTAAAAGCCAGAGAAATTCTGTTTTGTTTGTTGTGCTCATTTTTAAATGCCAAGCAGATGTGACCTGGAGAAACAAATTGTGTATATCAAAACTTAAATTCCTAACACTTCCATGGTAATTTGAAAAAAAAAGAAAGGTCTTATTTAAAGTCTTAGGACAGGTGCTATAATAGAAAACAAAGAGTGTCTAACACTTGGCAAGGATGACCATGCTCTTGAAGGCCATGCTATTTGGATTTCAAAGGTGAACACAGATGCACGATCCTTAGTAGAAGCACAAAATATGTGTAAGAGAAGAGATTTGATGCAGGATATGTGTGCATTTTGTATATTTTGGGACATTAGTGGTACTTCAGTAAACCACTTAGAAAAGATGCTAAATCCTGAAACGATCAAATATTCCCAGAGTGTACCCAATTAGAAGGAAATATTTATTAGAAAAAAAACTTGAAAGCCATTCCCTAATTCTAAAGAAAATCCACAGACTCATCATGTTGAGAAAGTATCTACTACGCATTATCAAACTTTAGGCATCCTTCTTTTGTCTTTTCCTGAAACTTAACCTCTATTTTATCCTATTTGAAGATCAGTAAGGATCAATAAACCACTATCATAGAAGGGAAGGAGGAATCTAAGCCCCAATATTTATTCTACTCTTATAGCCTAACATATGTATATATATACACACACACACACACACACAGAGAGAGAGAGAGAGAGAGAGAGAGAGAGAGAGATCAGAATGTATAAAGCATGACTTTCCATTTGAGCTTGATTTGCGCATTATAAGCCATAGAACTTTGAAAATCTGAGAGTAGCTACTCTTTTCTACTCTACTTCAGTTTGTCATACGAATGTTGTGGCCTCAATTCTAGATCATTAAGGGAGCTGTAGGACTACCCATGTGCTCACCTAAGGAAAATCCCCTGGATCTCCTATTTTTCCAACTCATTCTCAATCAAGGTTCCTGAAATCTAAAATCCCCCTTGGCTTTCCACCACCAGAAATATCTCTTCTCTCTTCTTCAGTAGTATCTAGCTCCTTGATAGATGCAACTAGGGCATTATTTTGTGTTCTTAAGATACTTACAAGAGGAAAGAGAGAGAAATTGTTAAGCCAATGAGGGCTCTAACCAAACCCTTTAAATGTAAATTGAGTGAGATGTGGTGAATTGTGAATATGGTAAATTATTTGCTGACCAGATTAATGGATTACACAATACAGACTATAGTGGAAAGAACAGCTCACAATCAACATTTGGCTCTACCAGTCACTTAGAATTCAAATGGAAAGAAGTGCCATTTATAGCTTTAGCTGTCTTATTTATATAGTTGTGATATAAATCATAGGTATCTCACAGGATTACAGTTCAGATCAAATGGAAAAATTGAAAGTACTAGGTAAGTGGTGTTTATCTTTCCTATTGACACTCTGGGGATTGGTATTTAAAATTTGGTACAGTTATTTTAAAGACAAACAGGCATTTTTTGTGTTATACTTCTTTCTTTGCATGACTTAAATTACCTCTAAGCATGAAAAAATGACCTGACAAAGGGATAGAACCAAATAAACTGTATTGTAAAAACACAGGATTGTGATGCAATCAATGACAGAGGGTAGTAGTATCCATCATTCAAGGGAAGGTGCAGTGATCAGTCTTGGAAATATTGTTGCCAGAACTTGCAATATGTAATATTCTCCTGTTATTATGCATTGAGCCCTCTGTAGTGGTAAATGAATAGCTGTGTGAAAAGAGATACCAATATTATTACTACAGTAGAAATTGTAGTACTAATAGTAATATCATCAGCAGCAAAACCAACAATAATAATAGTAACAGCAGTAATAGTTTTTGAGCTCCTTCTATATGTGGGTATGTAGTAAGTACTTGATATTCATGAGCTCATTTAATATTCAAAAATTATGATGTAATAAATATGATTATTCTCATTTTGTAAATTCTGTAACTGGCGCTAAGGAAAGTGAAATAAATTGTGTCAATTTCCATAACTGATTAATGCTTGATACATTCTGAATCCAGAACACTATGATGCCAAACCTTATGCAATTATCCAACAGATTACTACTGCCTCTTAATAATTTACCTTAGGGAAACTGAAACAGCTCTCTTGACATAATAATAATATTACTATTAAGAAATGGAACCAACTTCATAGAGTAGAAAAAACCAACATTCTGGATATTCTAAAACTTACAGACTGTCACGGACTCTTAGAGCTATGCGGGATTTAAAAGGTCACTCATCCCATCCATCGTTCCTACTTGATTCTGGGACACACCTGAGATCATAGCTTTTTAAAAAAACATAAAATATAAAATTTCTATTTTTTCTTTCGAATGGACCAATGTTGTTTTCTCTGAGCAGTGAGAACCCGCAATGAGCCACATTACTACCACTCCGACTTCTGGCTTCAGATGTGTCTGATGGCCCACCTCCACAATTTTTTTTTTTTTTACTTGCACTTTGTAAGCCATTAACCTCCCTCCCACTTCTTTATTTCATAAATTCTTATGAGTTGAGATTATCTCACAATAGAAAGCATCACAAGTACAACATGTAATCCACCTTCCAACTCTATGAGTCCCCAAAGGCCATTCAGTGAATTGATGCTATAGCTGAGAACAGAACTTTTTCTTCCGTAACTTCCCAACCTCAAATTGATGACATATGCTTCCTGAATTTACCTTCTTTCACGTTATTGTTTTGCTTTTAATCCTGGATAATTTACCCTTTACTCATGTTCAGATCAAGGATTATGACAAACTTTCTCTGATGATAAAAAGCCTCAGTAATGAAAACACATGCCGCCCCCTGACCCACCAACTCTGCAACACACATACACATACAAGCAACCAAGTCCTCTGTGGAGACCTCAGGTTTGGACACGAGTTTTCATAATCAGACTCTGACCTACCAGTAATGAACCCAGATCTTGACTCTGTCTCACGAACTACTTCAGACAAATTCTCCATTGCTGTAAATTCCTGAGTTCTCAGCATTTTCTGCCTCTTTATCTTGAACATGATAAGAGAAACATATTCACTGGTTTATTCAGTAACTTTCTGACATGGTGATATATACTCATTTATTTGTCCTGCAGAGACTTCCTGAAGTACTTAACCTAAGTCTGTCAATCCTGATGGAGCACTATTATATATCTTTACTGTGGAATTAAATAAGAGGTTTTTTTTTTATTTAATAGGAGAACATGAAGTCACCTGTAAACACTTACCTTTAAAGCCTCTTTTTAAACTCTTTATTGAGCTTGGAATTTTGCTGAGACCATTTTTTTCTTTATCTGTCTACAGCAGATATGATGTATTTTCATGATTAATTATAATAGCTTTATTTCATGATTCAGTACATTTATAACATTTCTTATTTATGATCATTTATCATTCAAGTGTAGAGAGCCTGCTTTTTCTTTCTAGGTTGTACTTTATTTAACATGGAAAATAACCTGATAATTTTTCACCATCAGATGTATCTGGTTAAGAATTTTGATTTACAATTTTCTCAGTTTTGCTGTGACATAAATGAAGATTGTTTACACACTAAATAATAGAATTTCTGTTGAGCAAAACTTTTTATCCTGGTTGAAAAATATGGTTATATATGAACTTTAAACATAACATCTTGTTTAACCTAATATGTAACTATTTATAAAAACTCAAAAATAATCTATAGAAAGTCAAAAATATTTATATCTTAAATTTGGCTTATGTTCCAGTACATTTCTTTCCAGTTTTTTTTCTGTGTACAGCTTATGTAAACATATTAATAAAATATGGTTGAAAAGACTAGTGAAGAATGCAAGATAAACATAAGACAACTAATTTGTGTTCCATACAAACTACCAAAATTAATGATTTAAACACCAATTATACTGAGTCTTGGTCAAACTTGGCCTATGCAAGGGTAATTGGGCTTTAGTATGTCTCTAAGATTCCTGAAAATTGAGTGTGTACACACATTTTCTTCTGATTTGTCTGTAGATTTATCAGATTCTCAATGGATTCCATGATCTAAAATCTTAAGGTTAACATCAAAATTTATTTATTTGTAAAATAGAAGGAATTTGATTTTATTCTCTCTCATGCCCATTTCAATTTTGGATTTCTGATCTTTCTTCCTGTGTGACAGTACATGTTATCTGCTGTTTCTTTAGAAGAATATCCATAGAAGGAACATAATCTATACAAATCATACAACTTGATGATTCCAGAGTGGGGAAAAGAAATGGCCCAAACTCTCCTTCTCTATTTGGGGGATACTGGATTGTAAGGTGTTAGTTACAAAGATCCTTTCTTTTCAAGGGAATCTTAAATTGTGAAAAGAAGGGGGTAAGAATGAAGAATAAACACACACAAAAATCCACGTAGTCTACAGATTGAATTTGGAACTCTGAATTCACTAAGCCAGAGGGCTGGGAGCAACTTTGGTTTGTCAATAAGAAAAAAATCTAGTAAGAATTATGGTGAACCAGTAGTGTTAGAATCATAGAAATGAGAAACAGTAATGAAATAAAGCACAGCAAAGTTCTCTAGAGGAAGCAGTGTGGGCTGAGGTGCCAGTTTTCACATGTATAGGCTGTACAGTTGCATGGAAAGGCTGCTACACTTAATGGACACATTAATAGAGTCATGGTCTCCTGCTTCTATCATTTTTCTCTACTGTACACAGAATACCTTGTCTAAAACAGAAAACTCATCCTGTTTAAAAATGAAAGCCCGTGAAGTGAATTGGTTAAAGTAGAAATAATTTTTTGAAAAGAATAAAGGAGGGTAATTGAGGACTTTCACAAAGAGGTCATTGCAGCTGGGCAACTGCCACACCAAATGGAGAAATAATAGATCACAAGTTACCAGTCAAGAACACAAACTTATTGATGAAGCATCAGTCCAAATGCAGATTCCTCTTATCTGCAGTAAGAAGAGGAGCACATGTTTCCGCTGTGATGTGTCCTCCTCATGGAAGAAAGTATATCTATAAAGCAAGAGCCATTCCCAGCATCTGCATATGGAATATTAAGACTTAGGGCCCCTGAATGCTTTCTTCAGATTTCTGCAACTTTGAGTAAATAAAGGTCATTAAGAGAGAAGCAGATTGGTAAGAAACAGATTGAAAACATAAGGACAAATTTCAAGTCCACACAGATTCTTCATATAAAACATTAGGATAGTAACTCAATGGGGCTTGCACAGGTTTAATGAGATGATAGGTATGGCAGAACTCCATAAAACTCTTTACAAATGTTTAATCTCATATTTACCCCAAAATAAACAATTCATTCCTGGGATTTGCAAGGTGCAGATACCATTTAGAGGTTACATTTGCAGTAAGTACGTAGATCTGTGCTCAAAAGGGACAAGTAATGCACAGTAATCCTCTCTTTCTTGGCCATTCATCCAAAAAATAGCTCAAAGAAGCCAAGCCTCCAGCTCCCACTATGAGGCCCACCAGAAAACTTCTAGGGCATGATCCTTGCCCAGTGTGGGGTTTCTTTCACTACTGTCCCTTTTGTATTTTCTCTGGGTCAAAGAAACAGAGCAGGTGGGAGGAAACCATGATTCCTGAGTTGCACCAGTGGCTGTCAGAGTTTGGCTGTGTAACAACTGTCCACCTTTATGATCTACTATCTTGTATGAGGAAGACAATGTGGCTTATTTAGCGAATAAATCACTAATGTCAAAATAAATGAGACCTTCTCTCTTTCCATCTCTTAGCGGCAGAATGTGGTGGAAAGTATTCAGGCCCTGAAGGTAAGATGTCTGGCTTATAGGCTAGTCCTACCACTATTTTTGTTGTTAATTCTCCTAAGTCATTAGACTTCTCTGTCTGTTTCCAAAAGTACAAAATATTATTTAAAATGTGTATTTTCCAGAAATTGGTAATACTGTTCTGGAAAAACCACCTCTTTCCATTTCTCCATTTAGGAGAACTTCATTGATACCATTCTGTCAAATTCCTTCTTAAGTAAGAATCACAGAAGGTGATTTTGCACAACAAATAAATTCTTGCCTTTTAATGTGATGTGAATCAAAGAACATGAACTCTAACAGAGAAACGTAAGTTTAAATCTAGCTCCATTACTTACACGTTAGGTAATCTTGAAAGATTTTTGTTTAGCTCTATCCATCTGTTTCTGAGTAACTGAGGGGGTCTGTTTTATCATTTGTGTGACGAACTCCTCTTTCTCTTTACAGTGTTATACTCACTGACAAAAGTGGATTCATTGGGCATTAATTGTGTAAATCCATAGGTTTCTTGATTCAGTTTCTTAGTGCATTCTCTGGATTTTAGAGATGAACAAATAATAGAAAATCAGTGGTATATATGGATTTTAAAGAAAACTTACAACATCTGTATATTTATGTAAAGAAAGGAGAAACTTCATTGTAAGGTTTAATTTCTTTTGGAATTTAGAGAAAAATCAAATGAGTTTTGAAATGAGTGAGTAGGCAATAGGAAAGCTAAAAGAGAGGCTAGCAATGGAGATCTGCTTTCTTATTTCTTCAGATTCATGTAAACTTAGGCCAAACATGTAACCACACTGGGCCTTAAGTTCCTCCCTCATAAAATAATAAAGGCCTATATAAGGCCTTTTCCAGCTTTGGCAATTATAAATGTATAATCCTAAAATTTCATTTCTAAATATTTAGTGTGGTTTATAGTTTACCCTTTAAAGAAGGTTCAGATTGGAGGCTAAATCCCAATGGGCAGCATGAATTATTGATCATAGATCCAGATTCACTTCTCTTTTATCACTGAAATAAAACCTGGCGACTGACCACCTCCAAAGGGCTGGCTGAATAGATCACTGGAGGAGCACCTGTTATCTCAGCAGCCAGCCAGTGTTCTTCCCACTGGCCTTCTCCCAGGGCAGTGCTTATTTGTGGTTTTCTCTCAGTTGCAGTTAATCATTTGGAAACTCACTGTAATCCTAGTGACTAGGAAGAATGAGCAAAAAAATAAAACAAAACATAAAATCTCTCTAACCCAGATCACCAGAGTGAATTCATCCTGTAGCATAACCAATTCTTTAGGATACTGGCTCAAAATTTGCAAGGGGTAGAAGGAAGACTTTTAATGTGTAAACACTTTTTTCCCTATTTTTTTGGTGGGAGTAGGGGAGGCAGTCCTTGCTCAGGTGGCAAAAGAATCATGTTTCTTCCAGAGAGAAGAGCTGGGAGGATGGGTAATGGAGGGATGAGACATCTGCCCTGTCTAGGGCAAATGAACATCTGAGTGAGCTCCTGAGATGGGTCATGGCAAATTTGCTTTTACTACCAGCCTGCTTGCGTGGGGCACCATGTGCAGAGAGCCCATCTAGCAGGAGAGCATGAAATTAACATGCAAACAGGTGCTGGGTAACTTATAGTCAAAAAACAAAGGCACATTTTTAGCTGGATAAATAGATGAAAAGGCCGTATAATAAAAGGCCAGTTCTGGTGTCATCATTGGAGCACCTGTACCACTCTGGGTCTGAACTATTAAGATAATAAGCTAATTAGAATTGAATTTCTGTCACTTGAACACATAGAAAAGAATCCTAAAACAACCACACTTAATAATAAGTCATTTTCTAGAACAGTACTCAAAATGCAAATATATTCATCCCTTTTACTGGCCAAAATTGCCTTATATTCTCCCTCACTTTGAGAAAAGTTTAGACAGATTTCTTCCTGACTACAGGCCTCTGACCTCCCTTTTCTTAGAGTGTTTACATAAGAAAACTTATAATTATAAATTATTTATTTGCCCTTTTGACATATAAGTCTTCTATAAGCCAGGAATGTCTTTCTCAGTACCTGGGAGCCATCCTTTGAAATGTAATTATAAAGATAGCATCGCTATCTCCTAGTCTCTTCGAGAGGGTGGGAGAATAACTTTGATATCCACCAATGAGCAAACACAGCTGGCCTAATCACATTAGCCGCTCCCCCTTAAAGCTCTCCAGGACTTTTCTGCTAGCTAACTCAGTTGCCTAAAAACCTTCCCACCTTTTAAAAAATGTAATTTACAAATAATAATGTACATATTTGTACCAGGATAGTTGAGTTCAATTTCTTTTTCTTCTTGCAAAGGTCTTCAATAAAGTTTTTCTTGCCCATTTAGCTGGCTAGGTACTTCCCCTTGCTCCCAATACTACTTCATGACTTCATGGCTAGAGGAGTCAACAGCGATTTTATAGTTAGAAGACTTGGATCTTCTAACGCTTAAATCTTGGATCTTCTAACTTAGACTCTTCCTTAAACACAGCAGTTAACTTCAGAGTACCCTCATTTTCTTATTCATAAAATTGGAACCTCAAAGATTCCTATGAAGATGATACAAGATGAGGGATGTAGAAAGCATTGTAATTATTTTTTTTAACTGAATATTTAATTTCATTTAATTTTTTAAAAATGTATTATACTTTAAGTTCTGGGATACATGTGCAGAATGTGCAGGTTTGTTACATAGGTGTACACGTGCCATGGTGGTTTGCTGGACCCATCAACCTGTCATCTACATTAGATATTTCTCCTAATGCTGTCCCTCCCATAACACCCTACCCCACAACAGGCCTCGGTGTGTGACGTTCCCTCCCTTTGTCCATGTGTTCTCATTGTTCAACTCCCATTTATGAGTGAGGACATGTGGTGTTTGGTTTTCTGTTCTTGTGTTAGTTTGCTGAGAATGATGGTTTCCAGCTTCATCCATGTCCCTACAAAGGACATGAGCTCATCCTCGTTTATAGCTGCATAGTATTCCATGGTGTATATATGCCACATTTTCCTTATGCAGTCTGTCATTGATGGGCATTTCGGTTGGTTCCAAGTCTTCGTTATTGTGAACAGTGCTGCAGTGAACATACGTGTATGTGTGTCTCTATAGTAGAATGACTTATAATCCTTTGGGTTATATACCCAGTAATGGGATTGCTGGGTCAAATGGTATCTCTGGTTCTAGATCCTTGAGGAATTGCCACACTGTCTTCCACAATGGTTGAAATAATTTATACTGCCACCAACAGTGTAAAAGCGATCCTATTTCACCACATCATCTCCAACATCTGTTGTTTCCTGACTTTTTAATGATCACCAATCCAACTGGCATGAGATGTTATCTCATTGTGGTTTTGATTTGCATTTCTCTAATGATCAGTGATGATGAGCTTTTTTTCATATTTTTTTGGACCCGTAAATGTCTTCTTTTGAGAAGTGTCTGTTCATATTCTTCACCCACTTTTTGATGGGGTTGTTTGTTTTTTTTTCTTGTAAATTTGTTTGAGTTTCTTGTGGATTCTGGATATTAGCCCTTTGTCAGACAGATAGATTGCAAAAATTTTCTCCCATTCTGTAGGTTGTCTATTCACTCTGATGATAGCATTGTAATTCTTAAGTAAATATATACAATTAAAGGCATAAAGGAAGGATTTAATGATATGACTATCAACTAAAAACCATTCTATATCTTGGAGACTATATAAACAAAGCTTAAACAATAGATAACTGATGGAGACATCATACAGCAAACACAATGAACTACTATAAATCAATACAACTTAAACACAAGTTGGTTTCAAGAATATAAGTAATCAATTCATAAAAATAGAAATAGAAATGAGCAATGCAGAAGTCAAAAATTCTTAACCTCATAAGGAATCAGGATAATTGTCAATTAAATTACAAGTCATTGTCTATATTGGTATTGAAACCTATTTATGTTTTACTTAATTCTGACTTTATAACTTAGCATGTAAAACCCCATTTCTACCTATTCACCCTCCAATGCCACTTTAACGGTCTTGAAACCAATGCCAAAATTCATGGGTAATAATTTGTTATTGTTATAACAAGAGGAGTTGCCAATGTGGAAAACAATAAAGGACACTGGAAAGAAATGTCAGTCTCATAGAACAAAATTTAAATATTTAAAATTTGATTTTTAATTTTTGCATTTCAATGTGCCAGATCTATGTTAGGTACTTTTATATATTGTTTTATTAATTATCTCAATAATAGGCAGTCTTTTGACTGCTTATTTCAATACTGTAGAGTCTTAAAGCAGAATGGTGTGAACCTTATGGGCAAATTTGAACATTTTATTTACAATTCCTTATCTATCACTCTCTCATCCTAGGTATTCAGCAATCAGCTTGAAAATGATTGATTTTTGAGTTCTTAGACACTGGCATAGACTTTCCTTTTGTTTGCTGGGTTTTTTTTTGGTTCAGTGTTTTTTACATTTCGGGGTACATAAGAATTATCATCAAGAGTTAACTACCCTCAAATAACATCTATCATATTTTATGATTTTGTAAGGTAGTTTTGCCTATATGTAATTTGTATGTTATTCACTGACTTAATCTCACTTAAAATGCAACCCCATTGTATTATTTGGCTTTAACAGGTTAACAGATCTCTACAAATAGAATTAAGAATTAGCCAAGTGGGGACGTGGATTTTCGCATATACTAGTGCTGGGAGTGAGGCATATTTTTAGGGAATTTGGCAATACATATCAACATGTTCAATGTGCAAATGTTTTGAACTGATATTTCTGCTTCTATCAATTTTATTACCCTGAACCATTTTTAAAATATGTATAAAGCTACATGTATGAGGATGTTCAAAACTACAATGCTGCAATAGCAAATTCCAGTGTTGATAAACATACCACTTAAATGCTTTAGATTTCTATATACTTCATTTTAAATAAAATAACAATTTCTTACTTTGACCTACATGGCCCTAAATGCTCTGCTTTTTTTCCTTTCTCTCCAGCCTCATATTGTTCCTCTAAATGATATGCTTACCACATTCTATCCCACAACCTTTCTCCAGAACCTTGGACATCCATAAAGTAGGATGGTTAAAAAAATAAAATGCTTCCAGTCTAATTCTGCAAAACAGTTAACAAGATTGATGCAGCTCTCTATTTCAATATAGAAATATCTTAAATGCATTGTTTATAATGAATAGTGTTCTGTTTGTGTGTTTGTGTCAGTGTCTATATTTCAATTCACTATTAATTATGTGATTTTATTTTGGTTGTGGTCCTTCTACAGACAAAATACAAAAAGACAGGTAAAACTTACCTACTTTCAAAGACACCCTCCAATTCTTCATACTTAGAAAAGGCCAGGCTGTTTCCCTCTGCTCTTCTCCTGCAAAGTGCCCTGCTATCCTCTGAATTCTGGCCTAAAGAATTTAAGAATTTTTGATAATAATAATAATAACAAGCATTTTTAAAGTGCTTATTTGGAAGGCACAGGACTGAGTAATTAACATGAATTATCTCATTTCATCTTCACTATTTCGAGAAAGTAAAGTCATTTTATGGTGAGGATCTCAGAAGATGAGACTTTTCAAAAACCATTGCTTGTAAGTGGCAAAATCAGGCTTCAAATCCTGTTTAGATGACCATAGTGCTTGCTTTTGTTCCCAAAAGTTCCTGATTTGGGGGATAAAATATAGTCATCCTAAAAAAGGAAGAGAATATTGGTATACAGTTCAAGAGGCTGAAATGAGGAGTCAATACTGCAGCATTTTGTAGAGTTTCCTAGAACAGAGTCTGGACATAGATGGCTAACGCATGAAAACTGCTGCTTCATAGATGTGTAGCTGTCTACAGGTTATTCAACGTCTTAGACATGAAACATTGAAGTCGGTCTACCTTTTCCAGGAGGTGTAGGAAGATTAGGAATGGATACCTCTGCATTGTATGGTCTGTATCTAAACATCCTTCCTGCACCTGTAGGTGAGGTAGATTAGAAAAAAAGTTTTGGGGCATTTAGAATTATGAATATTATGTGAGTAGAGGGTTGAGAAAAGATTACTTATTGAACATTTATAATTAAAAGTAAAAATAAACTTGTCCCAGAGCGAAACCTAAAATACTTTATTTTTTACAAAATTGTTTTAACTCTGCTAGCCTGTAACGAGTAGAACTAATGTTAGATGTGCTTGTTCTAGTAATGGAGATGAACTTTGATTCATCCACAGTTTCTGGCAGAGTCCTCTTTATGTGAAACCTGGATGGAGTTGAAGACTGTCTGAGCAAGACAGCAAAGCTAAGCGTTCCACACAGCGATCACATTCATGATACTGGCTTTATAATCATCTTTGTTTTTCCCAGAAGAAGAATTAATGGGACTCATGGACGAATAAATGTCATAAGTAAGACAACTTCCAGGAAAATGGTCTCCAGCTTTGTTAGAGTTTCCTGAAAGTGTGATCAACTAAACTCATCTGACTGTTTACTCTCGCAGCTGGCCCCGATCCAGGCATTTTCCAAGCTATTTGGATAAATGGGTTCCAGGTGTTCGAGGGTATTGGAGAATATCTCAATTATTTTATCTGTGGATGGGACAGGCCAGGACTTCCTTTGGTGTGGTGGGCTGGTTAGCATATTTACAGTTGGTAATGGGTACAGACCATACTCACCCATTGCCCTTACCAGTCTCCTTACTTCCCATCACACACCAGCCAGGTGTTCAGGGGTTTGGCATCCCCAGCTGCTCAGTGACCCCTTTGTGCCATTCTGCCTATTCCTACCACCAGGTGAGAAGCTGAAGGAACCCTACTGTCACCTGTTGTGCCTGTCTCTTTTAGAATGGCTCATAGAAATTGATTGGACTTTTTTTTCTTTATAAATTAGCTAGTGTCTAGGACCAAATAATAAAGCAGATGTTGGGTTAAGCATAGGCAAGGCACAAAGATAAAGTCTACCTCAGTTTTATAGAACAGATGACTGACTTCTTAGTTCAGGCCACAGGAATGGAAAGACATGCATTTTGCAATCTCTAGGTAAAACGTGGCTCAAATTCTATCTTTTTAACCTACTAGCTGTTTGACCTTAGATAACTTATTTAATCTTCCTGAACCTCAATTTCCTTCTCATAAAACTAGGAATTATAACAATCTAGAAACACTGTTGGAGGATTTTCTATTTTTATTATTGGATTAAGACTGAGGTGTAGCTAAAACTAGTAAGAGCAAGAGATTAGAAACAAAGAGCAGAGGTATTTGGTTTTGCTGTTGTTGTCAGAATCACTGACTTCCTTGGTCTTTGACACATGCTTCAATTTCCTTAAAGATTACTCTGTGTTTCTCCTGATGATCCACCTAATCACAGTGAATATTTTACCCATTTATGTTTACAAAATATTATATCAGCAGAGGGAGAGGATTAATTCTATATCTTCAGCACAATTAAAGTGAGCTTTGGGGATCATGGCAGATGGGAGGCAGGACTGCATTGCAGCTCCGACTTGGATGGACATAGCAGCGTGTAGAGGCTCGCATCGTGAATTTTCACTCCCAAATGACTGCAGGAATAAATCAGGAAACCTGAGAGGACCCCAGACCCCATGAAGGGAGTAGATTGCTCCTGTAGGACCTGGGAGACAACCGAATTACTGTGAGTGCCCAAACTGTGGAAGCGGGAAAGGCAGATCATCTGCCCCCAAATATGCACCCCAACTGGGGAAACTGAAGGCCTAGATTATGGGAGAAGATTTTGACTTTACCTGCAGCTGAATCAATTTAGAGAGCCAAGTGAAATACAGGGGTAGAGGAAGCAGCGGGAAAAGCCCTGGGAGCGTGTAGGATCCCCGAGCAAGGCATTTTTGCCTGGCCTCACAAGGGTCCTTCAGGAGGGTGGCAAGATGCAGTGGGCAAGGGCCATAGGGAGAAGGAAATTTCCAGCTGAATTTTGTAAAAATTTGAACTGATTTAGAAGCCTCCTGGCAGAACTCAGGCGAGGACGTGAATCTGGTATGCAGACTCCACAGGCAGGGGAAGAAGAAAAGCCAGATTTGCTTTTGCAGCTGGGAGGCAGGTAGACTAGGGCAAGTTCTCAGCCCTGCTTGCCACTGCCTGGAAACAGACTCGGTGCTGTTGGGTTGGGGGGCATGCTGGGAGTGAGACTCCCTTTGGATTGCATGGGAGCTGGGTGAGGCCTGTGACTGCCAGCTTTCCCCCACTTCCCTGCCAGCCTGCATGACACAGTAGAGACAGTCATAATCCTCCTAGGAACATAAATCCATTGGCCTGGGAACCTCATTCTCATCCCCAACAGCAGCCGCAGCAAGATCCACCCAGGAAGAGTCTGAACTCACACACTCCTAGCCCTGCCCCTATCCAGTGGTCCTTCTCTACCCACCCTGATAACTGAAGATGAAGGGCATATAAGCTTGGACAATCTGGGGCACTGTCCACCATTTGTTCCTCCTCATACTACCACAGCTAATGCTCTCTTGAAACCACCACTTCCTGCTAGGAGGCCAACCAGTGCAAAAACAGTGCATTAATCAACCTAAGCTAAGGACCCTCACAGAGTCTATTTCACCCCCTGCCACCTCCACCGGAGCAATTGCTGGTATCCACGGCTGAGAGACACATAGATGGTTCCCATCACAGAACTCTGTGAAGACAACCCCCAGTACCAGCCCAGAGCCTGGTAGACTTGCTGGGTGGCTAGATCCAAAAGAGAGATAACAATTACTATAGCTCAGCTCTCAGGAAGCCATATCCATAGGAAAACGGAGAGAATACTACATCAAGTGAACACCTCATGGGACAAAAGAATCTGAACAACAGCCTTCAGCCCTAGACCTTCTGTCTGACAGAATCTACACAAATGAGAAGGAAGCAGAAAATCAACTCTGGTAATATGACAAAACAAGGTTCTTTAACACCACCCCAAAATCACACTAGCTCACCAGCAATGGACCCACACCAAGAAGAAACCCCGATTTACCTGAAAAAGAATTCGGGAGGTTAGTAATTAAGCTAATCAAGGAGGCACCACAAAAAGCTGAGGCCCAATGTAAGGAAATCCAAAAAATGACACAAGAAGTGAAGGGAGAAATATTCAAGGAAATAGCATAAATAGAAAACAATCAAAACTTTGGGAAACAATGGACACACTTATAGAAATGCAAAAGACTCTGGAAAGTCTCGGCAATAGAATTGAACAAATAGAGGAAAGAAATTCAGAGCTTAAAGACAAGGTCTTCGAATTAACACAATCCAACAAAGACAAAGAAAAAAAATAAGAAAATGTGAACAAAGCCTCCAAGAAATCTGGGATTATGTTAACCAAACCTAAGAATAATCTACTTTCCTGAGGAAGAAGAGAAATCTGAAAGTTTGGAAAACATATTTGGGGGAATAATTGAGGAAAACTTCCCCAGCCTTGCTAGAGACTTAGACATCCAAATACAAGAAGCACAACGAACACCTGGGGAATTCATCACAATAACATAATCATCTAGGCACATTATCATCAGGTTATGTAAATTAAGATGAAGGAAAGAAGAACTGTGAGACAAAAGCACCAGGTAACCTATAAAGGAAAATCTATCAGATTAATGGTAGATTTCTCAGCAGAAACCCTACAGGCTAGAAGGGACAGGGGCCTATCTTTAGCCTCTTCAAACAAAACAATTATCAGCTAAGGATTTTGTATCCAGTGAAAGTAAGCTTCACATATGAAAGAAAGCTTCACATAGTCTTTTTAAGACAAGCAAATTCTGAGAGAACTCACCACTACCAAGCCACCACTACAAGAATTGCCAAAAGTTAGAGACCTAAATTTTGAAACAAATCTTGGAAACACATCAAAACAGAACCTCTTTAAAACATAAATCTCACAGGACCTATGAAACAAAAATACAATTTAAAAAACAAAAACAAAACAAGAATACAGGCAACAAATTACATGATTAATGGAATGGTACCTCACATTTCAATACTGAGATTGAATGCAAATGGCCTAAATGCTCCACTTAAAAGATATAGAACTGCAGAATGGATAAGAATTCACCAACCAGCTATCTACTGCCTTCAAGAGACTCACCTAACACATGAACACCCTCACAAACTTGAGGTAAAAGGGTGGAAAACTACATTTCATGAAAATGAACACCAAAATTGAGCAGGAGTAGCTATTCTTATATCAGACAAAACAAATTTTAAAGCAACAGCAGTTTAAAAAGACAAAGAAGGACATATATAATGATAAAAGGCCTTGTCCAACAGAAAAATATCATAATCCTAAAAATATATGCACCTAACACTGGAGCTCTGTAATTTATGAAACAATTACTAATAGACCTAAGAAATGAGATAGACAGCAACAGAATAATGCGGGGGACTTCAATACTCCACTGACAGCACTAGACAGGTCATCAAGACAGAAATTCAATAAAAAAACAATGAATTTAAGCTATACCCTGAAACAAATGGAATTAACAGATATATACAGAACATTCCATCCAAAAACCACAGAATAAACATTCTATTCAACAGTGCGTAGAACTTTCTCCAAGATAGACCACATGATAGGCCACAAAATGAACCTCAATCAATTTAAGAAAATTGAAATTATATCAAGCACTCTCTTAGACCAAAGTGGAATAAAACTGGAGATCAACTCCTAAAGGAACCTTCAAAACCATGCAAATATGTGGAAATTAAATAACCTGCTCCTGAATGATCACTGGGTCAAAAATGAAATTAGGATGGAAATTAAAAAAATTCTTTGAACTAAACGGCAACAGTGACAACACCTATCAAAACCTATGGGACACAGCAAGGGCAATGCTAACAGGAAAGTTTATAGCCCTAAACACCTACATCAAAAAATCTGAAAGAGCACAGTCAATCTAAGGTCACACCTTAAGGAACTAGAGAAAAAAGAACAAGCCAAACCCAAACTCAGCAGAAGAAAGGAAATAACCAAGATCAGAGCAGAACTAAATGAATTGAAACAAAAAAAGATACAAAAGATAAATGAAACAAAATGCTGGTTCTTTGAAAAGATAAATAAAATTGATAGATCATTGGCAAGATTAACCGAAAAAGAAGAAAGAAAATCCAAATAAGCTCAATAAGAAATGAAATGGGAGATACTACACCTGACACTACAGAAATACAAAAGATCATTCAAGGCTGCTATGAACACCTTTATGTGGCCAAACTTGAAACTCTAGAAGAGATTGATCAATTCCTGCAACTATACAACGCTTCTAGCTTAAATCAGGAAGAATTAGATGCCCTGAACAGACCAATAACAAGCAGTGAGATTGAAATGACAATTACAAAATTACCAACAACAACACAAAAGTCCAGAACCAGACAGATTCACAGCAGAATTCCTCCAGACATTCAAAGAAGAATTGGTACCAATCCTATTGACAGTATTCCACAAGATAGAGAAAGAGTGAACCCTCCCTAAATCATTTTATGAAGCCAGTATCACTCTAATACCAAAACCAGGAAAGGGCATACCCAAAAAAGGAAAACTACAGACCAATATCCCTGATGAACATAGATGCTAAAATCCTTAACAAAATACTAGCAAACCAAATCCAACTACATATCAAAAAGATAATCCACCATGATCAAGTGGGTTTTATATCAGGCATGCAGGGATGGTTTAATATATGCAAGTAAATAAATGTAATATGCTGCATAAACAGAATTAACAACAAAAATCATATGATCATCTCAATAGAAGCAAAAAAAGCATTTGACAAAATCCAGCATCCTTTTATGATTAAAACTCTCAGCAAAATCATCATACAAGGGACATACCTCAATATAATAAATGCCATCTATGACAAACTTACAACGAACATAATACTGAATGGGGAAAAGTTGAAAGCATTCCCTCTGAAAACTGGAACAAGACAAGGATGCCCAGTCTCACCACTCCTTTTCAACATAGTACTGGAAGTACTAGCCAGAGCAATCAGACAAGAGAAAGAAATCAATGGCCTCCAAACACTGTTGGCTATTTGATATGATCTAAAGACTACTACAGAAAGCTCCTAGAACTGACAAAAGAATTCAGCAAAGTTTCTGGATACAAAATTAATGTACAAGAATTAGTAGCTTTTCTATACACCAACAGTGACCAAGCTGAGAATCAAATCAAGAACTCAACCCCTTTTTCAATAGCTGCAAAAAAATAAAATACTTGGGAATATACCTTACCAAAGAGAGGAAAGACCTCTACCAGGAAAACTACAAAACATTGCTGAAAGAAATAATACATGACATAAAAAAATAGAAACACATCCCATGCTCATGGATGGGTAGAATTAATATTGCGAAAATGACCATACTGCCAAAAAAAATCTACAATTTCAACACAATTTCCATCAAAATACCACCATCATTCTTCACTGATTAGAAAAAAAAAATCTAAAATTCAAAGTGCTGGGATTAGAGGCATATGCCATGTATCTGGCCAAAAATTTCATTTTTGGATAGCTCATTGTAAGTGTAAAGAAAACCCTGATTTTTAAATGTATATTGAGTTTGTATTCTACAACTTTACTGAATTTGTTTAGTATTTCTAACAGACTTTTAATGGAGTCTTTAGTATTTTCTATATATAAGATTATGTTGTCTGTAAATGGAGACATTTAATTTCTTCCTTTGCAATTTGAATGATTTTTTTTTCTTGCCTTATCTCTCTGACTAGGACTTCCAGAACTGTGTTATATAAAAATGGCAAAAGTAAACATCCTTGTCTTCTTCCTGATCTTAGAGGAAAAGCTTTTAGCTTTTTCCCATTTAGTATGCTGTCAGCTTATCATATATGGCCTTTATTTTGTGACACTAATTTTGCCAATAGTTTTTTTGGATATGATACCAAAAGTACAGGCAACAAAATTTAAAAAATAATAATTTGAATTGTGTCAAACTAAAAAGCTTCTGCACAGCAAAGGAAACAAGCAACAAATTAAAATGTCAACCTGTGGAATGGGAAAGAATATTTGCCTAATCATATATCTGATAAGGAGTTAAAATCCAAAAAATATGTAAGTGATTAACAGAACTCAATAGCAAAAAATAATAATAATAAAAATCAGATTTTAAATGGGCAAAGGAGTGGAATAGACATTTTTCCAAAGAAAACGTACAAATCCACAATGAGTATATGAAGAGATGTTCAAAATCACTAATCATGAGAGAAATACAAAGCAAAACAATAATCGATCATCACCTCACACTTATTAGGATGGCTAGTATCAAAAAGACAAGATATAACAAGTATTGGTGAGGTTGTGAAGAGAAGGGAATGTTTGTACACTGTTGGTAGGAGCGTAAATTGATATAGTCATTATGAAAAGCATATAGAGGTTCCTAAATATTAAAAATAAAATTATCATATGATTCAGCCATTCTACTTCTGGGTATGTACCCCAAGGAAATAAATTAGTATCTCAAAAAGATATCTCCACTCTCATGTTCATTGAAACATCAGTCACAAGAGATAAGATGCAGATGTTGAAACAATTTAAGTGTTGGATGAATGGATAAAGAAGATGTGAGATATATACACACCAATTCTCTCTCTCTCTCTCTCTCACACACACACACACACACACAGAATATTATTCAACCATAACAGATGGATGAATGGATAAAGAAAATGTGAGATATAAACACACACACAGACATACCTAGACACACACACAGGGAATATTATTCAGCTATGATTGATGGATGAATTGGTAAGGAATATGTGATATGCACACACACATACACACACACAAAATGTTATTCAGCCATAAAATGTAAGAAAATCTTGCCATTTGCAACAACATGGATGAACCTGGAAGACATTTTGCTAAATGAAGTAAGCCAGAGACCAAAAGATAAATATTGTATGATCTCACTTATATGTGGACTCTAAAAAAGTCAAACCTACAGAAGCAGAGAGTTGAAAAGCAACCACTAGGGCTAGGAGGTAGGGGGATTGGGGGGAAGTTGGTCAAAAGGTACAAACTTTCATATATAAGATAAATAAGTTGTGGGTATTTAAGATAAAACGCGAGTGGTGATGGATGTGTTAATTTGATTGTGGAAATTATTACACAATGTATATGTATATCAAATCGTTATATTGTACACCTTTAATATATATGATATTTGTCAATTAAATCTCCAAAAAAAAATTGAAAAAAATCTCAGCATAAATTAGGGGCCATATGCTGCATTGCCTCATATAAGATAAATGAATAAATCTTCCAATTTTCTCCAAGATGTCTCAGCATTCTATGCAGTATTTTTAGATATATTTTCTTAATTTTAAATAAGTTTACAAGGAGTATTTGATCCAATCAACTTTAATTGCCTACCAACATAATCCAATAACCTCATTTCAGTTGTATTGTTAGAGGAGTTAATTGGACCTGCACAGCCACCAGCTAAAGATATTGGTTTATGCAAACAGTAAATCCAATTTCCGCTATAAACACATCTCTGCCGGAGGAGTACAGACAGAGAGAAAAGATAGAGGATACTGAATGCAACCTCAAAATATCATTAAGTCCAATTATCTGCTTTCATTAGATGGAGAAGGAAAAAAATATCATTAATGTATTTAAGTAAATATAAGTGACTGTGTATTTATAATGCAAATAGTATATTTTACATATATGACACTATACATAATATGTGATATGATTATATATACAAACTTATATGTAATATATACACACAAAGACACACACATATGTATTTGATTACATATATTTAACTTGACCCAGATACATTATTATTTTCCAATTGTAATATGTCAATGTATTAGTTTGTTTACTCACTGCTCTAAAGAACAGCCAAAAACTGGGTAATTTATAAAGAAAACAAGTTTAATTTACTCACAGTTCTGCATGGCTGGAGAGGCCTCAGAAACTTACAATCATGGAGGAAGGGGAAGCAGGCATGTCTTACCCATGTAAGTGAGCAAAAGAGAGAGCACCAAGAGGAAAGAGCCCCTTATAAAACCATCAGATCTTGTAAAAACTCACTCACTATCATGAGAACAGCATGTAGAAAACTTCCCCTATGATGCAATCACCTGCCACGGGGTCCCTCCATCAACATGTAGGCATTATAGTTTGAGATGAGATTTATGTGGGGACCCCGTTATCAGTCAGATGTTATCGGTCAACAAAAAAGGATGTGATAAAATTTAGAGCACAATTTAGTTCAGCCAGAATCAGCAGGGAGGGACTGTTTTTCCTCCAAGCCTATCATGCCTCCTACACATTGTCCCTAACAACTTGAGGAATTATTCTAGGAGTGATGAGAGTTTTGTATTTGATGAATTATTATTATTTTTTAAGACAGAGTCTCGCTCTGTTGCCCAGGCTGGAGTGCAGTGGTGCGATCTTGGCTCACCACAACCTCTGCCTCTCAGGTTCAAGTGATTCTCCTGCCTCAGCCTCCTGAGTAGCTGGAACAACAGGCACACGCCACCATGCCAGGCTAGTTTTTGTATTTTTAGTAGAGATGGGGTTTCACTATGTTGGCCAGTCTGGTCTCGAACTTCTGACCTTGTGATCCGCCCGCCTCAGCCTCCCAAAGTGCTGGGATTATATGCATGAGTCACCGCACCTGGCTGATGGATTATTTTTAAACCTGCAGTTTTCCTATGGGTATATCAACATTTGCCTCTAAAGAAAAATGCAATGTATTTAGACTTCAATGTCTTAATATTGGTGTAATTCAGATCCATGGTTACTTGATGTATCAGAATGAACTGGAGTCTATTGCTTTCTGATCCCATCACATGACTCACACGTCTTCAGTCTCAGGAAATTCATAAATTATCTTTAAGCCTCACATTCTTGCTCGAGGAAGTCTAGCAATTCTACTTTATTTACCTGATAGATCATGCAAGGTATAAATGAGAAGATGCTTTTGAACTGCAAAGTACAATACTACACAAAAGAATAAGCCATTTAGAGGTTAAATTAAATGCAAATAATGTAACAAGTATAAAAGAATGCATTATTTTACTTCAGAGAAAATATTGTTTTCCATTACTCTGGGAACATTGTTGACACCCTAACAATAAATATGCTAATGCAAGCCTTCATGAAGAGTTCCCTAAACAAAGTTCTCTCTGTGGAGCATTTTCCTGTAACATTTTGTTTGTCAAATTCTAGTTATTGTGCCTTTTAAATATGGCTCAAAATGTGTTTTTCCACCAATTTAAATTGATTTCCATTTAATTACTTCAAATTAGTGAGCTGGTATTCTAATCACATTCACTGACTTGCATCACATCTGGAAATGTATGTTGAAACACAAACACCTCTGCCTTCTAGAAATTACAAAAAGTACCCCTTCTAAAAGTTTTCTGAACTTCCTCTTTACCTAAAAAGTTACCATAAGTAGAAAATTGAAGAGACAGAATAATGGTCTTTTCAGTCCACTCATTTATAGCAATTTATGGTGGGGGAGGGGCAGAGACGTATGTCTTATGTTACCCACACCTGTGTCTCAGCTTCCAGCCTGAGGTCATTCCATAGCATATACTTCAGTGAGTCCAAAATAGTGTGGTGGTTAATTTTAGGTATCAACTTGGCTGGGTTAAGGAATATCCAGATAGTTGGTGAAACTGATTCTGGGTAGGTCTGTAAGAGTATTTTCAGAAAAGATTAACATTTAAGTCAGTAGACTGAGTAAAGAAGATCTGACTTCACCACTGTTGGGGGGCTGGAGGGTGGGCATTATCCAATCCATTGAAGGCCCACATAGAACAAAAAGGGTGAGGAAAAGAGGGTTCATCCTCTCTTCTGGAGCTGAGACATCCATTTTGTCCTGCCCTTGGCCATCAGAACTCCAGGTTCTCCAGCTTATGCTCTGGGACTTATTACAGTAGCTTCCCAGGATCTCAGACCTTTGGACTCAGACTGAGTTATACCATGAACTTCCCTGGCTCTCAAGCTTGTAGATGGCATATCATGGGACTTCTTAGCCTCCATAATTGAGTGAACCAATTCTCACTATTATCTATCTATCTATTTATTTATCTTCTACTGGTTCTGTTTCTCCGGAGAACTCTGAGTAATACAGTAAGTTTCCCTGGCACTCATCTGTTAGACTTACTGTGAGTCTAGCCAATCTTCTTTGCAAAAGCAATGCCAAGTTATAGTCTCCCAGAATCCATTCTTAAACATGTTTACAGAGAGTACACCTAGCACTGGTTCACCATGCAGAAAATAGAAGGTAGGTGATTGTTGCTAATTAATAGTCATGTATTAATAATTGGCTCAATGCATGATCAAGAGAGGTAATGTGTGAATTAAGCTATCAGTACCTCAGAAATGGACAGAAGAGAAAAGTCAATGAAGAATATGACACTGGGGAAGTCTTACTAAAGGAAATTGAGCCTTGGAGCGAGCAGAATTTAAACAGGATAAAATGTAAGAAGTATCCAAGTTAGAATTGAGGGGTGAAACTTTTGAGGGCTTAGGGTGGGTATGTATCTTTGACTTATTTTTTTGTACTTTGCTTTGCAGGGAATGAAATTCAAATCTGTGATTAATTCACGGCCTTACCTTTTTTACATAGTTGAGATGACACTTAATTGTTCAGATTGACATTCAGATCACATTCTGGGACAGGTATTTCTCTTTGTCCAAGGAGACAGCTCCTCCAGCCTCTACTCCATCTATATTGTTTCTAGAGGTATAACATTTTCATGGGACTTCATTCCAGCTAAGTTCGATTGGGTACTTGACCCAAGCTGGGGCAATGAGTGTCTTCCAGAGGAAAAACAATATGATCACTCTCTCCCTGGGACTAAATCTGTGAGACATAAAACTAGGCAGCTCTTGGCAGTTGTGTTTTGGCCATGAGGAGAAAGCTGTTCTGAGGTAAGATAGAAGAACAAGGCTAACACAATAAAAAGAGGATAGCATCTTGATGGTTCTAATATTTCTGAAGTCCAGTTACAAAACTGTTGGTAAGTTCTATTGTTATTCCAGCAAATTCCCTTTCTGAGTAAAAAAGTTCACGTTTTTGTTAATTTGTCTGCTACCCTATTTGTAACCAAAAATCATCCTAAATTATACATTGCAAGTTAGAATTATATAGCAAACTTAACAAAAGGTCCAGGGCCTGGTCTAGTCTATATAATGCCATGTAGTACCTTTATCTGAATTAGAGAAAGATGCCGCCTCTGGCCAGGTACAACTCCATCGGGGCTGTGTTGATGAGGAGACCGCAGACTAGATTCCAACTCTGCCAGCCTCAAAGCCAGATGCACAACCATATGCGGGAACCCTCAGCCTGAGTTGTAAGCACCACTGTGGTTTAAAGTCTCCCTCTATTTCCCAAACAGCTTATCCTTTACTGTGATTTTGTAGCTTGCATAAAGCATCTTTGGATATTCACAGAGAAAGTCTGTGGATAACGACCTCCATAATGACCCACAAATAGGAGAACTTTGGGTGAAGACAATGGATAGTGCTAAATGAGTAAGCTAAGGAGTCGTGTTACTTGAATCTTCTGCAGAAAAAAAAAAAAGTTGATTCCTAACACATTAACACTTTTTTACATTTACACTTGGCTGAGTCACCAAATTATGTTCCCAGGAAAAATGCCAATTGGTATCTAAAAATTATATTACAAAGTAAATGAAGTCATAATACAAAAAAAAAAAAAAAAAAAAGAATGCTCACAGTAGAAAAAGCTATACTTGGACAGGTCTACTTTAGCTTTATGGCCTGCATAGGCATAGCTCTACTCATAGAGGGCGCTCTTCCCTTGGCCAGGTCTGGGATTCTGGAGACACCAAATAAGGCAGCTTCAATTCTCAGTGAAAGTAGTCGAGAAAGTCTCCAAAACAAAAAGCTGATTTTATTTGCATCTTAAAAAGGTGCCCTTTTCCCCATGGAGCAAGGATCTTTAGAATATATAATCCTTTTTGTAAAAATTTCCTTAAAGAATACAATTTAGGTTTTTCACTCAGAGAAGGAAGAATGTTCTTAAACATTCAGGTTTGCCCAGGACTGAGGGGTTTCCCAGCACAAAAGACTTTCAGAGCTAAAACAAAACAAAACAAAATCTCTAGGCTTGAATGGCTCCTAAAGAAGAGCTGAGTGAAATAAATGCAGAGTGGTCCCTTCCCACCATGGACTTCCAGAATCCTAGCTGCAGGAGCCCCCATAACCCCCACAGACATTTGAGTTGGCAGGGAAATGGCCCAGAGAGCAGACAGACAGAGCTCAAATCCACCTGGAGCCCAGGTGGTTTGGCACGGGGACAGCTGCAGTGGAACACAGCTATAGGCGCCCATCAAGGCTCTCCATACTCCTCCAGATAGTTCTGGCCTTTGTTCACTGGTGGACATGGACAGAGCAGGGCTGTTTCTTGCAGGACCAGAGCACGTCTAATCTGCACATCCCCCTGTCACCAGCTTCTCTGAGTCCCTGTCTGGCCACACTGGCTCACA
The DNA here is from genome assembly GCF_000001405.40 of Homo sapiens. NCBI lineage: Eukaryota > Metazoa > Chordata > Mammalia > Primates > Hominidae > Homo > Homo sapiens. The sequence goes on along the minus strand of NC_000010.11, from coordinate 108,203,910 downwards.
GTGCAGCCTCAGCTGCCCTCCCAGAGTGCTTTTGCCAGTGGCCACCATTATACAACTTTCACTGGTGACCCCCGCTGCCTCACTGAAGCAATTTTGCTGATGACCCACTGGAGCACTTTCACCTATGACCTCATTGCCACCCTACCAGAGCACTTTCATCCACAACCCTCAGCAGAGTGCTGTTGCCAGTGGTCTGGGAGCACATTGGTGCTCCCCCACAATAGCCAGTTTTCAACCTCAAGGGAACAAAGCTGTGGGCCTTGTCCCGGCACCCCCGTGTTAGAGCACATAACCCAGGAGTGCCAAGATGAGCCTTGGGTCTGTGAAAGCAACCAGAAACAAAGCCATTTGACTATGCTTATCTCGTACCACAGTCAAAACTCAAGGGCAAAAAAAGAACATAAAAGCAAAAAGCCATATCCAAAGGACAGTAACATCAAAGGATAAAGGATCATCTGTCCTCACAGATAAGAAAAAACCCATACAAGAACTTTGGCAACTCTAAAAGCCAGAGTGTCTTCTTATCTCCAAGTGATCATACAAGCTCTTTAGCAATAGTTCTTACCACGTTGAAATGGCTGAAACGTGAGACATAAAATTCGGAATCTGGATGACAAGCAAGCTCAACAAGATACAGAAGAAGGTTGAAACTGAATCCAATGAAGAGGACACAATGATCTAAACGTTGAAAGATGACACAGCCATTTTAAAAAAGAACCAAACTGAACTTCTGGAAATGAAAAGTTCACTATAGGAATTTCATAATTAGAAATATTGACAACAGAATTCACCAAGCTGAGGAAAGAATCTCAGAGCTTGAAGATGACTCTTTTGTATCAATGCAGGCAAACAAAAATATTTTCCTTGTGAAACTTTCCTTATTACCTCAGGACAGTGTTGGTCACCGTTTTCTCTAAGCTTCTATACCACTTTGTATATACCATTATAAAAGCATTTATTAACAACATAATTAAATTGTGTGCTAGTTATATGATTGTACATCTGTTTCTTTGATGGACTAGAAGTTGTATGACTCAAGGGACCATGTCTTATTAATTCCAGCTGAATTCATACATATTACAGATTATTAAAGAAATAATGTGAGTAATGAGTATTCATTCAATTAAATAATAAATCAACAAAGAAAGAAAGCAGCTGTACTTTAAATCATTAAAAGATCATTAGCGTGGTAGATTTGTATTACATCAACTTAATTAGGCTTGAACTGTGGTTTCCAGAATTCTCTTTTCTGGATATTTGTTGTACATGTGGCAGAGTACAGGAGAAATCTTGTAATAGATTGGGAAGACAAAGAGAACCAGGAGTCACCTTTTGTATTTAGATTCAGACGGCTGAGAGTAGTACACAGGTACTTTTGAAGCTCGAGTATGGCGTCGGTCACCTGTTATCCCACCTGGTTGATATAGGGCTGTAGATCAACGACCGCTATTGGATGCCCGCCTTCAACTTTTCAGTTTCTGGGTCAAGTAGATATTTAGTTTCATGATGAAATGCATCACTTTCTCCTCCAGTACACCTGTGTCATAGAAGGTGGAAGCTTAGAGGCAATGAGAGACTGACCCCAGTTCCTGTTTACCATGGGTACCAGAACAACCTTGCAGATTCCACTTTGCCATTGTTTGCACCATTCAACTTTTGTCTACCTGCCCCTTTAGATTTTAGTTTCTAATACCTGCCCCAGAAATGGCCACCTCAAAAAGACTGTTTAATAAGCTCCCACCACTACTTAAGATCAATAGCTAATTTTAAACCATATGTGTGTGTGCATGTGAGTGTGTGTGTGTGTATGTGTGATCCGTGTATCCCAGTGATTACAGTGGTTATGCTTTTCTGTGCTAATCTTGACATGGTATCACTAGCCACCAATGGCAACAAAGGCTAAAGGTTTAGATTTTCAATAACACCGGATTTCCTAGAAGGGAGCAAATTTTGTGTTTTAGAGCATTAGAGAAATCTGCTGAACGAGAGAGACCTGGCATTGGGTCTTAACATTCGGAAAGAGTATAGAGAAGAGCCATTTGGGACACCTTGTGAGATAATGATACAAAAGTATGTTTTACTAATTCTTAATACTAACTATTATAGACTAAATTGTAACACACACACTCACACACACAGACACACACATACACACACACAAATGTTAAGTTGAAGCCCTAACTCCTAGTGTCTTAGAATGTGACCTGATTTGGAAAAAGGGTCGTTGCAGATGTAATGAGTTAAGATAATGTCATCCTGGAACAAAGTGAGCCCTTAATCCAATATGAATTGTATTCTTATATGAAGATGACCATGTAAACACAGAAACACAGGAAGAACACCATTGACAATGAACAGAGATTGGACTTATAGGAAGGCTCAAGCCAAGGGATACCAAAGCTTCCTGGGAAGAAGTAAGTAAGGATTCTCCTAGAGTTTTCACAGGGGCATGGCCTAGCCAACATCTTGATTTTGAACTGCTAGCCACCAGAACTGATGTTTTAAATATCTTTTGTTATAAAATATGTTGTTTCTTAGGGCTGCTATAACAAAGCACCCCTCAAGTTTCTCTCAGGTGTCTGCAGTCTAGTGGGTGGTCTAAATGGCCAAGCACAACACTCGGCTGTATTTTTAATGCAGGCCAACAATAGCAACAAAGAGATCTTAACTTGGAAAGTGGCACAACCACAGCAGAAGAGTTATTATTTATGTATTTTGCTTACATAATAGTCCAAGGCATGTGTTTCTGGTCAGCTGATAACTTTCCTCGTTGTGGTGATTCAGGAATTCAGAAGCTTTCATCATGTGATCTCTCTATCCCTTGCAGTATAATCTTCATGTACGTTTGGTCATGGCATAGCAGAAAGAACATGGAGAGAATCATGGGGGTATGTCTATTAATCAAATCTAAAAGTGGGGCTTTCTGCTTTTGTTTATTGGCTAGAACTAAGTCACATGGTCGCACCTACTGCAAGCAGATATGGGAAATGCAGTCTAGCTTTGTACCCAGAATTTTTTTTTAAGGATTTTCCCTGAATAGCTAGCAGTCTGCTACTCAGGGCATCTTGTTTTAGTCAATAATTCCTTCTCCCTCACTCTAACAGTCATTATCTCCCCCAAAAGACTATACCAAGTTGTCATCCTTATCCAATGTCTGGAACATGACATGTTGTACATCACAATCTGATCATTAACTATGCTGATTTTACAGGTATATTTTCCCCAAAGTAACACTTGCTGCATGAGGTAATACAGGGATCTGCTGATCTTAGACTGAATGTCATATTTCAAAGAAGAGTTGTCATCCAATCTAGAAATAGTTTAATTAATTTCTAATATTTTGTGTTTCTGTAAATACAGTGACTATTAATAACAATTGTTTCATTTTAACTGCTATTAAGCAACCTCTGAAAAATCACAATTTGACTGTAATCTCATTATGTATTAATAGGATTGTATACTTGGTATTTTACTAGTACTTTATATATAAATCTTAAAGAAAACCTAAAATAATATGTTATTATTACACTATTCTAATCCAGCAGTGGCCTAGATACGTTAAGTAATTTGTTCTAGGGATTTGAATTTGTGTTTTTCTAGCTTTAGAGCTTATGCTATTTATTATAGAACATAATTCATTCTTTTCACATCCCAGTCAAGCATTTAAAATACACAACATATTGTAATTGGGTCACCATGGACATGGAACTGCATATTTTTGCCCATCAGACCTGCACTAAATTGAGGGTCAAGACTCATATGTATAAATCTCTTAGAAGAGTAGTGAGAATGATGCCTTCTGAAAATGAAGTCTATTTTCTGTGTAATTGTTAGGTCTGTTTTAACAATGACATATTTGTGATGTATAATTGGCAGATGATAGCAGTACCGAGACAGATAAGAGAAAGCTAATGATTCATATGCATAAAGAGTTAAGGTTTTATTGTTGGGGGCCCAGAGCTAAATCAAATAATTGTTCTTTAAAATGGTAACAGTTATTTTAAGGAGTCAGATAATATTTCCAAAGCTTCTTATGGGGCAAAGTGTCATCTAAAGAATCTCAAATTATTTTAGGATTGTTATAAATCCAAATAAAAATACACATTTAATTGCAGTGATAGCTTAATTGAATTTGATTTTAAAATGTTCATTATTCAATTTTAAGCTTATATGTCATTACTAAAGCACACTGTCAATGCTGAATGGTAAGATGATATTTTGTATTGGTTCTGAAATTATCTTTTGAATAGGACAATTGTATTTCGATTTTTGATGTGTGTGTATGTGTAAAAGTATTATTTGTAAACTGTGAACATGTAAAGTATACCACAATTTTGTAAGCCTGTCTAGATGATTAGTTAATTAATTTCTATATACTGGCATTTATGGAAAGTAGAATAAGCCAAGTTTCCTTCAACTACTCAACTACTGAGAAGTCTTGGCTCTACTTCAGGATACTTGGAGACAGCAAAAGTTTTTTTCTAGAACTTTGGTCAAGTACAAATGTCATCTGGGCACTCTGGGAACGGGATAGCTGCAGGACTGTCCCTAGGCTGTTATTTGTCTATGAGCCCAGGCACTGGGCGCACAGAGTTTACCTTCAGAGCATCTGGGCTCTGAGAGCAGATGACTCTGTGTCACACTCTATGAGGCACACAACATTGTGCAGAGAAAATACAGGAGCCTGAAGATGAAGAGAGAGAGAAAAAAAAAAACCTCTAGTATGTGACTGAAAGTAATTATTTATCTACTATCCGACAGCCAGTCTGTTTTGGAAAACATTCTTTTATGCTCCCCTAAGATTAACCCTTTCTAGAGGAACTATAGCAAAAATTCATCTTTTTTTATTCTCTTTACTGCTCTTTTCTGGAATTTGATTTTAGAGCAGTCTCAGAGTCTACAGTAGATATTTAAATTTCCAAATGACTAAATGCATGCTGAAGTAATCATTTATAGCCCAGCATGAAGATATCACAGTGGCGCAGTAGTGGTGCAGTGAATTATCCCTACCTGTGAAACTGTGATGGATACAGCTAATTATCCTTTGAGGGAGAAGTAAAGTCCTACCATGTCCTCAACATCAATATCAATAGCTCCCTCATAAAATATTAAACTTCTAAGATCCCGACAAAAAAGAATTCTTGCAAGCCTAGCTTGAGGGTAGGAGTTGTCTGCTTTTCTGGAAGAAATCTGGGACCTTAACTTCTGTTCTTTGTTGCTTTTCATTTGAAAGCATCTTGGATCTCTTTAGTAGGACAATCCCAGAACCCGCCACAGGCATAAATTAACTTCTTCTTGTACCCTGTTGAGAGTAGAGCCCATTAATGACTACTAACGTCCATTACTAGACAGAAGAGGATTTTCTCGAGTAAACCAACAATCAAAAAATGGAAGATTTTCACAGCAAATCAGTGTCACTGCTGGGAAGGAGAGACAGTATTTGAATGGCCGAGATTGGTGTTATAATAACTGAAGTTGTTGCTGTCTTTCAATGTTTCTTCTTTGTTTCTTTTCAACAACTGGTTTTCATTATAGGGGAAGGTAACTTATTTATTTCACACTTGTGTTTCAGTTATTTTGTTTGTTCAGTATCCTTTGGCTGCTTTAAATACCTTACACTTCTCTCACAGTGGTCATGTAAGCTAGGTAATATTATTCTCATTTTGGAAAATATATAACTCAAGCTTAGAAAGATCCAATAAGTTCATTAAGGTCATCCTTATTAAAATGGTAGAGTCAGGATTCAAAGCAAAACTGAGATTCCAAACCCTCTATGGTCTTTTGGCCTAGTTACGATTGATAATTTTCTCCTTCATGTGAAAAATCTAAATTCCGATTAGGATAAAGAAAAAAAGTCTGAGAGGGAGGGAGAATATGGAACTAAGAAAGAAATAAAAGGACCATGACCAGATAGGGATTGTGAGCAGGCTAGAGAGGAGCCAACTACCATAAGAGGGGTGGGAGGGCTGTACAGGGTTTGCTTGTCATATTTGCCTAAAGCTGTTCCATCAATGCCCCAGGGAAGAAATTGTGACCTGACACAGTGCATTTGTTTGTTCCAGACACTGTCCTGTGTACCATTGATGTGTCCTCTCTCCCTCTACATTCACTGGTTTAAGGTATTACAACAAAATAAAGGTGGATATAGTCGAAGGGAAATATGCACCAGACACAGGTAAACAGGCAAGGAAGGGTTTATTTTTACTTTTTTAAGATTTATGTTTTACTTAACAAATAATAATCGTATATATTTATGGGATACATTGTGATGGTACATGTGGCTCATGTTATTACATGCATAGGTTGTGGAGTGATTATGACTATTTCAGTAGAGAAGAGAGACTAAGCACAACTTTGATAAAACAAAAGGTAGGAGGGTTCTTAAGCAGTGGGATGAGCTAGTAGAAAAGGGCTGGAGGACTTTAGAGGGAAGGTTGGTCAATGTGTTTGTTAATTGGTGTTTGTCAAAGGTAGTTTCCTACCTTCTTACAGAGAGTGAAAAACAGGACCCTGTCTTCCTTAATCATTATATTTCAGAAGAATGGCTACCAAGCCCTTGAGAAAGATATTTCTTGGTTTTAAAACTGCATAGGGTCTGGGAGAAGATTTAAAATCTCAAAGAGATTTGAACAAAGACTAAGAATTTACATTTGCAAGTTTTATAAAGTAAGTGCTCTAAAAGCGTTTTTAAAAAGAGAGAACGGAGTCTATAGTCAAAAACAAACATGTCTAAAATTTAGTCAAGCTGAGGAGAAAGAGACAATGTCTCCCAATGCAACATTTCTTGTCTTGAAGCTTGGAAGGACAAATGGTATGAAGAGAAATTCCATTTTAAATAGTTATGTGATAAAATAGCTTATTGAGTAAACAATGGCTATCTCTGGGGAACCTGAACATGAAATGAAGAGAGGTAGAAAATAAAATTTCTGAGTTTGTTATAATGGTTGTTAATAAATTAAAACAGTTTACCATTTTAAAATAAATGCTTAAAACAGATTGATAAGATAATAATAATAATGAAAAGAATAACAACTCTTAGTGGTAGGATTACAGGTGTGAGCCAATGAACCCAGCTATAAATACACAACTCTGTCAAAGGGAAGAGAGAGCTAGCTGCTCCTGCCTCAAGATACGTTAGCCCTCGTGTAATGATCAAAATCCCAGTATGTGCCAACGAGTCTTAGATGTGTCCACAGGAAGGGTTCAGCTATTGGCACATAGTGGGTTCTCAAGATGTGGCTATTGGACTTGTCTCATTTCTCTATAGCAATATATAATTGTCATATAGTTTCCTCAGCCAGTCAATATGTTTTTCATCAAACTTCAATCATTTCAGTTACAGGTGGATGTTTTCAAGTAAGAATTGATGTCATATAAACTAGAATGAAATCTAAATAAGAAAACAAATATTTCATAAAGTAGCCCAAACATCAAGTTAAAAGGATATTCTTGATTTTACCAATTCTAACCAAGTAAATGTGGGGTTCTGCCATCACGCTTGTGAGATTTGGAGTCAGTGAGTCAGGAACCACCATCTAAATCATTAAAAGGAATTGTCGTTGGAGAACGTAAGCATGAATATTGATGAATTACAGAAAATGGCACACCAGCTTGGAGACAGTTATCTCAGTTTGTTTGTCACATATTTCTTAGTTGGGTTACATGTAAGTGTGCCTAGACAAGAACTTCAGTGCAAGTAGTTCATTTGGAATATTAAAGAATCACTGTCAGGAAAATCAATGAATGAGATAGGGAGTAAAAGATATCTGGAAAAGGATTATTATTTTGGAGTAGGGGTCAAGGAGCAGACACCAAGATGAGGATGCTTGGGAAAGTGATTAATTATAAAGTATGTGCAGGAAAAGAACAAACCAAATCAGCAAAAACAAAACTCCCCTAGGAGGTAGGAAAGTAGGACAAGAGGGAAGAAAATCAAGCAAGCATGTGATATTCATCTGTCTACATTTGTCTCCGTCCATGTCTGTGCCTGACCTCACACTTTCATGCTTTCTCTCTCTTTACCTTTGTTATTGAACTCCTGTGTTACATTCACTCATTTTTTATATTTATGCCAATATGCACATTCGTGTTGGCAAGATACAAAATAATGTTGAGTCATTAGAATGTTTAGGAAAATTATAAACACCTAAAATAAAATAGCCTATAACTGAGAGGCATCTTTAATTGATTTTGATTTACTTTAATTTAAAAGTTGTGTTAAATTCTGGATTTCTTAACACTTTCCATCTTTATAGATTCCTTATTATGAAAGCTAACAAAAAAAATAAGAAGCCTGGAATTACCTGTGGCTTCTGAGCTGTGGGTTGGGATGAGAAAGAGAAGGGAAAGTTCCTTGAAACAGATAATATCTGCATCTCATTGTGATTTTAACTTATAAAACCAAAGTATGAGGATCAGTTTAAAATTTCTCCTGATAACCACTCTTAAATGTGTCACAGCAAAGACCAAGATGCCATCTCACCCAGACCACCACAGCCCAGTTTCTGGGAGGTTTGGAAGCAATGATGGTTTCTTTCATTGCTTTTAGGGCTACTAAATTATTTGACCAGTGTTTAGGGGCCATGATGAATAGTTAATTCATATTTTTTAAGCACTAACATGGCACCCAAAACAGCAATGTGTTTACAATATAAGGAGCATTTTTGAAGTGCTCTAAGTAAGGGAACAACAGAGTCAGGTCTTAGTACCTTCTAGAATCAAAGAAAGTGGTAGTAAAGGAGTGCTTTGCCCTGTTTGAATCTTTGAATAGTTTCCCTCTTCCTCTTTCTCTGTCTACACATTTCCCCCGGATATATTTTGTGGGGAAATGCCTATACCCACAGCATAGGCTCCACTTATGCACAATGGCTGAAAGTTATGTTAACTGCATTTGAAACCAGTCTCCTTGATTTCCCTGTGATGTCACCTTCGGCAAGATCCTCAGTTTCCCTAAGCCTTAGTTTCCTCTTCCACTGGTTGTTGAGAGATTAAGATAGCAACCACATAGCACTTAGCACAGTGTGCACAACTTGTAAGCACTCAGTAAACACCTGCTGCAGTTACAGCCAGCCTCTGGTGGTTGTCCATGTATAAAGGACTTGGTGCCGATTGAAATCTTGACTCCAAGAGCGTCTCCCACTCATATCTCCTTCAACTACGTGTTTCAGTGAATCTCTGTCAAGGTCCAGGACTACATAAGTTGTCTAAAAAAAATGAGGTACTTACATTGAGCTTGAGATTCATTGCTAATAGATTTTGTTGATATCTGCTCATGTTCACAGAGTTAGATTTTAGGAAAATTGTCTGTGATCTGAGCTAGGACTTATGTTCTTGTTCCAAGTAGGTCACCTTCTATCTGAATTGACCTGCTGTGGTAAATTGAAGTAGTGGTCAGAGAAATAAGAGTCTTGAAGAAGTCCCTGAGGTATCTTGTAATGCCAACTGATAGTTTTAAAAAAAAATTCTAAATTATTTCCCTTTTCTCTGCATTTTCTCAGTCGGTGAATAGACAAGAGGACCAGGGTGACAAGCTGCAAAGCTGGAGGAAATTTAACTGAGCACGTGCGGCCATTAAGACATCCTTCTGTGCGCTAATCAAATCATTCGTTTGGGTAAATGCTGTTACCTTGACAATATTATATTGAAAGATAGATATTTGAAAAATGAGCATGCTAGAAGGATATGGGCAGTGAAAATGAACTTTAGGTATTACAGAGAAATTAGAGGAGAGAGCAAACATCTCAGCAACTGGGGAGCCTATATTAGTATCTGTCAAGAGGCAGTGCTATCCATCTTAGCATATTAAGCAGAAATGTAAATACTGAAACATTCATGAAGGGGAATGAAAACAGGGAAGCTGAGTTACAATCTAGGGCTCTGACTTGTGTGGACACTATGCTGACAGGATAAAGGGAGAAGTAAAAAAGGATACACAGAAGGGCAATTTTCCATGTTCAAGTTTGTTTTCTGTGTTTATAAAAATTCATTTGTATCATGACAATAACAAACAATTTTTTTATGTAGTCCAGCATGGAACTTTTGAGACCAAGTACAGGCTTGAACACATATTCCTAGGATCACAACATCCCCAGGAATGTTGCTATAGATATTTATCTGCACATTATTGGGGGTCCTGTTAGTGGTGAGTGGAGTGAGAGGGAAAGAGTGAGAGAGAGAGGCTGAGGAGTTGATGGCTGAAGTCTCAGCAAAGTCCCACAGCCTGGTGATTTTGACTCTCCTCTTGCATGCTTGAAAGCTAGAATTCAGTTAGCACTACACTTCAACAACCTTGCCCTGATTGGAATGAGAGCAGATGAGACACTTCCCCCCAAAAGGTATACCAACAATACCAATATGGGAAGCCTGGTGGGATCCAGTCTACAGGATCTTCAGGAATGAGGCTTTCTGTTAATCAGGACCTCTGCGACCCCCAGCACTGTGCCTCTGCTAGGATTAAACTGAAGTGATTTTTTTTCTCCTTCCCATGAAAAGAAACTCATTTGTAGAAACAAAGCTAAAGTGACAGGACAATGCAGAAACATATGAATCCATTGATTAGGTCAAACAGTGATGGCTGTAGGAAACCTTGTTCCTAAAGATGCATAAAGAAAGGTAATAAATTGTGCTCAGGTGTGTAAATTGCCTGGAATGCTAAAAATACTAACTGCATTTGCTTAATAACAATTTAAAAGGAGTACAAGCTGCTCTCCACTGATGTACTTTACCTTTCCATTTTATGCATAGGCAATTTAAATTTCCTTCAACAACTTTGATTTAAGGAGAGATTGTTCTCATTATTAAACATGGATTTGAAAAAATGTTAAGATGACACCTTGGATATTGTCTATAGCAGAGAAGAACTTTTAATAACTTGATAAATTAAGGATCAAAAGGATATTAACAGGTTGAGTTATGAAACTGCCTTTACTTCTGTTGTGAACCATAACTCTTTTAAATTCTATTCCAAATTAAATATGGAAAAAACCCTAAGTTGATTCATGATTAATAAACAAAGTATGAAACAATAACAAAAGTTTAGAAATATAAACATACTTTACTAGTGACACTAGTGTCATTAGTTAAAGCAGAAAATCTCCCTAAAATTGTAAGATTAGCCTTGACTGATGAAAGTATGATTATTGAATTTGCTCATTATTTTTTCTTTCAATTTTTATAAAAAATTACTTTTAATTATAGATACATCAGAGTTGCACATATTTATGGGTACATGTGATATGTTGATATAAGTATACAATGTGTAATGATCAATTCAAGGTAATTGGTGTATCCATCACCTCAAACATTTATTATTTCTTTGTGTTAAGGAAATTCCAATTCTACTCAGCTATTTTGAAACATACAATAAATTATTGTTAACTATAGTCACCCTATTGTGCGAACAAACACTAGATCTTATTTCATATTCTTTCTATGGCAATTTTTGTACCCATTAACCATTCCATCTTTATCCTTCCATACCTAATGCCTTGCCAGACCCTTTCCATATTCTGATAGCCATCATACTACTCTAATCTTCATAAGTTCAATTTTTCTTTTAGCTCCTACATATGAGTGAGAACATGTAATATTTGTCTTTCTGTGCCTGGCTTTCTTCATTTAATGTAATAACCTTGAGTTCCACTCATGTTGTTGCAAATGACAGGATTTTATTCTCTTTATGGCTGAATAGTATTCTATTGTGTATACTTACCACATATAAAAACTCGATTCATTCATTGATGGACACTTAGGTTGATTCCATATCTCAGCTATTTTGAATCCTTTTGCAATAAACATGGGAGTACAGACATCTCTTTGGAATACTGATTTCCTCTCTTTTGTAGATATAACCAGCACTGGGATGACTGGATCTTATCATAGTTTTACTTTTAGTTTTTTGAGGGACCTTCAAACTATTATCCATAGAGGTTGTACTAATTTATATTCCAACCAACCATGTACAAGGGTTCCCCATTCTCCACATCCTTGCCAGCATTTGTTATTATATTAGTCAGTTTTCACGCTGCTGATAAAGACATACCTGAGACTGGGTAATTTATAAAGAAAAAGAGGCTTAATGTACTCACAGTTCCACATGGCTGGGGAGGCCTCACAATCATGGTGGAAGGTGAAAGGCACGTCTTACATGGCAGCAGGCAAGAGAGAAAATGAGAACCAGTTGAAAGGGGTTTCCCCGTACAAAACCATCAGATCTCATGAGACTTACTTATTCACTACCCCGAGAACAGTATAGGGGAAACTGCCCCATGATTCAAGTATCTCCCACTGGGTTCCTCCCACAATGTGGGAATTATGGAAGCTACAATTCAAGATGAGATTTGGGTGGGGACACAGCCAAACCATATCAGTTATTGCCTGTTTTGGATAAAAGCCATTTTAACTGGGGTGAGCTGATATCTTATTGTAGTTTTTATTTGCATTTCTATGATGATTAGTAATGTTGAGCATCTTTTTACATGTCTGTTGGATATTCGTATTTCTTCCTTTCAGTAATGTCTATTTAGACTATTTTTAAATTGGTATTTTTCTATTGAGTTGTTTGAGCTCTTTAAATATTCTGATTATTAAGCCTTTTTGTCAGATGGATAGTTTGCAAACATTTTCTCTTATTCTGTGGGTTGTCTCTTGACTTTGTTGACTCTTCCCTTTGCTGTGCAGAATCTGTTTAGCTTTATGTGATCCTATTTTTCCATTTTTGCTTTTGCTGCCTGTGTTTTTGAGGTATTACTCAAAAGTCTCTGCTCAAACCAATGTCCTGGAGTGTGTCTTCCAAAGTTTTCTTGGAACAGTTTCATAGTTTGAGGTCTTAGATTTCAGTCTTAATAAATTTTGATTTGATTCTTGTATATGGTGAGAGATAGGAGACTACTTTCATTTTTCTAAATATGGATATCAGGTTTTCCCAGCATCATACTTGAAGAGACTATCCTTTCACCACTGTATGTTCTTGGCACCTTTGTCAAAATGAGTTGACTGTAAATATGTGGATTTATTTCTGAGTTCTCTATTCTGTTCCATTGTCCTATGTGTCTGTACTTAAGCCAGTATCATGCTGTTTTGTTTACTATAACTTTATAGTATAATTTGAAGTCAGGTAATGTGGTGCCTCCACCTTTATTCTTTTTGTTCACAATTGCTTTGGCTATTCTAGGTCATTTGTGCTTTTATATAAATGTTAACATCATTTTTTCTTTTCCTTCTTTTTTAAAAAAATGGGTTTTGCTCTATTACTTAGGCTAGAGTACAATAAATAACACAATCATAGCTCACTTTAGCCTCAACCTCCTGGGCTCAAGTGATTCTCCTGCCTCAGTCCCCTGAGTACCTAGGACTACAGGTGTGTGTCACTACACCCAGCTAGTACCTAAATTTTTTGTAGAGATGGGGTCTCACTATCTTGCCCAGTCTGTTCTTGAACTCTTGGCCTCAATAATCTTCTTATCTCAGCCTCTGAAAATACTGAGATTACAGGTGTGAGCTATCATGCCTGACAGTTATTTTTTTCTATTTATGTGAAGAATTGGTATTTTGATAAAGATTGAACAAATCTATAGAGTGTTTTGAGTAATAGGAATTTTTTTTTTTGAGACGGAATCTTGCTCTGTCCCCAGGCTGGAGTGCAGTGGTGCGATCTCAGCTCACTGCAACCTCCGCCTCCTGGGTCCAAGCGATTCCGCTGCCTCAGCCTCTCAAGTAGCTGGATTTACAGGCATGTGCCACCAAGCCTGGCTAATTTTTTGTATTTTAGTAGAGACTGGGTTTTACCATGCTGGCCAAGATGGTCTCAATCTCTTGACCTGGTTATCCACCTGCCTCAGCCTCCCAAAGTGCTGGAATTACAGCCGTGAGCCACCGCACCTGGCCAATATGAACACTTTAACAATATTTATTCTTCCATCCATAAACAAAAAATATATTTTCAGTTTTTCTATCACCTTTAATTTTTTTATCAATGTTTGATAGTTTTCATTGTAGAGGTTATTCATTTCCTTAGTTAAGTTTATTTCTGGTTATTTTATTTTATTAGTAGCTATTATAAATGGGATGGCTTTCTCTTGGTTTATTTTCAGATTGCTTGTTGTTGGCATATAGAAATGCTATTGATTTTTGTTTGTTGATTTTTTATGCTGCAACTTTACTAAATTTATGGTTGAATAGATGCCAAAAAACATTCGGTAAAATTCAACTTCATTTTATAATAAAAACTCTCAACAAATTGGGTGAGTAGAAGCCTCAACATGGTAAAAGCCATATATAACAAATCCAATAGCTGACATCGTACTGAATGGGGAAATCTGAAAGCCCTTTTTTTTGGTGGAGTCCCTAAATTTTCTAAATATAAGATCATGTCATCTGCAAACAAGGATAATTTGACTACTTCCTTTCCAATTTGGATGCCCTTTATTTCCTTCTCTTATTTAATTTCTCTGGCTAGGATTTCCAGTACTTTGTTGAATAAAAGTGGTAAAGGTGTGCATCCTTATTTTTTTCTAGATCTCAAAGGAAAAGCTTTCAGATCTCTCCATTCAGTATGATGTCAGCTACTGGGTTTGTTATATATGACTTTAATCATGTTGAGGTATGTTTCTACTTCCCCAGTTTGTTGAGAGTTTTTATCATGAAATGATATTGAATTTTATCAAATTTTTTTGGCATCTATCGAACTGACCATATGGTTTTTGTACTTCATTCTATTGACGCGATGTATCACGTTGATTGGTTTGCATACACTGAACCATCCTTGCATCCATGAGATGAGCTCCAGTTGATCATGGTGAATGATTTTTTTTGGTGTGTTGTTAAATTTTGTTAGTCTTTTGTTGAGGATTTTTGCATCTATGTTCATCAGAGGTATTGGCCTGTAGTTTTCTTTTGTGTTTTGTGTCTTTGTCTGATCTTAGTATCAGGGTTAGTATCAGGCTTCGTAAAGTGAGTTTGAAAGTACTTCCTCCTCCTCAATTTTTTGGAATAGTTTGAGTATGATTGGTTTTAGTTTTTCTTTAAATGTTTGGTAGAATTCAGTAGGGAAGCCATTAGGTCCTCGGCCTTTTTTTTTTTTTTTATGAGAGCCATTTTATTACTGGTTCTATCTCATTACTTGTTATTGGTTTATTAAAGTTCTAGATTTTTATGGTTTAATCTTTATAGGTTTTGTATATATGAATGTATCCATTACTTCCAGGTTTTCCAATTTATTGGTATATAGTTGCACATAATAATCACTAATGATTTCCAGCATTGGACAGATCATCTAGACAGAAAATCATCAACAAATGTCAGGCTTAATCTTCTCTATAGACCAAATGGACCTAACAGACATTTATAGAACATTGCATTCAACAGCTACAGAATACACATTCTTCTCCTCAGCAAGTGAAACATTCTCAAGAATAAACCACATATTAACCTACAAAACATGTCTCAAAATTTTTTTAAAAATAGAAATCATATCAGTTATCTCATCTGACCACAATGGAATAAAGCTAGAAGTGAATAACCAGAGACACTTTGGACTAGCTTATTATTTTTTCCTGCTCCAGATATGGGATGAGTCTCTGATAATGGCTGAAATTTGTGATGACTGTGTCACTGGTGTGTGTGCTTGAGAATCATGCTGTTGGTTACCATCTGAGTACACAGGTGCAGGGTCCAGTCAAAGTTATTTTGTTCTTTCCATAAGTTATGGGCTGTGCTTTAGTCTGTGGTCAGAACTACCTGCTTAGGAAACTGGTTGTGGACAACTTTGACCCTAGTTGCTGTTTAAATTAAAGCATTCCTTTAGACTCAGCCCATGTAGCTCTTAATTTAATATGACCCAGGCCAGGTTATTGCTGTGCTTTCCCAGATGTCTTTAGTGATGTCTCTGTATTGGCATGTTTGCATTAAGATACCTTTAATGTATTACTGATATTTTTCCTATCATCACACCATAGCCATTTGGGCATAGATGTAATGAAATGTACAGCCTTCGTCCATGAGAGTACTATGAATTTCACAACTGCCTGTTTTTTTCACTGTTTGTAAAGGGAACTGAGAGCTGAAATTATAACCTAGCCATCACAGGAGTCTCACACTTCATTTGTTCTGGGTTACGATGGGTGATAAATAAATACATATTTCAATTTAATTGTGCAATCAGCCTTGTCTTTGTATATTTTATGTCCTTTTTTTTCTTCTTTCTTTTTCCCCTTTGGTCATTGCACAGTTCATTAGCAACATCCCTTTTCCACACACTCAGTTTTAACAACCAAATAACAAGGTAAATATGGGTGAGTCAGCTGCTGTGTGTTGTCTACTCTGGTAGTTGTTTGAATTCCTTGCTATTTCTGCTATACCGTCAGGCTGTTTCAAAAAGTCACAAGATTACTGAAGACTCATAACTGTGGCTGAGTGTCAAGGATTCTGGCTATCATTTATTTTCCTTTCAATCATCTTAATTTATTGTGATCTGCTTTTAACATTCACTTTCACCATAAAAACTGCAGACTCCTATGAAGAATGATTTGTTTCCCCACAGTAACTTTTTGTTCTGGCATTTTTTTTGCTTGCTTCTCTCCAAATAACTTAGACCAAAAAAGATTCAAGGTTTTAGAGAGACTTAAATTGTGACATCTGCTAAGGCAGCTGGATTTCCGTAATGGTCTTTAATGCTGATGTATTAGGTCGTTCTCACATTGCCTTAAAGAAATATCTAAGACTGGGCAATTTAGAAAGAAAAGAGTTGTAATTGGCTCACAATTCCTGGCATCTACTCATTCTGGGGAGACTTCAGGAAACTTACAATCATGGTGGAAGGTGAAGAGAAAGCAGCCATGTCACATGGCTGGAGCAGGGGAAAAGGGGAGGGGGTTGCCACATACTTTTAAACAACCAGATCTTGTGAGAACTCACTATGCAGTACCAAGGGGGAATGGTGCTAAATAATTGATGAGAACTCTACCCCCATGACTCAGTCACCTCCCACCAGACCCCTCCTCCAACACTGGGGATTACAATTTGACATGAGATTTGGATGGGGACACAGATCCAAACCATATCATTGGCCATGAGACTGAATCATATTGGGGTACAAATAATATCCAGAGTTAATGGTGCTCATTGGCTAGCATGGGTGCCTTTGTAAGCAACTCATAGCTCATTCTAGAAGCTTCTGCCTCACAGCTCTATCCTGGGACAGTGTGTTCAAATTGAGATGAGACAAAGAATTGCCTGAAATGGGTTCCAGTAGTGTCAAAACCTGATTTACATGTCATTACAAAGCCACTACAAACTTATTTTATTCCACTGCAAATTCTGCTAATTTTAAATGCAGGAATCTTCAGAATAGCAATTCCACTTAAGGAACACCAATAACTCATTCACCCATAAAAGAACAGAGCACATACCAAGAATTGTGGCAACAGCTTTCCTGATCTAATTGTTCATAGACAGGTTCATGTGAAGTGAAGTTTCCTCACATGTTAGTTGTAGTTTTCTCTTCTCCTTTCCCACTGTCCTAATTTTTCACCTCCTTCTGATGTTCTCTGCTATGGCATTTCCTCATCTCACTTAATAAGACATGTTCCCCTTTCTCTGTATTACATTCAGTCACATGCTGTTGCTACTTAGGATGAAAAGGCTGATTTCTGAAGGGCATCTCAATTTAGTGTTATTAACACCTACAGTCAAGGCTAGAGTTCTGGCTGGATAGTCTCTCAATTTTTCCACATTGAACTCCCTCCCTCTTCACTTAATCACATTACTAACTCTGTGGTCATATAAGTCAGATATAGTCATCAAAGTCCACAACCACAAACTTTCCTGTGATTCTCACATCTAATTGGTTCACATTGCATATTTGCATTTTAAATATCCTTTTCCAAATTTATCTACCCCTTGTACACTGTAGGAGTTACCAATATCTTCGTTTTTTTGCCTGAATTCCCACAAAAGCTTTCCAATAAATTTCCCTGCTTCCAGCCTTGCTCCATTTCCAACCCATCCTTCATGATGACATCAATGTGATTTTGCTGAAATACAAAGATGAATATGTGTATACCTATTTAGAATCTTTCAGGGGCTTCTTGACTCTCACAGGCTAAAGCTGAAATTCTTTAGAAAGACTTATGAGTCTCCTCACAATATGACACTAGTCTGCTTTTCTAGCCCCATATTCTACTATCTTCTACATAAATTCTTAGTTTTAACTATGCTGAATCACAGACAGATCCTCTAAAGCAGCAAACTTTCAAACAATTTGATGTTACTACTCCTGAAAAGCCTCTCTCTTGCCTCAATCATATGTCTGACTCCCTGTATTAGTCTGTTCTCACATTGCTATAAAGAACTGAGACTGGATAATTTATAAGAAAAGAGCTTTAATTGACTCACAGTTTTGCGTGGCTGGGGAGGACTCAGGAAACTTAAAATCATGGCAGAAGTCACCTCTTCACAGAGCAGCAGGAGAGAAAAGTGTGTGAGAGTTCAGGAAAAACTACCATTTATAAAACTATCAGATCTTGTGAGAATTCACTCACTATCACGAGAACAACATGGGGAAACCACTTCCACCATCCAATTGCTGCTCTCCCTTTACATGTGGGGATTACAATTCAAGATGAGATTTGGGTGGAGACACAAAGCCTAACCATATTATTCCACCCCGGCCCCTCCCAAATCTTCTTTCTTTCACATTTCAAAACCAATCATGCCTTCCCAACAGTCCTCCAAATTCTTAATTCATTTCAAAATTCACCCAAAAGTCCAAGTCCAAAGTATCATCTGAGACAAAACATGTCCCTTCTGCCTATGAGCCTGTAAAATCAAAAGCAAGTTAGTTACTTTTAAGATACAAAGGGGGCACAGGCATTGCTCCCATTCCAAATGGGAGAAATTGGCTAAAACAAAGGGGCTACAGGACCCATGCAAGTCCAAATCCAGTGGGGCAGTCATTAAATCTTAAAGCTCCTAAATAATCTCCTTTGACTCCATGTCTCACATCCAGATCACATTGATGCAAGATACAGGCTCCCATGGTCTTGGGCAGCTCTGCTCCTGTGGCTTTTCAGGGTTCAGCCCCACTCCTGACTGCTTTCATAGGGTAGCATTGAATGTCTCCAGCTTTTCCAGGAACACTGTGCAGGCTGTTGGTAATCTATTATTCTGGGGTCTGGAGGATGGTGGCCCTCTTCTCACAGCTCCGCTAGGCAGTGCCCCAGTGGGGACTCTGTATGGGAGCTACAACCCCACATTTTCTTTCTGCACTGGCCTAGCAGAGGTTCTCCATGAGGGTTCGACCCCTGCAGCAGGTTTCGGCTGCTACATCCAGGCATTTCCATACATCTGAAATCTAGGTGGAGGTTCCCAAACCTCAATTCTTGACTTCTGTGTACCTGCAGGCCCTGTATCACATAGAAGCTGCCATGGTTTGGGGCTTGCACCCTCTGAAGCAAAGGCCTGAGCTGTATGTTGGCCCATTTTTTCTATGGCTGGGATGCAGGGCACCAAGTCTGGAGACTGCACAAAGCAGCAAGGCCCTGGATCTGGCCCACAAAACCGTTTTTCCCTCCAAGGCCTTGGGACATATGATGGGAGGGGCTGCTGTGAAGACTTCTAACATGCCTTGGAGACATTTTTTTCCCATGGTCTTGGTAATTAACATTTGGCTCCTGGTTACTCATGCAAATTCTTGCAGCTGACCTGAATTTCTTCCCAGAAAATGGTTTTTTCTTTTCTATCACATGGTCAGGCTGCAAATTTTCCAGACTTTTATACTCTGCTTCCCTTTTAAACATGAGTTCCAATTTCAGATCATCTCTCTCAAATTCAGAGTTCCACAGATCTCTAGGGCAGTGGCAAAATGCCTCCAGTCTCTTTGCTGAAGCATAGCAAGAGTGACCTTTGCTCCAGTCCCCAATAAGTTCCTCATCTCCATCTGAGACTCCCTCAGACTGGGCTTCATTGTCCATATCACTATCAGCATTTTGATGGAAACCATTCAACAAGTCTCTAGGAACTTCCAAACTTTCCCACATCTTTCTGTATTCTTCTGAGTCTTCCAAACTGTTCCAATCTCTGCCCATTACTCAGTTCCAAAGTTACTTACACATTTTCAGATACCTTTATAGTCGTGCCTCACTACCTGGGTACCAATTTACTGTATTATTCCATTCTCCCACTGCTATAAAGAACTGTTGGAGACTGGATAATTTATAAGAAAAGAGGTATAATTGACTCATAGTTCTACATGCCTGGGGAGGCCTCAGAAAGCACCTCTTTCTGGTGGAAGGCACCTTTTCACAGGGTTACGGGAGAAAGAATTATGTGAGAGTACAGGAAAAAGTACCATTTATAAAACCATGAGATCTGTGAGAATTCACTCGCTACCATGAGAACAACATGAGGGAAACTGCCCACAAAATCCAGTCGCTTCTCTCCCTTGACATGTGGGGTTTACAATTAAAGATAAGATTTGGGTGGGGACACAAGGTCTAACCATATCACCCATGAAACAAGATCAAACACCATATATTTTTGGGAATGCTTTCTCCTTCCTTCCTTATCTAAATATTCAGAAAAGACAGGATTATATATTTTTTTTCCAAATGAAGCAAATCGGATAGGAAACCAATGATTTTTTTGAAGAGAAAAGGATAGAATCAGAGGGTTCTAACTCTATCTTAGGATTTTGTTGTGGTGGTTAATTGTTGTTATTTGTTGTGCTTTTTTGTTTTCATTTCATTCATAGTTTTTTTTGTTTTTTTTAAATCATTGGCAGTCAGCAAACACCAGGTTTCATATGGAGATGCAGCTGGATAGGAACTGAGCACCAATAAAATGCTTCGTCTTCCACTGGCAAGATTTTGGAGTCTAATAAAAGTCAC
Source organism: Homo sapiens (assembly GCF_000001405.40). Taxonomy (NCBI): domain Eukaryota; kingdom Metazoa; phylum Chordata; class Mammalia; order Primates; family Hominidae; genus Homo; species Homo sapiens. The sequence continues at coordinate 108,183,028 of NC_000010.11, read as the reverse complement.
TTTTCCAAATACAGGAAAATGCTATGAGTATCCTGAATACCTTGAGGTGGGGCAGCTGGGTCAGCACATGGCTGAGGACTGTCAACCACACATCAAATAATGTTCTGGATCTCTCCTAACAGGCATAAAAACAGATTCACAGACAAATGAAACAGAATAGAAAACCCGGAAATAAATCCATGCACCTACAGTGAACTCATATTCAACAAAGGCTCCAAGAACATACACTGGAAAAAGACAGTCTCTTCAATAAATGGTGCTGGGAAAACCCAATATCCATACGCAGAAAAATAAAACTAGACCCCTGTCTCTTACCGTATACAAAAATCAAATAAAAATGCATCAAAGACTTAAATCTAAGTCCTTAAACTCTGAAATCACCACAAGAAAACATTGGAGAAAAATCTCCTGGACATCGTTCTGGGCAAAAATTTCTCTAGCAATACACCACAAGCACAGTCAACCAAAGCAAAAATAGACAAATGGGATCATATCAGGTTCTGCACAACAAAGGAAACAATCAACAAAGTGAAGAGATGGCCCACAGAATGGGAGAAAATATTCGTAAACTAACCATCTGACAAAGGATTGATAATCAGATATGGAAACAGCTCAAACAACTACAGGAAAAAAAAAAAACTAACAATTGGATCAAAAAATGAGCAAAGGATTTGAATAGACATTTCTCAATAAAAGACATACAAAGGTCAAACTGGCCTATGAAAACATGCCAAAAATCACTGATCATCAAATAAATGCAAATCAAAATTACAATGAGATATTATCTCACCCCAATTAAAATGACTTACATTTAAAAGACAGGAATAACAAATGTTGGTGATGTGGAGAAAAGGCAATCCTTTACGCTGCTGGTGGAAATGAAAATTAGTACCACCACTATGAAAACAGTTTGAAGTCTCCTCTAAACACTAAAAATATAGCTATCATAAGATCCAGCAATCCCACTGCTGGGCATATACCCAAAAGAAAGGAAATGAATATGCAGAAGAGACTCCTGCACTCCCATGTTTTTTGAAGCACTATTCACGATAGTCAAGAATTGGAAGCAATCTTAGTGTCCTTCAACCGAAGAATGGATTTTTAAAAAATGTGGTACATATACACAGTGGAATACAATTCAGCCATAAAAGAAGAATGAGATCCTTTCATTTGCAATGACATGGATGAAACTGGAGATCATTAAGTTATTTTAAATAAGTCAGGCACAGAAAGACAAATATCATATGTTCTCACTTATTTTGGGGATCTAAAACTCAAAACAATTGAACTAATGGACATAGAGCGTAAAAGGATGGCTACCAGAGGCAGGGAAGGGTATTGGGGGGCTGGGAGGGAGGTAGGGAAGGTTAATAGGTACAAAAAATAGGTAGAATGAATAAGACCTACTGTTAGCATAGGTGAATAGCCAGAAATGAGCAAGCAAGTGAGCCTGCGAAAAGAAGACTTGGAGACACTGCCCACTGATAGTCAGTGCTGCCCATTGATGGTCAGCAAAAAATACATTGGCTTCATTGACTGCTTCTAGCCTTATAGTTGGGCTCCTCTGGCCCTAAAGGAGACCTATCAGGCCCCATCCAGAGATAACGATGGTAGGGACTTTCCCTGCTGCCAAGCATGCACACTCCTCTAATAACTCACCCCAGAGTAGCCTTTTGCTTGTTATAATAGTAAAACACACACCCCAGGGTGAAGATTTTAAATACTAGTGATACATGTCATATGTGTACTAGCATGTACAACCACAGAGCCTGCACATCCGAGTGTACCACCTAAAACATGATTGCACACAACACTGTCGTGCCCCTTCATGAATAATCATGTAAGATTCTAATAAAGAGAATCTCCCAGGGCTGGCTGCTGCTAGCTCATTCTTTTCTACCAGCCCACTCTGACTCATTTTCCAAGTGTACTGTCTCTTTAAATAAACACTACTGTTGCTATTTTTCTAGCCACACCAACCAGGAGCTGTTTTCCAGCCAAGCTGGCTGCTCCTCTCTTGGAATGTACTGTATCTTCCTTCAATCAACTCTGCTACTTAACCCTTGCTGTGCATCTCTTGACTGAAATCTTTATTTCAAGAAGACAAAAACCAAGGATGCTCACAGTGCTCAGTAACACTAGTATTTGATAGCACAACAGGGTGACTATGGTCAATAATGACTTAACTGTACATTTAAAGATAAGTAAAAGAGGATAATTGTTTGTAACACAAAGGATAAATGCCTGAGGGGGTGGATACCCCATTCTCCAGGATGTGATGACTATATATTGGATGCATGTATCAAGACATTTCATGTATCCCATAAACATATATAGCTACAATGTACCCATAAAATTTAAAAATCAAAAAATTCAAAAATAATTGGAGGCTTCTTTGGTAAATGACCTTGGATGTGGTCTGTTTCTACTTTCCCTAAGCCTGAGAACCTTAAGGGGGCTTTGCATGTTTCTGACCTGAGACTGGGAACCTTGCTGGGTATCAACCCTGGGTGTGGCCAGTGGCATGAATGTCCTTCCCCCACTCTTTCCCAAAGATGTTTTTCCTTTGATGACTCTGGTATTTTTTCTCGGTCTTATGGTTAGTTTGCAGAGAGGGAACACTCTCTTGATAATTCTGAGAGAAGGCTTTTAGAACTATCTTTTAAACTTTTAGAACTCAGCAGTTAAAGCTGTAATCCATCCTCTTTCACTCATTTCTCTGAGTTTGACTTCATTATATCATCAGTATGATTCTTCTTCACTGATAGAGATAATTTTTAAAAAATACAGCTCTGCTTACTTTCAGAGATTACGTGATAACTAGTTTCGATAATATGTCTAAATATCTCTGCATAATAGACAATTGCTAAATCTATTTTAAGGGTTTCAGTGAGTATTAAATGTCTTACTACAATAAAATCTAAAAAACAGTAACCTAGATCATAGGTAACTATAAAATTTTAAGTTTTATTGTCATTACTAACATTGCTAGTAGGACTGTTACAAAGCCTTTACACATATAAATGATATTACTATTACAGACATTGCAGGACTTTCCACTGAAAGTACTCTTATTTTCTGAGTGGGCTTGGTTAAATCACTTATTTATTCTTTTGATTCAGTTATTCTGTTACTGAATAAAAATAAGAAGGTAACAATACTTATTAAGATCATTGACAGTACTTATTAAGGTCATTAATCCTCACTCACAGTGTCTTTATTAACATTCAGAAAAATGAACTTTATTATTATTACCAACACCTCTCCCCTTATCAATTAGAGAGAGGGTGGAAGAGACACAGAGAAAAGGGCACTGAGAGGGGTAATGAAAGCTAAAAAAGAACACGATCCTTATACCCTTAATCCCTATACCATACTTTTCACCATTCTTGGATGGTAGGGAATCACACTGCTAAGTGTACGAAATTGTTAAATGAGAAAAAATGAAGCAGATAGAATAGTCGGGCAAAGAATCAATCACTGCATAAATAACTAACAAGCAAAGACTGCGTCTTCAGCTAGTGATAAGAACTATAAAGGAAGAGGAAGTTGTATTGGGGGAGAAAGTGACAGTACTTGAAGAGGAATGCCATTTTTCATAGGGAGGTGGGGGAAGGTCCCCTGCACAGGGCACATGGAAGCTGAAACATAATGCAGTGAAAGAGTACACCATGTGAAAATGTGGGGGTGGATAAGAAGGGATAAAGATAGGCCTTGGCATCAAAAAATTGGAAAACTACTAAACAAACTCACTTTGCAGCTGTGATAACTTTTACTGTGTTGAGAACCAATTACATTTTAAAAGCATCTAGAGAAATGTTAACTTTTAAAAAAAATAAAATTCTCTTAACATAATCTGAAATCCAAACTAAAAATTGGGAACAAACAAAAATTAAAGGGATGAAGCAAAATGTGGCTGTGTTTTCAAAGAATATGTGACTTCAGTCCCCTTTCCTCCTTCCATTTCATGCTCCCTAAAAAGAAATTATTAATTGCCACCAACATCTCCCAGGTAAGAAAGTCTTCTACACTCTAGAATTAATGTTACAAAGTTATACTTCACAATTATTTAACACTAGAATTTGAAAATAAACTATTATGTAGTCCAACTTCCACATTTTACAAATGAAGAAACTGAGACCCAAAGAGAGCCATTTATGTTTTCACAGCAGTATGTCCAATCAGCAGCAATAGGTCCACACAAGTTTTCCTAGATCCTCAACTCCAAGCTGCTTTCTAATTTTTCTTTGTAGGAAATGAACTTTTAAATAGTTTACCCACTTGAAAAATCAGGAAAAATACCTGAAAGAGATCTCAATGGCCAAAGCCAGAATAATTTAAATAACAAAATAAATAATGACGGTGTTGGATAAAAATCAGAAGAGTAAAATAAATATCATGAAACCCTTACTATATAAGTAAATGAATCAGTGAATAGGAGATAAGAAATAACTTATTCTTGCAGAGAAATTTAATTAATACATGTGGAACAAATGAAGGAAATAGACAAATTATCATTAGAAAAAGACAGTAATAATTGCTTTAGGCAACATCTACCAATAATTACAAAATTCAGTTGACTAAAGTTTAAGAAGAAACAGGATATTTGCATGATCTCAAACTATTGCCCTCTGCAATAAATATTTACTAACAACAAAGGGAAAGACACTAATTTTATAGTGAATACTACCTAGCCAAGTACTCAGGGTGACAGCTCCAGCAATAAGACATATATACATAATGTCAATATGTGCCTGATATAATGCACAAAAAGAAGCACATCACCTCTATGGTATTCTGCCCTAAGATGAGTATCATCAGTCTAATCATGAGAAAACCTCAGACCAACCCAATCTGAGGGACATACCACAAAATATCTGACTTTAATAATCTCAAAATCATGAAAAACAAGGAAAGACTGAGAAATTGTCATAGGTTGGAAACTAAGGGAATATGCCAGCTAAATGCAAGGTGGAGTCTTTGATTAGACTGATTATATTTTGAAACCGAGAAAAATCATTTTGGTGGAAAACTAGTTAATTCCAGTTTTATAGCTTTATAGAATTCTAGTCTATGGCTTAGTGAATAGTATTACACTAGTGTCAATTTCTTAGTTTAGATAACTGTACTCTGGTTATGTAAGAAAGTAACATTAGGAGAAGCTGGACAACATATACAGGAACTCTAGGAACTATCTGTGCATCTCTTTATATTCTAAAGTGATCTCAAAAATGAAAAAAATCAATTATTAAATATGTACCTAATGAAACTATTATGAGAAATGGCCTATCCTTTATTAAAGTTAAGGGGATAGCTTGTGTGCAATAAATGGCATGCCAAGAAGAATAAAAAATGATAGAAGAGAAAGTAAAAATAAACACCAAATAGATTCCAAATTGGAAACTGAGGATAGCATTCCTTGAAAATGTGATGTGTACTCCGGCTGCACTACCTCTAATGGGTGTTCTTTTACCCCAACTCATCAATGCATGTTAGAGAACAGTGGTTAACATCAGGGGTTATAGCAGTTATTCCATTGTGGATTTAATCCTGGCTCCTTGTTTTACTAACTGTGTCAACTTAGGCAAGTGACAGTTACCTCGGGAATAAAGTGGGAAATTGGATGAGTGAGGATGAAATGCATCCAGCATTGTGTCAGAAAGAGAAAACTCAACATATGATAGCACTTACAATAAATACGCACTTCTCTGGATTTCTTGGTCTTAATTACCTCCTTTGGGCACTTAGAATGCTTCTAAGTGGATACTGGACAGCCCCACAAATAGGAGAAAGGGCCCATTTGGGTGGTAGAAACACAAGTCCAGCAATGTGCCATGAAGTCACGGAAATTCAGAGGCTCCCAAATGGGAGCAGGTGCTAGTTAGTTCTTTCTGTTTTTATTTCCCATTGGAGTCTTGGCTTACTGTAATCAACAGAAAATGCATTTTGCTATATAACTAATAATCTGATTATTAGATGACCCACTCATACATGTATTCAGTGATTGTTTTTTAGGAGTCTACTATGTGCCAGGCACTGTTTTAGCTTCTCATAATTGAGCCTTAGGTAATACAGAGAAGATGGCTTTTCTTAGGGTTTTATGGTCTAGATTGTGTATGTATGCATTTTGGGTCATGGTGTTAAATAGCAATATTAACATCTCATTTAGCAAGACAATTTGAGATATTATTATTTTAATCAAGTTTAATACAGTTGACAGAGAGGGGCTGTGTGTTAGGGATGTTTGGTTGGGTGATCAGGGAAAGCTCTCTAAAGAGGGAATATTTGAGATGAGACCTGATTGACATAAGAGACTCTGCCATGGGAAGATCAGGAGAAATATATTTGGGAAAATGTGAAAAGCAGGTGCAAAAGTCCTTAAATACGAGTGAAGTTGGAGACATGCAGTTTGACCATTGAATAAAATAGGTTAGTGGCTTGCAAAATATAATATTAAAAGGCTATCTCTCTTCTGATATATATTTTAACGTTTATTACATACTTAGATGTTCAAGAATTATCCAGAAAAAAAAAAAATTGAGTTCGTCATGTGAATGACCCCTGAGATCCTTAAGATCAACCCTGAGAGGGGAGAGGTGTACTGTGTATGAGTTTAGATTCAGACATGGTACATACACTATCAATATAGAGATAGAAATTTGGATTACATACTGAATTTATATGTGGACTAGGTTGCCATCTCTTAATGGTGCACCATCTGAGATATTATCAATTGCGTGGAAAAGTCATTTCGATCTTGGCAATGAGCCGTTATGCCTGTACATTGCTGGTATTTCTACTCCTTTCAATCGAAATTAATGTTTCAGCAGGGCAACCAACCCACCTCTTCTTTCCCTGCTGTCATCAATATGATGAACTTGCAGAGTTCTAAGTTAGAACAAAAATCTGATTGCTTTTGTAGCCTTTTCTATCTCTGAAGTTTTTACTCTGTGAAGTGAGACATTGAAGGAATGGGAGGAGACTTGGGGAGGAAAACGGAGGAAAGAAAGAAGTTTAATTTTACTTCTTAAGAGCAAAAGGTATTTGGGCTGCCTGAAATTATAGTAAATTTTTCATCAACTATCTTCTTCTGATCTATTAAATACCTCAGCAAGAAACTAGATGTTGACTAGGAAATGGGCTCTGTGCACAGAAAGACAGATGCTGGGGCTGGGAAGAGGGACCCTTAGGCCATAGTGCTTAGTCCCTGGTGACAGCCAATCACAGGGCTCCTGGGCTGTAAGTTGGCTTGTCTACTGCCTGCTGAGATAGAAAGCAATGCCCAGCCAGAAGAAAATATGGCCTTAGATAAAAGAGAGTTCTGATACCTGATAGGAAAAATAAAGAATACTTTGATCCAGCAGAATCATGATACTTGTCAGTATCAACTTAAAGCAAGGTAAAAATAATTTTAGAAACACCATAATTGTCATGCATTACACTTATGCTCAAATCAAATAAAGGCATAATAATAAAATTAAAGATCAATACATTCACTAACATATATGCAAAAAGATTTTTAAATGATATATTAGTAAATCATATTAAGAATCAGATAAAAATATTATATCATAATCAGTTGAAGTATATCCCATGACTGCAAACTTAGTTTAAAAATTGAAAATTAATTAATACAATTCACCACAGTAACAAATGACAACAATGAACATATGATACACTTAATAAATTCAAAAGGAGTATTTGGCAATATTCAACACCCATTGATAATAAAAAATCTCTGCATACTAAGAATTGAAGAAACTTTCTGAATCTAATAAAGAGCATTTATTAAAACATCTGCAGCTAACATCATACGTAATAATGAAAGGTAAAGTGCTCTCCTACCAGGGTTGAAAGCAAGACAAGAATGCTTGTTCTTACCATTCCTATTCAATATTTTGTTGAAGATATACTAAGTGCAATAAGGCCAGGAAAGAAATAAAAAGCACTACATTCAAAATAAAAGAAGTTAAGCCTACCTTTATTCTCAGATGACATAATTGTTCATGCAGAAAATCCTATGAAATCTCCAAATCAGCTGCTTGGAATAGTATGTTAATTCATCGAAGTCACAGAATAGAAGATCAATAATTAAAAAACAATTGTATCTTACATATGAAAAATGAGTAATGGGAAAATATTTTTCAAATTTTTCAAATACCACTTAGAATACTTCACAAATAGAAACTTCTTAGGTATAAGTCTAACAAAACTTGTGTAGAATCTGTATCCTGAAAATCATAAAACATGAATCAAAAAAATCAGAGAAGCAACTAAAATGGAATGTAATAGTGAATAATTCTCAGATAAATAGTGAATATTTATGTAAAAGAATGTGTGTGTGTGTGTGTGTGTGTGTATGCACATATAAACGAAGAGAAACGATTACTATAAAGCATTGGCTCAATTGGCTCACATGATTATGGAAGCTGACAAGACCAAAGATCTACAGTTGGCAGTCTGGAGACCCGGGAGCTGAGGGTATAGTTCTAGCCTGAATTCAAAAGCCTGAGAATGAGGAGAGCTAAGGATGTAGTATCAACCCAAATGCCAGCAGGATCAAGATCCAGGAAAATTCCATATTTCCATATAAGTCCAAAGGCAGGAAAAATCGGATGTCTCAGCTTGAAGGCAATCAAACACAAGTTCTCTCTTGCTCAGCCTTTTTGTTCTATGTAGGTTTTTAACTGATTGCATAAGGGAAGACACTGTAGAGAGGACAACTTGCTTTATTCGGTCTATCAATTCAAATATTAATTTCATGCAGAAACATTTTCCCAGACACACCTGAAATAATATTCGACCAAATATCTAAGCACTGCATGGTCCGGTCGAATTGACATAAAATTAACCACCACAGGGAGAGATATACCATGACATGAACAGAAAAACTTAACATTGTTAAAGTGTCAATTTTCCCCAACACAATCACAAAGTCCCAGCAGTCATTGTGTAGCACTGACAAGCTCATTCAAAATTTATGTGGAAATACAAAAGGTTATTATAATAAAATTCTTCTGAAAAAGAACAAAGTTGAAGGACTTTCAGTATTTGATTTCAAAGCTATAAAGCTATAGTAATCAGAGCTATGTGGTATTGGTATAATGATATATATATATATATAATATAACAGAATATACAATTCACCCTTGAGCAATGTAAGGGTTAGGGGTGCTGATCTCCGTGCAGTCATAATCCACAAACAACTTCTGACTCCCCCAAAAATTAACTACCAGTAGACTACTGTTGACTGGAAACCTTACTGATAACATAGTTCATTAACATATGTTTTATATGTATTAGGTACTGTAATCTTATAATAAAGTAAGCTAGAGAAAAGAAAATATTTTTGAGAAAATAACAATGAAAAGAAAATGTGTCTCCTATTCATTAAGTAGAAGTGGATCATCATAAAGATTTTCATTCTTCACGTTAAGAAGTCTGAGGAGGAGAAGGGTGGGGGGATGGAAAGAGTTGCAGGAGAGGTTTATTGAAAAAAGTCCACATTTAAGTGGACCCTTGAAGTTCAAACCCACAATGTTTAAGGGTAAACTGTATATTCAAAAATAGACCAATATATACATATGTATATATGTATATATACATAGACCAATATATACATATACATATATATATACACCAATATATACATATATAGGTATCTGTATATATAGCCCTTATAGGAAATATGCTAAAGCAATGGGGGTAAAGGATAGGCTTTTAAATGAATTGCGCTAGAACAAATGGATATACATATTTTTTTAAGTGAGAAGGAAACCTTAATAATTAGCTCACACTAAATTAAAAAAAAAAAACTCAAAATAGATCATAGATTGAAATTTAAGAGCTAAATCTATAAAACTTCTAGAAGAAAACAACAGGAGAAAGTCTTAGTGACCATGTTTTAGGCAAAGGTTTAAAAAGGTTATGTGTACTTCATAAAATAAATGTTTGTAAACTACTTCAAAAAATGAAAAAGAAAGCCATAGAATGGGAAAAATTATTCAGGAAACACCCACTTGATAAAGAACTAGTATTCATATGTATGATGAACTCTTACAGCTCAATAAATTGAAAACATCAATTTATAAATGGACAAATAGTTTTAAACTATTTGAAAATATTTGGAAAATTATTGCATAACAAGATACTCAATATCATTAGTCATTATAGAAATACAAATGAAAACCACAATGAGTTACTTGTACATACCCACTAGAATGTCTACTTTAAAAAAAAAAAAAATTATAGGCCGGGCGCTTTGGCTCACGCCTGTAATCCCAACACTTTGGGAGGCCGAGGCGGGCGGATCACGAGGTCAGGGGATCGAGACCATCCTGGCTAACACGGTGAAACCCTGTCTCTACTGAAAATACAAAAAGTTAGCCAGGCGTGGTGGCGGGCGCCTGTAAATCCAGTGAAGTGCTATGCAGCTTTATAAAATAGAAGGAAGCTCTCCATAAACTAACAAGGAGTTACTTCCTGGATGAATATCTGATTACAAAAGCAAAGTGCAAAGGACTACTATATATGTTACCTTTTGTGTAAAATATATGGGGGAAAAATGTGTCTACTCATTTTTCCAGCTACTCGGGAGGCTGAGGCAGGAGAATGGCGTGAACCTGGGAGATGGAGTTCGCAGTGAGCCAAGATTGCGCCACTGCACTCCAGCCTGGGTGACAGAGTGAGATTCCATCTCGAAAAAAATATATATATATAATATCAAGTGTTGATGAACATGTGTAGCAACTGAAACTCTCCGACTTTGATGGTAGAAATGCAAAATGACACAGCCACTTTGGAAAGCTTTTTAGTAGTTTCCTACAAAACTTAACATTCACTAATTCTGTGACATGGTAATTTCAGTCCTAAGTATTTTCCAAAGACAGATAAAAGCATACATTCAAAAGTGATATGAGAATATTCATAGCAGATATTTACAATAGCTAAAAGCTAGAAATGTCACAAATGTTCATCAGCTGGTAAATAGATAAACACATTGTGGTATATTTATCCAATGGATTTCAACTGAGCATAAAGGGAATAAAACCACAGTGCAATAGTACAGAGGAATCCTAAAAGCTTCTTCCTAATGAAAGAAGGGATATACAAAAGAATGAATTATGTATGAGTATGATTTAATTTATACCAAATTCTACAAAAGAAAATAATAAAATGACAGCAATAAGATTTCTAGTCCCTAAGGACTGGATACAGAAATGTTGAATTGACTACCAAGAGGCATGAGGAAATTTATTTAGGAGATTTGAATATTCAATACAGTGTTTATGATTATGCTTACACAAATATATACATATATAAAGACTCATCAAATTTTACCTTAAAATTGATCAGTTTTAACGTACAAAATTATGACATCTTAAAATATTGTAAAAAGATGAAATAGGGTATGTGTGAAAGAAAGGAAGAGGCTGATAAAGGCTAATGTTTAGGAAAAAGTAAATAGTTGTGGGAATGATTTGATCAATATTAGATAGCCTTACCACATTTCTTCTTCACTTGCTAGTTCTTGTCTGAATTCAACCACTAAAATGCATTGCTTTATTAATAAAACTATAAAACCTGTTTTAGTCCATTAGTTTGGATATTATTGACATATATACATATTTGTATCAATTACCTATTTATCTAGATACAGAGAGATATAACGATACCTTCTGTTGTTCTATTGGCCAAACTATAGGAAGAAGAGGATTCTCATACCTTATCGATTTCTGGTGGGAAGACGCATTTATACAATACTCTGAGAGGGAAATTTGGCAATATCATACAAAGCTACATACACATTTACCTTTTTCCCTACTGATTCCACTCCTAGGAATTTACCAAGAAAACACATTCTACACATGTACACACAAACACACAATTATTCAGTGCAGCATGGCTTGTAAATAGTGGCAAAAAATTAAAACATTAAAATGTTATATATAGTGGTGTAGTTCAATAAACTATAATAAATAAATCCAGTGAAGTACTATGCAGCTTTATAAAAAAGAAGGAAGCTCTCCATAAACTAACAAGGAGTTACTTCCTGGATGTACATCTGATTGCAAAAGCAAAGTGCAAAGGACAACTATATATGTTACCTTTTGTGTAAAATATATGGGGGGGGAAATGTGTCTACTCATTTGTGCACAAAGAGAAAGGACACATTACAAATTTATGAGATGGACTACCTCCAGGGCATGTATGGAAACTGGATGGAAAGGACTTGGAGATGGAAAGGAAGTGGGATGAATGGAGGGAGAGGATTGAGATGGAAAGGATTGAGATATAACCCTCCTTCTAAGTGCATCATTTAAAACATAGCTTTGGCTTTTAGAATCATGCTCTATTTTAAAAACTAAATAATAAAATCAGCAAGGATTTGGGAGAAATGGGATAGGAATAGAAATACATGAATCTAACTGTATTTCAAATTAATTATATAAAGAAGTTTTAATTTTTGGACGCTGTGTTTTTACTGTATATCCTCAGACTGAAGACAAAAAAGTTTTTAAAATAATGACTTTATTAGTCAGCCTGTTTTCCACAATGTTATGGGTCAGACATTCCTCAATGACTTGTATATTTCAGAGCTGAGCACATAAGTGAATGTATTGTGAATGACAGCTAGGTTCCTCTCTGTCAGAGAAGAAAGTCCAAGTTGTAGAAAACCAGAAGCTGAAATAAATGCTTTGGTGTTGGAACGAAATTGCAGGTATTAGTGTGAATACTTTTTTAAATATCTAGATATAGATATGAATATATGCATGAATATATATTTGAGTTTAAATTTATGAATAAGGAAGCACACACAAATGAATATTATTGGTACATATATATCTTATCTCATGTAATGCTTTTCAGTTCTTCTAAAAACTATTATACAAACCACAAATATTTAAAATAAAATTTCTAACATCTCTGTGTTCCTCCACTCATTTCCTTCTGCCAAGTTTTTTGTTTCATTGTTCCCTTGAGTCCTCCTTAATTTATCTCAGTTGCAAATTTGACAGTTCTTACAGCAGCCTTAGCATTCTGAAGACACACAGTACAAATTTATAAGTTCATAGTAAACACACAGTTAAGGCAAAGTGATAAGAGGAGACTTTCAGCAAATGAATTGTCTCCACGTGACCCTAATTAATAGGTTTCTTAATGCTATATGGATGTGGGACAGGAGGAGGGACGAGAAGGGGAGAGACAAAAATGATGATAAAGTATTTCGTGGATCATATGGTGCACAACAAAAGGGCAGCTGTGCGCTGAGGATGTGCATGGGCTGTGGAGGGCTATGGCTTGCTCCCTTGATGAAGCTGTATTATTTTTTATTCTGAAGGTCAAATGCAAAATTATAATTATCTAAGAATGGTTTTCTCATTTTTTATTCTAATAATGCTTCACAACTCTACATGAGCATAAACCGTTTAGCAAAATACCAACATAGGGTTCAGAGGTTGTAATTTGAAAAAGCAATAACAAAGATCCGCTGTAACTTGTAAAATATTCAATAAGGGGTTTTGAATAAGATTGAAAAAATTGAAGGAAAATATGTGTTCCCAGTGGGCAAAATATTACTGACATTTTTAATAATAGTGAAACATAAGACCTAGGTAGGGCAAAACAAAAATCCATTTTGCATGTCAAAGACTTGTTTGCAACAAATCTGTTTAGATTACTTTGTTAGATTTTGTGACTCTAATGGAGTAAGTTCAAGGTTAAGAAAACTAGAATAAATATCTAAATGACTGTGGGGAAGCTCACTTTCCCAGAAAGATTCTGAAAGTTGAGACATCTTTATGCAAGACACAATGTCTCCACCTTGGCTTCATTAATGCAATTTTGTTTCCCTTTCAAGACAAAAAGGAAAACAAAATATCTGCTAACTTGCCTTTATATATCCTATGGTTCTCCTGGCTGCACATACATTTAAGGAGTTAGACTGTTTCTTATTGTATCTGGAAATATTTTTCTACTTGTCACATTTTTCTACTTTCCTTAAGAAAGCAATTCAAGTACCCTAAAATTTAAATATATGGTAGTTTACTAGCACACTATTAAATCCTTCTACTATAGGAAGAGGTAAGGAGAAGATTAGCATTTTACGGGCTCCCAAAATGAGGGATCATAGTTGAAGAAACACATTGATGGAGCTTCAGTTTGCCTGTAATAAGGTAATTAAAAATACATTTAAAAATTCTTAAAGTGTAAATTAAAGATTAATCATCTTCATATATTTATGACTACTTTGTATCAGTTACCAGTCAAGTGCCTTTAGATGACAGATAATTGATATGAGAGAAAAGTATCTTCCACTGGCTTTCATCTTTCAATTAATTCCAGAGTCTTTTTTACTTAAGGAAAATCTTTGAAAGAATGTGATTAATGCTTAAAACATTATTTCCACTTAATAAGAAATCATGAGGTCCTTTGAGAAGACAATTCAGTTGGTTATAATACCCTGAACAAGAGAAAACTGAGTTTTCAAGATCTGATATCAACAAGTAGTTTCCCAAAATTGATCCTGAATTCCATGCAAGCAACCATGTTGATTTGCCATTATGTGTTGTCATTGACTCAGACTGATTCAGGTTAATGTTCAAGACTGCTGGCCTCATGGATAGAAATTAGTCTCGTTTAAATACACAGCTTTAGGATTTCAGCATGGATTTTTATCGTTTGATGACTGAATTTGTTTAAAATGGGGGTACCATTGTCAATTTTCTGATTGTGAAGTTAGGTGAAGTTTCTGTTAATATTTCATTGGATGTAGGCATGGCTTTTCTTCCTGGCTCCCTGTGGCTCTCATGGGCCTCTGCTGGGCATTTTTCTAGTCCCCATCTCTTCTTTTCTGCCTGGGTTTCAGTTCTGGCTTTGCTTTCCACTTGTTGTCTCAAGAAAATTATCTAACCTCTCCTACTTACATAAAGGGATAGAAATTCCTGCCCTCAGATTTGTAATAATTAAGTGAAGTATGTATGCCTAGTGCTTAGCAGAGAGCTGGGTGCATAGAAACCTTTCAAAACATGTTAGCTCTCATCCCAGTTGGTGTCATTATTAACAAGCAGAAACCATTTCCTTAAAACCTTGCTACCTCAAGCGGGAGCTATGCGTCAGCAGGTAATCTAATCTGAACAACATATTACTCTCTTCAGGGGATGAAATGCTCTAATGATGGTACATCTATTCTTTTACATTTATTTATTAGATATTGGCAAATTACAATTGTATATAAGTTTGTATATTTATAGGGTTATTCTGAAAAATAAGATCTTTTAAGAGTTTTTTGTAGTGTTTGCTTCTGTGTGATGGAATTGTACTGGAATGTTGTGATATAGGAAAGCAGCATTTGTTGCTATAACTGTGATACAATAGCCATATAAAATGCAAAACCTTTGGCTATGGTATAAGATAAATTTACTAAATAGTGTTCATGGGAGATGGGGGAGCAGGGAAGAAAAAAGAAAAAAACACATAGTCCTTAGTTCATCCTAAATGTCTCCCCATTGCAGAGGACTTCCATTAAAAAAATTCTTATAGAGTTCTAATGGAATTATCTTTTAGAGGTTTTTACAAAGTAATGTTTAAGTCTTAGAGCCAAATTAGCTTTAGTATCAGTTTTGGTCACTAGACTCTTTTTTAAGGGAGATTTATTATAGTAAACATAAAATATTTATTTTTTGAAAGTACTGAGAAAATGGTTAAAAATTAAAGGTTTCCTCTGAAGCCTGAACGTCAGGAATAATATTGCGGTTCAAATATCTCTATCTGACCTCCTTGCACTCATATCCCCCCAAGCATTTACTATATTGTATAAACAAATGTTGAGAATGCTAGAGAAATTCAGGTGTTCAAACTTCATAGTTTTAAAAAGAAAGTGGCATAAGATGATGAGCAGCCAAATCTAGTAAGTAATTAAGAGTAAATGATTGCTGTCAATTATTTTCAGAGAAAATGAGATGTTTAAGATACAAGTGCACTTTGAGAATGAGGACTTTGCCTAGAATGACTGATAGGTTATGAACCGTTGTAAAGAAAAGAATGTCCTGGTTTAATATGTTTAATAAATTGGAAAATCTGTGTATTCATCAAATAGTTACTCTTTACTGATTGTGTGCCAGGTGGGAGTGTGCTGGAAAATGAGGCAACTAAGGCAGAGCTTCTGCTTCCCTAGAGTTTACATTTTAATTAGAGGTGGGAAACAGGTGGGAGCTGAAGGAATACAGAGAAGAAGTAAAGAAGTTGATGGACACGGGGATTCCAAATAGTGAAACAGGCAATGACTTAAACAAGGTCATGTGAGAAAGGTGTGGCTGGGACGCTGTCTTAGTTCTGGTGGTCAGGGAAGGCCTGTCTGAAAAGGTAACAGAATGCACGTACTTTGCTTGACAAATGATGACCGATGGCCTTGGCATTGCCAACCTCTCCCTACCTTGCAGAGCTGACGATTCACCATGAGCAGTGACTCATGAAAAAACAGTCATATCAAAACATGGAGCAATCTGTTAATATAGAAAGAGGAAAAGATAGAAGAACTGAATGGATTGAGAACCTGTAAGCGTACTCAATAAGAAGAGGGTGAAGTCAGGAATTCAAAATAGTTACGGGAGGAAGAAGAATAGAAGCCAACAAACATTCTCCGTCCCAGTGGGCATATTTGAAGGTTTCCATGTGTGTGCTGACTTTGCTGGAGAGGGGGTAGGTCACATGATGTTGTGCCTTCTGGCACCTGACACTAGGAAGCCACACTAACCTCAAGTGTAGCCAACAGTAAGAAAGAGAGAGTGAATTGCTGAGAGTGTTTCTCTGATACCTCAAAATTTAGCATCTGCATAACAGTCTCAAGAATACTGGGAGGCCTCATGCAGGGAAAAGGGCAGTGAAGATCACGGAAACCACTCCAGCAAACAGAATAAAGCAACAATTATTGTGCTTTAAGTAAACAGGCTTTGAATGTCTCACAAAAATTTTCCATGTCAATATCCAGGCTGTACATTAATATTAAATGTTTCATAAATGCTGAATACTACATTATATTGTAATTAAAATTCATTCTCAAAGTATTTATCCAAATTGTAGATGGCTTCTATAACTCTGAGAAAGGAGGGTATACTAGCCAGATATACTCCACATAGCTAATTACCTTGGGAAATTTATGATAAAAGAAATAAATGAAGAAACTGTCTTTGGCTGTTCAACCAGTCAACAAGTTCCTTGAGGGCAGAAACTATGTCTTATATGACTTTATATGCATAAGTATCTAGGAGTGTGTTGACTGTGGTATTTTTATAGTAATTGGAGATATCTGAATGGGAAATATTTTAACTATGAGTATTAGTTGATATTAGAATAGAAGACCATAAGCTTCATAAGGGCAAGTACTATGTTAAATTATTACCTTAGGATCTGGAACATAGTACATCCTCAAATAATTACTATGTAATTAATTTATTAGGGATTCTTAGCCCGAAGAAGAGAAACCTTGAGCAACATACTAGTAAATTTCAAACGTCGAGAAATTTTGTTCCATGGTGTGTCAATTACACTTGATGTGTGTCCTGCTAAGATATTAAACTCCGGACAGTAACTGGGAATTATAGGCAAGAAGCTCTTAAATAAGGATTACTATTATAGTATTGTTGTTTAATTTTATCTCTTAGTAGCTTCTCAGATTCCTAAGTTAGGGGTTGTGTGGCTGAACTGAACACCAACAGAGCAGGGGAAAATATTGCTTCTATGCAAAAGAGAGGGAAAGAGTGAATATTTCCTGCATAACAATCTGATTTCTACAGCATAATGCCCATTTGAATGCTAATCTTGTAGAATTTTATTATATTCAGTATCTTTATGTTCCTCTACATAACAATTCATCTTTACATAGTTATCAGTGAAATCTTTCTCTTCCAACCTACAAAGCATTCTGCAAGACAGAAAGTCCCTGGTCCTTGGTGAGGAGGTGTCTTCTTTCTTGGAGTCATGGGAAGAAACAGGATTTGTAAAGACCAAGTGATCCCGATTCATTCCATTTTCTAAACCTCCTTCATCTCGACTGTTCCCTTTGTTGTTGAATTGAGTTCCAGGTTTTCTTGGTCTGTGGTACAACCTCTTCCTTGCAGAAGTACAGATTAATTAAATGCTTTTTCTAAATAATAGCAAGTTATAAAACTTCTTCAGGGAGTTCATCTGAGAATCTAGGATATAATTAATGCAATTTATGTTCTTCAATGGTTTCTAAGGGTAGCTCCGGTCCTCCAAAATCTAAATATTACTCTAATGTATACGTATGCTGTTTCTCATGGACAGATTGGTAGAGTCAGGTAATAAGAGAATAAATGAGTATCTATATTGCTTGTTAGGTCCCAGAAGAGCTTCTTCTTTGGGAATATCACACTATGTCAGGCATATTTTTTACTGTATGGAAGTACTTTGGTATTTGATATTTGAGTGATGTCTCAAAAGCAGCTTCGTAGCATTCCCTGTCTCCATATATGAGGTGATCTGATTTAGAAATAGCACTTACTGAGGTGGCTTAATCTGTCTGGAAGTGGCTATTTGCGTGTTCACTTCATCTCTTATGTAGAAATGCAATATTTGTTTGTTTCATCCATTCTTAATTTTAAATGTCTTTTGGAGTTTGGGAGAAAATAGAAATAAACATTTGCAAGAAAAATACCAGAATACTAAATAACTGAAAACAGGGTAAATATAGAAAGCATTCAAGTACAACTTTAAATAACACAAAATAAATAAAGTTGCACCCCAGATAACCCTCAGAACACAGTAGATAAAATCTCTAACTTTCCCAGAAGATAGACAATGATGAAATCGTGATATTTCTTTGTACAGTGTCTATTACATTTAACCTTCCCGTCTCTGAAGATGAATCAGACAGTCATGATAATAGTACCATTTGATAGACGAGTCCATTGAGGCACAGTTAGTGACTAAGCCCACTACAATAATCCTGTTTCCTTTAAATCATATAAAGTAAAATAAGTACATGTTAAATACATGATTTTACGAGTGTTGACTTAGGTAGACAATATATCAATACTAATAAAGAACATTTCCATTAGCCCAGAAAGTCTCTTTGTACCCACTTAATATTAATTCCTATAAGACCACAGGCAACTGCTGTTCTGACAGCTGTCACCATAGATTACTTTGTCTGTTCTTGAACTTTATTTAAAAACAAATTGAATCATGAAATAGGTATAATTTTTATGTCTTGGCTGTTTCTATTTACCATAATGAATTGAGGTGAATCAATGTTATTGTGTTTATTAGTAGTTCATTCTTTTTATTGCCAAAGAATATTTCTTTATATGCATAGGACATGATATGTTTATTCTCTAATTAATAGACATGGGTTATTCCATTTTAAATAAAGAGCTTTAAAACTCTTTTACAATTCATTCAGTAACCACACATTTTTATTTCCCTTAGATAAATTCATAATAGTGGGCCGTTGGGTAGGGATATGTTTACGAGAAAAAGCTGAAAAATTGTCAAATGATGATTTCCCATTTTATATACTACCAACATTGTTATGAGAGTTTCAGTTGTTCCACATTCTCATCAACAGGTGTTTCTGTGATTGTTTTTTATTTTATCGTTTTTTTTTTTTAACTGAGACTGAGTCTTGCTCTGTTGCACAGGCTGGAGTGCAGTGGTGTGATCTCAGCTCACTGAAACCTCCTCCTCCCAGGTTTAAGCAATTCTCCTGCGTCAGCCTCCCTAGTAGCTGGGATTACAGGCACCCACCACCACACCCGGCTAATTTTTGTATTTTTAGTAGAGATGGGGTTGCACCATGTTGGCCAGGCTGGTCTCAAACTTCTGACTTCAGGTGATCCACCCGCCTCAGCCTCCCAAAGTGCTGGGATTACAGGCATTAGCCACCGCACCTGGCCTACTTTATTCTTTTGTAAAATCTGTTCATTTCTTTTGGGCATGTTATTTATTTGATTTTTTTCCTGTGTTATTACTAATCTTTAGGTGTTTTATATAGTCTAGGTACAAGACCTATTTCAGATATGTCTATGGAAAGTAATTTCTTAGACTATGTCTTATCTTTGTCACAGCTAATAATGATTTTGATGAGCAGAAATTTTAATGTACGTGAAGTCCAGTTTATTTTTTCCCCTAACTTAGTTTTTTGATTGGCAAATAAAAAGTCTATGTATTTGTCATGTATAACATGATGTTTTAATATATATATATGCATTTTAGAATGGCTAAATTGAGCTAATTAGCCCTTAATTAGCTTAAAATCTGCTTTGTTAGTGATTTTCAATAATGTAATACATTGTTTTAAACTATAGTCACCATGTCATATCATAGATCACTTGATCTTGTTCCTTCTGTGTAATCGAAACTTTGTAAACTTTAACAAACATCTCTCATCCACATCCCTAGCCCCTGGGAAGAACCATTCTACTCTGTACTTGTATGAGTTCAACTTTTTTGGGTTCCACATGTAAGTGAGACCATGCTGTGTTTATCTTTCTGTGCCTGGCTTACTCACTTAACAAAATGTAACAGTTTACTTTTTTTTAACCTTTTCTAAAAATTATGGTTTTGCCATTCGTGTCCCCTCCTAGAAATCTTTGTATATCTCACATTTGTGAAGTATTCTGTATTCTTTTCTGAGAGTTTTAATATTTTAGGTTTCATTTTTAGATTTTGCATCTCAGTTAATACAATTGTTTGAATACTATTTCTTGAAAAAACTTCCATTCTCCCTTGTGTTAGGTATATACCACTAATTTATATATAATCACATTTTGATATGTATTTATATCATTTTGGTAACTTTTATCTTTCAAATAACTTAAACTCAGTTATGAAATGCATTTGCATCCAATTTTTGATGATATCATTCTATTTCCTTGTAATGTCTGTAAATATGGTATTCCCTCTTTTATTATAGATATTCCTAATGAGGCTTTCTATTACGTTTCTGTTTTCTATTTTGTCAATTTTTGCTCCAAAATGTATTATTTCTTTCTGTGTATTTACTTCAAGTTTAATTTGCTGTCCTTCCTCTAGCTTGTTTTTAGATATTTCTTCTTTTCTAAAATAAGCATTCATGTCATTTTATTTTTATTCTTCAGGCACTACTCTAGATGCTTCTTACACATTTTTACCAGTTTTGATTTCTGTGTTTCCTAGATTTCTTTTTATTTTTGATTTTTAATTTGTTAGCATATGGTCAGATGACGAACTCTGTATGCTTTCAATCTTTAAAATACATTGAGACATTTTATATCCTGGCATATGGTCTGTCTTGGTAAGTGCTCAATGTACACTTAAAGTTTGCTGTGGTAGAAAGGTGGTTGATGATGTTGTTCAAGGCTTATATCCTTATTGATTTTCTGTCTACTTGTTCTATCAATTACTGAGAGAAATTATGAAATATTCAACTTTGTTGATTTACCTTTATTTTTATTCTGGAGCTACTTTGCTTATAGATTATATATTTATGATGGTTATATTTTCCTATTTTATTTACCATCTTTTGATTTTGAACTGTCCCTTGTTGTTTCTAGTAACATTTCTTGTGTCAGCCTGCTTAGTCTGATCCAACTGTAGCCATGTCACCTTCCTTGTACTTACAGTTTGCATATTTTCATATTCACTCCTGTTAATTTCATTATATCTTGCCTTTAATTTTAAAGTGCATCCCTTGTATATAGAGTGTATAGTTATTATAATCTTTAATTCATTCATTAAGAAAATGTCTCTCTTGATTGAGTGCTTTAGTCCTCTTAAAATTATTTATTTTTATTGTTGAATTTACATTTACCATTTTTCTGTTTCAATTTGTCTCATCTCTGTTTTCCTTTCATTCTTCCTTCACTGCTGTCCCTTATGAGAAAAATGTTGCTATATAACATTTTAATTTCTCTGTTGACTTTCTAACTATAATTCTCTGTAATTTTTGTTGTTGTTAGTACTGCTTTAAGATTTACAATCTGTATCCTTAGCTTACTATGCAATCAACTTCAAGTTAATCCTGACTTACTATTACTTCCAATATGATCTAATAAAATTGTGTGTATTTATGCATGCATCTATCTATCATCTATTATTCTTCCTATTCTTTTTATACTATGGATGTATATGTGTGTATATTTGTGTGTTCACACAAAAGTATGTCATTATAAATTATAAATCAACTGGCATACTATTGTCACTTTGACTTTAAGCCATCACCAGCATGATTGGTAATAAGTAAATAGTTACTCTTAGATATTTTATAAGTACAGCTATTGAATAAAAGAGGCCCATAAGGACAGAGAAAGAGGAATGAAAAACTTTTGCCATGAAAATTTTTAAATAGGTAGAGCAGTCATATGAGTTATGAAGTAGAATCAAAGGAACAACCCGAATCAAGGAGTATGTTTTTCAAACAGTGTGGTCAACTATCACTTGAATGGAAGGCTGTTGGGATATATAGCAAGCCAGGTGTTTGCTGAGGGTCCATTGTTGATAATGAAAAATTAGACTTTAAAAATACTTACTCTCCCTTATGCAATAATGTCACTTTTCTTTTACTGCTTTCAAGATGTTCACTTTATCTATGGCTCTCAGCTGTCTGATTATGATTTTAATAGTTTCTTTATGATATTTAGGGTTTGTTGAGACTCTTGGAGATGTATAGTATCAAAGCATCCAAAAACAATATGTAAGCTAATGAGCGTGGCTGTGTTCCAAACATAATTTTATTTAAAAATAATGAGTTTTTCAGCTTTGGTCCATGACCAGAATTTGGTGACTGAAAATTTAATCCAATCCAACAAATGTTTTAAATTAAAAATATTATACTGTGTTTATTAGTTTATATTTTGTATTTGCTGATTTTTGTAGTTTCTACTTCTCTACCATGATTCCCTATTTTTCTCATTATAATTATACATTTTTACAATTCCTTGAAAATGTGTGTAAAGCTTGCTTAGTGCCCTTGTCTTCTATTTTCATACCTTTGCCAATTTAAAGCCTTTATCTTTTGGATGACATTTCTCATCAATGTCAAGAGTAAAGAATGGGTCAATGGGTCATGTGTTCTTGCTTATTTTTCTAGGACATTTTTGTTTGACAGTGTGATTGTTACGTTGTTGATTGTTTGAGTTTTCTATCTGCCTTAATAGAGTCTTAAGTTTGGTCTAGCTGTCCATTCAGTTACTTGCAGGTCAACTTGATTCCTTAAAATTTTGCCTTTACACTTTTTAAAGATAAATTTCTAGTTGCTTGTGCTCCATGACTAGATATACTACTTAGAAGGTAGTATCCTTCTAAGGTTTCAATAGAAACCTTTATAGATTTCTATTGAAAACTTTGTCTTTTCAATGAGATGTTTTCCCATTCCATGGTCAGACCCTGTGCAAATTTTGAAGGTTATTTTGTTCACTTATCATATCTCTCCCAGGCAGTTGTTGTTTTGATGATGATTTTTCTCCCTAATTATTATTCTTTTTTTCTGGAATTCTTAAATTTTACCTGTGAATACAAAGCTTTGTTTTTTGTCCAAAACTCAAAGAGATCCCTAAGCAATTTTCTGGAAATCCTTCTGCAAATAAATCCCCCATCATCTTTTGTACCTTGCACCACATTTTAAGGTACCTACAAGTTACCCAGAACTACAAACTCTGTGTAATCACCTTAGAAAAAGCTGCTGTATTTTGTTTGGTTTTCCCTGCCTTTTCTATCATCTAAAACATGATTTTTTGCTAGAAAGCCTGGCAATGTTGTAGCTCATTCCATTTGTTCCCCTTTTCTCGTGATCACTGTCCTACATTGCCCATTGCATAACACCTTTAAACAGTTGGCTTTCACATGTCTCTTTCAGTTCATTATTTTTTTAACACAATGGGCACAAATTGCTTTACTTTGGCTAGATATATTAATCATTCATAATAACGTTTCTTTATTTGTTTGCTGTATGGTGTATATTATGGCCCTGTCACTGTGCCCCATATATCTTCCATGGACTGATAAATGTTATGTTTATATAAGATTAGAATACAGGTAGAGCATTAATGAGATGAATTTTAAGTATGGAACTGTGTGGTACAGAACAAGAAACACAAATGAGAAGACTACAGCCCAGGAGGTACAGAAGATCACTAGAGAGAATCTTCATCCTATCCTGGGAATTTTAGACATATGATGGAGGGGGTTTTTCTGCCAAAGGCCATATAATTGTGCATGTAATGAAGAGGAAGACGTACTGTAGTTAAGGCTATTTGGCCTATAGTTAATAAACAGAGGGCTCCAGATAAATCCTTATTGAGATTTAACTCTTTTTTCACTAGGCATATATCTGTAACTAAACGATTGGAGGTACACATGCAATATTTTTGAAAATTACTAAGTGGATAACATTAGGAGAAACACCTAATGTAGGTGAGGGGTTGATGGGTGCAGCAAACCACCATGGCACATGTATACCTATGTAACAAAACTGCACATTCTGCACATGTACCCCAGAACTTAAAGTATAATAAAAAAAAAAAAGAAAGAAAATGATTGAGTTTCCAGACTGTGAAAAGATATTCTGGTAATGGAGAGGCTGCTTGGTTATAAGAGCCATCCAGAAAATTTAGCAAAACTTCCCACTACTCATGACTATGATATTTACAGAGAAGTTTTTATCTCTTGCCAAGAGGTGCAAAAAGAAAACATGAGCTTAATTCAAGACTTCTCTGAAGCATAGCTTATAAATATTCTAGACTCTCAGCTCTTAGAGCCATCATTTTTCTGGGGTTTGGACCTCACCTTGCTGGTGAAAATGCTCAGATAATCACTGTTTTGATTGCTTCTCAGTGGGTACTTTGCATAAATAATTGTGGCAATAGTAGGCAGGCATGGAGATGCAGCTCTTTTTGAATAAATTTTGGAAGTAGTAGTTGTTGGTGATGTTTTATAGGATAGTAAAGCACTGCATTGTTTTCTCCCTCTATGCTAATCATTTGGATCTTACTAGGCAAAATTTTTAATGTAAAATGTAAACAACAATCAGAGGAGTTTTAAATTCAGACATAGGTTCCAACTGAAGCACATACAAAGCACACCTCCTTCTGAGGTTACAGTCATAAAAAAGTTGATCTTGCTGGGACAAACTGAGACACACAATGACTAAATTCAGCCGAGAATAATCAGAACAAATTAGAATTGTATTCTCTCACACCTCCCTTTTTAAATCTACCACAGTACTTCTCACAGTCTCAAATTTTAGTCTATTTATGTGATTATTTGAGTCTCTTTCTCCCATTAGACTTCCAAATTCCAGCAAGTCAAGAAGGAGGTCTCCATCTCTCAGCAGTATCCTCAGTGTTCTGTCTCTTAAGAATCATTTCCTTAATGAGTAAGTGAATGAGAAATATCTTGACACTGAGGAGCCAAATAGAAATAACAGAATAATTTTGGTATAGTGAAAACTGAATTTCGGTCAGGTGCGGTGGCTCATGCCTGTAATCCTAGCACTTTGGAAGGCCGAGGCGGGTGAGTCACCTGAGGTCAGGAGTTTGAGACCAGCCTAGCCAAAATAGTGAAACCCCATCTCTACTAAAAATACAAAAATTAGTCAGACATGTTTGTGGGCGTCTGTAATCCCAGCTACTCGGGAGGCTGAGACAGGAGAATTGCTTGAACCCAGGAGGCAGAGATTACAGTGAGCCAAGATTGCACCACTGCACTCCAAGCTGGGCAAGAGAGCAAGATTCCATCTCAAAACAAAACAAAACAAATCAAAACAAAAAGAAAACTCAATTTCATATCTGTATAACATTTTTTAGTTTACAAAGTGCTTGACTTGATTGTCACAAAAAAAGAGATAGACAAAGCTGACTGCTTTTTATTTCTAAGCTAAACATGGGGAATTTGAGGCTCAGGGAGGTCAAACTACTTATTACTAAAGGTATAATTGAAACTAATACAGATAACTTCCTGTTCTCTTTTGCAAGTTTCCTTTCTGCCGTCAATATTTAGTTGTAACTCAAGTAGAGATGGGATTGAATGCTGACTCTTTGCATATTGCTAAAAATCATAGTTTTGGTGAACACATTAGACTTATTGTAATAGTAAATGAAAATTCATTCATTTAAATATCTTTACAAATGACTCATTTTCCACAAAGTACTAGGCAGACTTTATCACCTTTTTTGGCAAATGCATTAGTCCTTAAGTATTTTAATATAAGAACCAAATTTTAAAATTTCCTTTTTATTAACCTAATTGCACACTTAATTGCACACATATTCCTCCACTCTTCTTTTAGGAAACTATTTATATTTTTTTAAATTTTTAAATTTTTTAATAAAAAGATATATTAACATTTAATCATATATATTTATCTGTATACAACTGATAGGGTTTAGCTGTGTCCCCACCCAATATTGAATTGTAGCTCTCATAATTCCCTGGTGTTGTGGTAGGGACCCAGTGGGAGATAATTGAATTATGGGTTGTTTTCTTCCACGCTGTTCTCATGGTAGTGAACAAGTCTCATGAGATCTGATGGTTTTATAAGGGAAACCCCTTTTGCTTGTCTGTCATTCTCTTCTCTTGTCTGCCACCGTGTGACACGTATCTTTCACCTTCTGCCATGATTGTGAGGCCTCCCCAGCCATATGTAACTCTGAGTTCATTAAACCTATTTCTTTTGTAAATTGCCCAGTCTTGGATGTCTTTATCAGTAGTGTGAAAATGGGTTAATACAATAACAAAAATATGGTTATTATAACAATTAAATAATTTTATTCATGTTATAAGTATTTCATTGGTAAGTAACCCAGGATGGGTAGAGCTACCTAGGAACCAGGTTCCTTCTAACTTCATGAACTATTAGGTTTAGCATATGACTTTTATTATTTACTATGCTTAGAATGCAAATGTTATTTTCAAAGTTGTGAGATGGCTTTATCTCATCTAGCTTATTCTCACATTCCAAGTAGAAAGAAGAAAGAAGCATCAAAGAGAAGGGGGGCATGCCAACAACAGGAAAGAAAAACATACATATCTAGAAATATTCAATTGGTTTTTACTTATAAAGCATTGTTCATAATATGTCAATAGTCTCTCTTAATTGCAAGGAAAACGAAGAAGTACACTATTTCTTTTTGTTTATTTTGAAGTTTGGCCATCGCTGCCCCCACCCAAATAAAAGTAGGATTCTATTAGGAAGGAAATAAAGGAAAATGGATGTTGGATAGGTTAAAAAATTAGCCAGCTTTGTCTGCTGCATTTATTAATGTTTTCACACTAATGGACTCCGTTTAAAAAATATAATTGATAGAGCAATAAGCATTCATTCACTTATTCATTCATTTATTCTTCCAACAAGCATTAACTAGAAAGTTTTAATAAGAGAAGTGTAGAAAAGAGTAAGACACACTGCTAGCATTCAATAGGTTTATGTTTAAGTAGAAGAAATACATATATGGATGATTGTTCTGCAATGTAATAAGTACTATCAGAGATGAAAATATGGGATGCTGCTATGGACACAAAAGAAAGTCGGCAATCAGATAAGACTTCCCAGAAAAGCTAACAAATTCTAGGAGAATGACTTTAAATGTCACTCCTATGAAATTTATTCTAGAAAATTCCAGAGTAGGTGGTCTTGAGCCATTCATTTACTACATATCATGGGCAAGTTGCTTAATCTCTCTAAGCCTCACTTCTTTTCATATATAAAGTAGGCAATAATAAATTAAGAGTGCTATCATGAGAATTAAATGGCTAATACAAAAAAAGGCCCCTTGGCCAATGCCTAGCACATAGTAGACACTCATAGACATTGAATGAGTTACTGAATGTACACTGAAGATACTATAATCTTCCTTTTATACATGAGGACATTGAGGCACAGAGAGTGTAAGAAACGCAAAAAAGATCTCACCATCAGTAAGTTATAGAACTGGGTTTCTAACAATGGCCATCTGATTCCAAAGCCCGCAATTGTTACACCCTTCCCTTCTGCTTTGGGTTTTAGAAAATTTACAGGTAGCAAACAGAGGATTTTTTATGCCATTCTTTTAACAATGACAATTCACCTTTCTCTCCATTCTTCTCATGTCTCAATGCATTGCATCAACAGAATATCTTTCTATTTTTAGTAAAGTAATTGAGCACCATCTCTGTCAAAGAAATTATACTTGGCACTGTGCAAAATGTAAAAATAAATTATGCAAAATATTATCTCCTAACAGTGAAGTACATGTTCTATGCATGTATATGATATTTATTTCTATGGGTTTGTAGATACCTATTAGAATTTTTTTTATTCCTCAAGAGTTTTCAAAAAGGATTTGAAGAAACATAAATATAATGTAGGCATACTAAAGCAACAGAAACTTCCTCAAAATCAGTAATAATCAAAACCACTCAAATAAAGTAAAAGTAAAAAACAGAGTTTAAAAAAAGAAATATACGGTAATGATTGATGGGAAGTGAAATTATTATGTCACAAAATCTAGACTTATAAGTAAGTTTTGTTATGGGGCATAAAACTGAGCTATTAGCAACTTGATAACCAATACAAAAACTAATACAGGGTATATTGTATAGTTCTCACTATCTATTCAATGAATTTAATCCTAGTTTTTTTTTTAACTATTCTTATTCTATTTTTAAAGGACTTTGGACAGCCTGAATATAAAATTTTATTACCTGGGTATATTCACAATTCACATATTTGACTCCTCTCTAAAACCCTTTGAAAACATATTCTGTGTTGACACATATCTAGGGCCCATTACTAGCAGAATGAAAACTTTGAAAGTATCTTTTCTTTCTGCTGGAAGTTTAGGTCTTTTGTATCTTGATTAGTTGAAGCATAAGAGGAGAAAGACCTCTGAATAAGAGAGAAACTGTTTCTGCCTTTGAAAAATTTGCAGTCTATTAGGAAGACTGGCATTACTCAGATGATTACAAATATGCAACAGAAATGTGAAGAGTTAGTTTACAGATATGTGTGACAAGTACATTTGATCTTTTTTGAGACAAGAATGTTTCAAAAAATACAGAAGAATGAGTAGAATTATACTAGGAATTTACTAAACAAGGGAATAATAGGAAATGAGTGATGGTTTATGATTATGTGGGAAGTGAAACTCTTCATAATTAAAATAAACCAGATAAAATGAAAGACATAGGCAAGTATCCACTGATGGGAAAGAGTAAAATATGTATGTACAACTTTAAAAGGCCAGTGTGTTTAGCTAGTAAAAACAGTGGAGGAAAATGAGAGTAGATAAACAAGCAGGAATTATTATGAAATTAAAAAAACCTAACAAAGGACTTAATAGTATATGGCAATAATAGTGAATGTCCCACCAAAGTGATACTGTTATTATCTGTATTATTATTAATTCTACCATGGGCTTAATATTTTGTGTCTTATTCATGGCAGACTTATAAAGAAAAAGTAACTTCTTCTGAGTTGTTTGGATAAGGAATAAGAAAAGTATGCTATGACAGAAGATACCTCTCAATAAAAGATTATATGGCCTAGCTTTGCATCAATCTGAGCTTCATATTTTATTTTATACATGATATATAATATATGATATAATAAGAATTATATATTTTTATGATTTAAGATTATGTTGGGTCTCAGAGAATGATACCACAAAAATACGGTACCTTGGCATGCTGAGCACTTAGAATGAAAAGAAATTTTAAGGTCTTAGAATCAGCTCTCTCTGACCTTCCCTTGTTTCTTCCCAAGTGCAAGGAGGTGCTCTCTCTAAAATTCTCTGATCAGAGTGAGGGAAGCTCTTCCAAAAAACACAAATGCCATAAACACCCTATCTGAAATCTCATTAACCAGGAAAGGTTAGTCATGAAAGAAGAAAATAAGGATTGTTACTAGCACAGCCAAAGTTTTCATCTGTTCTTCTAAGGTTTGTTACCTGAGAGGCTTTATCTGCATAATAAGACAACCTCTGTTCATAGTGCAGTTCCACCCCTTACCTTCCCATAAGTTGTTGCTACCTTCCTCAAAGCTCAAGTGAACTTAGTCCCAGGCTATTAAGTCCATTTACCTTCCTTAAAAAATATTTACTCTTCCTCCACAACTGCCTACATCCTCTACTTTCCTCTCCCATAAGAAAAGGGTATTTAAGTTTCAACTGTCTGGACCATCATGGAGTTTTATACTTTGTATGATTCCTATGTGCTTGCACATCAGTAAGTTTTTATTCTTTTTCTCCTGTTCATCTATTACCAGTTTGTTTGTAGACTCCAGTTCTCAAAACTGCTGGAGGTGGAAAGAAACTTCCTTTCACTCTTACAATTATCAGGACTCCAACACCAGCTGCAATTTTCCAGACAGTTCTGTTCAGAGAAAACAAAAAGTCTTTTCTAGAGAAGGGGCTGAACTATTTAAAATTATAAAGTATTATATCTAAATATTCTTATCCAACATGCCTGGGTTGGATAAGGAACAGAGCTTGTTTTATTTCAATTTTCATTTGATTGAGGCAAGTAAAAAACATGAACCTTTGATATATGATCAGAGCTGTTTTCAAATATTGCTTTAATTTATAGCTTATCTTTTAAGCAACAGGGTCTCTCTTCTTTAAATTTTTTTTGAGATGGAGCCTTACTTTGTCACCCAGGCTAGAGTGCAGTGGGGCAATCTTGGCTCACTGCAACCTCCACCTCCCAGGTTCAAGTGATTCTCTTGCCTCAGCCTCCCAAGTAGCTGGCATTACAGGCATGTGCCACCGCACCCAGCTAATTTTTGTATTTTTAGTAATGATGGGGTTTCACCATCTTGGCCAGGCTGGTCTCGAACTTTGACCTTGTGACCCACCCACCCCCGGCCTTGCCCTCCCAAAGTGCTGGGATTACACGCATGAGCCAACTTGCCAACAGGGTCTTACATATTTATTAATTTTATTCAAGTTTCAGGGAGATGATTGCAAAGTGCAATGCCTCCTCAGGAAAGAACAATACTGTGAGTTATAGAAAAACCCAAGGAGTTTCGAGTGAGTTTGTTAGGGATATAGATTACATGTTTCTAAATGAGAGTTTGGAAAGCTATGCCAATAAAATGACAACAGAAAAACAACAGTCATGCCTGTAATTGGAGAAGAGTGAACTAGAAAAACTTATAAGCATTCTCATTTGTGAATCAGTGATTGGGAGAAGAGAATTAGAGAATGTATGTGTTTTCATTAACACATCTAACAAAAAGCAGTCTTAGCTACTGCTAAGGATGGATACAGGCACTGGCTTCAATGCTATTTATTTATTTATTTATTTATTTATTTTCTTACTTATTTTGGAGGCCAGTGAGAATCTTATTTCAACACTGACACTTTCCTCTTTGCAGCTGGGATTGCAATTTGCATGCAAATGACTGGCAAACCAGTTAGGAAGTCCATTGGTATTCGAAAATGATAGGAGCAGTCCCTAGCAAGACCTGGAAAGCAAATTTACTGACTGACCATCAGTGGAGGTAAATATTCAGAATCAGAAACTACCTTTAAACAAATGGCCTGTTGGAGGGAAGGCTGGAATTCATGTGCGGGTTAGGAACTGTAAAAGGAAAATAAATCTTGGAACCTCAAATTCACTAAGCCAAAGGGAAAGTCAAGCTCGGAACTGGGTCATGAAAACTTGCCTCCCATTTTGTGTCCTAAATTAGATAGCTACAAAGATGAAAAGCTACATACCTCTCTCACATTTTGCCCACAAAGAAATTCCTTGTGGACCCCAAGATCTTCGCCCTAAAGCATTTCTGTTAAAGTTCACCATGGCAATGTAAATTCATAGCTTATCTTCATAGGTGCAGGGACATAGGGCAGAACTCAAAGTCATCCTCTGACCACCTGAGACAAATGCATATCTGATTGTTGCCTCTGCCTTATTGTCTATGTAATCTTTTGTAAAAATGCAGATTCACTGAGCCAGACAAAGGCATGAATGACTCTATTCCCCTACCCCTGCTCTCACATGAAAATTGAATATTTCTCAATATCCTGCCCTTTCCCCTGTGAATACTGAAGCCCTCAAAACCATCTTCAGGAAAGGTCTCCCAGGTGTGTGTCCTTAAGTTTGGCAAATAAACCTCCTAAAATGATTGAGGCTTGCCTGGGTCATTTTTCTTGATTGACAGAACTCTTGGGAAAGCTTGGCTGCGTTTGGCATCTAGCTACTAGTTCTTGGTATTCTCATTCAAACCACTCTCTAACTGCATTTCTTATTCCATAATAACATTAATCAACTCTCATTTTCTGGATAAGTAGCTGTTTTCTTTTCTCACCTTAGGCAGTCCTTCTCTTGTTCCACACAAATTGGACCAATTTTCAGTCTGTATGCCAGGTCCATTGGTAATACAGCATTCGGGAGCCCCATGGGAAAGCACAAGCAGCTCTTTCCTCTGCATTTAAGTCCCACCTCTTCTTCATGTCACACCTCTTCAATATAGATTCCATTAGTACCTCAAGTCATAGTTATTATTTCTGTCCTTCTCATTACATAGTAACTAATGGTACCATTAGGTAACAACCTCAATTGCCTTGTGTATTTATCATTTTATAAATATTAGTATGTTTTACCAGAATATATATAGATTGTAGTTCTCCCAAATTAAATGAGAACATCTGTGAAAACAAAATACCTAATCTAATATAGCAACTCTCATCCCAATAATGTTTTACCATCCAGTGCCTGTCATTAAATACGTGCCTTAATAAAATTTCCTGAGAAAGAGTTTCTTAATGTCTTCATTTTAAAGATAAGGATGCAATGATCTACAGGTAACAGTTTACAATAATAGCTTCTGAATCAAAATCATTTTTTCTACTAGTAGTTTCTTCTAAACTTCTTAATTACCATTTTTAAAGTCAAATACAACAGCTACCTTATATAAAAACTCACAAAGGCTTGTGACTTAATAAACAAATATGGCTGTAAACAGTGTTTGATAAGTATCTCTGTTTTCCAGGGTTACAAAAATTAAACAGAAAACAGCATATCTCTTCTGCCTTCAAAATGCTGTAGTTTCATGGAGTCATATAGACAGAATATCATAACATAACATAACATTCAATAACATAGTATAACATAACACAACATAACATACAAAATGATCCATAGCACATTAAGTAAATTCATTAATAGAAACCATTGTTAAGGGGTGTAGTTAAAGGTGACAATTAATTCTCCTCAGGGGTATGGAGTAAAGCTTTATCAAGGAGATCACATTGTCAAAGTATTGAAGGATGAGTTGGAATTTGCTGGATGGACAAAGAGAAATAGATATTATATAGCAAAAGGGCAGTAGGTTTAGAAAGACATGGAGTTATACAAAGGCAATAATACACACTCTTAGAAGGGTGAAAATTATAGCTTGCCTGAAGCTTGGATGCTTATGAAATATTACATTATAAGAAAATGAGGCTGGAGAAGTAGATTCAGTCAAGTGGTAAATATATTTATGTCTCAAATAAGGGAGTGGATTTTATGAAAGTCTGTTTCAAAACCTACTTTATTTTTTTCTTAAGCCAGGGAAGCCACATAACCCTTTTTTTTAAGGTATCTTGTAAAGAACTTTGAGTGCTTCTTAAACCCCTTGACCTTTTTTTGATAGGAGATACATGGTTGTCATCTCATAATATCCATATAGCAGTATCACACTATGAAGTAGATAACATGAATTTGTGTCTGTTCACATATTTGGTAGGCATCAAATTTTCCTCATGATCAAACTACTAAGCTTCCCATCAGAGATGAGATCAGGGCATTATAAGTGAGGTGACTAGGGCTTAAAATGTTAGAATTTAAACAGGCAGTCATTCTCAGAGTCTTGCCAGTGTTCACCCTACACTCCCACGACTCTGATAGGGAGTGTCTCCTTAAATTTTGCATCAGTCCTATTTCCCCTGTGTCTATTGGCAGTGAGGAGTTCTCTCTCACCAACCGTGAAACACAAGATGTTGAAAATCTTGTACATCTAATACATTTCAAAGGACCAAAAGACCAATTTCCTAGAGATTTCATACTCATCTGCCTACATCCATTCAACCCCACAATGTTGTTCTCTACAAACCCAACCCATATATTTTTTACAAGTCCTATCAGATTATGTATCTTTCCTGCTTAGAGCATTTTAATTTTATTCACACGACTTACAAATGAGCCTAAAATCCATGTGGCCAGCAAATTCTTGCCATTTTTGTTTCAAATACATGTCTATTTTTCTCATTTTCTTCCACTTCACTCCCTTTACCACAGTCTATCAATACTAGCTTTTATCCAGTTCTACCAGTGTAATCAGTTTTTTCAGACCTCAGGGCCTTTGCATTGGTGGTTTCCCTTCCTGGATGTTCTTCCCCATCTCTTCATAGCCCGCCAAAACACACTGTTGAAGTCTTAGCATCCAGATCTCTTTCTTAGAGATGTCTTTTGTTCTTTTGTTAAACATATTTTTATTGACATATAGCTCACGTAAGATGTAATTCACCTATATGACATATTCGATTCAATAATTTTTAGTATATTCACATGCAATCATCATATTCAATTGTACATTTTCATCATCTCAAAAAGAAATCCTGTATCCTTTAGATATGAACTCCCCTATCTCCTACCTGCACTCCTTTTTCTAAGCAACTGCCATTCTACTTTCTGTCAGTATAGATTTCCCTATTCTGGACTGCCATCTCAATAGAGTCAAATAATACATGCACTTTGTGGCCAGTTTCTTTTACTTACCATAATGTTTTCAAGGTTCATTTATGGTGTGGAATGTATCAGTACTTCATTCTTTTTTATGGCTAATAGCCCCTTGTATTGATATACCATATTTTATTTGTCTGTCTATTGATGGATACTTGAGATCTTTCTATCTTTTGGCTATTATGAATAATACTGCTGTAAACATTCTTGCACAAGTTTTTATGTGTACATGTGTTTACACTGTTCTCAAATACATGCCCAGAAGTGAAATTGGTCATTTGTGTATCTTCATTACAGAAATGTCTGTTGAGATCCTTTGACCATGTAGTAGTTGAGTTTTCTTTTTATCATGCAATTGTAATACTTCTTTATGTATTCTGGCTACAAGTCTCTTTTTAGATCTATAATTTGCAAATGTTTTCTCCATCTTCTGTGCTGTGCTTTCACTTTCTTGATGATATCCTTTGAAGAACACTTAAAAAATTATTTAATGAAATCCATTTTTCTTTTTATTTTGTTTCTTGTGCTTTTGGTGTCATATTTAAGAGTTATTTGCCAAATTTACTATTGGAAGGCTGCAGAAAAATATTTTAAAATAAATAATGCAAGTTGCACTTGGTGACAAAAATGTTGTGATCAGAGACTTATAAAAAACTAAAGTTATATTTCCTCTATGATCAATAGTATATGTGTTAATTCAGTGTTCACGATTACTTCATAGAGCATAAATACCATGTACAACAAAAATTGACTGTATGTTATTCAACTGCATCTGACCTCCATTGTTTCTAATGAGAAGTCAGCTGTCAATCTTATTGGGCTTCTCTTGCACACAGTGAATCCTTTTTCACTTGTTGCTTTCAAGAATTTCTCCTTGTTTTTTACTTTTGGCATTTTTACTATGATATGTCTGTTTCTGGATCTCTTTGTGTTTATTCTATCTCGAGCCCCTCAAGCTTCTTAGATGTATACTTGTCCTTATCAATAAATTTGGGTACTTTCCTGTTATTACTTATTTTTGTAATTATTTTCAAACATTTTCCTTTCTCTCTTTCCTCTCCTTTTCACACTTCATCACAAGTGTTGGTTCTGTTGATGGTGTCCCACATTTCTCTGAGGTTCTATCTCTCTGTTCTTGGCTTGTATAATTTTTATCAATCTGTCTTCAACTTTACTATTTTGTTTCTGCCATTTTAAGTCTATTGGTATGCCTTTTTAATTTTTTTAATTTCCGTAACTTTTAACCTTTGGAAATTCCATTTGATTTTGGGGGCAGTATCTCTTTATTGATGTTCTGTATTTGAGGCCACGTTATCACCATACATTTTCTTACTTATTTAAGCATGCTTCCCTTTAGTTCTGTGAACATATTTATAATGGATATTTTTAACTCACTATTTGTGAAATCCGACATCTGGTTGCTCTAACAGGCAGTTTGTTCTGTATGCTTCTTTTTCAGCATAGATTGTACTTTCCTGTTTCTTTGCATGCCTGATAATTTGTTGTTGGAAGCTAGACTTTTAAAATATATTGTAGCAACTCTGAGTAATGGCATCCCATCACCTCCTTTTTATTCTCATGCCTAAAGTTTATCATTTGTTTTTTCATTTGTTAGTGACTGGCTGATTATTTTAGTGAATTTTATTTTCCCCTCAACAGTGTTAAGATTTTGTTGTTTCTCCTAAGGGAGGCACAGCTTCAGATATGCCCACAGTCATCCCAGGATGACAGTGGCATATGTAGGACTATCTTTCTCTTTTTCTAAAAACACCAGATTTTAAACTCTACCAATTTCCAATTGACTGTTATACTGTTTCAACCGTGACCTGGGGCATAAATTGCTATACAAACTCATCAAATTGCAGCTTCTTTGAATAAATAGTTTATGAAGTCCATGGTAGGTATTTGTTGTAGCTTCAGAGGACCTCCGCCCAGCTGTCATATTCTCAAAGTCTCTCTTGCAAACCAGCTGGTCTGCCATCTAAGCTGTACCTTTATCAAATCCACAAATCTTCTAGTTGTTTTTCATTGCAACCCCTTATTTTTGGCAGCACTTTTAGGTTTAAATTTTTCCCATCTCTTTTGCAAATGAAGCCAGTTTCTTTGTGAAGAGATTAGAAGCTATCTGTTTTATCATTCACTCATGTTTCTCAGGAAAACATTTTTAGCCAGAGCTCTGGAGCAGGGGGTGGGACAATGGTAAGCTTCTTCTAAATGCCACCCCTGCTCTAGGAGTTCAGCACTCAGTGGAAAAAATCGAAATAGTGGAAAGTCATTTCAGTTTACCTCTCCTGGCAAGAAACCGCTGCCTCACAAGCTGGGCAAGGAGAGTTGCAGGGTTCATAGGAGCGCCTGTGTTCTCATATTGCCATGCTCAAGATAAAATTTCCCTTCCAATTCTGAGGCTGGAAACAAGACTAGAGGTCTCACCTCTCAAATGTACTTGCCCAGGACTCAGCCTTAGAAACCAGTAGTTGAGGACAGGGTGAGAAAAGATGAAAATCTTGCTCTGCCTAGGAGAAAACCCTCTGACTTGAAGCTGAGGAGAGAGGGAGTTCTTTGATTATAGCTGTAGCAGTCTGAAGTGAATTCTCTGCCTTGCTAAACTGGGAGTGGGGACTGGGGAGGGAGTAACTTTCATTCAAACACCATAGAGTCTTGCCTTTCTTATCATTTTTTAAATAGATTTTTCTTGGAGAGTTTTTTTTAATTTCCTCTTTGCCCTCAGTAGCATTTCATAGAATTTCCAAAAATAAAAGCTTGTGTTAAATAATTTTCACCAATTTTATTGGTCAATAGATCAGTAGATCAG
The DNA here is from genome assembly GCF_000001405.40 of Homo sapiens. Taxonomy (NCBI): domain Eukaryota; kingdom Metazoa; phylum Chordata; class Mammalia; order Primates; family Hominidae; genus Homo; species Homo sapiens. Next base: position 108,145,518 of record NC_000010.11, on the reverse strand, counting down.
CAAAGCTCTTCACAATGTGATGCTGGAAGTCAATTGAGAAAACTTTCTGATCTCCTGTTCTGAATTGCAGTCCTTTGTAATACTAGGCCATTCATCCCTGTTATGTTTTCTTCATTTATATTATCACTGTGGTATGATTTTTATAATTATTTAATGCTGGACTTCTCACTTACCCCTAGATTCTTGAGGTCAGAAACTATGTATTTACTTTGTGCACAAATATATTACTATTAACTAAATTATTACCTGTTTACTAGACCAGATTTGATTAAAAATAAAATATTTGTTGAACGACTAACTGAACTCAGTAATTAGAGTAGACTGTATATGATGGGGGCTGGGTGGATAGGAATTTTAAAATTAGTGCAGGCCTTCAAATCTAATAGACAGTGTAGATGGTGACACATTAAGAAGAATGGAGAATATTGAAGTGAGATCATGTTTGTGGTAAACATTTTAAAGTCTGAGTATTAGAAAACATTTTGCAATATAATTATACACACTTTGCTGTTAAAAAGTTTTTATATCACAAAAGCTCAGGTTGAAATATCAGTTTTCATAAAGCCCTAGTTCAGATAAAAGAGACCATGTTTCCCTATCCTAAGGGAGTCTCTCTAGGGTAAGGGAAATATCAGGCATTGAAATTGCTTTGTTTCTTTGGCTTACACAGCCCCCATGTCATTTGGGAAATTTGGAGATCTGCATTCTTCAGCATGGACAAGTCAGAACTCTGGGCAAGAATTGAAACTGGAAGGCAGCAAAGATGTCTTAATGTAGCACACAGTACTAAGTCAAGAAGCTGTAATTAGTATAAAAATAAAAACATAGTGAAGAATTTCAATAATTTCTGAATATTTCTGAATACAAACATTTTGGGAAAGGAAAATAAGAATTCTGTCTTACATGGAATCAACCTAGGTGCCCAACGATGGTGGAATGGATAAAGAAAATATGGTAATATACACAGTGGAATACTACACCACCTTAAAAAAGAATGAAATTATGTTCTTTGCAGTAACAGGGATGCAGCTGTAAGTCATTGTCCTAAGTGAATTAATACAGGAACAGAAAACCAAATACCACATGTTCTCACTTATAATCAGGGGCTAATCACTTGGTCCTCGTGGGCATAAAGGTGGAAACAATAGAAACTGGGGACTACCAGAGGGAGGAGGGGGGGGAAGGAGGCAAGAGTTGAAAAGCTAACTATGCTCACCACCTGGATGATGGGATCAGTTGTACCCCAATCCTCAGCATCATGCAATATACCCATGTAACAAGCCTGCACACGTACCCACTGAATCTAAAATAAAGTTGAAATGATTAAAAATTGTTAAAAAAGAATTCTGTCTTACATGATTCTACGTTACCTCAATACTAGTGGGATAGATAGTGGAGCAGTCCATTAAGAAACAAACAAACAAAAAACCTTACTGTTATCTGGCCTATAGGCATAGGATGTAGGAAGATTTATGTAAAGTAGTCATCTATCTGTAGGATTTCATTATACCTTAATGAGCCTATATACAGTTAAAATTCTGGAAGGGGCATCTCCAGCTATTTCTAGCAAAAATGATAAAAACAGCAATAACACATCAATAATAACAATATTTCAATATAGTCAGTTGATATTTCCTTAAATTTATGTAACACTGGAGTTTCAAAAAGTGTTAGAAAACAATGTTGCTATTTTATTAGAATTAACAGAATTCATGGAGCATCTGGTTATTGGAGTTAGAGCTCATCTGTTCTGTGTTGAGATCCCCAAGCCCACCTTCAGATTTGATGATTCAGAAGAATGACTCAAAGAAATCAGAAACTGTTATACTCACAGTTATGGTTTATTACAATGAAAGGATACATATCAAAATCAAAATAAAAGGTGGGCCAAGTCTGGAATAAACCAGGTGCAAGCTTTCAGGTGTCCCCTCCCAGTGGAATCATCTGGGAAAAACTAGGTCCTTCCAGCAACAGTGTGTGACAGCAAATGCAAAGTATAACAGATCACAGTAGACTACCTGATCCTTGGTGTCCAGAGTTTTTAATGGAAGCATGCAATACTGTGTGACTGACCTCAGTTCCCAAAGCAAAATCCATGCATTTACCATAAATCACATTGTTAGCATAAACTATCTGTTAAAACTCTATGGGGCGACTCAAGGCCTCAGACATATAAAAACACTCATCAGCCAGAACACTCATAGTGCCCAGAACTCAGTTGCTAGGAGCCAATCCTGAAAGCAGGACTTGGAAATATGCAAGATTTAAGAACAGTCTTTTGAACAAATGCTTTCCTGCACATTCTCTGTTTGGTGATGCACCTAGATCCTTAACTCTCCTGGCACACTTGAACTAGAGTTCCTGGAAGCCATATGTGACTATTCTCTTGATCTACACGGGGAAAAAAAAAAAAAAAGTAAAACCCTGTGTTCCATCTGGTTACCCCTCCCTCAAATCTGTTTATCCTATACTCTTCCTATTTCTACTCTGTAAGGATCAGGATCCTGTGACTAACATTTTTTTTTTTTTTTTGAGACGTTATCTCGCTCTGTTGCCCAGGTTGGAATGCAGTGGCACGATCTCGGCTCACTGCAAGCTCTGCCTCCTGTGTTCACACCATTCTCCTGCCTCAGCCTCCCGAGTAGCTGGGACTACAGGCACCCACCACCATGCCCAGCTATTTTTTTTTTTTTTGTATTTTTAGTAGAGACGGAGTTTCACCGTGTTAGCCAGGATGGTCTCAATCTCCTGACCTTGTGATCTGCCCACCTCGGCCTCCCAAAGTGCTGGGATTACAGGCATGAGCCACCGCGCCTGGCTGACTTTTTTTTTGACCACTTACTATATGCTGTTTTTGGTTCTAAGAACTTTATTGTCATAATCAATCCTAAAAACAATCTTGGTGGCAAACCCTATTATTAGTTTTGTTTTCCAGGTGATGAAATCAAAGTTCAGAATTCTTAAGCAAATTTTCAATAACACACATTATTTGGTATGAAGGTGGGTTGTAAACCAAGATAGTCATACTCCAGGAACCACAGTTTTTATCATTATGTGAACTATTAAAAAAAGCAGAATGCTTGTGTGGACACTCTAAATTTAGCATCTCACCTGTGCTACTATATAAGGCCTCTACCTATTCCTCCACTTTGTTTTGTATTACTAAATGCTACCTTAAGTTAGCCTAGTGTTGGTTTATATCTTTCTTTTGAGACACACACTCTTTTTGTTTGTGTGCTTTCTGAAGGTAAAGAAATAAGATGGGGAGATGTAGAAGAAAGAAAGTCATTTTTCTTCCACATTCCTGAAACTATAGGGCTAGGAAGGTATCTTTGAGCCTACTTAAAGGATATGCTAGGAGAAGTCTGTTTAAAACTGATCAGATACAGATTTGGTTCAATATAAAGAAAATTTTTAATAGCAAGATTCAACCATAATGGAAGACGATGGCTCACACAATAGTGAGCTCTTTGCCACTAAGAGTATTCAATCAAAAGTTGAGTCAGGGATCCATTTTCTTTCCTAAGATTAGGAGGCAGGAACAGATTACTCCAAAATATTCTTTTATTTTAATAATGTTATACTATATTTAGAATAAAGAAGCCTAAAGTTGTTTTTGGTTTCTCCAAGTTTATTCAAGTAATTAATAACAAGGCCAGGGCAAAGTTTGACCTACCTGTGCTACCTCCTGGCCTAAGACTTATGGAAGTCCATAAGCTTTAGAACTTAAGCAGAAGGTAAAATAGATATCAATTTTGGCATTTCAAAAGCTAACATATTTAGGAGGCTGGGACCCGCAGATGGTTTGTTTCCTAACAGATGTTATCTATGCAAACACAATAAGCCCTTGGAAATTTATTATCTGCAAATTTTTCCTTCCTTTTGAATTTGCTTTTTAAACTCACTCTATTAGATATTAGAAGCTTGACTCTGGAGTAGCACTTGAACCAATAATTATTGATTGTTTCTCTTCTATACAAAACATAGTCACAGAAAGGGTGAAAAAGACAGAATCATCTCTCAAGTTACTAACGTCTATAAAGAAAAACATGCCATGGCAGCTAATGATTTAAGGTGTATACCACTAGTATAAAAAGAGGCACTCAGAAGTAAGTGCTATAGAATATAGAGTAGGAAGCCTGTTAAAGTATTACTTCAAGAAATGTTAATGAAATAGTCACATTACTCTGTGCTCAGTGCTAGGTGCAGCAGACATACTAATGCAAAAAACACATCTAGTCCCTGACCTTTGGAAGTTCTAGTTTGTCAAGAGACAGACAGTAAGCAAAGAAGATACATGCAGTGAACAATTATGCAATCGTTACAAAGCAAAAGTATAAAGTCCTAGAGAAAAATAATACAAGGATCCAATTTACTTTAGGATCATGGAAGGGATGTTCCCTCAGAAGTAATGATGTCAGTGTCAAGGATATGAAGGAACCTGTTTGGTAAAGGGGGAAAGTGTGGTTTTGAAAGAAGAGTTAAGAATAACTTTCTAGGAATAAGGAATACCTTATGCATAATACAAACTGAGGTAAAAACATGTTTGGTGCATTCAAATTACTGAAAGGTGTGCAACATAACTAATATAGGGGTGGGGAGAGAGAGAGAAAGAGCAAGAAAGAGAGAAGGAGGACACCAGAGAGCAAGACAAGACTGTTGTTGTATGTGAGGGTTTTCTGGAAGAAACAGAGTTTGAGATTTGATGCTATATTGAATGGTGTCCTTGATAACATAAGGATGGAGAAGTTTAACTCTCACTCTTAGGAGGAAGGAATTAAATTATTTTCTCTTGAAGCAGCTCAGAGCTCAGCAGTAGCCTGTGAGCCAGACAAATTTTATTCATGAGTTATATTCCACCTATCCTGAGAAAATTTCAAAGAAGCCTTTTCCTGAAAAAGCAGAGTACAAAAGAGATTAAATCAAAATGTTTCTTGGAGAAGGTCAGGTATGTGCTTATAAATCTTCCTGAGCTTCTCATATAAAAAATATTTCAAATCATTTTCCTTCTAGTTCTCTTGTTCCAGGCAATATTGTTCTTGGAAAAGAAAGAACTGTGAGGGATACAGAAGCTGGCTTTTGCAATATCCAATTTTTCAAGACCCATGTAAAGCTGTCAGTGAGTTGATTTCATCTAACTATTTATGGGCACCAGGACTCACAAGTAAGAAAAGGGCTTTGCATGAGTTAATTTATTATTGTCCAGCAATCTCACCTCCAGCCCCAGGAAAGACCAAATAGGAATGTTAGCATATGTATCTAGGGAACTTTCCTCCTGGAACTTTTTGCAAACCACACATCATTTCTTTGGGAAATCTAGAGCAATTCATTTGCCTTTGCCTGTGTCTAGAAGTGATAAGTTTTGCCTCCAAACAATTTTCTTGAATAATTTTACAATTTTTTCTTCAACTACGTGTCACAGGTTCTGCATTAGGAGTATTTTTGCCTTGAAGGGACTTATACCCTGAACCAGCATGGGCTTGTTTTGATTGGAGCATTGATGATGTCCCTTCTTGGAAATAAATGAGAAATTACAGTTTAATTCTTGCCCTCAGTAACCATGCAAATTGGCTATTTATAGCTTAGATAAGATGTTACTTTCCTGACCACAAGTGAAGAAAGCTCCGAGATGTTAAGGTAGTATTCAATCTGGGGAAGATGCTATTAATAAATTTACTACAATTTGCTACAATTTCTCCATTCAGATTTCTTTGTGAAAGAGCTGAAACTCTTTCCTCAGAGTTTCAAAAGAAGCCATGTCAAGTCCGAGTGAAGTGTGACTCTTGGAGGAAAAAGAAAAACATGATATGCTAGGGTATTGATGATGAGGGGCAGTTAATCCTTCGGGATTTGAGTGTATTTCAGAGAGTAAGAACACAGTTGCAGTCAGCCCTGTTTCTACTGGCAACATTTCTTTCCATCTATTACCTACACCCATCCATGACATCTGACATTCACCTCACAAGGCCGAATGGCTTAGTTCTCTGGAAATTTCTAAGTGTCAGCTTTTAATATAGTATGCTTCGAGGTTTAAAATCATCTTCAGCCAAAGAAAGAATAATAATAGTTACTTGTTGAGCATTTACTTTGAGGCATTGTGCAAACTACTTAGCATACATTATTGTGTTAAATTTTATAGTAATCCTATAAAGTGGATATTATTATAAGTATTATATATATATATATATATATATATATATATATATATATATGTCAGATCATTGAGGTTTGCAGAGATTAGTTAACCTTCCTAAGATCACCCAGATGCTGTTTGATAAAAACCAATATTTGAAACTAGTTCATTATCCCCACAGCAACTAAACTTGTAACATACCCAGGGGAAGGCCAGTCATGGGCAGGAAATATTTGTGGGCATGGAGTTAGGAAGGCTGAGGGGAAACACCAGTTCTCTCATCTGTCTTTGAGACCCTCAGCACTCTCTTTTAGGTAGTGTTTCCTTATCTGTGAAAAAAGAAAAAGTATTCTTTTGTGAGAATTTAATACATTAATGGAAATGAGGGTGCCTGGCACATCAGAAAATTTTGCCTGGCTCTGAACTGTACAGATATTAAGGGGTCTAACAACAAGTTATACATTTAGCTTACATGAGAACATTTTACATTTTGGAATGGATTTTTTTGTGAATGACTAAATGCCCTTTAAGTAATCAAATAATCCTGCTCACCATTCTAGTGAAACAGTGAATTTCCAGTAAAAATAATAGGTAGTGATACCTGTATATTGGGGATAATCATATTGATTATTAAGGAGTAGTTCACAGAGGGCTTGGCTTCTATGGATAAGCCATAGAAGAGAGTAAGTGCCTTTCCTCTGGCATTTGTTCCAAGTTAGTATAATATATTTATGGCTTCCATACCTTATCCTTTGACAGCCTGGTCAGATTGTATGAAGATGACTATGCAGGGGTTCAGAGTAAACAGTAGGAGAGTCTCTGCTTAGTCATAGTAACCGTGTTAATTTGGATAAGATCTTTAACCTCTCCAAACCAATTCTCTGATTTTTAAAATGGTAGCAATACCCACTTCCAAAGTCTGTATGAATATTGCTTGATAGAGTGCATACAAAGTGTTCAGCATATTCATAAGTTCAATTGTTTTCATTTTTTAGACCCCACAAATAAGTGAGAACACGTGATGTTTGTCTTTCTGTGGCTGGCATATTTCACTTAACATAATGATCTTCAGTTTCATCCATGGGCAAATGACAGGATCACATTTCTTTTTTATGGCTGAATAGTACTCCATCAGGTAGATGTACCACATTTTCTTTATCCGTTCATCTGTTGATAGACACTTAGGTTGCTTAGTAGCTATTGTGAACAGTGCTGCAACAATTATATCACATTGCATGTCTGTATCAAAACATCTTATGTGCCCCATAAATGTATACACCTACTATGTGCCCACAAAAATTAAACATAATTTTTTTTTAAAAAGTGTTCAGCATGGGGCTGAGAAAATTGACATAAAATAAATGTAAGTTATCATCATCATCATCAGGAATTCTTGGAGTTTTTATCATAAGGTGTTTATGGAGTATTGGAACTATTTTGGCTGTAAATTCTGGCTCATGTTTTGACTTTAGATAAAGAGTACCTCCACATCTGTTTAAGCCTCCTGATAAGAGGGCCACTGAAACAGGTCATGTGATTAAGGGATTATATTTTCCTAATCAAAAGCTGGAACATATGGTGTGACAAAAAAACAGTTCGTAATTAAACACACTTAAAACTAAAAATGTGCCAAACGTTAATGGTAAAAAGTAAATTTAGCTGTGTTTATGTTGAATTTCCTTGTTGAGAAAATAAAATCACTCAAAATCATGAGTATCTTGAAAAATACAAGCACCTCATTTATAATATTTTATGTTGATAGGAGTGGTATCCATCTTTGTTCTCAAAGACTCAGGTCTACTCTATGGGAAATTGATTTCTCTTTGTGATAGAGAGTGTGTTTTCAAAGCAAGAGAATTTTGCTTTGAAGCAAAACTTCCTTCCTAGCTGCTAGGAGTGGGACCACACACAACCTTCAGCTGTCAGCTCTTCCAGTGGCTGCACCAGCGGCAAAGAGCCACCACAATCCTGATCATCCGTTCCAGGGAAGCCTGCACTTGGTCACTAAGAAGGACAGAGTTATAGAGGCTTGGTTAATCAGGATCCTTTGACGGGAAATCTTCACTCCAAAGGTCTCCACCTTGCTGGCTGAGGCTTTGTCAGGCTTGCATCACATTTCTGCTTTTTCCTCTACCTAATTTTGTTTCTCTTCCTTTTCTTTTCTTTCGGAGATGTTAATCCCTAGCCAGTATCTTACACTTCAGATACCATCTCAGCTTTTCTTTCTTTCTTCTTCTTTTTTTTTTTTTTCAATTCCTGGATGGCCCAAATTGCTACAGACAGCAATAAAAATGCAGTGGTTTGAGATACATGTAATGAGATGAGATTTTGGAGCTGGATCAAACACTTTCTTGCTGGCAATGAGAACTCCTTCACTGGTGGTAGGTGGAGCACAGGTGATGGTTCACCTGTTAAGCTTTCACCAGTGGTAAACCGGGAAGCTGTTCTGGTGGAGGAAATGCACAAGCAAGTAGAACACATTAAGTATTTAAGACTATGGAGGAAATAGTAGATATAAGGATAATAGAATTGGATGGTTATTGCTAAGTATAACTGATAAGATAAAGAAAATTAATGATTATCTGAGGGTGAAAAACAGATAATTGTAAGCCAGAAGTAAAAGTTAATGGCGTTTTACTTATATTATCAACAAGCTCTTTTTTTTTCCCTGCAAAAGCAAGGCTGAGAAATTTCAGGACAAGGACTCATATCTAATAGTCTGGTTGGGGACATACCCACTCAAGAAAGTTAAAAGTCCAATCAAGAGAGGTTTGTTATGCCAAAGTCAGGACTGTGGTTGGGAAAGTTTGGAACCATAACCCATGGGATAGTGGCATGTAGGTGAATGCTCACAAATATTTTAAATAACCAGGTTCCTCTGAATGTTTAAACCCTGAGAAGCAGCCTGTCTCTTCCAAGTAAGAGCTAGTGTCGCCCATGTTCTGTAACACATTGCAGAAGACTACACCACTGAAAACCGAGGTGCTTCCATCAGGTCGTTTACCTGCCAACTATGCACCTAGAAAAGGGGTATGCCCAAACATTAAAAAAAAAAATTCTGTTTTAGAAAACCTTTAAAATTTAAGAAATATTACAAAAATAGTATAGAGAGTTTACATATAACCCCCCAACTCAGTTTCTGTTATCATTTTACATTTTATGGTACATGTGTTAAAATTAGTGAATCATTGTTGGTGAATTATTATTAAGTCCGTAATTTACTCAGATTCCCTTCATTTTTCCCCAGTGTGTTTCTTCTGTGCCAGGGTCCCATCCAAGATATCAAATTACATTTAGTCATTTTGTCTCCTTAGGTTCCTATTGACTATGACTGTTTCTCAGACTTTCCTTGTTTTTAATGATCTTGACCGTTTTGAGGAATACTGGTCAATTATTTTGCAGAATGTCCGTCAATTAGGATTTGTCTGATAGTTTTTTTCATAGCTAACCTGGGGTTGTGAGTTGTTGGAAAGATCACAGAGGTAAAGTGTAATTTCCATCACGTCATTTCGAGGGTACACGCTATCACTATTATTTCTCACTGATAATGTTAAATTTGACCTCCTGGCTGAGGTAGGATTTGTCGGGTCTCTCCAGTGAAGTTGCTCCCCCTGCCTGTTTGCATACTGTACGCTTCGGGGGGAAGTCACTCTGCACAAGACACACATAAAGAGTTGACTGCTATGCTTCACTCCCTAAGGACAGAGTGTCCACATAAATTATCTGAGATTCTTCTGAATGGGAAACTTGCAGGTTTTTCCTCATTTATTTATTCAATCATTTATTTATATTAGTATGAACATTCATTTTATATTTTAGGTTGCAATCCAATCTTATTTATATGTATTTTTGTTCCAATATTTCCAGCTTTGGCCAGTGGAATTCTTTCAGTTGACTGTCATATTCCTTTCTCATGACTCCGTCAACTTGTGTCTGTGTGTGCATGCCTGTATATGTGTGTGTATGTCTGTTTTTTGTGTACTTCTTTAATGTCTGATGCTAGAATGATATTAGATTTATCTTCTGTATAGCCTGTCCCAGTCTTGGAATGAGCTACTCAGCTCTTTTTATAAGGAGCTCTTGTCCTTTGTGTTGGAAAACAGAACTAAAAATTGGTATCTGAGTGTGAGTTGTGCTCATTCTAAGAGAGTGTCATTGCCTCTAGGCCCTCTCAGCTGATGTAACAAGGATATATATATATATGTATATGTGTATACTAAGCTATATATATTATATATACACACACACACACTAAATGCACATATCTATAAATATTTCTATATGTATCAGTATGTGTATCAGGTTAAGCATGAATTTATGGTGATGTCTCCAGCTCTAATTTATTACTACATGAATAGTTCAAGACTCTTCCCCTTTCTTATATGTAAACTCCTACTCCAACTCTGAGATGTCTGGAAAAATCATCTGTTCCCATCATCGGCTATCCATTTATTTAATTGTTAAACTCCAGTGCATGTGTGTGAGGGGTGAGTATTTAGGCTTTAGAATTATTGAACTGTATTTCTGAAGGAAACACCTTTTTCAGCTGGAGAACAGTGCTTATAGGCAGTTAATTTTGCCTTTAGTTTTACAGACTTCTGTCACTTCTAAAGCATTTCGGTCAATACCCTCTTCTCTCACACACTTCAGTGAGATTGTTTCATACATTTGTAATACAATTAAATTTGTTTTATCATATTTTGCATTCTGTCTAGGAAAATTCTCAGCCTCCTAAGTTACTTTTTAAATTTGCATGCATTAATGTTCACTCTTGGTAATATAAGGCTTGTTTATTCTTTCTCCAACCCTTCCCATCTTTATATAGACACACATTTCTGACCTATATCATTTTTCTTAACTCTGAATTACTTTTTAAAACATGTTATGTAGGGGATGTCTGCTGGTGATGAATTCCCTCAGGTGCTGTCTAAGTCTTTATTTCTTGTGCACTTTTAAGGGATAATTCCACTGGATAGGGAATTCTTAGCTGGTGTTTTGTTTTGTTTTGTTTTGTTTTGTTTTAACACTTTAAATATTTCATTCCACTCTCTCTTAAGGTATCTTTTCCCCTCACTTAGATTCTTTGAAGTTTTTCTCTTTGTCTTTGGTTTTCTGTAGTTTGAATATGATATGCTTGGATATAGTTTGTCTGTCTGCCTTCCTTCTTCCCTCTTTGTTTTCCCTCCTTCTCTCTCTTCCTTCTATTTTTTTGAATTTATTCTTCTTACAGTTCTCTATGCTTCTTCTATTGGTGATTTGACATCTGTTATTAATTTGGGAATGCTCCTAGTCATTATTACTTCAAATATTTATCTGCTGCATTATTTCTTTCCTCACTTTCTGACATTCTCATTGAACATAGGTTACAACTTTTGAAGTTGTCCCATAGTACTTGAATGTCCCGTTCTATTTTTTCCCTTCTGCTTTTCTTTGAATTACAGTTTGGGAAGTTTCTATTGAATGATCTTCACACTCATTGATTATTTTATCAGTCGTGCTCAGTGTATTGCTAAGTTCATCAATAGCATACTTCATTGCAGTTACAGTGGTTTTTTTTGTTTTATTTCTAACATTGCCTTTTGGTACTTTCTTACAATTTTTATTTCTCTGCTATATTTATCATATGTTATAGCACAATGTCTACTTTTTCACTAAGAGGCTGTATTCGTTTGCATAGCCTTGCGGAAAATTTATATATATCTATTGACCTGAAACCTGTGAATGTGACCTTATTTGGAAATAGAGTCTTGCAGATGAAAGCAAATGAAAATGAGGTCGTACTGGATTTGGGGTGGCACCTGAATCCAATATAACTGGTATCTTTATAAGAAGACAAAAATTTGAACACAGAGGACTCAGACACACAAGAAAAATGCCATGTGACAATGGATAAAGAAATGCTTATATCCCCGGTCTATGCTGGATTTTTTTTTTTTCTGTTAGTACAATTTATTTCCCCTTGCGGAGATAAGAAAGCTAAGGGTAGTTACAAGAGAAAAAATAATATCCTTCCTCCAGGTTGAATAAGGTTATCTTAAAGACTTTTGCTCTAGAGAATCGGCCTTTATTATGAAGAATTATTTGAGGCATTTTACAATGATTTATCTTTCCTTACCCCACCAGAACCACTCGGGAACTTTCTCAAATGTTCACAATTAGAACTTGGTGGGGATCCAGTAGGTAAGACCAATTGGATTTATCTAAATATGCAGCTATCGGCAGTTTCTCAATTTTGACATAGTCCACACCCAGCCTATGGAATTTCATCAAAATTACCACTGAAATTTTGATACAAGCACATGGCTGCATTGGCTTCTGTTCCACAGAAGCAGAAAGAAGCTCTCCGCTGTAACTCCCTCAACTTGCCTGTCTCCCCAGCTTTTAGAGTGATAGTTTATCTTGAAACCTCTATTCTCAGATGAATCCAAGAAAATAAACAAACTACAGCAGGTAGGCAAAAATAACTGTTTCTGTAAATAAATTTTATCTTTTTGGAACATTGCAATTGATATAGGAGTTAAAAAGAAATTATTTAGGCAGATAGGGTAAGGAAGTCCTCGGTAAGCTTTCCCTTTTAATGAAAAGCAGCCCCCAAAACATTTTCTTTTCTAACAAAAAGCAGCCTGAAAATTCAAGCTGCAAGCATAGTAAGTCAAGCTACAAGCTCACACGGGTGAATTCTGGGAGCTGTGCCAATAGGGAAAGGCTACCTGGGGGCTAGGCATGTCCAACATGGTGGCTCCATCTTCCTCTTTCCTTATCAACCATGTGCACAGTAAGGAGCAGGCAACATGGTGCAGCCAAGTAGAGACTTTATTTGCATAATAAAGGATTAGGGTGGGGTGGCCAGTTTCCTCACCCACTATGTAAACATCACACTTTGTCCAACCAGTCTTTGGGCCCTATGTAAATCAGACACCACCTCCTCAAGCCTGTCTATAAAACCCTGTGCACTCCAACACAGGCTAGAATTTCCACTCAGGCATCTCTCTCTCTCTCTCTCGCTTTCGCAGGAGAAAGAGCTGTTCCTCTTTCTCTTTTGTTTGCCTATGAAATCTCTGCTCTTAACCTCACTCCATGTGTGTCCATGTCCTTGATTTCCTTGGCGTAAGATGACAAACCTCAGGTATTTACCCCAGACAACGACACAGTTTCACAATGTCCATTTGTAAAAAATTTCCATGTAAGTCCCTTTATTAGTGTGCTAAAGAAAAAAACACATACACATTTCAATAGGTGGTGAATTTTTTTCTAATTAACTCATTCCAGAAAGAAAAATAAAATAACTCAAACTATGAATAGAAAGAATCTTCCTATAATGATAAGGATGTTGTTAGAAATTGACTGAATCTGAAACATCCCACAACATGCACTCTCCTCTGACTTCCACACTGGGATGTTAGTGGGGTTCCACAAGGAGTGTTAGTGGGGTTCAGTTGAGCAGGAAGCCCCCTATGGTTTTCTTTCCATACGTGCTTCCTTCATTTATGGATTGTGCAGCAGTCAGCACTCCTCTGAATCTGATCTCATTTCACTATGAAGACCATTTGTTTACACCTTATCTGTAGTTGCTTTCATACCACAACAGTGAGTGAGTGATTGTGACAGAAATTGTAGAACCCACAAAGCCTCACATATTTAATATTTATCCCTTTAGATAAAAAGTTTTGCTAACAATATGCCCCAAAAATATTTATGGATAGATGTTTAAGTGGCTTTCATTCATTTTAATTTTTTGTTATAATGAACGAAATATCAATGAACATCCCTGTGCATATATCTTTCATTTTTGTGCACATGTCCTATTATTTATTTATAATATGTTCTTAGAACTGGAATTTCTAGGTCAAAGAGCATGTGCCTTCCCCTGATCTATTTTAAACATTTACCATTCTAAAAAGAAGAGATAATCAAGCCTGTTTCCAGTTCAAAATTTTGAAAATCAGAAGGAAATAAACTATCATTTCAAATTAACCGCTTCACTGATGGATGAGAAATGCTGATATCTTAGGAGAAAAGGCATTTAGATCCAGCCTGGCAGCAATAATGAACTTGTGACTTTTAGACCTGATTCTGAACCCATGTATTTCAGCTACTGGCCAGGCTGACTTTCAAGACAAGGTGAGCTTGAAGAAGGTACACTGGCCAGTGCCTTATGCTGTAACACGGAGGGATGATAAGGTCAGAATGTACATTAGCCCCAGTTCTAAATGCAGTTTAGTGGCACTAAGAGAACTGCTAACATGGCTTACAGAATTCCCGGGGGAGGCAGGTATTCAAGACTTCCCCTTTAAAGTGTCAGGAATTTTAAATCTTTTTCTGCTTTGGGGTTAAGTATTGTTACAGCCCTGTTTCCGATTTTTTTCTTTTCTATCAAAAATAAACATCTGGGGATTATGGGCCTTCTGTTTGTTTTTGAATAAATTGCATTACTTGTGTTTTATATTTAGATCCTCTAGAAGACTGGCACTGGTCTTATCTAAATCTATCTCAGGTCTTCTTCTAAGAAGGCCCCAAAGCCAGTTAGTCTCATATGGGCTGGATCCTACAGTAAGTAGAGTGTGATAAAGCATTGACTTTATACTCACAGCCAGCGTCTGTTAGAATCACTCTAGTTTTGGCATGAAAGGGCAGCACAGACCTCTTAACATGAGGTGTAATATAGTTAATAACTAACCGTTTCAATCACCTACTATTTATGTTTGAGATGTTACATTATGAACTTTACATTTTGTATTTCCAATGACCCTAAAAGGTAGGCCCTGTTTCTAGAATTAAAATATGAAGAAGAGCATTGCTCTGGGACAGTAATGAGATTTGAAAGCTGTTTTAGATCTACCAATGTATCTCTCTATGAAATAATTTCTTGAGTCACAGATTCTTCCCTTTATGCAGTGAAGGCTAGGGCTTGATCACTTCTGTTTTCTTCAGAATAATAGTCTGTGATTCTATAACTTTTTACCTAAAAATATCCACAAGGAATGTCCAGTGGTAAATCATTCTCTAGTTTCAAATTTGGCAGAGGCCTTTCATTTTCCCCCAACTTTTTTTTTTTCATTTAATACTTTGAAAGAAAATTAATGTTGTAGGGGCATATGATGGAGATGTAAGACTCTTGATGTCTGGGGGAAGGAAGGCATTTTTAGATATAGAAAACAGAGTTGAGTCATCAAAAGCACATACAAAGTTTTCCTACACTGAAAACAAAAATTTTCGTCTTATATATTCTTTGGCCAAGTACAAATCACAAAAATAAGATAGAAAATAAGGAAATTTTGAACACTTGGAAAGGTCGGACAGTAAAGTATCTGGTTCCAGAGTTTTGAATTATAGGATAACAATATAGCCATTACAATATTACATTTCAGAAGCACAAGTGGAGAAACACATATTCTCCTTCCATTTTGACTTTTTAGTCCAACATATGAGAATCCCCAGGTTGTGCATGGTCATCCAGGTGAGCCGTGAGTAATTGAATTATGCCTAAATTTGGGAAGAACATCATTTTCTACCTTGCTGTATTCATGAACATAGGGTGGTCTAGAGAAAATCTATAAAAACAATATTAAATATATCTAAATTATGTCCTTAAGTCAATATTTGTTTTACCTTTTTCTTGATTTTTTCTTTCAAAACAAAATTTTTAGAGACAGGTTCTTCGTCTGTCATCCAGGCTGAGGTGCAGTTATGCCACTGTAGCTAACTGTAACCTTGAACTCCTAGGCTCAAGCAATACTTCTGCCTCAGCCTCCCGCATAGCTGGGACTATAGATATGTGCTACCATACCAGGCTAATTTAATTTCATGTTGTTTTATTTTTTAAACTTTTAAATTTCTGTTTTGTATATGTTTTGCAGAAATGAATCTCACTATGTTGACCATGCTGGTCTTGAACTCCTGGCCTCAAGTGATTCTCCTCCTGCCTTGCCCTCCAAAATTGCAGGGATTACAAGTATGGGACACCATGCTGGGCCTAAACCCTTTTGTCTGTAAACATTATTTTATATCTCAATAATGGTCTAGAATATTGGAGTTATTTTCTTTCTTCTTGTTGTTTTCCTGTTTTTATTTGTTTTTTTTTTTTTTTAGGGACCTAAATATGATTAATTTATCATTACATTCAAGGTCTTAGATTGATATGCTTCAGATTTTTTTTTTTTTTTTTGAGACAGAGTCTTGCTCTGTTGCCCAGGCATGCCTGTTAATTTTGAGTCAAAAAAGACAATTTTGAGTCAAGCACTTGAGCTCCAGTTTGAGATGCAGTGCATGTTATGACAAATTTCCTGGGGCCAAATAAAGATTTTTTAAAGAATGAAATGGAATAAATCTAGTAAGAACACACCATAAGCACTGATCTTATTAAAATGTGGTTAAAGAATATTAATTTAGCTAATAATGACAAAAAACACTTTGTCATATCCATTGGTCATATTTTCTATAGGTCATGATTCCATAAGTCTCTATTTTCATAATCAGTTTAGGACCCATAGTATGATCAACTATTGGATTTTCAACACTGAAATATTTAATTTTATCCTGAAGAACTAATTATGCATATTGTGATGGTTAATACTGAGAGTCAACTTGATTGGATTGAAGGATACAAAGTATCATTCCTGTCCCTCTAGAGAACCCTGACTAACACACATATTTTAACTTTTAGTTTGGAAAATATATTTGACTTGAGAAGGACAATTGTAAAAGTAAACATCACCATTGTACTAAGCAGCATCTAGAAACGTGTGATGTACATAACAGCTGCTTAATCTTTGATGCAATAGCCAATGAATGGCAAAGTCAGTATCTTTAGGTAGTATGTGGAACACTTAAAATTCAGAAGTTCGCCAGGCGTGGTGGCTCACGCCTGTAAGCCTAGTACTTTGGGAGGCTGAGGCAGGCGGATCACCTGAGGTTGGGAGTTCGAGACCAGCCTGAACAACGTGGAGAAACCCTGTCTCTAGTAAAAATACAAAATTAGCTGGACGTGGTGGCACATAACTGTAATCCTAGCTATTCAGGAGGCTGAGGCAGGAGAATCGCTTGAGCCCAGGAGGTGGAGGTTGTGGTGAGCTGATATTACACCATTGCTCTCCAGCCTGGGCAACAAGAGCGAAACTCCATCTCAAAATAAATAAATAAATAAATAATAAAGTAAAAAAATAAATAAAATTCAGAAGTTCATTGAGCATTGGCAAAATATTCATATCAATATCACAAGATTTTATTTAAACATATTATTTGCCAAGATATTTTATTTTGGTAATAATGAAGTAAAAAATTCTTACATTTGAGTCTTTCACTAAAACATTACTTTTTACTAGTTGACATTGCCGTTATTGTCACTGGAATTACAACAGGAATAAACTTAAGTATCTACTCCCTAAGGAAGATTTATGGAAGAACAGAGTAATATTTCTTTCTACTTGAGTTCCTTTTAAGCATATTTATTTTCTAAAACTTTGTATGACTTGTTCCAAAAATGAATGGACATTTTTAGGAGGCTGAAATTCTCTAAAATAATTATAAATTGAATTTTGCAAGACACTGTGATTTTATTAACACTGATAAAAAACAAAGGAGTGGGTTGCTTGAGAGAGATTCAGAATTGATCTTATTTCAGTAGTGACTCAGTGGTTTGCATGAAATAAAATTAGACTTGTTTTGGCGCAACAGGAAGCAGATAATAGAAAATAAGTTTAAGGCAGATTCTGAAGAAAGACAGAATTGCTGGCTAGTTGATAAAGTAGTGGAAGAAAATACCCAGCTCCTTTTTATAAATTATTAATCTAGATCCCTTTTATAATATTGTTTATGTTTTTGGAAGAAACAGCAGTGGGCATCAAAGCCTGACTTTTGTATTCAGCAACTTTGTTAAAGAACGAAATGACCTTGTCTCAGAATGCAATTTTTTTGCTTGAGAAGCTTGTAATGCCAATGAACATTTTACATCTCACTTGAAAATTGCAGATTTTGGGGAGTCCTAGCATATGTTAAAATGTTTTAAAAACCAACGTTTTCATATTTATCTTATAATTCTCAAATCACCAGTTTTTCTGCCAGAGAAATTAGAATTTGTTTAAAAACTAGAATCTATGTATTGAACAATGACTATATGCAAATAATCCTCTGGGTCAAAAATTGGAAATATATAGAAACTCTGGCCCTAGGTGGCTTTAAACCCAGGAAGAAAATGCGGACACATCTTAAAAGGTAAATAAGAGTTCCAGACAGTTTGGATTAAGACTTAAAGAAGAGGTATGGTTATTTTCAAGAATCTATGAGAAAAAATGACTTCTGCTCTGGAAAACTGAGGTTTGTTCACTACTATGGAGCTGGGTCCTCTTCTATCCCTACTTGAAAGACCCCACTTCTAATAGTATTGTATAGAGGAAAGGAAATTTTCCTTGCTTTAGCTTATTTATTGTTATAAATACACGTCAAAGTTTAATTTGGTATCATTTGCTCTCTTCTAATAGTTAGCATTTTTTGATATATACTGCTAAAATCCTGGATGTGATCTCTATAGCACACTTCCACACCAATTTTGTTCTAAATTTAGTAAGAATCACCTAACTGGTTTCTGAATTTGACTGATGATTATAGCTAATTATAGCTGAGAAAATGAGAAATTACACACACACACACACACACACACACACACACACACACATATTGTAAAGCAAAAATTGATTGAAACAAGTCTCAATCAATTTAGAGGTTTATTTTGCCAAAGTTGAGGTTGCACCTGGGAAAGAAACACAAATCACTGGAGCTTTTGTAATCCATGCTTTTTCCTAAGAGGGTTTTGAGGACTTCAGTATTTAAAGGAGAAAGAGCAAACCAGAGGCGAAGAAAGAAATTTATTTTAAAGGTGGGAAAGGGTAGGCAGTAAGGCAAGTAGTTATATTCTTGTAAGGCTTTGATCAACACCTAGTAAATCTACATTTTACATGTGAAAAGAAGGGTTAGAGGAAAAGTCAATTATGCATTTATCTTGGGCTCAGTAAATCCACATTTTATATAAGATAAAATGTGTGAAAAGATGGGGTGAATGAAGAAGTCAATTATGCATTTTTCTCTAGGTGGGCGGAAGGATGATTTCTATTCTTGTCTTTGTCTGCTACTTGGAAGATAAGCTGAAAATTTACATTGTCAGGATAAGATTTAACAGCACTCTCTTTTAGGGCTAGATTATAGGGAGAACATATATTCTGAAAGATTTTAGGGTCCACAAGGAAATGCCTTATGAGCGACTTGTGAGGAAGGGCCGTCTGGGGAGACATGTGGCTTTCTACTGCTGTGGGAACCTGGCTTATGTATGAGGATTTGACATGTATAAGGCTCTGTGTTTGGGAACAAAAAGCAGGCAATTTTTTTAATGACTCAGTTCCCTAGCTTAACTTTCCCTTTGGCATAGTAAGTTTGGAGTCTCGAGATTACTTTTGCTTTCACAAGATGTATATATAAAACCAAATTCTATTCAAGAATAAAGCACAATTAATTTTAAGAGATTTCAGTCATGCAAAATAAATAATAAGGATTCAGTGTACCAACAATTGCATTGCATGTTAGGTGAGTAAGCTCAATCAATCCACATCTTTCTTGCAGACTCATATAAGACTGTTCATCTGGTTTTTAAATCAGCAATTGATCTTCAGAGTTAGTAATGAGGGAAAATATAAGGTTAAAGTGACTGGTTAGACACTATAATTGAACTCATGCCTCCAAAATTGACCTTATTCCAGACTCATCATCTCCACCATGAGTAGATTTACCCTAATTTACCAGCACTGAAGGGTGTGAGTTTAAGTTTGTTATGAGGGATGATGGTGAGTTAGGAGGTTGGACTTAACTCAGGAGGTGGGACTCAACTCCAGAGACAGAGATTGGACACTGGACCAAACTGAGGACTAGCTAATACAAGGAAGAGGCAGAAGCATCTCTCCATACAACATGCCCACCAGTGTGCCATGTCAGTTTGCCATTGCCATGGCAATACCTGGAAGTTACCACCTCTTTCCATGGCAACGACCTGATGACGCAGAAGTTATTACCCTTTTTCTAGAGATGTTATGCATAATCTGCCCATTAATTCACATATAATTAAAAGTGGGTATAAATATGAGTACAGAACTGCCTCTGAGCTGCTACTCTGGGCACACTGCTGATAGGGTAGCCCTGCTTCTGCTTCACAAGGAGGAGTACCTCTGCTGATGCTGTACACTGCTGCTTCAGTAAAAGTTGCTAACACCACTGGCTTACCCTTGAACTCCTTCCTGGGTAAAGACAAGGACCCTCCTGGGCTAACCCCCAAGTTTAGGGCTTGCCTGCCCTGCATCATCTGATAGCCACAAAGGGATGAAGACAGCAGAGATGGCGGTGATCAGTGGAGAGGCAAGAGAGTGACACAGCAGAGATGGTGGCTGTAAGTGATCAGTGGGGAGGTGGTGTTTGGAGAGAAATGTGAGAGACAGCAGTCAGCAAGACAGTGAGAGACAGCGAAGCAGCCTGTGATTGAGCCTGAAAGAGATGTAATACTCAGGCTTTGACCATAAAGTTCTGCTAACCCTACAGAGCTCTAATACGAACCAAAGCTGCTTTTCAGAGCCATCATTTTTCCTGGCAGGCAGCAGAGCTGAACAGAGGAGCAAGTAGCCATACTGTTGCTGCCTCCTCTGTGTGCCCCCTCCACTCTGACTGGCAGACCAGTGGGTTACTGGTTCCCCTGATGCGCCCCTCCCTGTGTGATAGCTGAGCCTACTCATGCTGGAGAATCCTTAGAGAGACGTTCACCTGGGTCCTGCATCAAAGATCGGTTAGCACCATTTTGACTCCTGTGGATGGGTGAGTGCCCTTCTGTTCTCGCCATAGTATCTGGTGAGCTGGAATAAAAGCCTTTAGCTAAGTAGTCAGTTAAAAGTTCCTTGTCATTTGAGTGTCACAACCACCTCTTTATCACCTCTACCCCCAGTCCTTTCCCCTCTGACTCCATTTAATTGCTCCACAAATTATTTTTAGTCCTAAAAATGTATATTTCATTTTCAGTGTTATGTTTGCATTTACTTTTCATTAATTGTATTTGGGCAATTGTTTAAGGCAGGACACTTGGCTGTGAGAGGTCTCCCATTGTGTTGACTCTAGGATGCTGCAGTGACCTTCCTCTATGACCCCCAACTTGGTCTTGGGTTCACTGTTGACCACCCCTGATGTGCCCCAGGGTTACTTGGGCACTCTCGGTTTTCAGCATTGGTGTCATTGGTTGCCCCGAGATGCGCTGGGGTTTTTGGTATTTACATTCCCTCTAGGATTGTGGGTTATAGCCTTTCCACCTAGAGAAATAATGGCCTCGCTTTTTCTGCCCTGAAGTTAGAATTTATTATTTCCCCAGTAGCTAGTTTCAGGCCCCATCCTGTGTGCTGATTTATAACTGCCTTGTTCAAGCCCCTCTTGGTTGAAGAAACTGGGAATTCCTAGGCCCCTGACCGGATGGACGACCACCTACAGCAGTAGACAAGTGGCTACCCAAACATTTTTTTGGTGTCTCTGCTGCTGGGAAGGTTTTCTGGCAGGTCAGGGCCTCTGAGGTATCCTCTTGGGTAATGCTGTCTACCTCCTTCCTTTCCTTCCTTCCACAGCCACCATTTGTGTAGCCCCATCTCTGCCCAACTCTTGCTCTCCATGAAATTTAGGCTCAACATTTTACTGCCCATGTGTAGCTCCTAATTCCTTTTGTAATGCCTTGCTCCTTGTACTTACACTCTCTCTGAAGGAAGTGGAAATCTAAAAGGGAAAATAACAAGGGCTCAGTTTCTTTCCCTCTCACTAGACTTAGAAAAATTTCTATGTTCAGTAAAAATCCTGGTTAGTCACGGGGACAATGATGAGATCCCAGGGGACTCACCACTAGGATGTCTTTTAGGCTACTGGAACAAATTCAAATTTGGCTTAAAGAAAAAGAAAAAAACCCTCATTTTCTATTGCAATACTATTTGGGTTCAATAAAAATTAGAAAACCAACATATTTGGCCTAAACACCATTCTATACATTATAATTATATTTTGCAATTGGACTTATTCTGTGAAAAAGGAGAAAAATGAGGAGCGGTCCCTTATGTACAGATTTTTATGGCCCTTAACTGGTTCACATTACTTCCAGGCACCAGAAAGCCATGACTAAGGGGTCTCCTCCTAGCTAGGCCCCCTGGAATGCCTACACCCTCCCCAAAGTCTCTGTTCCCCCAGTTCTGAGGGTGTTCCCACCAGTTCTCTAATGAAGTACTCTACCCCCAGGTCATGAGACACCCCTGTCCAGTATCCATCTAGAACCAGCTTATACCCCTCACTGGCCAAGAAAGTAAGCCCAAACAGTACCACCAGGAGTGGGGCCCCATATTTGCCCATAAAATCAAACTTGGGTTCATTGCGAAAGGCAGCTAACGAAAATGATGGAATACTTAGGGTACATGAGCCATTTACTTTGTCCAATTTGGCTTTATACAAGGAAAAATTTGGCTTAAAAAGTTTATAGAGCTTGTTAAGTTGATCATTTTCTTATGCAACTGGCTGTGCCATAGAAAAAATGCAAAGGAAAAATAGTGTGGCTAAACAAGACAATTATGACAAGATTAGAGAAATAACTCTGGGAAAAGATGAAAACCTTTCTCTGTTTCATGGTTGTTTAGTTGAGGCACTCAGGAAAGATACCACTTTAGACCCAGACTGCCCAGAACGGCAAGCCCTTCTGGATGCACATTTAATTACTCAATCTGCCCCTGACATTAGGAGGAAGCTACAAAAAGCACCAGTGGGACCTCAAACTCTTAAAAGCAAACTCTTAAACATGGCCTTTAAAGTTTACAATAACAGGGACAGGAAAAAAAGAGGTGAAAAACACCAAAGGAAATAGCCAAAAAGTGCAATTGTTCATAGTTGCTGTAAGCCCCCTGCCACCTCAGAATTATCCATCCTGAGAAACTGTTGTGAGATCAGCATCTGGGATGTCCAGACAGGAGCCCCCAACTCACCGGCCCCTGGGCCAGAATTATTGCTCCTACTATGAGCAAAAGGATCATTGACAATGAGAATGTCCTAACTGTTTCTGGTGAGAGAGAAAAGATGCTTCTCATCAATTTTCTTCCACGAGCCCCAAAGAGCTGCCTTGCTTAAGTAAGTTTACTGGGGGTCTTGGACCCTTTACCTGATGGATAGTTTCTTGCAGTGGCAGACAAGAAGCTGGATCAACATTTTTCTTTAGTGTCTTGGCTGCTGGGTGAGCTCCCAGCAGCTTGGGGACTGTATTAGTCTGTTTTCATGCTGCCGATAAAGACATACTCGAGACTGGGTAATTTATAAAGACAAAGAGGTTTAATGGACTCACAGTTCCACGTGGGTGGGGAGGCCTCACAATCATGGTGGAAGGCAAAAGGCATTTCTTATAAGGCAGCAGAGAAGAGAGAACGAGAGCCAAGTGAAAGGGGAAACCCTTTGTAAAACCATCAGATCTCATGAGACTTATTCACTACCATGAGAACAGTATGGGGGAAACCACTCCTCATTATTCATTTATCTCCCATTGGGTTCCTCCCACAACACATAGGCATTATGGGAGCCAAAATTCAAGATGAGATTTGCAGGGGGACACAGCCAGACCATATCAGGGATTCCTAGGTCTCCCTTTGAGCAACACGGTTTTCCCTCTCTCTACCTTGTTTAATGCCAGGGTATCCCCTTCCTTGCCTTTTCGTGTCTTCTATACCTACTAGGGCAAACATAGTTTGGCCTAGTAGATGAGTCCCAACTTTGTAAATAGCTTGAATCCAATTGTCTTGTATAGGTTATTTTATTTGATGAGTTTGTTTAGGTGTATACACAGGTATTGTGATGTATGTTGTTCAGCATGTTATCAGGTTGGCTTATAAATAAGAGAGCATTCAAAAATTAAACAAGACTAGTCTAAGCTTATTAGTTTGAAGAGAATGTTGTGTCTTCTAAAATTTAACTTTAAGGTTTTTACTTAAGTAAATCACTAATGTTCACAGGCTTTAAAATGGTTAAAATGACTTAATGGTGACTAGCTTTGCATAGTATTTTATTTCTTGTAGGTGGTTTAGATAAAACCACTAAAAGTTAAAAAATTAAATATATTTGAAAGGAATAAATGCTTAAATAGTGAGCTTTTCGTATAGTTAAAAACCTTAAAATTATGAAATGATTCTCATCTATAGAATGCCAGTGTCTGGTAGGCAGTCCAGGACTTGTTGATTCAGGTGTATCACCTGAGGTCAGGAGTTCGAGACCACCCTGACCAACATGGAGAAACCCCGTCTCTACTAAAAATACAAAATTAGCCAGGCATAGTAGCACATGCCTGTAATCCCAGCTACTCAGGAATCTGAGGCAGGAGAATCGCTTGAACCCGGGAGGCAGAGGTTGCAGTGAGCCAAGATCTCACCACTGCACTCCAGCCTGAGGAACAAGAGTGAAACTCCATCTTAAAAAAAAAAAAGAGAGAGAGAGAGGTTCAAAATATGAGAGAATCAAGGAGTAGAGAAAAAGGTATAAAAAACGTTTTAGATTGAAAATGTATTTTTTGGCAAGGAAAGATATAAAGAAAGAGTAATTTTGTATGAAGAGGGATATTGTATAGTAAATTCTTGTGCTAGAGTAAAATGACCGGTTATTTAAGAAAAGGGTAGTATAGGAAGAGCCAGAAAGTCCAAGTATCTTGTAGATGCTCTGTTTAAATTGTGATAAGGTTCCTAAAGGGGAATTTATGAAAGCAATTTTGTGTGTGATTGTTAGCTGTAATTAAAAGGAAATTGTGGCCAAGTGCAGTGGCTCAAGCCTGTAATCTCAACACTTTGGGAGGCTGTGGTGGGCTGATCACTTGAGGTCAGGAGTTCAAGACCAGCCTGGCCAACATCATGGTGAATCCATGTCTCTACTAAAAATACAAAACTTAATCTGGTTTGGTGGCAGGTGCCAGTAATCCCAGCTACTCAGGAGGCTGAGGCAGGAGAATCACTGGAGCCTTGGAGGCAGAGGTTGCAGTGAGCCGAGATCATGCCACTGTACTGCAGCCTGGGTGACAAAGTGAGACTCCATTTGAAAAAATTAAAAAGAAAATGATTATAATAGACTTTCTACATGTTAAAACTAATTTTCTTAAGATATGAATTTGCCAATTTCTCAGAAATTTTACTTTTCAGTTCTGTAATCTATTTCTTTTAAAAGCTTCATAGATTCACGTGTCTCTCTTCTTTAGGTTTTTCATCAGCTCCTGTGAGTTTTTCTCCCCAATTCTGTTATGGCCTGATGCTAAAACATTGTGTCTTAGAGGTCTGTGGAACCAGTGTTTTTCACCAATATAGCTTAATTCTTTTTTTTTTTTTTATTATACTTTAAGTTTTAGGGTACATGTACACATTGTGCAGGTTAGTTACATATGTATACATGTGCCATGCTGGTGCGCTGCACCCACTAACTCATCATCTAGCATTAGGTGTATCTCCCAATGCTATCCCTCCCCCCTCCCCCCACCCAACCACAGTCCCCAGAGTGTGATATTCCCCTTCCTGTGTCCATGTGATCTCATTGTTCAATTCCCACCTATGAGTGAGAATATGCCGTGTTTGGTTTTTTGTTCTTGCGATAGTTTACTGAGAATGATGGTTTCCAATTTCATCCATGTCCCTACAAAGGACATGAACTCATCATTTTTTATGGCTGCATAGTATTCCATGGTGTATATGTGCCACATTTTCTTAATCCAGTCTATCATTGTTGGACATTTGGGTTGGTTCCAAGTCTTTGCTATTGTGAATAATGCCGCAATAAACATACGTGTGCATGTGTCTTTATAGCAGCATGATTTATAGTCATTTGGGTATATACCCAGTAATGGGATGGCTGGGTCAAATGGTATTTCTAGTTCTAGATCCCTGAGGAATCGCCACACTGACTTCCACAATGGTTGAACTAGTTTACAGTCCCACCAACAGTGTAAGAGTGTTCCTATTTCTCCACATCCTCTCCAGCACCTGTTGTTTCCTGACTTTTTAATGATTGCCATTCTAACTGGTGTGAGATGATATCTCATAGTGGTTTTGATTTGCATTTCTCTGATGGCCAGTGATGATGAGCATTTTTTCATGTATTTTTTGGCTGCATAAATGTCTTCTTTTGAGAAGTGTCTGTTCATGTCCTTCGCCCACTTTTTGATGGGGTTGTTTGTTTTTTTCTTGTAAATTTGTTTGAGTTCATTGTAGATTCTGGATATTAGCCCTTTGTCAGATGAGTAGGTTGTGAAAATTTTCTCCCATTTTGTAGGTTGCCTGTTCACTCTGATGGTAGTTTCTTTTGCTCTGCAGAAGCTCTTTAGTTTAATTAGATCCCATTTGTCAATTTTGGCTTTTGTTGCCATTGCTTTTGGTGTTTTAGACATGAAGTCCTTGCCCACGCCTATGTCCTGAATGATAATGCCTAGGTTTTCTTCTAGGGTTTTTATGGTTTTAGGTCTAACGTTTAAATCTTTAATCCATCTTGAATTGATTTTTGTATAAGGTGTAAGGAAGGGATCCAGTTTCAGCTTTCTACATATGGCTAGCCAGTTTTCCCAGCACCATTTATTAAATAGGGAATCCTTTCCCCATTGCTGGTTTTTCTCAGGTTTGTCAAAGATCAGATAGTTGTAGGTATGTGGCGTTATTTCTGAGGGCTCTGTTCTGTTCCATTGATCTATATCTCTGTTTTGGTACCAATACCATGCTGTTTTGGTTACTGTAGCCTTGTAGTATAGTTTGAAGTCAGGTAGTGTGATGCCTCCAGCTTTGTTCTTTTGGCTTAGGATTGACTTGGTGATGCGGGCTCTTTTTTGGTTCCATATGAACTTTAAAGTAGTTTTTTCCAATTCTGTGAAGAAAGTCATTGGTAGCTTGATGGGGATGGCATTGAATCTGTAAATTACCTTGGGCAGTATGGCCATTTTCACGATATTGATTCTTCCTACCCATGAGCATGGAATGTTCTTCCATTTGTTTGTATCCTCTTTTATTTCCTTGAGCAGTGGTTTGTAGTTCTCCTTGAAGAGGTCCTTCACAACCCTTGTAAGTTGGATTCCTAGGTATTTTATTCTCTTTGAAGCAATTGTGAATGGGAGTTCACTCATGATTTGGCTCTCTGTTTGTCTGTTGTTAGTGTATAAGAATGCTTGTGATTTTTGTACATTGATTTTGTATCCTGAGACTTTGCTGAAGTTGCTTATCAGCTTAAGGAGATTTTGGGCTGAGACGATGGGGTTTTCTAGATAAACAATCATGTCGTCTGCAAACAGGGACAATTTGACTTCCTCTTTTCCTAATTGAATACCCTTTATTTCCTTCTCCTGCCTGATTGCCCCGGCCAGAACTTCCAACACTATGTTGAATAGGAGTGGTGAGAGAGGGCATCCCTGTCTTGTGCAGTTTTCAAAGGGAATGCTTCCAGTTTTTGCTCATTCAGTATGATATTGGCTGTGGGTTTGTCATAGATAGCTCTTATTATTTTGAAATACGTCCCATCAATACCTAATTTATTGAGAGTTTTTAGCATGAAGCGTTGTTGAATTTTGTCAAAGGCTTTTTCTGCATTTATTGAGATAATCATGTGGTTTTTGTCTTTGGCTCTGTTTATATGCTGGATTACATTTATTGATTTGCGTATATTGAACCAGCCTTGCATCCCAGGGATGAAGCCCACTTGATCATGGTGGATAAGCTTTTTGATGTGCTGCTGGATTCAGTTTGCCAGTATTTTATTGAGGATTTTTGCATCAATGTTCATCAAGGATATTGGTCTAAAATTCTCTTTTTTGGTTGTGTCTCTGCCCGGCTTTGGTATCAGAATGATGCTGGCCTCATAAAATGAGTTAGGGAGGATTCCCTCTTTTTCTGTTGATTGGAATAGTTTCAGAAGGAATGGTACCAGTTCCTCCTTG
The DNA here is from genome assembly GCF_000001405.40 of Homo sapiens. NCBI lineage: Eukaryota > Metazoa > Chordata > Mammalia > Primates > Hominidae > Homo > Homo sapiens. The sequence goes on along the minus strand of NC_000010.11, from coordinate 108,117,412 downwards.
TACCTCTGGTAGAATTCGGCTGTGAATCCATCTGGTCCTGGACTCTTTTTGGTTGGTAAACTATTGATTATTGCCACAATTTCAGCTCCTGTTATTGGTCTATTCAGAGATTCAACTTCTTCCTGGTTTAGTCTTGGGAGAGTGTATGTGTCGAGGAATGTATCCATTTCTTCTAGATTTTCTAGTTTATTTGTGTAGAGGTGTTTGTAGTATTCTCTGATGGTAGTTTGTATTTCTGTGGGATCAGTGGTGATATCCCCTTTATCATTTTTTATTGTGTCTATTTGATTCTTCTCTCTTTTTTTCTTTATTAGTCTTGCTAGCAGTCTATCAATTTTGTTGATCCTTTCAAAAAACCAACTCCTGGATTCATTGATTTTTTGAAGGGTTTTTTGTGTCTCTATTTCCTTCAGTTCTGCTCTGATTTTAGTTATTTCTTGCCTTCTGCTAGCTTTTGAATGTGTTTGCTCTTGCTTTTCTAGTTCTTTTAATTGTGATGTTAGGGTGTCAATTTTGGATCTGTCCTGCTTTCTCTTGTGGGCATTTAGTGCTATAAATTTCCCTCTACACACTGCTTTGAATGCGTCCCAGAGATTCTGGTATGTTGTGTCTTTGTTCTCGTTGGTTTCAAAGAACATCTTTATTTCTGCCTTCATTTCGTTATGTACCCAGTAGTCATTCAGGAGCAGGTTGTTCAGTTTCCATGTAGTTGAGCGGCTTTGAGTGAGATTCTTAATCCTGAGTTCTAGTTTGATTGCACTGTGGTCTGAGAGATAGTACGTTATAATTTCTGTTCTTTTACATTTGCTGAGGAGTGCTTTACTTCCAACTATGTGGTCAATTTTGGAATAGGTGTGGTGTGGTGCTGGAAAAAATGTATATTCTGTTGATTTGGGGTGGAGAGTTCTGTAGATGTCTATTAGGTCTGCTTGGTGCAGAGCTGAGTTCAATTCCTGGGTATCCTTGTTGACTTTCTGTCTCGTTGATCTGTCTAATGTTGACAGTGGGGTGTTATTATTATTATGTATTATAAGTTATATGTTATTATAAGTCTCCCATTATTAATGTGTGGGAGTCTAAGTCTCTTTGTAGGTCACTCAGGACTTGCTTTATGAATCTGGGTGCTCCTGTATTGGGTGCATATATATTTAGGATAGTTAGCTCTTCTTGTTGAATTGATCCCTTTACCATTATGTAATGGCCTTCTTTGTCTCTTTTGATCTTTGTTGGTTTAAAGTCTGTTTTATCAGAGACTAGGATTGCAACCCCTGCCTTTTTTTGTTTTCCAGTTGCTTGGTAGATCTTCCTCCATCCTTTTATTTTGGGACTATGTGTGTCTCTGCACGTGAGATGGGTTTCCTGAATACAGCACACTGATGGGTCTTGACTCTTTATCCAACTTGCCAGTCTGTGTCTTTTAATTGGAGAATTTAGTCCATTTACATTTAAAGTTAATATTGTTATGTGTGAATTTGATCCTGTCATTATGATGTTAGCTGGTGATTTTGCTCGTTAGTTGATGCAGTTTCTTCCTAGTCTCGATGGTCTTTACATTTTGGCATGATTTTGCAGTGGCTGGTACCAGTTGTTCCTTTCCATGTTTAGCGCTTCCTTCAGGAGCTCTTTTAGGGCAGGCCTGGTGGTGACAAAATCTCTCAGCATTTGCTTGTCTGTAAAGTATTTTATTTCTCCTTCACTTATGAAGCTTAGTTTGGCTGGATATGAAATTCTGGGTTGAAAATTCTTTTCTTTAAGAATGTTGAATATTGGCCCCCACTCTCTTCTGGCTTGTAGGGTTTCTGCCGAGAGATCCGCTGTTAGTCTGATGGGCTTCCCTTTGAGGGTAACCCAACCTTTCTCTCTGGCTGCCCTTAACATTTTTTCCTTCATTTCAACTTTGGTGAATCTGACAATTATGTGTCTTTGAGTTGCTCTTCTCGAGGAGTATCTTTGTGGCGTTCTCTGTATTTCCTGAATCTGAACGTTGGCCTGCCTTGTCAGATTGGGGAAGTTCTCATGGATAATATCCTGCAGAGTGTTTTCCAACTTGGTTCCATTCTCCGCATCACTTTCAGGTACACCAATCAGATGTAGATTTGGTCTTTTCACATAGTCCCATATTTCTTGGAGGCTTTGCTCATTTCTTTTTATTCTTTTTTCTCTAAACTTCCCTTCTCACTTCATTTCATTCATTTCATCTTCCATTGCTGATACCCTTTCTTCCAGTTGATCGCATCGGCTCCTGAGGCTTCTGCATTCTTCACGTAGTTCTCGAGCCTTGGTTTTCAGCTCCATCAGCTCCTTTAAGCACTTCTCTGTATTGGTTATTCTAGTTATACATTCTTCTAAATTTTTTTCAAAGTTTTCAACTTCTTTGCCTTTGGTTTGAATGTCCTCCCGTAGCTCAGAGTAATTTGATCGTCTGAAGCCTTCTTCTCTCAGCTCGTCAAAATCATTCTCCATCCAGCTTTGTTCCATTGCTGGTGAGGAACTGCGTTCCTTTGGAGGAGGAGAGGCGCTCTGCGTTTTAGAGTTTCCAGTTTTTCTGTTCTGTTTTTTCCCCATCTTTGTGGTTTTATCTACTTTTGGTCTTTGATGATGGTGATGTACAGATGGGTTTTCGGTGTGGATGTCCTTTCTGTTTGTTAGTTTTCCTTCTAACAGACAGGACCCTCAGCTGCAGGTCTGTTGGAATACCCTGTCGTGTGAGGTGTCAGTGTGCCCCTGCTGGGGGGTGCCTCCCAGTTAGGCTGCTCGGGGGTCAGGGGTCAGGGACCCACTTGAGGAGGCAGTCTGCCTGTTCTCAGATCTCCAGCTGCGTGCTGGGAGAACCACTGCTCTCTTCAAAGCTGTCAGACAGGGACATTTAAGTCTGCAGAGGTTACTGCTGTCTTTTTGTTTGTCTGTGCCCTGCCCCCAGAGGTGGAGCCTACAGAGGCAGGCAGGCCTCCTTGAGCTGTGGTGGGCTCCACCCAGTTCGAGCTTTCCGGCTGCTTTGTTTACCTAAGCAAGCCTGGGCAATGGCGGGCACCCCTCCCCCAGCCTCGCTGCCACCTTGCAGTTTGATCTCAGACTGCTGCGCTAGCAATCAGCAAGATTCCGTGGGCGTAGGACCCTCCAAGCCAGGTGTGGGATATAGTCTCGTGGTGCGCCGTTTTTTAAGCCGGTCTGAAAAGCGCAATATTTGGGTGGGAGTGACCCGATTTTCCAGGTGCGTCCGTCACCCCTTTCTTTGACTCGGAAAGGGAACTCCCTGACCCCTTGCACTTCCCAGGTGAGGCAATGCCTCGCCCTGCTTCAGCTCGCGCACGGTGCGCGCACCCACTGGCCTGCGCCCACTGTCTGGCACTCCCTAGTGAGATGAACCGGGTACCTCAGATGGAAATGCAGAAATCACCCGTCTTCTGCGTTGCTCACGCTGGGAGCTGTAGACCGGAGCTGTTCCTATTCGGCCGTCTTGGCTCCTCCCTAGTTCAATATAGCTTAATTCTATGCTCTTGGTTTTTCTTCAGGTGTAACTTTAATATTGGCTTTAATTTTGGACTCTTTCATTGCTTAAAATGGTTTTAAGGGCTAATAAGTGCCTGCCCACCTCCATTCCCACCTGCTCTAGACTGTTTAATTGGCTATAAAGTCAGTCTTTTGGCTCCAAGTCTCTTGGCCATGGGGGTCCCTCTGAGGAACATGACGGATTTAGAGCAGGTAGCACACCACCCCAGCATCAGTATGAGAGAAAATAAAACCTTGACCATCAATACTCGCTCTGGCACACCTTGAAAAAAAAAAGGGAGAATCTGAACAAAAAAATTAAAATCTATAGCTCCCCAACAGACTTAATGGACACCTCCCTCTTGGCCAAAGAGAATCCCAAAGAAACCCAAAAACCTAATTCAGGCCACAGTGAGAAACAGAGGGGTTAGACGTACCTCACTATACCTTCCCCTTTTTCTTTGTCAATTAGGCCAGCTTCAAAAGGTCCTTCAAGATGAAAATAAAATATTGCCCTTCCCCACAAAGGAAAAGAACAGCTCCCATGTTCAACCAGGAGACTTAGTCTTACTAACAAGAAGAATCTGCTGAGGATCAATTATAACCAAAATGGAAATACCCCTATCAGGCATTGTTAAATTCCCCCACCACTGTACAATGTCAGGAAATAATTACTTATGTACGCCTATCAAATATTAAATCTGTGTCTCAAGAGTCACAGGTACAAAGAGAGGATACCATGATCTACAACTGTGAACCTTTGAAAGATTTATATTTAAAAGAATCAACACTCAGTCAGAAGTGATAGTGTGATGCTGTGGATGGAAACAGGAGCATTAATTTTTATTTCCTTCCTGGCTATAATACTTCTTTTCTATTGCTTTCGGCATCTGCCTTCTCCTGGGAAACATCTTTCTTGTCCGTGGGTATAGAGGTCACTCTACGGCCCATCTGGACACCATGCTATCACTATTAATCCTGTTTGCTTTCCCAATTATCCTGATCCAGTATGTATGAAAACAAAACTCTATTTTAAGTGTTTCAAAAAATATAGCATCAGGGAATCATCTTCATGGTTGATAGGTTTATCAACATCCCCAGGATAGATAGTTCCATCTTCTGGCTTATCCATAAAATCTCATGGACATCTCCCCAGGCCCCTACTTGCTAGATGAAACTCTTCCCCACTTAATGGATTCCGTCAGAACCCCACCACCACTATTATCTGGACCTGGAAAGTTGGGTATCTATATTTCCAGTGCACTAATCATTCTATCTTTTGAACTCACTGCTGTGTTAATGACACAAAAGTGGAGGTTTTCTTGCAATACTTTGATCCAACTCTAGTTCCCAATACCATAGCAAGATAAATAGGACCCCTTTATGGGTGAGGAAACCATATATGGTGTCTTCACCCAGATCAGAACATACAGGAAAAAAAACAGAGAAACAAACAAAAACAGCTGACTAATCTGGGAAGGTGGGAGTACTGCCCTCTTCTGGAAAACAAAGGTTATTCAGCCATCCCCGTTGGAACAGGAAAGAATATCTCCAAAGACCCAGCTTAGCATCAAAGGATAGATATCACACCCCTTAGGGCTTCTATTTGTGCCCCAACTAGCCTTGCTTTCATTTGTGGCCATCAGTGGGAAAAATTCACACTCCATACCTGCCCGAATTCCCAGGGAGCCACTTGTTCTTTTATAGTACCTTTCTCTTGTATATCAAAACCTTGGAACACAGGTGAATATACATTAGCCACCCTTACCCCTCCAAGGGTCACAGTGTATAACCTCATAAGACCCCAAAATACCAGAAGTAAATGAACCCTAGGAATAATTCTGACAGGAATTGAGGTGGCACTAGAACTAGCAGCACCATTGGGCAGCTTTGTTTACCATGAATCAATCCTGAAAATTTGATTTAACCCCAAGAATCCTTAGCCATCAACACAGGTCAGGCAGTAAAGAGAATTCGAGAGTCCCTAGACTCTTTGGCAAATGTAGATCTCGATAACAGACTGTCATTGTATTATTTACTAGCCACACGAGGTAGAGTCTGTGAGTTATTAATAAAATTGATGCACATATATTAACAACTCTGACAGATTGAGGTTAACATTCAAATATCTGTGCACAAGCTACCTTGTTACATAGATATAACCAGGGCATTGACCTCAACTATATCTGGTTGACTATCAAAAGTGCCTTCGCAAGTCTCATGTGGTTTTTACCTCTCCTAGGGCTTTTAATAACTATCTCGTTATTACTTATCTTTGGCCCTTGTTTGTTTAACCTCTTAATAAAGTTTGTGTCTTCTAGATTACAACAGTTCCAGGTGAAGACAATGTTGGCAAAAGGCTTCCAACCCCTCCAACTTTCTGACCTGAAGAATGAAAGCATTCTGTCTCTGGGATCCTAAGATCAGGTAGGCGGAAATATTTACTCTTCAGTGGTAGGCATGGTCTATGCCCATAAAATTAGCAGGAAGAGTTACAGAAGTTGGACCTCTACCCTTCTACAGCCCCTTTATATTAAGGAGCTTCTAATCTCTGAGAGGGGAATGAAGTAGGAGGCAGGACTGAATTCTGGAGATGGAGCTTGAACACTAGACCAAATTTAGGACTAGCTTAAATAAGGAAGAGGAGAGAGCACCTTGGCATTAAGACACACCACCAGTGTGCCATGTCGGTTTACCATGGCCATGGCAAAACCTACAAGTTAATCCCCCTTTCTATGGCAATGACCCACTGACCCAGAAATTACTAGCCTTTTGCTAAAAATGTCAGCATAATCTGCTTTTTAATTTGCATGTAATTAAAAGTGAGTATAAATATGACTGCAGAACTGCCTCTGAGTTGCTACTCTGGGCACATTGCCTATGGGGTAGCCTCTGCTGCTATTGTACACTGCCACTTCAATAAAAGTTGCTGTCTAACACTGCCGGCTTACCCTTGAATTCTGTCCTGGGCAAAGCCAAGAACCCTTCTGGTCTAAGCACCAATTTTGGGGTTCGTCTGTCCTGCATCAATGGAATTATATGATTTCTATTTCCTCAAGAGTGGGTGAATGATAGAGAGTGGACAGGCTAATCATCAGGAAAACTAAGAGAACAGGAAGGTAGAATACTTCCCTCATTTTTACCTGAAGCACATGGAAAACTCATTAATTGATCAGTAACTCTCTTAATTTTTATTTTAAATTTAAGCAAAGGAAATTCACCATGGCCTCCGACATTTAGTTGTAAGTACGGTAGGCTTAGAAGTTATATTAATGCGGAATGTCTCTAGCTGCAAGTAACAAAATTTCTGACTGTACAGACTTAAACCTTCAGGAGATTGTTTTCCACATCAAATGAAATCCAAATATCAGCTATCCAAGGTTGGTGTAACTGCTGAGTGATTTTATCACATGTAGGAAATCGGAGTAGTTAGCCAACCTGCAGGGTCAGTGTCTGTCCCCTGCAATAACTAATGTGTTTCCTTTCATACAAGTAAAAAATCTTGGCCGGGCGCGGTGGCTCACTCCTGTAATCCTAGCCCTCTGGGAGGCTGAAGCGGGCAGATAACGAGGTCAGGAGATCGAGACCATCCTGGCTAACACAGTGAAACCCCGTCTCTACTAAAAAATACAAAAAGTTGGCCGGGCAGGGCATGGTGGCGGGCGCCTGTGGTCCCGGCTGCTCAGGAGGCAGGCTGAGGCAGGAGAATGGCGTGAACCCGGGAGGCGGAGCTTGCAGTGAGCTGAGATCCCGCCACTGCACTCCAGCATGGGCGACAGAGCGAGACTCCGTCTCAAAAAACAACAACAACAACAACAAAACAAAACAAAAAAAAACCTTGTTATTGAAGAATGAAAACCGCTTGAAATGACATCTAATTTCTAAACCCCATGCAGTTACCTTCTCATGACATCTCTTACATAAAGAAATTCAAAAGAACTTAGTCATGTTACTGTCTCTTTCTCTCTCACTATAGTAGTCTTTATGGATATAGATCCAGAGGATATTTCAATTTGATGAAAATACTTCCAACTAATCCTTTGCAGCTTCATATTTTCTGCCTATTACCATGATCAACAATCGTCTTGCTGTTCATCTTTTCTCTCCAATTTTCAATTGGGTATTCTCAATTGCCCAGAACAGTATATATTCCCATAAGTTATAGAAAAAGAATATTTTGATGTCAGTTGACTCAAACGTCTGGAACAATAAAGAAGGGAATTTTCTCTTGATAGTTGAATTCTCTTCCTGATAGCACTCCACCTCAACATCAATGATACAGTGTATTAGTGATCAACAGTCATACCCTTCACCGGGCACGCTATCAGATATGCTGCACTTAAGTTTACTGGAGTTTTCTTCTGTTCTCCTTGGTACAAGGAAACTACACTTCATTATCTTTCCTTTTCCTCACTCCCCTCAGTGCCTCGTTCCTCTTCTTGCTTTTCTTACTGTGTTCTCTGATTGCTTTTGTGGGTTTTGATTTAGGCTGGACCTCCCACAATCTCTCTTCTCTCAAATTTGATTATTGATAGATATCTGAGGGCAGAGAGAGAAAAGAGAAACTGCAGGGTTTCTTTTACTGTCTAAGCTCTTTGTTGTTTCAGACTTCCCTTATGACCAACATGGAAAGATAAAGAAATTTTCTTGTTAAAACAAACAAACAAACTTAAAAACCTTAAATCTATGAAGCCCTCAGGAATACCTTTTGGGCACTTAAACAGTTATGAAGTTTTGGCAAATGTGACTTTGATGAAGGAAAGTTTTTTGTTCATCAGGATTGAGGGTAAAAGGGGGGTGTGAAAAGTTATTGACCAAAACAGCCTTAAAAGACACACTGGTTTAACAAAACTTTAAACAGGTATCCTCCTGACTGTAGCCCCTTTGTTTCCCTTGTCTTAGAGTATTTATTTAGAAAAGTTGTCATTGTAAATTCTTTCTCTACCTCCTTTGAATTGTATATGAATTGCCTTAAAAGACTCTTGCCAGTTACAGGACCCAGGGGAAATCTTTATTAAAGACCTAGGAGTTATGCGTTTGCAATGTGATCCCTAAAGATGATGGTACACCTTCCAGTCTCTATGGGAGGAAGGAGTCTCACTTTCTTAGGTGTCTTGCTCAAAGTTGAATAACTACCTCTTGCTATAAAGATAAGAGTAATTAACTTTTCTTTAGGGTAAGGCTAATTAGCAAACCCTGATAGCCTATGATCCTCCAACTGCAGCTCTTAAAAACTCCAACCTTTGTTTCAGCAGAGCAGAAATCAATCTCTTTCCCTATTGCAATAGTCTTAGATAGTTTTTCTTGCCTATTTAACTTTGTCAAGTGCATTTTCACTTTAACACTATCTATTCTCAGAGCTTTGTGCAGTTTATGCCTGTGAATGGCATAAATGACAAATCAGTCAATTAAGATAAAGGCAAAATCAGCTAATTTTTTATGTTTAGTGGCGGACTTTTTGAACAACCTATTCCATCGCACACCTACCCTCTCCTTCTCCAAGACTTCACTTATAAGGGGCAATATAATCAGACTTCCTGTTTAATGTTTAGTCTAGAGCTACACTAACCAATATAATATCCACAAGTGGCTATAGAGCATTTGAAATGGAGCTAGTTCTGTGGATGCTGTAAGTGTAATATGCCTTATATTAATAGGTTTATACTGATTACATGTTGAAATGATAACGTTTGGATTGTTGAGTTAAATAAAATATATGGAAATTCATATTAACTCTTATTTTTTACTTTTTTCAGTGTGGCCACTAGAAAATTTTAAATTATATATGAATCTCTCATTATATATCTGTTGAACAATGCTTGTCTAGAGTCAACCATTCAATTGAAAGCCCTAGATAGTCTACTATGTCTGTCTCATAGAATCTAGAAGCTTAGTAAGAGAAGCTCTAATAAATAAGGGAAGAAGGTGACTATCAAGCAAATAGAAGGTGGTAGGAAAAAAAGGAAGGCTTTGAAATCAGTGAGACCGAGTTTTAGATCCTGGCTCCACCACTTCTGCTGTTAGAATACAGACAAATTACCTTACCTCGGTGAAACTCAATTTTCCATCTCTAAAATGGGAACATAATACCTCTTAGTGAGTTCTTAAGAGTATTAAGTGACACGAGGCATCTGAAGTGTTTAGTATAGTACTTGCTTAATAAGTGGTATAACTAAGAAAAAAATCTACATTCATAAGAGGCTCAGAATTCAGTAGTATCATACAACTACCAAAACCTTAAGGCACGCTTGCACTGGGTAAGGAAGTAGGACAGAGTCACTGCTTAGTGGCTGAGGTCTCATCCTTCTTACTGTGAAAAGGGACAATGTGAAGGTTTTCTAACAAGTCTAACATTTTTTGGTGTGTAATTTGATTAATTATTCCTTATGCAAGGTTTCTATTGATATATTATGCAACTTAGTTGTTTAATATTCTATTTGCTTATATAGTTTATTTTGGGAATTTAATTATAATCACTTTATAATTGTCATGTTAAGACATTAATTGATATCATATCAAGTCATTAATATTATTCAGCATAAAACTCAACAAACCATGAACAAAACTTAGCCTAGGGCTTGCCTGTTGCAGCCCTGTCCTTTGTATGCTTTATTAGTTAATGGCATTTTAATACCTTAGATGTTCCATTAATAACACAAACAAACTAAGATATACTGTCATAATTCCGTATCCGATGAGAAGACTCAAACCTTTATTCCTGAAATACCTGTGCTATTAGAAGTCTTGCCTATGTTTCGTTATTGAAGTTTATTATTAACATTTTAAAATAGTAATATCAAGTAGGAGGCCATAGGACATTACATATTCCAGTCATATTAGTTTCTAACTCCATGTTTTCAGAAACAGTCCAATTTTCCCTTGGTAATCAGGATCAATTACCCCAAACAGTAAAGTAACCCTCTTCTTTGCCTACTGGTTCACTGGCATGAAAAGACCAATGTTGCTAAATGGCAGCATCTGCATCCAGTTAAATAAAATCGTTTTATTGTTTACTGTTTTGGAAGTTTCTGTCCGTTGGTACCAAAATCCTCTAAGCAAGCAGGACCTAAATTTGTGTAGTAGGCAGGAAATTTTTTTCTAGTGGATGATCAGGCAGGAGCAATAGAGTAATACCCATTATCTGCCTCCCTTCCTCCTTGGATCCTGGAACTCTGGAAATGGGAGAAAGAGTACTGTTTATCGATCACAGATTTGGAGAACATAACAAATCCTAGAAGACCTACCTTAGAGCCTCAAAGTGTTGTCACCCTCTGATGCCATCAATGCATTTTAAATGGTCACCCCTCTATTGTGTCAAACCAGTTTGCTTTATGATTATGTAGAATGGGATAAGACCATGAATTCCGATTTTTAATTCACGACTACACTCATTTTCTATAAAATGCGTTCCCTGATAAGAAGCAATGCTAGGTGGCATGCATGACAGTAATTAAGGCATCCTATAAAATTTTATTTTCAGAGAATCATTATAGTCAGAAACGCACATCCGTTTTCCAAAATAAATGCTTATTCCATTGAGAACAATACACTGTTCCTTTCATATGGAAATACTCAAGTGTAATCAGCTAGTCATTCAGTGGCTCCATGGTCACCCTGGATAATTGTGAGCTCAGTGTTAATCTGTACTGTTGGCAGGCTGAAGTGTCAATGGTAGCTGTAACAAGATTAACCTTGATGAAGTGAAGTCCAAGTCTCTTGAGACCATGAATAAACTATAGTTCTACCACTGTGGCTGATTTATTCATGAGCCCATTGGGCAGGGAAAAGGAGGCCTAGGAAGAGAGGCTAAATGGCGCTCATTGAGTAGTTCATCGTAACCAGTTGATTTCTGAGATTTCCTCCAAGCCGAGAATACTCTTCTGTAAGCATGGGCATACTTATTCTCTAGACCCTTTGATCACCAATATTTCCATTGTCTTCTTTCTTTCCAGTTTGAGCATCCAGACAAACCACTAGTTACTATCCATGCAATAGAGTATTCTATACCTTTGGCCCTATTTTCTTTGACAGAAAATTCACCGCCTTCTGGGTTGAACAAATCTTTCATAATGTATGAAGTTGAGTGTTCAAAGTTTTAAAAAATTATCTGTAGTCAACCAATAACATTCTGACATCTTAACTTAATTCAGTGCAGACCACCTGTAAATTAATTTTCAGACACCTGACTAAGAAAACGGTTTGACCTGTTCCTCATTGCTCTTTCCTTTACTGAATCCAGGGATTTCAGCCAGTGCACCCCTTTGAAGCAGTTAGCTTAACCCAACAATGCATTTCATTCACTCAGAACCAAATTTCTCATAATGAATTCCCATACATAATTCAAGATTGGATAAAGTAAATTGTTAAGGTTGTACAATCTTATTGTTGTGTATGTCCCTCCTCAGGGCTCATACTTCATATTCAGTCTCCTGGGGGCTGCTGTCACTAAATCTTGTTATAAATTTAGATGCAAACAGAAGTTGCATGACAGGTCCTGAGCAGAATCCGCATTTCCCCAGAAGGCAACTACCTCAGGGGAGCCCATTACAAGTTATTTAGGAAAAGAAAAAAATAATAATATATTCAGATAGGAAAGAATGTGCTGCTTCTACTGGAAATTGACACTGTGAAGAATTTATAGGTTCAAGATTTTCAATCTCGTGAGAATTTTACCGTATATCTTCATTTCCCTTTTCAATGTCCCTCTTCTTTCCAACAATATCCTAACATGAAAATCCGAGAATCTGCCAGGTTTAGTCTTGGGTTTAGGTTTTCAGAAATCTTAATACCATTCCTAGAGTACTGTTAGGGCAGAATAAAAGTATTCTGGCTGCTTACTCAAATGTTTAGGAATTTGAACTCCTGAGCTCATCTTTTTTTTTTTTTTCCTTCAAAGTATCCAGCACTGTTAGAAGCAATCCAAAATAACCAGTCATTGTGCTCTTTTTTTCCCACTAAATTGCTCTTTGGCTCTACGGCAACTGCTACTGGATCACCCAAAGCCTTGCCGCCTGAAAGCACTTCACTCCAGGTGATGACAGTTCTAATTTTAGTCATATTTTTGCAATGAACCAACAGAGAATACCAACATTCTGTTTTTGCCTTGCAGCAGTGTAATTAGTCCTGTCAAATCTCATTAGATCTACAAACCAATTCTAGATTTCTACCCTTAAGCATCTCTTTCTATGGAAACACTTCTAATACCAATATCTGAATCTTCTGAATCTTTAATCATGGAGGCAGAGTACAGTATTATGGGATTAAGAGATTTATTTTAGATGTCAGATCTGTGGCTGGAGCTGGAGAGGTAAAGGTCGGAAATGAGTTGAAGGATTTGAGACAGGATCACTAATAGTTTTTGTGAAGCACTGGCATAGTTGAGCAAGTCAGCTTTTAGTGAAATGTGAAAATTTAAGCAAACCCCAGCTACCAAAACTGAACTGTGAAGGGAAAGCTAAAGGAGAGATAGACGCGAAAGTGTGCTGCTATGAGATGGCCACTTCTATGGTTCCACAGTTGTGGTTTCATCCGGTTGAGGGCTTATGGCTGCTCAGTCTGCAGTGTGGAAAATGAACCAGATGCAAATCTGAGTACAATAAAGGTAAACTGGATGTATTTAACTGTTTTGTATCTATACATGAATGTATCTGCCCACATCCACCTTCTGATATTAATGCAGCTGTTGCATTTTCGTTTTCCAAATCTCATGCCAATTTCTCTTGTTGTTAATCCTAATCTGGGACCATACAAGACTCGGGATTCTAGGATACATAGTTTCATTTTAGCTCAGTTTCCACCTAACCAAATTGACCTGGAAACATCCAGCACATATATAAGAATGCTTCATTAAATAAGTAGTCACTGTTTACCTTGGTATGATATTGCAGGTACTTCTCAGTGCAAATCAGAGCTTTCTATGAGCTATACCTGACCTTTCATATGCCAATCAATATTTCTCTTTCCAAATTCTAAACGGTATCTCAGAATCTATTGATTGCGTTTTTATTTTTCTGGAGAGCTCCAGTTTGTAGAATTCTAGTCTCCTACTACAAAGTAGGTTGCATTCTTTATGCACTGTGTCTGCTGAGTGTATCTTTTGTTTCTTAAATTCTAGTCTCTTGATTATTGTTAGTTTACTTGTTTGTTTGTTTGTTTGTTTTGCTTAATCCACAGAGTCAGATAAGTTCACAGTCAGTAGCTTCCTAAGAAAAAGTGTAGAAGAGGGAGAGAGAAGCAGGAGAGGGGGAGGAAAAGGAGAGGGAAGAGGTAGAGGATGAGAGGATGAAGAGAGGTTATGTATATCTGAAAATTGCTTTGAGAGTTTTGCTGAATATGTAATTCTAGGATGAAATTTTTTTTCCTTATAATATTATCAAATACATCGATCTGGTATTTTTTCTATCACAAATGATAATATTGAGATGCCTGATGCCATTGTATTTTCCCTTCTGTTTTAGCTCTGGAAATGCTTACAGTCTTCTGTTTTCTTTTTGAATTCTAACATTTGACAAGGTATGCCCTGATTTGGATCCTCATTTCACTTACAGTGTGGAATACTCAGCCTACTGTTTCTTCAATCTGGAAATGAACCCACGGTTTCTTAATTTCTTTTCTCTCAAGGTATTATTTGAAATAGGATATCAAGGTTGAATTTTTTTATTCCTGTTGTGCCCATATGAAACAAACTTATTATTCATTGAAACCTATTCTTTTTTATTTAATGTTTTGGGACCAATGCTCAGTATGAACGTGATGGTTACCAAACCCACTCCAGAGTGCCTCCAACCCTAGCCATGTTCTTTACCATCTGTGCAGTTATTGCTCATATTCTCTCTTTGTTTTCATTCTACACATCCAAACCCTACTTATTTTAAGAAGATTCAGTGCATGTCCCATGTCCTTTAGGGAACCTTTTGAGTGGTCTACTTGTTTTCTCTCTTTTTCTGTGAACTCTTTTTTTTTTTTTTTTTTTTTTTTTTTTGAGATGGAGTCTCGCTCCATCACCAGGCTGGAGTGCAGTGGTGCGATGTTGGCTCACTGCAACCTCCAACTCCCTGGTTCAAGCGATTCTCCTACCTCGGCCTCCCTAGTATCTGTGATTACAGGCACGTGCCACCATGCCCACATAATTTTTGTATTTTTATTAGAGATGGGGTTTCACCATGTTGGCCAGGATGGTCTCAATCTCTTGACCTCATTATCAGCCTGCCTCGGTCTCCCAAAGTGTCCTGCGAACTCTTGAACACCATACTTTAGCAATTTTAGGTATATAGAAGTAGGAAGAAGGCATTATAATGTTCTGAGTAGTATTTTTTGAATTCATGATAGTTTGGTCGTTCTAAGTATGTTTATTTAAATAATTTAGGAGGCTTTGTTATAAGTTATATTATGTATTGACTTCTAAAGTTTTTGCCTCTCCAGTTTCTTTATCAATGATTACAGATGAACTATTAATTTTACAATAGGTAATGTCATAGCATTATTTCATATTTGGTATTCTTATCTTTTCCAGCTATATTACTTATTAGTCTGTAATTTTGTAGTACATAGTTTTGAGACTGTAGAAAGAATTTCAGAAATTCATTATTTTCTCTCACTCTTTAATTATTTTCAGCTTGTCCTAAAAAAAATTCAAAGATTTTAAATGGCAAACAATTATTTATTTAAAAAATAGATCATAATACCTTAAGTGTATTTTATGTACTGAAATGTGATGCATTTTAGTGAATGTTCTCTGTGCAAAAAAAAAAAAAAAATGTGTAACCTGGTGTGCTTGGGTGAAGTAGTGTATAGATGTCAACTATATCCACTTGAGTGATAGTACTGGTAACTTCAGCTATATCCTCATTGATTTTTTTTGGCTGTTGGATCTGTCAATTTCTGATAGAGGGATGTTTATTCTCCAACTGTAATAGTGGATTCATCTATTTCTCCATGAAGTTCTATCAGTTCTTTTCACATATAGTTTGATGCTCTATTGTTGGATACATAAGGATTGTTATGTTTTATTGGAGTATTGACTCTTTTGTATCAATATGTAGTATCTTCTTTATCCCTGATCACTTTACTTGCTCTCATGTCTGTACTGTCTAAAGAAAATATAGTTACTCTTGCTTTCTTTTAATTAGTGTTAGCGTTGTATATCTTTCTCTACCTCTTTACTTTTAATCTAAATGTGTCTTCATATTACAAGTGGGTTTCTTGTAGATGATAGTTGGATCTTGTTTTTCAATCCATCTGACAATCTGTCTTCTAATTAGTGTATTTAGACGATTGAGGTATAAGGTGATTACTGATATCATTAGATTAATTTCTACCATATTTGTTACTATTTTCTATTTGTTGTATTTATTCTTTGTTCCTGTTTTTGTCTTCCACACATTTTTTTGTCTGTTATGGTTTTAATTATGTATTTTATCTGACTCCATTTTCTCCACTTTCTATCAATTATACTTTTAAAAAACATTTTTAGTGATAAAGTGATAGTCCTAGAGTTTGCAATGTATATTCACAATTAATCTAGGTCACATTAAAATAACATAATAGCATTTACAGGTAGTGCAAGTACCTTATAATAACAAAATATTCCCAGTTTTCCCTCCCACCCCTTGTATCATTGCTGTGATTTCACTTAAGCATATATAAATGTGTGTGTGCATGTATATATATATATATACACACACACACAAATATATTGTTGGTATTATTATTTTAAACAAGAAAATGATTATATCATTTAAAATTTAAAAAGTAGAAGTTTTCATTTTACCTTCACTTATTCCTTGTCATGGTCTTCCTTTTTTTAAAATGTAGATCCAAGTTTCTTCCCTCTCCTCTGAATAACTTCTTTTAACATTTTCAGGTCTATTAACAACAAATTTTCTCATTTTTTTCTTTGAGAAAGTATTTCTCTTTCACTGTTTAATTTCACAGAGTACAGAATTTGGTTGGTGTTTTCTTTTGAATATTTCTTTCAATACTTGTTTTCTCAACATTTAAGTGTCTCTCAACACTTAAAATATTACACTGCACTTTCTTTTTGCTTGAATGGTTTCTGAGAGAAGGTGGATGCAATCTTATCTTTGCTCTTCTATACATAAGGTTTTTTTGTTTGTTTTGCCTCTGGTTTCTTTTAGAATTTTTTCTTTATCTTTGATTTTTTTTTTTTTTTTTTTTGTAGTTTGAAAATGTTATGCCTAGGTGTAGCTTTTGGCATTTATCCTGTTTACTAATCTCTAAGCTTGCTGGATCTGTGTTTTGGAATTGACATTAACTTAGGGAAATTTTCAGTTATTGTTTCAAATATTGCTTCTGTTCCTTTCTCTCTTACTTCTTCTTATATTCCCCCAAACTGTTTATTATCACTTTTGTATTTGTCCCATAGTTCTTTGATACTCTGTTCTTTTTTTTTTTTTTTTTTTTTCATTCTTTTTCTCTTTGCTTTTCAGTTTTGGAAGTTTCTATTGTTATATCCTCAAGCTCAGAGATTTTTTTCATTAGCCATGTCTAATCTACTGGTGGGCTAATTGAAGACTTCTTTATTTCTATTACAGTGTTTTAATCTCTTGCATGTTTTTATTATTTCTTAGAATCTCCATCTCTCTGCTAACATTCATCTGTTCTTATATGTTATCTACACTTTCCATTAAACCATTTAGCATATTAATCATAGTTATTTGTTTGTTCTTTATTCTGATAATTCTAACATTACTGCTACATCTGATTTTAGTTCTGATTCCCAAACTGCGTGTTTTGCCTTTTCTACTAAATTGCCTTGTAATTTTTTACTGAAAGGCAGATATGATGTACTGGGTAAAAGAATGTGTGTTAAATTTAAGGCCTTTAGCAATGTAGTAGCAAGGTGTGAGGGAGGAGAAGCATTCTATTTCCATGATTAGTCTTAGACTTTGGATGAGACTGTGCCCCTGGCCTGTGGACTTCATCACTCCCTCTTTCTGTTGTTTGTTTATTTGTTTTTGTTTTCTCATCTTTAGTTGGGACAGGATTACTAGAGAGTACTGCGGTTGGATATTTCCCTTCCCCTACATGGATGACTAGGGGTGGTTAGAGTTGGGTGCCTATCCACTCCCTTGGGTAGGTTAGGCTCTAAAAAACCCCAGCAGGCTAGAGCCTCATAAATTATTTCTCCTAGGGCAGGGCTTTTAGTAAGAACAGAATGTTCTGACATATTTCAAAATGGTTACTCCCTGCACCCCCATGGAAGTATGGGGAGATTTTTCTCTGATATTCACTTTGAGGGTGAGATCAAACTCCTGGAGGCAAAATAAAAGTGGGGGTTCCCACCATGATTGGATCCTTCCGGAGTTTTTCACACTCAGATTTGTTCACGTGAAGCTTTCAGCAATTTGTCAATTAGAATTCAGGTTTTCCTAACCTACCACTGGTACCCATGGAGATTTCTTCTACTGGGTTTGTATTTCAGTAAATTGTGGCACTCAGTATTTGCCTGTCTGTTTCTCCAATTTGGGAGGATGGCAGTGGTTTGCACTGAACTTTTACTTCTCTGAAAGATCTAAAAATCTTAGAAGAGTTGTTGATTTTTCATTTTGCTCAGCTTTATATTTGTTATTAGGATGGATTGTTGACTTCTAAGCTCATGACATGCTAGACTGGAAACCAGAAGTCCATAATACTTTAGCACATTAATTTTATAAAGAATATAAAATTGTTTGAAAGCATTTTTAATTAAAATGAACTTCAGCAATTTCATGTCCAATAAAAAAATGCATTTGCTTTTCAATGCTGTCATCAAAAAATGTAACCATTTTAAATGACTTGGAAATACCCTTAGAAGAGAAGGCAAATTGTTTGCCTTTTTTAAACTGACAGATAAGATTGTATGTTTTTATCATGTGCAACATGATGTTTTGAAGTACATGTACACTGTAAAATAGTTAAATTAGCTAATTAACAAATGAATTATCTTGCATAGTTATCATTTCTGTGGTAAGAACAGGTGACATCCACTCTTTCTACATTTTTTGATACAATGTATCAGCACTAACTATAGTCACCTTGCTATGTTTACAATAGATCTCTTGCATTTTTTTCCTTTTATCTTACTGTAATCCTGTATCATTTGAGCAATATTTCCCCATCCTCCACTCCTGCCTAACCACCTCAGCCTCTGCTAACAACCATTCTTCTATATAATCAACTTCTTTAGTGAGATCATGCACTATTTGTCTTCCTATGCCTGGCTTATGTTATTTAACATAAAGTCGTCCAGGATCATCCATGTTGTTGCAAATGGCAGAATTTCATTCTTTTTTATGGCTGAATAGTACCCCATACTGTATATATGCCACATTTTCTTTATTCATTCATCCCTTGATGGACACATAATTTGAGTCCACACCTTGCTATTGTGATTAGTCCTGTGATAAACATGGTAGTACAGATACCTTTTTGACATACTGATTTCAACTCCTTCGGAATAGTTTTTTGAATACTAAATAAATATCTTATTAAAAAATTAAACCCTTATTTGTTCATGGTGACTGTAATAAATTTTGGCAAAAATATAGAGAAACTTGAACTGATTCTGGTGTTCTCATTGAGCTGCTAAATTTGTTACTGTTCCTCCTGCATAATACAGATGCCATAAGCCATGACTAAATGTACAGAAGGCATTTACTTCTGTTAGGTTTTTTGAGCCAGAAGACGCTTTATAAGTCACTGCATTATACCTTATAACTACATTTTAATTTAAATGTATTTTTAAACATAGCTTTTAAAAGCTCATCTCCTCACTGGCTATCAAAAGCAGTTTAATTTCTAAAGTAATAGCATATTTTAAAAATCTATTTAAAATGCTGTTAAGATCTTTAAATATTCTACTTTTATTATTTTTAAACTTATTTAATTACACTATAATTGTATAAAGCTCTAGAGCAGTGCTGGAGATGGTTGCAAATTGTCCAGTCTCATTTCCAGGCATACTATTGAAATATTTCATGAAATAACAAATTGATATCCAGGGAAAAGACCTGTAAGAGGTCACCCATGTAAAATCCAGTCTATACAAACATCTGAAAAGTAAAGGACAGAAAGCAAATTTAATCATATATGAGTACTTCGGGGGTGTGGATTGTAGCAAAACATGAGAGATTCTAATTTGTATGCAGTACATTCAAGGAAAGTAAATATGATGAGATTTAATACAAACATCTTAATTTTCTTAGTCAAGGTAAATGCCATTGCCAGTGGTTCCATTTGAAAGACTGGATAGTATTGATGGTGGTGGCAGCCTTTCTGGAGTGGCCACTTCGAGGACACCAGCTGCAGCAGGGTAGGTGGGGCCTGGGCTGTGTGTTCCATGGAGCCCAGCAGGGGCCAGGAACAGGTGATCACAGAGGGAGCCCCACACCCTACTGAGTTGGCAGGGCCACAGGCCGTGTTCCTGTGCACATCTGCAGCTGCACAGCCATGGCACTGGACCTCAGCATCCCTCGCTCTTGGGGCCCAGGAAGCACTCAACTCTCACAGGCTTGGAAGTGCCTGCTCCTGCTATGTGGCCTCTTCCTACTCCCAGTGACTGCCCCAGTGTGGAGCAAAGTTGTGGCCAAGCCCCAGTGCTGTTGCCACCTGACGGGGTGTGTACATGCTTGGGGTTGCATTGACATGCCAGTCTCCTGCCACCTTGGCCCCTCCAGACTTTGGGCACTAATGATTGTGGGATGGAGGCTGAGGGGCTCACTGTAGGCCTGCAGGCACCCCTTGGTGTGGAAAGCCTGGGTGCCGTGGATGGCATGTTGATGATGGGAGGCAGACAGGTTCATAGGCAGGAAAAGGTGGATCCCTGCTGAAACCCCACCTTCAGGTCAGGGTGTGCCTGAAGCCTGAGGGCTGTGCTACCAGTTCTGGGTGAAGTCTGCAACCTGGAGTGAATACTTTATTGATGCTTTCCAGCCAATCAGATGGTGCTTTTTCGAAGCCTACCCATGGCCACCCATGGACCAATTAGCATGCACTTCCTCCATTCTGAGCACATGAAAGCCTCAGACTCAGCCAAACTCAGACTCTCACTGGGAGGACTTGCCTACAGAAAGGAGCTCTCAACTTTGGGTCTCCTGAGAGCTGTTCTGTTGCTCAATAAAGCTCTTTCCATCTTGGTCATCCTCCAGTGTACTGTGTAACTTCATTCTTCCTGGAAGCAGGGCAAGGACTCAGGACCTGCTGAACGGCAGGAGCATAAGGAGCTGTAACATGTCCCTGGACAGCTCGCCAAGCTGTGGGCGGTTCATGCTCTTAGATTGCAGGAGTGAAGAGTGGTGACCCTTCTGGGGGCCCAGACCTCAGGATTCCCTGAGCCAGACCTGCTGTAACACTATAGCTCTCCCACTCTCCACTGGTGCTGGGTGGCTGCCCCATGCAATGGGTGGAAGGACTGAAAGAACTATAATGCAAACAGGCTGAAACATGCCCCCCTTTCCCCACTTGCTGTGCTGTGGGCAGCAAGAAGGAGAGGAGAACTGCGGCCCTTCTGGGAGCCCAGACCTCAGGGTTTCTGAAGCCTGGGCTGTGACGGGCTGTAACACCCTCCCTGGGTCTCTGCAGTTCCTGGCGCCTCTGAGATTTTGGACTCCACTGTGTTCCCCAGCACCTGAAGTGGAAGCCACTTGTGGTATGTCTCATTCACCCACAAGCCTTGAACAGAGCTGGCACCTGTGCTGGTACCTGGAGCTGCCCTCCCTTCACAGCTGGCACACCTGGCTGTGCACAATGGCTGGACCCTGCACTCACTCACTCACACATCTCTCACCACTCTGTGACTGGCTCACCCTTGGCAGCTGTGGGATCTGGGCCAGTAATGTGAACCAAGCACAGCCTGCTGGGCCAACTGGGTGGAACAAGCCCAGAGGGTTTGAGCAAAACCCAAGCAGAGGCACCGCTGGCCACAGAGGTTTCAGCTGGTAAAGTGACACTCTACAGATCCTCTGACAGTATGCTTTTGAAGAGAATTATTTTCTAGGTATAAAATGTATAAATGAAGCATCGAATCTATTGATATATATTATCCTCAGGAAAAGAAAATCAATTTATTTAAATTGTGTGCTGAGTAAAAATGGGAACAATTCTTCCCGGAGAAACAAATTTCTCATCTGGTCATCCCTTAGATTAGAATTTGACCCCATATAAAATCAGAGTAATGCTAAGAATCAAACTATTTCACTAGAAAATAAAATAGGAAGAAAATGATAAACGACGAGAATTAATGTAGAATGAACATGGATTTTAGATTAGGCTTAGAAAAGGAAATGAGCTAAGTTATTGAACATCAGATAAATAGTAATGTCTTATGCTTAAGTAACACTTATTTTGTCAGTGACTAGTCTATGTATTTCACACTTACTAACTTATTTATCCCCTACAGTAGCTCAGTGAGGTAGGTAGCCTTATCATCATCCTTTAAAAGCATAAGGAAATTGGGGCACTGAGAGTTTAAGTGGCCTGCTCAGTGCAGATAAGCAATGAGACAGGAGCAAGGTTGGAACCCAGGCAGTCTGACTTTAGAATGTGAGCTCTGAACCATTACAGAATACTCTCCCCTAGGCTATGGAGTAGGTTTCCAGTAATTTGTTATAATCATTATTCGTTTTTAAAGTTTTAATTTCTATTTTGTTTATAACTGAGTAACAGTTTATGGATTAGCTTTATGATATAAACAATTAGAAAATTGTAAAAATATATTAAAACAAATCCAACATACTTTTAGATATTGGGTAGTAGACAGCCGAAGAGTATACTTCTGAGAGAAGAAAAAGAAATATGATGAGCCCTACAATAATTCTGGCTTTCTGTCTGAAAACACTGAACTCTGCCCCCAAGGAGGCAACGAAGAGGAAATAAAGCAAAATATAAAGAACTCGCCGAATTAAAGATATGGGAATCCAAGTTGGAGGAGGTAGAATGGAGGGAGGTGGAATTTATGGGGTAAAATACAAGAACAAAGGGAGCCATTTAAACAAAAAGCTTCAGAAAGCTGTATATCCCTTGAGTCTTTGGCTTAATAATAATGTGTTCAAGTGCAGGGTGATACTACATGTGTCTAAATGGGAACAAAAGATGAAGAAAACAACCTGTGACCAAGGAGCTGTAAATTAAACAGTTACAGGACTGAAGTGGGTTAGAAGAGTTTTTAGTTCTGACCAACCAGAATGATGAGACCTTTTTCAACAACTAGAACATTCAGTAGAAAACCATGAAATTCCTTGCCTTAAGAATAGGCCCAAATAGTTATAGAATAAAGGCTGTTCTACACTTACCTTAATAAAAATTAAAAATTCTCAAAAGGATTATGCTAATCTACAAATAAACTAACCACTAATAAAATAAAATTCAATTTTCTTAAAAGAACACAACAAAATCTAGACATTCAACTACATAACATTTAAAATGTACTAAATCCTATTGAAAATTATGTAAATATGCAATGAAACAGTAAAATCTGACCTAAAATCAGAAGTAAAATTAGTTAATAGAAACAGAAAATAAATTATAGTGATGATCAAATAAGCAAAGGAATTTGTGTGTTTGTGTGTGTGCATGCATATATATGTGTGTGTATCTATTTAATTTGTATATATATTAATTTTATAAATGTATACACACACTTGAAGCAGATGAATGTGATAACAAGATGGAAATTATAAGAAATGTATAAATAAAAAATAAAAAATAGAATTTCTAAAACTGAATAGTATAATAAATAAAATGAAAAATTGGTAGGCTTAATAGCAAGTTCAACATTACAGAAGAATTTCAATAATCTTAAAATAAGGTAATAGAATCTATCCTAACTAAAGCATAGAAGAAAATGAAACAGAACCTTGGTTATTTGGAAGACAATATGTATCTTAAGGAAAAAGTGTATTATGTCACAGAAGGAATGAGTGATATACTTAATAAAAATATCCCATATTATCAGATAATTTCAGTTAATTGCAAAAAGAATAAGTAAAAAGAAAATCACACCAAGGCATGTCACAAATTACTTTCTGAAAAGCAATAATAATGATTATAATAAAACATCTTTAAAGCAGCCAGAAAAGAAGGAAACAATTAAGTACAAGGGAGTACAAATAAGACTTACAGCTGACTTCTTATGAGAAAGTAATGTATTTATGTGTTTGAACTGACTGCAGAAATGCAAAGGTCAACCTATAATTCTGCATCTGTTGAAAATATCATTTGGAAGTAAGAGCAGAAGTCTTGGCCATGCAAAGTTCTGTCCTGTGATAAGCCTGTTTTCACTGTGATAAACCAAGGTAGTCTCAGTTCATTATAGGAAGACTAAAGTACACATTGTACATGTCTCTATTATATTCATGTTTTTAAAGTTATTGAAAAATAAGGTATAAGGAACTTAAGATATGTAATGTGTATACTGTGATGAGTTTTAACAAATGCATATCCCTGTGAAACTACCACCACAAACAATATAATAGGTATAGCTAGTCCCCAAATTTCATATTTCCCTTTTCTAATCTAGTCTTCTCTACCCT
The DNA here is from genome assembly GCF_000001405.40 of Homo sapiens. NCBI lineage: Eukaryota > Metazoa > Chordata > Mammalia > Primates > Hominidae > Homo > Homo sapiens. The sequence continues at coordinate 108,093,395 of NC_000010.11, read as the reverse complement.
ATCCCCTTTCTTGGGAAATCACTGATCCTATTTCCTGCAACTGCAAATTAGTTTGCCCTTAAAATTTTTTTTTGATGGCTACATAGTAGCTGTATGTATTTATGGGATACAAGACACATTTTGATACAAGCATGCAATGTGTAATAATCACATCACAGTAAATGGGGTATCTATTGCCTCAAGCATTTATTGTTTCTTTCTGTTACACACATTTCAATTACTCTATTTTAGTTATTTTTAAATGTACAATAAATTATTGTTGACTCTATCACCCTGTTGTGCTATCAAATACTAGATAATATCAATTTTATCTAACTATATTTTTGTACCCAGTAACCATTCCCACTCTCCTACCCCACTCCACTACCTTTCTCAGCCTCTGGTAACATTATACCCTGCTACTCTATCTCCATGAGTTCAATTGTTTCAATTATTAGCTCCCACAAATCAGTGAGAACATGGGAAGTTTGTCTTTCTGTGCTTGGCTTATTTCACTTAACATAATTTGCTCCAGTTCCATCCATGTTGTTGCAAATGACAAGATCTCATTCTTTTTTAATATGTGAACACTACCCCATTGTGTATATGCACCGCATTTTCTTTATTCATTCATATGTAGATGAACACTTAGGTTGGTTCCAAATTTTGGTCATTGTGAATAGTGCTGCAATAAACATGGGAGTGCAGATACCTCTTGGATATACTGATTTCCTTTCTTTTGAGTAAGCATATACCTAGTATTTACATAAGAGTGGTATTGCTGGATCATATGGTAGCTCTATTTTTAGTTTTTTGAGGAACCTCCAAACTATTCTACCTCATGATTGTACTAATTTACATTTCACCAACAGTGGAAGAGGGTTCCCTTTTCCTCACATTCTCAATAGCATTCGTTACTGCCTGTCTTTTGAATAAAACCATTTTAACTGGGATGAGATAATGTCTCATTATAGTTTTGCTTTGCATTTCTCTGATAAACAATGATGTTGGGCACCTTTTTCATATAGCTGTTTGTCATTTGTATGTCTTCTTTTGAGAAATGTCTATTCATATCTTTTGCCTGTGTTTTAATCAGATTAGTACAATTTTTGTTGTGCTTTCTCAAAACAGCTATTTTGAATTCTCTGTCTGAAAGATCACATATCTCAGTCACTCTTGGATTGGTCGCTGGTGCTTTATTGAGTTTGTTTGGTGAGGTCACATTTTCCTAGATGTCCTTGGTGCTTGTGGATATTTGTCAATGTCTAGACACTGAAGAGTTAGGTCTTTATTGTAATCTTTGCAGTATGGGCTTGTTTGTACTCATTCTTCTCGGAAAGGCTTTCCACATATTCAAAGGCAATTGAGTGATGTGATATAAGTCTTTAGTCACTGCAGGTGCGTCTGCATTAGATGAAACCCCAAGCCCAAGACTGCGGTGACTCTTGCAGACTCATAGAAGAACCAACTTGGTGGTCTTGAGTAATAGCTGAGATAATTCCCTGGGTTAGCAATCAGAAACTCTTGTTTTCTTCCCATATTTTCCCGCATCCCCCACTCCCCCACCCACCTCTTCAAAAAACAGTCTGTCTCTCTCTATGCTGAGCTACTTGCAGCTAAGGAAGGAGTGACACAAGCACCCCTGTGGCCACGAGCACTGGGAATGTGTTCGGTTCAACCTGAAGCTGGCACAGCACTTGGCCTCACCCAAGGCCCATGGCAACCACTCCCTGGCTATCACCAATGTTCACACAAGGCCCAAGGGCTTTTTGGTCATGGGGTGGCAAATCCAATCCAATCAGGCTTGCATCCAACCTTTCAAGGTGGTAAGGTACCCCGTGCCCAGGGTAGGTCTAGAAATGCCATCTAGGAACCTGGACCTGGAGTCAGGAAACTTAGTAATCTACTTGGTGCTCTATTCCACTTTGGCTGAGCTGGTACCCAAGTATTTTAGTCTGTTCTCATGCTGCTATGAAGAAATACCTGAGACTGGGTAATTTATAAAGAAAAGAGGTTTAATTGACTCACCACTTCACATGTCTGGGGAGGCCTCAGGAAACTTACGGTTGTGGCAGCAGGCACCTCTTCATAGGACAGCAGGAGAGAGAATGAGTGCCAAGCAAAGGGGAAGCCCATCAGATCTCATGAGAACTCCCTCACTATCACAAGAACCCTGTGGGGGAAACTGCCCACATGATTCAATTATCTCCACCTGGTCCTGCCCTTCACAAATGGGGATTATTACAATTTAGGGTGAGATTTGGGTGGGGACACAGAGCCAAACCATATCACCAACCCACAAGACACTGTCCTTCTCACTCTACCCTCTCCTTTCCTCAAGCAGAAGTTTCCTCCCATGGCCACCACTGCCCCGTGCCCACTGTGAGTACTGCCTGGTTACCTCTGATGTTCACTCAAGGCCTAAGGACTCTTCATTCAGCTTGTGGTACATGCTGCCAGGCCTGGGTCTCTTCTTTCAGGGCAGTGGGCTCCCCTCTGGCCCAATGTGAGTCAAGAATGCTATCCAGGAGCCAAGGTCTGGAATCAGAAACTCCAGGAGTCAGATTGCTCCCCTAACGACTGTGGTCAAGCTGGTACCCAAGCTGCAAGAAAAAGTTGCTTTTACTCTTCCTTCTCCTTTCCTTAAGCAGAGTCTCTCCCCATGACCACCATAGCTGAGAATGTGCTGGGTCACACCTGAAGTCAGCACGGTGCTAAGTCTTACTCAAGGCCTGTGGCAAGTAATGTCTGGCTATCATTTATGTTTATTCAAAGCCCAAGGGCTCTTTAGTCAGCAGCTGATGAATCCTGCCAGAATTCTGTTCTTTGGTTCAAGGCAGCAAGTTCCCTTCTGGCCCAGCATATGTCTAGTAAGGTCATCCCAGAGCTAGAGCCTGGAAAGGAGGCATCAGTACCCTGCCTGGTGCCCTGGCCTACTGTGGCTGAGCTGGTGGTATCAAGTTACAAGACAAAATTCTCTTTATTCTCCCCACTCCTCTCCTCAGGGAAACCCTGTACTGTGATTGATCACCCAATTTTTGTTTTTCTGTGAAGGTGCTTTCTTGTGTGAATAGTTGTTCAATTTGGAGTCCCTGGGGTGGGGTGGGAGGGATGATCACTGGAGGGTTCTATTTGACCATCTTGCTCTGCCTCTTCCTCCTAGTTTACATTTTTAAGATTTTTATTTAAATGGAAAAGTTAAATTAAATTTAGTCTGATACTTTCCTTGTACCTTGATTTTCTGCATAACTAACAAACTGCAACCTAACTCAGCAGGTAAACAAACCAAAAATTAACTTAGGAATGTATATATATTCATCTATCTGTCTATATCCATATTTGTGTGTGTGTATATATAGAACATTCATAACAGCTGTATCAGAGCTAATCACAAGCAGCCAAGCTTCAGCTAATCACCAGCAACCAATTGATCAGACGATGTTCTAATGCAAATGCCTCACTGTAACCAATCAAGCTCTTTCTGTACACTACTTTTGTGTCTGTCTGTAAATATTCACTGCCCAAGTGTTAGATTGGAACTCTCTGAACCTCAAATAAACTCTGTTAAATTAAATTTGTCTAACATTTTTATTTTAGGAGAATTTGTATGCACTCTCACTTTGACTTATTTCATTTAGCATAATTATTTTGAAATTCATCATTGTATATGTCAATATCTTTTTCCTTCTTAATATTGTGTAGCATATTGTTACTTGTATATACCACAATTTGTTCATATATGTTTTGTTGAAGGATATTTGTTGGTATTTATTTATTTATTTAGTTTTTTGAGACAGAGTCCTGCTCTGTTGCCCAGGCTGGAGTGCAGTGGCATGATCTTGGCTCACTGCAACCTCTGCCTTAAATGTTCATGTGATTCTCCTGCCTCAGTCTCCTGAGTAGCTGGGATTACAGGCACCAGCCACCACACCCAGCTAATTTTTGTATTTTTAGTAGAGATGGGGTTTTGCTGCGTTTGCCAGGTTGGTCTTGAACTCCTGACCTCAGGTGATCCGCCCGCCTGAGCCTCTCTAAGTGCTGGGATTACAGGCCTGAGCCACCAAGCCTGGCCTATTAGTTGCTATTATAAATAAAGTTACTATGAACATTCACATAAAAGGCTTTGTGTGAACATATGTTTTTGTTTCTCTTAAGTAAATGCTAAAAGTGCAATAACTGGGTCATATAATGATAATTTGTTTTGCTTTTTAAGAAACTATATGACTGCTTTTCAAATGGTTGCAATATTTTAATTTCTACCATTAGTACATGAGAGTTCCAGTTGCTCCATGGTGTCACTAACACTTGGTATAGTTAGTTTTTTCAACTTAGCCCTGACAGTGGAGGTATAGTGATATTTCATGAGGGCTTAAATTTGTATTCTCTTGATGAGTAATGATGTTGAGAATCTTTTTATGAGCTTGTTTACTATTCATATACATTATTTAGTTAAGTTGTTGTTCAAGTATTTTGTCAATTTTTATTAGGTATTTGTTTAATTATAGATTTTCTTTTCATTTTAGATATGTATCCTTTGTCAGATATTTGTTTTAAAAAACAGGTTTTTACAACTCTGTGACTTTTCATTTGTTTAATAGTATCTTTTGAAGAACAAGAGTTCTGAATTGTGATTGAGCTAAATTTATATATTTCTCTTGCACTTTTCATTTCCTATTAGAAATTCTTCAACTAATTGGAGGTCACTAAGATTATCTCCTGCATTTTTCTAGAAACTTTATGATTATAGTCTGTACATTTACATATCTAATATATTTTAAGTTATTTTTGTATATAATGTGAAGTCATGGACAAAATTTGTGTGTTTGCTTGTTTTTAATATAGCTATCCAATTATCCCAGAACCATTTGTTGAAATAGGAAGTATTCATTGTATACTAAATTGCCTTGGAATCTCTATCAAATATCAATTTTCCACCTATATGTGGGTCTATTTCTGAACTCTCATTCCGTTCCTTTGATTAATACACCTATCCTTGTGCCAATATTGTCTTCATTACTAGAGCATAATAACCCTGAGAATTAAATGGTTTAAGGTCTTCCACTTAGTTGTTTTTCAAAAGCTCCAATTTACGTAAGGATGCCTTTTCTTGTGAAGTAATTTTTCTGATTAAAGGAAAATACTTAGTGCTACTTTCTTCTTTCAAAAAATTTAGATATATAAATCTGGATGAAGCTGTAGCTGTAAAGATGGAATGCAACCCATTATTTTTGAACACAGATCCTTCCTGAGACTAGGGTGGCAGTGACACCACTAATGGCTTTCCACAATTCCATGCTATACAATCCAGGTAATCATTAAGGAAAAACTATTCCTGTTGTTTTACCAAGGTCAGCTAGTTACCTGCATTAATATTTATAGCCAGTCACATAGACAGCTAAAAGAGTAATCAGTTGCCTGTGTTTCAGCATATTGAAAAAAATGTCCCAGATTATGAGAAGGGCATCTCTTTTCCCATTATATATATATAAATATTATATATACTATTTATATATAATATATAATATATATTTTATATATAATAAATATATAAATAGTATATATAATATATAAATATTATATATAATGTATATAATATATAATATATAATATATAATATATAATATTATATATTATATATTATATATCATATTATATATATTATATATTATATATGATATGATATATAATATATTATATATGTTATATAATATATAAATATATGATATATAAATATTATATGTAATATATAGAAATATATGATATATAAATATTATATATAATATATAAATATATGATATATAAATATTATATATAATATATAAATATATGATATATAAATATTATATATAATATATATAAATATATGATATATAAATATTATATATAATATATATAAATATATGATATATAAATATTATATATAATATATATAAATATATGATATATAAATATTATATATAATATATATGAATATATGTTATATATTTATTATATATAATATATATAAATATATGATATATAAATATTATATATAATATATATATATGATATATAAATATATATAATATATATAAATATATATATATATTTAGCTTTCTTTTTCTCTAAAATTGGCATCTGGAGATGCTATTTATGTGGGAGCAGAATTGCTGGATGAGATAGGGCAGCTTTCAGTTAAAAATAGGAGCCAAGAAAGATCTTAGGAAAACTAGACGGCCGTTTCTAGTTGTAGTCAAATAATTCTTAGATTGCTCTTGGGATAAACCTTTAAAATAACTTAGTATTAAACTTCATTTTACCTGCTGGCTTTTTATATAGTAATTGGTCTCAAGCATGTGCATATATATATGTATACACCCACACAAACATAAATATATATATATATATATATGCATACGTATATATCACTCAATCTTCATTTTTTGCTCATTGGTTTGTTTGCTGATTTTGCATTTTTAATTTTTAATCTTGCATTAATAATAATACTGTTTATCTTGCTTTACTTCATATAGTTATTATAAAGATCAAGAGTTAGTATATATAAAAGAATTATATAAATTATAAAATAGCATATATACACAGCAATATGTGGTAAAGTGAGAAATAGTAAGTATTCTAGAAATAGTGATAGGACAGTTCTGGGTAGTTTGTAAAAGTGCTGGGTATTTTTTTAACCCACTTTTAACATTCTCCACTGCACTGACATATTGTATTGGGGTATATGTGAGATAAAACTGGGCGTGATGATAGAGCAGAGATTATGTATAGGTTTCTCTTTGAAAGGTTAGGAATGTCTGCCTGAAGGTTTATGTTGCAGAAAATTTTGAGGTTTTCTCAGTACTCTGCTTGACAGTGTTTTTTAGTAGATTAATGATGTCTTACACATGGGTGACAGATAGGAATACTGCATATTTTTCATTCATATCATAGGTTATTTTCATTTATTAGGTTATGTATCTCCTTTCTTCATTCTTAAATTCTTAATCTTGCAATCTTGGTGTTAGATTCCATATAATTTCATGAGACAGGTAAAATCCATCATTTTCAAAATTTTCAATGGGGCTAAATTATCAAGCTTTTTGTTAGCACAGTATCTTCTGAGCCTGCTTTTATATTATGATCAGTCTATCAGCCCACAAGTGGCCTTTCCTTCAGAGGACATGCTCTTATTTATACAACATCAATTTTAGAAAATCACCATAATTGAAAAGTTCTATTGGGGCCTGTATCACTTCAGGATTTTATTACCACAGTATAAATGCCTCTTTCCTCTCGCCAGTATGTTTTGAATACAAATTTGAGTGGTTATCTCTGAAGCGGAAAGAGAGAGCCTTCTGAAGAGAAGCTGCTTAGATGAAAGGAATATGATAAGACTCAGGGCTTCTCTAGAGAATTGGCTCAAACATATTCACCTCTGTCTTGAGCTGCTACTTTCAAATCTAGCCCATGTGCTCAGCAAATCAAAGGTTTTTGCCACTGAAAAAGAGGTAATGGACATCCAGGGATTTTTCATGAATTCAGTGAGGAAAACAACTCCCTGTTCTCAAGGATCATCATTACTGACTTCCATTGTCACACAGCCAGTATTACAGTGTTGCATTTCTGATTTGTTCCAAAACTGAACAATATCCCAAAACATGATTATAAAGAAATAGTGGCAATAGAAGCCCGTCTCTATGTTTTCTCTTTCTAATTGTGATTGCTCATGAAGATCCTGGCCTTAAGTCTAACTCTGAAATTAGCAGAAAACAGTGCTTTCTTTTCTGGAACAGAAGCAATGAGTGATTTGAGTGGGTATAAAAATTACTCTGTGCTTTATGATGTGTGAATTAATGAAAGTATTAAACCATTCTCATGATAGATGAGGAAATTATATCCACTGTTGCTGAAAGATATAAAACTATTTAATCATAAATTAAAGAGGTCTAAAACTGTGCAAGCTCACCAATAGTGCATGGACAACAAAGAGGTACAATTTTATAGCTTATTATGTACCACCTTAATTTCTTAACATTCATCATTTTTTTCTGCTTCATTACGGTCAGTGTTATTCCCAAAAACTTATTGAAAACAGCATCTTTTGCAGAAAGTAAGAATAAATATGGGTCAGGCTATTAGCACTTTTAGGAGGAATGCTATTAGGAAATAAAATTTCTCTATTTTATTAGCATGTTGCACTGTTAATTTTTATTTCCATTGACATTCACATCTAGCAGCTGTACCCTAAGCTCAAATGACATAATTTACTGCTCAAAGATTAAATCTGATTTTTAATAAATGGTTAGACTGTGGATCCAGAAAATATAATTCTTAAAATGTCACAGCAAGAATGCCACTCCTCATATTGGTAAAACTCTAGGGAATTTTTTGATTCATCAGCACAGGCTGTTACAGTCTAGTGTCATAAAGAGTCAGTGGAAGAATATCTTTACTGGATATCTCTTGTCTACTTCTTTATGTCATTATGCTTTCCACTGGTGTAACTCGATAATGCCTTTCCGAAGGCCTTGTGCCCTGTATTTTTCACTTCTTGCTCTGGAGCAACTCCTATGCCAAGATATAGGATGATGGCAGAAAACTTCTGAACATTTATACATGTACAATCTGGAGGTATAATCTGGGAATGCAGGATTGGTACCCTACAGTTACTCTTGACAATCTGTGATGAGAGCCACTGAATAATTGGTTCCGCCTCTCATCCCCTGAGACAATATCCCTTTCACCCCTTTATCAGGAATGGCAAAGGGAGGGCTTGTTTGCTAATCCTTTCTATTCTCTTATTCATCGTTAAAGAAGTTTATTTTCACACATGGCCTCAGAAATGCATGTGAAACAATATTCTCAGCAGGCATTGCCAAGTGATTGGAATTAGTCTCTTTGCCTGAACTCATTTCCCAGTGTTCTAATAAAAATTAAATTCGTAGTTAATCATAGACTCTGTCTTTTAGTCTGTAATCACTGATTCCTATTAACACCTGAAGAACTAAGGCTTCACACATGTAATAGGCTGTGCAATCACGGCTGTGACATGGAGGCGGGAGAGGAAGCTGGGCTTGCTTATGTACTTACTGACTGACCCTTCTTATGCTAATCTTGTGGAAATAATAGGAAAGAAATCTATACCTCCGCATAACTATAATCAGTATTTAACCATGAGTTAAAGAAAAGTAGATGAAAACAGAAATGTTGAATGTGCAAATTACATAAACCTACCAATGAAAGGTATTCAAAAAAAATCATGGCCAAGTTAAGTCCTGCTGCTAAGTTTCTGCTCTACCACTGAATCTGGCATTTGAGTTCAGAATCCTTTGAACCATTGAAGAGTATCCCTCCTGTTTTCAAATTTTTGAAAGAAAGGTTTGGTGGTGATTATCCTGTGTCTGCCACGCACTGTATATTGTGTGTGTAACAGTGGCTACTCTCTCATTCATTCCTTGGATGAGCAATCCTGAAAATGCCTCTAGCTGCATTGATTACCAGTGCTTCAAAGTAGTGGTAAACTTGATAACATAACCTTGGACTGGCTTTCCCTGTTACTGCATTACTATCCAGTTCCCACACCCATTCCTTGGGATTATTTCCTGAAATAAATTAGCTACATACAAGACCCTATTGGTCAGGCTTTATGTTTTAAGAGAAACTAAGTAAGGCAGATGCTTAATGATTTGCATATTTCACAACTATTTTGAGGAGTACAAGTAACAGAAATACAACTCAAACTAATTTCAAGCAAAACACAATAAGCATTACTATTTGCTCACATATAATAATAACTGAGGAAAGCTGGCTAGGAACTCAGATGAATTTTTTAGTATTGGCCTCTCTTGATCTTTCAGACTTGCTTTGTGTGTGTTTATGTATGTGTGTTGGCTTCATTCTAAAACAAATCCCTCAACCACAGGTAATCTCCCATGGCCACAGGTTTGTACTTTGTTAATTTCTAAATCTAGTGGAAAAGTATGTTCTCTTTTCAGTATTTTCAACAGAAGGTATAAAATTGAGTATCTTTTCCTCACTTTGGCCTTACTCTCTTCATGTCTTATACTGTGGTCAGTGAGATGTGATGCTCCAGTTAAATATTCCTGAACCACATGTCAATCTTTATAGCTAAAAAGACCCAAGGCTTCCCCATCTTAATATGGTTTGAGAGTATAAAAGTAGTTGTTCAACAAGTAAAATCAGAAGGTTATTGCCATCAGAAGTGAAGACGAATGATGGGCAGACAAAAACAACAAAAGACACTATATGGTTTTATCATCTCATTTATACTTCACAGCCCATTTGACCAACAGAACACTGTGAGTTTGTACCTCTCTAACCCTGCCCACATTCACTAAAAACCACCCACAAATCTCCAGCTTTTTCTCTTGCTTCATTTACTGTGTCTGGGTAACAGGCATCATTTTACAAGCATTCTATTAGTGTTGATGTTTGGCTCAGCACTTCGGTGTATTTGAAGGGTTTCTCTCAAGTCTGATGACATCCAAGTGCTCACTGCAGGATTTCTCCATTTTCCTACAGGGCCATCACTCTTAAGAATGCACACACATCATCAATATTCTTTTTTAATGGTTGTCTTTATTGTGTGTATTCAAGCATTGAAAGGAACCTATTGAGGTCATCATACTCTCCTTGATGTGTTTCACTTCCTAGGGAGAATTTGTGATAAGCCAAAGAGTAAGATGTGACATTCTGACAGTGTAGTTTATCAGAGCTTTCAAGATAGATGTGGTGGGATGATGGAATAGACATTGTGGTAAGAGGAAAAGAACAAGTTTTTGAAGATATGGACCTTGCTTTCTCATTATCTTTATAAAAGACCATCAAGTTCCCACTTAGGAACTTGTGTAATCATTTTAGCTTGGACTTCAAGTTAAGCCAAAGAATAAAAACCCAGAGGGCTGATTTGGTAGTTCTGCAGCTGTGCCATGGTTATATTTCATATAACATTACTTGTCTCAGGCAATTTTCCACTGACACATGCCGAAGAAATTGCAAATCAAAACGATATTAAAAATTAGGTTGAACAGCGCTACTGAATAGTAACTTGGGCGTGGTCTAATTAACTTTTTGACTTCTTGCTTGACCCCTGGGTTTACTTCAAATCCTCATTATTTAGCTTTCTATCTGGTGTAACACTGCCAACACAAAAAAAGGAAGATTAGAATATATTGAAATCAGGGCAACAGGACCTCCTATGGTGAGAAAATTACTCAGAAAGGATATTCTATGAAGATGAGCTTGGAGAGACATTGTCAAATAGATAGTGGATTAGAATTCAGTATGAGCAGATGGTCAACCTGGACCAAGTCCTAGCGACTGGCCAGAATGTCTCACTCTGTAAAGGACTTTGATAGATTATCTTTGTTTTTGTATTTTATTTTATTATTAGTATTATTATTATTTGTATTTACTTTCTAGAAGAGCTTCCCTTATTCACCCATTATATGTACCACATGACCTTTTGGTAAATGGTACTTAAAAAATGATTCCTCTATGTCATAATTCTCTGAATAGTGTAATGGGCAATTTATTATGTAAAATTAATTCCTTAGACCATGAAAAGAAACAGGTACAGTTTTTCCCATGAAGCTTATATGCCTGCCACAGAATGGATACAAAAATATTTATAAACCTTTCATTTCTATACAGCGATGAGGGTCATATTTGTGTCTTAAAATTCCTTTCTGTGATCCTAAAAGTTGATGAAGTTCATTGGACTGGAACTCCATAAGGGTGAGCTTTAGGATGTCTAGCATAATGACTGAGTCTAGTAAGAACGGAAATATTTTTAAATTAATTAGTAGGTGAATCCTTCACTGGTCCCAGGTCTTTGAGAAAGACATCCCTGTGTTGCATAAAGTTTAAATTAAAATTGCAAGTTTTCTAAAGTAAATGCTTTAGAAAATGAATGGAAGGGGCCTGCAGTCAGGAAGAAACCTATCTACAGTTTATCCAAGCTATGGGGAAGGATAAGGCCCTGTAGGCTACCCCTTACTCTTTGGTCAGGATTGAGAGGGGGCTAAACTATTTTATGGCTTTCATATGGTGCAATTCTGTCTTGTCCTTGCTGTTTCTCTCGTGTTGAATTTTTCTGTGTTCCCTTGGGGAGGTGGAGTTCCAGAAGTGATTGGGAAGTCTTGAGTGAAGAGTGCTAGTAACCACCTCTGGGTCCCTTAAGTACAAAGTCTCTAATATGTCTCCTTACTTCCTTTAAATTCTAATATGAGTTGCTCTTGGAATTTTGTGCCTCATTACAATTTGTTCCACAAACTTTTGTGGAATTTAGAAGGCTTTTCATAACATTTAACGAATTAAGAAAACCTGATAAAATTCTCATTGATTTTTTTTAGTTTTAGAAAGTTTCAAGCCAAGTGTTGTGGTATGCATATATAGTCAGAGCTACTCAGGAGGTCCAGGAGGAAGGATTGCTTGAGTTCAGGAGTTCAAGACCAGCCAGGGTGGGGGGAAATATATATATGAAATTTATATTTTCCCAGAAAAATTTTGGAAGGAGAGGCCATGTTGAAGATATCATGTCTAATATTATCTTGAAAATTATCACCGCATTTATTTAGAACTCACTATATGCTAGACACAGTGCTTACTGCTTTATATTCATTATTTCATGTAACTCTCTGACAATCAAGCAAGATAGCTTTCTAAAATCTTAGTTTTATACATTGTAAAAAAAAACGATGCATAGAGAGAGGTTTACCAATTTTACAAAGCTGGGAAGTAATTAAACCAAATTTTCAACATCAGATTTTTTTTTTTAATTTAAAAGCCAAGTCTCCTTTGCAATGTGATACACTTAACTTCATAGGAACACAACAATAATCATAATGACTGGGTCATTTTACAGCCCTTATAAAAATGTAGTCCTACTTCTAGCTAAGGTTTTTTAATGATCTCCTCTTACTCTCCTCATATGCATTCACAGTGCTCATTAAAACTAATCTTTCATATCTTAGTCACCCTATGAAAATAGTTCCAGCAACCTGTTAATAATAAGGTTTCCGTATCCAGGATTTAATCTTCAAAATGTTTTCCTTAGATGCTCAAGTGCTTTAAACTTTCTTATTAAGAAGCTTCTAATTCTCTCCTTTCTCTGTGTGCTACTTAATCTATAGAACTTCCAGGACTTTAAATGTTCCATTTACTCATACGAATCACTAAAATACTTAGCTTCACCAATCCATGCATAGAAAGCACAAGCACTATAGAAACAAATGAGCTTATGTTAATAATTTGAAGACAAATAATTTTAAAAAATACATGGGACTATTTTTTGTGACAAATATATTTAATGATGGACCAAACATTATTATTTCCATTTCTTTACCAAAAGGTTTGCCTGGTCATTTTTCCATAAGCACAACTCAGAGAAAAGGAAAAAAAAATTAACCTTTAGTCAGTTGCCTGGAGGTCTTTGACAGGTGCCTGAGTTGACTCTACCTAACATGCTCCTTTACGTTAACTCACAGAGATTTTTAGATATCAAAATCATAGGCAAGACTAATGGAAATAATTTCCATATGCTGTCTTGCTTGCATGTATTTATGTAATTTCCTTCCAAACACTTCTCTATGACTTTAGGTTTACACATTTAAAAATGAAAACAGAAACTTTTACATTTCTATTAATTGTAAGGAAAGAAATGCTGAAAGGATACTTTTAAAATAGCAATGGTTCTAATTATCATAGAAATGCAAAAGGAGCAAAATTCAAGTATCTGCACCAAGTAGACTGTCATATATACTTCCGTAGTGTCAGTACGTGCCAACTTTGGCTTTACAAACCTGGTCACACTGTTAACAAAGAAATGGTAGTGTAGGCTCTCTGCTCAAGGAAAGTATCATCTAAAGGTATCACACACACTCACATACTATGTATTGCATATATATTCTGTCTTCTATTTTATAATATTTTGTGATTTTTAGCTTAAGCTATTTTGTTTAGTTTTTGTCACTTGTAGACAAGATATTCATAACTAACATAGTCTTGAAAAATGAAAAAATGGCCATGATGTGGTTGAAGTCAGGGTGAGGGCTCATCAGCAGAGAAGTTTGAGGAACAATGGAAAGGATTGCCCATTTTTTCCCTTCTCATTTGCAGAGAAGCAACCTCTTTGTCTTTAATTAGCTAATCTATAGAACAGAGTCTGAAGTTTTACCTCCATAAATGGGACCTTGCAAAGTTCTAAGTTAAGCAAAGAAACTGATATCTATGAAAGGAAGTTAAAATAGGCTAAGACTAATATTTATAATGAAGCTTCCAAAGTTGAAGTGTTCCACTTTGTTTTATTTAGAGATATTAAAGCGTGGTGAAAATTGGAAAAATATGCAAAGAGATGTATTTTTCAATAACTAAACATCATTCATTTAATTTGCAATGGCTGTTTTATGATTCCTTTTATAGATATCACTTCACATATTGCTACTTTGAAAACAGCAGATGCGTCTCTCTCTTTTTTTAATTAACTAGTCAGTGAGCCTCTTTTTTTGTTTTCTGTTTTTTACTTTCCCTACAATCCAAATTTTCATGTCAAAAGGAGAATCCACTCACCCTGAATGGACATAAAACCAGATACAGTGACATAACTGATTATCTTCTGGAAGGAATAATATGCTTTTATAATGATGCATTTAATGACACATTATCCAGATCTTGTCTCACACTGAAACTGCAAACAATAACTCACCTGTTTTCACATCTTTATTAAAATTAAACCTTTCTTTTTTAGGTCTGGGTTCAGATGGTCATAAATTATACTAAAAAAGGTGATGGGTAGAAAATAGGTGAAACTGAGTTTATAATAAAGATGATCCTTTCCCATTCTCCACAGATTTCCAGCTCTGTGTGGGCAGTAATGAAACAAAGACTCCAGATGTATAGACACATAAATAAGCTTCCTAGTAATAAATCTTTATTGCTACAAGATTGATACCGAGCCCAGATTGCTCAGATAAAATTTTTTGTACAGCAATTTCCTCAAAGTCATAAGGAGGAGATGTAGGTTGCGTGAAAAGAGATTGTGGTTACCCTTGCCTATGGGCACTCTCTTCTCAGCATTGTTGGAAATGTAGGGAAACATTGAAGAGAATTCTCACAATTATTACATAATTTAAGGAGTCAGTTTTAAAGAAAGGTATCAGACACTAGTTATTCAGATAAGTTTAAGAATCTAGATAGAGTAGAGTAGAAGTGAGAAAATAATTCAATGAAGAGAGCTTTTTCAATATAAACTGGTGATCCACATTCAATATTTCTTGAGTTGGCTGTGCATCTGGACTTAGATTCAGCCATAGAAACACCCCTTTGACAAAGTGAAACAGATGCTGTGGAATGAGTAACAAGATTTATTATTGAAGCTCCTATCTCTCAAGGTTTTGTCAGAAATGACACTCAATGGAGGTTGAAAGATCTACAATATTCCCACAAGATATCATCTAGCCACAAAACCAAAATTTGAGCTGTGTTTCTTTTTAAAGAAAGGCTTAAGATGTAATAGATCATTTCTTTTAACCTATTTCATTCTCATGACTTCATGTCTCATGACACATTGTATCTCATGGTGAGAGAGAGAAAACAGAAGAAGAAATTGGAAGAGCCAAGGGAGGGTAAACAGAAGTACTTTGAACCGTAAAAAAAGCATGAGATCTTCAGCATCAGTGCTCCAGGAAAAATTAGGTTGAAAAAAGTGACTTAAAAGGGAAAAAATAAAAAGAGGTGCCACAAAATGGCCACTCGTGGTCTATGGATGTGATAATTTGTAAACTGGGAAAAAAATGTTATTATTCAGTCACCTACCATAAACTTCCTCAAAGTGAGGACTATAGCTGAAGAGCTGAAATCACTGTTGATAGCATGCATCTCTGCTCTCAGTTGGTCCTGTTTGGAAGTACTCTTTCTCTTTGTTTTTGCTGTCTCCCAAATTATTATAACTAATCATCTACCCTTCCACAATTTTTACTAGTGTGAAAGAAGTTTAATTCAGTGGTGAAGTTCATCAATCATATACAGTTGGGTAGGATAACCAGCCACTTATAAAGCCATTGACTTTCAGGCATCTCTTAATCTTTCTCTGAAAGTCTATCTTTAAAATATTGTAAATAAGAGTAATTACAGTATATCAAGAATGATAATATGATTAACTTAAATAATACATGAAATTTCTTAGTATGGTTATTGTCAAATTCTCAAGAAATGTTAGTTGTTAGTATTTGTTAAAAGAATAGTGACAGGAAAGCCTTTGGGAAAATAATTTGAGAACTCTACCGCATTTCAGTAGCTCCTATCATGGACCCTGCTTGAGATCTTATGTTTAGACACTACGGATCTTTTATTTTTCAATCTCATTGTCCAAATTTATGTAAACACAGTGCTGTCTACTTCCTGAACACTGATTTGTACTAGTAAAGCTAGAAAAAAATTAATTTTAGCAATATGAGAAGATTAAATTATTAGTAAACAGCTTTGAAAACCTGAAAAGAGAGCTATTTCTTGTATTACACACAAAATCTATATTTGACAGAGAGCCCTTTATCTTTAAGGGCTTTTTTCCCAACTATAAAGATTCATCATGCCATATGTTTTTGGAGTGTGTCTGAGAGCATTTCACACTGGCTCGAGAAAACTGAAAAGAAACTTAAACAGTCTTGGCATGGAAGAAGATAAATCCACAGTCAATAGCCATAGTCATGGATAAGCAAAGGATTTGAGGATAGTCAACTTTCTATGAGGAGGAGAGGGAAGACAAGAATGGTTTACTGGAAATAACTTTGTGACTACCAGTAATCCTGGGTTAGCATTCCAAACTTGTCTTCTACTAGCTACTTAGCATTAAGCTTATTTCAATCAATCTGAGTATCCATCTGTCCATCTGTAAAATGTAAATATCAATATCTACCTCATGGTTATTGTAAGGATTAATAAGAATGTTCTTTAAAGCATAAGCATCATGAAGAGGTGGGAAAGTTCGAGAAGGATGTCCACAATAGCATTATGTGTCAATCGTATGCCTCCTATTGACTTTGACTGCAAAAGTTGAGTGTAAGCAATGTTACTGAACAATATAGTCAAACCTAAGAAAAGAACTGGATCCTGGGGAAAAGCTTATTCTTTTCCCAGTTTTTAGACTTGGCCTCTCTTAGTTCTCATCCGTAATCTGCCCTGCTTCCCAACTTTCCAAATGAAATTTTACTGCTGCCTCTAAATTCTAAAACATATATATTGCCAGTTTAGACAGGTTCAGAAATGTACAGACTTGCTCCATAAAAATATCAGATGGATTTCAAAAATCCCATATGAGAAAAGTTTATTGTTTTAACTTAAATTCAGTGTCTATTTGTGGTCCAATTAACTATAATAGGTTCGGTATAGAAACAATGACTTCTAGAACTTCAGTGATCAGATTAGGGGCCAATTGGAGATATGTAACTATTTTAAAACTATTTTAACATAATAAAGAAAAACTGACTATAGGGAAATATGCTGGAGATAGTCATTATCAAGAAGTCACCAAGTCCTGTTTTCCTTCACATTTATTAGGGCATAGTAATAGAGACCTTTCCATCATTTATTCTGTATTTTCATTGCAAACCTGAAAATACCCAATTATTAATTTAGATTAAGAATTTATCTCAAAGATCATAGTAATATAACCCAAAGATTATGCCCTGAAATCAAGTTGCCTAAAATTCGATGTTATTTCTCTTTTGTTCTGTAATCTTTCCTTAAGACTTTATTGATCTCCTCATAAGTGATTGAAGAAATGGGATAGTATTTATCCACATATTAAAAGAGAACTGCCAATTCTCATTCTCTGTATTCTTCCCTTCACCACCCAGTTGCAAAGGTAAACTTTTTGGTCAGTTTTACTTCAGCACCTAAATATTATATAAATATCTAAATATTATATTATTTGAGGTTTCTCATTGACAAATTTTGAAAATGAGCTAGATTTATGTTTCTACAAATCATTTAGCTGGCATAATACAGATGAGTATTCACAAGATTGAATAACCTTAGCAGATGCTACAGAAGACTTCAGTCATTTTTTTGTTCTCCCCTAACCCAAATTTGTCTTCTTGACTCCATCAAGTCAGTTCCTTCTGAATCTCATGTGCAGGCTATTACCCATTAATTGTGGTCCTGGTAGGCTGAATAATAGCTCCCCAACACATCCACATTCTACTCTCTGGAATCTGTGAACTTTTGCCTTATATGGAAAAAGATGTGTCACAGATGTAAGTAAATTAAAGGTTTTGAGATAAGGATATTTTCCTGGATATATGAGTGTGTCCTAAATATAATCACAAGTGTCTTTAGAAGAGAGGCAGAGAGAGATTTGAGTACAGAAAAGAGAGTAAGATTTAAGACAATGGAGGCATGAAGTTGAAGTAGTTTGACCACAAGCAAAGGCATGCCACCCAACACAGGAAGCTGGAAGAGACAGGAAATTAATTCTCCCTTGGAGCTTCCAGAGGTAACAGTTGTATAGAACTGTTGATTTTTAGCCTCATAAGGTTAATTTTGAACTTCTTTTATCTGTAACTGCAAACAAATAAATTTCTGTTATTTTAATCTAAAAAAACTGTGGTAATTTGTTACAGTAGCAATAGTAAACAAACATGCTGCTGGTCTGGATTTGTGTTTAGAATAATTCTAAGGGTTTTCCAAAACCCAGAAATAATTCGTGAATTTATTGGTTTTAATTGTCATAGATTAGGAAGAAGTGTAACAGTATTTGTGCCATATATGTTTAATTTCTGCATATTTCAAGAGACACTATGGGATGGAAAAAAGTTTTAACAATTATACAGATTAGATGTCATAAAATCTGAAAACTGTTGTTACCATGCTGTCATTTACTGCATAAATAGTAGACCCTTGGCACTCTGGAGAGATATATTCAGATATTTCTGCAAACCACTAGTCTTGGTATTATCGCTAAAAGTTTACTAAGCACTGTTTATGTTCCATCTACTATTCTCAACACCTTAAACATATGCTTTCTCTTTTTCATCCTCACAGCAGTCCCATGACCTAAGTGCAGTAATTATAACCTTGTGAGTCTAAGAAAACGGAGGCTTAGAAGAATTAAGTAATGTGCTGAACCACACAGCTAGTAAATGGAGTTGGCATTCAAGCAGTTCTACTCCACATGCCTTAACCTCTGTGTTGCAGAGTCTACAATGTGTAGGGAACCTAAAAATAATTGAGACAAGAAGGAAGGGCCACTGAGTAGGCACACTCATTAGCTGCCTAACTTGCTCTTTTATGCCAGTCTCACAGTTACCTTTATTCAATTTAGTCTGGACACTCTGCATACACTGTCTTATTTAATCTTCACAATAATCTTATAACTTAGCTGTGATTTTTACTAAATCTTTACTTTTAGGGTATTCAGAAAATATTTTAAAATTCTGAAATCGTAAACGTCAATGGACTATCATAGCACAAGTATCTTTTACAAGTATATTTACAATTAGATTAACTCTTGACAATATAACAGTAGAAACTAGGAGGCAAGATCATTATCATTTCCAGTGATAGAAAATGTTACTAAAATTTTTAAAAAAGAGTTCAAGGTACACGGAATGTGAATGTATATGGTAGAGCTATATTTATCTTCCCTTATGCTCAAATAGAGTCATGTTCCACTTCACTGTACATAATTTATGTTTACGATATATTATGTAGTTAATTTTTCTTTTGCACATTATTTGTTATTTATTTTAAAGGCTTATATTATCGAACAAAGGAAATGCCATGTCAATTTGAAAAAGCCAAGCAAGGAATCTCCCTTCTTCCCAGAGCTGGACTCATGAGGCGGCACCAGGCACTTGGTCATGTCATTCTCAGTGTAGAAAAATATTGATATATTTGTAAAATATCTAATTGCTCCTCTGGCAAAAATGTAGGATGATTTAGAACCTAGAAAAGAAAGAAGGAGGAATGCTTCATGGAAATTAATATTTAATTTTAAGGTTTAAATTATCTTTGCATTAATAGAGTTGTTTGATACATAATTCACATATTGAACTCAGTCAGCTTTGAATTTGTAATTGGATGTGGGCCAGCATGATTTCTTTATTGCTATGTTGTAAGAGATTTAAACATTAGCATTTGTTTGTTTATTGTGTTCTTTTTTTTTTATTTTTGCATTTTGTCTTTTTTGAGGGAGAAGGTGAAATAATAAATTATAATTTGGGTAACAGGTTTTTAATCCTATTTCATCACTTTTTAGTTTTATAATCTGAGATGATTGATATAGCTTCTCTGCCTCAATAACAACAAAAAGAGTGGGGACAAAACACTGTCCCTGTCTACATGAGGGAGATGTGTGTGTGTGTGTGTGTGTGTGTGTGTGTGTGTGTGTGTGTGTGTGTTGGGCACTGTAAGTATTTTACTATTACAGGTAGTCAGGCATGAGCAGGGCAAGAGAGGGCTCTTTCCCCCACCCACTAGAAATGTCAGGTGATGGTTTGCCGGTTATATCATTGCCTCTCTAGAGGGGATAAATTGGCAGCCTGTGCCATGGAGAGGTCATTTCCTGATGGTCCACACCTATTAACACCAAAATATTAATTGAATGTACACCCCAGAAAGAAGCAACTTTCTAGGCATGAACATTAAGAGAAAAAAATGGTGACGTATGATCTTCTGGGTACGCCCCTTTGGAAAAAGGGAAGAAAGCCTCAGGTTGGCAAGCATATAACTCCCTAAACATAGTGCAGGTGCTCCATTCCCAAGGATAAGGAGAACACTGTGCAAGAGGAAAGCGCACCCTAATGGAAGAATCATGGGAAAGAGGTGCACCTATGAAAGTCCTAGGATCATGGTTCAATGGGGCACTTGAACTTCTCTCTCTTTAACCTTCATGAACCCTCTTGGATCTCTTCCAAGTGAACTTTCCTTTCTTTTCTGTTCTAAGGCCTTTTAAACAAACTTCTACTACTGCTCTGGAACTCATCTCAGTCTCTTTTTCTGCTTTATGCCCCTCAGTCAAATTCTTTCTTCTGAGGAGGCAAGAATTCAAGATGCTGCAGATGTATAGGGATTCGCAGCCAGTAACTCGGCGTAACTTCGATCTCTTCACCAGTAACATTATGAGATGATGAAGTGATTTCTCTCTGTTCTGAACTCACATGAAACATAGTTTTCTTTATATTTCTTGCCATAGACAGAGTCTGCACTTTGTCTTATTTTTTCTCTGTGAGTGCAATGTTTCTTGAGGGTAAGATGGTCTTCTGCCATTGTATTCTCAGTGGTGCTTGTCCCAAAATAGGTGCTTGATTAAGGTCCTGGGAAAGAACAGGGGAAAAGAAGAAGATAAAGATAATATATTTATTGATTGATTCATTTCTTCACTGAAAGATTTTATATGTTTTTAGATTCATATAAATTTATATTCACACATGTGAAAAGGCCATGTCATGTAACAGCTACATATCCTTGTGATTTTCAGCTGGTAACTTAATATGATTTGGGCTTCATCCTTTCCATAGTAAGCAAGTTGGTTTTATGACTCAACTTCTGACTCTGTTCTTCAGTGTGTGGCTTCCAGTAAGGGACTTTTATAGGATGAATCCAGGAAACATTTAGGTGGTACAATCCACCTACTGTTCAAAAGTGATGGAAAGGCGAGTTTGGAGGTGATAGGCCTTTTCTAAATGGCTCCGTGAGCATTTTTATTTCACTAACAACATAGAGACTATGACAGGCAGAATATTGTCCCCACCACAAAAATATTCATGTCTTAATCTTAGAACTTATAAATATGTTGCTTTACATGACAAAAAAGGCTTTGCAGATGTAATTAAATTAAAGATTTTGAGATAGGGAGATTATTGCAGATTAGCCAGTGGGCCCATTGTAATCACAGGGGTCCTTATAAGGTGTATGGGTCAGAGTTAGCAAAGGAGATGTGACAATATAAGTGGAGGTCAGAGTGTGAGATTGAGAACCAGGGAATGTGGGCAGCCTCTCAAAGCTAGAAAGGCCAAGGAACCAATTCTACCCTAGAAACTCCAGACAGAACACAACCCTGCTCACACCTTCAATTTATACTGTAAGACCTGTTTTGACTTTCTCCCTTCCAGAACTGATCCCAAATTATTGGTCTTCATTTCTTTCTATTAGACTGTATATTTCTTGAGGACAGTATTCTTATGTGGTTAGTCATTACATCCTCTGTAACATCCAGGACAATACTAAACAAAATGAGAGGATTCAATAAATAGCAAAAGAACATATATCAGTAAATCCCCCCAACCCCTGCCCAGGGAATTGATAGAGTCATGTACAGTCATGGATGTTTTCAAGTAGATGGAAGGTCGGAGAAACAGGTTGGCCAATGGAGAGGACACTACCGAGTATGTGTTTGAAGTGGCTAGCAATAAATCCTTAGTAATCAGTTAAGGCATACAACAATAACAGCTTGGCATGAACCCTAAATATACAATGTGGATATTCCTTAGAAAATATATCCTTTAGTAAACTCATTCTGAAGGAGCTGGTTAGTTAGGATGCTGGTTCCTAATAAAAAAGAAGAGAAACTGTTTCTAGCAAGAGGTAGTAAAAGCTGAAGTAACATTTACTGAGCACTTTATGAGACATTTAAGTACAATTACTAGAAAATACTAATTGGAGAGTGAAATTACCTCTTTAAAAAGTTAAATGATTTGAGAGGGGATATTCATTTGAAAAATCATTTGGGAGTTCTAATTCAATCTATAGAATTAACAAAACCTACGTATTCTTTTTGTACTCCATATTTCTAGAAATGTTGGAGGAGCTTCAATGAGTGAGAAACTGTGTTACCTGCAAAAGATAAAAGCAAAACAGAATGCATTGATGAAGATAATTCAATCAGCATGCACAGCATAGAATTGTTATAGATTGGGTAACTTCATCAAGACTTCTCCATGACTGAAGGTGGTAGATTCTGAAGGTAGGAAAAAATGCAGGGACTTTGACATCTTTAAGCCTTTGAGGTCTATTCTGTTCCAGTTATCACTATGAACTTTGTTTTATTGGCTCTCTAGCCTCCCTTTCTCCTGCTTCTCTCATAAGCCCACTCAATTTAACCTTCTGATATATTGGACCTATGTCTCCCATCCCATCTTGGAGTTTTCCTCTGGGCATTTTATCCCTTCAATACCCCACCCTCACAAGAAGGAAGGAAGGAGGGAAAGAAGGAAGGAAGGAAGGAAGGAAGGAAGGAAGGAAGGGCAGGAGAGGAGAGAAGAGGGGAGGGGAGGCGTTATCTTTCAATAAGTTGGTATTATTATATTTTAATAATACCTAATGTCTTTAGTTTTATACTAAAACCAGTGGACCAAGCATCAGTAGACCAAGTAGGACTCAAGAATGAGAATATCTTATAGGTGAATACATGCTTTAGAAAATCAAGCATATGAAAGCCATATTTTACCATAGTAATGTATTAGATGACAAAACTCAACTTTCAAAACAATCTGTGTGTTGAGATTAAACAAAGAAGCCCTTTAAGTGGCAGTCTTTTCACTATACATGTTTGTTTATAGGTCATTCACTAGAAAAATACATGAAGGAGATGGAAAGGATTTGGAACTAAAGTAAAATGGTACTGTGTACTGATATCTAGCCAAAAGAATGATGTCATATTGCTGAAATGTCTAATAAACTTTGGAAGAAGCAAATGCATTTTATTATTAAAAATTAGCATCAGGACACTCATAAGTGGAAAATGAAAATATGCAAACAAATAAATGTTCTTGATGCCAAAAGTATAATAAGACTATATTTTGTAATAAAACTTAAAAAAGTCCAAGATAACATTTATCCTCATGCATAGCTTGACTTAGTAGTCAAATGATATCATCCATGAAATTTATCTCCAGTCATCTTCTCCCATTATGTGTGCTGGCCTCATTCTCAGATAGGTTCTCCTACTCTATGCAGGATTAAATCCAGGAAAAAAGAAGAGAAATAGCAATTAAAAAAAATCTTTCTCTTTTCTGATCAATCTCTCCTCTGATTGGTTCAAACTGGCCCCACTGTGATTTCATAACTACCCTCACCACAATGTTTATAGTCAAGGGAATGAAATGTGTTTCTTGGCTTGGGCTTAAGTCTTATGCCCATGTCTGGAACTGGAGTGGGATCGGCCACATTGAAAGAACACAGCCTGAGGGCAGGGAAGCTATTGAGCCCCAGAGAGAAGTTAAAGTACTTTTCATGAAAGGTAGGAGAAATCTATATAGGGTGATTTAAGAAAACTATATTTCCAGTGTACTAATTGTGTACATGAATATCCTGTGTAGTTGTGATGCTTAGACTAATATTTTGGATAAAGTCTGGCAGTACCTTTCACTGCCAATAGCAATGAGGCCTTACTATAAGAAGTAGGCAGAGCACAGCAACCAGAAGACTCTCCCATGTAAGCTTTGCTTCCACTTGCCACTAGGAATGCAAGCAACTTCAGCAGATAAACCTGCATGAGTGCCCACACACCATACTCAAATACCACCTCAGAACTAACTACAGCTCCAGAACAGTGTTAATGAGCAATACTAATCTAGTCAGGGGATGGAAAGAGAAAGAATAAAAATGTTATTTCTTCGATTTTACAAACCAGAAAAAAAAGCACATGTTCATCATATGTAGATCTTCCAAGCTATCCAGGATTTACCAAAAAATCAAACAAACAAACAAAAAACAAAACCCATTAAATCCAATACAAAATCCTGAGAAAAATATAATTCTCTATTTTAGATTTAAATAAAATGAATGTGGTTTCCAGTTTCCACTTCAACAATATTTTACAGTGCTAAGTTCTGTAGGTTGATCCTCATACACATACAAATTTCTTTAGAGGTGATTCTTTGGTTTTCAGAGTGGAGAGGTAGCCCCTTGGGATCCAGGTAGAAGGACAAGCAGAGACGGGTGTGTCTCTGCCTTTATTCTGTTCCCCATTTTCCATTTTTTCCTGCTGTTTGTGGAGGTTTTGGTTGCCATCTCAGGGCCTTCATTCTGTCTTGCCTCAGCTTCCCATCACTTTAAGCCCAAAGTGGAACTGGTCTACTTTGGAGGAGGAGACTTTGAGAGTCAAATATCTCAGCCAGGTTCACACTGGGTACACCATAAACTAGATCTAGAGATTTCCATCAATACAAGATACTACAATGCAACACAAAAAGTATTCCTGCCATTACTACTTTTGGAAACAGTGTACACATTTGCAGTTTCTTTATCTTTGTTCATTCTTATCTTTTTCCATCATCCCTAAACAACATACTATTAGCATCTCCTCCCATTTATCCATATTGTCCCTCCCTATATGGAAAATTCTGTCTTTTTCTGTCCTTTCTTTAAAATCCTGACTATAGTATAGTTTGAAGTCAGGTAGTGTGATGCCTCCAGCTTTGTTCTTTTGGCTTAGGATTGACTTGGCAATGCGAGCTCTTTTTTGGTTCCATATGAACTTTAAAGTAGTTTCTTCCAATTCTGTGAAGAAAGTCATTGGTAGCTTGATGGGGATGGCATTGAATCTGTAAATTACCTTGAGCAGTATGGTCATTTTCACGATATTGATTCTTCCTACCCATGAGCATGGAATGTTCTTCCATTTGTTTGTATCCTCTTTTATTTCCTTGAGCAGTGGTTTGTAGTTCTCCTTGAAGAGGTCCTTCACATCCCTTGTAAGTTGGATTCCTAGGTATTTTATTCTCTTTGAAGCAATTGTGAATGGGATTTCACTCATGATTTGGCTCTCTGTTTGTCTGTTGTTGGTATATAAGAATGCTTGTGATTTTTGTACATTGATTTTGTATCCTGAGACTTTGCTGAAGTTGCTTATCAGCTTAAGGAGATTTTGGGCTGAGACAATGGGGTTTTCTAGATATACAATCATGTCTTCTAGGCTACACTAACCAAAACAGCATGGTACTGGTACCAAAACAGAGATATAGATCAATAAAACAGAACAGAGCCCTCAGAAATAACGCCGCATATCTACGACTATCTGATCTTTGACAAACCTGAGAAAAACAAGCAATGGGGAAAGTATTCCCTATTTAATAAATGGTGCTGGGAAAACTGGCTAGCCATATGTAGAAAGCTGAAACTGGATCCCTTCCTTACACCTTATACAAAAATCAATTCAAGATGGATTAAAGACTCAAACGTTAGACCTAAGACCATAAAATCCCTAGAAGAAAACCTAGGCATTACCATTCAGGACATAGGCATGGGCAAGGACTTCATGTCTAAAACACCAAAAGCAATGGCAACAAAAGCCAAAATTGACAAATGGGATCTAATTAAACTCAAGAGCTTCTGCACAGCAAAAGAAACTACCATCAGAGTGAACAGGCAACCTACAGAATGGGAGAAAATTTTCGCAACCTACTCATCTGACAAAGGGCTGGTATCTAGAATCTACAATGAACTCAAACAAATTTACAAGAAAAAAACAAACAACCCCATCAAAAAGTGGGCGAAGGACATGAACAGACACTTCTCAAAAGAAGACATTTATGCAGCCAAAAAACACATGAAAAAATGCTCATCATCACTGGCCATCAGAGAAATGCAAATCAAAACCACAATGAGATACCATCTTACACCAGTTAGAATGGCAATCATTAAAAAGTCAGGAAACAACAGGTGCTGGAGAGGATGTGGAGAAATAGGAACACTTTTACACTGTTGGGGGGACTGTAAACTAGTTCAACCATTGTGGAAGTCAGTGTGGGGATTCCTCAGGGATCTAGAACTAGAAATACCATTTGACCCAGCCATCCCATTACTGGGTATATACCCAAATGACTATAAATCATGCTGCTATAAAAACACATGCACATGTATGTTTATTGTGGCATTATTCACAATAGCAAAGACTTGGAACCAACCCAAATGTCCAACAATGATAGACTGGATTAAGAAAATGTGGCACATATACACCATGGAATACTATGCAGCCATAAAAAATGATGAGTTCATGTCCTTTGCAGGGACATGGATGAAATTGGAAATCATCATTCTCAGTGAACTATCGCAAGAACCAAAAACCAAACACCGCATATTCTCACTCATGGGTGGGAATTGAACAATGAGATCACATGGACACAGGAAGGGGAATATCACACTCTGGGGACTGTTGTGGGGTGGGGGGAGGGGGGAGGGATAGCATTGGGAGATATACCTAATGCTAGACGAGGAGTTAGTGGGTGCAGCGCACCAGCATGGCATATGTATCCATATGTAACTAACCTGCACAATGTGCACATGTACCCTAAAACTTAAAGTATAATAAAAAAAAATGAATAAATAAATAAAATAAAATCCTGACTATACTTAATGGCCTATCTTAAATCATGTCACCTCCTTTACCCCTTTTCTGGTTTTATTGTATGCAAGGAATTGAAGAGCACTGTATACTCCTAGAGGGTTGGTCCTATAACTTCAAAGGTTCTATGATTCCTCCTACATTGTAAGATGTGTTGCTGAAGTAATTCCAATAGTTTCCATACATTTCAAACAATTCTCAAACTGTCATACTACTCTAAATATTCATTGATTGAGCAAATTGCTCAGGAAATCTCATAGTTGTCTGTGCATCAGTGACATTAGAAATGCATGTGTTACAAAGGCAGATTCCTGCGTCTTCCCTCCAGAGATTGCAAAGTTTGTTACAGTATGAGCTTGAAAGGTTTCTTTTATTCTCTCTCTTTCTCTATTTCATTTTCTTGTTTATTTTACTTTTTTGCGTGTTATTTTTGTGGTTTTTATAATTGACAACAAGTAATTCTGGGGCAGGTAAGCCAAGCACCAAACTTTGAGGAATGTTGTCATGCAAGCTTCAGATACTTTCATTTATGAGGTTCCAGAGGCTTAGGGAATACTGTCTCAAAAAGCATGTCTGCTCCCTCAGTCTGAGTTTTCTTATGTGCTATTTGCTCATACAATCAGCAAAGGTATTGTAAGATTCACAGCAAATGCCTGAAAGTGGAGAAAGAAGGAAGAAAATTGAGAATTTGAAGCCTGGTTGCATCTAGACATTGAATTGAGTGGTCTGGACTTGGGGTTCAGATAAATTTTACAAGTCATTAGTTCAACAGAGGTAAAATCACCCACTTAGGTGTCCAATGAATTGTGAAAAACTCTTGGAAGCATTTGTAAAGGAGAGCAGCTGCACTTCCATAGCCATTGATTGACCTAGTGAAGCATAAAATTTGATTATTCTCATTTTTTTAAGTCTTTAACAGTCATGGCTAATTAGACATAAAACCATCTACAGTAGTCCTACTCAGGATCAAACTGAATATATGACTCAGTGAGCCACTGCCCACACAGAGCAATCTTCAGTTTCCCCATATAAAAATCTTTGAGGGTGGCTTTTGTTAGCACAGAATGTCAAAAATGTTCAGTCACTCATAAAGTGCTTGGTTATGAGACCTTTCAGACTCTTCCCACCTCATGAATCTTTTACATTACACAGCAGCAGAGACTAGGGACTAGGGTGACACATAAGAGATAGTGAGTGTAAAAAAGTGACATGATGGGAAAAATCTCTGCCTGGAAGTCAGGAGACCTTGGTGCCAGTTCCCAGCCTGCAAGAAATCTCAATCTATGAACACTGGGCACTTTGCTAAAAGTTTCACTCAGTTTCTTTATTTTTTTCCCCAAAAATGCCATCATATTCATCTTGCAAATTAAGAAACCATGTCTCAGTAAGTTCAGGAGACTTTCCCAGTGCTACATAGTTACTCAGTGATAAAGTGAAAGTTGAAGCCAGGCTGTTTAACTCCAAAGCCTCCTCTGAATCCTCATGCTTGTCTGACATCACTTGAACCATATGATAAACGTAGGTAACTTAATATGTGGGTGTGCAATCATGTATATGTCTATCTAAATGTTTTTGTGTATATATATTCCAGTTCTGTATTGCCTTACTTGTATTATAGTAGATATTGAATTTTTTGTAAGTGTATGATGCCAAGGTTGGCTTGCAAAGATAAATGTCAGACAGGTGTATGGGAGTCAGACAGGGTGTATGGGCAGAGTTATCTGACATCAAAACAATAGGTACCACCGAGCTATTGACAGGAACCCAAAGCAATAGCATTTTAAGTGTTACATGGAACACAGGGCTAAGATCCACAGTATCTCTCAATTGTTTCTACATAGTTCTATGTGAAGCCTTCTGATTTTAAAATATTGTCTCAAAAAGAATATGCTCATCACCAGAAAGTCTATAAGCTGCTGGCTTGATATAGCTGCATTACAAAAACGCAGTGTTATTGTTACTTGCACTAGAAGGCAGGGAATAGCATTATTTATATAAACTTCCAAAACATCACATCACCTTTGCAGGATCTTAGTTGCCTTATGCATGAAGTGGGTCTGACAGCAGGTTGCTCTAATGTTTTTACCTGTTCCCCAAAGCCAAAATTTTAGATTTATGGCAGTGTCTAGACAAGAATATCTTTGTCCCCTGTGATCAAGAGAAAGAGTAATTAGAAAAAGCAATGCAAAAATTCAAAAGTGGGCCATACAAAAAGAAAAGGAATGACTTTTCGCCATCATTTTTTCCATGAATCATGGGTATTTTAGCAGTGGAAGTACATTTGACAAGCACTAGGTAAACAAGAGATTGTTATGTCAGGGGGGTGGCTCTAAGAGGGAAGGAGTTTACCATGATGGAGTCATTCAGACTACGGAAGTGGTTATCTCTATCTCTGCTCTTTTATTTCTTTGTACAGAATTGGTTATTGTCTAGTTTGCCTTAATTTTGGCCTTTAAAGATTCCTTTTAGTAATTATTGTAAGACAAGTCTACTAGTTATGGCGTGTCAGTTTTTCTTTATGTGGGAGTATCTTAAATTCACTTTCATTTTTGATGGAGTTTCACGGGAGATAAGAGTTCTTCACTGAGACTATTTTTCTTTTATCACTACAAATGTGTCATCCAATTGCCTCCATTTGTGTCTCTCCTCTCCTCCTGGGATTTCCTGGTACAGATTGGGATGCTGGCTGATTCCCTGCAGGATGCTGAGACTCTTTAAATTTGGCTTCATTATATTTTTCTTTTTGTCCCTGGGACTGGATAGTCTTAACTGAGTTATATTTTAGTTCCCTGAGTATTAATTTCCTACCTGCTCAAATCTGCTTTAGTCCCCTCTACTGACGTTTTTATTTCCTTGCTGAATTTTTTTTTTTTTTTTTGAATTGGAGTTTCACTCTTCTTGGCTCTTCTTGCCCCTGCAATGGTGCGGCCTCTGCTCACTGCAATAACTTCTGCCTCCTGGGTTCAAGCGATTCTCCTGCCTCAGCCTCCCAAAGTAGCTGGGATTACAGGCGCCCACCACCACACCCAGCTAATTTTTGTATTTTTATTAGAGACAGGGTTTCACCATGTTAGCCAGGCTGGTCTGAAATTCCTGACCTCGGGTGATCCACCCGCCTTGGCCTTCCAAAGTGCTGGGATTACAGGCGTGAGCCACACGCCCTGCCTCATTGCTGAATTTCAACTTCAGTATTGCTCTTTGGTACATTTTTAAAACTTCTATCTATGTAATGATGGTCTCTATTTGGCAAGACATCATTCTCATACTTTCCTGTAGTTCCTTAGATGTGGTATCCTTTAGTTCTTTGAACTTATTTAAAATAACTGATTTGTCTAGTAAGTCCAATGTCTATGCCTCTTCAGAAACAAAGTCTATTGACTGCTTTTGGTTTTCTGTATGTGAGCCATACTTTCTACTTTCTACATGTCTCATAATCTTCTGTGGAAAACAGGACACTATATTAATACATAATGCAATATGACAATTCTGGAAATCAGATTTCCCCTCGCAGGATTTGTTGTTGTTGTTATTTTTTTTTGTTATAGTTGTTCATTTAATTACTTTTGTAATCCAAATATGAAAAATCTGTATTCTTTGTTGGGTATGGCTACTGAAGTCTCTGTTAAGTTACCTTAGTTGTCAGCTAATCACCTGAGGAGGATTTCCTTAAACATCTGAAACCAGTAAGTCTCTGAAATGAAATAAGGCCTGTGGTATTATACATTTCAATTTCATAGAGGTTGAGGTATCAAGCAGCTCAACTCTGCTCACTTATTCTGTTTAATAATTTTTCCAGGACAGGAAAACAAATGTGAGAACCTTTTATTTTCATGTCAAGAACACAACATTTTTCTCAATGCAAAGCTCTTGATATGTAAATATCAGCCTGGCCTTGGGAATTTTTCTTCATTATCAATAAGTCAACATATAACTACTATTGTTTCAGGCTCTTTTACCAAACAGAGGAGCTTGGCAATGCCATCAGACAGGGTCAGTGATGCATTTATTACATTACAGCATTATATAGACTGAAGAGAAAAATTATATAACATCATATATGATATGATGGCATAGTAGATACATTTCATTAAGATAGATATGAAGTATCAAACCATTACCTCCAGAGGGAAAATACTTCTGGAAAGAAGATTTGAACAATTATGTTACACAATTCTGCTTACTTAGATATTTTGAGTCAATCAACTACAGGAATTTTAAAAACAAAGTGAATCAGATGATATCAAGATAGTGTGTGTAACTTCTTTCTTTACCATGGTCTTGGCCTATGTTGGTATCTTCTTTATGTTATAAATTATATATAGACTCTCTAGAGATAATAGCTTAGAATACTGACCAAAAATAGAATCTTTATGAGAAAAAGAAGAACTAAGGGAGGAGGATCAATAAGGAGATTATTAAGATGGAGTAGAAAAAAATGAAAAGGGATGCATGGGTGTGAAGCTTACTTCGATATCAGTGTTTGTGTCTAGCATCATTATAGGCATGTAGTAAATTCCAAAATCTTTTCTGATCTGAACTGAATTTGGTAATTAATTTGATGAATAGAAGTTAACCTAGTAGGAGACCCATGAAAAGATACAGGTTTGGGGTAGGTGGAAACTGTTATGTTTAGTTTAAAGTTGCTGGCTTTGCCAAGAGTAGGTATCACTGTAAATTGAAGGGGGAAAGAAAAAAATGTAAAAGAAGGCCAAAAAACTATGAATTATGAGCTGTATTTATATCAAATGATAAGCTCTGTATTCAAAGAACATGCAAAAAGATTAAAATATCTTTTTATATGCTATGATTTTTTTTTTTAGAAAAGGCACTGAATGATTCAGGTGTTCAAAGTGTTCATTTTCTTCTAAATCCATCCAGATGTCTCTATTCCAAGGTCATGGTTCCTATTTCTTTCCAATGTCCTAACAACCACATGAGGGGTTTTGTGACTGTAAATCACATTATCATGTAGTCATGCAACCCACACAATAAAATTTGGATTTCTTTTTTAGAGAGTTGCAAGAAATAAGATTTTAGTTTCAGGCCACCATTGAAGTTTTCTGTTACTTAGCCACTGAGTTGATCTCAGAGATTAGAGACTAAGTTCATAATTTCTTTCTGAAAGCTCCAGAGAGCAGTGAGTATTGGCCATCTTACTCACAGGCTTTATAGACTTTATTATTTCTGTAAGATAAAGTACAGTTGCCACTTAGTGCCCAAAGCTATTGCTCTAGTAAGATCTTTGTCACAATCAACCACAAGTGACATTAATTGTAAGGAAACTGAGTGCCATGGATTGCCATTTTCCCATTTTCTTTTAGTGAAGAACTCACTGCTATATTCAGTGCCAAGTAAACCATCAAACCATTCCCATAAACCATGCTCACATGGTTCTGCTGCCTCAGAGGCGGCTAGTTCCAGGAATATCAAAAGAAACTACATCCTTTAACACTGCTGCTTCTCAAGTAAGTAACTTGCTGACAGAAACAGTGAACAGAATGGAAAGGAGCCCTTCCTTTTCTCTTCCTCCTGTCTTTGTCTTCCTTTTGTGCATTTTTCTATGGGACTTAAGAGGAAGCCATCTAATGACAGAGAAGAGTTGTTTGCACAGTCTCATGAAGCAGAGTATGGAAAGATAAATTTGAAAGGAAAAGGAATTGCATAAGTATTGACATAGCTTCATGGGCAGCAATGAGTCATTCTTTAAAGTAAGCTTATGTGTTTCAAGTTTTGAGCATATTTGTGTATAGAATTCGGATTGAATCTCTAAATGGAAACTCAAGCATGAAATATATGGGTATATATATATATGATGTTTATATTTATATCAACATGGGTGAGGAGATAATAGAAGGGGGAAAATAATGTAAACATAGTGCAGGCAAAAGTCAGAAATTTTTAGTTTTCCATAAACCTATCAAGAAAAATTCAGTGTGTATTTATGTGTATGTCTTTGTGTGTGTGTGTTTGAATTCTTACCAAAAGAGATTGTTTGAGCTTAAACATGGAATTAAACTTAAATACACATTTACTTAAACCAATTCTATCCCTGTTTTGGGAAAAATTATTTTATTGAGGTAAGTATAATGCACTACAATATAAGAAATCATTACACAAAACAAATTAGAGGTAAAAAAAACTGTGGGTAAATTGGAGTTTACTTAAATTTATAACAAAACATCTTTCTTTTATCAAAGTGTTTATCATTTACAGTATGTTGGAACCGAAATACAGTAAGCCTTCCAATTTGACTGTCTATGTATAAAAGAATAAACCATTTTGGACCTCTCACTTGAATGTTCTATTGCATTTCTTGTGTTGGGTCATCAAAAATATCCTGCTGGACATAATATAATTTTGTATAAGCAGTAATTCCCTTCTTCCTCTACAAGATGTAAATGGAATCAGACATGTTATTGCCAAACTTAAGGATTCTACATAACTCATGCATTCTAGAGTATATGCAAAATATAAAGCTGAATCTTTCAGGAAGGTGTTTAAGACAGATAAATGAGAAGGAAGAGGAAGGAGAAACTAGATTTTAAAGCAAAATAGTATGTTGACAGGAACACATTCTGGTTTTTACTGTTTGTTTCTACAAAGAATTTCACAAATTTTTGACAATAAATTTGAGGAAAAGGAGGAAGAGCCTTTGGAGTTGCCTGGTTTCAAGAGCATGGTTTCAGAAAGCGAGCCTTGGTGTGCTGAGAAATTCTCTTAGAAAATTTCAGAGCTCAATGTATTTTTTGAGGTTTGGTATCTCAA
The DNA here is from genome assembly GCF_000001405.40 of Homo sapiens. Classification (NCBI taxonomy): domain Eukaryota; kingdom Metazoa; phylum Chordata; class Mammalia; order Primates; family Hominidae; genus Homo; species Homo sapiens. The sequence goes on along the minus strand of NC_000010.11, from coordinate 108,059,311 downwards.
GTGCATTCCAAGATTGATAAGCAAGTTCAGGGTATTCCAAAAAGAAATAAGAAAGATAACTTACTTTATCATAGAGAATGAGTTTTTAGACTGAATATAATTTAAAAGAGGATACTTGTAACACTGGAAATAGTGAATTTTTTTAAAGATATTACATTCAAGCCAGTGGGAGGTGGTATGAATTCCTAGATGAAAAAATGGAAAATAGTATCACTTTTACATTTGAACTGTTTGGAATGACAGAATTTTAAAAAAAAGCAGAGTCAGTAAAGGCAAACCTTTTACATTGTTTTCATCTTTTTGATGAAGACATCTTAAATCTGTCTAAAATATTGGCTTCTTTGCCATAAAAGCCTTCGTTATTAATTGATATGTTTTTTTTTCATTCATACAGGATTGGTTACTTGCACTACAGCAAATTTACAACCAGCAAAATAGACTAGAAACAAGCTACTTGTTGATGAAGGTGAGGTTTGGCTAGTTCCTAGTTCTTTGGATTCACATTCCTTATGGGATGTCTAAGGTACCTTCTTCATGTTACTTAGAGCTTCAGTGGCAGGATTCTGTATCCAACTGCATTTTTTAGGCTGATTAAGTGAAAGAGCTCCACTGAGTCAAGGAAGGCAATCCACTAGAAACTTCCCCATTTATGTCCACCCGTTCTCATCCCTAAAATTGTTGTGACTAAGTTAACATATCTGTGTGTCATTTTACCTAACAATAATAATCTCCTATGATGGAATTACAGGAAGATAACTATGGCCACTCTATACGTTGATTTCCTATTGAGATAAAAAATCCTCATGAAAAATGAAATGGAAATGAAAAGTCCTTGGTATTTGTAAATACATATGCAATTTGCAAATACATGCATGTAGTTTGTGAGTATTATTATGCATGTAAATATTTACATATTAACTATTCATATAGTTAGGGTATTTGATTCAGATAGAGGAAGGATGTCATTTTTTGTTTTACAAAATGTTGGACTAAGAGCTAATTGTTTTCTGGAATCTGAAGTTCTTGTCACTTAGAACAAATGATAGCCATGCACAACATTGGAGGAGACAGCTTCAGGTTGAGGAGAGGCTCTTTGGTGTCCATTTTATTTATTTGATGTGCCTTTTTGTCCTTTCACTAGGTGACATGATTTCCCCCTGCCTTTATTGAGCATCCCACTTTGAAAAAACAAACAAAAAAGCCATGATGACTCTTCATAAAAATAAACAAAACATTCTCCTCTGTCTCTCCACTCTAGCTGTATTATCACCTTTACTCCCCATATCCCCAAATAAAGTTCTTGGTCAAAAAGGCTACATTGATCACCCAGAAATTTCTTTGCTCAAGAGTCAGAAAAATCACCTTGCATTGGAGCTCTTGAGAAGCTTCCCTTGCCCTTGGCCCAGAAGTATAATTCTCAAATCTTATCGGCAGAAAAGATGGCAAGTAGAGTTGCCTTGGCAAATATTTTGCAGTCGAAGTTTTTAACCAAAGAAGCCTATCAGACAATTAACTTGGAATCCATCCCAATTATAAAGCCATTACAGAAAGTAATTAGAAAAATCTAAGGTCTAGGCTTCAACCACAAATATCTGCATAACCCATCCAGCAAGGTGTAGAGCATTTGAACTGGACTGAGTCTTAAATACTGCTGCATCCTGGCAGTAGTCTTAGGCTCTATGCATTCCCTGACCCAGAAAGCTGGTCATTATTTTCCTAAAATAACAAAATTGCCTTCCTTCTGGACTGACTCTGACATGACCCTAGCCTGTAATTTCATCTTTCCTTACTAAAGACTCAGAGTTCAGGGTAGAGCTGCTGCTCAGCAATGACCTCCTGTCTGTGGGAGGATTCAACTTGTCTTCGGAGTTCTCACCCATTCCTATTATCTACCTTCTTAGAGAGACTTCTAAAACGGTCCCAGTAAGTCCTACCTAACCTCCTGCTATTTATGGCTATTTGTAATGTCTTCTCCTTAAGCAATTTGGCTATAACCAAAAAATATGACAGCATTAAGGGATGCACTTCTCTGATTATATTACAAAATATTGTGACATTTGTCTTGCTGCTCTCTTTATTGCCTTCTTGGCTGGTTTGTCTTGATTAAGCCAGTTGACATTTGAAGAGGACCATATAGCAAGGAACAGAAAAATAGCCTGGAACCAATATCCAGTTAGTAACTGAGGCTTTTGGTCCTAAAAACTTTGAGGTCCTGACTCAGCAAACAACCACACAACCTTAGAAGTGGATCCTTCTTCAGTCATAGATCAGATGAGACCTTTAGTCAGTGCCACCTGGATTCAGTTTTGTGAGGGACTCTGAAACAGGGGACCCAGTTAAGTTATGCATAAATTTCTGACCCACAGAAACTGTGAAGTAATATGTTTGCATGTGTGTGTGTGTGTGTGTGTGCATGCATGTTATTGTAGTAAAATACACAAAACATAAAATTTACTACTTTAACCATTTTTAAGTATGGACTTCTGTGATGATAAGTACATTTACATCATTGTGCAATAATATGGTTTGTCTGTGTCTCCACCCAAATCTCATCTTGAATTGTAGCTCTCATAGTTTCCACATGTTGTGGGAGGGATCCAGTGGGAGATAATTGAATCACAGGGGCGGTTTCCCCCATACTGTTCTCGTGAGAATAAGTCTCATGAGATCTGATGGTTTTGTAAGGGGAAAGCCCTTTTGCTTGGCTCTCATTCTTTCTTGTCTGCCACCATGTAAGACATGCCTTTCACCTTCTGCCATGACTGTGAGGCCTCCCCAGCCACATGAAACTGTGAGTCCATTAAACTTCTTTTTCTTTATAAAGTACCCAATCTCAGGTATGTCTTCATCAGCAGTGTGTAAACGGACTAAAACATGCAACTATCACCAACCATCCATCTTCATAACGTTGTCATCTTCCCTAACTGTTGTTCTTTATCATTAAATACTAACTCACCATTACACTTTCTCCCCAGCCTCTGGCAACCACTATTCTACTCTCTGTCTCTATGATGTTGACTACTCCAGGTTACCTCATCTAAGTTGAATGATACAGTGTTTGCTCCTTTGTGACTGGCTTACTTTGTTTAGCATGATGTCTTCAAATTTCATCTAGTTTGCAGCATGTGTCAGACTTTCCTTCCTTTTTAAGACTGAATAATATTTCTTTGTCCATTCATCCATCAATAGACACTTGGATTGCTTTCACCTTTTGACCATTGTGAATAATGTGGCTATGATTGTGGTCATACAAATGTCTGTGTTCTTGCTTTCAGTTGTTTTAAATTTACAACCATATGTGGTAATTTTGTGTCTAATTTTTTTTGAGTAATCATCACACTGGTTTATAGTCACTAGGTTTTGTGGTAAATTGCTGCACAGTAATAGATAACTGAAAGAAATAGCTTCTAGGATGCATAAAAGTGAAACAAACAACAAACAAACAAAAACACATCCTTGTACTAATGGAGCTTATAGCCTAGTAGGTGAGATAGAAATAATCAAATGCTGATGGCATTGGATGAATATTCACAACTTTTGTGCATATGGAAAGAGAGAAGTGTATGACATAATAGGATTTGTAAAAGTGGCTGTTATCCAGGCTAGGAAGTCGGGCTTACTATCAATCCACCCAAGCAGGAGGAGTAACTTTGGACAAGCCAGCTGACTAACAGCTTGTAGCACAGATTGAACAGAAGAAAGTTTCTTGCTTTGAGATCTTATCCTTTCTTTGAAGAAGATGCATACCATGAAAGAAGAGAAGAAAGCACATTATCAATGCTTCATATGCAACCATATCCAATGCCAACAGCCTGACCTTCCCTCTTCTTGTGTGCAGTTGTTATAGTGACAACATTGATTGCATATTCATGGGAAAGATTTCACTGGACTGGGTATTATTGTTTTGTTTTGTTTATTTTGTTTGTTTTATTTTGTTTTCATTTTTATTTTATTGTATTTATTTATTTATTTTTGATACAGTCTCGCTGTGTTGCCTGAGCTGGAGTGCAGTGGCGCGATCTCGACTCACTGCAACCTCCGCCTCCCAGGTTCAAGCGATTTTCCTGCATTATCCTCCTGAGTAGCCAGGATTACAGGCATGCACCACCATGCCTGGCTAATTTTTGTATTTCTAGTAGAGAGAGGATTTCAAGTGACCTGGCCTCAAGTGACCTGCCCACTTCAGCCTCCCAAAGCACTGGGATTACAGGCATGAGTCACGGCACTCGGCTATTTTGTTTTTAAATAGACAGTATTTTCTGCTTTGTTAATTTACAGATTTATTTTGTTAATTAACAGATGTGAATCTTAGTATCCCTCAAAGCAAATAATAAGAAAAACTCAGTGTTACTTGAGTTAAATGTAGAAACTGAACAGACAATGGTAGGCCCTCCTCCTATTAAGACTACTTGAAGTTTGGTTTTGTTTTATTTTAATTTTAGGCCCTTCATTTCTCTCAAATGGACCTGTAGCCTATTTTGGGTTGAAATCCTCAATGTGTGGCAGCTAAGCTACAAAATATAAAGAACGAAAATATTTTCGCTGTGTCTTGAAGTTTCCTTTGAAAATATTTAGAATTCTAGATATATGTACAATAATTCAGAAATAATTTTACTGAAAAGTTTTATTTTTATATCTTCCCCACCAGAAATACATAATAAAAAGACAAACTAAATGCATTAACAAAATGAATTTTGGGCTAGGCGCGATGGCTCAGGCCTGTAGTCCCCAGCACTTTGGGAGGCTGAAGCAGGAGGATCATTTGAGGTTAGGAGTTTGAGACCAGCCTGGCCAACAACGGGAAACCCCATCTCTACTAAAAATACAAAAACTAGCCGGGCATGGTGGCACTTGTCTGTAAGCCCAGCTACTCGGGAGGCTGAGGCAGGAGAATTGCTTGAACATGGGAGGCGAGTTGAACTCCAGCCTGAGCGACAGAGTGAGACTCCATCTCAAAAAAAAAAAAGAAAAGAAAATAATGAATTTTGAATTTCACTTGCCCAGTTAATTGGGATTCCCCACTCTGGTGTTTTTTCCTGCCATAGCACAACCTCTCTTCTCACAGCTGGGCCTGGGATGTTACTAATGCCATGATTTAAATAGTTCTGATTTTTTTTTTTTTCCTTTCTGCCTGCTGTCAGGCTGTGATAACTCCAGTGATAATTGGCTACACGATTTGAAACTGCATTTTCTATATCCTATTTTTAGAGTGACAACATGAGAAGTGACAAATGAAGCAATTGATTTCAGGAAAAAAAGAAGACACATAGATAGCAAAAAGGCATAGATCAAATAGCAAAAAGGCACCGAGTATTAAAATGAAATTAATACTCACCATTTTAAATGAAGCGCCCACATAAATAAGGATGAGTAGAGTTGAACTACAGGTAAGCTGTAGGTAATTGTATACCAGTATAAACTCATATGATAAATTAGCACAGTTTTGAGAGTCATAGGTTTTCACAGAATAAAGGGACTATTTGAATTCCCAGAGGATTCATTGCAAGGTAACTTCAATACAGAGTTACTCTTAAGCATTATAAATGAGATTGTTTATAAGTTCTAAACTGTCCATCCAAGAATGGGCTGTTACTCTTATATGAAGGCAGGATGAACAAAATTGGAAGTAGGCAGATTCTAGAACCCCTTATAACTCAGTGTGGACTCTTCTCCAGAAAAAACAAAAAGATCCATTCGATGTTTTAGTATTGCTCATAATCACTTGAAATTCAGGTTTGAAGTTAGTGTCTCGGCCAATAGAGGTTCTCTGTCGTGACTCTCCTCGAAGCTGACCTTACATATCTGATATTTTGCCTCTAAAGGATCTGGACCAAGATAGGATTAGTGAATATCTCAAGAACAATCAAGAATGTAAGAAAATGTAAGTACAAAAGAGAAAGTGGATTTTTTTTCTTTTTTCTCTTCTCCCAAGCAATATGTTTTCTGAAGATTTCTGGGTCTTACTTTTGTTGCTTATTTGTTACTTTTTGAAAATAATAGAGATTTTCTCATTTTACTCATCAAGTATTGCTCATCAAATATTGAGGTTCTTTACAGCAGCACTAGTCTCTCAGGAAATTGCTCATCAAATATTGACTTTCTTTATAGCAGCATTAGTCTCTCAGGAAACTACAGTATGGTCATACTAGGGGAGCCAATTGAGGAGGATGTCAGGATATGTAAGGTTCTTTCACAACCCAACCGGATATGGCTTAGAGAGAATTAAACTTTTCTTCCAGCCTATGCATCTGAAGGTCTTTCTTCTTCTGTCTATTAAGAATGGAAGGGAATGAGCTGAGAGCAAATCTCTCCTCCTGAGTTTCTAAGGAAAGTTTGGCTTTAATTAAGACTGGAATTAAAAGCAGATCTTCAATTTTTAAAAACTTTATTGCAAAACTGTCCAATCTAACTTAATGCCATATTTATTTAGAGGTGCTGCATACTGGGTTGTGGGAAACAAAGAAAATACAGGAACTTAGTGATCCAGTTAACCTCTCCACCCATCAGTGAGCAAATAATCTCTGCCCTATAGTGTCTGACTCTCCTGATGTCAGGAGTTTTGGATCTGGCTGCCTTGATCACCAGCTGTATACCTGATCCATTCTCCAAGCATTAGACCACTGGTCTAGGGCTTCAGTTAGACTTAACATGGAATTATAAAACATTGCCCCTTTGCCCAAAGAGTATATTATAGTCTATTTGAGAGACTATACACTCACACACATACATATATAAAAACACACACTTATGCATAAATACACACACATATATATACACACACATAATCTATGTATAGATTTATATACATATATTTATATATGTATATAAAAATATATGTGCATAATATCTATACATATATGTATAGATATACACATATATAGATATATTTATATTCATATACATATATATCATCTTATTATCTGTGTATGTGTTTGTATGTATACATACATATATACACACTCCCAGTATATAGTCTACTGTCTCTGTGTATCTGAATACACACACACACACACACAGAGACACCTAAAATATATGTGTATATATATATATATATATATATATATGGAGTTAGCAGGAAGAATTTAAGGAAATGTTGTGGTTTTAGTGTATACAAAGCTGAGTTTGAAACCAGACCCACTAGCGGGTAATGCTGAATAGAACCTCTGCCTTCTCTCATTCTCAATTATTTAATCTGGAATATGGGAACAAAAGCAATATGTACAATTCTCTCTATTCAAACTTCCAGAGACTGAGAACTCCCTTTAAATGATTTATTCCCAAATGGTTAGGTTCCCTAGTGGGTGAGATTTGCATGTGTACACATAAATTTTAATAACAAAAGACAGAAATTTATTTAATGGAAGCACCCTAGTCAGTGGTACTGCCATGATTGGGGCAGCAGTCTCCTAATTTATGTGCATTCAAATTATTCAATGGACTGAGCATCAACTATGATAGGTTAGAGGATATAATGGAGAGAATAATCATAAATTATTTTTGCCATCATGGGGTTTATATTCTGAAAGCTGGTACTCTGAGAGGAGACAGGCAGACAGACACACATTCACACAAGCACACACACACACATATGCTAATTAAAAGTATAACTTCAGAGGTATATTATGTTAGGAGACCATAAAATAGATTGTTTTGACTTTGGGAGGTAGGAGTATGACAGAAGAATTACAGAAAGATGAGCTGTAACATCAAGGATGATTTGGAGTTAAATGTGGTTGGGTAGGAGGGAGAAGAGATGATGAAGCAGGAAATGTAAGGAGTGCACAAGGCAAAAGGCAGATGAGTGTGGCTGGTTTGCTTGAGTAAAAAAGAGAAAGAGGAGTGTAAGATAAAGCTGGAGAGGTAGCCAGTAGTTAGACCATGAAGGTGCCTGCAAATTATGTAACTGTCATAAAAATTGTTTTCTATTTTAGGAACAATGAGAAACCTTTGAAGAAGTGGTAGAAGCTAGGGAAAGTGGATGACACGATCAGAGATCATGAGATCACTTTTAGATGTAATGTCCTTTTTACCTGTAATGTAGGAAATTGGTTGGTTTGGGTGATAATGTGGATTAGGGACACAAGTTCGGAGACTCTTGAAACTTTACTAGGAACCATTTTTAGACCATGGTAGCATGGACAATGGTGCTGGTGGCAGAGGGTGTATTATTTTCTTATGAATGCTGTAACAAATTACCACATGTTTGGTGGCTTGAATAACAGAAATGTATTCCATCACAATTCTGGAGGCCAGAAATCCAAAATCAGTTTCATCTGATCAAAAACCGAGTTATCCATCTATTGACAGCCCCTTCTGGAGGCTCTGGGGAGAATCCATTCCTATCCTTTTCCCACTTTGGTGGTGGCCCCTCTCTCTCTGCCAGGTCCCAGGGCCAATAAACTGTGTGAGCTTTGCATTCAGGACTCACTAGGCAGTGACACCCTGCTATAGGTGTGCTGTACCATGACAGGAAATGGAAAGAGGGAAGTCAATACTTTGACTCCACTCTAGTTTGACCTCTTGATTATACTGCTGCAGTAAGTGATTCAGTCCTTGGCAATTACTTTTGCTTTTGTCTTGTTGCTTTAACTGATCATTCAAATATCACCTCAGTTGAGCTCCTGATAACCAGCATTCTTACTCTGAGACAGGGTCGGGTACCTACCATCAACAACATCACCATATGATGAGATGAGATGAGATGAGATGAGATGAGATGAGATGAGATGAGATGAGATGAGATGAGATGAGATGAGATGAGAAATTGGATTTCTGGAAGGGCTCACTTTATTGGAGAAAGCTCCTTTTACTAAGAGAACACTTGAAATTTTCTTCCTCCAAGCCCATCCCCATCTCAGGCCTCTCTGGAGACTGGCCTCACTCTGGGGTGTCTGGCTCTATATAGTCTTCTTTCTCTCAGGCTTCAATTCTGCTTCCTATGTCCCACTCACTTTTCCATTTTGGTCTCTCTCCTTCCTTGATGAGCTCACACTGCATTTTAGGCCTCTAGTATCTGTCTTCTCTCCTGCAGTAGCCAGATCCAGCAGCCATATGCCAGTCTGGTAAGTCTAACATAAAAACAAAATCTCTTACAGCTTCCTGAAATCACTCCCTCCTATGACTACTCAAACTCACCCAGGAACCCATCAGACTCCAGGGACACATCAGTGAATAAGACTGGCCCCATCCCTACTCTCACAGGGCTTATATTCTAGCTGGAAAAATTACTATTAAACAGTAAAATTAATATGCCATGAACAGGCTAGAAAGATTATGATTCTATTTCTAGGACTCATTTATTCTTTGTTCTCTTCCCATGAGGTGCAGCAAGAATACCAGAGAGACCAGACCATGAGGATAGAGACTTTAGGTTAAACCAGGGTCTCTCTTCCTTGTTACCTTAGCGCAGACCACAAAACAAAGTTATTTCTGTGAGTCAGGGATTTTCCCCAATGCTGTGACAAGGACAGGCTGACACTTGCTTGTTGGTATCACTAAGGAAGCTTTATAGAAGCATTTTCTCTCCTCACTGCTGAAATGTGATCCAGGGGCACAGCTCTTCAGAAAGAAGGCAAGTTTTCCTGTGGGGCTTTCATCTGAAAGCAACACTAGAGCTGCTCACTTGATTTTTTCTTTTCTTTTTTTTTTTTTAAGACGGAGTCTCACTCTGTCACCCAGGCTGGAGTGTAGTGGCGTGATCTTGGCTCATTGCAACCTCCACCTCCCGGGTTCAAGTGGTTCTCCTGCTTCAGCTTTCCAAGTAGCTGGGATTACAGGGGCACAACACCATGCCTGGCTAATTTTTGTATTTTTAATAGAGAATTTTTAGTAGAGATGGTGTTTCACCATGTTGGTCAGGCTGGTCTCGAACTCCTGACCTCGTGATCCACCCGCCTCAGCCTCCCAAAGTGCTGGGATTACAGGGATGAGCCACCGCGCCCAGCCTTGATCTCTTTACCCTATGGTCACCTGCAGGATCATCGGTCTTCATCTCCTAGACCAACCTTGCACAGAAGGCCTCAGTATTCCTACGCTTGCTTGTGAGCCAGCATTGTCCTGAGGTCTCATTCAAACCACAGCACTTAAGCCATATCCCTAGGTTCTCTTAACCTGTTTATTATCCCAATCCCTATAAAACTGAGGCCCTGTCAATTTTTCTTTAGATTTCTCTCCAAGCTCTGGAATCTTATCTTTGCAACCTCTCTTAGGGCCATGGTCTAACTACCTAGCCTGTAAATTTTTATGATGTCAAATGTGTGTCTGCTTACACTTGTCCAAACTGCTGGGACTGGATTCTTCTCTGCTGCCATACCTCAGAATTTCCAGAGTGAACAACTGGCCTGGATCATGGCCTTTTGACGCTATAGTCTTTTGCTTAAGGCCCAAATGTGGGGCTGGACTTTTTCCCTGCATGGACACCTGGAACTGTACAGAGGACCTAGTTGGCAGCCAGCCCTAGTGCAGCCGAGTCTGTTCAGCTGGAGTCTTGGGCAATGGCCATACCCTCTCTTCATGTCCCATCTTTACCATCATGGCAGGAGGCTGGCCTGAGAATATGCCCCCTTCAATATACATGCCACCATTACCTCCTATAGTGCATGAGACCCTCTTTTAGTGTAAACATTGCTCTCTCAGATTAAATGTAGAAGCATTATGAGAGAGAAGGCTAGAGAGAATGTTTAGGGTAAAAAACAAAGGTAGCCGTAATGTAATATCTCAGACTCTACAGAATGAGATATTCTCTGGGCCAATGACATTCTCTAGGCAAATGATGGTGACATCTTATTTAGAGTCTTAGATTAACCAGATGGCATGAGCTGGATCATGACTCACAGCAAGGTTTCTACCTTTATTCACCTTGCAATGAGGAAAAACGTCTAAATAGAGTTAGCAATTGACTGTTCCAAAGTGCCCTGAGGACAGACAGTCTCTTCTCTAATAAGGAGATACTTTATTCAGAGTGACAAATTACTCAGAAGGTCACATTTTCTCCATGTGATCAGGCTGAATTTTATGATGTAGCAGGTTGATAGTGGAACTATTTCTGCAATTGGGACAGCACATCACGAGCCCGAAAGGCTTTGTTCAGAGGCAGGAGAGAGGCTTGAAGACTAGAATGAGGAGGAAGGTTGGTCTGAAGCTCCCTTCAAGAGAACAATCCATTTATATCTCTCCAACTGTGGTAAGCCCATGGGTGGGTTTGTATTCCAGTCATGGAAGGACAATTAGGAAGTACAGGAATTCTGCAGCAAACCACATATTTTATTCTAAAAGACATATTAATTTCTCTAATTTTCATTCAGTTTTAAAATATAAGAATCATGAAATCCTAAGTATTTTATATATTTTTTGACAATCGTATAGTAACTTATTCAAGCAACATGCAAATCAGAAGACAACTAAAGTTTACATAAGGGCACAGCCAACCCTCATGAAAGTATAAAGCCATTTTTCTATGAATTGATTAAAAATATGAACATTAATATCACTATGAAGAAAAAATGAAATCATTTATAAACTCTCTAAAAAGAAGTATCTAAACATGTTTCTATATGCGCTTCCACACATTTTTCCTATCAGTTTTTATATACTCTGTTCAAAAACAAGTTCATGTTGTAATCTTCATTAACTTTTTTGTTTGTTTTTGAGATGGAGTCTTGCTCTGTCACCCAGGCTGGAGTGCAGTGGTGTGATCTCGGCTCACTGCAAGCTCTGCCTCCCGGGTTCACGCCATTCTCCTGCCTCAGCCTCCCAAGTAGCTGGGACTACAGGCGCCGACCACCACGTGCAGCTAATTTTTTGTATTTTTAGTAGAGACAGGGTTTCACCATGTTAGCCAGGATGGTCTAGATCTCCGGACCTCGTGATCCATCCACCTTGGCCCCACAAAGTGCTGCGATTATTAACTTATTTTTTAAACTTAAGAGTTTAACATTGACATGCTTCTGCATTATTCATGTTTCTATATTCTTAAATTCATTCTGTCATGATATGTTGAAAGCTAGGTTGTATTAAATTAAATCAATGTATTGATTCTTAGCCAATCTTAGATCTATCCATCTCTCTGATACATTTTGGATGTCTCCTCCAATTCTCCTGTTGGGACACAATCCCCAGTGTTGGATGTGGGGCCTGATGAGAGATGTTTGGGTCATGAGGATAGATCCCTCATGGCTGGGTGCTGTCTTCACAATAGTGAGTGAGTGCTTGTGAGATCTGCTTGTTTAAAACTGTGTGGCACCTCCCCCTGATTCTCTTGCTTCTTTTGCTCCCTCTCTCACGATGTGAAATGCTTGCTCCCCCTTTTCCTTCTGCCATGATTATAAGCTTCCTGAGGCCTCACCAGAGGCTGAGCAGATGGCAGAGCCATGCTTCCTGTACAGCCTGCAGACACATGAGCCAATTAAACCTCTTTTCCTTATAAATTATCTAGTCTCAGATATTTCCTTATTGCAATGCAAGAACAGCCTAAAATGCTATCTGTTCATCTACATATATATAATAGGAATTGGTTCATGCAATTGCAGAGGCTGAGAGCTCCCACTCTGTAAGCTGAAACACCAGGAAAGCTGATGGTATAATTCATTCCAAGTCTAAAGGCCTGAGAATTGGCAGGGATACTGGAGTAAGTTCTGGTCTTTGTTCAAAGAACTGAGAACCAGGGTCATTGATGTCTGAGTGAAAAAGGAAATGGTGTCCCAGCTCAAGCAAAGACCAAATTAACCCCTTATCCACTTTTTGTCCTATTTAGGCCTTCAAGTGATTGGATGATGCCTACCAGCATTGTTGAAGACAACCTTCTTCACTCAGTCTATCAATTCAAATGTTAATCTCTGCCAGAAAAGCCATCACAGATACACCCAGAAGTAATGTTTTGCCAGCTCTCTGAACATACCTTAGCTCAGTCAGGTTGACACATAAAATCAACCATCAAAATGATGTTTTTAGTTTTTTAATGTTATCAACACAATGCTCTTCTGAATATTCATATATTTGTATTTCTACACAGTTTTAAAATCATTTATTTGGTTAAATTCTTAGGGGGGATTCTTAAGCCAAATGACAGAGATATACATTTTCATTCATTTGCTTGGCAAATGAGGAACAAAGAGAGGGTAATTTAGCATTTTTCATCCTTTGTCCTTAGCTGTAACTTATGCCATAAATATGCTAAGATAGATATACATACACACAAAACATTAGGTAGAGAACTAATGTCTTAATTAAATTTTCATGTCTAATAATATGTTAAAGTTACTTTTACCATCCTGTTTTCCAAATTAAGATCATTTTTGAGAAAAAAGTCTTTTTCATAACATATAGTCTTAAAACACCTTATATCTTAGAAGATGACTACACACATAGCTACACACACACATTGGCTTTCACAGCGCAGATGGCTTTCAATAGCATTTTTGTATACTGTCCTCCCAAATAACACTTTATGTACATATATATGTGTGTGTGTATATATATATATATATATGTGTGTGTGTGCGTGTATATATATACACAGTATATGTATAGACAGATAAATAGATTAATGTTTAGATATATATATATATGCACATATATATGATATATTATCTATTACTGATTCCACATCATTCTAAAGTATACTGATGAGCAAATTAGAAATGTCATTAATTCCATATTATACTAAAATATATTGGCAAGAAATTTGGATTCATATTTAAGAGGGAGTTTATTTTAGTAGCACAAACATGTCACATGAAACCTAACATGCAGAACTGAAAATGTTGTGTTTGGGACAGAAAGCTAGGCTAAGCTCAGAGAAATTCCTCCAAAGACCACCAAATCTGCTGAAAATCCAGATGAATTTGTCGTAGATCTGCAAGCACAATAGGGAAGCAAAGATGGGTCACTGTTGCATAGTCTCAGCCACACACTCTGAGGATAGTTTCTTACACACTTACACACATGCTCACACACAGATGTGTGAATCTCCACATGCTCTTTGTACTATTCTTAAGTATGTTTCCGCTGGTCTTCTGGGTATAAAGCCTAGAGAACTAGCCTAGTGGAGTGATGAACCCTGCTGTCACTGGAGTCAAAATGCCTATATTAAATTGTGATTCCATCACCCATCAACAGGTAGTCTTGAGTAATTTACTATTTTAATGTCTCAAAGCCTTAAATCTTAGGTAACTTAAACTCTAAGCCTCAGTGTTTTCCTCTATAAAATGAGGGGGATGCTAGTAGAGTCTGCTTCTCAGGGCTGTTGAAAGATTTTAAAGCTCTTGACACCTAGTAAACACTCAGAAGGGGCTGGGAATTATTATTACTACTATTTTTCTTCATTTTAGCATTATTTTATTTTATTTCATTTCATTTTGTTGTTATTATTTATTTTTGAGACCAAGTCTCACTCTGTTGCCCAGGAGGGAGTGCAGTGGCATGATCTCAGCTCACTGCAACCTCTGCCTGCTGGGTTCAAGCAATTCTCGTGCCTCAGCCTCCTAAGCAGCTGGGACTGCAGGCGTGTACCACCATGGCTGGCTAATTTTTGTATTATTAGTAGAGATGGTGTTTCACCATGTTGGCCAGGCTGGTCTGGAACTCCTGACCTCTGGTGATCTACCTGCCTTGGCCTCCCAAAATGCTAGAATCACAGGCATGAGCCATCGTGCCCTGCCTTAGCATTATTTCAATACTTAAAACGTCCTGAACATTTTAGTGCCAGGCCAGTAGTCTCCCTTTATTTATTTATTTATTTATTTATTTATGTATTTATTTATTTATTTATTGAGACGGCGTTTTGCTCTTGTTGCTCAGACTGGAGTGCAATAGCATGATCTCAGCCTGCTGCAACCTCTGCCTCCCGGTTCAAGCGATTCTCCTGCCTCAGCCTCCCCAGTAGCTGGGACTACAGGCATGTGCCACCATGCCCAGCTAATTTTGTATTTTTAATAGAGACAGGGTTTCTCCATGTTGGTCAGGCTGGTATCAAACTCCCAACCTCAGGTGATCTGCCCACCTCGGCCTCCCAAAGTGCTGGAATTACAGGCATGAGCCACCATGCCCAGCCTCCCATTATTAGGAAATAGTAGTGAGAGAGTCAGGTGTGAAGGGGTCCCCAGAAAAACTCCAGCCAGCCTGCGCACTGGGGTGGAGCCTTGGGGAGTTTGCCCATTGGCAGCAGAGAGGAACCTGGCCCCTATTCTTCCTGTGTGGAACCTGAGATACCTGGGTGGGAAGCACGCTAACAGGGCCTCTGGCCTTGTGGGGTGTCCTTGTTTCCCCCTTTTCTTCCTTTTCACCCAATAAAACCCTGTCTTACTCACCATAAAAATTGTCTGCCAGCCTGAATTTTCGTGGCCATGGGACAAAGAACCCCATCTTTAGCTGAACTAAGAAAAAGTCCTGCAACTGTAGCACATCAACATAAAATAATTCAGTGTAAACCTAAAGTCATAATTAACAATAAAAATAGCTTATGGCCAAAACTACAGGTGGGATTTCACATGGCAGATGTTCTAAATGGATTTTGAGCTCAAAGTTGGAATATCTCATACCAGCTTTTACAATTATGCAACTAATTGCAGTTAGCCTAGATCGCGCCATTGCACTCCAGACTGGGTGACAAGAGCGAAACTCCGTCTAAAAAAAAAAATGCAGCTAGAGTTCTCATCCTTCATCTAGACTTTCTAGTCAGTGACCTCAAGCCTGGGTGGAAGTATAGGTTTTGTCAATAGTTCAAGCCAACTATTTTTTGTTCAATAAAGATAATATCAGATATATCAGGAACATCACACCTAATTGACAGGGGAGTACCATCTGGTGAAACTTTGGGCAATTAATGCCTCTGAACTTTTAACAAATCCTCTAAGGCAGGCCTGACTGCACTATGGAGTGCTGGTGAGATTTAGAAGAGATGACAGACATGCAATCGAATGAAAGACCGCAAAGCAGGAGCTAGTTAGCAATCATCAAAATAAATATCACCATCACCCCCTCTTTTTACAGATCATTGTCTGTTAAGACCCCATCGCAGAGAAGTTAAAGAGCTTCAATCACCATGCTTTCAGGGTCAATTTGTCTCCGAAAAGGAACAGATGGGGAAGAATTATTCCATTCACAGTTGACTTGTCAGAAATTCCAAGATCTTGGACTGTAAGTAAACGAACGACCTTGCTTATGAAATCACGAATTCCCTTTTGTAGGAAAGTAAAATTGTTGTCACTAGCCCAAAGTCTAAATACACACTCACCTTCCATATATTTTCAGCTCCTAGTCAGGGAAGAATCTGCTTCTGTAAAAGGTTTGCAAGGTGCATGTGGTTTGCAAAGTGGCTGTTGTTGGTATTGATGGTGAGGGGGAGGAAGGGGAGAAGGACAGAGCTATACAGGTTCCCTGAGAGTTATCCCATTTAAATTGTTAGCGTTAGCTGTGTTAGCCTTCAGCCTAATCAAAAGCTCACCACAAATGTTGCAATGGAAAAAACAAACAAAAATCCTTTAAATGGCAGGAACAAAGCAGAAAAAGAGGGAAAATGAAACAACCTGCCATTGTGGGAGGACTCCTGCTCCAATACACAGCAGTCTCTCCCAGAATGAGCAATTCCAGGCACAGTGTACAAACAGGCAGTTGATAAGAAGGGGCACACCGGGCTGTCAGCTTCTCCGTGGCCTACCTGAGGTCCATGACTCTGTAGGAAGAAGATGTAGCTTTATATTAATATTTGTACAAAATTGATGAACTAAACCAAATAGACAACTGAGAATCTGGCTCAATATCTGCCAAATTCCAACCTCACCTTTGTCAAATTGCACTGTATTTTTTCTTCTGTGAGAAAAACAAGAATGAAAGCAAGTCTGGATATTTTCATATAATCTCAAACCATCTATTGAAATAGAATGAAAAAAGGCAAAGCTGGACAAGTTGGGCTTCTACTTATAGAAGAAAAACTTTGACTTTATATTTAAATATTTTAACATACATTTATGATAGAGGAAAAGATCTATTATGTTTTTGCTGCAAAGTATAGTATTCCCTGTTTCTAAATCCTTCCTTTTATTTCACCAACAATATATATACTGCCTGTATGATTGAGCAGTTAAGTAGGAGGAAAATAAAATTCAAGAATTGTACAAATAGATTTTTGAAATTAGCAAACTTTAAAAGTAGAAAAGAGGCTTGTAAAAACCAAATAAACAGCCGAAAAAAAGAAAGCAAATATTAAAACAAAAGTACAAGGACAGTGAGGAAAATTTTGGTTAGTGACTCTCAAATATAATGAAAAGTGAACATCTGTTCGTTTTTATCTCAAAAGTAAATTTTATCTCCACACATTCGAAAGAAAACCAAGCAGCATTAGGGTCATAGTCAGAGAAGGATAGAGATCACCTAAGACTCCAAACCACTGTCATATTTTAATGACACAGTAATATAACAAATTAGATACGGTCCTAATTTGTTAAAGATGTTAAACAGCACTAACAGGACAACCTAGATGGCGATAAGATTGGCATCAGATTAAGATTGGCCTCACTGGGTGAAAAATGCAAAAGAGTATAAAGTGTTCTGTAAATATGTAAATCCAAGTATGTATGTTTGAAAATTTCTCAGGTTACTTTTTCCCTGGCCTAGTCACAGAACACTGTAAATAAATCAGTGCTATCAGATTCTCATAGTTCCACCTCACTCTGCCAGTCAGTATTTCTGCAATCACTGTTTCCCTGGGAAATAGTAGGGTTCCCACCTTGGCAGTGGTTGATAGATGAAAATAAATTGTAGAGCCCATCAAAATCCACTACTGCCTCCAGTTTACATCACCTTTTTGAGAGACCATGATCACAGAGAGGAAGGGTAGAGGGACCTGCTAACACTCCCCCTTTTCACATTGTCATTTGATAATCCCTGGGAATAATACAGGGTATTCTGGACTCTGATTCATTTGATATTGGGAAATCAAGGTGGAAAACAAGAAATTGTTGTAGCAAGAGCATTTAGGTGACTGATACTGTTTGATATCCGTGCATCCCTTCCAAAGCCTAAGAATTCTCTCGTTAGACAGAACCCCTAGAATTTAGGGGTGTCAGAGAAAGGTTGGTTCTCAGTCTATATCTCACACATTCCTCTATTCCTGTGACACAGGGCTGAAAGCAATGATGTTGCCATTCATCCTTTCACGTATTCATTATGGTCTACAGCTGAGAAGGGCTATTTGGGGTTTGCTTTGCCTGATGGTAGCAGAAGAAAACCAAGAGGCCTCTCTACGAAAGCTTGCAGTAAGGAGAAAGGTAAAATGTTAAGTCTAAAGAGAACCAAAGAAATCACCTGGTCCAACCTTTTCATTCTACAAGTGGGAAAACTTGCAGAAAGTTGCTTAATTTTTCTGGATCTGAGGCACACAGTTCATTTATTATGATCATATGAAGAGAGCTCACGGATGCCATTATTAATAGTCCAAATCGTACAAGACGGCTAACAGTTTCTCTTAAAAGCCTGTTGGATTTACATTTAAAATCTATGTCTGCCAATATGAACCAGATTTGTGACCTTAGTTACATTTTAAATATTTGCAAACTGAGGGTGTGGAAAGTTAAATAATTTGCCTAGTATATAGAGTGTGCTCTGTGGATTTGATGGGTTCTCTACGTGCTTAGATAAGAGATCATCTTGCAAAGCCCTTGGCACAATGTGTGACACCACAATACATGGTACTTGATGAAAGAGGGCTAATAACAACATTATGATAATTATTGCTATTATTACTTGTCCATTTTGTGCTGCTGTGGCATAATGCCACAGACTGGATAATTTATAAAGAACTTGAATATTTTCTCACAGTTCTGGAGACTGGGAAGAGCAACACAAAGATATTCAGTTGCTTGGTGAGAGCTGCTCTCTGCTTCCAAGGCGGCACCTTGTTGCTGCATTCTCCAATGGGAAGGAACGCTGGGTCCTCACATGACAGAAGGTGGAAAGGTAAGTGCACTGAATGCTGCGTGAAGCCTCTTTTGTAATCCCATTCTTGTGTCCTCATGACCCAATCACCCCTTAAATGCTTCACCTCTTAATATTATCACATTAGCAACCCTTGAGTTTTGAAGAAGACACATTCAAACCATAGCACTGCTACTATTACTAGCTTGGTGCAAAAGTAACTGTGGTTTTTACCATTGAAAGTATCACAGATGATAAATTCCTCTTCAAAAAGCTTTAGTTTCCTGTTCTTTGTTTTTCAAGACCAACTTCTTTGTACTTCCTTGTCTCCTAACTACCTGTTAAACAACACTTCTCGCCTTTGCTGTGCCCAGACAAGTCCAGACATGCCTTCCCGCCCAGTAACGGGCAGCCTCTACCTTCCCACCTAATTGACCCTATTCAATTTTAAACCTTAGCCAATCAGGTTAGCTTAGATTGTGCAGTCCAACCCCAGTCAATGGGGAAAAGACACAGCAGTAAGAACCAATTGCGTTACAAATAAAAACCCCTGCCCCATCCCGCTGGGAGTGCTCTTGTGATCATGACTGACGCAGGCAGCACCCTTCTCCAGAAGTAAATTTGCCTTGCTGAGGAATTTTTTGCCTAAGTGCTGGTTTTCTTTGCACTGCCGAGCAAAAGTAATACAAAAAAACAATTACTTTTGCACCAGCCTAACACATAAAAATATCAGCTGCTCCTCTTCCGTGTCATCAATTTCCATCAATAATCTGCTTTTAAAGTTCCTGCCTTGTATTTCCTTCCCCCACACACTTGGGTCATATTTCTTCAACACAGCGCCCTATCCTGAACTGCATTTTGCCTCTTTCTGAAGTCACTCCTGTGTGTGTCCATAATCAGCTAGCAAGCCTCTGTATTTCCTTGTGCTTGCAATTTCTGGACATTAGATGCTAAATTGCTGTCATGAGAAAGTGGCAAGTGACAGTTTGCCACATTTAACCATTATAAAACTCACTCTACCAAAACAAACAAAGCATAGAGAAATGGTTTGAAGATCAAAAGGAATGTATATGTATATATAGGTGGTGTTGCCTCAAGTCAGAGGATTAAGTGAGTTAATGCTAAGGAAGTAATCAGCTTCAGTTAATGAGAGTGATTATCTTGGAAAATAGAACTGTCACTATTGCTTGCCACATAAAACAGTACATTTATTACTTTTGGATGCTAACTACTTTAACAGAAATATCATTCGTTTATACTGAGATGTTCCCCAAAGCTGCACTTTCATTAATGAAAATAAGACCCTTCTGGATTGTCAGGTTGTTATCTTCCTATCCCTGGAACCCTTCTGAGAGTTTTCTGATTGGGATCTAAGGGATTGCTGGGTGCTCACTTTCTGTGATGAGTTGCCTCTAGTAGTAATTTCATTTGCACCTCAGAAACAGTGTGGATGGCCTGAGGTGTGCCCCACGGCTGCCTTGGTGCCATCTTAAGATCTGACCTTGAAAGATTCTATAGAATAGGGAATCTTAGAGGTAAAAATCTTAGATTTGCAAAGCCAAAAGTAAAGCTGCATTATGTGGTGGGAAAGCCATTCAGCTCTTTACCTTCTCTTCCCTCCTTTTATAGTCAAACTGATTTATGGCATTTTCTTGACTTTATCTCCTGTCCCTTCCTCCTCAGTTGGCTCCAATTTGGCTCCTGTCCACTTCTCTACCGAAGAGCTCTCTTTAAAATTATTCATGATCTCTCTGTAACTAAATGAAATAAATATTTTTACCCTTTCTCTTACTTAACCTATCAACAGTATTTTTCCCCCAAGACTGAGATCTAGATCTTGCTGGAGAAGTCTCAGCTGTGGCTTACAATGCAGAAGTGGTTTTCTGAGATGCAGCACCAGAGACACTTGCTGAGAACCCTGGTAGAAATCTGTCCTCTGAGGTGCCAGGGAAATAGTCTGAGGCAGATGGCTTCATTCAGAAGTAATTTCAAAGTTGCTTAGTAGCCTACCAGAGGAAGCTACTGGGGATATTGCTGACCCCCTTGTTTTGCAGAATGGCACTGCAAGAGTGATCCACTGTAGGTACTTGAGAGAGGATGCTCAAGCTAGGGGAAAAAACTCTTTCCTCCTCCAGTTTTCATCCAGAGCCCTCTAATGACAAACACATGAATCTAACTGGCAAATGATTACAGAATTCATCTACATTATTGAAGAACACACAATAAAGGCAAGAAAGGGTGTATTTGGATGGGAAA
Source organism: Homo sapiens (assembly GCF_000001405.40). Lineage (NCBI taxonomy): Eukaryota > Metazoa > Chordata > Mammalia > Primates > Hominidae > Homo > Homo sapiens. Next base: position 108,038,146 of record NC_000010.11, on the reverse strand, counting down.
AGCAACACGTTATTAAGAAACAGGTTGACCTAGTCAACCCTACTGAGTTTGGGATTCTCTCAGTTGTCACACAGAAATTAGTATATAGAAATCTCAAAGGAACTGTAAACTTAATTTATTCAGGAATGAATACATGAACTTTCTCCTCAAATTGGTCCCTCTTCAGCTTCACTATCTGTTTTTTTGAAGTCAGAAACTTAGAAAGAAACCTTAAATTTCCTTCTTGTTATATATCCAAAACACCATGAACTCTTGACTAATCTCTTAGCTCCTACTGAGATCTCTCCATCTAGGTTTCTATCTCCAGCCCTGGGTATAGAGCCTAGTGTATAACAGGCAACCAATAAGAATTTGATGAATTAATAAAACTTTATATGGTAGACTAAATTATGTCCCCTCCAAGATAGATGTGTCTTATTCCCTAAAAACTGTGAGTATTACTGTAGAGGAAAGAGTTTGACTTTGCCTAGAGGAAAGTTCGGCCTCTGCCTTTGGCTTTTGGGAGATAATCTATTTCATACCTGCTAGGAGTATCTTTTTTCACGGCAGAAGCTGGGCCACAGCAGATCTTAGGGTAGAACCGTCCATACCTGACAGTCAAAAATTAGAGGCAGACCATGCAAGAAATTCCAGTCATGTGACTAAAGATGGGGACTTCGGGTCATGATATCAAATGATCTGAAGACTGAGTTTAACCCTATGGGCAATCACTCACTCATTCAATCAATCATACCTATGTAATGACACCAAAGCTTGGGTATCTGTGAATACCAAAATACTGGACACCAAAATTCTGGACATCAAAACTTGTGTGAGCTTGCCTAGTTGACAATACTCCATGCATATTATTACCCATCAATGTCAGGATGGTATTGTGTCCTGAGGACAATAGAAACTTCCTATTTGGAAACTTGCCAGACTCTGCCCTGTGTGTCTTTTCCTTTGGCTGATTTTAATGGTATCCTTTCCCTGTAGTAATCCAAAAGTGTGAGTATAATAGCCTTCAATAAATTATGTAAGTCTTTCTAGCCAATTGTTGAAACTGAAAGTTTCAACTTTTGGAGCTCCCCACCCCAAACTTGTAGTTGGTGTCATTCTATGAGGCTTATACTTTCAGACCTTATGGTTTGGCTAATTCTGGGCAGTTATATGGTGAAAAGGACATTTTAGATATGGTTAAGGATCTTGATCTGTGAAGATACTCCTGAAATATCCAGGGGGGTTCTAAGTTGAATTAAGTGTATCCTTATATGAATAAGGCAGAGGGAGATTTGATACATACCAAAAAGAAGGCAATGGGATCTCTCATTGTTGATTCTTTCTTGGCTCTTCATTTGGTATTCTGCTTACAGTCAGTCTCTTCCATGTGCTCTCTCTCCTTTTCCCTCCACCTTTGGTAACTCCCCGTGCCTTTGTGGAAAGCTCTCATTTCTCTCGTTAGGCTTGCCTATTTCTTTCTCACACTTTTTCTTTTGAGTTGCCAGTCTTGCTCATCCACCCTTTGAGTTCCCCAAGTTTTATTTAGAAAGTGAGTACAAATAAAACTGCTTCAGAGCTCAGGCAATGTAGGCGAGCTTTGCCTTTTGAAAAATTTTATAGCTGAGTGATAAATCAAAATTATTATGGAGTGTTGACAGACTGTTAACTAATGCATCACTGGGGATGTTTTCACAAGGATTGCTGAACATAGGAGAGTAAATGCTTAATGGCCTTTGTAGTTAAAATAAGTCAGCAAACAGCAACAATGCATAAGAGCTATGGTGGTTACATAGGAGGTGGGAATTGCAATAAAGCTTGTCACTGAGAATAGACTGTCACCTGATCCAGAGTCAGGACTCCCAGAGTGGGGCAAGTACTTGGGGTCCAAGAAGGTAGGCAGCAAGAGGGTGTCTGGCAATTGGTCCCAGGACTAGGGCTTGTTAGCCAGAGAGCCAGTGGATCCTTCTCTTTTAGTAATCAGTTCCCGGTTTTCAGGTACTGGCTACTAGTACTAGAGTATAATCTTTCATTAAATAAACCAGGAAGGATTCAGTTACTAGTTTGGGGTATAGAGTAAGTGGTAGAGACTTCACCAGACAATTTACTGTCACTGCTAGGCACAAAGATATATTTCCCAGTCTCTCCACACTTCCACACAGTATGGGAGGAAATAGTTCATGCCACTTCCACTTTAGCCCATGAAGCCATCCCACACATCATGCATATCCTCCACTCTTTTTCTCCATTGGATGGTGTATTCGACACTTCTTTAAAGACAACAAATGGTAGAGGCATAAGATGGAAGGGGCTTGAGTCTCCACCACTTGCTCTCTCTTTCTCTCTCTCACTTATTTGCCCTTCAAGATCTAAACTCAACAAATACTCCCCAACTTTACCAAACATCTAAAGCAAAATAAATATCTGTAATTATCTGGAATATGACCACACTTAAAAAAATTAAACCAATTATAAAATACTTTTATAAACCCAAGTTTTAATTCTCCAATGCATATACAAGGCTTCTGAAAAATGAGACATAGGATGACTGCTTACTGCTCTTAGGGCCTAGCACAAAACAAGACATCAACCTCATAACTTCTGAATCCCTCTCAATGCATGACATTGAATAGATTTGGAGTTGAAATAAATGCAGACAAATTAAATTGGCATACAATGACATAAGCTTCTGCTCCAAGGATGAATGCCAATGTTAACTTTATCCCCTTATCCTCAGCTCTGGATTGTTTTCTCCCTCTATATAATTTATGTGTGAAATTTCTGAGGTTAAAAGGGGAGATTACAAACTTGAAATAACCATAAAACTCACTTTCTTTGGTGGAAAGTTGCTTTGAGCTTCAATTCAGGGGAAAACACTCATGAAAAATAGTACTTCTGGCCTTCCCATTATTACTAGATCATCATCCTTATATATCTTACCATATTTGACCAACACCAGAGGGCTTTCATGCCTGTTCTTTTCCAAATCCACTGGATGCAAGCCAGTCTCTTAATTGTGCACATGAGTGAATATGTAAGTGATGCCATGGGTTCTACACCATTCTGAGAAGCCATGAGTTAGTTCTTCAACCTTCTGAGAAGCAGTCATGGCATACACATTTTCCATAAAAAAAACTGCCGTAGTGCAATTAAAGGAGAAATAAATCTTGCTGTCTTGATGACAGCCTGTGAAACTGAAACCATGTAATATAGACTTCTCTGAGAAAATAGAAACTTATATTCTTTGACAGTGTAATTATTATGCTCTGTCAAATTACTTTGCTTTTTTCATAAAAATCACTTAATACTTCATGCAGAAATGACTTTTGCCATCAATTATCACTTTGGGGAAAGTTAATAATTTAGAAACTTTTATATTTAAAAATTGCAAATCCAATAGATACATGTGAAGCCATAACCAGGTTGTCCTCCCACCCTGAAACTTTGGGGTGACTGCTTCTGCCTCAAAGTAAGGCTCCAGAGAGAACAATTGGGTTGCACATTAAGAAAACTCTGTTTGGTATTTGGAGGTCAGATTGTCAATAACAATATCGGAAATAGCTTAAGAGGGTCTTGTGACTTTTATTTAGAAGAGAGACATTTTCTCTGTAGTAATAATTTTTGTCTTTTCCTTTATGACATTTTAACTGAAAGATCTCAGTTTTTCAAAGTCTATAGTTTCCAAGCTGATATTTACTGGTAAGCAAAATGCATTTTTATCTTTATGGCAGAAATTATAGTAATAATGATAATTTTATCTGGCATTTACTAAATGATTAATACACGCCTGACACTCATCTAGGTTTTTTACATATATTATCTTACTTAATTTCTTTAACAACATGAGAAAGTTTATGTCATTATCCCATTTTATAGATGAGAAAATAGGAGTGCAGTGATATTAAATAACTTTGCCAAGGTGGTGAAATTAATGTGTCCCACTGCGAATTTGTATCCAGATGGTCTGAGTCAAAACCAGCCATTGTAGTCAGCACACTTTACTGCTTTCCAATAATAGCTATTGATTATGGAGTGTTTACTCTTGAGCACATTCCACTTTTTATTCTTTTTTTTTTAAATTGTAATTTAAGTTTTGGGATACACGTGCGGAACGTGCAGGTTTGTTACATAGGTATACACATGCCATGCTTGTTTGCTGCACCCATCAACCCATCATCTACATTAGGTATTTCTCCTAATGCTATCCCTCCCCTAGCCCTCCACCCCCTGAAAGGCCCTAGTGTGTGATGTTCCCCTCCCTGTGTCCATGTGTCCTCATTGTTCAACTCCCACTTATGAGTGAGAATATGCAGTGTTTGGTTTTCTGTTCCTGTGGTAGTTTGCTGAGAATGATGGTTTCCAGCTTCATCCATGTGCCTGCAAAGGACATGAACTCATCCTTTTTTATGGCTGCAAAGTATTACATCGTGTGGGTGTGCCACATTTTGTTTATCCAGTCTGTCATTGACGGGCATTTGGATTGGTTCCAAATCTTTGCTATTGTGAACAGTGCTGCAATAAACATACGTGTGCATGTGTCTTTATAGTAGGATGATTTATTCTACTATAAATAAATGTAAATAAATAATGGGACCCAGCAATCCAATTACTGGGTATATACCCAAAGGATTATAAATCATTCTACTATAAAGACACATTTTTTTCTATTTGAAATTTACAACAAATGAGATACAGTGCAAATCAAGGTGCAGTGAGATACAGTGCAAGTTTATGTGTATTTCAACATCTAATGTTCTAGTAGTATAAAGATAAATTTAAATTTTTCTTTAAATATTTGAATGCTAAATTGCTTATCTTAATGCCCTTTTTGGTGATCACTGTAGAATTGGAAGCATCCACTATCTAGGAGAGATATATAAATGAATAATTTGGCGGGTTTTTCAAGTGTATTTGTGGTGATTATATTGCATTTGGCTCTTGTATCTTCAGTAAAAGAAGCCTTGAAGCACTTCACGTAAGCATTTTAGTTAACTCTCTCCATACTCAGGACATAGATATATCATTTCTATTAAGGCACAAATGTGGGAAGCACATCTGAGGCATTGAGGACAGATCCCTGGCCTCATGGGAGTGACTTAGGATTGATTATGGTGGAGATGGGTCTGTGAGAAGTTGAAGTCAGAAACAATACTCAAGAAACCCTAATGCCTAAAGTTCTCCCAGCAATAACTAACTTTCATAGAGTCCAGTGACCCTTTGATGATCAATTCATCAATACATTTTTATATAATAAAATATCCTGATTATTTTCCCTGTCCTCTTTTCTCGACTGGAATACAGGTCTGAAACAGAGGAGAGGTGTGGTGGTGAATAGAGAGATTATCTCTTTTCTGAATGACCCTAAACATTTCAGTCAATCTCAAACCACTGCCAATAGACTCTTAGGCACCTTTAGTTAGAGTCACCATTTCTTTTGTTATCATAGGAGTCTGGCTAGTTGGTGACTTTAAAAATCATGCTACATTTTGAAGCTATTTCTACCCAGTCTTCCTTCCTTCTGTCTCTCCTTTCACAGGTGTCAGATCTTCATTGTGGTTTGAAGGTTCTCTTCACCTACTCCCATTGTCTCTTTTTATCTTTCTCGGGTGTTTCCTCCAATAAATCCCTTACAAAACTCACCCCATGTTGGCATCTGCTTCTCAGAGGACCAAAACTAACTTATGTCAGCTCAGATACTTAAGTGATTGCAACTGTCTCTTGAGCAATATTATCTTTTGTCCATAAATTATAGTTGGCATTTTTCTTTTAATGATATGCACCACATTATCTAATAATTAATTATGCACGAGCTAGCATCCATCACTCATTTAAAGCCTCGAAAAATGGAAACCACTGGGCCCATTAATGTGTTGTCCACCCTTCTTTTTCTAGCTACCTCCCACCAGTCAGCAATGAAGTAGTCTATACCCTTTCTTTTGTAGTTACACTCAGATCTATTTTGAGACACTGACACTAGCTAGATGACTAAAAAAAAAAAAAAAATCCTTCTAAGCCTTAGTTCCTTCCTATCTGAAATATGGCATCAAGAGACTATAGTTAGTAATAATGTATTGCATACTTTAGGAAATCTTAAGTATTCTTATCCTCCCACACACATATATACAATGTAACTCTTTGAGGTGGTAGATGTGTTAATTAGCTTGATCGTGGTAATAATTTTACAGTGTATGCATATATCAAAACACCATGCTATACATCTTAAATACATTCTTACTTATCAATTATACCTCAATAAAGCTGGGGGAAAATAATCGAATGTGACAAACTATATAAAACACTTAGCACTAATGATAGCAATTTTAAAGAGCTCAACAAATATCTATTGCTGTTACTAATATTAAGACAGTTGTAGCTTTCAACAGACAGACCTTCAAAATCTCATAACTATAGAATTGTAAAGGTGGTTAAACTCTTCAGAAATCAGCTGGTGAAACTGAGGAGATGCAAACTCTTGATGACAAACTGAGAGTTGGTATCATGTGAAAGAAGTAGAAAGAATAAGCACCAGTTTTCTCTTAGTCCAGTCTTAACTCAGTGTTGCATAAATGTGTTAATGAGAATCCAGCCAAATCAGATGTCCCCTCAAAATTCATTATAAGCCCCTATTGAAAATGAGCATATAGACCTATAAAACCAATTCTAATTAGCCTTTTTATTCTTTGCTAATAAAACTTGAAACTTTCATTTGATCCAGTAAAACTCTTTATAACCTTTTTTTAAAAAAGGTCCTCCTTTAAAAGTCATTTTATATGTTCTAAGTAAAATAATTACTGATTTATAAAAAATGTATTCCTAATTCCACAATTACCTTTTTAAAAATTGCTATCTCAATAATGCTTAGTCTGAGATTTGTCTATGAAATAAATTACTTTATTTAATGTGTACTGTAATTTTCTCTCAAATAATTACTTAGGAATTGTAGAGAAAGTGATGTGGGCTGAGAAACTCTAGTGTATAATTTTGGACCTGATCTCCCTGGCACAAATTAGGCAATACTCAACATTGATTGCTATGAAATAAGGCTGAAGTCCATTGCTCAAGTGCTGGGACGTGTGTGTGTGTGTGCATACATGTGTGCTCACATGTGCACGTTTGTGTGTGTGTACAATTTTGCTTGTCATCTATCAATTGATACTTCGGTTGCCTCCACATTTTAGCTATGGTGAATAAGGGCGTTATGAACATAAATGTAGAAACATCTCAAATATCTTTTTTAGACCCTATATTCAATTATTTGGGGTATATACCCAGAAGTGGAATTATTAGATCATATGGTAATTCTAGTTTTAATTTTTTGAGGAAATTCCACACTGTTTCCCACAGAAGCTGTACTATTTTACATTCCAACCAATACTGCACAAGGATTCCCATTTCTCCAAATACTTGTCAAAACTTTTTATTTTATTGTGTTTATAGTAGCCATCCTAATGAGTTTAAAGTGATATCTTATTGTAGTTCTGATTAGCATTTCCTAATGATTAGTAATGCTGAACATCTTTTCATTTGCTTTTTGGCCATATGTGAATCTCTTTTAGAGAAATGTCTATTCGAGCTTTTTGCCCATTTTTGCACTCAGTTGTTGTTTTTGTGGTTGTGTTTTAGAGTTTTCTCTGTATTCTGGATATTAATCTTTTATCAGATATGTAATTAGTAAATAGTTTCTCCCATTCAGAGGATTGTTTGTTTACTCTTTAGCTAGTATATTTTGATGCACATTTAAAAAAGCATTTCATGAAGGCCAATTTGTCTACTTTTTTTGTTGTCATTATTGCCTGTATGTTTGGTGTCATATACAATAAACCACATTGCCAAATCTAATGTAATGAAGATTTTGGCCTATGTTTTTTAAAGATTTTTATAGTTTAAGGTCTTATATTTAGTTCATGAATGTATTTTGAGTTAATATTTGTATATGGTGTTAGGTAATTACAAAGAACCACAAGTTTTTGTCCCCTCAAAATTTACATGTTGAAACCCTAAACCCAATGTGAGAATATTTAGAAGAGAGGCCTTTTAGAAGTAATTAGGCCATGCCAGTGGAGGCCTCATGAATTAGTGTCTTTATTAAGAAGCACACAAGCAAGGATCTAACAATTTCTCTTGTTATCATGTGTGGATATAATAACTTTGCAGCCTGCAACCTGAAAGAGGGCCCTCACCAGAAGCCGACCATGCTAGCAATTTGATCTCAGACTTCCAGCCTCCAGTAAAATGAGAAGTAAATTTATGTTGTCTATAAGCCACCCAGTTTGTGGCATTTTGTTGGAGCAGCTCAAACTGACTAAGACAGTAAGAGTCCAACTTCAATCTCTTGAATTGAAATAATCAGCTTTCCCAGCACTATTTGTTGAAAAGACTGCTGTATTCCTATGAAATGATCTTGACACTCTTGTTGAAAATCATGTGACCATACATGCAAGTGTTTTTTTTTTTTCTCGAATCACTAAATGTTTTGGTTACTATAGTACTATAGCTTTAGAGTAACTTTTGAAATCAGGAAGTATGAGCCCTCAAGCTTTGTTCTCCTTTATCAAATTGTTTTAGCTAGTCAGAGTTCCTTGAGCTCTCATATGAACTTCAAAAAGTTATTTTCTCTTTCTGCAAAAAATGTTATTTGGATTTTGATAGGAATTAGATTAAATCTCTAGATCACTTTGAATAGTATTGCCATCTTAACAACATTAGTCTCTCAATTCATGAGCGTAAGATTTCTTGACATTTATTTATGTCTTCTTTAATTTCTTTAGTGTGCTTTGCATTTTCATCGTCTTCCTCATCTGTGTTAGGTTTACCTTTAAGTATTTTAATGGTATTATAAATGGAATTGTTGCCTTCATTTTTTTGGATTGTTCATGGTTAATGTATATAACTGCAAGTAATTTTTGTGTGTTGTTTTTGTTCCTACTATACATACTTTTGCTGAATTCATTTATTAGTTCTAATAGGTTTTTGCAAAATACTCATTTTATACATTTAAGATTATATTATCTGTAAACAGAGATAAACTTACTTTTTTTTTTTTCAATTTTGAATGTCTTTTCTTTGTTTTTCTAACCTAATTCCTCTGGCTGGGACTTCCAGTACTATGTTGAATATAAGTGGCAAAAGAGGCATTCTTGCCTTGTCCCTGAACTTATAGGAAAAGCTTCCAGTCTTTCTCCATTGAACGTGATGTTCACTGTGGGTTTTTCATATTTAGCTTTTATTATATTGAGGTAGTTTCCCTTTTTTACTAGTTTGTTGAGTATTTTCTATCATCAATCCATGAGTTTTACTGAAATTTGTCAAATGCTTTTTATGCACCAATTGAGATGTCCATGTGAGGTTGTTTACTTTTATTCTGTTAATATGGTATGTTACATTGATAGACTTACTTTTTATTGTTTAAAACTTTAATTTTAATTTTTGTGGGTATATAACAGGTGTATATATTTGTGGGGTACATGAAATGCTTCAATACAAGCATGTAATGTGTACTAATTACATCATGTAAAATGGGTATCCATCCCCTCAAGCATTTTTGTGTTATAAACAATCCAGTTATATTTTTTTCATTACTTGAAATTTACAATTAAATTGTTATTGACTATAGTTACCCTGTTGTGCTACCTAATACTAGGTCTTATTCATTCTTTCTAACTATTGTTTTGTACCCGTTAACCACCCCCACCTTTCCTCCAACCCCCACCCCCACATTGATTGGCTTACATATGCTGAACCTTCAGTACATTCTATGAATAAATTTGACTTGGTCATGGTATGTAATCCTTTTGATATGCTGCTGAATTTTGTTTTTGAATATTGCAACAATATTCATCAGGGATATTGGTGTGAGGTCTATTCTTGGAGTGTCTTTGTATGGCTATGGTATCAGGGTAATGCTGCTCTCATAGAATCAGTTAGAAAGTGCCCAGTGGTTCATGCCTGTAATCCCAGCACTTTGGGTGGCTGAGGCAGGCAGGTCAGTTGAGGTCAGGAGTTTGAGACCAGCCTGGACAACATGTCAAAAACCTGTCTCTACTAAAAATACAAAAATTAGCCCAGCATGGTGGCTTGCACTTACAGTCTCAGATACTTGGGAGGCTGAGGCAGGAGGATCACTTGATCCCAGGAGGTGCAGGTTGTAGTGAGCCAAGAGCACACTAATGCACTCCAGCCTGGGGAGTGGGAGTGAAACCCTGTCTGAAGAAAAAAAAAAGTATCCCTCCTCTTCAGAGTTTTGGAAAGTCTTGAGAAGGATTGGTGTTAATTCTTATTTAAATATTTGGCAGAATTCACCCATGAAACTATCAGGTCCAGGGCTTTTTTTGCTGAATGATTTTTTATTACTAATTCTATATTTTTGCTATCTTTAGGGCTACTGAGGGTTTTTTAAATTTCTTTGTGTTTTAGGTTAGGTAGGATTTGTGTTTTGAGGAGTTGGTCAGTTTCATCTAGGCTATCCAGTATGTTGGTATAAAATTATTCATTGTACTCTCTTTTAATCCTTTTTATTTCTGTAGAATTTTTAGTAATATTCACACTTCCATTTCTTTTTTTTTAAGAGGAGTATACATGCGATTTTTTTTGCTAATCATTTCAGAAGTGGACAAAATGGTTATGTATAACTGGAGCCCTACATTCTATGAAAATGAATTTGATTATATATATTTTCTTTTTAAATTATACTTTAAATTCTTGGATACATGTGCAGAACATGCAGGTTCGTTACATAGGTATATATGTGCCATGGTGGTTTGCTGCACCCATCAACCCATCATCTACATTAGGTATTTCTCCTAATGCTATACCTCCCTTAACCTCCCACCCCTGACAGGCCCCAGTGTGTGATGTTCCCCTCTCTGTGTCAATGTGTTCTCATTGCTCACCTCCCACTTAGAGTGAGAACATGCAGTGTTTGGTTTTCTGTTCCTGTGTTAGTTTGCTGAGAATGATGGTTTCCAGCTTCATCCATGTGCCTGCAAAGGACATGAACTCATCCTTTTATATGGCTGCATAGTATTCCATGGGGTATATGTGCCACATGTTCTTTATCCAGTCTATCATTGATGGCCACTTGTGTTGGTTTCAAGTCTTTGCTATTGTGAATAGTGCTGCAATAAACATACATCTGTATGTGTCTTCATAGTACAATGATGTATAATCCTTTGGGTATATATGGAGCAATGGGATTACTGGGTCAAATGGTATTTTTGGTTCTAGATCCTTGAGGAATCACCACACTGTCTTCCACAATGGTTGAACAAATTTACACTCCCGGCCAGGCACAGTGGCTCATGCCTGTAATCCCAGCACTTTGGGAGGCCGAGGTGGGCAGATCACCTGAGGTCAGGGGTTCGAGATCAGCCTGGCCAACATGTTGAAACCTTGTCTGTACTAAAAATATGAAAATTAGCCTGGTGTGGTGGCACGTGCCTGTAACCCCAGCTACTTGGGAGGCTGAGGCAGGGGAATTGCTTGAACCTGGGAGACGGAGGTTGCAATGAGTTGAGATCATGCCACTGTACTCCAGCCTGGGTGACAGAGCAAGACTCCATCTCAAAAAACTAGTAATAAAATAATTTACACTCCCATCAACAGTGCAAAAGGGTTCCTAACTCTCCATATCCTCTCCAGCATCTGTTGTTTCCTGACTTTTTAATGATCGCCATTCTAACTGGAGTGAGATGGTATCTCCTTGTGGTTTTGATTTGCATTTGTCTAATGACCAGTAATGATGAGTTTTTTTTCATATGTTTGATGGCCACATAAATGTCTTCTTTTGAGAATTATCTGTTCATATCCTTTGCCCACTTTTTGATGGGGTTGTTTGTTTTTTTTTCTTAGAAATTTGTTAGTTTCTTGTAGATTCTGGACATTGGCCCTTTGTCAGATGGATAGACTGCAAAAATTTTCACCCCTTCTGTAGGTTGCCTGTTCACTCTGATGATTGTTTCTTTTGCTGCGCAGAAGCTCTTTAGTTGAATTAGATCTCATTTTTCTATTTTGGCTTTTGTTGACATTGCTTCTGGTGTTTTAGTCATGAAGTCTGTCTATGCCTATGTCCTGAATGTTATTGCCTACGTTTTCTTCTAGGCTTTTTATGGTTTTAAGTCTTACATTTAAGTCTTTAATACATCTTGAGTTAATTTTTGTATAAGGTGTAAGAAAGGGACCCAGTTTCAGTTTTCTGCATATGGCTAGCCAGTTTTCCCAACACCATTTATTAAATAGAGAATTCTTTGCCCATTGCTTGTTTTTGTCAGGTTTGTCAAAGATCAGATGGTTGGAGATGTGTGGCATTACTTCTGAAGCCTCTGTTCTGTTCCTTTGGTCTGTATATCTGTTTTGGTATCAGTACCGTGCTCTTTTGGTTACTGTAGCCTTGTAGTATAGTTTGAAGTCAGGTAGCATGATCCCTCCAGCTTTGTTCTTTTTGCTTAAGATTGTCTTGGCTATGCAGGCTCTTTTTTGGTTCCATATGAAATTTTAAATAGTTTTTTCTAATTCTGTGAAGAAAGTCAATGATAGCTTGATAGGGATAACATTGAATCTATAAATTACTTTGGGCAATATGCCATTTTCACAATATTGATTATTTGTATCCATGATCATGGAATGTTTTTCCATTTGTTTGGGTCCTTTCTTATTTCCTTGAGCAGTGGTTTGTAGTTCTCTTTCCAGAGGTCCTTTACATCCCTTATAAGTTGTATTCCTAGGTATTTTATTCTCTTTGTAGCGAGTGTGAATGAGAGTTCATGCATGATTTGGCTCTCTGTTTGTCTATTATTGGTGTATAGGAATGCTTGTGATTTTTACACATTGATTTTGTATCCTGAGACTTTGCTGAAGTTGTTTATCAGCTTAAGGAAATTTTGGACTGAGACGACGGGGTTTTCTAAATATACAATCATGTTGTCTGCAAACAGAGAAAATTTGACTTTCTCTCTTCCTATTTGAATACCCTTTATTTCTCTTTCTTGCCAGATTCCCTTGGCCAGAACTTCCAATAGTATGTTGAATAGTAGTGGTGTGAGAGGGCGTACTTGTCCTGTGCCAATTTTCAAAGGCAATGCTTCCAGCTTTTGATCATCTTTATGACATTGGCTGTGGGTTTGTCATAAATAGCTCTTATTATTTTGACATATATTCCGTGAACACCTAGTTTATTGACAGTTTTTAGCATGAAGCGGTGTTGACTTTTATCGAAGGCCTTTTCTGCATCTGTTGAGGTAATCATGTGGTTTTGTCATTGGTTCTGTTTATGGGATGGAATACATTTATTGATTTGTGTATGTTGAACCAGACTTGTTTCCCAGGGATGAAGCCAACTTAATTGTAGTGGATAAGGCTTTTGATGTGGTGCTGGATTCGGTTTGCCAGTATTTTATTGAGAATTTTTGAATCGATGTTCACAGGAATATTGGACTAAAATTTTCTTTTTTGTGTGTGTCTCTGCCAGGTGTTGGTATCAGGATGATGCTGGCCTCATAAAATGAGTTAGAGAGGAGTCCTTCTTTTTCTATTGTTTGGAATAGTTTCAGAAAGAATCGTACCAGCTCCTCTTTGTACCTCTGGTAGAATTTGGCTGTGAATCCATCTGGTTCTGGGATTTTTTTTTTTTTTTTTTTTTTGGTTAGTAGGCTATCAATTACTGCCTCAATTTCAGACTTGTTATTGGTCTATTCAGGGATTTGATTTATTCCTGGTTTAGTCTTGGGAGGGTGTAGGTGTCCAGGAATTTATCCATTTTTGTAGATTTTCTAGTTTATTTGTGTAGAGGTGTTTATAGTATTCTCTGATGGTAGTTTTTATTTCTGTGTGATCAGTGGTGATATCCCCTTTATCATTTTTTATTGTGTCTATTTGATTCTTCTCTCTTTTCTTCTTTATTAGTCTGGCTAGTCATATGTCTATTTTATTAATCTTTTCATAAAACCAGCTCCCAGATTCATTGATTTTTTTTGAACAGTTTTTCGTGTCTCTATCTCCTTCAGTTCTGTTCTGATCTTAGTTATTTCTTGTCTTCTGCTAGCTTTTGAAATTGTTTGCTCTTGCTTCTCTAGTTCTTTTAATTGTGATGTTAGGGTGTCGATTTTAGATCTTTCCTGCTTTCTCCTGTGGGCATTTAGTGCTATAAATTTCCCTCTAAACACTACTTTAGCTGTGTCCCAGAGATTCTAGTCCATTGTATCTTTGTTCTCATATGTTTCAAAGAACTTATTTATTTCTGCCTTAATCTCTTTATTTACCCAGTAGTCATTCAGGAGCAGTTTGTTCACATTCCATGTCGTTGTGCAGTTTTGAGTGAGTTTCTTTTTTTATTTTATTATTATTATACTTTAAGTTTTAGGGTACATGTGCACAACGTGCAGGTTTGTTACATATGTATACATGTGCCATGCTGGTGCGCTGCACCCACTAACTCGTCATCTAGCATTAGGTATATCTCCCAATGCTATCCCTCCCCCCTCCCCCCACCCCACCACAGTCCCCAGAGTGTGATATTCCCCTTCCTGTGTCCATGTGTTCCCATTGTTCAATTCCCACCTATGAGTGAGAACATGTGGTGTTTGTTTTTTTGTCCTTGTGATAGTTTGCTGAGAATGATGGTTTCCAGGTTCATCCATGTCCCTATAAAGGACATGAACGCATCATTTTTTATGGCTGAATAGTATTCCATGGTGTATATGTGCCACATTTTCTTAATCCAGTCTATCGTTGTTGGACATTTAGGTTGGTTCCAAGTCTTTGCTATTGTGAATAGTGCCACTGTAAACATACGTGTGCATGTGTCTTTACAGCATGATTTATAATCCTTTGGGTATATACCCAGTAATGGGATGGCTGGGTCAAATGGTATTTCTAGTTCTAGATCCCTGAGGAATCGCCACACCGACTTCCACAATGGTTGAACTAGTTTACAGTCCCACCAACAGTGTAAAAGTGTTCCTATTTCTCCACATCCTCTCCAGCACCTGTTGTTTCCTGACTTTTTAATGATTGCCATTCTAACTGGTGTGAGATGGTGTCTCACTGTGGTTTTGATTTGCATTTCTCTGATGGCCAGTGATGATGAGCACTTTTTCATGTGTTTTTTGGCTGCATAAATGTCTTCTTTTGAGAAGCGTCTGTTCATATCTTTCGCCCACTTTTTGATGGGGTTGTTTGTTTTTTTTCTTGTAAATTTGTTTGAGTTCATTGTAGATTCTGAATATTAGCCCTTTGTCAGATGAGTAGGTTGCAAAAATTTTCTTCCATTCTGTAGGTTGCCTATTCACTCTGATGGTAGTTTCATTTGCTATGCAGAAGCTCTTGAGTTTAATTAGATCCCATTTGTCAATTTTGGCTTTTGTTGCCATTGCTTTTGGTGTTTTAGACATGAAGTCCTTGCCCATGCCTATGTCCTGAATGGTATTGTCTAGGTTTTCTTCTAGGCTTTTTATGGTTTTAGGTCTAACATGTAAGTCTTTAATCCATCTTGAATGAATTTTTATACAAGGTGTAAGGAAGGGATCCATTTTTGGCTTTCTACACATGGCTAGCCAGTTTTCCCAGCACCATTTATTAAATAGGGAATCCTTTCCCCATTGCTTGTTTTTGTCAGGTTTGTCAAAGATCAGATAGTTGTAGATATGCAGCATTATTTCTGAGGGCTCTGTTCTGTTCCATTGGTCTATATCTCTGTTTTGGTACCAGTACCATGCTGTTTTGGTTAGTGTAGCCTTGTAGTATAGTTTGAAGTCAGGTAGCGTGATGCCTCCAGCTTTGTTCTTTTGGCTTAGGATTGACTTGGTGATGCGGGCTCTTTTTTGGTTCCATATGAACTTTAAAGTAGTTTTTTCCAATTCTGTGAAGAAAGTCATCGGTAGCTTGATGGGGATGGCATTGAATCTATAAATTACCTGGGCAGTATGGCCCTTTTCACGATATTGACTCTTCCTACCCATGAGCATGGAATGTTCTTCCATTTGTTTGTGTCCTCTTTTATTTCATTGAGCAGTGGTTTGTAGTTCTCCTTAAAGAGGTCCTTCACGTCCCTTGTAAGTTGGATTCCTAGGTATTTTATTCTCTTTGAAGCAATTGTGAATGGGAGTTCACTCATGATTTGGTTCTCTGTTTGTCTGTAATTGGTGTATAAGAATGCTGTGATTTTTGTACATTGATTTTGTATCCTGAGACTTTGCTGAAGTTGCTTATCAGCTTAAGGAGATTTTACAGCGGTGGCTGCAGAACAGCAGATATTGAGTTTCTTAATCCTGAGTTCTAATTTGATTGCACTGTGGTCTGAGAGACTGTTATGATTTCCTTTCTTTTGCATTTGCTGAGGAGTGCTTTATTTCCAATTATGTGGTCAATTTTAGAATAAGTGCAATGTGGTGCTGAGAAGATTTGCGGTGGAGAGTTCTGTAGATGTCTATTAGGTCTGCTTGGTCCAGAGCTGAGTTCAAGTCCTCAATATCCTTCTTAATTTTCTGTCTCGTTGATCTATCTGATATTAACAGGGGGGTGTTAAAGTCTCCCACTATTATTGTATGGGAGCCTAAGTCTCTTTGTAGGTCTCTAACAACTTGCTATATGAATCTGACTGCTCCTGTATTGGGTGCATATATATTTAGGATTGTTAGCTCTTCTTGTTGCATTGATCCTTTTACAATTATGTAATGCCCTTCTTTGTCTTTTTTGATCTTTGTTGGTTTAAAGTCTGTTTTATCAGAGACTAGAATTGCAACTCCTGCTTTTTTTGCTTTTCGTTTGCTTGGTAAATATTCCTCCATCCCTTTATTTTGAGCCGATGTGTGTCTTTGCACGTGAGATGGGTCTCCTGAATACAGCACACCGATGGGTCTTGACTCTTTATCAAATTCACCAGTCTGTATATTTTAATTAGGGCATTTAGCCCATTTACATTTAAGGTTAATATTGTTATGTGTGAATTTGATCCTGTCATTATGACGTTAGCTTGTTATTTTGCCCATGAGTTGATGCAGTTTCTTCATAGTGTTGATGGTCTTTGCAATTTGATATGTTTTTGCACCGGCTGATATTGATATTTAGTGCTTTCTTCAGGAGCTCTTATAAGACATGCCTGGTGGTGACAAAAATCTCTTAGCATTTGCTTGTCTGTAAAGGATTTTATTTCTCCTTAGCTTATGAAGCTTAGTTTAGCTGGATATGAAATTCTGGTTTGAAAATTCTTTTCTTTAAGAGTGTTGAATATTGACCCCCACTCTCTTCTGGCTTGTAATGTTTCTGCCAAGAGATCCACTGTTAGTCTGATGGGCTTCCCTTTATATGTAACCCAACCTTTCTCTCTGGCTGCCCTTAACATTTTTTCTTTCATTTCAGCCTTGGTGAATTTGAGGATTATGTGTCTTAGGGTTGCTGTTCTTGAGGAGTGTCTTTGTGATGTTCTCTGTATTTCCTGAATTTGAATGTTGGCCTGTCTTGCTAGGTTGGGGAAGCTCTCCCAGATAATATCCCAAAGAGTGTTTTCAAACTTGGTTCCATTCTCCCCATTACTTTCAGGCACAATAATCAAATGTAGGTTTAGTCATTTCACATAGTCCCATATTTCTTGGAGGCTTTGTTCATTCCTTTTCTTTCTTTTTTCTGTAATCTTGTCTTCATGCTTTATTTCATTAAGCTGATCTTCAATCTCTGATATCCTTTCTTCCGCTTCGTCAGTTTGGCTACTGATACTTGTGTATGCTTCACAAAATACTCATGCTATCTTCTTCAGCTCCATCAGGTCATTTATGTTCTTCTCTAAAGTGGTTATTCTAGCAATTTCTCTAACTTTTTTCAAGGTTCTTAGCTTCCTTGCATTGGGTTAGAACATTATCCTTTAGCTCAGAAGAGTTTCTTATTATCCACCTTCTGAAACCTACTTCTGTCAATTTGTTAAACTCATTCTCTGTTTGTTCAGTTTTGTTCCCTTGCTGGCAAGTTGTGATCCTTTGGAGGCGAAGAGGCATTCTGGTTTTTGGAATTTTCAGCCTTTTTGTGCTGGTTTGTCCTCATATTCGTGGATTTATCTACCTTTGGTCTTTGATGTTGGTGACCTTCAGATGGGGTTTTTGTGTGGATGTCCTTTTGGTTGACGTTGATGCTATTCCTTTCTGTTTGTTAGTTTTTATTCTAACAATTAGACCCCTCAAAGATTGCTGTCTGTTCCCTCCTCTGGAAGCTTTGTCCCAGAGGGACACCCACCAAATGCCAACCCCAGCTCTCCTGCATGAGGTGTCTGTTTACCCCTGTTGGGAGATGTCTCCCCATCAGGAGGCACTGGGGTCAGGGACCCACTTGAGGAGGCAGTCTGTCCCTTAGCAGAGCTCGAGCGCTGTGTTGGGAGATCTGCTGCTCCTTTCAGAGCCAGCAGGCAAGAGTATTTAAGTCTGCCGAAGCTGCACCCACAGCCGCCCCTTCCCCCAGGTGCTCTGTCCCAGGGAGATGGGAGTTTTATCTATCCAGACTGGGGCTGCTGCCTTTCTTTCAGAGATGCCCTGCCCAGAGAGGAGGAATCTGGAGAGGCAGTCTAGCTACGGCAGCTTTGCAGAGCTGCAGTGGGCTCTGCCAAGTCCGACCTTCCGAGCAGCTTTGTTTACACTGTGAGGGGGAAACTGCTTACTTAAGCCTCAGTAATGGCAAACACCCCTTCCCGCATCAAGCTCAAGCATCCCAGGTGGACCTCAGACTGCTGTGCTGGCAAAGAGTATTTCAAACCAGTGGATCTTAGCTTTCTGGGATCCATGGGGTTGAGATCCGCTAAGCTATACCACTTGGTTCCCTGGCTTCAGCGCCCCATTTCCAGGGGAGTGAATGATTCTGTCTCACTGGCATGCCAGGTGCCACTGGGGTATGAAAAAAAAAAAAACTGCTACAGCTAGCTTGGAATCTGCCCAAACAGCCTCCCAGTTTTGTGCTTCAAACCCAGGTGCCTGGTGGTGTAGGCACTTGAGGAATCTCCTGGTCTGCAGGTTGCAAAGACCATGGGAAAAGCATAGTACCTGGGGTTGGAGTGCAGTGTCTGTCATGGCACAGTCCCTCACAGCTTCCCTTGGCTAGAGGAGGGAGTTCCCTGACCCCTTGCGCTTCCCAGGTGAGGCGATGATCAACCCTGCTTCTGCTTGCCCTCCGTGGGCTACAGCCACTGCCTTACCAGTCCCAAAGAGATAAGTCGGGTACCTCAGTTGGAAATGCAGAAATCACCTGCCTTCTGCATTGATCTCACTGGGAGTTGCCGACTGAAGCTGTTCCTATTCAGCCATCTTGCCAGCCACCCCTACACTTTCATTTCTTATTTAAGCAATCTCAGTCTTTCCTTTCTTCCTTAGTCCAGAGAGCTAAAGGTTTCTCAATCTTAATATTTTCAAAAACCAACTTTTGCTTTCACTGATTTCCTCTAAAACATTTCTACTCTGTATTTCTTTTATCTCTGCCCTAGTATTTATTATTTCTTTATTTATGCTATTTTTAGGTTTAGTATGCATTTTTTCTATTTATTTAAGTGGTTATTGATTTGATATCTTTTTTCTACTGTAAATGCTTATAAGTATAAAATTCTCCCTTAGCAGCAATTTCTCTATTTTCCATAAGTTTTGATGTGTTGCGTTCCTGTTTTTATTTGTCTCTAAGTGTTTTTTAATTTCTCTTGTAATTTGTGTCTTAAGTCTCTGATTATTCGAGTGTGTGGTTAAATTCCACAAATTTGTAAATTTTCTAGTTTATATTTTATTTCTGGCTTCTAGTTTTATCTGTTTGTGATTGAAAAATATACTTTGTCTGATATCTATTTTTTTAATCTGTTGAAACTTAATTTGAGGACCAACATATGGTCTATCTTGGAAAATGACTCATGTGTACCCTAGAGTGTGTATTTTATTTTTGTTGGGTAGAATTATTACGTATATGTCTTTAGGATCTAGTTAATTTGTTGTGTTGTTTAAGTTCTCTATATCCTTATCTTCTGTCTAGTTGTTCTATTTTATATTTAAAAAGAGGTTTATAAGTCTTCAAGTATTATTGTAGAACTCACTATTTCTCCCTTCAATTTTGTCAATTTTTGCTTAATATATTTTGATAGTCTAATATAAGATGCACACATATTTTTATTCTTATATATTCTTGCTATATTAGATATTTTACTTATATAAAATGTCCTTGTCTCTTATAAATGTTTTTGCCCTAGATTTTATTTTATATGATAGTAGTATAGCCATGAAATATCTATTTCATGAAATATTGTAGTATTACTATTGGGATGAAATATTCTTTTCCACACATTCACTTTCAACCAATTTGGATTTTTGGTTATAAATTAAGTCTCTTATAGACAACATATTATTGGGTCATCTGTGTTTATGCATTCTACCAATCTCTGAATTTTGATTGAAGAGTGTAATTCATTTATATTTAAAGCAACAACTGATAAAAGACTTATTCTGCTCTTTGCTATTTGTTTTATCTATGTCTTAGAGCTTTTTATTCCTCATTTTCTGTATTACTGTCTTTTATGTGTTTAGTTGATTTTCTTTCAGTGAAACATTTAGTTTCCATTTATTTATATTTTGTAGGTATTTTCTTTGTAGTTACAATGAGGGATTACATTTCACATCCTAGAGTTATTACATGTATTACAAATGTGAATTTATACCTATTTAACTTGAATAATATACTAAAAATCTGCACCTTTAATAGCCCTAACCATACCTCTTTCAGGTGTTAATAAAAATACATCTTCATAGAGTGTGTATTCAAATACATTAAAAACTTTTAATGTGTTATTCTCTTAAATTATATAGACAACAAAATGTGAAGTTACGAACCAAAGATACAGTAATACTAGCTTTTAGACTTACAACTTTTGATGTATTAGTCTACTAAATCATGCAAAAAATGGAATTGTACACTATTACTGCAATAATGCTAGCTTTTATAATTGCCTATGTATTTATTTTACTCAGGTATTTATTTCTTTTAATGAGTTACTTTATAATGATTTTGTTTGTTTGTTTGTTTTGTTTTGTTTTGTTTTTTCCATTTCAACGTGCAGGTCTCCCTGAGCATTTTTTGCAGGACAGGTGGAATGGTAACAATCTCACTCAGCTTTTGTTTATCTAGGAAAGTCTTCATTTCCCCCTCTCTTTTGAAGGACAATTTTGCCAGATATAAAATTCTTGGTTGACAGTTGTTGTCTTTTAGCACTTTGAATGTATCAACCCACTACCTTCTCCCCTCAAAAATTTCTGATGATAAATCTACATATAACTTTATTGAGGGTCCCTTGTATGGGATGAGTTGCTTCTCTCTCTCTGCTTTCAAGAATCTCTTTGTCTTTGGATTTTGACAATTTGATTGTGTCTCTCCATGGGGGTCTCTGAGTTAATCCTACATAAAGTTAATTGAGCTTTTGAGAATATTTATATTCATGTCTTTTATTAAATTTGGCAAAATTTCTGCCGCTATTTCTTCAAATATTCTCCCTTCATTTTTTCCTATTCTTTTGGAACTCACACAGTGTGCATATTCACCTGTTGGATGGTGTCCCACAGGTCTTTTAAATTCTGTTCACTTTTTTCAGTTTCTTTTCTGTTCCTCAGGCTTGATAATTTTGGTTGTCTTATCTTCAAATTCTCTGATTCTTACTTTTGCCTGATGAAATATGCCTTTGAATCCATCTAGATAAATTTTTTATTCTAGTTGTTGTATTTTTCAGCTCTGGAATTGTTTTTTGGTTCTCTAACTGTTTTATTTTCTGTTTTGTTTATACATCATTTTTCTTGACTTTATTCATGTCATACATTAGTTCTTGGAGCACTGTAAAGACAGTTGTTCTAGTCTTTGTCTGGTAGCTCTGCCAAGCATTTCATTTGTAGGCTGAGTTTCTGTTGTTTTTGTTTTTTACTTTTTATTAGCCATATTTTTCTTTTTCTTTTTATATCTTATAATCTTTTGTTGGAAAATGGACATTTCCATCTAATACTGTGGTAGCTCTGGAAATGAGGTCTTCTCCTTCCCCAGAATTTGTTGTTTTCAGTTTTTCTTTCTTTCTTTCTTTTATTTTTGGATCATATCTGTACCAAGTATTAGAGTGAGGTATAATCCTATGGTCTTTTCACGTCTTTTCTTAGTCCGTGCTTTCCCCTGGGCATGTGTGGTGACTTTCTAATTTTACCCATATATGAGAATGCCTTTGAGTGCCTTGGTCTTCAATGTATGGCTCCATAAAGAGGAAAAGGAAAAAGAGAGATGGGGGTGGCACCAGCACCAGTTCTTTAAGTCTCCTAGGAGACACCTCAGCCAGGGTGTGAGGTGCTTGAAACAATAAAAGGAGAGGCACCAATGGTTACCACCTTTATGTGCAACTCTTGTGATCAGAAGCAGTGATCAGTGATGAGAACCCAAATCCCTCATATTAGCAAAAAAAATGGTCCTTTGTTTTGCCCACTTGGGCTCCCAGCAGCTATGTGCAGGTTCTTCCTGGAATATGTGGCTGCATGCCATGGGGCTAAGGGGTGGGGTAAGTTAACTACTACTATGGTAAAAACTCAAATAAGACCGGAACACCTGAAATCCCAGCATATTGGGAGGCCAAGGCAGGCAGTTTGCTTGAGTCTAAGAGTTCAAGATCAGCGTGGATAACATAGCAAAACCCTGTCTCTACAAAAAATACAAAAAAAAAAATTAGCTGGACATGGTGGCCTGTGTCTGTAGTCCCAGCTACTTGAGAGGCTGAGGTAAGAGGATTGCTTGAGCCTGGGAGGCAGAGGTTGCAGTGATTCAAGATCTCACTACTGCACTCCAGTCTAGTTGGCAAAGCAAGACCTTGTCTCAAAAAAGAAAAAAAAAAAAAAAAAAAGAAAAAGAAAAAGAAAAACAAAACCTTCAAATTAACCAAAATTAGCAGAAATGTATTATTCAACTCTTCTTCTATAAGTTGCAAGCCTTAAATAGACTCCAGATTTACAAAACTGTTATATCAGACAGATTCTGACATTGCCTAGATAGGAAAACAGATTTCTGGTGCTGCCTACTCTGCCATATTCCCAGTACATGCTTAATGTTGATTGTTATTTCTGCCCTGCTGTTTGAAGGTGCATGTGAGAATGCGGTACTGGTGCTAATTCCTATACTCATTGTTCAACCCTGAATGAGTCATTTCTTCTTTCTGGGTTTTACTGATCTCATATGAAAAAGGTTTACTTGATGCATTTCATGTATTTAAAACCCAAGCAAGCAGTTAGGTATTATGCAGTTAGGTATTGGAGGTTGAAAGGTGCGTGATAAAGGAAATGAGAGAGTCTTCAAAGGTGTGGGTAAGTATTGCATTTATTGATCTATTCTCTGGTCATAAATTGCATTCACTTCATGAAAAATCAATGATTTATTCACTTTGTTATATTCCTGTTTTATTTCCACAAGAATATTTACTTTAAAGGAAAATAAACAACATAAAAGAGTCATACCTAGAATTTTCATTTGTTAAAAAATGCAGTTATAAATACATTTAAAAATAAGCAAATTGACAGGCAACAGAAAAATGCAAAACCTTATGTGATACTCATCTCTTTTGAGAGGTTACTATTTTCAGAGGAAGGCTGAGGTGATAAGTAACTGTTGAAAGAGAAAGACATACCAGTAGAAACCACATTTCTGCATGGTATGGTTTATTTTTGACAGCAAATGGTTAATTAAAAGACCGCCTAATAAAAGCTTCTCTTTAAAATATGTCTTGGAAACACAGGGTTTGATTTGTTTTATTAAGCTTTATTCTAAGACGTTATAGCTTTTAATAAATTGCACATAGAGGCAGTAAATTGAAACCTCTGGTTATAACAACCTTAGCACCTCAGCAGCCATGTTGTCCACCCTGTAATGCTGTTAATGCACAGCATAATGTAAAAGGATACTAAGGCTCTTAGAACACAGGAAGAGTGGGAGCAGGTGAATAGGGACACGATCAGTCCTGCTAACACTGATCACATTTGGATAAATGTAACCATTTTTTGTCATTAATGATAACTTTCAATTATGCCAGAACCTGTATATATAAGGAATGGGCTAGAGACAGTTGAGGAAAAGGAGAAAGAAAATGTTTGACTGTGGCAACTGAACACCACAGTATCTTCAAGTTGAGAATTGGAATTGAAATTCATTCTGACCGTGGTGGGTTCATTTCCTTCAATTGGACAAACATGAAGTTTCTTGGGTGCTTTGAGATGTAGCTCCTTGAGCAAGCTCAGGAGCAAAGACTATCTTCTTGTATTTTACTCAAAAGGCTAAGAATTCGTGTTGGAAAACTGCAGTTTTATACAATGAGAATCCATAGGAACGTAATTTGAATAACCATTATGAAGGAGCGTCTGGCAATCTCTAGCATATTGAGCATATGTACACCCTATGGCACAGCAATCTCACTCCTAGGGATATTCTCTAGAGAAACTCACTTTCCTGTGTAATTTGAGACATGTATAAATATATGTATAGCAGCATGTTGTTAATAGTAAAAAATAGAGAACAAAACTCCAACTTCTATCATATAAAAGTATGTTATATTTATACATTAAAATACTACTGAGCAGTAAGAAGAAATGTATTAGAATCTCTTGAGTAAAAGCAAGCTACAGAAGAAAAAAGAAACACGTATTTTGAAAGTATAAAAATAATACTATATATTTTTATGGATCTATGTAAAAGTAATAAACATAAGACACAGGAATGATAATTTGAAATTTATTATGGTGGCTGCTTCTGAAAACATTTGTAAAAAATTTAAAACTAGATTTATATTCCATCCACTTATCCATATGCCAATTTATATTTATATATCTATAATTGTGTGTGTGTGTATATATATATATCCAATAAATACAGACATATATAAATACAGATATATATATAAATAGATAAATATTGGATATATATATATATATATCTCCAATAAATGCAGAACTTCCTTCTTGTGGTATGCCCTTATCTAAGAGCTAAGAGATCAACAAAAGAAGACTACAATATATAGCCGTGTGTTGCTTAATGATGGGAATACGGTCTGAGAAATATATTGTTAAGTGATTTCATCATTGTGTGAACAACATACAGTGTACTAACACATATCTAGATGGCATAGCCTACTACACGCCTAAGCTATATGGTATAACCCATTGCTCCTAGGCTACAAACCCACACAGCATGTTACTGTACTGAATACTGTCAGCAATTGTAATACAATAGTAGGTATTTGTGTATCTAAACATATCTAAATGTATAAAAGTTCAGGTGCAGTGGCTCATGCCTGTAATCCCAACACTTTGGAAGGCCAAAGCAGATGGATTACTTGAATCTAGGAGTCCACACCAGCCTGGGCAACATGGCAAAACTCTATCCCTACAAAAAAATTAGCCAGGCATGGTGGCACACACCTGTAGTCCCATCTGCTAGGATGGCTGAGGTGGGAGAGCCCAGGAGGCTGAGGCTGCCATAATCGTGCCACTGCACTACAGCCTGGGGGACAGAACAATACCCTGTCTCAAAAAATAATCATAATAATAATTTAAAATAAACATAGAAAAGGTATAGTAAGAATAAAATATTATAATCATATAGGACCACCATTGTATATGTAGCGCATTGATGACCAAAACATCATTATGTGCCACATGACTGTAGTTCTTGTTCTCAATAGAATTATAGCTTATCTGGAAGACACATAGTAGCAGTTACACTATAGTGTAAGCATTTAGTAGTGGATAAAACTGTCTGAAATCGAGATAGAACATGAAACAAAAGTATAAAAAAACCCTGCCTTCCACGATGTGTCTGTGGATGGGGGAAATAATGTGTGTGAGGCAAAACTAACTCTGCAAGCACAGAATATAAATCCTTTCACTGAGTTCTTAATTTTTCTTTTCAAGATGCAATGAAATCCATTGACTTGACAAATGCTCCCATTCAAACCTCATCTTTTCAAGCAATTCTTACAATAGTCTGATGTTCTGCACAAAGAGTGGTTTTTGTCCTATGGAGCGTGCACATGTTTTTTTAAATGTAAGCTCTGTCTGTGAAATCAGATCACTGATAGGCGTCATATAAATTAGTCATTTTTTTTTTATTTCAAAAACACCATGTTTTCCACAAAATCCTTTATATAAGAACAAAATGCAACAGACTGGAGAAGAATTTTACCCTCAAGAGAGAACAAAGGTATAAGAGACATTTATGGTCATTCTTGACAATATTTGTGTGGTATCATGCAGAGGATATTAAGGGACAGAGGAGGCTAGGTCACATGAAAGGACCTTCTTCAACTCTGAGATTATTTAATTTCAGCTTTCAAAAGTGGTAAATGTCTTCAAATGTCACTCTGTATCTTTAAGAGTCTACCATTGTGGAGTGTCATCCATTGGTGTCTATATTTTATCGACATAGATTTTAGTCTAGTTACTGTTTGGATGATTTTTGAAAATAACAAGGCTGATGCAATTACATCATCTATTTCTGTCTTAAAATTATCTCTTTTGAAATTCAGATAGACTCTCTAGGTCTTGTATTTCATAAATTAGGATTTTATTTATTTAAATTTAGAGCTGAGTTCTTCTCGTCTGTCTATTTGTCTATATCATCTGAACACCACAGTAACTTCAAATTGAGAATTGGAATTGAAATTCATTCTGACCATGGTGGGTTCATTTCCTTGAATTGGACAAACATGGTGTTTCTTAGGTGCTTTGAGGCATAGCTCTTTGAGCAAGCTTGGGAGCAAAGACTATCTTCTTGTATTTTACTCAAAAGGCTATATCCTTTACAGCTGTCAATCCAGCTCCCCATACTGTTTTCATTTCTCTACGATGAGAGAAGCCACTTGAGTCAAGTTTTGCAGATTTTGTTTTCAACATCCTTATAAGTAAGGTCTAGAAGTTACTATTGAATCCATTTTCCAGACAAGGAAACAAACGCAGAAATACGTTAATTTTTCTAGATCATGATAACCAGACCCAAGCCTGGGGAAGTTAGCTTCCAACCTCATGTTCTCTGCTATCTAAACCTAAAATGTAGTCAAGTTTCATACAAACACAAATACACATACCCACCACGAACTCACCCACCCACACCCAAACACATACACACACAGGCACTTCTAAAGGTGGGTGGAGGAAAAGAGGCTGTATACTATATATTAAACCTGTTTTTTTATCCTAAAATAAGAAAAGAGGCTGAATACTAATTATTAAACCTGTTTTTTCCTATGAAAATAAGGAAGGTTTGGGTAGGGAATGGATATTTCATAATGAGGGTTTATAAATCCTGTTGCATGATTAGACTGTGTCATATTGCAACAACATCATAGTTTTAATTCAAACCAAGAATCCAATACTCCTTAGAAATTATATACTTTCAAGTGTCCTTAATGTCAATCCAGAGATCATGTCATTTGATGCACTTTATAAATTGCTATAATTCAAGAAAGAAAGGATTTCATAGTCAAATGTCTGAAATAAACTGGGAGAATTAAAGGTAAGCAACTTTCTTCCCTGTCATATCTCAGAACATTTAACGTATTAATGTGCAACTGCATTTCTAAGATGGAACACAGAATGCAGCATTTTCCAAACATTTGACTACAGAACACTATTTTTTACTATGTATCTTGCAAAAGTGTCTTGGGGAAACATTGCAGTAGTCCAAGCCTTTTCTTTTACCAAAGGGGAAATTAAGGTGTGGAGAGGTGGAATGATTTACCAAAGATAGACACAGCTTGATGAAGAAAATTAAGCTAGGCAGATGGGGAAAGATCATTGAACATCATTTTGCCCCCAAAATGGTGAATGCCATGAGATAATATTTTATAGCCTATATAATGTTAATGGAAAAAATACATTCTCCAGACAACTAAATAGGGAATTATGGTGGGTGGATGGATGAACAGATAGACAGATACACACATACATATGTATAAAATATATATATATATAATTATGTTATATTTTTATACAATTTATTTCACACTTAAAAAGGCATTCATCATCATTAAACAGTATATAGAAGACATACAATTTTATTTTGGTAGCAATACTTCTGCTCATTCATTAAATAGCTATTATGCATTTAGATACCTAGAATATCAAAGGGAGCTTTAAATCACTAACATTGCCTGCACATACAGAAATTCTCCAACAATAACATGCTGGAATGTGTTAATATATGCTTCATAGGTCCACAGATGTTTAAGGAAGATGTAATTTTCAAGATGATTTAGGCTAATCCTTTTATTTTAAGTCAGCTGAGGCACGGGTGGTTAGAACAGCAAAGGCATTGTTATGGGCTTTGGCAGATAGTGCCCTAGATCCTGTGTTCTCACAGAACAGAGCTTCAGTCTTGAATAACATTGTACAGCCATGATAACTTTCTGGAGATGGCTCACAAGATACCCCTTTCCATTCTCATTTAAATTTTCATTTTGGTTTGTAGGATAGAGGACAATTATGAAATTAGATGACTTTTTATCTCTGAGTGAATAATTTTCTTTTTTAGGTAAAACAGAATAAGGACATGTTTTTGTCTCTGAGGAGGGTGAGGGGTGGAAATAGCTGCTTTCTTCAAGCAAAATTCGTTAATTAGAAACACCTGCTTTATTTAGAAATGTGCACCATCCACAAGGAGAAGAATATCCCTTCTTTTTTGTCTATAAATGTAGTCTATGCTGCAAAGCATAAGTACGAGCAGTGAATGCAAGAAATACAATTTTCTCTAGGGCCAAAAAGTTAAAAATAAAAATCTTTAACTTCCCCTGAAAGGCATAATGAAAATAAGGAGCACTTAGTAACTTGCTTTTTGCTGCTCTTTGCAGTTTGTCTCCAGGTAGGCTCCGTGTCATTATAAAGGATCTGGCATCTCACAATACACTTCAGGCATTTATCATTTTTTGACCACTGAATGTCTGGTTGCTCTGGATCTCCAATCCATTGGAGTCTAAGAAACTTCCATCTAGTAATAGAAATGCTGAATACCTGCGTATCTAACTTCAAACTCTCTTCATGAGGTTCTTGATATAGTTTGGCTGTGTCCCCACCCAAATCTCATCTTGAATTGTAACTCCCACAATTCCCATATGCCATAGGAGGAACCCAATAGGAGGTGATTGAATTATGGGGGTGGGTCTTTCCTGTGCCATTCTTGTGATAGTGAATGAGTCTCACGAGATCTGATGGTTTTAAAAACATAAGTTTCTCTGCCCAAGCTCTGTCTTTGCTTGCTGCCATCCACATGAGATATGACTTTCTCCCTGCTGCCTTCCACTGTGATTTTGAGGCTTCCCCAGCCACTTGGAACTGTGAGTTCTCCATTAAACTTCTTTCCTATGTAAATTGCATACATTCTTATGTATGTCTTTATCAGCAGCGTGAAAACAAACTAATACAGTAAATTGATACCAGTAGAGTGGGGTGCTGCTGAAAAGATACCTGAAAATGTAGAGTGACTTTGAAACTGGGTAACAGGCAGAGGCTGGAACAGTTTGGAGGGCTCAGAAGAAGACAGGAAAATGTGGGAAAGTTTGGAACTCCCTAGAGACTTGTTGAATGGCTTTGACCAAAATGTTGATAATGATATGGACATTGAAATCCAGGCTGAGGTGGTCTCAGGTGGAGATGACGAACTTGTTGGGAACTGGAGCAAAGGTCGCTCTTGTTATGTTTTAGCAAAGAGACTGGCAGCATTTTGCCCCTACCCTAGAGATTTGTGGAACTTTGAACTTGAGAGAGATGATTTAGGCTATCTGGTGGAAAAAAATTCCAAGCAGCAAAGCACTCAAGAGGTGACTTGGGTGCTGTTAAAGGCATTCAGTTTCAAAAGGGAAATAGAGCATAAAGTTTTGGAAAATTCGCAGCCTGACAATGCAAAAGAAAAAAAAGATCCCATTTTCTGAGGTGAGATTCAAGCAGGCTGCAGAAATTTGCATAAGTAGCAAGGAGCCTAATGTTAATCACCAAGACAATGGGGAAAATGTCACCAGGGCATGTCAGAGGTCTTCACGGCAGCCCCTCCCATCACAGGCCTGGAGGTCTAGGAGGAAAAAGTGGTTATGTGGGCTGGGTCCAGTGTCCCTGTGCTGTGTGCAGCCTAGTCTGTGCCATGTCCCAGCAGCTCCAGCCATGGCTGAAAGGGGTCAACGTAGAGCTCAGGCTGTGGCTTCAGAGGAGTCAAGCCTCAAGCCTTGGCCACTTCCACATGGTGTTGAGCCTGTGAGTGCACAGAAGTCATTAACTGAGATTTGGGAACCTCCATCTAGATTTCAGAAGATGTATGGAAATGCCGGGAAGCCCAGGCAGAAGTTTGCTGTAGGGGCGGGATCTTCATGGAGAACCTCTGCTAGGGCAGTGCAGAAGGGAAATGTGGGGTAGGAGCCACCACACAGAGTTCCTAATGGGGCACTGCCTAGTGGACCTGTGAGAAGAGGGCCACCATCCTCCAGACCCCAGAATGGTAAATCCCCTGAAAGCTTGCACCGTGCACCTGGAAAAGCCATAGACACTCAACGACGGCCCGTGAAGGCAGCCGGGAGGGAGGCTGTACCTTGCAAAGCCACATGGGTGGAGCTGCCCAATACTATGGGAACCCACCTTTTGCATCAGGATGACCTGGATATGAGACATGGAATCTAAGGAGATCATTTTAGAGCTTTAAGATTAGATTGCCCTTCTGGATTTCAGACTTGCATGGGTTCTGTAGCCCCTTCTTTTTGGCCAATTTCTCCCATTTGGAATGGCTATATTTATCCAATGCCCATACCCCCATTGTATCTAGGAAGTAACTAACTTGGTTTTGATTTTATAGGCTCACAGGCAGAAAGGATTTGCCTCGTCTGAGATGAAATGTTGGACTGAGGACTTTTGAGTTAGTGCTGAAATGAGTTAAGACTTCAGGGTACTGTTGAGAAGGAATGATTATGTTTTGAAATGTGAGGACATGAGATTTGGGAGGAGCCCGGGGCAGAATGATATGGTTTGGCTGTGTCCCCATCCAAATCTCATATTGTATTGTAACTCCCCTAATTCCCACATGTTGTAGGAGGAACCCGATGGGAGGTGATTGAATTATGCGGGTGGGTCTTTCCTGTGCTGTTCTCGTGATAGTGAATGAGTCTCATGAGATCTGATGGTTTTAAAAATAGGAGTTTCTGGCTGGGCACGGTGGCTCATGCCTGTAATCCTAGCACTTTGGGAGGCTGAGGCAGGCAGATCACCTGAGGTCAGGAGTTCGAGACCAGCCTGGCCAACATCATGAAACCCTGTCTCTACTAAAAATACAAAAATTAGCTGGGTGTGGTCGTGCATGCCTGTAATCCCAAGTACCCGGGAGGCTGAGGCAGGAGAATTGCTGGAACCCAGGAGGTGGAGGCTGCAGTGAGCTGAGATAGTGCCACTGTACTCCAGCCTGGGTGACAGAGTGAGACACCATCTCAAAAAAACAAAAACAAAAACAAAAACAAAAAACTGGAGTTTCCCTGCACAAGCACTTGCTCTTTGCCTGTTGCGATCCACATGAGGTGTGACTTGCTCCTCCTTGCCTTCCACCAGGATTGTGAGTCTTCCCCAGCCACGTGGAACTGTGAGTTCTCTATTAAACCTCTTTCCTTTGTAAATTGTCCAGTCTCAGGTATGTCTTTATCAGCAGTGTGGAAACAAACTAATACAGTTCTTCTTGGAGATTAGTGTTTCTGTCTTGTCCTGATGTTGCATAGGGTTCACCCACTGGCTTCTGAACCCCTGTCTCACTCTAGAAACAAGCAGTAATCTTGGGGCTGGATCAACAGCCTGTGAACATGGGCCTGAGTTTGCCATAAGCGTCCCTTTTGACTGGTCAGTGCTTCTATTCCTGATGTGCTCCTCTTCAGGGTTGTACCATCCTACCTAGAAGACCAAAAAAGTCCTGCTTTATTCCTCTCGAGTTTAATCTCCATTCTCCATTTTCAGTTACATTCTCATCTGTTGCTTTTGGTCCTCTGGAAACCTCTGGATTTGGGACTTTTGTTTGGAGACAGACCTGCCATGTCTACTGGATTACTCCAGGTTACTTCAACTCTTCATCTTACCAGATGTAGCCAGCCCAATTCTATTGTAGTATGGCCAGAATTTTTGATAAGCATCCCACCTGTAAATTGTGGATAGTTTCAGCTGATTTAGGACATCATTAGAGAACATAGGTACCTGGGTATCAAAAGGATGTTTTCACTGAGATATCTCCATTTTGGAAACATCAGTATTTCTGAGAACCAAGTATGCTAACTGAACATTGTAGAGATGAGTTTTGTTTTGTTTTTACCTGCTAAAAATAGAAGCACTGTTTGATGAATCACTGAGGTGAGATCAGTATCAGGGCTGTGAAGCTACCAGGAATATGTGGGCCCCACAGGAACTCAGGTCTAAATTTTCACAGCATGTCTGCTATTAATGATTTTTCTATCCCCATAAATGAGTAAATAATTTATTAGAATCCAAATCTATAAGGATTATGTCTAAATTTATTGCTCCTTCTTAGGTCATTTCAGTCCTTAGATATCAAAACATAGCATGAGCTCACTGTACATGAAAAATCACAAGAAGGAAAAAATTATATGGCTTCATGGTTAAGAATGTCTAGGGTAGATTCATTTCTTCTGTGTTATTGACTGTATAAATGAAAATCAGGAGCTATGCCTCTTACTTTGGCTTTCATTTAAAATCTAAAGGAATGCTGAATATCCTGGCTCCTCTGTCTGGACCAGGTGGTGAGGACTCTTCTAATCTTCCAACACTCCTGTGAATCTAATTGTCCATACCTACCATGTTGATGTACAGAGAGCATTCTAATCTCAGGATGACAGGAGGAACCCTTTTGTTGCCTGACATAAAAAAACAAACTGTTGAACACCAACTAATGCAACACACATCCAGCCCCAACAAGTGATTGATGACTTGCTGGGGAGTCACACATATTGCTTTTACCTAACAGGGTAAAGAGGCAAAGTTTCAGAAAACAGCTCTGTGCAATGGGGGACTGGGACTCATTTCTAGCCAGCCACCCCTCTTAAACTAAGTTCATGGTGAAATATGAGATGCCAGAATGGCAACATCTCTGGAAGTACTCTCGTCAGTGTCCTATGAATCTGAACTTTGAGAATTAGAAATATAGTCTTTAAATTATAGGTATTCTTATTTAAAATGAAAGTTGATGACGGTAGGAATGGGGTGAGTTATAGAGTATAGTGGTTTAGCTCAAATGATGTAATTCCAAACCAGGCCTTTCTGACTGTCTATCTTGAGATAATTGCTTGAGTTTACAAAGCTGTTTGCCTTGAGTTTAAGCAAAAGGCAATCCCAGTTCTCATTTAGGATTATTCAAAGATTATCTACAATAAAACATATTACATATTTAGAATAGGCCATGGTTTTGCATTCTTCTCTTGTATAACACTCACAGGGCAACCAAAAGAACTAGACTCTGGAGTCTCAGCCTCTGTAGTATTTGTACCTCCTGAATATACATATCAATTCTGTCCAAAGATTGGAGAGAAGTAATGACGCAGTCTGGTAGAGGGAGGACAGTTTTATTCAAGACTTAGAAACACAGATCAAGACTTCAGGCCTGCATCAGAAGGCACATGTCTGATGCTGTAGACTCCTTATTCTTTTGTGGGCCAAGGGTACTTTCAGTCCAGGTACTCCAGAGGTAAAGGGGCTGGATATCCCCTTAGCTTCATAATAACTGACTGCACTTGCCTTGTCACTGTGCGATGACTTCGCTTTTAAGGAGAGTTGAACACTCAATGGATTCAACACGGACACATAAAACATGATGACTTTCCTCAAGGACTTTACATTTTTTAATATCTTTTTATATAAATGTAAATGATGATGTAAATGCACATGTGGTTGTCTTTGCTAATTATAGTTTACTAGGTACTTAGCATGTGAGTGGTTCCTGCTAAGTACCTGGTAAGTTCTATAAGTTTTTGCTAAGTAGTAAGTTCATTACATTAGTATCTGATTTAATCTCCATAATGTCTCTACAACGTAGGTGTTTTAGCATGACCTGTAATTTATGGGCATAATAGGTTTATTACCAAAAAAAAAAAAAAAACCCATGGTTATTCAAGGCAAATTGGACCTAGGTGACAGTTTTCCTAGCCCCATCACAACAAGCCATACAACCTCCAGAGAACCAACTGGAGAATGTAACTGCTCTAATTTAACATAACATCAGAATCTCCAGCAGAACCTTTGAACTTATGCCCATAAAGCCACATGCTGTAAAGAACCAAACAATTTAATGTGTAGATTACCCTTGGTCACATAAAACATAAAGCTACCAGAATAGAAATGCAGCTATGTGTAACAGATACAGGTGCTAATCTCAGGTCACATGCCTTCATGGTCTTTGCTCTCTTTCTCATTAGCTATGTGGTCTAGCATAGTTCCATAATTTATATGAGTCTCAGATTCATCATTTAAAAAAGGAAAATAATGAAGCTCATTTTAGCTCAGCAAGGATTAATTAAGATAAAACATACAATACATTTTTAAGTGCAGCACCTGGCACAAAGTAAGCTTTAAGTAAATGGTAATTAGCTCTCAGGATTATAATAATAATAATGATTAGAAGTAGCAGTATTAGTATTATTATTACTATTATCAAAACATGCAGAACTATCTGGCATATATTAGGACCAACTTGTTTGTGGAAGGATGTTTGCTTTTTCAAAGCTTACACTTAATATCCTTACAAATATAGAGAAGAATAGAAATGGTAGTAAACTTAATTTTTTACCTACTTAAATTTGCTCTTTAGCCCTTTCTGTTTCATATCTTATAGAAACCAGCATGGTTAATCTAGGGTCTGATTGAACATTTCTGTGACACTAAACTTGTTGACATTGCTCATCTCTTGCATCCTTCCAACTTCTCAGTGGCATAGTGAGAACAAGCATCACCTTCACTTTGTTAATTAAGCTATCTATGCAGTAAAGTATCAGAAAAGAAGCCAATCTCCAGATTGTCTGACTTCTCACTGTAACTTCAGGTTCCACTATTACAACCTATGTCTACTTTATATTCTTATTCTCCTAATCTGTGACTCCACTGCTCACCAGAAGTAATATCATCTGCAACTCTTTTAACTGTCTTAAGTCAGTATTGAACAAAGCCATTCTGTAGGGCATCAAGCACCAATTGTTAGCATGGTCAGCAAAGTGCCATGGAATGGAGCTGACACTAAGCCCAGTAAAAATCCTTTCTACCTGCAAGCACCTTCTTGTTTCATTTGAGGGACAAGCACAGGACTCATGATAAAAGCGTCATAAGAACGGATATAACTGTGCAACAATTATGAAAAGAAAGGAATGTTGAAACTATCTGGCTTTTGCATTGGTTTGTGGTTCTCTATGGACCAGATGTCTAACTTACCATGATTAATTCTGTCTTGAGTTTCAAGTTCCTTATAAAAGGCTTTGGTTTGTTCCTTAGACTTATAAATATACCAAGCAAATGTAGCTGAATAGGTTTGCCTGATGAAATCTTGTTCCAGCATAGGGGAAAAGAGCTTCATAATAAAACAAATAAATAAAAACAAATGTTTAAACAGAATGACTAAATAATAATATAAAAGTAAATAAATAAGTAAATGTTCTAGATGTTAAAAAACTGTAACTTTATTTTTTAAGTTTTTTTTTTTTAATTTTTAACATCAAAATGTTCAGCTTCTGTTCACAGCTGGGTTGTATGGTTTTTTTCCTGGATCTGATGTGTGGTTAAAGTGCCTTAGTTTCCCAATGATCATGATACACCAGTGAATATTGAAAGGCGGGGGAGAGAAACTTTTAAGGAAATACTTGTAAGATATTTGTAAGACGACACCCCATCAAGGAATGCAAACCACATTAAGAGTGTTATGGGTTGAATTTTGTCCCCTTAAAATTCTTATATTGATGTCCTAGCCCCCAGAACCTCAGAATGTGACGTTATTTGTGAATAGGGTTATTATAGATGTACTTAGGTAAAATGGGATCATACTGGAGTAGGGTGAGCCTTTAGTCTAATATGACTGGTATACTTATAAAAGGGGAAATTTGAATGTAGACACCCACACTTGGAGAATGTCACCTGAAGATGGAGGCTGATGCTCCTACAAGCCAAGAAATGGCCAGCAACCCAGTGGAAGCTGGGGAAGAGGCATGCAACAGATTTGTCCTCGCTGTCCTGAGAAGGAAGTTCTATCAACATCTTGATCTAGGATTCTCCTAGTTTCCAGAACTATGTGATAATACATTTTTATTGTTTAAGCCACCAAGTTTGTGGTACTTTGTTACAGTAACCCTAGAACACTAATGCAAAGGGAAATGGAACTTGTTAAGAATTGTTAAAATCCACTTATATCACTTGATTCCTTCACAGAGTAAACTGTTGTGAGCATAAGAAATATGTCTGGGACGAAAAGCTTCTCAGAAGTAGGCAGCCTTAAATATATTCATAGTTATCTCTCCGTCAGGATTTAGGTTTTGCTCTAGAGAAAGTCTTACCATTTTATTTTAACTGAAAGCCTTTACCCAATCTGCAGTGTATTAAGATTCCAGCAGGTAGAACTCATTGAAGAAAATTGCTTTCTGCAAAGATGTATGATTCATTCATTCACACATCTGAGCTATTTAGGGGAAATTATCCATGGGATTGTATTATTAGTTTAAAAGCTGCTGCATTTGTTTTTGTGTCAGTATAATTTTATACTGTAAAAAACATATTTGAAAAATCGACTTTGTTTTGTTAAAAATGTGATTCAAATATCACATTTTTATTTGTGATAGGGGTTGTAAAACAGAACCACGGCCAGGTGCGGTGGGTCACGCCTGTAGTCTGAGAACTTTGGGAGGCCGAGGCAGATGGATCACGAGGTCAAGAGATCAAGACCATCCTAGCCAACATGGTGAAACCCCATCTTTACTAAAAATACAAAAATGAGCTGGGTGTGGTGGCACGTGCTTGTAGTTCCAGCTACTAAGGAGGCTGAGGCAGGAGAATCACTTGAACCTGGGAGGCAGAGGTTGCAGTGAGCCAAGATCACGCCACTACACTCCAGCCTGGGCAACAGAGCGAGACTCTGTCAAAAAAAAAACAAAAAAAAAAACAAAAAAACAGAACCACCTATTTTCTGCTGTTTCCAAAGCCTGTAATTTCTCCCAAAGTCCTCCTTTAGATACTGTTGTATATAGTTAAAGAGAAATGTCAGCCAGCTGTGTTGGTTTTGATATACTGAGTGAGAAAAGGCTTTAAGCATCTTTCCTGTTAACTGTTTTGGAAAGCCTAGTTATGGCAGTTGAGTTCTCTGAGTTTCGTGTGCATCTTAAGAGATTTCTCCAAATTCCAAGTGAAACTAAAGTCATTCCTCTAGGTTGAATAAGAGATAGTTTCCTCTTGCAAAAATGTAGGACCAAGAGAGTCTCCTTAATGAATCAGAAAAGCATTAAACATATAAATACATCTAAATCCTTGTTTATTTCTTTATCTATCTACCTAAATATCTATCTTTATCATAAACTAAATGTGTGAGAGTCATTATGAAATGGTCTAAAGTAAAGTAGACCACAGGAAAAAAATTAGTCAGAGTCTGGAACTCACTCATCACAATCAAGGGAAAAGTCATCTTACAGTTTCAGATAAACTTTATTTTTTAAATCTTATTATTGTAGTAAAATGCACATACAATAATATACCATCTTAGGCATTTTAAGTGTACAGTTCAGTGTTATTAAATACATTCACAATGTTGTGCCGCTCTCACCCCCACCCATCTCCATAATATGCTTTTTGTCTTGTAAAACTGAAACTCTACATTCATCAGATGTTAACTCCCCATTCTCCCAGACCTACTTTCTGTCTCTATAATTTTTGACTATTCTAAGCATTTGTCTTTAAGTAAATGGCTTATTATACATAGCATAATGCCCTCAAGGCTCATCAATGTTGTGGGATATATCAGAACTGCCTTTTTTTTTCTTTTTCTTTTTTTTTAATTGAGATGGAGTTTCACTCTTGTCACACAGGCTGGAGTGCAATGGCACGATCTCAGCTCACTGCAACCTCTGCTTTCCGGCTTCAAGCAATTCTCCTACCTCAGCCTCTCAAGGAGCTGGGATTACAGTCATGTGCCACCATGCCTGGTTAATTTTTGTATTTTTAGTAGAGAGGGGGTTTCACCACGTTGGCCAGGCTGGTCTTGAACTCCTAACCTCAGGTGATCTGCCCGCCTCGGCCTCCCAAAGTGCTGGGATATTAGGTGTGAGCCACCAACCCCGGCCAGAAACTCCTGCCTTCTTTTTTTAAGGCTGAATAACATGTCATTGTATATCTATACCACATTTTACTTATCCATTAATATACTGATAGACGCTTGGGTTGCTTCCAAGTTTTAGGTATTGAATAATGCTGGTATGAACAGGGGTGAACAAATATTTGTTTGAGACCCTGTTTTCAATGCTGGGGGATATATACCCCCAAATTGAATTGTTGGATCATATGTAAATTCTATTTTTAAGTTTTTGAGGACATGCCAACATGTTTTCCACAGTGGCAGTGGCATTTTCAATTCCCATCAACAATGCGCAGGTAATTTTTTACATCTTTGTCAACATTTGTTATTTTATGGGTTTTGTGTTTTGTTTTGTTTGGATAGTGGCTATTCTAATGGATGTGAAAGATGCTATTTCATTATAGTTTTGATTTGCATTTTTTTAAGGATTCATGATGTTGAGCATGTTTTCATGGGCTTAATGGCCTTTTGTATGTCTTTGGAGACATGTCTATTCAAATATCTTGCCCATTTTTAATAGCCAATTATTGATTTAACAACTAAAAACAATTTTTAAGGCAACTTCACTTTGCTTGCATAATTATAAAGGCTTTTTCACTACATAATATGTTGGAAGACTTTTCCTTAAATGCAATATTTTTTCCCACGAATAAATTGTATGTTTATTTAGAATTCCATAGTAAAAATCTATCATAATTGACAATACTTTTTAAAAGATTTAGGGGTTTTGATAAAATATAAGCAAGAGTGCAATGTGCATTTGTACGTTTGTCTAAAAAAATTGAAGTATGTGTATAAAGGATTTAGTAGGATAAATTGTTAAGCATTTGACTTAGCAATGCTTCTGGTAGTATACATGTTTTGGAAATTTACATAGTAACAAATGAATAGTATCCCTGTTTGTAGTCTGAGGATAGCTATTTTGTTTCACATGTTTTAAATATACTTCCTTTTACTCTCTGCTTTCTGAATTGGTGATAGATTGTGTGCCTTTTTTTTAAGTATTTATAATACATACATATATTTTTTGCAGTAAATATAAATATAATAATTTCTTCAAAATAAATATTTACAAAATGGAAAATCAAAGTTTATATGCCCACATGTATCAAACTCTTTTTTTTTAGACAGAGTCTCACTCTGTTGCCCAGGCTGGAGTGCAGTGGCTCGATCTCAGCTCACAGCAACTTCTGCCTCCCAGGTTCAAGTGATTTTCCTTCTTAGCTTCCCAAGTACCTGGGATTACAGGCACGCACCACCATGCCCAGCTAATTTTTGTATTTTTAGTAGAGACGGGGTTTCACCATGTTGGCCAGGCTGGTCTTGAACACCTGACTTCAAGTGATCCGCCTGCCTCAGCATCCCAAAGTGCTGGAATTACAGCTGAGGTGTGGGGCACTGCACCTGGCCATGTCAAACTCTTTACAGGAGGAATTTCCACAAACAGTTCAGGTGTTTGGTTTCTTATCTTTGTTATATTTTCTGACAAACAGGTAGACTTTAGTTTGCTTTTGCCCAGCATTTTTTGAGGTGGATTAAAACACACACACACACACACACACACACACACACACACACACACACAGAAAAATTTCCTACAATTTTTTTTTTTTTGAGACTGAATCTCACTGTGTTGCCCAGGCTGGAGTGCAGTGGCACAATCTCGGCTCACTGTAACCTCCGCCTCCTGGGTTCAAGCGATTCTCCTGGCTCAGCCTCCCAAGTCGCTGGGACTACAGGCACCTGCTACCACGCCCGGCTAGTTTTCATATTTTTAGTAGATACAGGGTTTCACCATATTGGCCAGGCTGGTCTTGAACTCCTGACCTCAAGTGATCCACCCACCTCGACCTCCCACTAGCATTACAGGCATGAGTCACCTTGCCTACCCCAGTTTTTTTTTACAGACGCTTAGTGGAATAGAATTTGGAGACAATAGAAAATTCAAACTGTGCTAATTTTAAGCCTTCTAAGAAATAGGCAGTTGGGATTTATTAATGAGCATTTTTTACTCATTAATTTTTAATTTTTAAAGTTTTCCTATGAAAAATCTAATATATTGCCTCAGAGGTAAATATGGGAAGTGGGTTTTCTAAGTGGGTGACCTCTTTGTCCCCTGTAGTTAAGTACTGTCTTCCTGAACTTGCAGACATTATCTAGGTGGAGCAGGTGGAAAAGGAATGTGATGTTTGAAATAAGAAAAAAAAAAAAGCAAACACTCAAAATGCTCATACATGAAAACTTTGCTTTGAATTATAGTCCTTGACTATTTTCAAAGGTTTTGGGTTTTTTTCTTATAATCATGATCTATGGGTGCCTTTAAATTTTCTATACAAATAAAAAAGTAATATTAATATGAGTTTTATATTTAATACTACACATAGAAATTTTATGTCTATATTACAAAGCAAAGAGCAACTTAACATCTTCATGAAAGCTTCCCCAAACATCCCACACTAATCATTTAAATCATAGACTTTCCAAGATAGAAGGTACTTTTTGGTTCTCTTAATTGAAGTGGAATTTAAGCAAGTTTAATAATTAGAATCACCTGAAAGAAATATGTTTTCCTCTGAAATACAGGAGTCTGAATCCCAGGTGTACTGCCTGCCAAGTGCTATGGTTGGGACCTGGATAAATGTAAAAAAAAATTATCCAGGAGATTTACCTGAACAATCCATAATAATGAATCACTGATCAATTCATACCTTTATTCAATAATAATACAAAATAAAATACACTTATTTAATGTTAGTAATGCACCTGACACTATGCTAAATGCATTTTCTAAATTAGTCTTCACAAAAACTCTATTTAAGGTTAAGAAATTTAACTGAGTTTTCTACAGATAGTAAGTTCAACCAGCATCACAATACCTAATCTGAAGTTGGAATATTCACTCGTTAGGAGGATAATATTCTGCCACATTATTATATAACTTACACACAAGTGACATAGCGTGAGATGAAATCAACACCTTTACTTTTTTTTGGAAATACCATTTATTATACTCTGGATGGACTACTATTTTAAGATAAAGACTGTGAGGTTTGGAATATACCACAATTTGTTCATATATGTTTTGTTGAAGGATATTTGTGGGTTTTTTTTTTTGTTTTTTTTTTTTTTGAGACGGAGTCCTGCTCTGTCACCCAGGCTGGACTGCAGTGGCATGATCTCGGCTCACTGCAACCTCTGCCTCCCAGGTTCAAGTGATTCTCCTGCTTCAGCCTCCTGAGTAGCTAGGATTACAGGCGCGTGCCAACACACCCAGTTAATTTTTGTATTTTTATTAGAGACAGGCTTTTACCATGTTGGTCAGGCTGGTCTCGAAATCCTGACCTTGTGATCTGCCCGCCACAGCCTCCCAAAGTGCTGGGATTACAGGCGTGATCCACCTCATCCTGCTGAGGTTGGGAATCTTATACTTTTAAATGGAATTTTATATCTTTTATATTCTGATTATATTACCTAGGAATAGTTTTTCACTCAAGTGAGATCCAAATTTTTTCTGCTTATAAATGAGTCTAACAGTGTATTAACTGGGGTCTTTTTGAGGATTAAGTAAAATGGCACGTTTAAAGTTCCTGCCTTGGTGTAATACGTAGCAGGCACTCAGTAGGTTATTAGTTCTCTTTCCCTTCTTTCCTTTTCCTCCTGGTCTTTACCATGCTCTGCAATAAAAAGCATACTCCTGGAATGCACAGACTATTAAAGTGTATTAATGGTTCTGTTGACCAAGGCATACATTACTCTAGCTCCCTACCTGTGTGCTGAGACTTACAGATAAGCATATTGCATACATATGCAGATCAATTGAGATCACTGTGTACACTGGCCCTAGTGGATAACACGCCATGTGTAAGAGGCGTGAGGTGAGCATAAAACCAAGCCACAATAAAAGAATATTCATGGGCCATGAACTAATTATCCCTTTTGAGAACGTGAAGTGATTGGAGCAGTTAAACAGAGATGAAGCATTTAGAAAGACCAAGCAACGGTGGGAAAACTAAGAATAATTTTGTGGATAACATAAATATTCTAAAATTGTAATCTTAGTTACAATATTAGTTAAAGGTTCTGACTTCATTACAGAAGTGAAAGACTCAAGCAAGTCCTTTCCTCCTGCTGGTTACAGCTAAAGTCTCTGGAAAATAAAACTTAAAACCAATAAGGTGTCTTAGTCTGTTGGAGCTACTGCAACAAAAGACCATAGACTGGGTCGCTTATAAGGAGCAGAAATTTATTTCTTACAGTTCTGGAGGCAGGAAAGTTCGAAATGAAGGTGCCAGCAGATTTAGTATCTGGTTGGGGCCCATTCCTCCTTGTCCTCTTTGGGGCCTGTTATGTAAAGGCACGAATTCCCTCTTGGAAGATGCTGCCGTCATGACCTAATAACTTCCCAAATGTCCCCACCTTCTGATAACATCACTTTAGGGGTTAGGATTTCAACATATATATGTGGGGGGACACAGCATTCAGACCACAGTGAGCGGTCTCTGCAAACTAAACAAAAGCAAGTGGATGGTGGAGATCTGACTTACATGAGGCACAATCTCCTTTACTGTTTTGTTTTTGCTTATTCATTTTGGTTTTTCTTTTCTCTGTGGACTTTTCCCCAAGCTTAAGCCCCAGCTGCTGGAAAGCAGCCAGGAGTTTGATAAGAAAATCTCAGAAGAGAGAGACAGAGAAGTGAACTCCCAATTCTGTGTATGAACCAACATATCTCTCAGCCTAACCTCTGATTTCTGCATTCGTGAGGCAGTTCTGCATTCATGCAAATCAGCTGAGAAAAGGCTTACTAAGTATGGTTGCACTTGCAGGAGTGTGAGCTTACTAAAACAGGCATGCGCAGAGCAGACTCAAGCCAGAAAACATGGCAAAAGCATGAGAACTGAATTGAGATTTAAACAATTCTCATATATATCAAGCAAATATCTGAACTATGCCTACATAGCACAGACTCAAACCAAAATAGCAAACACTCTGGAAGTGAATTGAGATTTCAACAACACTCGCAGAGATGAGACAGAACTTGTCTGAACTTGCATTGATGATCTGGTAATACATTATTATTTAGCAAAGTATTACACAGAAATTTTAAAACCACAGAAAAAAGTCATAATGTCTATAATGTTATAATATAATAACATTATATTATATTGTTATTAACAAAATATATATATTATATATAATATAATATTATATTATATATGTTATATATATTATATATGTTATATAATAACATTGTTATAATGTAACTTTATATACATTATGTACTCAACAAACAAAGAGCAAGGGAAATGTGACATGGTTTCAAGATAAAAGACAAAAAAAGTATTCCCTGAGATGACACAAATGATGGAATTATGAGTCAAAGACTTTAGGACAGCTATTCTAAACTATATTCCATAAGGTAAAGGAAGACAGACAAAACTAAATGAAACAATAGGAAATCTCATTAGAGAAAAATATTCAGATGAAAATGTATGTTTTAGAACAAAAAATTTTAAAAAATGACTAGATGGCATCCATAGCAGGATGAAAATAGCACAGAAAAGCATAAGCAGTGATTGTAAATAAATATAAATGCAAATTATCCGAGTTGAAGAACAGATAAAAAAGATAAAATAATAAAATAAACAAAGCCTCAGGGACCCATACAGAAAAAAGCAACATGTTGTATATAGTGAAGTAATAATTCAAATGATGATATTTTCCAAAAACGAATTATAGAGATAAAAACTAATGTGCCTCAACATGTAGAAAAGCCTGAAAAGAGAAAATGAAATAAAACACTGTAAATCAAGAATTCTATATATGGCAAAAATATCCTTCAAATAAAAGTAAAACACATATATTTAAGAGAAGGGGGTACTAACAGATACTGCTACCAGCAGATTCGCTGTATAATAATTTCTACAGGATGGAAAAAAATGATATCCAAAGAAAACTTGAATCTTTAAATGAAGCAACAGTATCTCAAACGATAATATCTAGGTAAATGCAAAAAAGTATTTTCCCCTTCAATTTATTTATTATATTATGACCACTATTTAAGCAAATGTTATGAATTATCTCTAACTTAGGTGAAGTCAGTTAACATTAAGTCTAAATAAATTGTTCAAATTTAAGTATATAATTTATAATTCATATTGTAAATAAAATATGAAAAAATGGAGAAAGAAATTCAATGGATGTATTAAAATGGTGTACTAAAATATTCAGAGAAACATACAACACGGCAAAAAAGAAAGTAACAAAAAACGGAGGAACAATCAGAAAATGATTAATAGGATGGTAGGCCTACATATAACCATATCAGTAATTAAATATTAATATTCTACAACATTCCAATTAAAAATCAGAGACTATCAGTGGACAAAGGCACACAGTCAATCCTTAGTATTTAAAAGAGGAACATATAAAGCATAAGTAGCTT
The DNA here is from genome assembly GCF_000001405.40 of Homo sapiens. Classification (NCBI taxonomy): domain Eukaryota; kingdom Metazoa; phylum Chordata; class Mammalia; order Primates; family Hominidae; genus Homo; species Homo sapiens. The sequence continues at coordinate 107,993,394 of NC_000010.11, read as the reverse complement.
GAAAATAAGTAAATGAAAACAATAAACCATGAAAACAATTAGCAAAAGATGGCTGCGATAGCTTTATTAACACCACATATAGGGACTTCAAGACAAAAATCGTCACCAGAGATATACAGGGATGTTTCACAATGATACAGAAAATTATTCATCTGAAAGATACAGCCACTATGTACAGGTGCTTAATAGACAGCTGCGAAATGTATAATGAAACAAGAATAAAAGAAAATGAGAGCAAGAGAGAAAAAGAGAATGAAAAAGGTTTTCCCCATAGTTGGAAATTTTAATCCCCTCTCACAATTTGTAGAAATTCATCAAAAAATTAAATACAAATGCAGAAGATCTGAAAAGCACTGTTAATTAACTCGATCTAATATTCATTTAGAGAATAGTACTTGCAACTATAAAGTATATATTTTTCTAAGTGCAAAAGATACTTTGATCCTAATAGACCATTTCTTAGGCAAGAAAACAAGAATCAATATATTCAATATATTTAAATGGATGGAAACACGCCAAGTTACTATGAATGATCATAACAAAATTGAGAATTAATAGCAATAATATATCTGGGGAAATCCCAAATATTTAGTAATTCAACAATACATTTCTAAGTAATTAATTGGCCAAATATGAAATCCCAATTGATATTACAAAGTATTTAGAAAGGGGAGGGAAAACGTCTAAATATTATTATGACAATGGTTTTGACAATTCAGACTCCCTGAATGGGAGCACTTGCTGAAAATACAAACCCCATGGGAATATGAGAAAATATTGGGAGAGTTTTCATAACTCCTTCAATTGGTGGTGATTGAATCAGTGTGTTCTAAACCCTCAGGGTCAAGGAAACACTCTGGGGGCATTTGGATTCAACAATGAAGTGGAGAAACAACTTCAGTTTTATCAAAGCTTTGCCATACTGCCCTTAAAATAAGCTGATGTACAATGTTCTGATTGAAACAGGGATCAGAGAGTTTTATAGTACAGGGGGCCTATCTTAATTCAGTGACAACACCCCTGCAATAAATCAGTTTACAATTTAGAATAATTGATAACATTTTGAGCATCTACATGTATCATTTATTTAATTAAAGGGACACTCTTGGTTTTATAGCTATCATTAATCCCATTTTGCATATATGAAATTTCAAGTTTAAGAAAAGAGAGATCTCATGGCCAAGGTCCCAGAGTATGTAGCTCAGCAGGGAAGGAATAGAGAGATCATTTGCAGGAAAACAATGCATCGTGGGACAAATGACAAAGATAAATCGAAAAAGCCAGAGTGCCTCACTTTCTCTGCAGCAATCTAAAAAGGTATCTGCCAAGGACTAGATTAGACATGCAAGTGAAACTTGATGATAGAACCCTTTGAACAGTTCTCACATCCTAGCATTCATCATAATTCCGTGGCAGAAGGTCACCAGTTCCCCTCCTCCAAAATAATAGCTACCCTCTTAGAGAATAAAAAAATATATATTTATAACATATTTATATTTATAACATGTATCCTGAAAAAAGCAAAGTTGGCAAATGATGTTTTAAAATTCCATTAATTTAAAATTGCCACCTCTGATAGCAGAGACACAATATTTCTTAACATTGTTGTAATTAATATATGTGTGTGATGTCTTATTTTATTCAATGTATAGTTATTAAGCTCCTGACAAGATGCAATAAAAGAAAATTAAAATGGCAAGAGAGGCATAATATATGGCATACCGTTCCCACCAAAGCATGCTTTGAAATAAGAGCCAGTCAGGGCAGTGTCATCCGGGGCATTTAGGGGTTACACATTGTGTTATTAATAAATTGTTCGGCTGAGATAAACTGAACTGTCAGAAGCAATACCAGTTAGATGTATCTTAAAGAGTTTGAAGAAATGGATGCATATGAAAGAATGTGGGATTCACATCCCCTGAGAACACATTAACCCAAAGGAACATGGTGAGTGAGAAGCATTGGGAAAAGTTCTCCCCGCTGCCTCCTTTTGCCTGCTGGCCATTGTAAACACAAACAACTTTCTTCAAGGTACATTTCCTGAAGGTTTTGGTCCCCAATGACCATGGGATGTTTTGTCCAGGTTGCAGGGTAGAAACAAAGGTCATAGGATTCTATCTCTACCAGCAGTTAAAAGAGCCATGAGCTCAAAGAATTCATGGTGGTGTACTAGATTTTTGTCCTTATCTACAACTCTTGCTGTTAAATATTTCTTTATAAACATCCTGAAAATCTGGGTAGGGTCTAGCTTTTCCTGCATGTAAATCCATATTTCCTTGTGGGAAAACACCGAGTTGGTGAAAGCACCATTATATGTAATGAAACAAGATGATATAGGGATCATGTATTTTCTTTCAATATTTGCTAAGATGAGAAGAAGCAGCATGAGAGATTTAGGAATGAACCTACAGAAGGCTAGTGCTAGAAATAAAAATTAAAAAGAGGTCACATCTCCTATAGAGAGCTGATGATATGAAAGGCAGAGGGAAAGCTGACGAGCTTCAAGCTGGGGCAAGGAGGGATGTAGAGGGACTGTACAGAGGTAAAATCAGTTTGATGAAGCCCAGGGAGATTTGGGAAAGTTTTTTGAAGTTATAATATACATATGGAAGAGGATACATTCATAAATTTACAACACAAATGTTTTTAGAAACTGAACTTTCACTTATAGCCAGCACTGAGATAAAAAAGCTAAATTTCAGTTCCCTCAGAAGCCCATATTTTTTCTTAATAACAGTCTTTATCCCACCAAACATGACTGTTATCTTATCTAAAAGCATAGATTGTCTGCTTTTGTACTTCAACTCTCAATATTGCATTTCTATTGTTGTATGTTGTTTTAAATCATCCATTTGTACTGTTGTATAGTACTTTACTAGACAAGTGTACCAAAATAAACTTATTCACTTCACTCCTGAAAGGAATTTGGGTAATTTCTTATCAATAGACATTAAAAATAATAGTGTTATGAACATTCTAATACAGGTATTTTGTATGCATTGTATACATATGCATGCATCACTGTGGGTCACCCTCAGAGTGGAAAGGCTGGCTCACTTAGTGTTGAAATTTTTTTCATTTTTCTACTGGGTTGCCTATTTTTAAATATAATTCTATTCATTTGTAGATATTTATAGATTTAGAAGTAGTCAGACATAGGTATTTGAAAACATTATATTTTTAACTATGAGTCAGCATTTCACCCTATACCGGTATCCTTTAATAAACGAAATTTTAAATGTTAACATAATATAATTTATATTATTTTCTTTTGGTTTAAAGGTTTTGTGGCCTTTTAAAGAAATGTTTACTTAGCTCGATGTGATGAAAGCCTTCTTCTAAAAAAAAAGCTACTTATTTTAAGCCACTATTTAGGCAAGCAATCAATCTGATATATATGAATGAGTGGATTAAGTTCAAATATGTTTTTCCAATAGGTTTTGAAATTAACCAGCACTTTTTTAAATACTTTTTTTCAACTTTTATTTTAGTTTCAGAGGGTACATATGCAGGTTTGTTACATGGGTAAACTGCCTGTTGCTGAGGTTTGGTGTGCAAATGAACCTGTCACCCAGGTATTGAGCATAGTACCTGATAAGTAGTTTTTAAAGCCTTCCCCCTGCCCTCTCTAGTAGTCCCCAGTGTCTATTGATCCCATCTTTGTGTCCACGTGTACCCAGTGATAAGCTCCCACTTATAAGTGAGAACATGGGATATTTGGTTTTCTGTTCCTATGTTAATTTGCTTATGATAATGGCCTCCAGCTGCATCCATGTTGCAGTGAAGGACAAGATTTATTCTTTTTTATGGCTGCATAGTATCCCATGACATGTATGTACCACATTTGCTTTAAAAATATTTTTTTCACTTGCCCATTAGGGTGTCATAAAAGGTGGCTATATATGTATGGATCTAATTCTGACTTCTGTTCATTTTGCCTCATTGGTCGATATATCTGATTTCTTTCTGATGTCAAAAGCACAGTATTTTAAACATTAGGATTTTGTATAATACTTCTAATGTCTGGTAAGTTTAGCTTTCCAGCTTTCTTTTTCTTATTCAAATTTGTCTTAACTTGTATTGGCTCTGTACAATTTCAGTAATTAAAAAATCAGCTTGTCCAATTTTCTTAAAAAGATAAACACCTGTTTTGGATAATGTGCTATATTTATCTCATAGATTATTTTGAGCTGACTTTCATTATTAAACTGTTCAAGCCTATGAACCTGGTCTAAGCTTTCATTTAGGACTTTATTAGTGAATGTCAATAAAATGTTGTACTTTCCAGTTCAATTGTTTTGTACATCTTTCTTTAAATGCATTCTTAGACCCTAGCTCATTTTTATATCATTGTTAGTAGTGTGTTTTAGTTGCAACTTCCATTTATTTTAGGGTAACATACATATATAATATTTTTGTATATTGATCTTATATCTAAAAACTTGTGAAGTTCACATTGATTTATATTTCTGTTCTTGGTAGGTAAGTCATCTATGAAAAATAGCTTTATTTTCCACTTTACATTCTAGAGGCTTTTATATTTTTTCTTATCTTTTTGAGCTGCCTTGGCTAGTTAGTAGAATGGTCAATAAGGATAGTGTTAATAGGCATTATTTTTTCATTCCCCATTACAAATAAGTATTTACATATTCTTCCACTAAAGAGAAAATTTATTGTAGAATTTTAATTTTTTTTCTAATTTTTTTATTTGAGACTTCTTTGACACCTAGAAGCTAGTAATAAGAAAAATTATTTACCACCAGGTGCGGTGGCTCACGCCTGTAATCCTACCACTTTTGGAGGCCAAAGTGGATCACTTGAGACCAGGAGCTCGAGACCAGCCTGGCCAACATGGCGAAAAGCCATCTCTACTAAAAATACAAAAATTTTGGGCCAGGCACGGTGGCTCATGCCTGTAACCCCAGCACTTTGGGAGGCTGAGGAGGTGTGGATCACAAGGTCAGGAGTTTGAGACCTGCCTGACCAACATGGTGAAACTCTGTCTCTACTAAAAAAAAAAATACAAAAATTAGCCAAGTGTGGTGGCACACACCTGTAATCCCAGCTACTCAGGAGACTGAGGCAGGAGAATCGATTGAACTCAAGAGGTGGAGGTTGCAGCAAGCCGAGATCACGTGACTGCACTACGGCCTGGGTGACAGAGCGAGACTCTGTCTTAAAAAAAAAAAAAAATACAAAATTTTGTGGTGTGGTGGTGTGAGCCTGTAGTCCCAGCTACTCGGGAGGCTGAAGCAGGAGAATTGCTTGAATCTGGGAGGCGGAGGTTGCAGTAAACTGTGATAAAAAAATAGAAAAAAAAATATTTTCAAGCCCAGGAATTCTTATCTTCTTTCTATTTCCTATAAGTATTTCTTGAAAACTGAACAGGTTTTTGGTTTTATTTTCTATATTTTGTTTGTTAGGCTTTTTATCTCATCTCCCCATATACATATCTTGTTTTATAGAGAAACCAGTTGGCACTTTTGAAATCTTGCTTAGATTTTTCTTTTCCAGATCCAAAAATGACTAGGTATATATTCTCTTTTCCATGTCACTATAGATGATAGTTTTCCTAAGTATTCCACTACATAAATGAGTCTAATGGTTTCTAAAAACGATGGCTTTGCCTTTTTTGTTAGCAAATGTTGAGTACATAGTCCATTCCTAGTTTATGATTTGGTTGGTGAGCCAAATAATAAAGTGAAAGAAGTTGCTGCTTTAAATGGAAACTACATCTGTTTTAATTTTCACGGCCCTGGGTTTGAAGTATAGCCTCATTTTCCCTTCCAAATCTTTGGCTAGGAGTGACACCCCTTTTCCAGTTATTTATATAGGCTGCTTTAAATATTAGTTTCATGGCTTGGTGAGCTGGCTTTATGTTGTCTTTATGGTACAATATAATATCTAATACTTTTATTGTAATCATTCAAACTGTAGCAAATAAATCAGAAAAAAATGAAAGACATCTATCTTCTAGTATTATTTTTCCATTCTGTTTTTTATTACCTGGTATAAAGACATTTAAATACATTAGAGCTGATTTTATAGGACTAATGATGGTAATTTCTATGAAGCCATGGTTTGAGTCATATATGTATTCAGATTCTCCGTTGCATCATTTGGTATGGATATAGAGTAAGCACCACACACACACACACACACACACACACACACACACACACACACTCAAAACGTTGTATTTAACTCCACATCTCTGTATCTCTAGAAGTATCTAACATTCACAACTACCTTATAATAGCTATCATTAAAAGAATCATCTGGCTGAGAAGTCAGAGAATAAATATATGAAAAATTTAAACAACATTACAAGAGATACATAAAAACTCAATATAACAATGTAGAAGGATCTAAGATAATTCATGCTCAACAAATTTGTATTGAATTGAACTGAACAGAATTCTTAACGGTGCTAAAGAAAATAGAATGCCTAGTTTCTTTTATCATAGATTTTCCAAATTCACGGGAAGTGAGCAAGCACAACCCCTCAAAATATTCTAGAACTTTTATAAAGAAAATTGAAAACACATGAGAATGCAAAGAGAGGTTCTGAAAATTGTCAGGCTGCCTGCCCTTTATCCAGATATTTGCAATTGCATAATTTATCCATAGGGAGGGGGCATCCTGATGAATTCTTGTTAAGGCAATAGATGTGCTGGATTTGGTTCACGGGCAGTGAAATATCTAGAAGTCAATTCTAGTTTACAACAGATACTTTCTTTGAATTCGTTCATGTTCCTAAACAACCAAAAGTATTTTTTAATAGTTCTATTTATATTCTGAATAGTCATACCATCTCATGGGGCATCAGGAGACTCTCCCTTCTTGCCTCATCACATCACTTAACATTAACAGTTTTGTGGGGTTTTTTTCTTATTATGTCAGCTATTCTTTATGAATTGCTTTTTTGGATAGCAAAATAAAAATTTATAATTTTAGTTTTGGGGTAAATATAAAAGGAAAGGCTCTTAATTTAATCTGTGTGTTTTGCTTCACTGTTCATTAAAAATATCCTCAATCTTCTTTATCTGCCTTTTTTCGCTATACATCTAATTTGTCTACTACTCAACTTCCACCATATGATTAGGGTCTAATGACTATGACAGGCTTCATGATAGTGCTAAAATATTAATCCTGACCTACTTCCCCCAGCGTTCTATCCTTCATGCTACCACTCTATCCTATACTCATAGTCTGTTTTGACTCTGCCAAGTTTACAACTTTGTTGTTTAATTTTATCTTTTTTTGATGTCTGCCACTTTACCTTTCCAAGGATACTTAGGAGAGTTAGGAAACCTGGGGGTGGAGAAAAGAATTTATGGGAGTAGGGTCACTGTACCATCTAAAAGTAGGACAAGGATTTGTAGGGCCAGAATCTTAACAATTTGGTGGGGGCAGCCTCTTCAAGGAAATCTACATATATTTCCTTGAATAAAAAACTAGATAAACTAGGTAAAATGAAAATAAATACTTTTTTTTTTGGAGTGAGAAATCAGTGTGACTTGGAAAGGGACTCTTGCAAGTGTGGGCCCTGAAGCTTAGGATGCATTAGTTCCTACTAAGACCTTTTGTGAGTAAGGGGATGGTAGGACGTGGAATTTGAAGAAGTATCAAAATATTTTTTTCTCCTGAGCCTGCTGAAAAGAAGACTGCTTAAAGTTGAGTTTAAATGCAATAAAACAGTGATAATTTTATTTACTATAAATCTAAGAGTGAATTGAATACTGAATCAAAGAATGAGTTAATCTAACTAGAGTTCCGTGTCTTGGAATAAACAGTAAGACCTGAGCTGCAACCTGAAGCATCCGAATTCACTGTGCTACAACACACAAAAATATGTGTATATCCTCAGAGCAAGGGTAAAAAAATAGAATGGAAGAAAAAGTTTCTAATGTCCATTTGAAGATGCTAAGAAGAAACTTGGTGCTGCACTGGGGAAAGTCAGAGAGAGGAATCTAGTTCACCAAGTTGCCAAAGCGCCCTAGGACTATAGCAAGTCCACGAGGGAAAAGAATGCCAAATTTCTTTCTTTCGCTTTCTTTCTTCTTTCTTTCTCTTTCTTTCTTTCTTTCTTTCTTTCTTTCTTTCTTTCTTTCTTTCTTTCTTTCTTTTCTTTTCTTTTCTTTCCTTCTTTTTGGAATGTGCAATGCAGTACATACCTACCCCCATCCAGCATATGCTTATTCCTTCGTATATTGATTAATAATACTTGAGATTGTCTCATTCTGATTCCAGTTTGCCATTGACTCAGTTCAAGAAAAGACTCTATCACAGACTTCATAAAAAGCATAAGGGTTAAAGTATTGAGTGATTAGACTCAAAATTAGAGAAAGGAGAAGGAATAAACACTTCACTTGTGTTTAATGCTAGCACATTTGTTTAATGTTCCCTTAGCACCATTTTATGGAAGGAAATGAAAACTAACAATGTGTGTGCTTTGCCCATATGTGTCAGTAACCAGAGCACACCTCTCTTGTTTCCGAGTCCAATGCCTCACTTTGCCTGCTTGCCTACAGCCCTTTTCTTTCCTCTGAGAAAAAGCGTCTCTTACTTGCACTAAAATCTGTACAATAACACCTACCTGAAGTCAGTGGGCTGAATCTGCACAGCCTCATGGGTATCAAGTCTTACAGAGCCATACAAATGACTAAGTCACAAAAACTGAGCATCTAGGCATCAGTGCAAAAAATGTCACAATTTTTTTGCTTATCTGTTCTATATGCTCAACCTCACCTGTGGTCTCTAAGTCCGGGGCAGTCTCTTCATGAACAGTGAAGTGACCTGGAAACATTAAACATTCATAATACTCTTCTCAGTGGTGTCATACTTTTCTAATTTAATAATCACAATTGGAAAAAAGAAAAAAGAAAAAATTATATATGATTACATTTTATTTTCTTTGCACTTTGATAACCAAAATCCATTTTTTTTTTTAAATTAAAGCTCTCCGGGGTAGCCAGCAATTCACATGGACACAATTAAAGGATAATCGATGTCTGTCTTATAACAAACTCTTTTTGGCAGCTTGTAACTTAATCATGTTATTTTCTGCCATGTGTATGTGGGCCTGAAAGAAGCTGGAATCATTGAAAGTAAAAATGGTGGCAATGCAAGGCAGCCCATGGATTGGAATCCAGTTGAGGCAAAGAATATATCAGGTTTGAGAGGACAAAGCAGACTTTTTTGGGATAAACTTTTTTGGGATAAACTTTGAGAAGTGAGACATCTGGAAGAAATTTGTGAATAATCTCTTATTTGTAGCCCTTAAGCCAATTGCATTTTGAAGTTTCCCAGGTCTGTCTGCATATAATAATTTCTAAATAAATTTTATTGTGTATATTTTAGGTATATAACATGATGTTATAAAATCTATCTATCTATATCTATCTATCTACATATATATATAGATAGTAAACTGGTTACTATGCTGAAACAAATTAAGATATTCATCTCTTACTTTCATATATAAGATTTAGACATCTGGAATCATTTTATATTTGCATAGTTAAATTTGTCTATTCTTTATGCGAAAAACCACAAATACAATTCTTTTCAGATATGCCTCTATAAACATGATATATATCTGGCTTCTATAAGACCAAGACTTCCATATTGCTGAGACCCAGTTGGATCTTTATTTCCATCGGAAATGTTCACAAGATGCCACTTTAATATTTTCAAAATTGTTAGTAAAAATCTGACAGCCACTTCTTGACTGAGTGTTTACCTTGGATCCATGTCTTAACAGAGTGTTCTGGATTTTTTTTAGCAGCTTAAAAGAGATCACACATATATTACCTTACATTTTTTGTGTCTCAGGTGTCTGGACATGGCTTAGCTGAATCCTGTGCATGAGTCATTCACCAGCCTGCAGTGAGGAGGTTACCTAAAACTGAGGTCTCATATGAAAACTTGAATAGGGGCTTCCAAGCTCATGTCGTTGTTGGCAGAATTAAGTACTATGAGGGTGGTTGGACTAGGGGCCTCAGTTCTTAGCTGGTTCTTGATTGGAGGCTGCCTTTATTCCCTTGAAATGTGGACTTCAGCAACATGGATTCTTTCTTCCTCAAAGTGTATGGCCTAGTAGGCAATAGACAGATTCTGATACCGCAAAACAAGTTATATAATCTTATATAGGCTAATCATGAAAGTGGCATGCCATAATCTTTTTCATACTCAGTAGGTTAGAAGCAAATCACTAGACTGCCTATACTCCAGGGGAGAGGATAAATCTTATGTTAAGTGTTCTTACTACAAATAAAACAAACAACACAAGGAAATTTTGGGAAATGTCGGTTATGTCCATTACCTTGATTGTGGTAATGGTATAACAGGTGTTCTCTTTTGTCTAAACTCATCAAATGATACACATTAAATATGTGTAGTATTTTGTATATCGATTATACCTCAATAAAGCTGTTTAAAGAAAAAGAAACAAGCAGTGAGTAAAGAGGAATCCAGGTGAAAACAGGTGATTGTTTATTGGAAGAATGAAGGAGGTCTTAATAAACTGGATTAAATTCACACATTCTCCTTGGATCCCACTTCTTGGTCCCTTCCTCCTTTCCTATTACTCTTGGCATTTCAGCTTAGGGTATATGTGTATCACCTACTGTTGAACTTCAAATTTAAACTTAGGAAAATGGAAATAGTTACAGTTTGAATCCTCCTGAGGGTTCAAACATCTCCCCTAAAAATTCTTCTCCAACTCAACTTTATCACAATGATCATAGCTATGCTCCTACATAGATACATTCTAAGCCCTTTGGTCTTCTTTTCAATAATCTTATCATTATTAATTCCTTCTCACTTCTTGGCATTTTAATTTGCTTTTACCCTAATAAATGTTTCTGAAGCAGTTGTTTTCCTCCCTAAAACTAGCATTTTTTATCTGCCCATGAACCATTGGAATTTATATTTACCTTTATTCCTTTATTCATATATTAGGAAGAAACAGCTTCTGAATGATACATGATTTTTTCCTGTCTACAAAATATCAGAGAATCTTTTCATTCTTATACTACACCTGTCAAGTTGGATTTATATAGTACAGTTATCTACCCACTACCAAGATAAAAGCACTGTGAGAGCCTCTTAAATTTCCCAAGACGTATGTTGTAGTTGTTATTCTTAAGTAGTATTGTAAGCATTATTTAATAGTGAGCTGACTGCTTTTTAAAAAATCTATGATCCTTTCTCAGTAGGTTTACAATTTAAACTAATATATATGAAATATATTTCATATATATTATATTTCATATATATATTTCATATACATATTTCATATATATATGAAATAGGGAAAACACAGCATGAATGGAAACAATGATGAGGAGGAGTGAAATCACTGTGTAGGGATGGTTTAGCTGTATGGTGGAGGGTGTGTGTGTGTTTGTCTTTGAGAAATTCATCACTTTGATGAGTTAAGCAGGTAGCAAGCTAGTTTATATTTCCAAAAAGCTTTGTTTACTCATATTAAAACGAGTAGTTGTTAACGTTTCTATTCAGCTTTTCCCGCAGGTGTCACACCTTGCTAGACATAAGCACTTTTTAAATTATAAGCTATAACATGACAGTTATTTATTCAAGAAAAGGATGCAAGATATCCATAATGCAACAGGTATTGAACAGGTGCTAGGAGGATGATTATGAACAAAAGAGTTAAAGTATCTGTCCTCATGGAGCTACACTTCAGTGAGGAACATTTTTATATATTGACTAGTGTGAATATATGTCTATATAGTACCTATTTTAGAGGAATAGTGCTGGATTATATTAGAACTTATCTGAAAATAAATGACACAGTCTGAGGGTGAAATTAGTCAACAGAAGTTTTTCTGAGAATGTGACAATTAAGTAATGCTCCCAAAAGTTAGTAAAAAACAAGATGGAGCAGGGCATAGGAAGAACACAGTTTAAGCAAGTCACATTGGCTGATGTGTCCAGAAAGAAGGAAAGACTGGCCAGAGGTAAGGCTGGAGTGATAAACAAGGGCCACTTCATGCGGCCTCCTGTGTGTCACACTGACAACTTTGAGTTTTGTCCCAAAAGCAATGTGACCCAGGGTATTCAAATTTTATGAAGGGTCTGGAAATTGCAGAGTTATATGTTTATAAAATATAGAAAGGGTTATATTTGAATTAAAGCATGCCTAATTTTGGCTGGAAGGGGTAAAATAATACTATGAATCTCTCTCCTTCTTGGATCCCTTTCCCAAAGGTACCCTAAGAAATTTATCTGACACTTTTATCTTTATAACATTCATCAGGAAACTCTGTTCTTGACTACCTAAATGAGAGACATAGAAAAGAAGCTAGTTCCATAAGAGATTTTTTTGTGTTCTGTAGGTCTGCCCTTCTGTCATTACTTTCAAAGATCCACTACTGTAAGAAGCCAATGTTCAAATCAGATAGTCACAGAGATATAAGCACAGGAGGTGGGGATGAGTGGGTGTCTATGGGAAAACAATCCTTTTATTATAACCCGGAGGAGAGTTGTTTTACCCACTCCCCCAGTTGCCCCACAGCTGATATTTAACATGCTAAGCCTGTTAACCTGAAGAAAAATGGGTGATTTTAGTGAAGTAAATATTTTGAAGTTAACAACATGAGAATTAACTCCATAGATGTAACTAAAACAGCATCTGGAGGCTCATTTCAGCTCAGAGGTTGCCAGGAAGAAGGAGGTAGGGGGATTTCCATTGATTTCATTGATGGTTCAGGTCCAAATGGAAAGGCTATTATTCTCTTCAGCTAGTCCTGTCTTTTGGTCTCACCTGGCTCTGCCCTGCTCTTTTCTTTCCTGGCATGTGCTCTATCAGTATTGCATCCCCTACACCCCAGGATCCCCTGACTGTAATCCATCTTCCAAGTGAATTCTTTTCTGTTTTTTTTTTTTTTTTAATTTATTCCCATTGATTTCTTCATGAAAGTGAAATTGTGCAGAGGAAATTTTCTCAAGAATTGAGCCTGGGGATATTATATCAAAAATAAAAATCCTGGCCGGGCGCGGTGGCTCACGCCTGTAATCCCAGCACTTTGGGAGGCCGAGGCGGGCGGATCACGAGGTCAGGAGATCGAGACCATCCTGGCTAAAACGGTGAAACCCCGTCTCTACTAAAAATACAAAAAATTAGCCGGGCGTAGTGGCGGGCGCCTGTAGTCCCAGCTACTTGGGAGGCTGAGGCAGGAGAATGGCGTGAACCCGGGAGGCGGAGCTTGCAGTGAGCCGAGATCCCGCCACTGCACTCCAGCCTGGGCGACAGAGCGAGACTCCGTCTCAAAAATAAAAAAATAAAAAATAAAAAAAAATAAAAAATAAATAAATAAAATAAAATAAAATAAAAATAAAAATCCTAAAAGTCACTTCTGTTACATGACAGAACAAGTTCCCAGGAGCAATAATAAGAGACCAATCACCTGATTTATTTAAAACTCAGATGGACAAAGTCACAGTGGATATGTTGGCAGAAATTCCCTATTTTTAGCCACACAATAATTAAAAAGACAAAAACGTCACAAAATATTTTTTCTCTTTAGCTCAGTTATTCTCTAAACTGGATTCTGTAATTTCTGCTGAAATCAGCGATATTAATAGCAAGATTCTCTGTTTTTCTGTCATAATATTGATTAGGAACCAGAACAAAGGAAGGGTGGGAGTACTAAGGAAAACCTGTAACTATAAAGAAATATCTAAGTCTCATGAATGAAAATCGTAAGTGTGGTGTTTAGAGAGTGGGTCCTAAGTCAATTTCTCTTTCTGATTCTCTGAACAAAGAAAAAAAAATTGTGGCAACATGCAATAACACTGTTAACATCTTAGGATAAACTTGCCTATATGATCTCTGCAGTGTCTGTATATCAATTTCATGAATCAAAAAGTAAAGTTGTTCCTAAATTAATATCTGTTTAGAAACTAAAAGATTAAGATGATTTTTCTAATATCCATTTACTACTACTACTGCTACTACCACGTGCTATGATGGTAATTATGATTATGATTATAATACATATCAGCCTTAAGAATATTACAGAAGATCTCCCTAAACTAATATATGTAAAACACTTGCATTGCTATTTAAGGATATAACTATGTTTCTACCACAATAGTGCCGTGGCTTTTCACTGTAATATATATATAAAAAACTATTCTTAGAATATCATAAACCTTTCATAGAAAGTACCACAATGGCTTCATAATTCAATATAATGAAATTATAAATGTAATTTATTATTTATGGGTCCCACTGTAAATGGAACCCGTAGTTTATGGAGCACATTCACAAATGCAATCTCATTTAAACCTCAGGACAACCCTGTATAGTGTGTATTATTATTAAATTTAGTTGATGTATTAAAAAAATAAGAGTAATGGTTTGCTCAGAGTGAGAATAAGTCCATACTCAAATCCAGCTTGGATTCCAAATCTCAACACTCTTTCCATTCTATATACCTGCCCTTCTCAAGCATTTTTGGGACCTCATTCTCTAAAAATATTCAGAGGACAAATTTTATGTGCTAATTATTCTTTCTGTCTTCTACTCTCACACATATTCTTGTTCTAAAACCACACACATAAAATATATACAGTATATTAGTTAATGGCCCTGAGATAAATAGAAGTTTTTGCTTGCAATTGGTTTATTTTTATTGACAAGGAAGCAATCATGCAAATTCTTTTGGACTATATACTTCGCGGTTAAAGTAATTAACCTCTCTCCTTATCGCCCAAGACCTGGATCCGTTCTCTGTTCATGTACACTCTGCAAAGCCCTCTAACACCTTTCCTCCTTAACCACTTCAAGCCACGCATGTTTTGATGTGATTTGAGAAAAGAGATTTTAAGTGAAAAAAACAACCAATTTTGGCTATGGTTTCAACAGATGGGAATGGTAATTTGTATTTTCACTAAGTTGTGACAAAGAGACTACTGTCTCTTGAATCTGACTAGGCACATTGTTAACCATCAGTAGCTTTAAATTTTGATCTTTTTTTTTATTTTGTTTTAGGTTCAGAGGTACATGTGCAGGTTTGTTACATAGCTAAACTTGTGTCACAGGGTTTTGTTGTACTGATTACTTTGCCACCCAGGCACTAATCCTAGTACCCAATAGTTAGTTTTTCTGATCTTCTCCGTCCTCCAATCCTTCACCCCCAAGGAAGTCTTAGCGTCTGTTTCTTCCTTCTTTGTGTCTATGAGTTCTCATCACTTAGCACCCAATTATAAGTAAGAACATGTGGTATTTGTCTTTCTGTTCCTGTATTAGTTTCCTAAGGATAGTGGCCTTCGGCTCAATCCATGTTCCCACAAGAGACATAATATTGTTCTTTTTTATGGCTGCATAGTATTCCATGGTGAATATGTACCACATTTTCTTTATCCAGTCTCTCAGTGATGAGCATTTTGGTTCATTCTATGTCTTTACTATTGTAAATAGTACTGCAATGAACATTCATGTCCATGGGTCTTTATGGGAGAATGATTTATATTTCTCTGGATGTATACCCAGTAAAGGGATTGCTGACTCTAATGGTAGTTATGTTTTTAGCTCTTTGAGGAATTGCCACACTGCTTTCCACAATGGTGGTTACACTCACACCAACAGTGTATAAGCTTCCTTTTCTCAATACCTTGCAAAATCTGTTATATAAAGTGGCCATACTGCCCAAAGCAATTATAGATTCACTTCTATTTCTATCAAACTACCAAGGACATTCTTCACATAAGTAGAAAAACTATTTTAAAATTCGTGTGGAACCAAAAAAGAGCCTGAATAGCCAAGGCAATCTTAAGCAAAAAGAACAAAGCTGGAGGCATCACGTTACCCAACTTCAAACAATGGAACAAGGCTCTAATTACCAAAACAGCATGGTACTAGTACAAAAACAGACACATAGACCAATGGAACAAAAGAGCCCAGAAAAAAGGCTGCACACCTATGACCATCTGATATTTGAGAAAGCCAAAAAAAAAAAAAAAAAAAGAGCAATGGAGAAAAACTCTTCTTATTCAATAAATTGTGTGGGGATAACTGGCTGTCCATATGCAGAAGATTGAAACTGGATCCCTTCCTTATACCATATACAAAAATCAACTCAAGATGGATTAAAGACTTAAATGTAAAACCCAAAACAATAAAAACCATGGAAGACAACCTAGGCAATACTACTCTGGACATAAGAATGGGCAACATGACAAAGACACCAAAAGCAATTGCAACGAAAGCAAAAATTGACGAAAGAGATCTAATTAAACTAACAATCTTCTGCACAGCCAAAGAAACTATCAACAGGGTAAACAGACATCCTAAAGAATAGGATAAAATATTTGCGAAATATGCATCTGACAAAGGTCTAATATCTAGCATCTATAAGAAACTTAAACAAATTTACAAGAAAAAAATGAACAACCTCATTATAAAGTGGGCAAAAGTTATGAACACTTTTCTAAAGAAGATGTATATGTGACCAAGAAGCATATGAAAAAAAGCTCAATATCACTGATCATTAGAGAAATGCAAATCAAAACCCCAATGAGATACCATCTCATACCAGTCAGAATGGCTATAATTAAAAAGTCAAGCCTCATCTTAAGAATGAAAAAGGGCTGGGTACGGTGGCTCATGGCTGTAATCCAAGCACGTTGGGAGGCAGAGGCAGACAGATTGCTTGAGCCAAGGAGTTGGACATAAGCCTGGGCAATGTAGTGATGCCTTCACTGTACAAAAAAAAAATAAAAATAAAAAAAATAAAACAGTAGCCAAGCATGGCAGTGAGCACCTGTAGTCTCAGCTCCTCAGGAGGCTGAGGAGGCTCAGCTCCTCTTGATCCCAGGAGGCTGAGGCTGCAGTGAGTCATGATCACATTATTGCACTACAGCCTGGGTGACAGAGCAACACCCTGTCTCAAACAAAGCAAAACAAAACAAAAAACCACACAAATTAAAAAGAGTCAAAGATATAAACTAGTGAATAAATACATAATGATTTAATTAATTTGAATATAGATCAGAAGAAAAAGTTTTCTTAATAAAGACCTTAGGGCTAGGCATGGAGGCTCATGCCTGTGATGTGCTTTGCTTCTGTGTCCCCACCCAAATCTTATTTCGAATTGTACTCCCATTATTTCCACGTGTTGTGGGAGGGACTTGGTGGGAGATAATTTGAATCATGGGGCCGGTTCCCCCATACTGTTCTAGTGGTAGTGAATAAGTCTCATGAGATCTGATAGTTGTATCAGGGGTTCCTGCTTTTGCATCTTCCTCATTTTCTCTTGCCACCACCATGAAGGAAGTGCCTTTTGCCTCCCACCATGACTCTGAGGCCTTCCAAGCCTGTAGGACTGTAAGTCCAATTAAACTTCTTTTTCTTCCCAGACTCGGGTATGTCTTTATCAGCAGCATGAAAACTGACTAATACAGTAAATTGGGACCAGTAGAATGGGACATTACTGAAAAGATACCAGAAAATATGGAAGCGACTTTGAAACTAGGTGGCAGGCAGAGGTTGGAACAGTTTGGAAGGCTCAGAAGAAGACAGGAAAAGGTGGGAAAGTTTCGAACTTCCTAGACACTTGTTAAACGGCTTTGACCAAAAGCCTGATAGCAATATGGACAATAAAGTCCAGGCTAAGGTGGTCTCAGATGGAGTTGAGAAGCTTGTTGGGAAGTGGAGCAAAGGTGACTCTTGTTACGTTTTAGCAAAGAGACTGGTGGCATTTTTCCCCTGCCCTAGAGATCTGTGGAACTTTGAACTTGAGAGAGATGATTTAGGGTATCTGGCAGAAGAAATTTCTAAGTAGCAAAGCATTCAAAAGGTGACTTGAGTACTGTTAAAAGCATTCTGTTTTAAAAGGGAATCAGAGAATAAAAGTTCAGAAAATTTGCAGCCTGATGATGCAGTGGAAAAGAAAAACCCATTTTTTGAGGAGAAATTCACGCTGGCTGCAGAATTTTGCTTAAGTAATAAGGAGCTGAATGTTAATCCCCAAGACAATGGGGAAATGTCTCCAGGGCATGTCATAGGTCTTCACAGGAGCCCCTACCATCACAGACCCAGAAGCTTAGGAGGAAAAAATGGTTTCCTGGGCCAGGCCCAGTGTCTCCACGCTGTGTGCAGCCTAGGGACTTGGTGCCCTCTGTTCCAGCTGCTCCACCTGTTGCTAAAAGGGACCAAGGTACAGCTTGGCCCATGGTTTCAGAGACTGCAAGCCCCAAACCTTGGCAGATTCCACATGGTGTTGAGCCTGCAGGTGCACAGAAGTCAAGAATTGAGGTTTGGGAACTTCCATCTAGATTTCAGAAGAGGTATGGAAATGCTTGTATGCCCAGGTGAAAGTTTTCAGCAGGGTCAGGGGCCTCATGGAGAACTGCTTCCAGGGCAGTGTGACAGGGAAATGTGGGGTTGAAGAACCCACACAGAGTCCCTACAGGGGCACTGCCTAGTGGAGCTGTGAGAAGAGGGCCACTGTCCTCCAGACCCCAGAATGGTAAATCCACCGAAAGCTTGCACCACCCACCTGGAAAAGCCACAGACACTCAACACCAGCCTGTGAAGGCCCAAGCTAAGAGGGAGGCTCTACCTTGCCAAGCCACATGGGTGGAGCTGCCCAAGACTATGGGAGCCCACCTCTTGCATCAGCATGACCTGGATATGAGACATAGAGTGTAAGGAGATCATTTCAGAGCTTTAAGATTTGACTGCTGTGCTGGATTTCAGACTTTCATGGGGTCTGTAGCCCCTTCGTTTTGGCCAATTTCTTGAATTTGGAATGGGAGGAATCCTGGCTGGGCTAGGGCCCTAGAGGGGATTATGGAGTCCTGGAAGTAAGTAATCTATATCTTGGTGTGGGTGTTTAAACACATGTGTGTGTGTGTATGTGTGTGTGTGTCTGTGTATACATATATACATATACACACACACACATACACACACACACATATATATATATAAAATGCTTATGACTTTGCTTTGTAAAAAATGGAAAGCACCAATATATATTAAGCAACAAAGTAATTAAATTTGTATTTTTGAAAGACCACTTGTTCAAAATCTGGAGTAGTGATTGGAAGGGTAGAGAAGCTGCAATCAGGAACCTAGTCCAGAGGCTACTTAAATAGGCCAAGTGAGACGTGATGAGAACAGAGAATGATAGAAGACAGATCTCATGAGAATTCACTCACTATCATGAGAACAGCATGGGGGAACCACCCCCATGATTCAGTTACCTTTCACTGGGTCCCTCCCACAACACATGTGGATTATGGGGGTTACAATTCAAGATATTTCAGTGAGGACACAGCCAAACCATATCATTCTGCCCCTAACCCCTCCCAAATATCATGTCTTCACATTTCAAAACACAATCATGCCTTCCCAGCAGTCCCCCAAAGTCTTAACTCATTTCAGCATTAACCCAAAAGTCCACAGTCCAAAGTCCCACCTGAGACAAGGCAAGCCCCCTCTGCCTATGAGCCTGTAAAATCAAAAGCAAGTTAGTTACTTCCTAGATACAATGGGGGTACAGGCATTGGGTAAATACAATCAAGTGGGAGAAACTGGCCAAAACAAAGGGGTTACAGGCCCCATGCAAGTCCGAAATCCAATAAGGCAGTCATTGTACCTTAAAGTTCCAAAATTTTTTTTTGTTGACTCCATGTCTCACATCCAGCTCATGTTGATGCAAGAGGAGCACTCCCACAGCCTTGAGCAGCTCTGCCCCTGTGGCTTTGCAGGATACAACATCCCTCCTAGCTGCTTTCACAGCTGATGTTGAGTGTCTGTGGCTTTTCCAGGCTCACGGTGCAAGCTGTCAGTTGATCTAGCATTCTGGGGTCGGGAGGAAGGTGGCCTTATTCTCACAGCTCCACTAGGCAGTGCCCCAGTGGGGACTCTGTGTGGGGGCTCCTACCCCACATTTTCCCTTCTGCACTGCCCTAACAGAGGTTCTCCTTGAGGGCTCTGCCCCTGCAGCAGACTTCTGACTAGATATCCAGGCATTTCTATACATCTTCTGAAATCTAGGTGGAGATTCCCAAACCTCAATTATTGTCTTCTGCTCACCCACAGACTAAACACCCTATGGAAGCTGCCAAGGTGTGAGGCTTGCACCCTCTGAAGCAACAGCCTGAGCTGTACCTCGGCCCCTTTTAGCCTTGGCTGGAGTGGCTGGGATGCAGGGCACCAGTTCCTAAGCCTGCACACAGCAGGGGTCCCTGGACCCAGCCCAGGAAACCATTTTTCCCTCTTAGGTCTCCAGGTCTATGATGAGAGGGGCTGCCAAGAAGGTCTCTGACTTGTCCTGGAAACATTTCCCCATTGTCTTGGCAATTAGCATTCGGCTCCTCCTTACTTATGCAAATTCCTGCAGCTGGCTTGAATTTCTCCCCAGAAAATGGGTTTTTCTTTTCTACCCCATCATCAAGCTGGAAATTTTTCAAACTTTTATGATCTGTCACCTCTTGAGTGTTTTGCTACTTAGAAATTTCTACCACTAGATACCTTAAATAAATCATCTCTTCAAGCTCAAAGTTCCACAGATCTCTAGGGTAGGGGCAAAAAGCTGCCAGTTTCAACCTTCGCTCCATTTTCCAACAAGTTTTTCATCTCCATCTGAGACCAACTCAGCCTGGACTTCATTTTCCATGTCACTATCAGCATTTTGGTTAAAGCCATTTAACAAGTCTCTACAAGGAAGTCCCAAACTTTCCCACATCTTCCTGTCTTCTTCTGAGTCATTCAAACTGTTCCAACCTCTGCCCATTACCCAGTTCCAAAGTTGCTTCCACATTCTCAGGTATCTTACAGAAATGCCCCACCACCTTGGTACAAATTTACATTATTAGTCCGTTCTCACATTGCTATAAGGAAATACCCAAGACTGGATAATTTATAAGGAAAAGAGGTTTAATTGATTCACAGTTCTCCATGGCTGGGGAAGCCTCAGGAAATTTACAATCATCACTGAAGTCACCTCTTCACAAGACAGCAGGAGAAAGAATAAGTGCCAGCAGGGAAAATGCCTGATGTTTGTAAACCATCAGATCTCGTGAGAACTCACTCACTTTCACAAGAACAGCATGGTGGAAACCATCCCCATGATTCAGTTACCTCCCACTGGCTCCCTCCCATAACACCTGGTGATTATAGTTCAAGATAAGATTTGGATGAGGACACAGCCAAACCATATTAGTCATTCAAATTTAATGATCCAATGACTCATCCAAAACAAAGAACAGCTAGTCATCTTCTTACTATATGTACTGTGAAGTGTCCAAATAAGTACATTTGTAATTCATTAGAGGAATGTCATGGGTGTTGAGATAAGCTTGTGAGTCATTATAGTATACATATTCTAAGCCATAGTTATATTAAAGATTGGCCAGGGCTGTTTAGAAAAGTAAAGTAAGAACAATGAGAATATGAAATATATATGATCATTCTTCATATATATAAAATATACATAAACATATATATAAAAACATATATATATATGAAGAATGAGCAAAAAAAATGGAAGGTAGAAGGTGAGGAAGGAAAATAGGAAATACTATACAAGGAGTAAAAGATCTAGATGATTACAAATGTCAAAAAATAGAAGTCTAAGGATTAAATGGTCAATGGTATCAAATCTACAAAATAGAAGTAGTATACAGATTTTATAATGCACAGTGAATTTTGGCATTAGTGATTATTGGAGATACTTCCAAGTGAAGAGAAATGAAATAGTTAGTGTGAGTCATGATGGTGAAACTGACTGCAATGAACATCGGCAGGATTGGGAGATGAGACATAGAAATTGTAAAAATGACTCAAGTAAATTTGGAAATTGAAAAGTTAAAGGTTATAAACTAGATCCATGATGTTTTTAGTGTGGTTTTTAGAATATAAGACAGACTTATGCAACTGTATTTGAGCCCAAAGTGCAGTTGAAGAAAAAATAATAAAAGAAGATGGAGGATCATGAGATTCATCTTCATTTACTACTCAAATTTTGTTGTCCGTGGTGGGTGTGTTGCCTTAAAATTTTTTTATTACAACTATTTCATTGAGAAATGGTGTATCCCCTTTAATTTACTGCTGTGAAATATTTGAGCATACATATTATGTATACTTTCCACTAAGAAGTTTTGATTATGTCACATTGCTACTCAGATATGGAGTATCCCTATTGATCAAGGATTGATTCCTAGTCACCTGAGAGACCCATGGTCTCTCTCTGCTTTGATCACATGTGGTGAGCTTGAGCCCTGATATGATCATCTGTGGCCCTATGAAAAGAGTTGGTTTCCTTCGGGATGCATTGGGACTTGAGGCTATAGTCGTGAAAGGCACCTGAGACTTCACGGACGCCTCCACACTCTGACCATAAAATCCCCACATCTGCTAAACAGAGATAGTATCACCCTTTTGACTCCTTTTCCAGAGGGGATATAATAGAGTTTTCTCATTTTAAAAAATCCAGCTATTACTATTAGAAAGTACTGTAGGAAGGTCAATGTTCCTTTGCAGTACTTAATGGAATAGTTGAATATGCTAAAATTTCTATACTAGAAAGCTCTACATGCCAGCTTCATGAATGTGAGATATTTGCCAAAACAATTGGCAATCATTTCAAGGTTTTTATTTGCTTTCGATGTTGTCAGTCCCTAGACAAGACTCACGACATATTCCCCTATTTACTAATGTGACTCATGACTAAGGGAAAAGGAAAACCAGTAAGAAGTTTATTGATGGCCCACGCTAATGATATTTGTCCTCTGCTTCTCCAACATTGTTCAAACTTCAGGCTTTAGTTGCTTTGCTACTGACTCTCTTTATAGCCCTGATATTTTTTCCCTAACTAATGTAATCAAAATCAGAAAATGCTACTCAAAAATGCTTTTATTCCTCTCACTGTCTCTAGATTCTGTGACTAAGTAATCGTGGAAGAGCTGCAAAGGAACTAGGATTGTAATCAGGTCATCTTGAGGCCTAGTCTTCCTTGCTTTGTGACTTTGAGCAAAGCACTTCTCCTCCCTGCACATCATTTTCCTCCTCTGTAAAAGGAAGGGGCCCAATTAAAAGATCTCAAAGGTTTTTTTTATGTTAAACATATATAAATATATAAACCTTTGATTGCATAAGTATCTGTAAACTTAATTTTTCTCACAGAAGTTTTGCTCAAGGAAGATTGGCACTTTAAATATGACTGTGTCATTCATATGGATGTGCTCTCATAATTTCAGTGTCACTACTACTGTGACATGACAGCTGCTTAACCTCCCTATTAATGCCTATTAATGTGTCATTGATTTATTTGTGTGCTGAAAGTCAGCAAATCTCAGACACGTGGGACCAACAGAAGAGTGCAGCGCCGTGTGTTAGAAAATCAAGGAATCAAGTCTAGGTTATGTCACAGAGTAGGTCCTTGCATAACTTAACCTCTCTATGCCTCAATTCCCACATCCATAAAATTAAGATAGTTACACCTGTTCCTAGGGTAGCATGAGAATTATGTGAAATAATATATGTGAAGAATGGAGCACAGTACCTAGACAGTATTAAGTATCCATAAGAACCTACATTTTTTTTTTGTTGCTTAGTATTGAAGCTGGCAAAGTCCGTAAGATCAATAATTATCCAGTTCTCAAATAAAATTCTTATCATCAAATGTAGGCTAAGTGAATATTTGTTCTTCCTCACTAGTCTGATTCAGGATTCAGAGATATGAAGTCATTGGAAAACACTAATGATATTTATCCCCCAACATGCATAGACAATAATATAAATGACTTTTAACGTTTTCCATGAAATGCTAAGCAAGAAATTATTCTCGACAAATATATGTTTAGGATGATGGAATCCAGAATTTTTGATCCAATGTTATAACTACTATGCTTTGACAGTTATTAGTTTACTTATTTTAAAAATATATTTATTGCATAGATCTATATTTGGTGAAACCCCGTTTCTACTAAAAAAATACAAAAAAAATTAGCCGGGCTTGGTGGCGGGTGCCTGTAGTCCCAGCTATGCAGGAGGCTGAGGCAGGAGAATGGCATAAACCCGGGAGGCGGAGCTTGCAGTGAGCAGAGATCGCACCACTGTACTCCAGCCTGGGTGACAGAGCGAGACTCCGTCTCAAAAAAAAAAAAAAAAAAAAAAAAAAAAAAAAAAAAAACACTGAAAGGTATGTATCAGTGTCTCAGCTGTTAAGTTCCATATCATTATATAATATTTATTCTTGCAAGTGGCAAAACTCAGTCCGTATGACCACAACTCCTAATGGCTACCTGAACCTCCTTTCATAGGCCACATTAACTTTGGTTCATGAGGAGAATGCATTTCCCAGAGCCCATCCTGTTATGCATTCTTACTTTTGACCCTGGGCATTAACCAATGAACAGCTAGTTACTAGCAAGTCAGGGTGTGAACTGCAGCAAAATTATTCCCAAAGGGTCCCAACACCACTTTCATATCTGATTGAAATGTCATTGTGTCAGAACGTTAACTGCTCGAGACATTCGCCAAAGCTGAAGTTCGCAATCTGGATAATAGACTGTAGAGAAGGAAAATCATTTTTTATCTCAATGTGGTCAAACCAACAAAAGTAATCTATTGTTTTATGTCTATGGAGAAGTATCTTCTCGTTTTTAATCTCATTTTTAAATAATAATATAAAGGAATTGGAATACTTTACATTTCCCATTGCATCATCTTCCAATATTATGACTCAAACTATGTTTGAGTAACTCTTATATAACAGATTCCATGGGTTTTTAAAGGAAGTAAATGTTTCTGTCTGGAGGTAAGTAAGTAAAATTCTCACATTCAGTGAATATGTAGGATACTGACATCACGATAAAGTCAGTCAGAGGAGAACAGGGAAGGCAGTAATAATTGTTCTGGTTATATATCTTTTTATCAGCTTCTTGCCCTCGAAAGAAACAGGGAGGAAGTGGTCATGTATGTCCATCCTGCCCACACAAATAAAAGTACAGAAGCTCCTCAACTTATGGTAGGGCTACATCCAGATACATTCACGGTAAGTTGAAAATGCTTTTAGTGCTGGCAGCACAGCATACAGTTCCTGATTTACAATGGTTCAATTTAAAATTTTTTGACTTTACAATGGTGCCAAAGTGATACAAATTCAATAGAAACCATAACCTCCTTGACTTACAATAGGTTTATGTCCCAATAAACCCATCATAAAGTCGAAAAATCTTTGAATCATTGAACCGTATTAAGTTTGGGACCATCTGTACTTCTATTTCCTTTGTGAAGATGGATAGAAACAGTAAATAAATTGTCAATTTGAATATAAGTTAGAGGGGTCTAAAATCTCCTTCCAAAACCAAAATATTTTTGTCTAAATCACAGGTATGCCTGGTTTCTCTGGAATCCCCTCCCCTCAGCTACTCTGATCGTATCATAATTCTTTGGTTCTCTGTCCTCATTACTACATTCCACTAAGGTCTTAAGAAAGAAATGTATAATTAATAACTAGATAGAAAACAGGCTCAGAGAGTTCAGTAGACATTAACCTACCTCACTGTCCGGGTCTTTGATCTAACAAATGTTTAATTAGCAGCAATTTTGGCCAGACATTGTGCCTGGGACAGGGGATTCCAGAGTGAATGAGACACAAGTACTCCTTTCCAGGAATTCAAACTTTAAGGCAATGACTATCCTTATAGAAAGGAAAATTGGGCCAGGCGCGGTGGCTCACGCCTGTAATCCCAGCACTTTGGGAGGCCGAGGTGGGCGGATAACAAGGTCGGGAGATCAAGACCTGGCTAACACGGTGAAACCTCGTCTCTTCTAAAAACACAAAAAAGTTATCCAGGCTTGGTGATGAGCACCTGTAGTCCCAGCTACTCGGGAGGCTGAGACAGGAGAATGGCATGAACCCAGGAGGCGGAACTTGCAGTGAGCCGAGGTCACGCCACTGTACTCCAACCTGGGTGACAGAGCAAGACTCCGTCTCAAAAAAAAAAAAAAAAAAAAAGGAAAGGAAAATTGATCGGAAATGTTAACACATTAGGTTTTGTATGTTAAAAAGGCCTGGATATAAATCACAGCTTACCATATTTCCACTTGTATGACTTGAAAAGAATGACTGAACTCTCTGAGTTTCAGTTTCCTCTCTAATTACTAATGATGCATTTCTTTCCTAAGATCTTAGTAGAATATAGTAATGAGAGGACAGAGCACCAGATAATTATGATGTGATCAGAGTAGCTGGGGGTAAGACAATCCAGAGAAGCCAGGCAGAGCTGTGGTTTAGATGTAAAATATTTAACATTGAGGACTGAGCTGAGATTTAGTACATGAGAAAATATGTTGGCTCATCAAAATTGTGTTTAAGGAATAACATGAGTCACTACTATAGAACCTTTGGTAGAGTCTTTAGAACTGATGTCAATTTCAGAAGTCCAGAAATACCAAGTGAACTAAGCATGAATCTTAGGCACACAGTCTGGATCTTAGGTACACAGATCTTAGGTACACATGGATCTTAGGTACACCTTTTAGACAATATAGTCAGGGCACAGGGTGTTATTTTAGCCTCTGGTTGTTTATGCTTGATGTTTCATGCTACTTTGTTAAGTCTTACTGCCTACAAATGAGACCAAGACAATAGTTCAGGAGTTAATAACTACATTTAAAATTTGTGAACCTTGAGGTGTATTGGGGTATTGGGGGGAGCACAAAAAAAGAAAGAGATCAGTTGAGTGTAACAGCCATTGAATTTTTAAGAGAACATAGTAATCTTGCGAGTTCATCCTGAAGCTGATATTTACAACCCGGGAAATCAAAGGAAAGGGAAAGTTCTCAAGAAAATACTCAGAGGGAAAGACCACACGT
Source organism: Homo sapiens (assembly GCF_000001405.40). Lineage (NCBI taxonomy): Eukaryota > Metazoa > Chordata > Mammalia > Primates > Hominidae > Homo > Homo sapiens. Next base: position 107,966,528 of record NC_000010.11, on the reverse strand, counting down.
CATCATCTGATGACAAGGAAGGATCCGTAACTTCTTGAGAGAATATGACTGTCTAGCTGTCTTCTGGATTTGAACTCCCCACCCTTAAGCTGGTTGCATCCTGTACCATCTGACCTTAGAAGCCCATACTGTATGCCCACACCGAGGATAAAATAAAGATATAAGGATCATAAAGAGGTTAATATTTGTTCATCTCAGAATAGTAAGCCTGTATTTTTTATCATTTTAATTCTTCTTTGGAAAAAATAGCTAACATTTGTTTTGGTGGATCGCACCTTCTTTACTCATAGCTATATGTCTCAGTTATGATTGACCTTACTCAACAGCTGTAAGGATAGACACTGAATAGGATATGCCTTATTTCTCAAAGTAAGGATCACTAAGCACATGAGGAGGATCACCTGGAAACCTATTAGAAACGCTGCATCCTAAGCCCTGCACAGGCCTACTGAGTCAAAGTCTCCCTTTTGACAGGTTCCCCAGGTGAATTGTATAAACTTGAATTATTGCAGCCCAAATCTAAAGTAGTGGTTCTTAATTAATAGAGGCTGAAATCACTCAAGAGCTTTAAAATATGCTAATGCTTGATTTCCACTCACAGATGTACTGGCTTACTTAGTGTAAGGTAGGCCCCATCATAAGTAGTTTTAAAACCTATGCAGGTGATCCTAATGTACAGATTTGTTGTTGTAACATTACTTGGTTGTAATGATTTCCAACCACTTAGAGTACTTTTCCCCTCCCCACCACATGCAATGATTGCTTCAGGTGTAGGAAGTCAACCTAATCTAACCAATAAGAGGTTTACCCTGGGCGTTTGTGTCATTCTGAGAGAAAGATAATCTCTCTCTTCCAAACTGAAGATGAAGCTAAAAATACATGATTCAGAGCAGCTGTTCACATCCTGGGACAAGGATCATACCTGCCTGAGAGCAAAACCAACAGTGTAAGAGAACAAAGCTGAGCAGAGAGGTGGAATGAAGTGGTCCTGGTGATATTTTCCGAGCCCTGCTTTAAGTCACTTCTGAAACCATTTAAGCTTTGCCTTTGTAGTTATGTGAGTTGGTAAATTCCTTTATGGTTTACAATCATTTGGTTGGTTCTTTGCAGCAGAAAGTGCCTTACTTGATAAACAGGCTAGTGATAAACTCAGATAAGCCTTCTTGCTAGATTCAATCTCAACAGAAAAATACGTCAATGGATAATAAAGTTGCAGAATGGTAAAGTGTATTGGATTTTGAGTCCAACATCCTTCATAATTGAGAATACTAAGGGCTGTAATGTATTAAGAAAGGTTCTCTATAAGTGAGGAACAAGGCTGGTTTGTAGGAGCTGATTGCAGAACAGCACGGTAGGAACCCCATGTCTTTACAGAAGATTTTCACCTTTCTCTTTGCAAGCATCTCTACTACCTTGACATTTCTCCTTTCCATTAGTAGCATGGATAGTTTAAATATCTGAGTTTTGAAGTTTTCATCATTTACTAAAATATGCACTAACAATAAACAGCAGCTTGGTAAATGAATACACAACTAAAGGAGTCCTTTGATCAACTAAATTTGGAAAGTGCTTTTTAATAATCTCTGCCTCCTCAGGGATCATTTTAATTCACTTAAGGTTCTGATAAATGCTTCAGTAAAGATTCCTGTTTAAATCACCCTCCTCTATAAATAGACGTATTAACATAACAGCTCTTTGAAGTTTTAGAATTCAGTTGATGTCTATTAATACGGCTTTAGATGGGTTTAAATTCCTAAGAAATGTCTGGGTTCAGTTTCTCCCAAAGCTCTATCTGAGAAAAATATTTGGATAAAATGATTTATTTAGGAGACAATTTCAGAGAGCAGAACACAATAAGGGAGTGGATAAAGGAGGAGTGGGAGAAAAAGCCAAGACATTATGCAGATTGATGAGTGACTTACCACCTAACCAGGGTTCCATCTTGCTGGAATGGTTAGAAACTGGAATTTGAGGGTTGTCTCTGAGTGTGTTATGTGTCCTTTACTTCAGATATGCTCTGAACATTGATGATCAGGCCCCGTGTTACTAGGAAAAACCCTCAGCCAGAGAAGCAGAGAGACACAGAGCTTAGAAACTGTCAGTATTCCATGAACTTCCCTATTCCTGTGGAGATCTTACTAGTAAGCGGAAAGATAAAGAAGCTGAGCATGGAAATGTGTACTACAGAGGGTGTGAAAGAGATCACGTATGTTTTTGTCTATTTTTAATTGTTTGGATTTAGATACACCCCAGCCAACTAGCGCCTTCGGTAAACTTAATAAATCATCTGGGAATGATGAAAAGATGGATAGAAGGTACATATGAAGAATGATAAAAGACAGGGAACTGTATACTGGAATCTTGACAAATATGAGAATTTTGGAAACAATCCTGCAAATAAGTAAACATGCTATTACCTAATTTTTAAAAATTGTGCTGTATATGTTACATTATGAAGATTGCACCATTAATATGTGAATATGTCAATATGAGAGCACATCTCCCAACCCTATAGGATTTTGTGATTGTAATATATTCTGCCAGGGGATCTGAGGATTAGTGATCTTCTCTGTTATCCCCTGAGGTGAAGTCAAACTAATTAGTAAGTTTCACACACATAGGTCAGCAAATAGTCATTATTGTTTACTAACCTCCTTTTTTCACCTTTGGGACGCAGTTCAGAGAAAAAAAATTGTTCTATGCCTATGTTAAAAGCTTGGCTTAGTATATTTTTAAATAATTAGTAGATTCCAATAAAACATGATTAGATTAACCCATTTTATGAGTTATTTTGCCCCAGATAATTTACCAAAATATGTTCCTAGAAAAGTTTTAAAATAAAGAATAGAACAAAGGTATATAAAAATGATCCAAGGTTCACAAGAGGTGTGTAGTAAACCTGCTACAGGTATTTTCTAGACATATTTTAGTATATAACATATATTATTTTGTATTTTGAATAACATAAATTTATAACATGAGAATTATAACTATTTGGTGCCAAATCATTTAAAGATAACTTGAGCAAACTACTCAAAACTCTATAAAAATTTGAATGGATAAATAAAATATGGTATATTCACTCAGTGATAAACAATACAGTACTGAAAATGAGCAATCTAGGAATGTATGTAAAAAGAGATGAATCCGACAAACACGATGTTGATTAAAGGAAGCCAGCATAATGGTACATACTATAACATTCTGTTTATATTCAGTAAAAAACCAACAGGCACAACTAATCTATGCTGTTTCAAGGAAGAATAGTGGTTATCTTTAAGAGAGTAGCAATTTCTAAAATGTTGATGTGTTACTTGATTTGAATGTTGGTCACATGGGGTGTTCATTTTTTCTGATTTTGAAGTTGTCCACATACTGTATCTACCTATAATTATATTTTATATAATATATATGATATATACTTATATATAATATTTAAAAAATAAAAACAATACACTTACCAAAGCAATTATTTTGCAGCCTTTATTAAATGTCTACTACAGAAGACTTGAGGCTTTGCCTCCTGATCTCACCTTCAAGAATGAGTGAATAATTTGTGTACATTTTCTTGCTTTTCTTTTCCTTTCTTCAATTACCATTGCCACTAGTACCAATAAAAGCCGAATATTTATCTCTTTCTTAAGGCATCTTGGCACAGCAAGTTTGTTTTTAATTGTATTTTACTGTGTTAAAGACAGTTAACAGGAGATATATCCTCAATAAATTTGTAAGCTTCTAATACATTGTTGATGATAGGTGCAGTGTTACACAGCAGATCTCTAGAGCTTATTCATTTTGCTTGACTGAAGCTTTATGTCAATTGATAAGTAACTCCTCATATCTCCCTCTCTCCAGCCTCTTATAAATACCATTCCACTTTTTGATTCTATAAATTCAACTATTTTAGATACCTTATGTAAGTGGAATCATGCGACATTTGTCTTTCTGTGACATTTGTAATTTTCCTTACCATAATGCCCTCAAGGTTCGATCACATTGTCACACTGCATAACATCCTTTATTAATGCTAAATATTATTCCACTGTTTGTGGATATCATAGTTTCCTTATCCATTCACATATCAATAGATATTTAGGTTGTTTCCATAACTTGGCTATTGTGAATAGTGTGCAATGAATATAGGAGTGCTAATATCTGTTTGAGATTCTGATTTCAATTATTTTGGATAAATATCTAGTAACAGGATTGCTGATTCATATGACAGTTCTTTTAATTTTTAATAAACCATCATATTGTATTCTGTAGTGGCTGTATCCTTTTGCATTCCCACCGGTATAATTGGAATGTGTCCCCAGATTTCATGTGCCAGAAACCAAATCTCCAAAGCAACAATACTAGGAGATGGACTTAATAAGAGGTGATTAATTAATGTTCACCTTGTGGGAGTGGATTAGTTACTGCGAGAGTAGGTTTCTTATAAAAATGAGTTCAGCCTCCCCTGTGCTCTTTTGCTGTCACAGTAGAAGTCCCTTCTACTTTCTCCCATGAAATGATGCAGCACCAAGACCCTGGCTAGATGCCAGTGCCACGCTCTTGGAGTTTTCCAGTCTCCAGAACATTAAGCCAAATAAATGCCTGCTCTGTATAAATTACGCAGTCATTGGTATTCTGTCAGAAGAACACAAAACTGACTAAGGCATAGACCAATGGTGTGCAAGGGTTCCAATTTTTCCACATTCCTGTCAGCACTTGTTGTCTTTTTATTTTATCTTTTCTATGATAGTCAACTTGACAGATGTAAGGTGGTATCTTGTGTTTTTGGTTTCCATTTCCCTGATGATTAGTGATGTTGAGCTTTACACACACACACACACACACACACACACACATATAACTTCTGATATGGTGTCATATCAGAATAAGTTTAACAAGTTATTAAAGTATGAATTATGCTTTATTATACCAAACAAATAGCCATAGCCCTTCCTTTTTGATAACTTTTTATATAAATTCCTCAATTCTGAACCAGAACTGTATGTAATTAAAATATTGATCTTGAAAAGGATGAGATCATCAAATGTCATTTATGATCATATTTGAGCAGTGTTCTCAGCAGTTAGAGGGCCTTCAATAAGTGATTTAACTCTTTTCTACGTGACTTCATTTGGCTCAGACTGAAGATATTTTTGAATCATATAATATGTTGATACGAAGAAATGTTTCTGTACAGCAAGAAAAGCTTTATTTATGTAATCGCAAGTACTAGGTCAGCAATAACCTGTGTGTTTGGCTTATATTGATACAAATTACCTTTAGATAACTGTTTCAAAGTGGATTAGTAATAATGGATTGTTACTTAAAGAAATTGTCAGGTGCAAGGGTAATGATGCCTTTTTCTCAATTCAGATTAAATTCTATCATCAGTTTTAATTGTTTCCCTGAAGACGACTTGCTGATGAGTTGTTGTTCTGAATGCTGGAAAATTCTTTTCACAATATGAATTGTCATCTGTAATGACTTAGGAACATATTCTTGGGCGAGTCTTTCAAAGTTGGGCATGTAGCCTGGATGCAAATAATTGCTAATATTTCACCTTGTAAGGCTAAAGTTTTGCCTTTTTATCCCAAGGGTCAAAGATGGCATTCTGATTTAAAGGCCTTGATAACCTTCTGGTGACATTTACCTCCCAAAAACTACTGCCAGTAGGGACTTTCTTTTTGGTCTGTAGCAGTGAAGCAGATCTTTACTCAGTTTAGGACATGTGGAAGAAAAGCTGGTACTTTTTTATTTTTTTTTTTTGCAGGAAACTTAGAGGAAGAATGTGTTCTTCTTGTGAAATAATCTTGGAACTCCTTATTACATTTGGGGGGGTGGCAGGGGAACAGAGTCCCACTCTGTCACCCAGGCTGGAGTGCAGTGACGCAATCTCGGCTCACTGCAACCTCCACCTCCCGGGGTGCAAGCAATTCTCCTGCCTCAGCCTCCTGAGTAGCTGGGATTACAGACATGAGCCACCACACCTGGCTAATTTTTGTATTTTTAGTAGCGACGGGGTTTCACCATGTTGGCCAGGTTGGTCTCAAACTCCCGACCTCAAGTGATCCACCCGCCTTGGCCTCCCAAAGTGCTGGGATTACAGGCATGAGCCACTGCTCCCAGCCCCTTATTACATATTAACCCTCAGCAACCCAGGCAAACCAGGCATTTTCTTTGAACACAAAACAAAATAGTTTACCCCTGAATAAAGTTCTACTTACTATTTAACTGAGTAGTAAAACAATGACAACAGTAACACCAAAAATAAGAGCAAGGAAATAAATATTCTAACTGTAGGAATTTCGGTAATTTATGATCAAGAAGCAAGTGGGCCCGCTGGTAAAATATTATGACATTATGCCACGTTTTTAATGAAGGTGACATTTTATATTTAACTTGGTTTGACTTACTGAGAAGTAGGATAGCTCAGAGGCAGTGAATCCAGGCAATCAATAAAGGATGGTTAATTAATTCAAGGATTTACTAACAGTTACCCTTAAAGTTTACTGTTTCCTAAGTTTACTAATCAAAGGCAAATTTTGATTATCATACAGCAGAAGAAATCATACAAAATATCATATAGCAGAAGAGAAAATTGTGGTAAGCTTGAGGAAAAGAGGGAGAGTAATCTTCAAAATTATTTTCAAAAATAGACTTTGGATATAAAAGAGATACCATGTATCTCTTTGCTTTTGCAGCTGAGATGCGGTACCCATGACGGCATGAGGTGGGACACTAAGCACTACTAGAAATCAAAGGCTACAACTGTCTTAGCTTCCAGAAAGTGTTTTCTTCCATTAGAAGGTTATATACACAAAAACTTGTTTTATATTTGAACAAACACAGGCAGATTTTGAAGTCCAGTGAGGGATGTGCTTGAATCTCAAAAAAGAAAATTGAGGCCAGGCATGGTGGATCATGCCTGTAATCCCAGCATTTTGGGAGGCCGAGGTGGGTGGATCACGAGGTCAGGAGTTCAAGACCAGCCTTACCAACATGGTGAAACCCTGTCTCTAGTAAAAATACAAAAATTAGCCAGGCATGGTGGCATGTGCCTATAATCCCAGCTACTCAGAAGGCTGAGGCAGGAGACTCGCTTGAACCTGGGAGGCAGAGGTTGCAGTGAGCCAAGATTGCACCACTGCACTCCAGCCTGGCAACAGAGCGAGACTCCATCTCAAAAAATAATAATAATAAAAATAAAAATAAGGAAAATTTAAATATCATAGAAATGCATTGATTGTTTTTGTTGACTTGTTAGTCTGAGCCTGGGCTCAGACCTTCACTCACCTTTGCTGTCAGGTTTATCTGGAAGAAATTTCATTAGAAGCACAGAGTGACCTGCCAGATTCCTCACCATTTTTTCAGAAAATGGGGGATCTAGAAAACCAAAGTGGTATGTCCAGGTTACATAGCTGACAATGGCAGGGCCTGACTTGGGTTCTCATTTCTTTATCTCTAGGGTTCTTTTCCTACTGGGGCTCTTAGAGGATGCTGAGTAAAACTGGAATCGAGGTACAGACATATCCATATCTGCCCCACTTTTATGCTTCAAGGTAGAAACCCATCCCCTGAATTCTCTTTCTGTGGGGAGATGAATACCTGAGCTACTGTTGCATAACTAAGCTTTTAAACTCCCTGATTCTTCATATTTGTAGCATTCTCTTCATTGAGTAGATTTGAGGCACCAATATCTCTGAGTATGTCACTACTAAGAATATCCACTTACACCAGGCACGGTGGCTAACGTCTGTAATCTCAGCGCATGGGGAGGCCGAGGAGAATAGAGCACTTGAGTCCAGGAGTTCGAGACCAGCCTGGGCAACATGGTGAAACCCCATCTCTATGAAAAATACAAAAATTAGCCAGGTTTCGTGGCACGTGCCTGTAGTCCCAGCTACCCAGGAGGCTGAGGTGGAAGGATCCCTTGACCCTGGGGGACAGAGGTTGCAGAGATCTGAGACTGCATCACTACAGTCCAGCCTGGACGACAGAGCAGATCCCTGTCTCAAAAAAGAAAAAGAAAAAAAAAAAGAATATATCCACTTAATCATTTTTATTAAACAAACATTTGTTAATTACCAGTTATGTGTTAGGGTGTTAGGCTTCATGCTAGATGAGAGGTGTTTCATGGAGTTTATTATATTTAGACTAGCGGGAGAGAAAGTTGACTATGAATATACTCAGTTGGTAGGTATCCTGTATTTCTCTTTCCCTATCCTCACCCCAGCAGGAGTTTTAACAGCAAGGGGAAAATGTTCCAGCCACTCTAGTTGGGATACATTGTATTCCTCCTCAAGTCTACCAAAGAAAGTAAGTGCTTGCTTCCATGTTATCCGAATATCCATAAATAAATTCTGCAATAAATTCAGAATTAAAGATGTAGTAACCTGAATAACCACCCACCAGCAGCAATAGTGGGTGACTCAGTGCTGTTCTGGCCATAAAGGCCTTTCTCCCTGAGCTCTTTCCATGAGCCACGTCCAGTTCTCTGGTATTTCTGATGCCTCGTATAATCCTGAATAGTATTGAAGGATCATGCACCCTGCGGAAATCAACCAAGATGCTCTCAAGGAGGAAAAGGCCCTGGATTTCAGAAGCAGACTTGCCAAATACAATGTAGGCTTGTGGAAGAATGTTTTTAAGCATTCTTAACATTCTGATTCTGTTTCAAAGCATGTCTCCATTGCAATTTCTTACATCTCTATATGCTCTGTATCTTATTATAAACAAAACAAAACAAAGAAACAAACACACATAGCCTGGCCATCCATTTTCCTTTTCTGACTCAATATCCAGTGTTGGTTATCCTTTCCCAAAGAACAGCTTGAGGTTGGTCATTAGTGGTTTCACAACACCGAAATTTGTATTCTGTTGATGAGCAATTATGATTCTCTTTGTCTCTTTGGGAGATTATAAAAATTTTTGACATATGCATACTTTGGTAAAGTTGGAAGACATTTTAATTGTCATAATTTCACAAATTCAACATTCTGTGAGGTGGAGAGCACAGTTACATTATGTTACTTTATTGAGAAACGATTCATCCATTATTTACTAAATGTATACTAGTGAATACTGGATAGTATAAAAACATAGTTGAGCAAGGTACACTTTGTTTTTAAGACATATATATCTGACAGGGCCAGGAAACATGTAGACAAAAAAGAATCACAATAGAGAGTGATTCAGGAACCCTATTATCACCGAAATATTTTAGACGCACAATATTAAAATTTGTGCTTCAATATATTGATGTATATTTTTATATTTAAAACATTTACAGCCAGCTCTATGTAAAAAGAGCAAAAGAAAATCTAATGAGGCATTGCTTGGGTAAAAACTTGAGGAAAGAGAAAGAACATACTAACTAGAAATTAGGGAGGAGGAAGGAATGATATTCTTGCAAAGGGAAGAGCTTGTGCAAAGGCATGGCAACATTGAATAGTTTACAGCAAGGTGCCACTCATGAAACGTTATTGTGGGAGTGATATGACTTGTTCAGGGTCATGTACCTCTTCAGTGACAGAGCTTAGGGTCAAGCTCAGTGCTCTTTCCAGAGCTTCTTTCTCCCCAGTTTTACATGTCTATGCTTTGATTAATACACTGAGCTTCCTGAATGGAACGCCACCTACATCTGGGTACTTAGAAAACAAATAATGTTTGATATTCTTGATTTCAAGCCACACTTACTCGAGTGAACTTCTTTCTATAATGGCAAAATTAAACAGTTTCTATTATAGTAATACTATAAAAATAACAAGTGGAATTGAAATGAAAATATACCACTTTAGTCTGGCTTTCGCTCTTACAATGTGCATTTGAGTTTAATGCCTTTGATGATTAGCTGGAATATGAGAAGGACTACACTCTGAATATAATCTGGTTTACTGAATAATCTCTTTACCCCCACTTCCAATTTCAAAATAAAGGGAAAACAGCCTTCTTTCTGAAATCAGATCATATGCAAAATAAGGTATAAAGTAACAGAAGATAAACAATTTAGAAATACAGACATTTAAAACATTATCACTGGTGGGCCAAAATTGGACTATTGTAAAATAGCCTGTAACTAGCATTCATTTAACATCAAAATCAATTATTTAGTCTTTTTATCATTTTCTTGAAGCAGGACAAATAGAAAAATCGCTTGCCTTTTGTTCATGGTCTAATTCTAGCTATTTTGATAATTCACATATTTTTTACTAGAGACAGCATCTGCTAGACTTGTGAACGGGGCTACAATAGTTGTTTTTAAACTGCATTTGACTATTCAGAATTGTTGTTGTTGTGTATTTACTTGAAATGTCTGGGGATGTAGCTAATAAAGCTTGGGGTGATACAAATGGAAATCTCCCAAGTCACCCATAGTGACAATACTGAGTTGAGGCCAGGCTTCCTTCTCTCACACAGTAAACGCAGTGAACCTTCTCAGTGGTTGATTGCTCACTGTAATGGAGCAGCTGTGTATACCTCCACACAGAACTCACCAAGAGACAACACTTCGGTTTTGTGACAATTTACACCAATGGGATCCAGTGTTTCCCTCCTGGCTTCACACACTCTGTGTGCCTGTGCAGAACAGACCGATGTTTGTTTGCAAAATTGCAAGCCTGCTGTAGTAACAGACGTTTTAGTAAACTGTTTTCCCCAGTGAAGGGATCTGAGACTATTACAGTTGGTCCTCCATGTCTGAGGGTTTTGCATCTGCAGATTCAACCAACTGCAGATCAAGAATATACAAAAGAAACTCTCCCAAAATAAGAATATAACAATAAAAAATAACAAATATAAAAATGTAAACACTATTTATATGGTATTTACATTTTATTAGATATTATAAGTACTCTAGAGATGATTTAAATTCTACAGTAGAATGCATGTAGATTATATGCAAATATCACCATTTTATATAAGGGAAGTTAGCATCCAACGGTTTTCTTATCCTCGGGGTACTGGAACCAACTTCCCACTGACACTGAGAGACAACAATATATTAACAAATCTGAAAACTAAAGTTGTCTATTGAATTTATGGATCTTTGTATGTACATGTAATGAGATGGCCTTGACAACAATAACTTAAGACTCATAAGCTTCCTGGTCAATGATGTGTTCAGTGATATAATCTAACAAACTCTGAGAAAGAAAGAAAATGCATTTCTAGGATTACTTGTAGGTGGGTTTTTGACACAGATAATAAAGTAAACCCACTGGAGTTCTAGTTAGATGTGGCCTATGTTCTCTCATTCTAATCAGCTTTGAACAAGTGACTGTTAATTAACAGAAATAGAATGAGCATTGAGAATTAAATGTTAAGAATTTTACTTTTCTAGCAGCTTTCTGGAATACAAATAAATATTCCTTATGGGATATTTTAACTCATTAAAACAAACCTTAGAACCATATTTTTAAATGGTAAACACCAATAATAGTAACTATTAGCAGATTTATACTATGCCCACAATTGTTCAAAGCACCTCATTAATATCATCTAATTGAATTTTCCTCTTTTTTAAAATAGACTTTATTATTTACAGCAATTTTAGGTTTACAAAAAAATTGAGAAAAAAGCACAGAGATCTCCCATATATTTGTTGCCCCCCACACATCCACAGACTCCCCATGTATCAATCAATATCCCCCGTCAGAGTGGCACAGTTGTTGTAACTGATGAGCCTATATTGGCAAAATATTCTCACCGTAAGACCATAGTTTACACTAGGGTTAACTTTTGGTAGTATACATTTTATGGTTCTGGACAAATGTCTAATAACATGCATCCAAACTTATAATGTACAGAGTAGAATTCCACTGCCTTAAATATTCTCTCTGTACTCCACCTATTCGTCTCTCCCTCCCCACAACACTTGGCTACCACTGATATTTTTACTGTCTCCATAGTTTTGACGTTTCCAGAATGTCAAAACTATGGAGAGTTTTCAAATTGCATTTTTACACTTCTTACATTTAGCAAAATTTATTTAAGGTTCCTCCATGTCTTTTCATGGCTCGATTACTCATTTCCTTTTATTGGTGAATAATCTTCCCTTGTCTGGATGTATCACAGCTTATTTACCATTCATCTACCGAAGGGTATCTTGGTTGCTTCCATGGTTTGGCAATTATGGATAAAGTCGTAAACATCTGTGTGCAGGTTTTTGTATGGACATAAGTTTGAGAAGACACCAAAGAGCAAGTTTGCTGGATCATATAGTAAGAGTATGTTTAGCTTGGTAGGAGGCCACTAAACTGTTTTCCAAAGTGGCTGTACTTTGTTTTCCCACCAGCAATGAGTGGGAGTTCCTATTGCCCCACATCCTCACCAACACTTGATATTGTCAGTGTTCTGGATTTTGGCCATTCTAGTAGGTAGGTAGTGGTATCTCATTGCTTTAATTTGCATTTTTCTGATGGCATAATGTGGAACATTTTTTATACGCTTATTTGCCAGCTGTATGTCTTCTTTGATGAAATGTCTATTAAGGTCTTTGGCTTATTTTTTTAAATTGTATAGTTCATTCTCCATTGTTGAGTCTTTAGTGCTATTTGTATATTTTAGATAATAGTCCCTTATCAGTTATGCCTAATGCTTTTCTCCCAGTCTGTGGTTTATCTTTTCACTCTAAAAAGACATCACCAAACCCAATCAACAACTATTTTGCATAGGATCTGCTATCTACATTTTACAGATAAGAAAATTGACATCTAGAGATAAATAATAAGCTGCCTAAGAAATGTATGCCCAGGAATTGGTTGAGTTGGCACTTGATCCAAGATCCATTTGATTGGAAAGCCTTTACTTTTAACCACAAGGCCAACCTGCCTCCTAAGAGCGTAGGTTCTATTTAGTTTAACTCTGTGATTTGAAATTCTGTTGGTTCATTTACATTCAGCATTTTTTATAACTTACCATTGTATTCAACACATACTGGTAACATTTGGGACATGGAAACATAAATAAAAGATAGCCATGTTCCAAGGAGCTTTATTTTGGGTTAAAAAGTGTTCTATTTAAAAAGAAATAGATGTTCAGTAAATTGCAGATCTGGCCACTTTATTCAAATTGAGCTATTCTTGCTCAGTGGTTCAAACACCTTCCTGTATGTCTGAATCACTCAGAAGACTTGTTAAACACAGGTTACAGGACTATGTGCCCCCTACTTTACCTTTTGATTCAATAAATCTGACGTGTTGCCTGGAAATTTGCAACTCTGACAAGTTTCCTAGGGTTGCTAATGCTGCTCGTTCAGAATAAATATGGAAAGCTGCTGCTTTGCTGCTCTGTTAGCTGATTAAATTGATTCCCATGGATTGCTGAGTGACTGGTAGTTTTCATACTTCCTAAGAGCAGCGAAGAAATGTAAATTTTGCTGATATACATGTGCAAATGAGTGGTCATGGCTTAAATAACATTGCTAAGTAGGGTGAAAATTAGATATAGCCTGGGGGTTTGGAGTGATGGCAGTAACAAAGTAACGTGAGAATGCTAAGAGGTAGTGTAAATAAACAGCAAAAGTAGTGTTACCTGGAAACAGGCATAGGCAGACCTTAGTGTCAAACTTGCCTACTGGGTGATTTAGCCTAGAGTTAGACTGAATTTAAGTTGAGGATGCAAATGGAGGCCAGTGACCAGTGTTTCTTCATTGCTCTTGCTTTAGTTAGTGAATCTCATTAACGCGACTACTGTCTGAGGTCCTGAACCTCCAAAGCCCCCACATGATGTAGCTCAGGTTTCTAAAATGGTAAGAAATCTAACCCAATGCCACCTTCAGGGACATCCTCAGTGGTTCAGGTTTGGGGGTAATCAAACCCTGGCTGGCTGAGTTGTTGTACTTACAGCTTCACAGATGGGAAGATTTCTCCTCACCTTTTAGCCATTTGCTGTCATCTTAGGACACAGCTCTCAAGCCTCTTCCCTCCTGACTCAGCAACAACGTCCCCCTCTGATGTAGCGGTCAGACTTCATTTGAATTGAAGGCTTGGGCCCTAGTATCCTGGGTTTCATCGCAGAAGATAGCAATCTGAAAGTAAGGACTCTGAAGGCACTAGTATGATTTTAAATTCAAATAAGATCTGAGATAAAAATGGGACATGTTGGTATAGCCATCAGGAAAAATGAAGACTGGCAGTTTAATTTATCTAAATACTGTAAGCAAAAGAATGTCAGCCTGATTGACAGCTGGGGTTGCCTGGGTTGAATATAATAGATATTAAAACATATTTTTTATTAGATGTTACATTGAGAAACCAGCAGAGACCCTTCTGGACAAGATTTCAAGCTGTATTTTGCTTTTTACCATGGTCTCAGCCTTTAAAGTAGGCTGAAGTGGATGTATTTATTTGCTACTGCTTAAAACCCTAAAATTACCCTTTCCATTTATCAAAGTAGCCTCTGTGTCTTCTGTATGTCACCACTCATACAGTCCTTAAGAATGATACTGTGTCCGGAATTGGTGGGTTCTTGGTCTCACTGACTTCAAGAATGAAGCCCTGGACACTTGCGGTGAGTGTTACTGTTCTTAAAGGCGGCATGTCCGGAGTTTGTTCCTTCTGATGTTCGGATGTGTTTGGAGTTTCCTCCTTCTGGTGGGTTCGTGGTCTCGCTGGCTCAGGAGTGCAGCTGCAGACCTTCGGGGTGAGTGGTACAGCTCTTAAGGCGGCATGTCTGGAGTTGTTCGTTCCTCCCGGTGGGTTCGTGGTCTTAATGGCTTCAGGAGTGAAGCTGCAGAACTTCGCGGTGAGTGTTACAGCTCATTAAGGCAGTGTGGACCCAAAGAGTGAGCAGTAGGCAACATTTATTGCAAAGAGCAAAAGAACAACGCTTCCACACTGTGGAAGGGGGACCCCAGCGGGTTGCCACTGCTGGCTCAGGCAGCCTGCTTTTATTCTCTTATCTGGCCCCACCCACATCCTGCTGATTCGTCCATTTTACAGAGAGCTGATTGGTCTGTTATACAGAGAGCTGATTGGTCCATTTTGACAAGGTGCTGACTGGTGCGTTTACAATCCCTGAGCTAGACACAAAAGTTCTCCACGTCCCCACTAGATTAGCTAGATACAGAGTGTCAATTGGTGTATTTACAAACCCTGAGCTAGACACAGAGTGCTGATTGGTGCATTTACAAACCTTGAGCTAGATACAGAGTGCCAATTGGTGCATTCACAATCCCTTAGCTAGACATAAATGTTCTCCAAGTCCCCACCAGATTAACTAGATACAGAGTACCGACTGGTGCATTCACAAACCCTGAGCTAGACACAGAGTGCTGATTGGTGTGTTTACAGACCTTGAGCTAGATACAGAGTGTCGATTGGTGTATTTACAGTCCCTCAGCTAGACATAAAGGTTCTCCAAGTCCCCACCAGATTAACTAGATACAGAGTGCCGATTGGTGCATTCACAAACCCTGAGCTGGACACAGGGTGCTGATTGGTGTGTTTACAAACCTTGAGCTAGATACAGAGTGCCGATTGGTGTATTTACAATCCCTCAGCTAGACATAAAGGTTCTCCAAGTCCCCACTAGACTCAGGAGCCCAGCTGGCTTCACCCAGTGGATCTTGCAGTAGGCTGCAGATGGAGCTGCCCGTCAGTCCCCTGAGGTGCACCCACACTCCTCAGCCCTTGGGCGGTTGATGGGACCGGGCGCCCTGGAGCAGCGGGCTGTGCTTGTCAGGGAGGCTCAGGCTGCGCAGGACCCCACAGCTGGGGAGGGAGGAGGCTCAGACATGGTGGGCTGCAGGTCCGGAGCCCTGCCAGCAGGGAGGCAGCTAAGGCCTGGTGAGAAATCGAGTGCAGCAGCTGCTGGCCCAGTTGCTAAGCCCCTCACTGCCCGGAGCTGGCGGGGCCGGCTGGTCACTCTGAGTGTGGGCCCGCCGAGCCCATGCCCACCCAGAACTCGCGCTGGCCCGCAAGCCTGTGCGCAGCCCCAGTTCCCGCACGCGCCTCTCCCTCCACACCTCCCCGCAAGCTGAGGGAGCCGGCTCCGGCCTTGGCCAGCCCAGAAAGGGGCTCCCACAGTGCAGCGGCGGGTTGAAGCGCTCAAGTGCGGCCAGAGTGGGCGCCAAGGCCAAGGAGGCACCGAGAGCGAGCGAGGGCTGCGAGGGCTGCCAGCACACTGTCAACTCAATACCTCAACAAGTGACCAGTACATATAAAGGGCTCATGTCTCCTCCACTTAGAGGAGTGCAGTTTACAATCCATCGAATACTTTGATGGGTGCAGGAGACCTAATATTATTGAAAAAGATAAAGTCTATATGCCATGTCTGAGCTTTATTTTTGAGGCAAGAACTGTGTCCTAGTCTATGTGAATTGCTATAAAGGAATACCTGAGGAGGGGTAACTTATATAGAAAAAAGGTTTATTTGGCTCATGATTCCACTGGCTGAAAGATTGGGAATCTGGTGAAAGCCTCAGGCTGCTTCCACTCATGGCAGAAAGTAAAGGGGAGCCAGCACGTGCAGGAATCGCATGACAAGAGGGGAGCAAGAGAAGGAGAGGGGAGGTTCCAGGTTTTCTAAAAAACCAGCTTTGTGGGGAACCAATAGAGCAAGAACTCACTGATCTTCCCTAAGGGCAGGCATTAATCTATCCATGTGGGGCCCATACCTATGACGCAAACACCTCCCATTAGGCTCCCATTTCCAACATTAAGATCAAATTTCAATAGAATCTCTGGGGAACAATTCTCCAAACCATAGCAGCCTGCAATGTTTTGGTTGGTTGGTTGGTTTTGTTTTGTTCTTGAGATATGCTCTCATTCTGCCTCCCAGGCTGGAGTGCAGTGGTGAGATCTCTGCTCGCTGTAATCTCCCTGTCCCAGGTGAAACCATCCTCCCATCTCAGCCTTCCTAGTAGCTGGGACTACAAGTGTACACCACCATACCTTGCTAATTTTTGTATTTTTTTGTAGAGATGAGGTTTTGCCATGTTGCCCATGCTGGTCTCAAACTCCTGAGCTCAAGTGATCCTCCCACATTGGACTCTCAAAGTACTGAGATTAGAGGCATGAGCCACCATGCCCAGCCAGCAGCTTGCAATCTTGTAATTAATTTTATAAGCTACATTTACTCAATGGAGAGAGCAGGATCTATTCTTTAGAGAGAACACTGGAATTCACATGGTGGGGGAAGGCAATAAAGTTAGGAAAGTCAGATATTTTAAGCTTGAATTTAAGAAAGTTTGAGTCTAACAGGAAGGATAACTCCATGTTGTGAATTAAGCATTTGAAGAGTGGAAAAAGAATCATTTATGAAAAATAAAAATATCTCTTAGTTGTTTCATTTTGAGACATCTACCTTAAAATATATACAACTGTCCTTCAACTCAAGTATGCTTCACATTGTGTTGATATTTAATAACTATAGCTACAATATATTGACAGTTCTTTAATATCAGTATTAATATAGGTACTTTACCTATATTAACCCTAATATTTGTATGGCAGGGAATCTATTATAATGTATATGTCATAACAATGAGGAGAGATTAAATAATTTCTTCTACAAGGGAAAAGACTTATTTATACTATTAACTATAACATTTGTATCTACAGGGAAAAAAATAGCCTCATCATTTTACAATCATATTGCTTACTCATAAAATGGTTTAAGAATAAGGATAAAATATCATGCCAACTCTGAGGGTTAATTTTATGTGTCGACTTTACTGGGCTAAGGAATGCTTACATAGCTGGTGAAACATTATTTCTGGATGTATCCATATGGTTGTTTCTGGAAGATATTAGCATTTGAATCAGTAGACTGTCTAAAGACAGAACACTGGAATTCACCTGGTGGGGGAAAGGCAATAAAGTTAGGAAAGTCAGGGTCTAACAGTAAGGATAACAAATAAGACTAATAATAGATGTCTCACCAATGTGTACAGGCATCATCCAATCAACTGAGGGTCTGAATGGAATGAAAAGGTGGATGAAGAGTGAATTTATTCTTTCTGCTTGAGCTGGAACATTCATTTTCTCCTTTCCTAAGACATTGATACTCCCAGGTATTGGGCCTTTAGACTCAAACTAGAACTACACCACTAGCTTTCCTGGACTTCCAGCTTGTAGATGGCAAATCATGGGACTTTTCAACCTCCACAGTCATGTAAGCCAATCCCTCATGGTGAATTTCTTCATATGTATCCATCTATAGAAATATAGATATCTGTTAAATATCCTAACAACAGATAGATAGCATGATGGTTAATACTGAGTGTCAACTTTATTGGATTGAAGGACACAAAGTTTTGATCCTGGGTGTGTCTGTGATAATGTTGCCAAAGGAGACTAACATTTGAGTCAGTGAGCTGGGAAAGGCAGACCCACCCTTAATCTGGGTGGGCATCATCTAATCAGCTGCCAGTGAAGCTATAATATAAACAGGCAGAAAAATGTGGAAAGAGAGACTGGCCTAGCCTCGCAGCCTACATCTTTCTCCCATGCTGGATGCTTCCTGCCCTCAAATATCAGACTCAAGTTCTTCAGTTTTGGAACTCAGACTGGATCTCATTGCTCCTCAGCAGGCAGATGGCCTATTGTGGGACCTTGTGATCATGTGAGAAAGATGTAGGCTGGGACTTGAGTCATGGTATGGTGCTGTTTTTGCGATAGTGAGTTCTGATGAGATCTGGTCATATAAAAGTATGTGACACCTTCCCACCAGACTCTCTCTTGCTCCTGTTCTGACCATGTGACATATCTGCTCCCCCGTCAACTTCTGCCCTGATTGTTACCTTCTAAAGCCTTACCACCACCATGCTTCCTGTAAAATCTGCAGCACCATGAGCCAATTAAACCTTCTTTATTTATAAATTACACAGCCTCATGTATTTTTTTATAGTAATGTAAGAAGAGCCTATTATATCTTCTATGGTTTCAGTGTTTGTGTCTCATTCAAAATTCATGTTGAAACTTAATCTCAATTCAACAGTATTAAGAGGTGAGGCCTTTAGAAGGTGATTAGGCTACGAGGTCTCTGCCCTCATGAATGGGATTAGCACTGAAGAAAGCTTGCTAGGCCCTTTTTGCCCTTCTGCCTTCTTTCATGCAAGGACACAGAAACAAGCAAAACTGAACACAGAGACCAGGCCCTCATCAACACCAAATCTGCCAGTGCCTTGATATTGGACTTCCCAGGCTCCAGAACCGTGAGAAACAAATTTCTCTCACTTACACATTACCCTTTTGGAGGCATTTTGTTACAGCTGTACACATGGACTAAGACAGAACTACAACTACAATTAAGTATCAGTAAGTAATAATTAGTGAAAATAAACATTTAGCATATTTTATTTGGTATATGACAAGGCTAAAACCACAAAACTTGAAGTCTTTACTAGACATGCCCCTGAGGTGAGCTTAGAGGGATGATTTGCCTTGAAGAAGTTCTTTGGTCTCCATCCATTTCAAAATCCATTCCAATTCCTTATTCCTAAGCTACCAGGCAGTCTTCCCACAAGGGCCAGGCAGAATCCCTCTCTCATTTTTTGGCCCCCTTCACCTGTGTTAGAATGCTTTTCATGGCCTGCTGGAAATTGTGATTAATTAGATTTACGTACCTTTCCTTTGTTATATGGTGAAGGCTTAGAGGATAGACAGTTTGTCAGATTTATCACTGATCAGTCAAAATGTTTAGCGTAGAATCTCCTGCATATTCATTAGCTGTTCAATGATAGAAGTAGCCCCATCCCTTGAGCCTCTCTTTCTGTCTCCCTTTCTCTGCCTCTCTTAATCTCTCTTTTTCCCTCTCCCTCTTTTATTTGTATTTCTCTTTCTCTTTCATTTCTCAATTTGGGCCATTGGTCACTTCGTAGAAATATCAAATGCTTCTAATCACTCTTGCTGCCCCAAGTCTCTAGTTTTGTTACCCAAATACAGAAGCTAAAAGAGTTAAAGAAAAACAAACTTCCAAAGGGACAAATTGTATTTCAGGCTATACAAATTAAATTGGACTTTAAAAGTTCTAATATAAGAAAAAATACTTGCAGTTTTGCCATCTGGAATGAAAGAGGTGTGAAACAACGAAAATAGGCTCTGTGCGCGTAGGTGTTGTGGCAAAGATGGTAGCTGGGAGGGGCTGTTTTATGCAAGAGTTATAGTCAGAGAAGCTATAAAGAATTTCATCAACCCTTGGTATTCTATAGCCATATGTCATTCACTGTCTCTCCTAGCTTAGTTTGGCTGAAGCAAGGACTCCACAGATGGTTTTTGCAGCCACGTATCTCAACCTCTGCCTGGTTGGGCTAAAAACCTTCGGGAGAAGAAAGGATACTTTTGCAAGTCCAGGCATCTCAGAAATTTGGAAAATCCTTTGCCCTACAAATATTTTTCTCATAAACTGGGACTTTTGTCTTTTGTTTCTGGCTTGGACAGGAAAAGAGAAAAATGGGTGGGAAAGCAAACAGTTGCAACATGAAGGAATCAGTTTCAATTCTGTGAAAACCTTGAAGTCTGGGTGTAAATTCTAGTTAGTCTCTTTTGTTATGTGTATCTATTTATTTATGCCTAATAAAAACAAGACCATATTCTGAGAAGTTCAGGAAATAATTTCTCTATTTAAAGGTACATGCATTTCTAAGAAACATTTTGCCATTTTCATAGGGGTAGTGGATGGTCACATTTGACTCTTGCTCTCCATTTCATATTATGCTATTTAGTATGAAGTAGTTTCCCACTAAATGTTTAGTCAATTAGTAAATGAGTGTACTGACTACTTGAACAGTCTGATAGTTTTCTATTACTGTGTAAAAATTACCACAAGTGTAATGGTTTAAACAACACCCACTTATTACCTTACAATTTCCATGGATCAGGAGTCCAGGTTCATGTTAGCTGAGTACTCCACTCAGAATATCACCAGGCTGAAATCAAAGCATTGTCCGGGGATTCAGTTATCACCCGAGGCTCAGGATCCTTTTCCAATCTCAGAAATTTTTTCTTTGCAAAATTCATTTTTTTGCAGCTATTTTACTGCAGTCTCATCTTCTTGCTAGTTGTCAGCCAGGGCAGCTCTCAGCTCCTAGAGGTGACCTCCATTCCTTCCCTCATGGCTCCATGGCAGTTTACACAAACCTATTTGCTTTCATCCAGGCAGCAGGAGTGCATCTCTCTGACTTCTTAATTCCACTCCAGTCTGCTATAAGGAAGTCTTACATCATGTAAAATAATAATAGAAGTGACTATCCCATCACCACTTGTCAAATATAACATAACCTAATCAAAGGAGTAACTATCTCATCATATTCACAGGTTCTGCCTGTAGAGGGGAAGAGGACTATCCAATGGAGTAGGAATGTGGGTCCATCTATGAATTCTGCCAACTACAAGTGAGATGGATCTATCGCATATCAAGATTAAGGATATATACATTTGATTTATATATGAATTTTATGTGGCTTGTTTTAGACATGGTTAGATTTGAATCAGATATCATAGTTAGTCTATTTCCTATATTTTTAAAAATCTGTCTTTCTTGTCAGTAGGACAGGTAAAAATTATTATTAAGCCCTAAGGCACAGAAGACGTAGGCTAATGTACCCAAATTTGGACAGGTGGTTTGGTTTCTTAGATAGTCTTAGTTCTTGGCCAAAAGGAAGGCCCCATCACTTTAAGAGTTCTTGTATTCTTGCCTGCTGAATGTTGGCAGTCTTTTGATAAAGGAAGAAAGTATTCACATCACATAAATGTTTGATTTTCTCATCCATAGTCTTCCAGTTTTACCCCCTTATTCACTAGACAGTGACTGGTCACCTGAACCTAGCTGAGCCTACAGAGTTCATTTGTACTTCAATGAGTGTACTTTGTGTAAAGATCCCTATATGCTCAGGCATGTACTAGTCACTATGAGAAATACACACTTACATAAAAGTAGTAGTTTTTATAGAGATGAGTATAAAATTCCTAACTTCCTAGGGAGATCCACACAAAGGCTTTCATTTGTAGTAAGATGTGATTGCCATTCTCAGAGCCTTTGTCCAAAATAGACATTGATCATAGCTAAGGAATTTTTTTTGCTCTATTGCAGAAAGAAAGGCCTGCTGGAAAAATAGACAGTGGGCTGAAAAGAGTGTCTTAGGCCATAGCATCACCCTACATAGTCCAGTCCTCCAAAGATTTGATTTCCTAGAGATGCTGAAGCTAATCCATGCTCTTTCTCCAGTCTGTTCATCCTGAGCTGGAGATAAAACATAAAGATCATGTTTTTATGTTCATCCAAAGTGTCTTAGGGTAACTTTAAGTGACGGTTTCCTCATGCAGTGAGATCATATTAACCCAGTTCCTGCCCACTGTGTCCCATTTTGTTCTGTTTAAGCCTGGTTATTCCAATGCATCTCTCTTGCTCCTTCTATGTAGGCTTGGCAGTGTCTTCATTCTGGCAAGGTTGTAGGGTGCTAAACATCTATTATCCTACCCTCCCACTTACTGAAACACAAGATGTCTCAATAGTGTTTTTTATCTTACCCCATCAGTTGATAAATTAATCATCCATGAGATGTTAAGTATCTGCATTGTGAAGAGCACAAAAGAGATAAAAGTCACTATCTTTTCCATAGGGATCTTTACATTTTTCTGCAACTTTAATACTATTTATTATATATTTAGAAGGAGAGAATGATCCAGAGCAATTTATTAAATGGTGAAGTAAATTTGATCACCCCCAACTCCACTGAAGCTGTGATTATATCTCAGTCTGAATGAGCAAAGCTAGAATAATAAGAGTCTCTTTCCCACAAAATTCGAATTATAGGAGTCTTTACTGTGCACTTGACCTAAAAGGACATGTAACCTTTAGAGAGTTCAGCCATAATGTGGCACAGAAAAACACGTGTAAAGAGAGAAGACAAGGAACAGATGTAGAGAGAGAGAGGGTGAGAGAAAAAGAAAAGTTTTCTCATTTTGGTTTGAATCCCTCATAAAGTCCAGATATATTATGTGCCCATGGGTTACCAAATATGCCTTTTCGTTTTGCTAGTTCTTTCCTCTTACTTGTGTAAGCTAGTTTGACTCATGTCTGATACTTTTGAACAAAGGCTGTCTCACAAAGAAAGACACTAATCTTTATGGTCCCAACCATGCTTGCAATATGAATGCCGAGAAAGGGGAGGTTTAAGTAGATCAGAACAGGCAAGGTGGGACTTTGTTGGTCCTGAAAGAATGAGGGATATTTGGAGAGGCATAAGAAGAAAGAAGGAATCACAAGTGGTATGAACAGTATGACCAAAAGCAAAGAGAGTAAGGGACATAGTATATGGAGAGCATGGGATCAACCTGGTTTCCACAGTAGGTTTCTATCATATGTTTGTGGTACATTTAAACTGGAATATCACCAATGTTCATTATTTGAAAGATAAAAACATTTACTTATTTTATTATTAACCTCAAAATGTCAGGATTGCAAGAATAATAGTCCTAATTTCCCATTTATGGTCAGTTACCCATGCATTTAATCTAACTCCTTCTGCAAAATGTCATAACAAAAATTGAGAAAATCTGGTGTGGATAAAAAATCACATATGCTTTGAGAGCAGTTAGATGAGGGCTCAACTCCTAGCTCCATCACTTACCAGCTGGATAATACTTAGTAAATTACTAAGTCTCTCTGAGTTTCAGTTTTCTCATATGTAAAGTTGGGACAATAATACCTAATTCACAAGGCTAATATTTGAATTAAATTAAACTGTCCATATATAATGATGTCAGAAAGATGCACAATGTATGTATGTGACTTCCTTCCCTACTCTGTTCATTAAGTATCTGCATTGCTGCCAATTCAGCACTAATCTACTATGATAATGATAATAGAAGTCATGACTGATAGAGACAGAATATGACCTAAGAGCTTTACTAAGTATTAATACTTTGTGTGCCTTATCTCATTAAATTCTCACAACTAGTCTCAAGAAAGAAAAACAAATCCAGTTTAAGGTTATCTTTGTAAAGATTTTTCATCGTGCTTACCTCTGGAATTCCTTCCTTTTGCTGTCAATTCCGGATAAGTGAGTATGTCTCTGAACTCTGAAACAGAGTTCGATTCTGTCATGAAAACAAATGCTGTTCCTCAAACCTAGGCAATTAGGAAAGACTTAATGAAAACTAAGCATTGCTTGCAGACCAACCTGTGTATATTCTCAGAGAAAGAATGTGTGTGTGTGTGTGTGTGTGTGTGTGTGTGTGTGTGTGTACCAGGAGGAGCATTCAGAAAACATGACTAAGGATTCTTGTACTTGATAATTTGAGAAGAAAGAAAGGATTAGGCTCCAGATATAGCTTTGCCACAATTAGATTATTTTTGTGACTCTTAGACAAGTCACTTTATCTTTTTGGATTATACTTTCTTCACTTGTATTAAGTGGCTTTCAAAATACGTAATATGATGAATTTCAGTGGTTCTAAGTCATGGCTTCACATTAGAATCACCTCAGGAGTGTCTAAGACCTACTTCAGACCAATTAAATGAGAATTTCCTGAGGATGGGGTTCAGTCAGATAATTTTAAGGAGCACAAAAATGATTTAAATGTGAAACCAGGTTTGAGATCACTGAAATAGATGGTTTCTAAGATCTAGTATATGTCTAAGATTCTAGATACCAGAAAGTAACCACCAGAAAGAAAAAAGAGTAGGGCCACTATTGGAGGAACTGAAAGGGGTCAATGAAAATGATACGTTTCAAGTAGAAAGTATGGTAGCCTAATTAGTTTGGGAACCATTTTTGAGACTGAGAGCAACCTAGTTAAGACTATTTTGAGATAGAAGCTGAAATTGGTAATGAACTTTGAGATTGTGTTGATAGGTTAATTTATTTTATTTATTCAATAATGTTTTTTGACCACCTACTATGTGCAATCCCCTGGGCATCATAGTAGAAATAGAGACAAATTAGACTTGGGTCTTACCTATAAAGAACGAAATTTCTTTCTGTGAACATCTGGAATACTTCATGGAGGGATGAGGTAATGTTTGAGTTGAGCCTGGAAGAATCGGTGGAGACACACGCACATGTGGAACTCAGGGTTGGGAAGATGGGTGGAAGAACATCCAAAGCAGAAGTGAAATCAATGCTTTTCACTCTATTCAGCATTGCTGAATTGCGCAGTTGCGTTGTGCCACTTTATAATTCCATATACCATTAATCTAGCTATATATTCACCCAGATCTTAATTCCCTTCACTTCTTTTCCATATTCAAGAGTCAATTGAAGGCTTCCTTCTGGAAACTATCCCATTACACCTGGTCTGGTGTGTCTACCCATATGTCCCTGGGATCCTCTCCGCCATGATATTTACAATGTAATATACCAACTAGGTTGTAAGTGCTTCAAAGAAGAAACCATGCTGCTACCTTTTATGTAGAGTACTGTGCCTATTACATGACCTGGCTCAAAATAAGCCATAAAAAAATTGTTGAACTCCAAGAATTAAATAATGTCTTAAATAGGGTAATTGTAATGATTCAATCTCTAGCTAATTCCTATAATATAATTTTTGTGTTTTGCTATACTTAAAATTAAATCCACTACCAGATTTCAAGTTTTTTCAAGGTAGGATTTATGTCCTTGCCTTAATATACAACTCACACTATTTGTCTCCTGAATATTTTTCTACTGTTGTGTCATACCCTTCTCCCTCATTCTTTACTGCGTCCCATCCACACTGTTCTCCCTTCTTCTGTAACATGTGATAACCATTCCTTTCTCAGCTTCTTTATACTTGCTGCTTCCACTTCCTGAAACACTCCTCCTTCTCACATGGAGAACATTAACATTGTTTCCCTTCCCCATTGTTCTTTTTTTTTTTTTTTTTTTAGACGGAGTCTCACTCTGTCACCCAGGTTGGAGTGTGCAATGGTGCGATCTCAGCTCACTGTAACCTCTGCCTCCCGGTTTCAACTGATTCTCCTGCCTCAGCCTCCCAAGTAGCTGGGATTACAGGCGCATGCCACCAAGCCCGGCTAATTTTTGTATTTTTAGTAGAGACAGGGTTTCACCGTGTAGGCCAGGCTGGTCCTGAACCCCTGACCTCAGGTGATCCGCCCACCTCGCCCTCACAAAGTGCTGGGATTACAGGTGCAAGCCACCGTGCCCGGCCCCCTTCCCCATTGTTCTTGTCTCAGCCTAAATGACATCTCCTCACAGAAGTCTACCTTGATCACCACTTCTTTCTACCACCCAAATGTCTGTTTTTTACATATATTATTTTGTTGAATTGTCAGTTTACTTGTTTATTCTATTTTAATAAGTGAAAATAACTGCACAGGAAAGAACAGTTTGCCCACTGTGCCTACCCATCTGGTTTGGAAAAGAGAATAATGGAAGACAGGGGTGGAAAGTTTCACTCATGACAAATTATGTTCAGTCTTAGATGCCAAATCTCAACACTGGTTACAAGTTCATGTACCAATTGTTGGCTAAAATTAATAATAATAATAATAATAATAACAATAGCCCAACATGAAAAATGGGACAGACTCCTAGAAAAACATGTGTAAATTGATTAGCTTTACAAAATGTCATATTTTACAAAAAGGCGAGTCTTCCTTCCATCTCCTGATTGTGTCCTTTCCCATGAGAAATGCAGTAATTGGTTGCCACGCATTTAGGTGGCCAAATGCCAAATGCATAAACAAGCTAGGTGGCATTTAAACAATGGTGACATTTACACTCCAAACTGAGAATCCTCCTTCAGAAGTAGAAAATGTATTTGTAAACTGGGAAGAATGGTAAGTATAATCTTCCCTTGGTGTTAAATCAATATAGAAACTAAAAACATTACAAAATATATAGGTGTCAGAAAATATCTCCTATCATTGTTTTTATTCTTGTCAGTGTATTATTTTTGTCATTGCAACATTTTTTTTAATTCAACAACCACCAAGTCTAAGGTTCCTGGAATTAAAGGTATAACAAGATATAACAAATATACTTTTTTTGGCTTGTTTTTATGAGGCTGATAGCAATCTCTTATTTTATAAGCTTCAGCCCTGTGTGTACCCTAAATGCAGCCTTTGACTCATTAAATATGACACAGACAGGAATACAAGTGAGAAGGTGCTAAATTATATTAACCAGTAGGGGTGGATAAATGCTGACTTACCTCCCTTCCCTAGAAAATAGAATGCTCAATGTAACTAATGATCAGGGAAATGCAAATCAAAACCACAATAAGATACCACCTTACTCCTGCAAGAATGGTCATAATTAAATAATAATAATAATAGATGTCGGCATGGATGTGGTGAAAAGGGAACACTTTTACACTGCTGGTGGGAATGTAAACTAGTACAACACTATGAAAAACAGTATGAGATGCCTTAAATAACTAAAAATAGAACTACAATTTGATTCAGCAATCCTACTACTGGTTATCTACCTGAAGAAAAATAAGTCATTACATGAAAAAGACACATGCACATGCATGTTTATAGCAGCACAATTCACAGTCGCAAAAATATGGAACCAGCCTAAATGTCCATCAACCAATGAGTAGATAAAGAGAATGTAGTGTGTGTGTATATATATATATATATATATACCATTGTGTGTGTATATATGTATATATACACCATTGTGTGTGTATATATGTATATATATATATATACACCATAGTGTGTGTGTGTATATATATATATATATATATATATATATACACCATAGTGTGTGTATATATATATACACCATGGTGTATATATATGTGTATATATATACATATATATACACATTGTGTGCATATATATATATATATATATATATATATATATATATACACAATGGAATACTACTCAGCCATAAAAAAGAACAAATTAATGGCATTTGCAGCAACATGGGTGGAGTTTAAGACGATATATTCTAAGTGAAGTAACTCAGGAATCGAAAACCAAATATTGTATGTTCTCACTTATAAGCAGGAGCTAAGCTATGGGGATGCAAAGGCATCAGAATGATATAATGGACTTTTGGAACTCAGGGAGAAGGGAGGGAAGGGGGCAAGGGATAAAAGACTACACACTGGGTGCAGTGTACACTGCTCAGGTAATGGGTGCACCAAAATCTCAGAAATCACCGCTAAAGAACTCTCCCATGCAACCAAACACCACCTGTTCCCCCAAAACTATTGAAATAAAAATAAAATTGTAAAAAAAGAAAATACTATTTGGGAAAGATTAAAAATAACAAATCAGGCTGGGTGCAGTGGCTCACGCCTGTAATCCCAGCACTTTGGGAGGCCGAGGCAGGCAGATCACGAGGTCAGGATATCGAGACCATCTTGGCTAACACGGTGAAACCCCGTCTCTACTAAAAAATACAAAAAATTAGCCGGGCGTGGTGGCGGGCGCATGTAGTCCCAGCTACTCGGGAGGCTAAGGCAGGAGAATGGCGTGAACCCGGGAGGCGGAGCTGGCAGTCAGCCGAGATGGCGCCACTGCACTCCCGCCTGCGTGACAGAGTGAGACTCCATCTCAAAAAAAAAAAAAAAAAAAAAAAATTAGATTTTGGATGTAAATCTGAACTCGCCCATTTCAATGAATGATTGGTATAAGTTTTACTACTGTCTATCCCAGTAGAAGATAAAAGACACAAGGATTTGGTTGTCTCTAAGTATTTGGGTTAGTTGTGATATTATAACAAAAGGCTAAGATTTAGTCTGAATTTTATTGCTTATTCTGCCCCTAACTACATATGTGACCTGGGACAAGTCACTCAACCTTTCTAAGCTATAGTGTTCTCATTTGTGAAATAACATTAGATTTCCAAATCCTTTCTAGCTTGAAAATTTCATGGACATGGCACATGCCTACACAAAAAATTCCCAATATTTGTAATATGCCTTGTAAAACACCATTTGTCTTGACTCCCACAAATGGACCCACACTGTATGTTATTATATTCATTTTGCTGTTGAGTAAATGGAGGTTTAACTGAGCTGAAGGACACATGCAGTGGTATCATCAGCAGGTGATAGTACTGTTTCCGGGATCCAGCTTGCTTTTCTTATAAATTATAAGAATGAAAAAAAATGGTATTGGAAGATGTTTAGGAAGCACTGTGCAGAAAATCTTTGAAAAAGATTCTTAGATGTGATCTAGTCCAAACTTTGACTTCATGCTAAAGTCTCCCAGTTACTGAGAGCCGGCTATTTTAACTATTTTCTCACTTTCCTTGAGATGAGGAGCTGCTTGCTAACTGACAACCTTTTATCATTTGTAAGTTAGAAGAACAGAACATGTCTGTTCTTCCTGTATTTTACAATGTGAAGAACAATATGTAGGATTCAAATAGATGAAACTTGCCAGGTTGTTGTCAGACTGAGCAGTATACTAAATCTCCCTTTAGTGATAACGTATGTCTAATGTATTTTTGGGTAACATCATGGAATGATCAAATATTATAGAAAAGAAAATGCACTTGGGAAACATTTATTCTTTTCACCATGGTCGACTAAAAGTTAGTAGGGATCCTTTCCCTACTGAAGAGGATGGAGGTATTTGATGACAATTTAAGCAGTTTTACTTTGCAACAGTTATCTTTATTGTTGACCATGTCCTTATTATCCAACCCTCTACATCGGGTTTGGCAATGATTCTCTTTTGCTAGAGCAAGAGGACAGCTCCGTTGTTATCAGTTTGAATAAAATAATGGCAATTTGGAACATCTGCACATTGTCACTTTGGCCCTTTTAAGGAAAGAAAGTGGCTATTAAATACATTATTTTTATTATTATGAAAGAAGGAAGTTAATAAATTGGGAATCCCATTACCTCAGCTATTTTCTATGCTTTTTTGTTTGTTTGTTTGTTTGTTTCAAGATAAGAATGAAGCAAGGAAAGCACAGATTTACTGAAATGAAAGTACACTCCACAGACTGGGAGCATGCTTGAGCAAGCAGCTCAAGAGTGCTGGTTACAGAACTTTCCAGGGTTTAAATACCCTCCAGAGGTTTCCCATTGGTTACTTGGTTTACACCCTATGTAACTGAAGTAGTGGCCTGCAATCAGTCTGATTGATTGCAGAAGGTGACCAATCAGAGGCTGAAGTGAAGTTACAGAGTCTGTTACACGAAGTCTTGGCGTAAGACCAGTCTGATTGCTGATTGGTTGCAGGAGGGACCAATCACAGGTACTTTCATTTTTTTATGGTAGAGCCAGTACCAATATGTCTGTTAGTGTCAGAAGCAGAACTGCCCCGTGCTTTCTTGCCACACTGCCTTACTCACACTCTCTCTTCCACGTTTAATGGCATTATCTCCTTATGCCTTTTGATGACCTATGTCCTGATTCTCATAGATGTTAAGTATTCCTTCTTTATCACATATTTTTACAAAATACTTAGCCTTTCTCCTGTCATTAGTTCAATTCTTTCCAGTATTGTGGTTATTTCCATATTGTCTTTTCTTTAATATTAAATGTTACATTTATCTAGGACCAGATAAATATCTCCTTCCACAGGGTATGAAATTAGAGGTTTAAACCAGCATTGTCTAAATCACCATGGTTCCAGGAGATCCTGATTGACATCCTGCTTTACACAAATTTTCTTGGACACTGAAAAGCTTTAGACATAAATGATCAAAATATTTGCTGAATACTGACTACAAGTTTATTTATTTGCTTTTCTTTGAGGACACTAGGTAATGAATTAATCTCTTCTAAAACCAAATCAAATTTATAGAACAGCTCAGCAATTTCTATCCATATTTGTGCCAAATCTCCTCCTAGAAAACAAAGTCTAAGGTGCCTCTGTAATTTTTTATTCCTTGTATTACCAGGAGAATTTGGGCTTGTTTCTAACGTATAAATGATGGAGTTAATGTTGTAATATATTTTAAAATGTCCAAAATATGTTGTTTGGAATGAAAGAATTTTTATTTTGATGCTTTAAAACATTATTCAGCTAAATGCTAAACCATATTCTTAATCATCATAAATGTTTCAAGGCACAGAATATTTACAATGTTATGCCTGTTGTAGATTGGGTATATTTTATTTGCTCTATAGTTTATTAGACTATGAAGACTCAGACTGGTGCTTTTAAATGATCATGCTGTTACAAAAAATAAAGTTCCTCATCTGGACATTTTTATTTGAATCTTCAAAAGTGTTGTTTTCTGTACCTCTTTAGAGACAAAATTAAATCTCGTCTGTGACATATCCTAACAGCTTAAAGCACATTCAGTATTTTCGCTCTATCATCTCTGTACAGATAATAATGGTACGGCTATTCCTTACAGGATATGGCTAACTCTTAAAAGAATACTTCTCAATACATATTTACTAAATCAATAAAATATTTTTTCATTAAATTTCAGAATTTGAAATAACTCTTCTCTATTGTTTTGGTTTTTAAAGAGGAAGTGCTGGCTGTGTCAATCACTTAGAGAGGGACAAGCCAGGAGCTTTTCCTTTGTTTATTCCTGATATTGTTTTCTACTTTTATCTTCTATTCATTTGTCTTTTTCAATTTATTTCTTTCTGTCCCTTCTTTTATTCTTTTTTTAACTGTTTTCTGAAACCATTATCCTTACTATTTTTCTTCTTTCATTTGGATCATTATTTCCTGCATTCAGTTGTAGATGATCAATTAATATTTTTAATAGAAAGAAAATTATTCTAGCAAATGTTTTTATTAGGTGCTAGGTACAATACTAGGAACTAAAGATAGAATATTAGAAAATAAGCCGG
Organism: Homo sapiens; assembly: GCF_000001405.40. Taxonomy (NCBI): domain Eukaryota; kingdom Metazoa; phylum Chordata; class Mammalia; order Primates; family Hominidae; genus Homo; species Homo sapiens. The sequence goes on along the minus strand of NC_000010.11, from coordinate 107,934,855 downwards.
ACTTGGTGGTACACACCTGTAGTCCCAGCTACTTGGGAGTCTGAGGCAGGATAATCACTTGAGTCCATGGATTTGAGGCCAGGTGGGCAACATAGTGAGAGCTCATCTCTGAAAAAAATACATAAAATAAAAAATTAAAAATAAACAAAAATAAAATTAAACATGTTTCTGCCACCGCGGATTTTGTAGTTCATGGGGTGTCTTTATCCAAATCATCAAATGAATCCAATGGAATGTTGTTAAAATAGATAAAGGAAGAAAAGTAGCAGGACTGCATGGACAGAAGAGAAAAATATTAATCAGAGAACAATACTAGGTTCTTACCTATTGAGCTGTTGTGTACCAGTCACTGCTAAAGTGATACACCTGTTCCTGAAGTAATAGTCCACTTTATCTCAACTCCAAGAAGAATCTCTGGAACTCAACATCCTGTCCTGGACAATGGGCTTTCAGCAGTGTTAATTTGCAAAGCAGTTAATGAAAAACAAATAATAAAGAAAAGTTGCAAGTAAATGAGGTATAAGAAATGAGATGAAAATTCCAGTGGCTATTTAACTCATTCAGTAAGAGTTTAGAGACCCCAAGCCCAAATGACAGTTCTATGTCATATGGGCTGCTCAGCTGCAAATATACCCCACCTCCAGCCAAACTACAATCTATGATAATCATTATTCTAAGACCTATATCATGGTCACCAGGATATCAGCTGATATTGTGCCACTCTTATGTTTGCAAAAACCCAACAGATGTGATTTATTGACCTTGACCAATACCATTGGTTTTGCCAAGAAAGAATGTTCCATTTGCTTATCATCTGGGATGTTTTAATGACATCACACTTCGCCAGAACACTAAATACCATTTTAAGTTATTGAACTATCTGATATGATTCATAGCATTAAACGTAAGAATCATACCTTCATGTATAAAGAAATATCCTTGGATGGATTGCAGTAATAATGTGTGAATTACCAGTTAGTTGTGACTATTCTCTAAACACCAAAAGCCTTCTAATTGTGACTCAGACTATTTCTCTCAATTTTTTTTATTGAAGAATATAGTGAATAGACTATATTTTTAAAAAGTGATGTAATTGACATATCTATCATCCTAATTAATCCAAGCAAAACTCTTTACCTTTCCTTTGCCCTCTTACACCATTGAACACAATTTTAAGGTTTATGTCTTCATAATACCTCTATCATTGAGCATTTAGCCACTCAAGTGGCTTAAATGTTCTGTTTTGTTTTAATTTTCTTCTCCTGTGAACTTCCTAAAGCTTCCATATCTCATTTGTCCAAAAATTGCATTTTGCCTTCCATAATTATCACCCACCCTCACTCGATTGAAAGATTTTAAGGACAAGACTCATGTTTGCACATTCACTTCTGTAACCTTTAAATTACTTATCCCAGCTTATAATAGATTCACCATTTATTGAGGTTAGCCTTAACTGAACAACAGAAAAATTCTAGGGAAATTTAAACTTGAATCCCAGCTCTACTAAAGCCTCATTGACAATGTGTGAAAATATGTTTCTTATGTTGCAGCCACCATTTTCCATCACTTGAGCTGGATCTCTTTGCTGCCAAAATTCCGATAAATGTGAATCCAAGCTTAACAACTGAGAAAAGTTTTTTTTTAATTTGCTTAGCTGAGATGATTTCAATCGCAATTGTGAAAATTGCTAAAAATCTTAAGACATGTATATTAGTCATTGTAGAGGCTTTGTTTTATTTATATATGTGTGTGTGTGTGTGTGTGTGTGTGTACACACACAAATATATCATTTCTTTTTTTCCTTATAATAAAACAGATCAAACTTGTTCACAGAGATCAATCGACTTTCTTAATGTCACAAAATTGGAAAGCAGTGAAGGTGAAATTCTGGGGTAGTCTTTCTGAGTTTGGAGTGCAACCTCTTAACCTCTAAACTCTCCCTTCCTAAATAACATGGTGTGGAGAGCATTTCTGTGCACTGCTATTATTGCATGTGCTCTCTAACATTGGAAGAAGTTCAAATCCTCACTAGAAAAAAAAAAGAAACACTCAACTCGAAAATTAATTCTTCTTTTGCAGCCATTATTTGCTTGAAGATATAAAAAGTTCAAAGTAATTCCTGAGAATCTGAATGAATAAATAGATTTAGTGTGAAAAATACAGAAAACGATTTTCCTAAACATTCTAGCTAGTTGTCTCTTGCCAATGTCTAACATTTAAAATACGTTTGAAAATAACCAAGTTTTTTACAAAAATTCCAGTGAAAGACGTTTGGAGAGCGTTTTTAAGTGTTAGCTGCTGAATTGTATCCTCACTCCATTTATATGTTGAAATCTTAACCCCCAGTACCTCAGAATGTGACCATACTTGGAAAGGGTGTTCAAAATAGTAATTAAGTTAAATTCAAATCAATAGGGTGGGTCCTAATCCACTGTAACAGCTGTCCTTATATGAAAAAGAAGAAGACAGATACCTGTGAAAGGCAGATCCTGAGAAGACACAGGGAGAAGGCAGCCATCCACAAGCCAAGGAAAGAAGGCTCTAAAGAAATTAACCCTGCCAACAACTTAGTCTCTGATGTTTAGCCTCCAGACTAGTGACAGAATAAATTTCTATTGTTTAAACCATGTTGTCTGTGGTATTTTTATGGCAGCCCTACTACCCTAATACAATAACCTTTTAGAAAATTGGGAATGTCAACTATATATCTTGTTCTTTAAGAGGAAAGTTCTGTGAGGCAGGGAGTCATTATGTACTTTGCTTCATCTGGTGTCAATTCAAACTATATCTAGAAATTTAACCAGTAGAGGGAAACAGAGAAGAAGCAATCACAGTGGTGCTCTCAGCATAGAGGGCCAGCTTGAGTGAAAGGGCGGGAGAGAAGCTGTAACTCTGCTGACTCTCTCCTCTCTAGTGTGTGATTCAAGTCCTTCAATGAGAACCAAGCAAGTAAGCCATAAGAAAAGCCAGGGCAGAGGAGCTAAAAACTAGAAAACCAAAAATAATTTAGTATTGTATAATAAAATGTTGAGAGTGCTGAACAAACTATTAGTCTAGTAATAGTATAGTGCCAACACACACACCAGAATAATTGAAAAAATCAGTAACTACATATTATTATCATCACCCACTGAAATTCTTTAATAAGCTGGGCATGATAATAACCAAAACATTCTGAGAAAGATGATCTATGACATAAAAATTTGCTTCTATCTTTTTATATAGAAGCTATAGAGGGATAAATACAATGGGAGATATTATAACTAATGACTGAAAGAATTCCAAGTCACAGACACAAGATTTAAAAGAGTTTCAGTTGTGTCAAAATTTTGCAGACCTAATGTGTAGGTTTCCAAATTGACTGAAATTTCTACTGTATAGAAACACTCAGAGGTATGTAAACCTATGTGTGGTAATAAATCCATTATAGGTATTCTGAATTTATAAAATAATCAATTTCCCAAAGGAAATTATATATGAAAAAAATGGAGTTTTACTGTCAATATCTAAATCTGCAATGACATATTTTTGTCATTTGCCAAGTCATTTATTTGCACCATATTTAATAACTTTGTTTTAGTTTGTAGACATTCACCTGAATTATTTGAATAAATTTGGACAATCAAATAATAAGTGTTACCTAAAAATAAGAATTCAAGGCCCTTTGGCATAAACTGACAGCTTGTTTAATGTGAGGATTTCTCACCACAGTCATATCTAGAGCAATCCTTTTCCTTTTTGGCAGCAAAGCTGATAATAACAAATGTTGTTTGCTTCTTAAACCCCTCTTGTTTAAAATGAAATAAATTTTTGACAACCTGGAATTGTTACCTCTACATTTTGGTGAATACCTGTGTCTGTCATAGTTAAGGGAAAAAATAGCATATGGTTCAAGATAAGAATAGACTAAGAAGGCGGGAGCAGGTATATCTGATAACCCTTAGAATTCCCTCCTCACCATTGAAAATAGGAAAGTTTTGGGTTGATGCTCATATTACATTGTATTAGAATATCTTTTAAAATTACTATCAAACCCCACATTTCCAAATAATTTTAAAGTTTTCAAAAGTATCCAGTATGATTTTTTTTTGAACCCACACATACTCTATAGGAATGCAGGACAGTCATTTTAGCATGCGACAAAGAGATTTAGAGAAAGTAAACAAATTGCTAAAAGTTACACTATAAGTAAGTGGACAGAAACAGGAATGTACAATCCATTTAGCTACCAATATCCTTTGATAATTCTACGTAATGGCATCCTGTCGATATTAAGAATCACCCAGACCAGCCATTCATTTTGCTGGCCTATGGAATGTATAGGATGTTCCACATAACACAACTACTGGGTGGCAGAGCTAGAACTCCCAAGAAACAACTCTAATGAAAGGCTGAAAATCTTCATTCATGATGCTGAATTGCCATTGCAAGATTACTCCATATCATTACAAATGGTTTTAAAAGTTAAACTCACAGCTTATGTTGCCTGGAAAATCTGGTGTTTGTCAATGCATATACTTGCTGTTAGTTCAGCTCTGGCTCATTAGACTTCCTGAATTTAAGGCAAATTGCTTAAGATACAACATGTGTGAGACTAGTACATTGATTAATATGACTCATGACGTAATCAAAACACACTTTATATTTATCTCTCACTATTTCTTTAAAATTTTGCTTAAGAGAAGGTCTTTCTCTGACCCTAAATAAAAATTCCCAACGTTCATGATTTTCATGTTAACTTTTTGGTAACAGAAAATTCTACTTTAAGTCACAAAGTCATCTCAAATCAGAAATTAGAATCTCCAAATCTAAGATATTAATCAAAAGTTGAAACTTAATTTAGCATTGAAATTTCCCTATGCCCCAGTTGGAGCCTACTTCACACACAAAACCTACTGTGAGAAAGAGAGTTGTGATTTTCTACTGCTTTCCGCTGCAATGTCCACTATTTGTTTATGCAGATATATGCTATCTGAATATTTTACCCCTCAATTCTACTGAATTTAGTTTCAGTTAATCTCATTCATCTTTGAGTAAGTTCTTTGAAAATACATGGAAAGAACTAATGGCTTCTTCCCTCGACATAGCCTGTCGCTATTCCTTAGAGAAACGTGTAGAAAGATATTCGCCTCCCTTGCTGCTCTTCCTCTAGCTGGTGATCCCAAGGTAATTATAAAGGACAGTTGGGGCTCTCTGACTTGTTCTTTCATTTGTGCCTTTCAGAGTTGGGTTGGTGAATTAAATGAAAATAATACATCATGTTATTTTTAACCCGGTCTAGTATGTTAGAGAGCTAACGGGGTTCAGGATTGTTCTTTTCAAGACTAAACGTATGAAATAAGACTAAGGTATGTTAGGTCATTTCAAGACTATTTTGATGTAATGCTAATGTATTTTAAGACTTTGCCATAAAATAAGAAATCTAATAAGATTTGTAAATGCCTCTACTGAGATGCGATACACATTTCATTTAATTGTTATTCTACTCAGTATGACTTCCTCTAAATTATATATACACACATATAAATATATATATATAATATGTACATGTGCATGCATGTATATTCATACATTGGCAATTACATTATTTTACTATTCTCTTTTGCAACATTATCACACAAGTTATTTTTTAGAAACCTGAAATAATTGAGAAAGTAGTACATAAACCTAGGAAGCATTCTGTAGATTCAGTGTATGTAAAAAGAGTGAGGAGATAAGACTAATCTAAGGGAAAAAGGTATACAATATTTCTGCATTTTATTTTGTCTCTAAATCTAAATTTATTTTTAGATTGCTGTGTTGCATAGAAAGTTCATGTGCTCAAATGATAAATAGGTATTTATTCCCCACCACTCATTTATCATTTGAACCTTTTGTAAGACTAAGAAAATTAGAGAAAATAAATGGAGAAACTGTGTATAGATTTGATGGGATACATGTCCAATAAATATAAGATAATGTACATAGTTCCATTTATGTTGAGTATATAATCAGGAGTATAATTGATGGAATGTAGGTTTTACATACATTTGGCCTTGCTAGTACTCTGGTTGATTTGTAAAATGACAGTAACAATTTATTCTTCTACCCACAATATGAAATCAATCCTTTTACTGTGCATCCTCACTCATGTTTAATATTATCCATCTCTCATTTTTTTATTTTTTTGCCATTTTTTTCTAAGCTTTATATTCAAGTGGAAGTGAAGTATTATCTCCTAATAGTTTTAATTTGCATTTTCTAATGGCTAATGATGTTGAACTTCTTTAATTTCTTGTACCTTGGTGTATGTGCTGTTTAAGTCTTCCATAAATTTTTCAGATTGTATTGTTTGTACTTTTATTACTGATTTGTAGATATTTCTCATATATGTCCTCTACAGGTCCTTTGTCCTTTCTATTCATTGTGGATATTTTTCTCAGACTGCGTTAGGCTGTCATACCTTTTCATTTTGTTGATAGCGTTTTTGAAAGAGCAGGAATTTTGTAAGAACTTTATTGAGATAAAATTTGCATACGATAAAATCCATCCATTAAAAGTAAACATTTATTTTACTAAATTTATAGAATTGTTCTACCATTAACACATTTAAGTTTTTGTTTGTTCGTTTGTTGGTGAGATGGAGTCTCGCTCTGTTGCCCAGGTTGGAGTACGGTGGCGCCATCTCAGCTCACTGCAAGCTCCGCCTCCCGAGTTCACGCCATTCTCCTGCCTCAGCCTCCCCAGCAGCTGGGACTGCAGGCACCCGCCACCACGCCTGGCTAATTTTTTTTGTATTTTTGGTAGAGAGGGGGTTTCCCCGTGTTAGCCAGGATGGTCTCGATCTCCTGACCTCGTGATCCGCCCGCCTCAGCCTCCCAAAGTGCTGGGATTACAGGCGTGAGCCACCGTGCGTGGCCACATTCAAGTTTTTGAACATTGGTATTGCTCCAAAAAGTTTACACCTGCCTCGTTGTGGTTTATCCCTCCACTCTGACACCCAGCTCTGTCACTGTCAGTGTCTATACACTGACCTCCTTTCTGCCATAATTTATTTTTTTAAACATTCCACTACATGGAACCACACAATATGTAGTCCTTTTCACCTGACTTCTTCTAGTGAGCATATTATTTTTATGTTTACCCATGTTGCATTGAATCTTTCACCATTAAATATAGTGTTAACTGTTGATTTTTTATAACTGTCCTTTATTAGCTGGAAAAAACTTCGATTCCAATATTACTGAGAGTTTTATAATATTTTATGTTTTATAGCTAAATGTTTTTCTGTTGGAAGGATATACCATATTTTGTTTATCCAGTCACCAGTTAAACAACATCTGGATGATTTCCTGTAGTTAAGCTATTATGAATAATGTGGCTATGGATATGTGTACACACATTTTATGTGGACATACATTTTACTACTCATGAATAAATCTCTAGGAGGATAATTGCTGTGTGGTATAGAAAGTTCATTTTTAATTTTTTAAAAGTTGCCAATTGGTTTAAAAATAGCTGTGGAATTTTACTTTCCCAGCAGCAGTATATATGGGTAGTTCTAATTTCTCCACATTCTCAACAACACTTAGCATTGCCTGCCTTTCGTTTTTGAATTATAACAAGTTTGATGCATTTGTAATAGTTTTTGTGGTTTTAATATTCATTTCCTTAATAATTAGTGTTGAATGGTGTTGACCATGCTTCTATGTGCTTATTACTTATGTGCATAGCATAGCTGCTTTAGTGAAATATATATATATATATATATATATATATATTCAAATCGCATGTCTATTTTTAATTTGGTTGTCTTACTATTGAGTAATGTAGTTTATATATATTCTGGGTACATTTCTTATTATCAGATATGTGATTATCAACATTTTCTCCTTATCTTTGCCTTGCTTTTCATGTTTTTAATAATGTCTTCTGAATTGCAATTTAAAAAAATGATGAAGTCCAATATACCTTTATTTTTCTTTTATGGAGTGTGCTTTTAGTATATTTTCTAATGGAAAGTATTGTTATAGGATTTTTCTTGCCCTAATAAAAATGTAATTTATTTTGGGGCATTGATTTTACTTCCTGATTGCACTGGCTAGAACCTCCAGCATAATATTTAATAGAGGTGATGAGAGTGGACACTCTTGCTTTGTTTCTAATGTTGGAGAGAAAGTTTTCAGTGTATCACCATTAAGAACAATGTTGACTGTTAGTATTTCATGCATGTCCTTTATTAGGTGGAAAAACTTTCTTTTGCTTCCTTCTTTTTTTAAGTTCAGAGGTAAAGGTGCAGGTGTGTTACATAGGTAAACTTGTGTCATGAGGGTTTATTGTACAGATTATTTCATCACCCAGGTATTAAGCCTACTACCCATTAGTTGTTTTTCCTGATCCTCTCCCTCCTCCCACCGTCCACCCTCTGAAAGTCCCCAGTGTGCGTTTTTCCTCTCTCTGTGTCTATGTGTTCTCATTATTTAGCTCCCACTTATAAATTAGAGCATGCGGTATTTGGATTTCAGGAAAAAATACTTCCAACATTTGTATGATGACATGATTTAGAACTTGTACATCTATTGATACGATGTTCCTTTATTTCAGCCTTTATTACTATTGTGTGTTACATTAATTTATTTTTGAATGGTGTACAAACCTTAGAGTATTGGTAAAAATCCTACTTTTGGCCGGGCACGGTAGCTCATGCCTGTAATCCCAGCACTTTGAGAGGCCGAGGCAGGTGGATCATGAGGTCAGGAGTTCGAGACCAGCCTGGCCAAGATGGTGAAATCCAGTCTCTGCTAAAAAGACCAAAATTAGCCAGGTACGGTGGCAGGCGCCTGTAATCCCAGCTACTCCAGAGACTGAGGCAGGAGAATCGCTTGAACCCGGGAGGTGGAGGTTGCAGTGAGCCGAGATCATGCCACTGCACTCCAGCCTGGGCTACAGAGCAAGACCCCGTCTTAAAAAAAGAAAAAAAAAATCCTATTTTGGTCATGGTGTAAAGTCATTTTTATATGTTGTCAAATTCTGTTTGCTAAAATTTCGTTAAGGATTGTCTATCTATATGAGTTTTTTGTTTATTTGTGGTATTGTCTGGCTTTTATGTTAGTACATTATTTGCAGAATGAGTTGGAAAATTTTTTCATCTTTTCTATTTTTTGAAAGTGTAACATACTCTTATTATTTATTATTTAAGTATTTGATCAAATTCACCGGTGGAACCATCTGGGCCAATTTTTTGTGGTATTTGTCAAGAATGCTGAATCAGTTATTTCACTTATTACATGTATTTAAGATTATTTTATTTCTTCTGGAGTCATTTATATTATGTCTTTCCAGGCACTTTTCTCATTTCATCTAAATTATCTGTGTAATTTGTTAGCACAAATGTGTTCATAATGTAATTATTTTAGTTTCTTTGGGATTGGTAATAATATCCTCTCTTTTGTTCCTAGTGTTGACATTTTATGTATTCTATTTCTTTGGTCAGTTAATCTAAGAGTTTGTAAATTGTTTGTTTTGGTGTTCCATTTGTTTTCTCTATTTTTCTTATTTCTATTTGTTGGTGTCTAATCTTTATTATTTTCTTACTTCTCCTTAATTTTTGTTTAGTTACTCTCCAATTTCTAGTTTTTTTTTTGGTAGAATCTAAGGCTAATGGTTTGAGAGATTTCGTCTTTTCTAATATAGGCATTTATGTCTATAAATATTCTCTAAGAACTGCCTATGGTTTATAAGTAATTGATAGATCAAACAGGCAAAAAATAAGTAAGAATATAATCTGTACAACAAAATTAATCAGTTTAATCTAATGGATAATTATAGAATATTCCATCTAACTATAGCAGAATACATATTCTTCTCAAGCTCATATGGAACATCCACCAAGATAAACCCAAGATAGACTGAGCCATAAAGCACACCCTAATTCATTCTATTTATTTTTCCTATTGCTTGTATAGTCCATATTTCATTAATTTCTACTCTAATCAATTATTTCCTTCTTTTGCTTGCTTCAGATTTAGTTTGCTCTTCGTTTTCTGGAATTTTAAGGTAAAAAGTTAAGTTATTGATTTGAGAAATTTCTTCTTTCTCAATATGGATATTTAAAGTTATACATTTTTCTCTAAGCACTACTTTAACTGAATGCCACACATTTTACAATGTCGTATTTTCGTTTTCATTCGCCTAAACCTGTGGTTTCTTTCATGACTCATTGGTTATTTAGGAGCATGCTGTCTAACATCCACATATTTGAAAGCTTCACAAATTTTTGTTATTCATTTCTAATTTGTTGAAGAACATACTCTGTATTATTTCTATACTTGACAATTTTTTGAGGTTTGTTTTATAGACTAGCAACAGGTCTAAGCTGAGACTGTTCCATGTGCACTCAAGTAAATGCATATTCTGCCGCTGTTGAGTGGAGTGTTCGATAGTTGTCTGACAGAGCTAGTTGGTTTATAATATTGTTTAAGTCTTCCATTTCCTGTTGGATATTCTGCATAACTGTTCTATTCACTACTAAAACTGGGTTATTGAAGTTTCTATTATTGTCACATTGTCTATTGTCTATTTCTCTCTTTACTTCTGTTAGTTTTTGCTACATGTATTTTGGTGACATGTTATCAGATGCATATACGTTTATAACTGTTTACCTTCCTCATGGATTGGCCCTTTTATCATTATAAATAATTCTTTAATAATTTTTTTGTTTTATAGTCTATTTAATCTAATATTTAACATACTAACTCCAGCTTTGTTTTCGTGACTATTATTATATCTTTTTTATCCTTTTACTTTCAATCTATTTCTTTATTTAAATATAAAGTATATTTCTTATAGCCATCTTATAGGTTGGATCATTTTTTAAAATTTAATCTCAGTTTTTTAGTTGCACTGTTTGATTAATTCTCATTTAATGTTATTATTGAAATAGTTGGGTTTATATTTGCCTTTTGTTTTATTTTCTCTATGTATCACATTTTCCCCCTCTATTCCTTCTTTGGTGTATAATTTAGCACTAAGTCAATATTTTTTAATGTAGCAATTACATTTCTCTAATGATATTTTCATATAATGTTGTGTTATTTTTTCAGTGCTTGCCCTAATGCTTATCATTTTTATTCTAATTTGTCAAAACAGCTTCAGATTTACACAGACTTAATTCCGGTAAGATATAGAAAACTAATCCATGGAGCTCACCTTCCCTTTTTTGTGCTATTATTGCTGTATATATAGTAGCTATAAGTGTTACAAACATAATTTATTTTATTTTTTATTTTTTAACTTTTATTTTAGGTTCAAGGGTACATGTGAAGGTCTATTACATAGGTAAATTTGTGTCATGGGGGTTCCTTGTACTAATTACTTCATCACCCAGGTATTAAGCCCAGTACTTAAAATTAGCTTCTCTACTCCTCTCCCCACTCCCACCCTCCCACTTAAGACACCCAGTGTCTGCTGTTTCCTTCTTTGTGTTCATAAGTTCTCATCATTTAGCTGCCACTTACAAGCATGAACATGCAGTAACCATAGGCAGTTCTTAGATTTTAGAATATGTGCCATGTGGCAATGAGAAAATATATATTCTGTTGTTTTGGGTGGAGAGTTCTGTATAGGTCTATCAGACTCATTTTGTCTAATGTTGAATTCAGGTCCCAAGTATCTTTGTTAATTTTGTGCCTGGTTGATCTGTCTAATAGTGTTAGTGGAGTGTTGAAGTATCCTACTATTATTGTGTGGTAGTCTATGTCTCTTTGTAGGTCTCTAAGAACTTGCTTTGTGAATCTGGCTGCTTCTGTGATAGGAGCATATATATTTGGGATAGTTAGGTCTCCTTGTTGGATTGAACCCTTTACCATATGCAATGCCCTTCTTTGTATTTTTTTTATCTTTTTTATTTTTGAAGTCCGTTTTGTCCAAAATTAGCATTGCAACCCCTGCTTTTTTTTCTGTTTTCTATTTGCTTGGTAGATTTTCCTCCATCCCTTTATTTTGACACTGTGGGTGTCATCACATGTGAGATGGGTCTCTTGAAGACAGAATGCCATTAGGTCTTGCTTTTTTATCCAGCTTGCTACTCTGTGTCTTTTAAATGGGGCATTTAGCCTGTTTACATTCAAGATTAGTATTGATATGCATGGATTCGGTCCAGTCGTTGTGTTGTTATCTGGTTCTTATGTTGGCTTGTTTGTGTGTTTGCTTTATAGTGACACTGGTCTGTGTGTTTAAGTGTGTTTTGTATTAGCTAGTACCAGTCTTTCCTTTCTGTATTTAGTGCTTCTTTCAATATCTCTTGTAAAGCAGGTCTGGTGGTAATGAACTTTCTCAACATTTGCTTATCTGAAAAGAATCTTATTTCTCCTTTGCTTAGGAAGCTTAGTTGGCTGGATATGAAATTCTTGGTTGAATATTTTTTTCTTTAAGTTGTTCAATATAGGCCCCCAATCTCTTCTGACTAGGATTTCAGCTGAGCAATCTTTTGTTAGCCTGATGGAATGCTTTTTGTAGGTGACCTGCCCTTTCTCTCTAGCTGCCTTTAACATTCTTTCTTTTATTTTAATCTTGGAAAATCTGATTATTATGTTTCTTTGGGATGATCTTCTTGTGTAGAATCTTGCAGGAGTTCTCTGCATTTCCTGAATTTGACTTTTGGCATCTCTAGCAAGGTTGGGGAATTTTCATGAACAATATACTAAAATATATTTTCCAAGTGACTTGATTTCTCCCCCTCCCTTTCAGGGATGCCAGTGATTTGTAGATTTGACCTCTTTACATAATCCCATACTTCTCAGAGGTTTTGTTCATTCTTTTCTATTCTTTATTCTTTTTTTTTTCTGACTGTCTTATTTCAGAGAGCAAGTCTTCAAGTTCAGAGGTTCTTTCCTCAACTTAGTTTATCCTGCTGTTAATACTTGTGATTGCATTGTGAAATGCTTATATTGTTATTCACCTTTGTCAGGTAGGTTAGGGTCTCTTTTATACTGGCTATTTCATCCTTCATCTCCCGTATTGCTTTATTGTGATTCTTAGTTTCCTTGCATTGGGTTTTGCCATCCTCCTGAATCTTGATGATCTTCATTCCAATCTATATCTTAAATTTAATTTCTACCATTTCAGCCAGCTCAGCCTGGTTAAGAACTCTTGTTGGAGAACTGGTGCGCTCATTTGGAGGACATGTGACACTCTGGCCACATGAGTTACTGGAGTTTTTGTGTTGATTCTTTTTCATCGCTGCATGTGGGTGTTCCTTGCCTACAGTGTAGATTGAGTACAGTCAACAGACTTCTTTTCTGGGTGTACACATAGGGTCAAGGCTTTCTGCAGGGTCTTTATTTGAAGCTGACTTCTTGTCTATGGTTTCAGAAGGGGTTATGTTAGCAAGGTATTTTTGGTATGGAAGATCTGGAGTGTGATCCAGCAGGGGCTCTTAGGCTTATTGGTCAGTTGGTAGACTCTTACTTGGTTGTGTGGCTCCCCTATATTTTCTCACAGTTGCAGTTGTGTTCCCTCTCAATGCTCTGAAAATGTGGGTTCCTCTCCTCCTTGAGTGCTGGCGGTAGATCATGGCTTGGTACTCCTGGGGTAGCCACTGCAGCTCTGGGGTGATCTCAGTAATTATGTTCTTTCCCCAGCTTGGAGGCAGCAAAGGGACCTCAGTAGTGGTGTGGCCAAGGGGTCTTTTGCTTTTCTTCTGGAGGCTCCACCTCACAGAGATGCAGGTCAGCAATTGCTGAGTGTAATCAGCCCAGGTTAAAGGGTCTGCGCTATGAGCCCAAGCCACAGGATCCCTGTCTGGTGACAAGCAGTGTGTGGTATGTGGGACCTGTAGGAGATGGACTGGCCTCCTCTCTTTATTTTGACTACAGCTTGTTGGAGATGTGGATAAGGCACTTAGGGTCTTTGTTCGTTGGTTAGTCTGAGGGTAGCAAGGAGAGTTCCACTGCAGAGTCAGTGGCAGAGAAGCTTTCAGTTGCCCCTGGAGGTTCTGTTCAGGGAGTTGCCAAGTTGCTACTGGCTCAATAGCTCTGATGGCAGGAGACTGGAGGCCCAGGCCTGGAGGACCTGCCCAGTGAGGGGATACAGGAATGGGCACCAATTTGACAGTCTGGCCACTTTTCTGTAGGGCTGCTGTGATAGACTAGGGGCCCACTCCAGTCCCTAGTCACCTCAGATTTTCCAGTATTTAGGGGTATCACCAACAAAAGCTGCAAAACAGCAAACATAGCAGCCTGCCTCTCGCTCTGAGAGTTCTGTCCCAAGAAGGTACAGACCTGTTGATGGCTGAAATGCACCTTTAGGAGGTGGCTGGAGACCCCAGTTGAAAGGTCCTGCCTGGTGAGGAGGAATGGGATTGGGGAGCTACTTTAAAAAAGCAGTCTGGCCACATTTTTATAGGGTAGTTGTTCTGTGCCAGGGGTGCACCTCAGTCCCCAGTCGCCTTGGACTACCCAGAGTCTGAAGGCCGGAATAGCTATGTCATCCAAACACCAAAGATAGCAGCCTGTCACTACCTCTGGCATCTCCATCCAGGGAGGTTTCAAATCTCCATCAGTAGAAGAGCACTGGCAGGGTGGCTGAGAACCCTGATTGGCAGGTCCTGCCCAGTAAGAAGGAATGGGATCAGAGATCTATTGGGAAAAGCTGAGTGTTGGGAGAAGCCGAGGCAGGGCTTACATGTCTGACATAATGTAAAGGAGTTTTGGAACATGTCCGGGGTCCAGGGTCTAAAACCCCCTGTGGCCTTTGGAACACCAAGCTCTGTGCTAAAGGGTGGGAGTCTACCGTGACGCACCATCATCTAAACCCAGGGCATAAAATCCCTCGTGGCCTGGATAGAATCCAGGACTCGTGGCTCTGCAATGTGTCTAGACTTGCTGGCTCCTTGCTCCTTGCTCTCCCAGGATTGATTGTATCTTGAGTTAAAAGAACCTGCTCTCCATTATCTCAAGTAGCAGAGCAGATGCTAAACCATCACAGCTGTAAATCATGTGCTTAATGCAACGTGCACTTTTGAGCTCCACATTCTCACCACCTGTTTCTCTGTTGGCTTACCAATAAATAGCGTGGGCTCCCAGAGCTGGGGGCTTTCGCGGTTTCCATATGCTAGGGATGGCTCTCTGGTCCTAGTTTTTTTCTCTCTCAAGCTGTCTTTTTCTCAATCCTTTAACCCCGCTGGACTTTGTCACCCCCACGATCTGGTGTTGGGTCTGATCACCCCAACAGAGATCCTCTTATGAAGACAATTTGATTATATTTTCGTAGAGTAGTTACACAGTGCTGGGGGGACTGTTTCTTTCAAGATTTTCTTTTTGCCTTTTTCTTACAGCATTTTCACTATGACGTATATTTGTGAATCTCTTTGCTCTTATTCTACTTGGTGTTTGTTGTGTTTCCTAAGTTTGTAGATTACAGCTTTTCAATAAATTTGGGAAGTTTTTCAGCCATCATATTCTTGAATATTTTATCTGTTCCTTTTTTTGTTTTCTACCTCTATTACTCCCAGTACAGATAAGTAGGTGTATCTAATAGTAACCCCACATTTCTCTGATGCTCTATTCATTTTTTCTTTTTCTGCCCTTTGGAAGTATAATCTCTATAGATCTATATAACTTCTCTAAAGCCTTATATCAGTTTAAAGCTGTTACTGAAACCACCCTCTAGTGAATTTTCATTTTAATTATATTTTTCAACTCCAGAATTTCTATTTTTTTGTATAATTCCTATTTCAATACTATCTTTTTAAAGCAACATTACCGTCATACTTTTAACCAAGGTTTTTTAAAATTCTTTGAGCTGTTTATAATGGTTACCCCTAAATCTCAACTTTATCACTTTCAGTTTCTGTGGACTGTTTTTTCTGGTGTATTGGTCATACTTAATCTGTTTGTTTCTGCTTTGCATTCCTCAATTTTTGTTCACAGTAATTGGAAACTTAAGATAATGTAGCAACCCTAGGCACTTCAACTCTCCATAGCTTATTACTGAGGTTTGCTTACTTACTTAGTGATAGTCTGGATTATTTTAGAGCAGTCTAACTCTCCTCCTCACTCCCCTGTAGTGTGAAGCCCCTGAAGTTCATTTTTTTTTTGCCCTTTGGAAGTATAATCTCTATAGGTCTATATAATTTCTCTAAAGCCTTACATCAGTTTAAAGCTGTCACTGAAACCCTCACCCCAGTGAATTTTTATTTTAATTACATATCTTTCAACTCCAGAACTTCTATTTGTCTTTTTTGTAAAATTCCTATTTTTCAATATCATCTTAGAGTAATGTTACTGTCACATTTGGGTATCCCAGTAGTTAGTAGGACAACAGTGATTATAAGGCCTTCATTAAGGGTCTCTTTCCCTAATACACAGCTGCTATGTTCTAACTGATGACCAATTCTGACCAATTGTGCCGTTGTTTTCACTGATGCGATGGGGCATGCCCATCACAGGTTAATCAAATTTAGAGTCCTTTAAAGCACGGGCCCCCAACCATTACCAGTCTGTGGCTAGTTAAGATCTGGGCCACATAGCAGAAAGTGAGTGGCTGGTGAGGGAGCTTATTGCCTGAGTTCCGCCTCCTATCAGATCAGCAGCATTAGATTCAAATAAGAGAGTGAACCCTACTGTGAACCATGCATGCAAAGGACCTAGGTTGTGCACTCTTTAGGAGAGTCTAATGCTTGATGATCTGAGGTGGAACAGTTTCAAGCCGAAACCATCCCCCACTGTCCGAGGAAAAACTGTCTTCCACGAAACTGGTCCTTGGTGCGGAAAATGTTGGGAAACTGCTGCTTTAAAGGGACAGTTGCTGAGGTCAGTGTTCATATTTGTTTGAACCAGTAGTGCTCTTTCTGCTGACACTGTCCTCTTCTCTCCACTGAACTGTGAACCTATCATTTAGCAATGAATCAATTTCCCAGTTGCTTTTCACCGTCGCTTTCACTGTTGTGCTGAGTGCTCTCAGGGTTGAACTTTTTCAATCTCATCCTTTGGGGTATACAGGTATAAAAGGAGCTCTCTGTTCTATATCCTGTTTCTCATTCTGGGCAAAATATTTGAGCTGCTGCTCTGGTGCTCCAGGCAGGGAAAGCAACAGGCCGTAATTTGAGTGACCTTGAGTTGCCAAATGACAATTGATGTAAGGTGGGAAGCAGCCTCAGATCTCTTAAGATTGCCCTCTCACTGAGCAGCTACCTTCTCAAGAGTCTGAGCACTCTCTATTGTATTATCACAATTTTTCTATAACTCTACACCTATCCTAAAATTTTTTAAAACATGGTAAAAGAAATGCTCAACTTCAGTGAATTCCCATTAATGAGTCTCTTGGACTACCTCTTCAGTGTAGGTGTAGGGATGTATATTTGGCAGGATGAAGAAGTAGCATTTATGTGGAGGGAAGCAAAGCAAAACACCTGCATTTTGCTAATTTTTTTCTGGGAATTGTCTACATATCCATTTTGCTAGCATGCTACAATGATTATAAATAATGTAGACCTAAAATATTAAGAACATTATTTCAAAATCATTAGTGATTACCCTTAAATTTCATTGCTTTTTTCCAGTTCTATTTTTGCATAGGGATCTATCTGTACTTTGATACATTAATCTGGATTCCTACCCATGGAGTAATTACTCCACATAGTGTAATTCTCACACACTTATCCTGACATAAAAAGAAGTAAGGCTTACAAAAAGACATTAACAAGTAATTCTGCAAATCTGTGAAGCTTTTGTGAAATGAGAAACAGCTCTTCTGGGCTAATGAGTAGCATTTGTGATTTGGGATGCCACGAGAATCCCAGATTACTTTCTCCCATCTATACAACACAACTGGCCAAAATACTGCTTTGTTAGTAGGGTGCAGGTTTATTTTCCAAAGATAAGCCCTTACTCTTGGGTAGTAAAGGTATTTTTGGAGGCATATTCCATGTTCTTTTCATGACTGAACTAGCCAGCTTACCATTTAGGACACTGTGCTTCATGGAAGCACTGAAATTTAAAGGCTGAGATAGTTGATCTGCTGGCATTTGCTTTTGTGTCTTAGAATGGTCTATGGAATGAAATTTATCTTCCAAAAGCATATTTTATGAAAGCTTGCGTATAAAACTTTCCCATTACAAGTTAGTAAAAGCTGACTTATTAACAGCTACTCTTCAAAGTGGTCCGATCACAGATTGAGAATTTTAATGAAGTTACCATGAAGGAAATGAGTTATGTGTCCGTGCACACACACACTAGAATTTTTACTATTTTGTTACAGCTGTTATCTTTTGGATATTTGATTGTTGACTAATACATACAAGAGTGTTATTAGTTTTGTAAAGACCGCAAAGGAATCTGAAGACATTTCATCCTTCTGAAATAAAACTATCTACTGGAAAAGGTTTAAGCTTAAAAAAATAATTTGAAATTTTCAAATTTCCTTTTCCTTCCTAAAATCTCCACTTGAACTTTATACTAGCCAGCAGCAGGGGACCTGGCTTGGCACATATTTTTGTAATACAATTGAATTTTAGGCTCAAAAGATTTTCCAGGTCATTTAATCCAATCCTTTTATGTTTATCAGACCAAATTTTCTATTGTCATTTAAAAAAGACTATTTTTAAAATTTCTTACATACCTTATATTCTGCTTCCACAAACATCTGACACAACCACAGTTCAACTTCAAAACTAGTAGGAAATTAAAAAGTTATGATATGACCATTCTACACACCTTAGTCAACTTTTGCCAATTGACCTAATGTCCTTTTGTTGGACTAGGATCTAATTCAGGATCATAGGATGTATTTTCTTACTCCTAAATCTCCTTCAATCTGGGACAGTTCCTAAGTCATGAAAGAACTTCGTGACGTTGACACTTGGAACGTACTGTTCCTTAATTTGTAGAAAAGTTCCTCAGTTACAACTTGGTCATTTTCAAACTTTAAGCAACCAAGTGTGGTGATTCTCAGGAACTCACAGCATATTAGTGGTGAGCACCTTCATACACAAATAGAAGATTGCTAACCATATGCAAAGTTTATTCCAAGATTTCAGACGGCATGCCAGCTGCTTCAAGGGTTGAGGTGGGGAATGTGATACAGGTCAATGAATTGGTTTAACAGTCATATAACAAACGTAGTAGATAAGTCTCCAATAGATGTCCGATTTCCTACGGAATCTTGGGTTTAGAGCTAAACCCTGGGACTAATTGGTGTGCTCCAAATGAAAATGTTCCCAAGCCACAGTTTTGAGTTCCTTTCTTTTCCCCTAGTGTGGTGTGTGTGGTTTTTTTTTCTAAAGCCATAGTGTAGGCTCACAAAACATTTAGAATATGGCTAGTAACAAAGTGCTCTTTCAAATGGGATTACGCAAGACTGGCTTTGGGCAGAGTGAGTGCTACAGAAGGTCAAGAAAAGGGAGCAAAGCTGGAGACTGATGGGAAAAACCCTAAACACACATACGCTGACGCTCACAATCATGTACTTCATAAACATACTTCATCTGCACACGGCCCCACCTCCGTCCCCGCTGCCCTTCTGTGTTTCTCAGCCAGGACACGCAGCCTCTGCTGTGGGTTTACACCAAGGTGCCAATGTAGAGACTAAAATGGACAGAGCAGGAATCCCTCTCCTCTCCAGGACATTTGCTGGAGTCTCCAGTGAAAACGCAGTAAACAGCAGGCAGGGTCCGTGGCGCTTGCAGTTCGACCTCAACCTGCAGCCACGGAGAGCTGTGGGGAGAGCGGAGCTGAGGCCCCGGCAGCTCCCGGTCCCGCACCGGGCTCTGCTGGCGGCTGCCGAGTTCCTGAGACTCCTGCCCCCGCCCGTGTGGCGGCGCCTCACTCCGCACCTGCGGCAGCCCCTGCCCACGCCGCCTCCACCCGCCCCGCCGCGGCCCGACTTCGCTAAAGTTAGGGTCCTGAGCTCCAGCACCCACAGCCGCCCGCGCAGAGCCCCGCGCCGCCACCTCGGGTCCCGGACCCTTCGCCGCCGCCCTCGCTCCCGGGATGGGAAAATTTGGCGCCGGTGAGCGCGTTCCTCGGCGGCGCGGCGCGGCGCTCTGGGTCCTCCGTGTCAGGGCGTCTGCGGAAGCGGCTCCGGTGGCTCCTCTGCTCCTCGTGGCACGCGGCCCAGACCCCCAGAGTACTGTCCGTGCCGGCACTGCGAGACCGGGCTCCTGCTGCTCCTCTCTCCTCCTGGGGTGCCACCAGCGCCCAACGATGGGAGAGGTGAGCAGGAGCCTGCGGGAGCGCAAAGTCCCTGAAGACTGGGGGCGACGGCAGCATGGAACTCCGCGGCAAGATGAAGATCCCTGGCTTCCGGATGGAGGAGCTGCGGCTCACTAGCAGCCTGTCCGCGGAGACGAGGAACCCCACCCACAAAGATGGTTCCTGGGTGCGACCAGGCAGCGTTGCGAGTAGCAGAGTGGTGATGGGGTGGGGTCGGGGAGCGAAGCGGGGAGGGAGTGTGAAAGTGGGCTTGGAGGGTCAAGGGCAGAAGGTGATTTGAGGCTTCTGACTTGAAGTGTGCAAAATAAAGGCTATGCTTGCCTTCGCCAGGAAGTATTTCATCTCCAAGATGGGCCTCAGTCCTCCTGGAACTCCCATCTTCATCTCTAAGCTCCAAACCTGGAAAAAAACAGCTTTCAAGTAAGAATGTAAATCCCTGGTTTCTGTCAATATGGCTTGTGAAGCTGAAGACCAGGCAGAGTAGGGTGTTAAATAAGTGCATAGTATGCGGTGGTGAAAGGGTTAACGTTGTAGGGCAGGCTGACATTGCCCTCAAGGATTCCCACTTCACTTGCTGTAAGCTTACTCTGGGGGCTCCTGTCTGTGATGACAAATGTCTAGGTTAATTTAAAGGGGACAAAATCTCAGTGGACAATCACTGCCTTCTAGTGTGGTCCCTGTCTCTGGCACTGAGGAGATGGAAGTTACATGGAGAGCAGGCACCATCTTTCTGAGAGAGAAAGTGATTAAAGCTGGGGCTTTACAGCTTGTGAATTGATTGTTCTCCAATGTGATTTAGTCCTGGAAACATCAATATCCAAGGGACTACAACTCCCTGTTCACTCTTCATTGCCTGACCACCTCTAGTGAAACCTGAAATAAAGACTTTTCCATATGAAGAAGGGGATTAAGATTCCAGGAGGCTGAGCCTGGGGAGGGAGAGTGGGTGTGTGGTGAGCTTTTGCAAGACAAAGTAGCAGGGCTGACAGCTAGTCATTTTTTTTTTTTTTTTTTTTTTTTTCCCCGGCCATGTCAGGAAGTTTTTTTGTTTGAGTGAATAAATCTGAAACTCTTTAACCTATCAGAAGTATCAACTTAAAGTGAACCTGGAAACTTAGTGACAAATAGTAAAACAACAGCTTTGGTGATTAAAGACCATTTAAAAGTTGTCGAGGCTACCACAGAACAGGCAGTGAGAACACGGTAATCAAAAGTGGGTAAAAATGGAACACATAAGTAAATAGAAGTTAGATCTGGAAATTGCGAGTTTGCTCTTTGAAATATGCACTGATTATCCAGCTCAGTATCAGTCACCATACCTTAGTTTGTAATGCAATTGCAAGAAACCTTCCCAGAGACATGACACTGTATTCCCATTATTAGCTTTTAAAATAACAGTTTTGGACAGTTTACAACACATTTACTCCTTGGGAATTCTGTTGTACATACTTATAGATTGTATTGAGGCAAATCATAACGGCATTTAGCATTGATAGTCCTGTCCTGAGAACATCCACACAGCTCTAGTATGTTACCTTAGGACAAAGGGTTCTGCTTTATGTCGTTCTGTAGAATTTTATTGAGGTAACTGCAGTAGAGATTTTATCCAGCTCCTGGAGACATTTGACTTCACTGCCTACGTTAACAATCATATCTTTTAATATCAGTAAAATATTCAATACTATTAACACATCACCACTAAAATAAGCATCTCACTTAAATCTAAACTTAAAAAATGTTTCCCTTCTTTTGGTAGTTAACTCAGAGTTGCTGGCTTTAAGTGCATCAAATATTATAAGCACTGGGAAACAAAACTTTTGGACTAGAAATAGATACTGTTATACTAAGCTGCAAATTATTAATCCTGAAATATTTTGGCCTGACGGAGAGATTATGCATCTTTGGCAAACCAAATGTTCACTTAAATGACAATGTTTTGTCAGATTGTGTGTGTGTGTACATGTGCACACATTTATACTTACAAGTCCAGTAGAGACAAGTGTGGGTCAGGCTTTGGATAGGTGGCTTTTGCAGTAAGTCTACTAAGGCTATTGAATGTAGTAAGTAATAGGGGAAGTGACTTAGTGTTTTAGCACCCAAAGTTTGCTAAGCAGTGAGATCTCTCACCTCTGAAGTCTTGTATTTCCTAACGCCAACCTCCTCAGCCACACACACACTTTTTCAGTACGTATGTTCATGTTTTCAAAAAGGGCTAATTTCATCTAAACACATTTATCTGTTTCAGCATCATGAAGGAGGTAACGTTTAAAGCTATTTTTGTAAATTGGAGCAGGGGAGGATCAGATGAAACTTAGATGGAGGAAACTGAATTAAATGAAAGCAGAGTGGAGACCTGACTTGTAGTCTTATTTGTTATGTACCCTTGACAAGTCCTATTTGTTGTAGTAATCTGCGTTTGAATTTTCTCATCTGTAAAATGGGGTCAGTGCCACTCAGAATTCATCCACAGAATCACATAATTTGATAGAAATAACAGGGCATTATTGTTGTAAAGTCCTGTACATGGGTGTGTCACTGCCTTTCCACTATTTTTCTTTCTCTCAGATTAATAAAGGACAGTTCATTAACCCCAAATCTAATAATAAAGTTGAAGACTTATGGTTTCTCACTTAGATATCCTACCTTAGAAAGAAGCACCATACGCCATAATATACATCCTTTGGAGTTCTCTGATCTTTATCTAAAAGTTTGCTGCTAAGAGAGACTAATGATTATAATAACATCTGAACGACAGGTACAAATAGATGGTCATTATGAGCTGCCCATCTAACTTTTCAAGAATTCTGGATGGTTTCCTTGCAGCATTCCTCTCTCCTGTTCCTTTTGCTGATGCTTTTGGGGAAGCCTTTTGAAGATGTAACTTCTGCCTTGCACATGATTAGTACTCAGAATTTTGTATGGATTCATTAGCTAATGCTGGTTAGCATTTTAGAGTGCAGTGGAAGACAGAATTTATACACACATTCAGACACAAAGCACTAAATATACTAAAACTTGTACATGATTAGTACTTTCCTCTGTGTGTGTTTTGTATGTTTTGTTGTGAATGTGTTTAGTGCAATTCCCAAAATTTGAGAGCCATTATTTAAATTCATTTACTAATACAGCCTTGTTATATGGGACTGCCTTTCTCAACGGAAACCTTTGCTAGACCCAGTGGGGGAATCTTGTGGCATGAAAGATGCTGAGTAGGGACAGTTTGTTGCGAGCAAGAACGTGTTTCATCTGCACCACTCATTTTATACATGTCATGTGCTGTGATCTAATTTTACATATAATATGTAGTACTTTGTGTCTGTGAATGTGTATAATTCTGTCTTCCATTGCATTCTCAAATGCTAACCAGCATTAGCTAGTTAATCCATACAAAATTCTAATTAGGTGGATGGTATTTTCTCTTCACATTTTTATGCTAAACATAATGTTTCACTTTTTCACTGTCTCTTTAGCATTAGCAATGTTGTTCAAAGAGATATTAACCTAAGACCGTTATCTGCAGTATATTACTTACATCATTATGATGGTATTAATGCTGCATTCTGTTACATGACTGGCTGCTTGACATCTGCTTGTGTGCCATCAGCTATTTTTAAGCACGACATGTATCAACACAACCTTGGTGGTAATTACACTGGGCCAAGTTTTTTGTTTTAATAAAATGCTTTTATTTAGCATCTTTTAAATTTTCACAATCTTGTGAAGGTGGGATTATCACTCTAATGACACAAAACTAAGGTTAAAAAAGGATCATTGACTTGGCCAAGATGATGTGAATGGTCAATGATAGAACACAATGTGGAATTCACATTGATCTCACTCCAAATCTGCCTTATAGTTTTTTAATGTAGAACTTAGAAATCAGATCCTTTTAAGAACTGTCTGTAAAATTATTCATCTTGCGTGGATTTTAGCGGCAGCTGCAAGCAGGCAAATGTTGGTAATGGAAGCTTCATCTTATGAAAGGTAAATCTCTTCACATTTTATTCTTTACTTTCAGTAGTAATTGCATTGTTTTCACACTGTCCTCCTCATCTTTAGTCTTGAAGTCAATGCTTGGGTGATTATTTGATTATTAGGTCATCGGAAAATCTTGAGATCTGGTCTTTGTTAATACATTTCTGAATGAGCAACTAAATCTGACTTTATTTCAGAATTGACTGAAAACTGGTGTTTATTGTATAAGTTTTTTTTTTACTTGGCTTTTTAGATTTTAGTATAATTGGCATTCTTTAGCAAACTTACTTTTTTTTTTTCTTTTTTAAAAGACGGAGTCTCACTCTGTCGCCAGGCCAGAATGCAGTGGCACGATCTTGGCTCACTGCAATCTCTGCCTGCCGGGTTCAAGCAATTCTCCTGCCTAAGCTTCCTGAATAGCTGGGATTACAGGATGGTACCACCATGCCCGGCTAATTTTTATATTTTTAGTAAAGATGGGGTTTCACCATGTTGGCCAGGCTGGTCTCTCTTGACCTCATGATCTGCCTGCCTCAGCCTCCCAAAGTGCTGGGATTACAGGCATGAGCCACCGCGCCTGGCCTACATCTTTTTTATGATCAGGGCTCTGATCCTAATAAAAAATGCAAATGCAATGTGGCATGAAAGGGCAAGGTGTTATAGAAGAAAAAAGTATAAGATATGAAGGTAGACAGACCTGTGTTCAAATATAAGACCGCATTAATATCTATCTTAAAAGTAGACTACCTGCATTCTGCTTTCTGAAGAATAATCAGTAGCTTTTGTGAGGCCCTGCCCAGGCTCCCCTCAATATATTAGTGTCTTCAACCTGAAAGCATTGAGCATCTTGCATGTGTAAAGCTCTGGGGAAACAGATACCACATTAATCTATGCCTTTGACTTGAGAGTGTGAAAACATTATGTTGGGTCTTTTTCCTATTATTCATATGCATATGTTTATAGAAGCCTCGAAATTTGAAAGACAATACTTAAATCAGGTATTGATATTTGTAGTAAGATATAAAAGCATTATTAGTCTGATATCTTTGTGTTGGCAAACATGCAATACTTGGCTACCAAATGCATAATCTAGGAACAGAATTTAAATCTTTTTGAATTTACTGTTACCCCCTAGAAAAGATAATATTGACTCTGAGAACGACTTACATGTTTCGTAGAAAGGACTCTCAAAACCGTAGAATTGGCCAAGCGCGGTGGCTCACGCTTCTAATCCCAGCACTTTGGGAGGCTGAGGTAGGTGGATCACCTGAGATCAAGAGTTGTAGACCAGCCTGGCCAACATGGGGAAATCCTGTCTCTACTAAAAACACACAAAAAATTAGCTGGGCATGGTGGCACAACCATGTAATCCTAGCTACTCAGGATAGTGAGACACAAGAATTGCTTGAGCCCAGGAGGTGGAGGTTGCAGTGAGCTGAGATCACGCCACTGCACTCCAGCCTGGGTGACAAAGTGAGACTCTGTCTCAAAACAAAAACCAAACAAAACATAGAACTGGGCACAAAAATACATGCAGTATTTTATTAATGCTGTTAAGAATTGCAAATATTTATGGAGTATTAACTCTTCCAGAGAAAATGCTAACAACCTTATATACTTTTTCTTATTAACTTTAAATTGTGCAGATATCTTCTGAGCACCTGATATGTTCCAGTCACTGATCTTGGGATGTGTGTGAAGTGGTACAAAATGTTATGATCATTCATATGAGACAGTAGATGATGTATGTTACCTGAATGACAAAAGTGCTAGAGAGTAAAGATGAGATGGGAACCTTCTGGCTCAGATGGTTATGAAGGCTGTGGCAAGAGTGGTGCTTAACCTAGATCATGAATAGGAGGGATAAGTTTAAAAGGAGTGTTTTGAAATGGCTGTAAGTACAGGATAGATAAAGGAACTGCAAGAACAAATGTAGGGAGAAGAGAGATTAAGATTCACTCATCTGTAAGATCACTTTAGAATGAATGTAGGTATATTTCATGCCCAGTGAGAAACTGAAAATCGATGTCAGGAAAAATCTGTTAGCCCTTAAAGACGTGATTGCCCTGGTTTGCGCATTTAAATCTCATCTTGGATGTTTCTTCATGCTGGTTTCTCACATGGACAGTGTGAGGGGAACCAGACTGCATGGCATGAAATGGTCACTTCTGACGTGAGCTGGCTCTGCTCAGATCAAATGGATGCAATAGTTAAAGATTGGCAAGAAACAAAGGTGAAAGCTTACTGTGCAAGTTTTGTAGTGAAAGAACAGAGTCTAATTTAAAATATAGGCAGAGGAAAAAAGGACCAGAATGCTCTGTAGGAAATCCTACACGTACATAAAAGATTTCTATAGATCTCTGGAATGTTTCTATACTACCCTTAGATCAGTAAGGTACCTTTTTGCTTTTTAAAATGCTTCACTTCTGAAGAATTTTGTCACATTACTTCAGTTTTATTCTCAACATAGTCCTAAGGGATAAGACAGATATCATTTATATTCTATGGGAGATGAAACAGAAGAACTGCTGATTTATCAGTGCGATTGACACACATCAGTTGTTGGAAGAAGAGACTGAAACTTAGGATGCAGCATTCTACTGATACCTGGACTTGCATGGAGTTTGTTTTTTGTTTTGACATGATCTTGGGACAGAGACACAATGGTATTCATAGTTTTATTTTGGCTGAAGTCTGTGCTCCTGCCCATAAGAGACCACCATTGGGAAGAAGAGTTCAAGGAGAACATATACAAGTTATATGTGCTGTGCTGTGTTAGAGCAAGTTGCTTAGTCTAGGGTGACTCCTGAGTTACTCACCTTTCAAAACTGACCTTACAGGGTACTAAAAAGACCTAATAAGACTTACTGCGAGCGAGGTGCCTGCTCAGGTATTTATCCAACTTATGTGTAGTGCAAGGTGAGAAGGAAGGCAATAGAGGCAAGATGAGAAGAGGGAAAGACAATAAGTGGGTTGCACAATGTTAAGAATGTATGTCATCCCCAGCTTGTTATCTGGGGAGGATGTGTGAGAGGTGGTGTTTGTTTTCTCCTTGCTGGCTACTGACCCTGGAGAGACAGCATGGACAACTTCATTGCTTTAAGTTATCCAAGTTGACTCTTGACCCTGACAACCCTCTTTATAATTAGCGCTTCCAATGTGTATGCTCCAACTTCACCTGGCTTTACTAGATTTCACTTGCCTAAAATTATTAGAAGTTAGAGAAATCAAATACCAGCTCTCACACATCCTCCCAAGATAACAAGCTGGGATAACATGCATAGTAACACTGTACAAACCACTTATTCATTGCCTATTGATGCGAATGTTATTTTAAATACTGACACCATTGTATTGAAGCTATCCATTTTTTTTTTTTTTTTAGCTTTTCTTGTACCTGAGGGGGGCTGAGGGTTGGCAATGGGGCTGGGGGAGTTTGCTGAACACTAGAGCAACTCTGCTCTAGCCACATAGGCTATCCACATTATAAAAAGCTAAAAATTACATCTTTTGAGCAATTTTCTGCAAGCACATTGCATAATATTACTACGTTAGTCAATTTAATCGTCAAAGCAACCCTGTAAAGTAGATATCTCCATGCAAACTGTTGAAACTGGGGCTCACAGGAGTTAAGAAATCTGCCCCAAATTAGCTATCTAAAAAGTGGCAGAGCAGATATTTGAGTTGCGTATGGGTTTATCTAGAAGTTTCTTACAAGGAGATTTCCTAAGCCCATTGAGAGGGATAGTAGAGAGAACTCTTGATGTGAGTGGAAAAATCTAAGTGTGCCCCTTTCCCGTGTCACATATTCTGTTACTGACCTATTTTCTTCCTTTCATGCCCTTCGTCTATCCCTATGAGTAACTCTTATGGTAGTATTCATGTATATCATTTTTCAGCTATTTTCCAGGAAGAAAATATGGGGTCTTGACATTTGACTTCTCCATGCTGGCCATTGAGGCTAGAGAGACAGCATGGATTTGTGCACACTTGTTTCAAGACAGGGCTACTAAGGCATGGTATCAGGTAACTGTCTAATCAGATTGTGCCCTTGAGCCAAAAGTTTGATGGTTCTGGTGACATTTCCTAACCAGAATAACAGAACCCAAACTCGTGGGCCATCTGATGTAGGGCTCTCCTGTTTGGAAAGTAAAAGTTCTTGTTGACCTCTTTAATTCTCTTGGCACTTTTGATTACAATCATCAGAGGATTTGTCACTCTGGTTTGGAAATGCTGTCTCCAGTCCCCCTGGGAAAGTCGGCCAAAGACTTTCCCTGGCTTTGGCCGAGTGGATGGATTTTTGAACTAGGAAGTTCTGGGCTTTCTCATAGGCTGCTAAACCAGCTATTCAGTGTGGACTTCACTTGCCTGTATTTGCATTACCTAAATTTAGACTCCAGAATTAGTATTCTGTTGGAGGGGCCAGGAGAATAAACAGGTACATTCATGTTTTAATAACTCCCTAGATGATTCTTACAAATACTGAAGATTGAAAACCATTCCCTACAGGATTTTATTGTTGCACATGTAGGATGTCCTGCCAGCTCTTTAGCAAGAAGAGACAATGCCTTTTCCTGGAAAGTGATCTTTCTATTGTTAAAATAAGCACCTTGATTAGTAATTCTTGTAGTTGGAATGAGTTACACGGAACCGTCATACCTAGATATCCGCATGAATAATGTATGCGTTGTGAGGATAAAGGGGTACAGTCTTTTGGCTGTAGCGTAATGGTTAGTAGCAATGACTCTGGAAACAGATGCCTTAGATATGAAATCTTTCTCCAACTTTTATTAGCCTAGTGACTTCATGAAGATAACTTTGTGACTCTGCCATCATATGTAAAAAAATACCCTTCTTACAAGTTTGTTAGGAGACATATAGGTTGATAGATATCTAGCAGTTAAAATAGTGATTGGCACATAATAAACACTCCAATGTTAGATGTTGATTGTTATTACTTTGTTATTGTTATTTTATTAACAATCATGATAATCACAATATCTAATACCGACTTTATATATATAATATATATATTCTATCACTTGTGATATTACTATCTTTTTATAATGTGCTCCCTCCCTTTTCTGTTTTTTACCCTTTTCCTCTTTGAGGGCTGGAGCTATTTCTTACTGTATTTGTTATTGTGCTGTTTTGTTTTGTTGTTCACATCTCCCTTACAACATTTGTAACTATTTGCCCAGAGTAAATACTAAATTTATGCTGGTTTTTCTTTAACTTTTCTTGGTGCAGAAAAGCATAAGTTAATAAGACTTATGACCTTGTACAAGAATATGAGAGAATATTATATAGTCATTAAATGTAGAATCTATATGTAATGGCTTGTAAAATATGTGTAGCAAAACAAAGTAAAATCATAAATTTGAAAAACATTAAGACTTTAAGACAAAAATTTTTGTCTGAGTTCTCTTATGCCTCTCAAATATCTAATTGGGCATCTGGTATATAAAAGGATCTCAATTTTGTTGAATACATTTTTGTTTTTGTAAAATAAAATGAAGCTGTAAAAATCTAGAAAGATGTGGCTAAAATGTTACCACATTATGACTGAGGGTTTCAATTATCCTTAAAAATTTTCTGTATTTTCTGATTATTTTATGAACATAAACTACTTGTATGATTTTCTTAAATAATTGCAGGCTGAAAAAGGGATGATGAACTTAGCCTCATTATACTTAATTTTAGGTGACTAAATTTGACAAAATGTATCTGATTGCTACGGTTGGTAGCTGGTTTTGATGACAAAGGTGGCAAGAAGATCACTCTTCTCTTCTGAATGTATAATAGCAGATATTTTCACTCCTTTCTTGAGTTTTCTTTTTCTTTTAATTACAGAAGAGATATATTTGAAGGTATTTGCACCAACGAGACCATATACAGTTTTTAGACATTCTGGTGACCTGTGCTTCCAACAAAGAGAATATATATGAATGAGTAGATACATACATAGATAGCTGGTTAGATAGATATAAATATATTTCAATTTAAATCTGACATTAGCTTGAGGTTGATATTCATCTGTCTATGCATAGATATTAATATATGTACACACACATGCACTTAGCCATAGGTATTATACATAGTAAGTCAAGCACTTATACTCTTCCTGTAACTCCTCACTCATGGAGGTGAGGTATTAAATGGTCTTCTGCTTAAATGGAAAAATCTTAAGGCAAAGGAAATTGGAGGAGAAGGTGAGAGACAGATACTGAGATACCGAGAGATGAAGAAAGAGAAAAGACAAAGTCAGAAACAGATAGTAAGTCAGAAACATGGAGATTCAGAGATACAAAAAGAATCACAGAAAAGAAAGGCAATGACCATGGAGAACTTGTAATCAATATTTTTAAAAAGTACCAAAGTGGAACATGAGCTTATAGTCACAATTTTTCCTAATATACTAATACACTTTTCTACATTTGGTGGAAGTTCTGAATTTTTGATTCACAGATGCTACACTGCGCTATTCAATTACCCACGAAATGTGCACCAGATTGCAGGGCACAGGCCACCCACAGTTTTTTTGCAAAGGTGTATTCATGTGGCTCCTGAATTTTCAAACTTTTTTTCTTTTTTTCTTTTTTTCTTGTTTGGCTCAGAATGCATGTTACCTTTGAAACAGTATTTGCTGTAGTGGTTAAATTTCTAGGTCAAACCACAGAATGCCAGGGTTCTCGTTAGGGCTTATGCTGTGATTTTTGCCATCAGGTGGGTTAGATACTTTACATGCTTATCCAAGCATCAAACTAGTATTGGCAATTTCATTTCTGGTAAAAAAAAAAAAAAAAAAAAAAAAAAAAACCTGTAGTTTAGAACTCATGTTGAATAGTTGTGGTAGCCAAAACCTTGAATCTTTGTCCTTTTTTGACTCTCCAGAGCCACTGAACAAAAGGTAATTGGTATGTACCCAAGCCACATTGTACTTCTCTTCTTTATAGAAAAAGTGATTTTGTCATTTTTCCCTCTTTGAAAAAAAATAGCACAGGTAAACCATTGTGTATTCTTGCTGTCTGTAAAAGCTACATTTTGTTTAGCTGGGGCTGCTTAAAAGACTTACTCAAACAGCAATGTGTTTTACAAGAAACTGTTAACAATTGTTAATTTGGGCCATAAGACTGATGGTCTAGTACAGGAGTGGGCAAACTATGTCCTGCGGGGCAAATTTGGTTTGCCGCTTGTTTTTTTAATAAAGTTTTATTGGAACACAGCCACATTCATTTGTTTTTTTACGTATTGTCTATCGATGTTTCTGGGCTGTAACAGCAGTGTTGAGTAGCTATAATAGTGACCGTATGTTCCACAAAGCCTAGAATCTTTGCGATCTGGCCCTTTACAGGAGAAGTTTGTTCACCTCTCTCCTAGATCATGAAGAAATTTTTAACTGTTCCTTTTATATTTGCCTGTGCTATTTTGAAATATTTTTGCTGTGTGTGTGCAATAAAACTATTACAACATTTTAGATGACTGTTCGGCTGTCTACTCAGATTGTGCTCCCATGCATCCTCAGAAATCAGCAAATGTCTTATGAAACAACCTGAAAATACAGATATCCTAGAATGGAGGTGAAGAGAGCATTTAGAAGGACAATCTAGGTACGAAATTTTGGTTGGCAGCATTAGCAAGTGAAATATTAACATGCATTGACATAGATTAAAGAAGATTTGATATAGATTGTAGGATATATTTTAGTGATCTTGGGGAATCTAGAAAGGAAGGTGGGGAAAAGAACACTCAAGGAGGAAAATGCTCATGTTTCCAGCAATGGCAGTTGAGTGGATAATGGCATTATGCATTATGATAGGGGAAAGTCAGGGATGCGGGATGTGGAGTTGCCAGTAAGGAAGAGGAAATGCTGTTCGACTCTGCTTTTGTTTGTACTTTGCAAGGTAGATGGAGCCTCCAGTACCGCTGAGGGTAATTTTGTGTGTGCATGTGTTTGTGTGTCCACATATGCACTTACTTTCAGCTTGGCTACACTTGCTCATGAGAATATAGTCTATGATTTTCTTTGATGTCTTAGTCAATTTGGGCTGCTATAACAAAGTACCATAGACAGAGTGCCTTATAAATGACAGACATTGATTTTTTAGAGTTCTGGAGGCTGGGAAGTCTGAGATCACAGTGCTGGCAGATTTGGCGTTTGATGAGGGTTCCCTTGCTGGTTCACAGACATCAACTTTCTGTAGCCTTACATGGCAGAAGGGGTGAAGGAGTCCTCCAGGGTCTCCTTTATAAAGGCACTTAATGCCATTCATGAGGGCTCTACCTTCGTGATCTAATCAACTGCCAATGCGCCACCCGCCCCCCCCCCCCCCCAATACAATCACGTTGGGAGTTAGAATTTCAATATGTGAAATTGAGGGGAACAAAAGCATTCAGTCTATGGCATCTGGCTTCTGGCCTTACTGCAGGATTTTAAATCAATGATGACCATACAGAAGCCCCTGATATGAATAACTCTTGTTGCCTGACTGAGTCCTGTGTGCTGAATAACCTTGGGGTTCCCTACAGTGTCTGCCCTGGATGTCAAATAACAAATCCCGTGCTTAACCCTACAAGTCATTCTGAGCAGAAGTACAGGAGTAAGGACTTGTGCTATGAACTTTCCCTGAGGAGGAGAACGTGTTGATCAGATACATGGGCCAGCATATTCTTGAGCAAAGCCATTCTCAAGGTTGGTGAGGTCCACAATAAACTCATGATCTTCTCATGGTAGCACAGAGATGAGCTGCTACTCCTGAACCCTTGTATCATCTGGCTATCTCTCTGAAGCTTCCTGAATGAGGTGTACATTATTAATGCTGATGGTCAAGAAAAGTATGTGAATCAATGGCTGCTATAAACTTTATATGAGTTAAGTCAAGAGAATTGATGAATAATTGAATTACTGGATAAAATTGCTAAGCCAGTTCTATCCACCAAGTCTGTTACTACCAAAATCATTTCTGATGCATACCCACCCTTTCTTGAAATATCTTAATATGGCTCAGTTGTCATAAAAGACTATGTGTTTGTTCCATAACAAGGTTTTCTTTTTCACGTTAAAAAATTGAGGGAATCAAAGTTTTCTGTCCAGTCCATTAAATTATCAGTCCTGTATACCAACAAATTCCTGAGGACTTTTAAAAAAAGGTTTGTTTGTTCAATTAGGAATGAATAAATAAATTAGTAATGAAGGATGCTCCTCCATTAATTTTCTTCTCTTGCATCCCGCTTTCTTCAAATTTATCCTGCATGCAAGTATCTCAGGAAATAGGATTTGAGTTGGGGCTTGATGTGAGAGACTGAGAAGATGTGGGAAGTGGTATAGAAAGAGCAATTAGAATGTGTGACTGACAGTTGACCAATGGTTCACAGCAATGACGTTTAATGCTCCATTGCTAATGGAAATTGTGAATGTGGCTAATGGAAAAACCTAATTAAGAAAGCAGCTTAACAGACTCTGTAGAAAGCAAAAGTTTTGATTGAATTGAAGTGTTGCTATTAATAGTAATAGTAAACTACTAAAAGTCTTAAGACTTTTTGGCAAAGACTTTCCTTCACTAATGGACAGTAACAGTCTCAGGTCTATTTTATTCTGTTCCAGGATGTAATGAAGTTATTCCGAGAGTTAGCACCTCTGTATGCTCAGGATCTCTGTCCAGTGAATCCCTTGCCATTCTAATGTGAGTAGTTGTGTTCCAGTTCAATTTCATTTCTTCTGAAAACAGACCACTGTTTTACACTTTCTTGATGCTAGTATTCTCATGCTGCTGATTTCAGTACTTCACTGAGAGCATCAGTGTAAAACCCTGAGTTTCATTAAGTGCCAGTAGCTGGCTGAGTTCATTCCTACACACACTGACTGCTTGTGTGATAAAGTCTTTCACTTGCTGTCTCTCTCTCCACACTCCCCTGCCAAAGGCTCATCCTGATTAAAAATAATCCGTTCTGTTCCTTTTGGAAATGCTTGCCTCCACATTTGACCTGAGTTGTGTGTTTGGATCCCTTGTTCTGTGAGAAGACCACATGGGGGCTAAACCTTAGAGAAGCCAACTTGCTTCCTTAAGGACATTGCTTTTGCAAAAAGTGATTGCAGACATCAGTAAAATTATATGAGGGGAGAGTAAAGCGGCTCATTACAGTGGAGTGGGGCTTACCTAGTTTACGAGCTCCATTTAATTAATTACTAAAGGCTAAGACATTTAGAGAAATTTTTAACAACATTGTATTAAGGTCACAGTGAGAAAGATTGAGGTTTAAATGGCTCTAACCACTGTGTTGTTTCAAGAACTCCCTTGATTTGTGGAGGCAAACATGTGAGGTAAAGAGGCCTGGATTAAGGATACTGACGTCATTTTCTGCTGTTGATCGATTCTACAATCTCAAATATGGTACTAATAAATATGGAGATGAAAATACCCATTTCTTTGGTTGCGAGGAATTCAGAAGTTATGAGAGCGGCTGGCACAGGAAGGGCTTAGCTCACTCCAGATGTCCAGTGAATGTTTGGTTCAATTTGTCAATCTTGTCTAGAGAATTTGTTCAGGAAATTTCTGAGTCAAGGAGTTTTGTAAGGTACTAGGAGACACTTGGTGACTGGAGAAAGATCTCAGACCTGATCTAGGTAACTAGTTTTAGTTCTGATTTGTGATTCATTAGTTTGCAAATGAACTAATGGGCAAACTAATGCCCTTTTAGATAAGTCACTGAACCATTAGTTTCCTCATCTGGGATGCAAGCGTAATACTGCCGTCCAGTGTAGCATGGGCTCTGATTGAGACTGCCTGAGTTTGATTCTCAGTCCTACCAGTTACTAAATGCTTACCTGGGCAAGTTACTGAAAATTCTTTGTGTATACTTCCTTATCTTTAAGCACAAAAATGATAGCCATTTCATTTGATTTTCAAGAGGCTGACATAAATCAGCACATTTAAGTGTTCTAGCAGAGTGCCTGTCACATGGTAGTTGCTCAATACATGTTAATCAGCATAATTTTTATTTCTTTTAAACCCTGACTCGAGTAAAATCAGCAATCATCACAATTGGAATGCTGAGTACACTGCTAATTACAAATGTTAACACTATGACCATCTCCAAAGTAAAGGAAAATCTATCTAATGCTTCCAGTTTTATCTTACCTGACTTGTTTTTCTCTTTTGTTCTTTCCCCGGATTTCTCTGGGTAGCAGAGCAACAGCAACTACAGCAAGGCCAAACTGGCAGAAACCAAAGTGAAAAAGGACTGCCCTTCCTCCTTAGTCCTCTGTGTTCCTGGGTTTTCTTTGGCAGGAATGCTTCACATATTTCCTCAGGAGCCACTTACCTCTGAGCACAGGAGGTTTCCTGAAACCAGAGGTAGAAGGTTCCTGCTTTCATACAGCAGACTCATTTCCTCACTCAGGGAATCAGGTGTTGCTTCACCCATGTGGAAGTACATGGCCTTTCCCTTCCTGTTCCAGCAGTTCCCACTGTGTCAGCCTCAGACCCAGCCAACACAATTACCAGCGCTACATGGAGTGAGTCGCTTTGAGCCGCCTGAGGGAACTCAAAGGGCTTCTCACAGAAAAAAGCTTAGGATAGGACTGTGGCCGCAGCTGTGACCCTTTTTCCTGGCAAGCTATGGCACTGGATGAAACATGAAGATGCCCCTTGCGGGAGGGTAGGCTAGCACAAAAGCCAAAGATGGAAGGAAAGTGGCCCTTACTTTCTGTCTGCCATTCAGGGGTCTATCTCCCTGAACTACTGATATCCTAGCCTCATGTATGTGTTGTGTTAATTGAGTACCAGAGCTCAGAGCATTGGTTTGGAAATTAGTGATTCTGCCACTTTTCAGTTGTATCACTTCGGGCATTCACTTCATCTCTCTGAGCCTTAAATTTCTCATCTATATGTTGTGGATAGTCATGCCTGTCTTGACTGCTTGGCCAAATAAAAACTCAAGTTTTAAATTCTGAAACCTTAGGGTTCAAGAGCTGGGGAGGGAGTTTACATGTTTTCTAATGGAGCCATTATCTGTTGGAGGCATTCATTCCCCTCACCAGCATCCTAGACAAATACCATCCTCTTGATTCAGTTGGAATGCTGACATGCCTGTGGAGCTGCCCTCGGGAGATCTGATTGTTAGAAACGTCTTCCTATGCCCTCTAGTAACTTTTATCTGTTTCGCCTCTGGACTCAACAATAAATTTCATTCCTAAACTGTTACGCATATTGACAAATACTGTAAAAATATCATCACTTTTTTTTTTAAAGTTGTTGTCAAGTTATTGTCTCAGCTCCTTTACCTGCTCTGCCTTTTGGGATTTTTCTTTGGATTCATGAATGAAACAGGGCATGGCATTAGGTGTTTCTGAATGTTCTCAAGGGTCCTTCTGGGATTGGTTCTAAAAGCTTCCCTGATTATCTCTGGAGGCATTGAATATTACCAATAGTTTGAGTCCTAGAACCATGATTAGAAAAGCATGTTATTTTGTATTATGAAAAAAATGGAGATGCATTAAATTTTAGTAAAATAAGAGACCTTGAAAACATGTAAATAATAAATGCTGTTTGTAACCCAGCTATTGCAAAAAAAAAAAAAAAAAACTATTTTAATACCTTATATCTTGATCATGTTTCCACATGCATGATTATGTGCACACATGTGATTGTTGGAATTATACAACATATGTGGATCTGCATTTTGTTCTCTTACTATTATATCTTATTTTCCCATGCCACTACCAATTGTAAGTATTATCATGATGCTTGCATCACCATATCTTATTGAATGAATACATCATAATTTACCCAATGAACTCCCTATTTTAATCCCTAATTTGTGGTAAGTTTTCAGTAACATCAAGTCTATTCTCTTTGAGAAATGGAGAATACAACACCTCTAAATTCCCTCAGCAGGGTTTTATTTTCCAAGTGTTGGGGTAGTAACTTTACCCATTTCTTTGCATAAGTGAGCATAGTTATGAGGACAAGTGGATCCGATCCTGTTAGAGCTGGAAAGCTGGAAAAAAATAAAAAGTTGGTGTGTGTTTATGTAAATACTACCTTTCAAATTTAAACTTAACATGTTTCACTGGTGATCTTTATGACCAACAAGAAGTTTTTGGGTTGTTTCACTTATTGGTGGAACAATGGGCCCACCAAGGGCTTCAGCTGCCCCTTTCCTCTGATGTCAGGAATTTTCCTGGAAATTGAGTTTCTATATCAGGAAGAACATTTTTAATGCACTTGAACTCGGCCAAGAATCAAAGGTCCCAGGTGTGCTGTCCAGTCACATAATTTGGGCCCTAGTTTTTGTTAGTGCATAACTCGGACAGCACAAAGGACAGCAAAAACTCGGACATGCTCATACAACTAGATCAGCTGTCTGTGGTGCTTGTTAAGAGTGGCAGTACCCCTACTCCTCAGCAGACTTACAGAACCAATCGCCAAAATAGAAGGAATCAGAATTCATTTTTTTTTTTTTTTTACAAGCACTGTAAGTGAAATACATCAGGAAAATTTAGTAAATAGATTGTGACTCACATAAATAAGTGATGTCTAGACAGCTAACTTAGTGTGAAAGACAATTGTCAATTGCTTTATCCTGTTCTTACACTGATACTGGAGTCCTGTAGGGTCTTAGATGTAGGGCTTTACTTCATCTTTGATAATTATCAAAAATCACAGAATTGGAAATAGCTCCATAAACCTATATAACAAGGCAGATAGAAGGGACCTTTCAACACAGAAGTGATCATTTTTGAAAGAGGCCTCTCATATCTCCCTGAAAGCATTACCACTAACAGAAGCAGCTGCATTCTTTCATCATGGCCAATACCAACTTTGTGGAATGGATGTAAACTTCGCCATATCTTCTGGGGAGTGGCTAATTTGAGATAATGGCATATAGTTGACTTTTAAAACAAAACAAAACCAACCAGAACGTTCTGGTTGCTTAGACTCAGTTGAGTTCTCAAAAAGCCAACACAAAAGGGAAGTCCAGATACATTCTCATTCCATCTGTGCTTCATCTCTAGTCCAGAAAAAAAAAAATTGTTAACTTCATTGGTCCTGATGCACTGGGATGTTTCCAGCAGACTGTCTCCTGGCTTTTCTGATGTCATAGGTTTCTGTTTTTGCAGAGGAGAACCTCCTAAGTATGTTCCTCATGTGTCTATTAAGAAAGATGAAAAGTAACCTACCAAGATGACCCCCTGGTCTTGGTAGTGAGAGTGCCTATATCTGGTAGGCAGAGCCTCATGGTGGTAGGTTATAATAAAAAGGAGTGAAGGTACTTTATCATTCCTTTCCCCATGGTATAACTTTAATGAACAGGAATTGCCAGACCATTAATCTACTAACTTTAGTCCAAACACAGACAAAAGGGATAGTTAGAATTATCTTGTTAAAAATCAGAAAAGGAGAAAGCATGTGGATCACAGGTAGGGGAGACTTATGATTAGTCATCTTTACACGTCATGTTTTACAAAATTTAGAATTACGGGCATCCTGAGTCTCAGTTGTAGACCATTTGAAAACAAGCTTCTCAGCAAGAGAAACTCATCTGAGGAAACTCCCATAATGGTATCAGCGGATTTCTCAGCAGAAACCTTGCAGGCTAGAAAAAAGTGGGAGAATAAAGTGCTAAAAGAAAAAAGCAGGAAGAAAAACTATCATCCAAAAACTGTGTATCTGGAAGAGTTGTCTTTCAGAAATAAGAGAGATAACAACATTTCCAGACAAAAGCTGAGGAAGTTGATCACCACTAGACCTAACTTACAAGAAATACTAAAGGCAAATGAAAGCTGAAAGTAAAGGGAATAAAGGGAAATTAAGCTAAAATGAAAGAATGTTATTTAACAAGAAAATATATAAAATTCCAAAACTCACTGGTAAAAGTAAGTGTAGTGTCAATTTCAGAATATTATATAATGGTTGTGTGTAAATCACCTAACTCACATAAAGATTAAAAGACAAAAATATTGAAAGTAATTGTAGGTACAATAATTTGTTAATGGATACATAATATATAAAATATATGAATTTTGACATAAATATAAAATGTGGGTGGAAGGTAAAAATATAATTTTTGTATGTGTTGGAATTTAAGTTTTTAACAGCTTTACATAAGCTGTTATAGCTAAAAGATGTTTTATGTACGTCTCATCATAAACACACACAAACTCTGTAATGGATACACTAAAGATAAAGGAATCCAAATATACTGATATAGTTTGGATATCTGTCCCCTCCAAATCTCAAGTTGAAATCTGATCCCCCGTGTTAGAGGCTGGGCCTAAGAGGAGATGTGCAAGTCATGGGGGCAGATTCTTTTAGAACGGCATGGGGCCATCCTAAAGGCAATGAGTAAATTCTCACTCCATTAGTTCCTGTGAGAGCTGATTGGTTTTTTTTGTTTTGTTTTGTTTATTTTTTTTCCTTATTTCCTTTCTTTTAATGTGTCAAAAACACACTTCAAGATATTCTTGTGAATACATATAAGCTGTGTCTCAGCATGCAGTACTATGCAAATAATTTTTCAATATGGCAAAACGAAAAATTTACACACTTCATGGTAGCGCTTAATCTTTGAGATCTATTGCTGATGCTAGGTCTGAAGAGCAATGACTCAACCAGAAAAAATAGTAAAGGCTGCCTTTTCCTTTTTAAAGTGCTTATTAGCTTTATATCCAAAAACAATGGTTTTTACAAATACATAATACTGAAAGGTGCTCAAAAAGTCACCACTTACAGAATTGAACATGTCATTTTCTAACTCTGCACATGTAAACTTGTTTTATCTGCGTTAATGAAGATTGCTTCAAATGGCTCTCAATCATATGCTTCAAATCAAGACAGTGCTAAGTTCCAGCAGCATAAACAGTGACAGCAGAACAAACCCCAGCACATTTTCAGCGGATCACAGCAGATGAGAGAAAGTGAGCTGATTGTTAAAAAGAATCTGCCACTTCCCCCAACTCTTGCTTCCTCTTTCATTATGTGATCTCACATGCCAGCTCCCGTTCACCTCCCACCATGAGGGGAAGCAGCCTGAATCCTTCACCAGAAGCAGATGTTGACACCATGCTTCTTGTATAGCCTATAGAACCAGGAACAAAGTAAATTTATTTTCTTTATAAATTACCCAGCCTCGGGAATTCCTTGATAGCAACACAAATGGACTAAGACACATACCATTAAAGGAAATCATCAAGTAACAAGGGAAGATAGTAAGACAGCAAGAAAGGAACTACAAAACAGAGTAAACAATGAACAAAATGGTAATAGTATCTATCAGTAAGTACCTTGAATGTAAATGGATTAAATTCTCCAATCAAAAACCAGAGTGGATAAATGGATAAACTAAACTAAACAACAAAAAACCCAAACTCTGAACTATATATCGCCTTCAAGAAACTTACTTCAGCTATAAGGAAAAGCATATACTGAATATGAAGGAATGGAAAAAGAAACCTCATGCAAATGGAAAACAAAAGGTAGCAGAGATAGATATACTTCAGACAGAATAAACGTTGTCACAAATTATAACAAGAGGCAAAAAAGATCATTATATAATACTAAAGGGGTCAATTAATTACAAGGATATTATAAATATATACATTCAGCATTGGAGCAACTAAATATATTAAGCAAATATTAGCAGGTTGGAAGGCAGAAATAAACAGCAATGCAATAGAATATTTTGCACACAGAATATTCTCCAAGATTATATGTTACATCACATAATAAACCTTAGCAAATTTAAGAAGACTGAAATCATATCTGGTGTCTTTTCCAGGCACAGTGGCATAAAACTAGAAATCAGTTAACTGAAAGAAAATAGAAATTGTCACAGATAAGTAGAAATTAAGCAAGACACTCCTGAAAAAATCAGTGAATCAAAGAATAAGTCAAAAGTGATATCAAAAATACCTTCAGACAAACAAAATTGGAAACAGCATTCTAATCTACAGAATGCATCAAAAGTAGTTCTAGGAGAAACATTCATAGCAATAAATAGTTACACTAAGAAAAAAAAAGTCAAGAAACAACCTAACTTTATACCACAAGGAACAAAAATAAGTACAAAGCCAGGAGAAGGAAGATAACAAAATTCAGAGCACAAATAAGATAGAGACTAGAAAAAAAAAAATAGAAAGATAAATGGAATTAAGAAATGGCATTTTTTAAAAATACAATTGACTAAACTTTAGCAAGAAAAACAAGACACAAAATCGGATATGAGAAAGGAGATATTACAACTGATAGCATCACAATACAAAGGGTCATAAAAGACTACTATGAACAATTTTACACCAGCAAATTGAATAACCTAGAAGTCACGGATAAATTCCTAGAAATATTCATCCTACCGAGACTGAATCATGAATGAATGGAAAATCTTAACAGACCAATAATAATAAGTACGACTGAATCAATAATCATAAATCTCTCAACAAAGAAAAGCCCAAGACTTAATGACTTCACTGCTGAGTTCTATCAAACTTTTAAGGAAGAATTAACATCAATTTCTCTCAAGCCCTTATGAAAATTCAAGAGGGATACTTCCAAACTTATTTTACAAGGCCAGCATTACTCTGATGCAAAGCCAAACAAGGAATACTACCTGAAAAGTATAAGCCAATATCCCTGATGAACATGTATACCAAAGTCCTCAATAAAATACTGGAGAACAGAACTCAACAGCACATTAAAAGTTTCTTATACTATGATCAAGTGAAACTTATTTTTGGAATGCAAGAATTGTTCAACATATGCTAAGCAATAAAATGATACACCATATTTACCAAACGATTTATAAAAATCATATGGTCACCTTAGTAGATGAAGAAGAATTGTGACATTGAACATCCTTTCATGATAAAAACACTAAATTAGACTTAAAATAAATGGACCTCAAGACAATGAAGGCCATGTATGACATACCCACAGCTAATACCATCATCAATAGTAAAAGACTAAAAGCTTTTCCTCCTGAACGAGGAACAAAACCAGAATGCTCACTTTTGCCACTTCTATTCAAAATAGTTTTGTAAGTCCTAGAAAATTAACCAAGAAAAAGAAAAGCCATCCAAATTAGAAAGGAAGAAATATTGTCTCTGTTTACAGATGACATGATCTTAAAGGTAGGAAACCCTAAAGACTCAACAAAAAACTGTTAATACTAATTCAGTAAAGTTATAGGCCATAAAATCAACATAAAAATCAGTTCTATTTCTATACAAGAATAACAAACTTACTGAAAGTAAAATTGAGAAAGCAATCCCATTTACAGCAGCACGAAAAACCACAAAATATGTAGAAATAAACATAATCAAGGGGGTGAAATATCTTTACACCAAAAACTATAAAGTGATGATGAAAGGAATTGAAGAATACAGAAATAAATGGAACAACAGCCTATGCACAGGAATTGGAAGAATTAATATTGCTAAAATGTCCATGCTTCTCAAGGGACCTACAGATTCAATGCAATCCCTATGAAAATCCCAATGGCATTTTTCACAGGGAAAAAAAAATCTGAAAATTTGTATAGAACCACAAACGACCCTGAGTAGCCAAGTCAGTAATGAGAAAGTAGAAGGAAGCTGGTTATCTTTTACTGATTGATTTCAAACCATATTACCAAGCTATAGTAACTTTAAAAGTATGTACTGGTATAAAACCAGACACAAAGAGCATTGAGACAGGACAGAGAGCCCAGAAATAAACCCACAAGTATACAGTCAGCTAGTCTTTGACAGGAAGCTAATGCAAAATGTAGGATAGTCTCTTAAATAAATGGTGTTGAGAAAACTAGGTTTCCACATACCAAAAATATAACTGGACTCCTATATTACAGCACTTCCAAAGATTTACTCCAAACTGATAAAAGACTTAAAAGTAAGACTGAAAAAATGTGAAATTCCAAGGAGAAAACATAGGGGAAAAATTCTTTGGCATTAGTCTTGTCAATTATTTTCTTTTATAACTTATTATGACACCAAAGACAAGAACAACA
The DNA here is from genome assembly GCF_000001405.40 of Homo sapiens. Classification (NCBI taxonomy): domain Eukaryota; kingdom Metazoa; phylum Chordata; class Mammalia; order Primates; family Hominidae; genus Homo; species Homo sapiens. Next base: position 107,891,689 of record NC_000010.11, on the reverse strand, counting down.
AATGTAAAAATAAGTGGAACTTTATCAAGCTAATAAGCTTCTGCATAGCAAAGGAAACAACAAAATGAAAAGGCAATCTATGGAATGGGAGAGAATATTTGCAAACTCTATATATCCAATAATGGGTTAATTTCCAAAATACGTAAGATACTCATACAATTCCATAGCAAATACAGACAAATAATCTGATTAGAAACTGAGCAAAGGACCTAACAGACATTGCCCAAAAAAAGACATACAAATGGTCAATGAGTACATGAAAAGGTGCTCAGCATTACTACTCAAACACAAATCAAAACCATAATGAGATAACGTCTCACATCTGTGTGGATGACTTTTATCAAAAAGACAGATAAATGTTAGCAAGGATGTAGAGAAAAGGGAACCTTTGTGTTACTGTTGGGTATGTAAATTGGTATAGCCATTCTGAAAAGCAGCATGAAGTTTCCTTAAAAAAATAGGGGGGGAAGAAAAAGAACTATGATTAAATCCAACAATCTCACTTCTCTGTATTCTTCATATAAAGCCAAAGGAAATGAAGTTAATTTCCCTAATGGACATCTGCAGTCCCATGTTAATTGCAGCATTATTCACAGCAGCCAGGCTATTGAAACAATCTTAGTCTCCATCAGTGGACAAATGGATTAAAAAAATTTTATACACATATGCCCCAATGCAATATTACTTTTATAAAAAGCAAATATGTAATTTTTGACAACATAAATAAACCCGAAGGACATTATTCTTAGAGACAGAAGCCAGAGAAGGACAATATATAGTATCACTTGTATGTGGAATCAAAAACCAACAAAAAAAAAACTCCAACTCTTTAAAACAGCATGAAATAGAAGGATGATTGCTAAGTACAAAGGGTGACGGAAATGGAGAGAGACGTAGGAGAAAGGGTACAAACTTTCAATTATAAAATGAATAGTTCTGAGGATCTAGCATATAGCATGGGTGACTGCAGATAATATTATACTTGAAATTTGCTAGATCTTAAGTATTCTCACCAAAAAAAAACAAAGATAACTATATGAGGAGAGAGATGTGTTAATTAACTTGATTGTTGCAATTATTTCACAATGTATATGCATATGTTACTACATTGTACACTTTAAATAGGTACAATCTTATTTGTCAGTTATACCTCAATAAAGCTGGGGAAGGAGGGAAAGCATTTTTTTCTTTTCTTTGCTTGGACACCTGCAAGAAGCATTCCTATCCTTCGTTCCGTAAGTATTGTGAGGTGGTTGGATTTTGAGTAGGAGATGAAGAAACTAGGCTTTCATCAGAGCAGGAGCCACAGCTAAGTTTGAGCATCCCTCCATTGAAAGGATTAAGTTTGAACATCCTACCATTGAAGTTTTGTTTCTTACAAAACCTGTAGATGGACTTCAGGGCCATTAGCCTATTGCAAATGTCCAATTGTTACCTTCGTTTTCTGAAGCATAAAAGAAAAGAGAAACAGATTGCTTTATCATTTGCCCAGTTTTCCCATGGAGGAGAAGAGAGGCAAGTAAGTTAACCTCTTGTCACATCACCAGAAATCCATGGAACTCTTCACAAAAATAGCTGCTCACTCCAGAGTCTGGATGTCAGTCAGCAGAGGGTAACAGGTCTCAAAAACCCATTCTGTAAAGGGTATTGGTGCCAAAGAGATGGAAGGCTCAATGACCTGGGCATAGTTGCATGAATATGTAGGTGTTCCAAGTAAGAACAGAGCCATCAGGGCTGGTATAGTCAGCACAGACCAGAAAAAAGGACTCAAATAGGAAGATGGGGTCAGAGGCAAAAATTCTGAAGGCAGAGCAAAGTAGGTGGTCATAAGTTCCATATATAAAGGAAATAACTCCCAGAAGTCAAAAGGGCCAGGCCAAGCCAACAGGTGAGTCCAGGAATAAGGAATTCTTTTAATCTGAGTTAGTCACTTCATTCCAGAAGCATTTGTTTATCTATTAATAGTAAGGCAGAAGTACCAGTTTAGGTCTTATAGCTTTTATATGGAGGTACTAAATAATGAAATGGCAGAGTAGAACCCTAAAACTTTACCAGTTTGGGGTTATATTTGTAGCCAACCTGGGGAAGCTTTTAAAGTTATGTCTCAGAATAGCAGCCTAAATTTTGATACATGATAGATCATTTTTAGAATATTTTTTATTTTTACTTGCTTACACCTCAAATTTATTTCAGTAGGTTACACTAAGGGAGGCTTCTCCTCGAACATTTTTAAAGACCAATCCATAATTTGTACTTCCTTTAAAAACCTGGAAACCTCCCCTTTGGGCTTGGGCAATTGTCTGTTATTCTGAAACTCCTCCTATCCCACATGTTCAAGAAATGTGAGCCCTGAATGGTAGTTGACTCGAAGTTTAAACAGATCATAACTCAAGTGTGAAAGCAACTCTCCTGTTTGCTCACCAGGCTGTTAAGCCTGCCATTTCCAAAGGCAGCCTGCAAGGCAGGTGCTGGTTAAGCCCAAGAAACAAAAAATGTCCAGTTACCCTACTTGTCTGAAGCTTTTTGCCTGGACCTTGCCATCAGTTAGCATTTAAGTCAGAGAAATAAAGTAGATGGCATGACCCGATGAAGATGGAAGATCACAACAAAATTGTTAATAAGCAAGATCTCAAAGGGATAACTCAGGAATAAAAATGTAATATGAAAGAAATGTTCTTCCTCATTTGTATATAAATAACTTTTCAAAAAAAAATTGGAGAAAATGGTCATTAAAGTCATAAAATAAATCCAGATGAGCAAATCCTATTTCTTTGACTCATTACTTTATTCTTTTCTAAGTTTTATATACAAGTTCAGCAATTAGTACCTGTCTAGCACTGAGGGTTCTGGCTTCTCAAAAATTATTATTTTGACAGTCTCACTCTGTTGCCGCCACTGGAGTGCAGTGGGCTGACATAGCTCACTGCAACCTCCACCTCCGAGACTCAAGAGATCCTCCCACCTCAGCCTCCCTAGTACCTGGGACTACAGATGCACGCCACAAACCCAGCTAATTTTTGCACTTCTTGCAGAGACGAGATTTCACCATGTTGCCCAGGCTGCTCTCAAACTCCTGAACTCAAGCTATCCACCTTCCTTGGCCTACCAAAGTGCATGGATTACAGGAATGAGCCACCATGCCTGGCCTTGACAATTATTATCAGTTATCCTTCATCACATGATTCTGAGTGGGAAATTGTAACAGTACAGTGGAATGAAAAATGGCCTCCCTCTATCCTTCCACGTTCTTTGGGCTACAAATTAAATTGACATAAGAAAGATTAACAGGAGTAAAACTGTATTTAATTATGTATGTATGCACAGGGGTCCGACAGAACATGAGCCTTAAAAGTCACATGATTGAAGCTTCTACAGCATCCTGAGCAACAGAAGGGAATAGGAGCTTTGGACTTCTGAGGGATGGTTGGTGGTGACATAAGTCATAGGAGAGAGAGGGAAGGAAATGTTTGGTGAATAAAGGTTATATCTTGTTTGCAATTAACTTTTACTATCTGAGGGATTTTTTATCTTCAGCAGTCCTCTTTTTAATACAGGTACTTTTATGAATATACTCTTCCTTTATGGATATAAATTTATTTTATAATAGGACAGCTTTTCAGGGATACTCCTTTACCTGCCATTTACCAGAATAAGCAGCTCAAAACTGCCAAATATATTTTAGGGTGGTATATTCTGGTCCCCTATCATCATATTTTGGGGGTATGTTCATACTTTGGTGTCTCCTGAGCCTCAACATTACTCCATCTGAAATTTCCCCAAGAAGCTTTAAAATCCAGAAACTGAGTTGGTAAACTATCTAATAACCCACTGAAGAGGCATTTCTATGGCAACAAAAGGAAAGTTAATAATTGCAGCAGACTATAAATCATGTTTCTGAGTCTGTAGGGCAGCCAGTCAAAACTTCTAAACTGTAGGTTAAAAGTATCTTTTGGTGTCTAAATGTCTCTGGTGATGTCTGAGTGGCCCACGGGGCAACAGGCACAAAGGTTTTCCATATAAAAGTTGTGATCTCTGTAATGTTCATCTCTGTAATGTTCATATCAAGTCATCCAGCTTCAGCATGCAGAGCTTCAGGAAAAGGGCGATTTTTGTTCTTAGTCATACTAAGTGAGAAAGGCGGGAGAAAAATGTAAATATTTGAAGAATTCTAGGCAAATACTGGAGAAATTCAGGATCCAGTCCACTTTAAAAGGTTGAATAACAAAACCTCAAAGAACAGGATTAAAATCTATTAATAGCTACAATATAGGTAGGCTTATACTGAAGCAAAATTTCCCTCTATAGTCACCCCCAATTTTACCAAAGATAATCACAGTAAGACTAGTTTGTTTGTAAGATAACTTTAATCTCATGAAACTTGGCCTGATTATTTACATAAGAGAAGCAAGAATAGTGATTGTTTAATATAGGCTTTTTAATGTAACAACATAAAGTTTTTTACCCCTTAAATTTTTAATTTTTATGGGTACGTAGTAAGTGTATGTATTTAGGTACATGGGATTTTAATACAGGCATACAATATATAATATACCCATCAGGGTAAATAGGATATCCATCACCTCAAGCTTTCATTATTTCTTTGTGTCAGAAACATTCGATTTGTACTCCCTCAATTCTAAAATATGCAACAAATTATTCTGGACTGTAGTCACCCTGTTGTGCTATCAAATATGAGATCTTATGCATGGTATTTAACTATATTTTTGTGCCTACTAACCATCTCCACTCCCCCACCATCCCTATCTACCATGGTCAGCCTCTGGGTAACCATCGTTCTACTATCTCCATCTGTTACATTGTTTTAATTTTTAGTTCCCACAAATGAGTTAAAACGTGCAAAGTTTGTCTTTCTATGCCTGGCTTATTTCACTTAAAATGTCATCCAGTTCCATCTATGTTGTTGCAAATGACAGGATCTCATTCTTTTTATGACTAAAATAGCACTCCATTTTGTATATGTGGCACATTTTCTTTATCCATTCCATTCTTCTATTGATGGACACTTAGGTTGCTTCCAAATCTTGGCTATTGTGAATTGTGCTGCAGCAAACATGGGAGTACACATATCTCTTCCATATACTGATTTCCTTTCTTTTGGGTATATACCTAGAAGAGGGTTTTGTTCTATTTTTAGTTTTTGAGGAGCCTCCATTCTGTGCTCCATAGTGTCTATATTAATTTACATTCCCACCAACAGTGTACAAGGGTTCTCTTTTCTCCACATCCTTGCTAGCATTCATTATTGCCTGTCTTTTGGATAAAAGCCAATTTAACTGGGGTGAGATAACTCATTTTAGTTTGGATTTGCATTTCTCTGATCAGTGATGTTTAGCACCTTTTCATATACCCATTTGCCATTTGTGTGTCTTTTGCGAAATATCTGTTAGATCTTTTGCCCATTGTTTAACTGGGTTGTTAGATTTTTTCCTATTGAGTTGTTTTGGGCTCCTTGTATATTCTGATTATTAATCCGTTGTCAGATGGATAGTTTGCAAAAATTTTCTTCCATTATGTGGGTTGCTTCTTCACTCTATTGACTGTTTCCTTCACTGTGCAGAAGCTTTTTAATGTGATTTAATCCCATTTGTCCATGTTTGCTTTATTTGCATGTGCTTTTGGAATATTACTCAAATATTTGCTCAGACCAATGTCCTGGAGAATTTCCCCAAGGATTTTGTCTAGTAATTTCATATTTTCCAGTCTTAGATTTAAGTCTTTAATCCACTTGGATTAGATTTTATATGGTGAAAGATGGGGTATAGTTTTATTTTTCTGCATATGAACATTTAGTTTTTGCAGCAACATTTATTAAAGAGACTGTCCTTTCCTCAATGTATATTGTTGACATCTTTGTTGAAAATGAGTTCACTGTAGATATATGGATCTATTTCTGGATATTCTTTTCTGTTCCGTTATGTATGTGTATGTGTTTCCTATGCCAGTACCATGCTGTTTTGGTGACTATAGTTCTGTAGCATAATTTGAAGTCACACAAAGTGATTCCTCCAGTTTTGTTTATTTTGCTAAAAATGGTTTTGGGTATTCTGGGTCTTTTGTGGTTCCATATAAATTTTAGGATTGTTTTTTATATTTCTGTGAAGAATGTCCATTGGTACTTTGATAGTGATTTCATGAATCTGTAGTTTGCTTTGATTAGTATGGACATTTTAACAATATTGATTGCTTCCAATACATGAACATGGAATATCTTCATTTTTTTGTGCTCTCCTCAATTTCCTGCATCAATGTTTTATAGCTTTTATTGTAGAGAACTTTCACTCCTTTGGTTGAGTTTATTTATAGGTATTTTATTTTATTTGTAGCTATTGTGAAGGGGATTTACTGTCTTGATTTTTTAGATTTTTTCACTGTTGGCATATAGAAATGCTACTGATTTTTGTATGTTGGTTTTGTATCCTGCAACTTTACTGAATTTGCCAGTTCTAATAATTTTTTATTGAATCTTTAGTCTTTTTCAAATGTAAGATCATATAATCTGCAAACAAAGAATTTTACTTCTTCCTTCCTAATTTGAAAGCCATTTATTTATTTCTCTTGTCTGATTGCTCTAGCTGTGACTTCCAATACTATGTTGAATAACATTGGTGAAAATGGGCATCCTTCTCTCCTTCCAGATATTAGAGGAAAGGCTTTCAATTTTTCTTCATTCAATATGATACTAGCTGTGGCTTCGTCATAGATGGCTTTTACTATGTTGAAATGTTTCTTCTATAACCAGTGTATTAGTCCATTTTCACACTACTATAAAGAACTGTCCAAGACTGGGTAATTTATAAAGGAAAGAGGTTCAATTGACCCACAATTTAGCATGGCTGGGGGAGGCCTCAGGAAACTTACAATCATGGTAGAAGGTGAAGTGGAACCTTCTTCACAAGGCAGCAGGAAGGAAAAGTGACAAAGTGGGAAGAGCCCCTTATACGACCATCAAATCTCATGAGAACTCACTATCACAAGAACAGCATGGGGGAAACCACCCCCATGATTAAATTATCTCCATGTGTTCTCTCCCTTAACATGTGGGAATTATGGGGATTACAATTCAAAATCAGATTTGGGTGGGGACACAATCTAACCATATCACCCAGTTGTCTGGGATTTTTTGGTTGTAAAGTGATGCTGAATTTCATCAAATGCCTTTTCAGCATAATATGGCTTTTACGTTTATTCTTTTGAAATGATGTATCATATTGATTGGTTTGCATATGTCAAAACATCCTTGCATCCCTGGGATGAGTCCTACTTGGGCATGATAAATAATCTTTTAATATGTTGGTGAATGTGGTGTGCTAATATTGAGTATTTTTGCATCAATATTTATTAGCAATATTGGCCTATAGTTGTTTTTTGTTTGCTTGTTTTTTAGTATGTCTGTCTGAGTTTGGTATAAGGGGAATACTGGCCTCATAGAATGAGTTTGGAAGTATTCCCTTCTTCTGGGATGGAATATTCTCAAACTAATTTTAGGAATAATTTGAGTAGGATTGGCATTAGTTCTTCAAATGTTTTGTAGAATTTAGTAGTGAAGTCATCAGGTAAAGTTATTTCCTTTGTTAGAAGACTATTATGGTTTCAATCTCTTGTTCCTGGTCCATTCACATTTTGGGTTTCAATCTTGGTAGGCTGTATCTGTCTAGGAGTTTATTTATCTCTTCTAGGTTTTCAAGTTTACTGACATATAGTTGCTCATAATAATCTCTAATAATTCTTTGAGTTTCTGTGATATCACTTGCAATGTCTTTTTACATTTTTGATTTTATTTGGATTTTCTTTTTTTGTTAGTCTTGATAAAGGTTAAGTTTTGTTTATCTTTTCAAAAAAACAATTTTTCAATTGATCTTTTGTATTTTTCCATTTGAATTTTATTTATGCTATGACATTTATTTCTTTTTTGTACTAATTTGGGGTTGTGCTTTTGATTTTATAGTTCTTTAAGATCCATCATTATGTTGTTCATTTGAAGTTTTTCTACTTTTTGTTGTAGGCACTTATTCCTACAAACTTCCCTCTTTAGTACTGTTTTGCTGTATCTCATAGGTTTTGCTATTTGTGTTTCCACTTTCATTTGTTTCAATAAATTTTTAAAATTTCTTAAGTTTTTCATTGACCCACTGGTTATTCAGGATTATTGGGGGTTAATTTCTATATGTTCATATGCTTTCCAAATTTCCTCTTGTTACTGATTTCTAGTCATTCCATTGTGATCAGAAAATATATTTGATATTATTTCAATTTTTTGAATATTTTAAGACTTGTTCTGTGGCCTAACATATTGTCTATCTTTGAAAATGATTCCTGTGCTGAGAAGAATGTGTGTTCTGCAGACGCTGGATGAAATAGTCTGTAAATACTGATTAGGTTCATTTGGTCTCTAGTGCAGATGAGATCTGATGGATCTTTGTTGATTTTCTGTCTGGATGATCTGTCTAGTGATGGAAGTGTGGTGTTAAGATTTCCCACTATCCATGTGTTCAGATTCATTTCTCTTTAGTATCAATAAAATTTATTGTTCATATCTGGGTGCTCCAGTGTTGGATGCATATATATTTACGATAGTGATATCCTCTTGCTGAATTTATTTTTTTAACCATTAAATAATTACCATCTTTGTCTGTTTTTACAGTTTTTGTCTTGAGATCTATTTTGTCTGATATAACTACTTCTGCTCTTTTTTGGTTTGCATGTGCATGGATTATCTTTTTTTTCATCCCTTTATGTTTAGTCTATGTGTATCTTTATAGGTGAATTGTGTTTCTTATTGGCAAGAGATCACTGGGTTTTGTTTTTTAATCCAATCACTCTGTCTTTTGATTGGAGAGTTTATGCCATTTACATTCAATATTACTATTGATAAGTAAACTACTGTCATTTTGTTATTTCTTTCCTGGCTATTTTGTGGTCTTATCATTCTTCCTTCTATTCTTTGTGTTTTCCTTATTGTGGAAGTGATTTTCTCTAGTGATATGCTTTAATTTCTTACCTCATATTTTTTTATCTGTTGTTAGTTTTTTCATTTAAGGTTACCATAAGAATTGCAATTAACACATTATAACCTATTTTAAACTGATGACAACTTAAATGTAATTGCAAAACAAACACACAAACAAGAAAACTAAAACAACTCAACACTTTATCTCCACCCCTACTTTTTAAATTTTTTATTGTTTATATTTTATTATACAGTCTATGTCTAAAAAGTTTTTAGTTTTTATTTTTGATAGGCTCCTCTTTTGCTACTCAAGATATGGGTAGTTTACAAACCACAATTACAGTGTTAAAATATTCTGTATTTGTATGTGTACTTTTACCTGTGAGTTTTGTACCTTCAGATGACATCTTATTGGTTTTTAATGTCCTTTTCTTTCTGATTAACTACCTCTAATATTCTTGTAGGATAGGTCTGGTATTGACAAAATTCCTCAGCTTTTGTTTGGGAAAATCTTTCATGTTTGAAGGATATTTTCACTGTATATAATATTCAAGGATAAATATATTTTCCTTCAGCATTTTAAATATATCATGCTACTTTCCCCTGGACTGTAAAATATCCAGTGAAAAATCTGCTGCCAGACATATTGGAGCTCCTTTATGTGTTTTTTTCCTTTTCTCTTGCTGTTTTTAGGATTCTTTCTTTAACCTTGATAGTCTGATTATTAAATGTCCTGACGTAGTCTATTTGGCTTAAATCTCCATGATGTTACATAATTATTTTGTACTTGAATATTGATATCTTTCTCTAGGTTTGGAAAGTTCTGTTATTATCCTTTTGTATAAAATTTCTACCTCAGTCTTTACCTGCTCTTTAAGGCCAATAACTCTTAGATGTGCCCTTTTGAGGCTATTCTCTAGATCTTATACACATGGTTTATTAATTTTTATTTTTTCTTTTATCTATTCTGACTTTCTACTTTCAAATAGCTTGTCTTCAAGCTCACTATTCCACTCGTTCAGTTCTGCTGTTGAGAGACTGATGTATTCTTCAGTTTGTCAATTGAATTTTTCAGCTCCAGATTTTCTGCTTAATTATTATTATTTCACTCTTTATCTCATGATTCTGAATTCCTTCTGTGTTATCTTGGATTTTATTGGAATTCCTCAATAAAGCTACTTTAAATTATCTGTCTGAAAACTCATGTACTTCTGTTACTCTGGAATTGATCATCAGTGTCTCATTTAGTTCATTTAGTGAGGTCTTGTTTTCCTGTATGGTCTTGATGTTTGTGTATGTTCACTGATATCTGGGACTGCAAATCATGTATTTATTGTGGTCTTTGCAGTCTGGGCTTATTTATACCCATCCTTCTTGAGTAGGCTTTCCAAGTATTAAAGGGAATTGAGTGTTGTGATCTAAATCTGTGGTCACTGCACCCATTTGTGCATTCGAGGGCACTGCAGGCCCCATAATGCTGTAACTTTTACAGACTTGTAGAATTATTGCCTTAGTGGCCTTGGGTAAGATTGTGGAGAATTCCCTGGATTTCCAGGAAGAGTCTCTCTCTTGTTCTTCTCCCTTATTTTCCACCCAAACAGAGTCTCTCTTTTCTGTGCTGAGTTGCCTGGAGTTGAGGGAAGGGTGACACAAGCATTCCTGTGGCCACTACTTACTGGGACTGTGCTGGGTAACACCTGAAGTTGGCACAGTACTGGTCCTTGCCCCAGGCCTGGCATGCTTACTTCTTGGCTGCCACTTGTGTTACTCCAAGACCCAAGGACTCTGTAGACAGGAAATAATGTATCTTGCCAGCACTGGGTCTTTCTTTTTAGTGCAGCCAGTTCCCTTCTGGCCCAGGGTAGGTCTAGAAATGGCATCCAGGAGCTTAGGGCCAGGATCGGGGGCTTTAGGAACCTGTTGTGTGCTTTATTTTACTGAGGCAGAGCTGGTAGGTTGCAAGACAAAGTCCTCTTTATTTTTCCCTCTCCCTTCCTCAAGCAGAAGTCACTGCTCATGATTACCACTGCTCAAGGCCCAGAGCCACTACAATCAGAGTACTGCTGGGTTTTTTTTTTTTTCAAGGCCCAAGCACCCCTTAATCAGCAAGTGTAAGTCCTTCTAGGCCTGGTTCACCCCATTCAGGGCATGAGTTCCCTTCTGGCTCAGGGTAGGTCAAGAAATGCCCTCCAATGAGCTAAGGCCTGAAACTTGGGACTTTAGGAGTCTGCTTGTTGCTTTATTTTACTGTGGCTCAGCTGGTACCCAAGTTGCAAGACAATGTCTTTCATACTCTCCTTTCATCAAGCCAGGAGTCTCTCCCCAGGGCCACCACACCTGGGAATGTGCTAGGTCACACCTGACGCCAGCACAATGCTGGGACTTGCCCTAGGCCTGTGGCAACTGCTGCTTGTCTATTACTGCCATTTATTTAATGCCTAAGGGCTCTTTAGTCAGCGGGTAGTAAATTCTGGCAGGACTGTGTCCTTATCTTCAGGGCAGTGGGTTCTCTTTTGGCCAAGATGGGTCCAGAAATGTTGTCCAGGAGCTGTGGCCTGGAATGGCAACTTTAGAACCCTGCTTGGTGCTTTGACTGTGGCTGAGCTGGTATCCAAGTTGCAGGAATAAGTCCTCTTTACTCCTTCCTCTCCTTTCCTCAAGCAGAAGGACTCCCTCCTGGAGCTGTGAGCTATGTTACCTGGTATTGGAGGGAGGGCTATTACAACTCTTCCTTAGTCACCTCAGTAGTTGTTTCACTGGGTCTTATGTACCCCAGGTCAACTGGCTCTGAGTACAGCACAGCACCAAAACTTGCCCAGGAATTTCTGGCCTTGTGGTCTGCACTGTTTTTCAGGCCTATTTAAGACCTTAGAGCACTTTAGTCCACGCTAGTGGGGCATGCTAAAACTCAGGTTTTGATCACTGGGATGGATGATTCCTCTCTGGTTAGTGCTGGCCTACATATTCCCTCCATGGCTGCAGCCCAATTCTGCCCTGTGATGTTTTCCACTGTGACAGGGTAGCATTGAGTTCCAATGCAAAATCCCATAGACACTTTGCTCTCCCTCCCCCAAGTGCACAGATTCTCTCTCCATGCCATGCTGCACTGCTAGGGGATGGGGAAAGAGTGGTGTTGACAATTAAAGACTGTCTTTCCTACCCTCTTCAGCACCTCTTTCCTTGCTATGACGTTAAATCCAAGTTCTGTGATTGTTCACCTGATTTTTTAGTTCCTATGAAGATGCTTTCTTGTGTGGATAGTTGTTAACTTTGGTGCTTCTGCAAGGGTATGATCACTGCAGGGTTCTATTCAGTCACCTTGTTCTGCCTCTTTCTAGGCTCTAAGTCTGCTTTGCTAGAACTTTTAGTAAGAAATTTCAGACTGGGCTTTTAAAAGCTTCTCAGAACTAAAAAGCCAAACCAAGGACTCACCATCAAACCGTGCCTGTAATACCTATAGATAGGGGTGAATTCCTCTCTTTGTAGTTCCTCAAGTATCTTGAGGTTCCTGGGCCTGCGAGAAAGTGACATTCCTTTCCCGTCTCTCAAGCAACCATGTGAACCATGTATTCCAGGTACCACACCATTTATTTCCCATAGGCTTTATTGGCCCCATGAAGTCAACCCTAGTTCCTTAAAGTTGTTTGTTCATATCAGAAAGTAAGACATCACAGTCAAAGCCTTGGTAGCATAACCACTGTTTCCAATTGTGTTTTGTTACAAGAAGAACAAGTTTTTTTTTTTTTATTAAGCTTATGCAAATGTCTATATTGCCATTGGGGGAAGAAAAAAAGGAATATTCATGAAGAGTGTCCAAATTCTGGAGAGATCAAGTTGGGGGAAAAGTAAATGTTTGCATTTTTATACACAAAATTGTACTTTACCAAATTGCTATATGGTATAGATAGCTTAAAAGAAAAAGAGGGTTTTCTTAAATCTGGAAAAATAAACATTTAAAGAACAAGCAATGTTTCAAAAAAAACAGTCATTAAACAATTATCACCATCCATCCATTGAGACCCATGTAACTCTTGCTCTACTTGATGGGTTAACAGCTTCATTAACCTGTCCATATCTTCACTAGAGCACTGGATGGTCATACCCAGTCCAATGGTATGATCTTAAAGTTATCAGGAGTCTGTACTTGTCAGTCATTTCCATGAATTTTCTTGAAGATAAAGCACTTTTGGATTTTACATACTTAATGTCTGTAGATGACAAAAGACTTAAAAATAGACATGATTAAAGATCTGATGAGAGTTTATTAAAATGTAATTGACAATAAAATTTGGTTATCTCTGAAACATAATATTTAAAAATAACTGGGATTATGACTGATTTACCAGGACTTATCAGTTTTCTAGGAATTTTACAAAATGTCTGGAACACGTATTAATAATGTATATACATATAACTCAAGGTTAAATATCATTTTTTTCCAGTTTTAATTTTCTATTACTTTAAATTCTGGGGTACATGTGCAGGATGTGTAGGTTTGTTACATAGGTAAATGTGTGCCATAGGTGGTTTCCTGTACCTATCAACCCATCACCTAGTTATTAAGCCCAGCATGCATTACCTATGTTTCCTGATGTTCTCCATCCGCCTACCCCCTCCCACCGATAGGCCCCAGTGTGTGTTGTTCTCCTCCCGGTGACCATGGGTTCTCACTGTTCAGCTCCCAGTTATGAATGAGAACATGTGTTTGGTTTTCTGTTCCTGCATTAGTTTGCTGAGAATAATGGCTTCCAGCTATATCCATGTCCCTGCAAAGATATAACCTCATTCTTTTTCATGGCTGCACAGTATTCCATGGTGTATATGTACCACATTTTCTTTATCCAGTCTTATCATTGATGGGCATTGATTCCATGTCTTTGCTGTTGTGAATAATTCCACAATGAACACACATGTGCATGTATCTTTATAATAGAATTATTTGTATTTCTTTGGGTATATATACACCCAGTAATGAGATTGATAGGTCAAATGGTATTTCTGGTTCCTAGGTCTTTGAGGAATCGCCACACTGTCTTCCACAATGGTTGAACTAATTTACATTCCCAGCCACAGTGTAAAAGCATTCCTGTTTTTCCACAGACTCTCCAGCATCTGTTGTTTCTTGACTTTTTAATAATCACCGGCCCGGCATGGTGGCTCACGCCTGTTTGTAATCCCAGCACTTTGGGAGGCGGAGGCAGGTGGATCACGAGGTGAAGAGATAGAGACCATCCCGGCCAACATGGTGAAACCCCATCTCTACTAAAAATACAAAAATTAGCTGAGCGCATGGTGGTGAGCTCCAAGTAGTCCAAGCTACTTGGGAGGCTGAGGCAGGAGAATTGCTTGAACCTGGGAGGTGGAGGGTCGCAGTGAGCTGAGACTGCACCACTACACTCCAACCTGGTAGCAGAGCAAGAGTCTGTCTCAAAAAAAAAAAAAAAAAACAACAAACAACAATCACCATTCTAACTGGTGTGAGATGGTATCTCATTGTGGTTTTGATTTGCATTTCTAATGATCCATCATGTCAAGCTTTTTTTCATGTTTGTTGGTGGCATAAATGTCGTCTTTTGAGAAATGTCTGTTCATGTCCTTTGCCCACTTTTTAATGGGGTTGCTAGTTTTTTTTTGTAAATTTGTTTAAGTTTCTTGTAGATTCTGGATATTAGACCTTTGTCAGATGGATAGATTGGAAAAATATTCTCCCATTCTGTAGGTTTTCTGTTCTCTATGATGACAGTTTATTTTGCTGTGAAGAAGCTCTTTAGTTTAATTAGATCCCATTTGTCAATTTTTTCTTTTGCTGCAATTGCTTTTGATGTTTTTGTCATGAAATCTTGGTTTGTGCCTATGTGCTGAATGGTATTTCCTAGATTTTCTTCTAGAGTTTTTAGTTTGGGGTTTTACATCTAAGTCTTTAATCCATCTTGAGTTAATTTTTTATGCAGTATAAGGAAGGGGTCCAGTTTCAATTTTCTTCACATGGCCAGTCACTTCTCCCAGTTCCATGTATTAAATAGGGAATCCTTTCTCCATTGCTTGTTTTTGTCTGGTTTGTTGAAGATCAGATGGTTGTGGATGTGTGTTCCTATTTCTGAGTTCTCTATCCTGTTCCATTGGTCTATGTGTCTGTTTCTGTACCAGTACTATGCTGTTTTGGTTACTGTAGCCTTGTAGTATAGTTTGAAGTCAGGTAGCTGATGCCTCCAGCTTTGTTCTTTTTGCTTAGGATTGTCTTGGCTATACAGGCTCCTTTTTGGTTCCATATGAATTTTAAAATAGTTTTTTCTAATTCTTTGAAGAATGTCAAT
Source organism: Homo sapiens (assembly GCF_000001405.40). NCBI lineage: Eukaryota > Metazoa > Chordata > Mammalia > Primates > Hominidae > Homo > Homo sapiens. Next base: position 107,876,407 of record NC_000010.11, on the reverse strand, counting down.
GGTAGTTTAATGGGAGTAGCATTGAATCTGTAAATTACTTTGGCCAATATGGCCATTTTCGCAGTATTGATTCTTTCTATCCATGAGGATGGAATGTTTTTCTATTTGTGTCCTCTCTGATTTCCTTGAGCAGTGGTTTGTAGTTCTCTCTGAAGAAGTCCTTTACTTCCCTCGTTAGCCATATTCCTGGGTATTTTATTCTCTTTGTAGCAACTGTGAATGGGAGGTCATGCATGGTTGGGTTCTCAGCTTGTCTATTGTTGGTGTAAATGAATGCTTGTGATTTTCGCACATTGATTTTATATCCTGAGACTTTGCTGAAGTTGCTTACCAGCTTAAGCCTTAGGGCTGAGAGGATGGTGTTTTCTAAATATAATATCAGTTAAACATCATTTCTTACTTGACAATGCCTCCCATATAATTTAACATATCAAATAAACCTAATTAGCCTAACATGTCTCTTTTACAAGAAAAGAAAAAAATTATCTTGACAAATCTCAGAAGCCTGTTTAGAAAATCTCAAACTAATTCAAGGTCAAAAAAGACTTAATTTAAAAGTGAATTACTGGGAGTTTCTCAAAAATATCAAAAGGTTTAAAGTATTTGATGAAAAGACCACAGAACACTTTGAAATAAAATCAAAGAGACACAAGATTTCAAAGGCAAATACAGAAAATTAACGTAGTTGTAGATAAAATGAAATTAAATCAAAATGACACAAGATTTCAAAGGCAAATGGAGAAAATTAACATAGTTGTAGAAAAAAACCTTAGCTCTTTTAATATTGAGAATATTTGATTGTCAAGTAATCAAAGATATAATAATTAAAACATGAAACAGTTATTTTGACAAAACACAATCTTCCCCACCCTCCTTAAGAACAATCAAAAGGTAAAGAAATTTTACTTGCTATATTTTACCAATATTCCAAGAACATCTTGCTTTTAAAAGGGATGACAAATTCTAGTTTTACATCTCTATACTTTGATTTAATATCAAAGTAATAAAAGTAGCCTTAATTGCTATTTTTTAAAAACATAATAAATTCATTCCATTTTAGTCAGTTTGACCACTCAAATTTCTCTTTCCCTTTGTCACCCCTTCAGACTTTCTATATCCATTCAGTTTTTATTCATTCTTCCTTATTCATTCTTAAACAACCTTTCAAAATCTCTTACCTAGACAGAAATTTTTTTCTCAGCAAAAAATCTCATCCTCATACCTTACAACATCTTACTTTCCTTGTACATTTTGTATACACTTGTTTTCCTTATTACTAGGAGTTTGATTTACATATTAGAATGTTAAGTCTTAGTAACCCATTTTCCTGTGAAAACCTAGGAATAAGAAATTTTAAATGGTCTGAATACACATTTTATAATTTCTAGGAACACATGCTTCCTCAGAACAATTTTTTAATATGAAACAGAGCATGTTTACTGAGAGACTCAACTATTTTTTTCTTTTTATAAACTAACAAGCCAAAATAAACTGAAACTTGTATTCAGCAATTAATATTTCAGTGTTTTATTTTATTTGGAAATGACATACACATTTAATTAATATCCATCACCTAAGGGTATAGTTACCAAAGAGATTGGGAAACCATTTTAAGTAGACATAACATGATTATTGTCTAAAAGCTTATAAACATTTATTCTACTTATATCTATTTCATTCACTTGTTCCTTGCAATTATGCTTAGATTACTTATGAAATTTAAATGAGATGACTAGCTTTGTCTAATATATCAAGTATTTCCCTGTCGACTATTTTTATAGCACCTGCATTTAGGCAAGTATCACAAAATCAAGAATGTAAAAAGTTAAATAATTGGGCTTTTGTTTTTTGGCTGTGCTTTATATACATAAAGTAATGGACATTGCACTTTCTCATGTGCATTTGTTCTTAGGTTGAACCAATTATCTTAGGATTTTAAACATCTAATGAAAATAAAAGTTGTGTATCTACATTATATTTAATGCTAACAACTCTAAAGACATGTTGTTTTAATTAAGCCAATGACATCCTTATTGACCAAAGTTTACTAAGCTAACAATTTTTTAAACCCTTATTTTTCCTTAAGTCAATTAAGTAGAGGTCATTTGGAGGTAGAAAAATATCATATTATATAACATATGTATATATGTAGCCATCCATAAACACAGACAGAACAGATAACTCCGCTTTCACTCTAAACTTTAGCCCCATGTCAGCTATAGTAATTCAAAACTTAGTGAATATGGCATATTGAACAAAGTAAGGTTACCTGCTCAGATGGTTAAAGCTTTTAAGAGTTTCCATTTGCTGGTTTCCAAATAGTCTTCTCCTTCCCTCCTTCCTTCTTCCTTCCTTTGTTTTTTTATTTTCTTTCTTTTGTTTTTATCTGAGAATTATTTCTTAAATTTGCATTTCAAAAGTAATGGTTCTTGGGTAAGACATCTCAAGGGCACAGAGGAAGAATGCACATTTACCAAGCAGTTTTTGGAAGCATATTTGCCTATTATCAGATGTCTAGGGTAATTACTATTTAAACTTTTCCTTCTTAATTGCAGGACAGTTCCATTTTCAATGTCTTGATTTTCTAAAGTATCTACAAGCATCTTGAGATACATAGATGAGGTTTGGGAATTAGTAAGAAGGATAGGTGAGTTTGAATTTCTTCTAGAGGCACACTTCTATCTTTGTAAAGACTCAATTTGTAAAACAAGGACAGTTGTTTTTAATTCTTCAAAGAATTGGGTTGCAACCTAAATAATATCAAGGGTTTGACTCATCCATCCTGCATTATCTTCAACTTGCTCCTTTACATCAGGGAGAAGATTTCCCACTAAGATGGAAATCAAAAGATTCCTTTATTCTATATTTAGAACTGTTCCTCTTTGAAATGTTATAGTAAACTGTTTTTTTTCCTTTCTATGCATATAGTTCCATTTTAGCTTTGGAGAGAAAGCCTAAATTCTGTTACACTCTGAATATAAACCAAAGTTCTAAAACAAAGTTATACCTAACAGGTGACTCAATTCTAAAACTAATAAGCCTTTTATGGGTGCTGAACCACAGACGCACCCATCTTCAATGCAAAAGTAAAATGATACATTTCTTCCAAGAGTTAGTCACTCCAAACACATACAGAAGAAAGACAGTGTCTCTGTGAGTTGGCAACAGTTGGTATACTACGTGCAAATGGGGTGCAACCAACATTTCTTTCTGACCATATTCTTGGGAGCTCCCAACCTACATACCCCTGGCAGGCGGAAGGCCAAGCCAAGATCTCAGCTCTCCTTTGGAGAAAGAGAATGAGTAACAAATGGGTACTCCAAAGCCAAGAGTCATAATTCAAATAAATTCTTACAAATGTTTCTCTCCTGAGCTAAAGGAGTTTACTGAGGAAATTGAGATGAATTTGCAGAAGATGGGTTTTAATTAGAGACCCAAAGATCAAATGAGCTTTTAGAGGGTCGGGGACATGGACATAGGGAAGTAATGAGGGCAGACAAGGGAATTTATGGTCAGTTTAAAGAATTTTAACTTTGTTCTAAATCTGATTTCTCCTTTTTAATATTGCTAAGGAAGTCTCCAAGGCAATCTGTTACGGTTCTTTGTGTCTTCTTTTCAGTTTGATTTTTCCATATGCACCAATAAGACAGTTGTTTAGGATGAGAGCTCTCTCAAACTTTTTTCAAATTTAACCAATTTATTTATTCTAGAAGCAACTCAAAGCCGTAAGACTTTTCATGAAAAGACTTTTCAGGTTTAGAATACCATGATGGAAATGGTGTTCCTAAAGTGGATACCGAAAATGCAGTCCCCATGATCTAAAAAGTTAACTGTCAGAGATAAACTAAGAAAGCAAAGAGTTTCATTGCCAGAGGTGGTAAGAACAGTACTTGTGAAAACGGTGTCTCTGGTCTCCCGCAGAAAATTGGGGTGCCTCCAGTCACTGAACCATTATGTGTCATTGGTGACACCAATAAGGCACTACTGAGACTGGACTTTCTCAGTGCTTACCAAGAAATTGAAGGTTGAGACAACAAAGGCCCTTATGGATTGGAACCTCTCATTAAGACAAACTCACTTGAGAACTATCAGGATTAAACAGATACTGCTGGTTGTGACTTTGTGTCTGCAGCTTCTAGCCTATTCAACTGGCTGTCCGACGCAAGCCGGCACACTTGCCTGCCAGCTGGCAGAGACCAAAGACAGTGTTCTCACTGGTCAAATAGCCAGATTCTCAGGACATAAAACAAGATAAAAGGAGAACCTCACACTTTTTTTGTGGTCTCAGAGACCCTACAGCAAAGTTTGTCTAAACAGACATCACTCTAGTGAGAACTGTGGACTTACCTGGCTGTGAGGCCAGCTCAAATAATAAGCTTATCTAAGCCTTATGCCTGTGTTCTTACCCTCTGATTCTCACCCTCTGATTCTCCTCTTTATGACACATGAAATAGAAAAAGGAAAAAAAAATGACCATCTGAGAGGGAAGGGGTCAGAAAACATGAGTACTCATACCCCCGCCAAAAAAAAAAAAAAAACCACATTGATGTATGTGTGTGAACAAGAACTAGTTGACGTTTTTTTCCTGCTAATTCAAATGTAGAAAGGGAAAAAGACAAACTCCTACTACTCTTGCTTTGACCACACTTTGTAGGCAGAGATCTGGGAACCTGATGTGGGAAGAAATCTCATCTGTGACCACGATTTTGTCAGGAGTCACGGGATTCTATAGCTGCAGCAAACCTGGAGCAAACTGGTCCCCACCAATCTGGGTGAGACAAACCAATGATGACTGAAAATCACAATAAAATTGTAATACTCGAGATCTCAAAGAGATGATTCAGGAATTTTTTTTTTTTTTTTTTTTTTTTTTTTTTTTTGAGACGGAGTCTTGCTCTGTCCCCCAGGTTGGAGTGCAGTGGCGCGATCTGGGCTCACTGCAAGCTCCACCTCCCGGGTTCACGCCATTCTCCTGCCTCAGCCTACGGAGTGGCTGGGAGCGCCTGCCCACCACCATGCCCAAATTTTTGGTATATTTTAGTAGAGACGGGGTTTCACCATGTTAGCCAGGATGGTTTTGATCTCCTGACCTTGTGATCTGCCCAACTTGGCCTCCCAAAGTGCTGGGATTACAGGCATGAGCCACCGTGCCCAGCCCGTTTTTTTTTTTGTTTGTTTGTTTTTTGAGACAGAGTCTTGCTCTGTCACCCAGGCTGGAGTGCAGTGGCACAATCTCAGCTCATTGCAGCCTCCACCTCCGGGGTTCAAGTGATTCTTCTGCCTCAGCCTCTTGAGGAGCTGGGATTACAGGTGCATGCCACCACGCCCAGCTAAATTTTGTATTTTTAGAAGAGATGTTGTTTCACCATGTTGGTCAGGCTGTTCTTGAATTCCTGACCTCAGGTGATCTACTGGCCTCGGCCTCCCAGAGTGCTGGGATTACAGGTGTGAGCCACTGCACCCGGCCCCCTTCCTTACTTCTGTATAAATAATTTTTAAAGTATTTGGAAAAATGGCCAAATGGCTAGTATCATAAAATATTAATAAATCCAGATTAGTAGATTCTATTACTTTGTCTCACCACTTTAACTTTCTCTTAAAGTGTTATGTACAAGACCAAGAATTAGTGTGTAGCACTAAGAATTCTTACTTCCAACAATTATCAGCCATCTTTTATTAGATTGATTCAGAGTATAAAATTGTGACGTTATTTAAATGGAACTGAGATTGTAATCACCAATCTTAAGCAAGATTTCAGTCTTGTTCAACAACTGGTAAGTTTCCAGTGTTGGGGGGAAATGAAATGGAATTCCCATGTGGATTCTACATGAGCAATTGGACAGACCTTTAATAGCTCTAGTATTTTTGAATCTTTGGAGGATGAGTGGATTTGACAAGAAGGTATGTTTGGCTATTCTCAAAGCTCTACTATAGTTGTTAATTACAATGATAGTTAAAGGTGTAGATATTAAGAGTTAAATAATATTCATAGTCTATGAAGCCACAAATGTCAGGCAGGTAAGGTTCATAAGTTAGGCA